>NC_000003.12:10010000-11260000 GCF_000001405.40 Homo sapiens
AGCCTCCGTGGGTCCCACCCCTGCACCCATCACATGGTGTCTGGTCCCCCCTGCCTGCCTGGCTCACACCCCCCGCCTTCACCTACTGCCCTATTTTTATCCCTGGGACACCCCACTGGGCACTGCTCTTCCCTATCTTAAAAGACTTTCGGCCGGGCGCGGTGGCTCACGCCTGTAATCCCAGCACTTTGGGAGGCCGAGGCAGGCGGATCACAAGGTCAGGAGATCGAGACCATCCTGGCTAACACGGTGAAACCCCGTCTCTACTAAAAATACAAAAAAATTAGCTGGGCGTGGTGGCGGGCTCCTGTAGTCCCAGCTACTCCGGAGGCTGAGGCGGAGCTTGCAGCGAGCCGAGATCGCGCCACTGCACTCCATCCTGGGCAACAGAGCGAGACTCGTCTAAAAAAAAAAAAAAACTTTCACAGGCCTTGATCATCCCTTTTGTCAATCTAGTTAATGTCACCTCCTCAGAGAAGCCCTCCCTGAGCACCCCATCTGCAGTAGGTCACCCCCATCTTCCACCATCACTTTTCCTGGTGTTTCCGTCATAGCCCCCACCTCTATGGGGAGTTTTCTGCACTGATAGACTAGACTCCCTCCCCCACTCAGTGGCCAGCGTGTCTGTCTTCTCTGTCCCTGCACACAGCAAATGCTCAATGTTCACTTGTTGGCATGAATGAAACAGGAAGGCCCCTGAGGTGCTAGGACTGGGAGCCCTTCACCCCAGGTGAGGAAGGAGCCTTAGGGGGAGAGGACCCGAGTTAGTGCCCCCTCCCCACCCTGAGGGTCAGCCCGGGGCAGGGCTGGTCACTGCGCCTTGAGGAGCCTCTCCCCTATGCCCTTGATGGGTGGCCCGCAGGGGACGCGGCCGCACTCGGTCACCTGTGGTCCTGGAGCAGCCGCGCCCGGCGGGCGGCACTTAACGAAGGACAAACTCCAAAACCCAGGCCTCCAAAGGACCCATGGGAAGATCCGGGGGCTCAGGGGAGTGACCCCAAGCTGCGGGGGGTGACCCTCACCTGAGGCCTCTGGAGGCGCTGAGTGGGCCGGAAGCCGCGGGAGCCGCGGGACCCGCAGAGAGTGCCCGCCTGTGTTGGGGCAGCAGCGCCTGGAAGGAGGCGGCCCCGGCCGCCCGCAGAGCTCCGCCTCCCAGGCCGCGCTCTGTGTCTTTGTCCAGGCTGGGAGGGGCCGATGGCCGTTAAAAGCCCCGCCCGCCGCCGCTCGCCGCCGCCTGGCCCCACCCCCGTATCCATGGAGACCCGACGCCGCCGGACTGCCTGTCAGCTGCAGCTCGGTAGCCTGGGGCCCGCCCCGTTCGCCCGGTCTGTCTTCCGCGGGCCATGCTACCCAAGCTGACTCCGACTGGAGTCACTGGGATACCTGTCCACGCCTCCTCTCCTGGGCCACTTCCCTGCGGGGCGGGCAGTAGGGCAGGGCGGGGTGGGAATCTGTTGTACTCAGGGAAGGGAATTGCCCCCAGGCCCAGAGAGTTTGGAGCCTGGGGTACTGCCACCAACAGCCCAGAACTCTCCCAGCTGGGCACCACCCCCCCACACCCGCCGCCAGAGTCTTCCTGCAGCAAGGCTCTCTTCAGGAGGGGCTGTGAATGTTTCCCCGGGGTGGGGCTAAGCCAGAGCCCAGAGGTTAGCCCCTGGGGCACGGATCCCCCAGGTCACTCACTTCCCACGGGCTGCAGTGAAGGAGGCTCTGAGGGGAGGATGGCCGGTTTTTCCCCTGCAAGGGAAGGCATTCCTGCTCTGGGGACTGCCTCCCTCTCCCTCTTCTGCCAGCCACCGCAGAAACTTGGCCAAGCTGACCACTCTGTCAGTGATCTCTGCCAGGGAGGCTGAAAAACATCCAGCCCCACCCGTGGTCCCTTCCTGCCTCAGGCTATGTGACAGTATGACTGCCCACCTATTTCTTCGTTTCCACTGGAAACACTAGTAAAACAATTCCTCAGCCTCGACCCCAGGGAGTGGCCCCCACTAAACCAGCTGACGTGGGACCCCTGGGTCAATGCTGGCCAGAAGACACTGCTGACACCATACAGAGACCCTGGACACCTATGCCCCCTACAACCCTGGTAATGGTGGCCATGGGATTCCAAGCAGCACACATCTCGGAATCAATATTCTCCCCAACAAAAAATACATATGTGATTATCCCATGGCCACGTACCTAATCCTGGGGTAGAGAAAAGTACAGAGGAGGAAGCGCTCCATCATTGGAGCACAGCCCTTCCTCCTGGGGGTCCCACCTGTTCTTCCCCATCTGACAAAGTCTGCCTTCCTTGTGGAACCAAAGAGGGCTCAAAGGGAGCCAGCTGTTCCCACTTTTAATTTTTGACTGCCCAAGGACGGCGAGAAGTGAAGGCAGAAGACCACCATTCCTGCTCAGAACTCTTCCTGGGCTGGGGGTACCAGTGCCCTGCCATGGACATATGGGGCCTTGGCGTCATACTCTACCATATGGTGGCCGGGGCCCTACCCTTCTATTCAGGGAACACGATGGACCTCAAGAATCAAATTTTCACAGGAAGCTACCACGCCTCACCATTTTTTTTCCCTTCAACTTGAAAGATTCATTCAAAAGTTACTAACACTAGAACCCAGGGAGTGGCCCCCACTGAAAGAAGTTTTGAGGGACTGGTGGGTGAACTGTGGTTAGGAGATGCCACGGACAACATACAAAGAGCCATGAGCCAACATACCACCCAGCTCATGGTGGCCATGGGATTCCAGGCCAAGAACATCTCTGTGCCAATCAAAGAAAAAGCGTTTCACTATCCTATGGCCACCTACCTCATTTTAGAACAAACAAAAGAAGCAGTCCACCATCAGACCATGGTCCCTTCCTCCTGGGGTTCCCACCTGTCCTTCTCTATCCACTGAAGTTTCCACCTTCTCTCTCCCACTGAAGCAGGCTCACAGCGAGCCAGCTTGTCCCATATTCAGCATTCAGCAGAAGACCACTGTTCCTGCCAGTGCCCCTGCCAGCCTGCAGAGGAAGCCGGACAGTTTTGGCAAAGCCCCCCAGCGTGACGCTGTGGCCTCTACCTCCACCCACACCACCAGCAGCAGTGGCAGAGACCCAGAAACGTCCCTTGCCCAGCGACAATCATCACAGGAAGCCAGTGTTGTCCAAGCTGGACAGCCTGAGGCTGTGACATCAGCCTAGCCAACAAGAAACTGGGGCTGCCGCAGCCGGACGCAGTGGCTCATGCCTGTAATCCCAGCACTTTGGGAGGCCAAGGCGGGAGGATCACGAGGTCAGGAAATCGAGACCATCCTGGCTAACATGGTGAAACTCCATCTCTACTAAAAATACAAAAAATTAGCCAGGCTTGGTGGCGGGCACCTATAGTCCCAGCTACTCAGAAGGCTGAGGCAGGAGAGTGGCGTGAACCTGGGAGGTGGAGTTTGCAGTGAGCCGAGATTGTGCCACTGCACTCCAGCCTGGGGGACAGAGTGAGACTCCGTCTCAAAAAAAAAAAAAAAAAAAAAGAAAAGAAAAGAAACTGGGGCTGCCACAGGGCTGCCGGAGGACGCATCTTTCACTTCTATTAAGATTTTGCTGCATGTGTCCACCGAAGAAAAGGAGGAATAAGATTGCTCCAACATAGTTGCACAGATGAAGACAAAAATCAGCTAGGTGGGGTGGTGAAGCCTCACTTCTTGCATTTTACTATTTACTATTTATTCTGTCTCTTTTTTTTTTTTTTTTTGAGGCAGAGTCTCGCTCTGTCGCCCAGGCTGGAGTGCAGTGGCACAATCTTGGCTCACTGCAAGCTCCGCCTCCCGAGTTCACACCATTCTCCTGCCTCAGCCTCCCGAGTAGCTGGGACTACAGGCGCCCACCACCACGCCAGGCTAATTTTTGTATTTTTAGTAGAGATGGGGTTTCACCATGTTAGCCAGGATGGTCTCGATCTCCTGACCTCGTGATCTGCCCACCTCGGCCTCCCAAAGTGCTGGGATTACAGGCGTGAGCCACCGCGCCCGGCCAATTTCTTAGTCATATTTACATCCTTCTGTGTTTCTGAAAGTACACACAAAAACAAGATGGTGTTTGCTTCTGAAGGAATCAGATGGGGTTAGATGAGTAATTATGTTTACCCTTTGGAACAGCTTAAATGTTTTACCTTGCTGATATATTTCTTCTTCACACACACATACACACACACACACACAGTTTAAAAATCTAAGCCAGATATAAAAGACTATATGATTCATAATTTTCTAAATACTTTTTTTAATTTACAAAAATAGAAATAAAAATTTTTAAGATATATCATTCTATTTACATGACATTTTAGAAAAGTCTATTTACATGACTATAAAGGGACAGATGGCAGCTTTCTGGTTTGCCAGAAATGGTGGTTACATAACTGTATAAATTTGCCAAAACTTATTGAAAGACATACTTGTAAATAATACATTTTATTGTACATAAATTATGTCAATAAACAATGTTTTCAAAATATCAGTTATTGAAATGATGTGCACAGGCCAGGCATGATGGTTCACACCTGTAATCCCAGCACTTTGGGAATCCAAGGCACTTTGAGAAGCCGAGGCGGGCAGATCTTTTGAGGCCAGAAGTTCGAGACCAGCCTGGCTAAGTGAAACCCCAACTCTACTAAAAATACAAACATTAGCCCAGCATGGTGGTGCACAGTCCCAGCTACCTGGAAGGCTGAGGCACAAGAATCTCTTGAGCCTGAGAGGCGGAGGTTGCAGTGAGCCGAGATCATGCCACTGCACTCCAGCCTGGGCAACAGAGCAAGACTCCATCTCAAATAAAATAGAATTACGTGCACAAGAGCCGGGTGTGGTGTCTCACGCCTGTAATCCCAGCACTTTCGGAGGCTGAGGCAGGTGGATCACCTGAGGTCAGGAGTTTGAGACCAGCCTGGCCAATATGGCGAAACCCCATCTCTATGAAAAATATAAAAATTACCTGGGCGTGGTGGTGGGTGCCTGTAATCCCAGCTACTTGGGAGGCTGAGGCAGAAGAATTGCTTGAACCCAGCAGGCAGAGGTTGCAGTGAGCTGAGATCGTGCCACTGCACTCCAGCCTGGGTGACAAGAGTGAGACTCTGTCTCAAAGAAAAGAAACAAAAAATTATGTACACAAATATGGACAGCACTGGCAAGAAGTGTGGCAAAAACACATGTGGTTCTCTTGTTTTGGGCTCAGACATGTGGCTGTGCCATTACAGACCCCCGGGATTTAGAATCCTCCTTCTGAAAGGCGTCCTGTGCACTCGTGAGCACCAGCCTGAACAGATGAAAAGGCTGAGCTGGAGGGGCTGGGACACAGCCCACCTTGACGACAGCTGCTCCTGGCTGTGCGGGGGGGTCTCCAGGAAAGGCCATTCTCCCACTAGGATCGCCAGGCCCTACTGAGGCTCAAGCTCCTTTGCTGTTTGGAATCTTCCCTCCCCAGCCCCCCAGCCTCATCAAAGGCTGCCTTTTCCTGTTCACTGACCACAGCTGCTTTGACTCCATTAGCCTCGAGCTCCTGGAAGAAAAGGAAGAACGTTGTTTTCCCTGGGCTCAATGCCAAGAGACCGTGGGCAGTTGCTCAAGATTCACTTGTGAAACTCCGGATCCCAGGAGGAGGGAAGCTTGGGACAAATACCGAGCCTCCCACCCCCACTCCAACTCTGTTACTGAGCACTTTACGGAAGGAGCACGTAGGCCCCGCCACAGCTTCGGCAAGGGTGGACTGGGATAGATTCTGTGCTAATACAAACATCAGGCCTCCCTGCCAGACGGCCCACCCCATGGAGCCAGCCTGACACCAGGCCAGCCTCCAGCCACAACTGCAAGAGAAGGAGAGCCCAGAATAGCAGGCCCTCTTCAGTGAGCTTCAGCAGCTTCACCCACAGGTTGCAGGGTTTGGGTCCGCTGCCAGAAATAGCTCCCAGACCATCTTTGGTAATACAGACCTTTGCCTTAGTATTTACTACATCCAAATAGGCTTTATAGTAAGAGTTGTAAAACGATTGGTTTTGTTTTATTTTTCGTTTTTTTTTTGTTTGTTTGTGTTTTTTTTTTGAGACGGAGTCTCACTCTGTCGTCCAGGCTAGAGTGCAATGGCACGATCTTGGCTCACTGCAACCTATGCCTCCCAGGTTTAAGCAATTCTCCTGCCTCAGCCTCCCAAATAGCTGGGATTACAGATGCCTACAAGCATGCCTGGTTAATTTTTTGTATTTTAGTAGAGAGAGGGTTTGGCCATGTTGGCCAGGCTGGTCTCCAGCTGCTGACCTCAGGTAATCCACCTGCCTTGGCCTCCCAAAGTGCTGGGATTACAGGCATGAGCCAGCACGCCCAGCCTAAATTCAGCCTTTCATGCTTGTCTTGAGTTGTCCAATATTGGAAAATGCCAGCTCACACTGATGAGAAGCTCCTACTCTTTGGGGCTACCTATGAGCCCACTTTGAAATCCCGAGGTTGAAAGTCCTGAACATGAAAGATAAGCTGTCTGGCAAGTTAGGATGGGCATTGACGGGGAAATGCCTTACAGCTTGAGTAGTACTTTTTCACCTAACCACTTAAATGGTTATTATAAAACGGGACACTGAGAAATTAGAAGAGTGACTTAATCCCACCTGCTCAATTGAAGCTCCTCTGATAGGTGAATTTAATTAGGAAATTGTTACTTATGGTATCAATTACATGGTCAGCTCAAGCCTCAAATTTAGCCGACTTTAGTTTCAAAATCAAATGCAATTTTTTTTTTTTTTTTGAGACAGAGTCTCGCTCTGTCGCCCAGGCTGGAGTGCAGTAGTGCGATCTCGCCTCACTGTAAGCTCCGCCTCCTGGGTTCACGCCATTCTCCTGCCTCAGCCTCTCCGAGTAGCTGGGACTACAGGCACCCGCCACCACGCCTGGCTAATTTTTTTTTTGTATTTTTAGTAGAGACAGGGTTTCACTGTGGTCTCGATCTCCCAACCTCGTGATCCGCCCGCCTGGGCCTCCCAAAGTGCTGGGATTACAGGCGTGAGCCACTGCACCCGGCCTGCAAATTTTTTTTTTTTTTTTTTTTTTATACTTTAAGTTTTAGGGTACATGTGCACAATGTGCAGGTTAGTTACCTATGTATACATGTGACATGCTGGTGCGCTGCACCCACTAACTCGTCATCTAGCACTAGGTATATCTCCCAATGCTATCCCTCCCCCCTCCCCCCACCCCTGCAATTTTGTTTTTTAAAGAGCCTGGGCTCTTGCTATTGTGCCCCGGGCTGGCCTTGAACTCCTGGTCTCAAGGGATGCTCCCACCACAGCCTGCTGAGTAGCTGGGACTGCAGGCACGTGTCACTGTGCTCAGCTTTTTTTTTTTTTCCCCCCTTTGGTAGAAAAACTATTATTTGTAATCTTATGTTATGGAGAATAGTTTGACAACAGATTCATCTCTTCCTTTAGCCCTCTCCAACCTTCCAGCTAGAACCCCACCCCAAAGAACACAGGCAAAGATACATCAGCATCAATAATTTATTGCAAACTCCCTAATATCACATGCTAGTATGCTTGCGAATTCACTCACGAATGTTCTGGGATGGGGGCCAGAAGGTAGAGAGCACCATGAAAGTACAGCCTGTGAGGCCGGACTGCTGAGGGGCAGACTTCATGCCAATGGAGGGACAGACTTCAGGACCAGTCTGGATGGGCTAAGCTACCTTGGGCAGGAAGGAGCTGGGCCAGGCCAGGAGCCTGAGGTTCTCCTTTGGCCAACCCATCCCAGGTTTCCAGCCCCTCCTCCTCACTCAGGGTCCTGTGTGGTGAGGGAGGTGTCGGGAGGTTAGCGGCTCTACAGCTGCCAGGCTTGTGGCCACTACCAGTTGAGCGTGGGGCCCCTAGTCTAGTCCTTCACTGGGGAAAGCTAGGGCTTGGGCTTTCACTGCAGTATCTTCAGACAGGTCGGGATGAGGGATGAGGCCTTGCCCTTGGGGGGATGCCCGTCCTCTGTGGCATCGAGGAGCTGCTGCAGGTAACAGGAGGTGAAGCAGCACGTGGCCCGTGGCTTGCATGCTGAAAAGGGCCCAGTGGAGAGCTTCCCTGGGTGGAATGAGAGGGCACGCAAGTCAAAACCACGAAGTAGGTTGGGCGTAGTGGCTCATGCCTGTAATCCTAACACTTTGGGAGGCCGTGGTGGGTGAGTCACCTGAGGTCAGGAGTTTGAGACCAGTGTGGCCAACATGGTAAAACCCTGTCCCTACTAAAAACACAAAAATTAGTCAGGCCTGCTGGTGGGCGCCTATAATTCCAGCTACTTGAGAGCCTGAGGCAGGAGAATCGCTTGAACCCAGGAGGCGGAGGTTGCAGTGAGCTGAGATGATGCCACTGCACTCCAGCCTGGGTGACAGAGCAAGACTCTGTCTCAAAAAAACAAAACAAAACAAACAAACAAAAAAACCACCACCATCACCAACAACAACAAAACAAAGCTGGGCTCAGTGGCTCACGCCTGTAATCCTAGCACTTTAGGAGGCTGAGGCGGGCAGATCACTTGAGGTCAGGAGTTTGAGACCAGCCTGGCCAACATGGTGAAACCCCGTCTCTACTAAAAAATACAAATAAATTAGCCAGGTGAGGTGGCACACAGCTGTAATCTCAGCTACTTGGGAAGCTGAGGCATGAGAATCGCTTGAACCCGGGAGACAGAGGTTGAAGTGAGCTGAGATTGCACCACTGCGCTCCAGCCTGGGCAACAGAGCGTCTCAAAAACAAGTAAGAATAAAACATAAGTGTACACCTCCCTACAACCCATTATTCCCATGTTGGCCTGGAAGGGATTGGTTTCATTATGTTTGTTTTCTTCATTAATAACATTTGAATACCACTGAGGTGGTAGCACTAAAAGCATTTCATCAATTCTAGAGCAATGTGCAAATAGGAACAGATGCTGCAGATGGGATCAGGATTAGGGCGAGGACCTGCAATTCCACCTTAACTGAGATGCCCGGAACCTCCCTACTTTCTCATGCAAAACCCCAGCTCATTTCATATGGCTTTCTATTTTTCTACTACTACTTTGGTCCAGCCAGATTAATCTCCATAATGTGGCTCTGCCCTTGAGACACTCTGTTCTAGACTCTGAGGCCTTTCTAAGTCACCTGCAGTCTAGCTCATGTTCAGAGTGCTGGACATGAAGACATCCATGCCTGGCATGAGCATGTACTGAGAACTGAACCTGAATCAGGCAGGCCTAAGTCCTAATCCAGTCTTATTA
Organism: Homo sapiens; assembly: GCF_000001405.40. Classification (NCBI taxonomy): domain Eukaryota; kingdom Metazoa; phylum Chordata; class Mammalia; order Primates; family Hominidae; genus Homo; species Homo sapiens. The sequence continues at coordinate 10,019,246 of NC_000003.12, forward strand.
GCTGGGTGAACTTCAGCAAACTGCTCTAGTTTTGAGCTTCAGCTCCCTCATGGGTAAAATGGGATTGCACCTGCCACCCAGGGTCATAAGGCTGAAATAGCATAAAGCAATTAACGTGGGGTTGGATATTTGAAAAGTAGGGGAAATGGGGAAGCGGGGGCAGGTTCAAGAGCAGCTGGTTGAATGCTAGACAACTTTGGCTAGGTGCACTGGCTCAGGCCTATAATTCCAGCATTTTGGGAGGCCGAGGAGGATGGCTTGAGGCCAGGAGTTTGAGACCAGCCTGGTCTAGTGAGACCTTGTCTCTACAAAAGTATTAAAGAACTAGCCAAGCATGGTAGCACACACTTGTGCTACTCAGGAGGATCACTTGAGCCTACGAGGTTAAGGCTGCAGTGAGCCATGATTGCACCACTGCACTGTAGCCTAGATGACAGAGTGAGACGCTGTCTCTAAAAAAATATAAAGAATGCTAGATAATTTTAATCAAATTCTTACCAAATCTGTTTGAAAGGGGAATGTGAGGGTCACTCGAGGTGTCTAGTCCTAAGTGAGATAGGGGAGTGGAAAATAAAAGGCAAAGAAATGTTACCTGGCTGTTGTTCAAACTTTAGTCTTTTATTAACATTCATTCAATAAGTGAATTTATGGTCTGACTGGGGTGTGGGTGGCAGAAAGACTTAGAACTATTCACATCTACACAAGAGAATACTTTATATTTTCAAGGTTATAACTTAGAAGTATACCCACTTCTCAAATTAAGGAACTGAGGCTGACAACCTAGCTGACCAGCCTTAAAAAGGAATGAAATTCTGAGGTCGGCCAGGCGTGGTGGCTCAGGCCTGTAATCCCAGCACTTTGGGAGGCCGAGGCGGGCGGATCACGAGGTCAGGAGATCGAGACCATCCTGGCCAAAACGGTGAAACCCTGTCTCTACTAAAAATACAAAAATTAGCCGGGCGTGGTGGCACGTGCCTGTAATCCCAGCTACTCGGGAGGCTGAGGCAGGAGAATCGCTTGAACCCGGGAGTCAGAGGTTGCAGTGAGCTGAGATCGTGCCATTGCACTCCAGCCTGGCGACAGAATGAGACTCTGTCTCAAAAAAAAAAAAAAAAAAGAAAAAAAGAAAGAAATTCTGAGGCCGGGCACGGTGGCTCACGCCTGTAATACCAGCACTTTGGGAGGCTGAGGTGGGCAGATCACAAGGTCAGGAGTTCAAGACCAACCTGGCCAGGATGGTGAAACCGTGTCTCTACTCAAAAAATACAAAAAAATTAGCCGGGCATGGTGGCGGGCTGCTCGGGAGGCTGAGGCTGCTTGAACCTGGAAGGCAGAGGTTGTAGTGAGCTGAGATCGCGCCACTGCACTCCAGCCTGGGTGACAGAGTGAGACTCCATCTCAAAAAAAAAAAAGGAATGAAATTCTGATCCATACTGCAATATGAACGACCCTTGAAAATCCGAAGTCAAGGAAGCTAGAAATGAAGAACGAGTATTGACTGACTCCAGTTCCATATGGTACTAGAATTGGCAAACATAGAAAGTGGAGTGGAGGCTACCAGTGTCTGGAGGAGGAATGGAGACTTAGTGCTTCAGGGGGACAGAGTTTCTGGTTAAGATGATGCAAGAGGTCTAGAAATGGATGGTGGTGATGGCTGGGCAACATTGTGAACGTACTTAATGGCACTGAATTGTACACTTAAAATGGTCCAAACAATAGATTTTATGCTATACATATTTACTATAATTAAAAAAAACCTAGTGATACCACTAAGTCACTAAACTGATTCCAGTCACCAGACTGTGTTTAGGTCGAAGTGTCCCACCTCCCCTAACTGGACTGAGTTTAAGGTCTGAGACCTTTTCTTTTTCTGAGACAGAGTCTTATTCTGTCGCCCAGGCTGGAGTACAATGGTGTGATCTCGGCTCACTGCAACCTTCACATTCCAGTTTCCAGTGATTCTCCTGCCTCAGCCTCCTGAGTAGCTGGGATTACAGCAGTGTGTCACCACGCCCGGCTAATTTTTGTATTTTTAGTAAAGACGGGGGTTTCACCTTGTTGCCCAGGCTGGTCTCGAACTCCTGACCTCAGGTGATTCACCTCCCTCGGCCTCCCAAAGTGCTAGGATTACAGGTGTGAGCCACTGCCCCCAGCTGGTCTGAAACTTCTTGTTCATAATTTTGAAATAATGCAGACTACTGGTGGTAGGTAGTCTGAGGTCAAGAGGTGGCATGAGATGGTAGTATCCTGGAAGAAGTAGCCGAGGAGGAAAATGGAACTCTCAGCCACAGAACCAGGCTCAAGCCTGCCACCCACTGTTGTCTCTGGCAAGCAGACCCACACAGCCTCAGTTTCCTCAACTGCAGATTGGGTCTGCAGGAGATCAACTAAGAAAGCAAGAAGGTCTGATATGTTCTAGCTACATGTGATCTGGTAGAACTCTTGGGATCCTGAGCAGGATTTCTCAGAAGCCCCATGTGAATAGAGATCGCCTGTGTCTTCATTTATTCTACAATCATTTAAATAACTACTATGTGTCAGCATTCACCAAGGTGCTGAAGGCCACAAAAATTCCTGCCCTCAGGGAACTTGTTCTATCTGGTATTTTGTTCATCTCTGAATCTGTAGTTACAGCATAGGGCCAGGCACACAGTGGGCACTCAGGAAACACTGAATGAAGGAACTGGAGAAGAATAGACTATCGGAAAGATGGACTAGCAGCCATGCTCTGCTGCTTGCAAGTTTTGCGGCTTTGGACTGATTCAATCACTTCAGCCTCAGTGGCTACATCCACCCAATGGGGAAGGATGCCCCAGGGCGCCACTGGAGCGGCAGAATTTGGGAAACATCACCATAACGGCATGCAGCTTCTAACCTCACATATTCTCATGCTTCCTGAGACACTTGGTTAGGCTTTCAAAATAAGTTTTAAGAAAAGTTCATTATATAGTACAAATGACTCTGGTCCATAAGACTTGCAAACTAATTCTGTCCTATGGAGGGAAGATTATTTCATCCCTCCCATCCCCATGGGAGAAAAAACCCAATTTTGTATGTATACATTTATCTCTTTTTTTCTTCTTTTTAGAGACAAGGCCTCATGCTGTTGCCCAGGCTGGAGTACACAATGGTATGGTCATATCTCACTGCAGCCTCAAACTCCTGGGCTCAGGCAATCCTCCCACCTAGCTGGGATTATAGGCACATACTACCACTGCTCCCAGCGTGCATGCCTCTCACTATGTTGCTCAGGCTGGTCTCAAACTGTGTGTGTGTGTGTGTGTGTGTGTGTGTGTATGTGTGTGTGTGTGTGTCTCTCTCTATGTTGCCCAGGGGTGTGTGTGTGTGTGTGTGTGCGCATGTGTCTCTCTCTCTCACTGTGTTGCCCAGGCTGGTCTCAAACTCCTGGGCTCAAGAGATCCTCCTGCCGTGTGTGTGTGTAAGTGTGTGTGTCTCTCTCTCTCTCTCTCACTATTGCCGAGGCTGGTCTCAAGCTCCTGGGCTCAAGAGATCCTCCTGCCTTGAACTCCCAAAGTGCTGGGATTCCAGGTGAGAGCTACTGCACCCAGCCTATCTCATCATTCTTACTGGACCTATATATGTGTGGGATTTTGAATTCTCCTTTGAACTGATTGTAACTTCTTGCTAGTTCTCTCATTAATTAATGAATTCAATGAAATCTTTGACACATACTTTTTTTTTTTTTTTTTGGTAAGACACTTGCTGTTTTGCCCAGGCTGGAGTGCAGTGACACAATCTCGCCTCACTGTCACCTCCACCTCCTGGGTTCAAACGATTCTCCTGCTTCAGGCTCCTGAGTAGTTGGGATTACAGGCATGCACTGCCATGTCCAGCTAATTTTTGTAGAGATTGGGTTTTGCCATGTTGGCCAGGCTGGTCTCAAACTCCTGACCTCAAGTGATCCACCCACCTTGGCCTCCCAAAGTGCTGGGATTAGAGGCGTGAGCCACTATGCCTGGCCAACACATGTTCATTTTTAAAAAACTGACTAGAAGACTACTTAGGAAAACTTCCTATTTCAATGAAAAAATGTAGTTGCTAGAGTGGAAAGTAGTCATAAAAATAAAATGCATCCAGGTTCCACCAGGAGGAACATGTGCACCCCTGGGCACACGCCAGTGTTGTCCACAGCACTTCGAGAGCCCATCAGGCTCCGTGTTGTCTGATACAGGCTATGCTTTGTCAGCACCAAAGCCAGACCCAGGTGCTGAGAAGGCTGAGTCCATGTGAACAGACAGGGGCTCTCCCATTGCCCGTACCCACCTTGTCCCCAGGAAACCCCAATTTGCTCACTTCATGATGCGTTTGGCCCCACAGCAGTGCAGATCATAGGAAAGGGAGTACGTATCATAAAAAGTCGCCTTCATGTTCAGGCAGCCAATGAAGTCCTGTGGGTTCAGCTTGTACAGGTCAAAGGTTACACGGGCCACATCAATCTTCTTGGCAGGCTTATGGGAGAGGGACTGTGGGTGCCTCGTCCCCTGCATCGAGACAACCAGATGGTTAGCACCCCTAAAGACTCTCTACTTACGCTTATGATAGGCTTATGACTACTGCATTCCAGCCTATTAGTCACCGCAGTGTTAGATAGTGGCGATGATTGCACAACTTTGTGAATATACTAAAAAACCCTGAATTGTAAACTTTTAGAGGAAGGAAACCATACCACAATTAAAAGGTAAATGTAACTTACATTATATTTTATTGGACAATATTTTTCTAGACTATGAACCCTGAAGCCAGGAGCCAAGAGGTACCCTGATAAAGTCTCTGGGTAGTGATTCCACAACAGAGGGCCTGGGCTCCAGTTCCACCTCATAGAGTCCAGCCCACTTGTTCTTTCCCTGGCAGCCAAGGAGCTATGAAGTGGGGCTTCCCAGACTGGCTCTGTGGCTCCATAGGGATGGCAGAAGCATCACTGACCTTATTCCCCAGCTTCAGCCTGGGCAACAGAGCAAGACAATGTTTCAAAAAAAAAAAAAAAAAAATTCTGACAGGTATTAAACCAAAGCTGAAAAATACATGAATAAAATATATTAGACTAGGTTTGGGGATAGAATGTGTGTAAAAAATGGTTCTCGAACTTGAAGAATATACTACTGACTTTTTGGAAAGGAGAAGACATAGATTCTTAAGAATATGGAACTCTGGTTTGAGAGGTACCGAGTTTAAAGTTTTATTCTAAGACAATGTCATTTAGGCCTGGTACAGTGGCTCACACTTATAATCCCAGCACTTTGGGAGGCTGAGATGGGAGGATCCCTTGAGCCCAGGAATTTGAGACCAACTGGGCAACATAGTGAGACCCTGTCTCTGCCAAAAATAAATAGATGTCTTTCAGTTACAAATTACAAAGCTTTATCTTTATAACAGTACAAGGACTTATTTTTAGATATTCACAAAAATAAAAATACAAAATTAAAAATTTCTTGCGGAATTTGCAAACTTCAGATAACACAGATATTGAGTGTTTAGAAAATACAGGATAATTTAAGATTGCTTATTTAGGGTCTTAAAATACCTCAGGGTCATGATATTCAACTCCATTTCTACAAAACTATTCAGCAGCGTAAATATAGGAGAGCTAGATGAATTTCTTTTGATTACACTGCCTGGAAAAGTCTTGAATTATCGTAGACTGAACAAGTGTTTTTTCGTTTGTTTTTCTGGAGACAGGGTCTTGCTTTGTCACCCAGGCTGGACCAAAAAGGTCGAGGCTGCAGTGATTGAGGCTGCAATCGCAGTGGTGCGATCATGGCTCACTTCAGCCTCGAACTCCCGGGCTCAAGTGATCCTCACACCTCAGCCTCCCGAGTAGCTGGGACTACAGGCACACACCACTGCACCTGGCTAATGTTTAAATTTTTTTGTAGAGACAGTGGTCTCATTGTGTTGCCCAGGCTGGTCTTGAACTCCAGGGCTCAAGCGATCCTCCCACCTCAGCCTCCCAAAGTATTGAGATTACAGGTGAGAGCCACCACGCCTGGCTGTGAACAAGTTTTTTGATGGCCTACCATGTGCCTTGCACTCTGCTGCATGCTATGGGGTATAGAGTAAGGCAAGGTCATGACCCTGCGCTCAGAGTTTCTGTTCAAGTGATAAAATATGCAAACGGAAAAATAATAGATACTTAATCTAGTGCAACAAGAGCGAAACTCCGTCTCAAAAATTAAATTAAGTTAAATTAAATAAATAAATAAATACTGCAATGAAGTATGTGAGGAAGTTGCCTCCACCCTAGGAAGGGAAATGATAATTACAATTCCTTACATGTCTAACAGCAGTGTTACAGATTGCAAAGCGCTTTGGTGCTTAGCATCTCAGCTAACCATTGGAACAGTAATTTGGTAGAATGCAGATTATCACACTCACTTGACTGGATGTTACAAATACTAAAAGCTATAAAGCACCAGGCACTCTTCCCAACGAAAGGGTGGGATGGGATAGTTCATAGGTAAACCCACCGAGGGTTGGCGACTAACCTAAAGGATTAACAGCACCGTTTTTGTTTTTTGTTTTTAACACTCAATACGTCCTAGATCCTGTGCTAAGGGATTTACAGACATCATCTAATTTGATTCCCACCTGTCTATGAGGGAGGTACTGTTATTATCCCCATTTCACAGAGGACAAAAGTGAAACACAGAGGTAACGGGTAAGGTCACCTTGCCAGTGGGGGCGAGACGTGAACCTAGGCAAACTGACACAACGCCTGCACTTTCTTGTCCAAGGTCACGGCGGTGTGAGGTAGGCTGGGGAAGGGAGGGCGCTGACCTGTCAGATACTTGTTCCTGGGTGAGCTTCTTGTCGCTCTCCAGCAGGATGGACACGTAGTGGCGGATCATGTCTACGAAGAGTGATAACGATGGGTAGGACCACCCAGAGGCAGATGTTGGAGTCAAGCAACAGTTCTGGCCCTGCCATCTTCACTGAAAGCTGGCTCCCAGCCGGTGATGGGCGAGCTTCTCTTCACCGGGGCGCAGTTGCTTCTCTCTGACGTCGCCTCTGGGCCTTCTCTCGCCCCTATGCCCGGCTAGCACAGAACTCTGCTGCAGCGGTGAGCCCAGCTTATTGCCTTCAGCTGGGCTGCCCGGCCTTCCACTTCCGGCGCGGAAGTTGGCGTCACGTCATGGCGCGCCTCGGTGGCGTCAGAGCGGCGTCGGGCCTGGCGGGAAAGTCGAAAACTACGGGCGGCGACGGCTTCTCGGTGAGTAAGTGGAGCAATGGTCGTAGTCTCTCGAGGCCCCGCTCCCCTGCGGCCTAATCTCTAAGTCCGGGCCGCGGTCGGCGTTCTCCTCTGGGGCTCCGCGCCCCGAACCTTGGCTTCCTCATCTGCCCTGAGATGGGATAATCCCCACAGGTACCTTTCTGCGTCATTAAAATGCGGAAACGAGAAAGGCTTTTACCCTCACCCGCTTCCCGATGAACTAATCCAGGCAGTCGGCCTCATCTCACTTCTGTTGGGCTTTTCTGGAAGCCAGATGGTATCGCACGTGTTAAAGGCGGGTGCCTGGAAGCCGGACGTGCTGACAAGACTTAGTTTTTCCATCTGCAAGATGGCTGATAATGGTTATCCGTATTAACCGAAGCGGCGATAAATAAAAAGTTTAGCACAGGGCCCGGTACCTCGTAAATGTTAACCATTATTAGAAGTCATTATAATCATCAAGAGTAAGTATAGGTGGTGAAGAGCGCAGGTGCTGAAGCCAGACTCCGAGTTAGAATCCCAGTTCTGCCCGTGATGATGAGAATAATGGTACCCACCTCAAAAAGTTTTGTGGGAAATAAATGAATTATTAAATATAAAGCACTTGAAACAGTTCTTGTTAGCTTTTAGCATTTCCCCTGCACTGCGAGCTTTTTTCACTCTGAATATTCTCAGAAATTTTCCTTATGCCGGTAACTATGCTGGGCATTAGGGACATTGAGTAAGTGAGACTGGGTTCCTGCTCTCAAAGAGCCCCAGTCTAGTGTGAGGTAAGGGCCCCTAGGTATACCCTGTGGAGCAGGGAAGCTGCAGTAGCAAACTCCCTTAGGGATAGGAGGAACACTTTTCAAGGAAGATGACATTCGATTGAATGTTTAGATCTGAGTAGGAATTTCCAGGCAAATAAGAGCACTTCAGATGAAAAGAACACCTTTGTGCAAAGGCACTGAGACCACGAAGGTTCTGATTTACAAGATTAAAAGGTCATGTGATTCAGGCACTTCCCCCACCTCTGCTGTCTGATTTCTAACTCCACATCTCCTTGTTTCAGTATGAGTATCTATTTGCCTGGACTCCTCTTCTCCTACCCCTTCTACTGGCTAACTGCTGTTTCAGCCCTCAAGTCCCTGCCTAAAAATCACTTCTTCAGGCCGGGCGCGGTTGGCTCACGCCTGTAATCCCAGCACTTTGGGAGTCCGAGGCGGGCGGATTATGAGGTTATGAGATCAAGACTATCCTGGGTAACACGGTGAAACCCCGTCTCTACTAAAAATACAAAAAATTAGCCGGGCGTGGTGGCGGGCGCCTGTAGTCCCAGCTACTTGGGAAGCTGAGGCAGGAGAATGGTGTGAACCCGGGAGGTGGAGCTTGCAGTGAGCCGAGGCTGCACCACTGCACTCCAGCCTGGGTGACAGAGTGAGACTCCGTCTCAAAAAAAAAAAAAAAAAAAATCACTTCTTTAGGCCGGGCGGCTCACACCTGTAATCCCAGCACTTTGGGAGGCCGAGGTGGGTGGATCACTTGAGGTCAGGAGTTTGAGACCAGCCTAGCCGACATGGTGAAACCCTGTCTCTACTAAAAAAAAAAAAAAAAAAATTCAAGGAGATTGTCCCTAAGAAATGGTCCTTGCTTCTCTTTACCACCCTTACTAGCAACTAGACTAAATTTCCTAGTAAGCCCTCATAGAACCTGTACTTTTATAGCACTTACATAACTGTAGTTCAGTACATTAAGGCTATTTGTTACCATACTGTAAATTCCCTGAGGACAGGGATCATGTCTGTCTAGTTCACAGTTGTAACCCCAGCACCTAGCACAGTCCCTAACATATAGTATTGAAATCATGAATTAAAGGACAGGTACGTTGGGGATAGATAATGGAGGGTCTTGAATCTCAGATGGAGAGTGATGGGTTTTATCCTTCAGCAACAGCGAAGTAGTCTGCCTAAAGAGGTAACTAAGACTTGAAAGGAAGGTAGTATTGGCTAGATGTAAGAGTTGAAATTTGCTTAGCACCTAGGTTTAGGTAGCATTAATATGGAGATGTGAGCCCCTCTGATTTTGGATAGAGCAGTTTTCTTTGAACAATAGCTTTAACTTCTCAGAATTTATCTTCTAGAGGGTAACTTCTGTTTCCCGATTTTGCTCTAGGAAGTAATTTAAGTGCACAAGACATTGGTCAAAATGGTTTCCAAAAGAAGACTGTCAAAATCTGAGGATAAAGAGAGCCTGACAGAAGATGCCTCCAGTAAGTATCTAGTCATTTGTTGCTTTATTTCCTGTAGCAATGTGTGAGGCATGTGAGAGATATAAAGTTCCTGCTTTTCAAGTGCTGAGAATCTTCAAAGTGTAATGAATGGAGTGCACAGAATTAAGGGAGAAATATCAGATTTGGGACTGAGTTTTTGCCTCGAATTCTGCGTATAACTTTGAGTATGACCACAGCCTCTGGACCTCAGTCTCCACATCCATAAGAGGAATTAGTGTTACAGACTTTTTCTGCTATACATCATTTAGGTGTTGAGACACAAAGACATAACATAGTCTGTACCCTTAAAAAACTTTATGGTCTTTCTTCCTCTCTTGGAAAAAAAATATTATGATCTAGACACATGCTATGTTAGTGATGTGAAAGGAAAAATACATCAAAGCAAGCAAACCAGAGGCAAAGAAACAGTGCAGACTCTGCCCATATGAGAAATAGTTGACAAAGATCCCAAGAGTTCCAGATATAAGGAGTTGATGGCTGGGTGCTATCGCTCACACCTGTAATCCAAGCACTTTGAGGGGCTAAGGTGAGAGGGTCACCTAAAGCTAGGAGTTCAAGACCAGCCTGGGTAACATAGCGAGACTCCATCTCTACAAAAAATTTTTTTAATTAGCTGGGCATGGTGGTTTGTGCCTGTGGTCCCAGCTACTGAGGAGGCTGAAGTGGAAGGATCACTTGAGCTCAGGAGGTCGAGGGTGCAATGAGTCAATAACAGCACCACTGCACTCCAGCCTAGGCGACAGAGCAAGAGAGACCATGTCTCAAAAAGGGAGTGGGGGGCGGGGAGGTTGATAGTTCATTTATTGCTCTTATCTACTCTATTAATCTTGATTTGTGTTGGTTTGTTTTTATTTTACTAGGTTTTTTGGGAACAGGTGGTGTTCGGTTACATAAATAAGTTCTCTAGTGGTGATTTCTGAAATTTTGGTGCACCTGTCACCCGAAAAGTGTATGGTGTACCCAATGTGTATTTTTTCAATCCCTAACCCCCCTTCCACCCTTTCTCTTGAGTATCCAAAGTCCATTATATCATTCTTGTTGTTGTTGTTGTTGTTGTTTGAGACGGAGTCTCACTCTGTCACCCAGGCTGGAGTGCAGTGGCACAATCTCGGCTCACTGCAACCTCCACCTCCCAGGTTCAAGCGATTTTCCAGCCTCAGTCTCCCGAGTAGCTGGGATTACAGGCGCCAGCCACCATGCCCGGCTGATTTTTTTGTATCTTTAGTAGAGACGGGGTTTCACCATGCTGGCCAGGGGCTGTCTGGAACTCCTGACCTCAAGTGATCCATCCATCTCGGCCTCCCAAAGTGCAAGGATTACAGGCTTGAGCCACCACGCCTGGCCCATTATATCATTTTTTTTTTTTTTTTTGAGATGGAGTTTGGCTCTTGTTGCCCAGTCTGGAGTGCAGTGGCACAATCTTGGCTCACTGCAACCTCCGCCTCCCGGGTTCAAGCGATTCTCCTGGCTCAGCCGCCCAAGTAGCTGGGATTACATGTACATGCCATCATGCCTGGCTAATTTTTGTATTTTTAGTAGAGAAGGGGTTTCACCGTGTTAGTCAGGCTGGTCTCAAACTCCTGACCTCCGGTAATCCACCCACCTCAGCCTCCCAAAGTGCTGGGATATCGGACGTGAGCCACCATGCCTGGCCTCATTATGTCATTCTTAATGCCTTTGCATTCTCATAGCTTAGCTTCTACTGACTTGTGGATTGAAGAGTTATTTCTTACTAGGTTATTGGAAGTTAAGTCTGATTCTTGGTCAATTCAACCGAAATAGATGAAAATGCTTGCTGAACAGTGATTATAATGATAAAAATTGTGAGTCCAAAACCATGTAAGGAATAGGCTTGATTTAGAAACGGAAACTGTGGGCCGGGCACAGTGGCTCACACCTGTAATCCCAGCACTTTGGGAGGCCAAGGCGGGCAGATCACCTGAGGTCAGGAGTTCAAGATCAGCCTGGCCAACATAGTGAAACCCCATCTCTACTAAAAATACAAAAATTAGCTGGGCGTGGTGTCACGTGTCTGTAATCTCAGCTACTCGGGAGGCTGAGGCAGGGGAATTGCTTGAACCCCGGAGGTGGAGGTTGCAGTGAGCTGAGATCACGCCACTGCCCTTCAGCCGGGGCAACAGAGCAAGACTCTTATCTCAAAAAAAAAAGGAAGTTGTGAAGCTCCAATGGTTGATTAGTAATGGGGTTCTAGAATTAGAATATAGAGAAATTGGTAGAAAATTTGAAACTGAAGAGGAATAATATAGGAAATTACTGAAAGTAAATGTTATACTTTGGAAATACTGTTCTCCAAAAGAGAAGAGACTTCTGAATTAAGTTTATTAGAAGGGATTTGGGTTCTCTTGGTCAGTAATGAACAAACTGAAACTTTCATTCTGGTTGTGTTTTACATTTCATTCAGGAAGGTAGTGGTCTTTGTCTCATTCTGATTAAGGCTTTATTAGAAAGAGGGAAAGGAGGCCAGGCACGGTGGCTCACGCCTGTAATCCCAGCACTTTGGGTGGCCAAGGCGGGCAGATCACGAGGTCAGGAGATTGAGACCATCTTGGCTAACATGGTGAAACCCCGTCTCTACTAAAAATACAAAAAATTAGCCGGGCGTGGTGGTGTGCACCTGTAGTCCCAGCTACTGGGAGGCTGAGGCAGGAGAATGGCATGAACCCGGGAGGCGGAGCTTGCAGTGAGCCAAGATCGCGCCACTGCACTCCAGCCTGGGCGACAGAGCAAGACTCCATTTCAAAAAAAAAAAAAAAAGAAAGAGGGAGAGGAATTGAAGAAGGAAAAAACAAAATGGCATCATTAAGGGAGAAGAGTAAATTTTAAACTTGGCTTCAAGTACCTGTTTGTTTCTTGTTTCTTATTTCTTTTTATGGGTTGAAAGTCTTGGGATTAAACCTATCTGAGCATTGTAGTCAAAGATATGATACAAAGAACCTTCCCCATTCTGTCTACCCTTTATTCAGATCATTGAGTCTCAAATTTGGTGTGTATCAGGATTATTATCTGAAGAACATAAAAAATTCGGATTCCTAGGTCCCATTCCCAAGATTTTGACTCAGTAACTCTGGTATATGGCATGGAATATGCCTTTTTTTTCCTTTGAGACAGAGTGTCACTCTGTTGCTCAGGCAGGAGTGAAGTGGCGCGATCTGGGCTCACTGCAACCTCTGCCTCCCGGGTTCAAGTGATTCTCCTCCTCAGCCTCCCGAGTAGTTGGTATTACAGGCGCACGCCACCACACCCAGTTAATTTTGTATTTTTAGTAGAGATGGGGTTTCACCACGTTAGCCAGGCTGGTCTTGAACTCCTGACCTCAGGTAATCAGCCTGCCTCGGCCTCCCAAAGTGCTGGGATTACAGGCGTGAGCCACTGTGCTGGGTCGGAAATATGCATTTTAATAAGCTTCCCAGGGATTCCAGTACAGTGGTTTGCAGGCAACAGCTTGAGAGACACTGGCTAGTTTAGTATTTGGGTGGAAAACATTTCTGTGGGTTATTCTTGTTAGGCACTTATTTGTTTGAATTTATTTTTTTAGAGATGGGGATTTCACTCTGTCACCCAGGCTGGAGTGCAGTGGTAATATCATAGCTCACTATAGCCTCAACCTCCTGGGCTCAAGTTATTCTTCCGCCTTAGCCTCCGAAGTAGCTGGGACTACAGGTGTGCGTCTCCTCACCTAACTAGTTTGTGTGTGGAGGGGGGGAATGGGGGTGAAGGGGGGGAGATGGGGGGGTGGTCTCACTTTGTTGCCCAGGCTGGTCTTGAACTCCTGGCTTCAAGTGATCCTCCTGCCTTGGCCTCCTAATTTGCTGGGATTACCACATGAGCCACCTTGCCTGGCCAGAAATGGCACATTTTGAATTCTTCAAATGAAAATAGGTGAAAATAATTCTATTTGTTTGTTTTGGAAGCCACTATTGCTGAAGACAGTTTATTTCACTACAGCATCAATCCTAGTATAATTTTTAAGGACACATCAGTTTTCCTCTCATGATTATTATTCCTGGGTTTAAGTTTTAATTTTTCCTTTACTATTTGCCATATTCTTGAAAATTTTTCTATTTTCAGAAACCAGGAAGCAACCACTTTCCAAAAAGACAAAGAAATCTCATATTGCTAATGAAGTTGAAGAAAATGACAGCATCTTTGTAAAGCTTCTTAAGATATCAGGAATTATTCTTAAAACGGGAGAGAGTCAGAATCAACTAGGTAATATTTTAATCTAATTTTATTCTCTGGGTTTAATGAAATAGTTCAGGACTGAATCATGGGTTTTCTAAATAGAGAGGCAATGAAGATTAGAAATCAGAGGGCCATCCATCTTGAGACAAAGTTGAAATTGCTTTTTAGAAAATGGTACAGTCAGGCCGGGCGCGGTGGCTCACGTTTATCATCCCAGCACTTTGGGAGGCTCGAGGCAGGCGGATTGCCTGAGCTCAGGAATTTGCGACCGGCCTGGGCAACACGTCTCTACTAAAATATAAAAAATTAGCCGGGCATGGTGGCATGTGCCTGTAGTCCCAGCTGCTTGGGCGCCTGAGTCAGGAGAATTGCTTGAACCCGGGAGGTGAAAGTTGCAGTGAGTCAAGATCGCACCACTGCACTCCAGCCTGGGCGACAAGAGTGAGACTCCATTTCCAAAAAACAAAAATGGAAAAAGAAAATGGTACAGTCTTTGGTCCTCATTACTATGTCTTAAGTAAAGCATTTCTCATCCTTTTATTAGAAAAAATATTATATATTATTTATTTTGTGTTTTCTTATGAAAAAATAAATATCCAGAAAGCAGCTGTATCAGTGTCAGAATAATTTCAGAAGAAAATTTATAAAGCCATATAAGATTCTGTTTTGGGGGAGCAGATTATTCTATCTTGCTAAGGTTATGGCAGGTCTTTTTTAGAACACTTAGTGGCTATCTGCTATCAAAGCTAAGTCTTTTTTTTTTTTTTTTTTTTGAGACGGAGTCTTGCTCTGTCGCCCAGGCTGGAGTGCAGTGGCGCGATCTCTGCTCACTGCAAGCTCCACCTCCCAGGTTCACACCATTCTGCCTCAGCTTCCCAAGTAGCTGGGACTACAGGCGCCCGCCACCATGCCTGACTAATTTTTTGTATTTTTAGTAGAGACGGAGTTTCACCGTGTTAGCCAGGATGGTCTTGATCTCCTGACCTTGTGATCCACCTGCCTCGGCCTCCCAAAGTGCTGGGATTACAGGCATGAGCCACCGCGCCCAGCCAAAGCTAAGTCTTTTATGTGGGTTTAGACACAACCCCATGACTCTGGGCTGGGCACAGTGGCTTATGCCTGTAATCCCAGCACTTGGGAGGCTGAGGAGGGTGGATCACGAGGTCAGGAAATCGAGACCATCCTGGCTAACACAGTGAAACCCTGTCTCTACTAAAAATACAAAAAACGAAACAAAACAAAAAAAAACGTGTCTGTAGTCCCAGCTACTTGGGGGGGCTGAGGCAGGAGAATCATTTGAACCCAGGAGGCGGAAGTTCCTGTGAGCTGAGATCACGCCACTGCACTCCAGCCTAGGCAACAGAACAAAACTCCATCTCAAAAAAAAAAAAAAAAAAAAAGATTTGTCTCTGAAATTAGGTTGAAAATATTTTTATTGGTTTCATCAGGCAAGAAACTTGGGTTTTTAGAGAAGGAAAACTATGGTAGGAAACTGGTGACCAGCTCTTCTTTTTTCTGCATAGCTGTGGATCAAATAGCTTTCCAAAAGAAGCTCTTTCAGACCCTGAGGAGACACCCTTCCTATCCCAAAGTATGTATTTTTCCCCTGGTATTTTTGCTTGTGCCAGCATAACTCTAGAATTTGGAATTTAAGGACACTGGTATAAAGTTGAGTGGGCTAGAATGATTTTTAACAGCAAATATTAAACTAAAAATTTTATTCTTTTTTATTTTTTAAATCTCCTTAAGATAATAGAAGAATTTGTTAGTGGCCTGGAGTCTTACATTGAGGATGAAGACAGTTTCAGGAACTGCCTTTTGTCTTGTGAGCGTCTGCAGGATGAGGAAGCCAGGTGTGGAGAGGAGGCATGGAATCTTGCTGAAATTCAGTCTGTTTTGCCAACTTCATGGGGCTGGGGAGGGAGAGCACAGTTGTTTCAAATTTCATTTTTGGTGTAAGCTCTGTTTTCCTCAGAGTTTAAACTAAGTTTAAAATTCCTAAGCTTGTGGTTATGAGCCTAACAATCAGTGTTTTACCTATGCTGACAGAATTTCAAATCTCTACCTCTCCCTTGCAAAGAGCCATCTGCTCATTTCTGTATTTCTTGTCTAACAGGGTAGTTCCTCTTTAAATATTATGTATTTAACCAATTTTATTGAGAAAAGATGATAAAAGCATTAAAACAAGGAAAGCAAAGTGGAAAACAGATTTCTTTTTTTTTTACAGTATGGGTGCATCTTATTCTAAGAGTCTCATCAAACTGCTTCTGGGGATTGACATACTGCAGGTAAGACTGTCACTTTTTCTGTGAACATTTGATGGAAGAGGTTTGTGGTGTATGCTCAAGTCTAAATAGCGGGAACACAGGATAGAGTAGGGTTAATTGGAGAATTTGGGTTTGTAGCAGCTTTAGCACAGCCCTGTTGCTGTGATGGGTTTGGTAGGGTAATGTCTGTGTTTTAAAACTGTGCTTATTAGCCTAATACATCTGGCGGCCCCATTTATTCTCTCTGCATCTGATTCCTGTTCTTAAAGCTGCATCCTGTGTATCTCTGAGTATCTGGTAATCTTTATCATATTCATATCTACATTATCTCCCATTTAGCTTTTTAGATGCTTATGTAACTTAATTTTGTCCTTTTCCTCCTCCTCGTCTCTTTTATTAAGTAGACAATACATTGATATGATTTAAATATCTCAAGTTATACAAATGTATATAGAGCAGAAAACTTCCCTCCACCCCATTCTCCATTTTTCCTCTTCTCCCCTACTGTTAATCTTTTCACACTCTTAAACTCTTCCTTTTCACTGGAAATCTTGAAGATAATTTAGTTATTTTAAGTCTAAGAGCTCCCTTGTTCCTCCTGAGAGCTCCCCTTGCAAGTTATTTGATAATCTTTTAAAGTTTGCATTTTGTGGATTAACAGTTATTGTATTTAATAATATTTTAATTATCTGATTATTTTAACGTTGCCTTGATAATCATTTTCAGTTTTTCAGAAGACAAATTAAGTCTTTGTATTCCAATAGCATATTCTAAAAATGAAGACATATTCGTGTGGATATCCTTGTAATAAGATATCAACTTTAGCAAAGTGTTTATTCCAGGAGCTCTAGTTGGAAAGAGAATTATACATTTCTTTTTTTTTTTTTTTTTTTGAGTCAGAGTCTCCTTTGTCACCCAGGCTGGAGTGGAGTGGTGCAATCTCGGCTCACTGCAATCTCTGCCTTCCCCAGGTCCAAGAGGTTCTCGTGCCTCAGCCTCCCAAGTAGCTGGGATTATACATTTCTATTGTGTATTTTGAGATCATCTCCTAACTCCCTATGTCTTCTTTTTTAGCCTGCCATTATCAAAACCTTATTTGAGAAGTTGCCAGAATATTTTTTTGAAAAGTAAGTGGCGTTATTATGGAATGTTCAAAGTACCCTGATGTACTTAAGTTCTCTCTGAAAAGGTTACTCTGAAAACTATTGGTTTCTCTGAAAGTCATATTTATCATTATATTTCTTAAGTGACTACTAAAATTTTACTGGAGTGTCTTTGAAGTTTCATCTATTAATATGACTTTGTAAAAATAGATAGGATTACTGTTAAAAGTAACTATTGGCCTGGTGCAGTGGCTCACACCTGTAATCCCAACAGTTTGGGAAGCTGAGGGAGGAGGATTGCTTGAGTTCAGGAATTCAAGACCAGCCTGGGCAATGTAGTGAGACCTTGTCTGTATTTCAAAACAGAATTTTTTTTTTTTTTTTAAGTATCTGTTGCTTATGCTCAGGGATAATCCCTAGTAGAAGGATACACAATATACTGGTAATGGTAGTTGTCTCCAAAGAGGGTAGCCAGTTGGTTGGAATCAGGTATTTTCTGAATACTTTTCTTTACCTTTTAAATTTTGTAGTGTATGTTCAGACAGGGTCTCACTCTGTTGCCCAGGCTGGAGTGCCGTAGTACGATCATGGCTCACTGAGGCCTCCACCTCCCAGGCTTAAGTGATCCTCACACCTCAGCATCATGAGTGCCTGGGACTACAGGTGTGCGCCACCCGGTCCAGCTAATTTTCGTGGTTTTTTTTTTTTTGGTAGAGGTGGGGTTTCGCCATGTTGCCCAGGCTAGTCTCAAAACTTCCAGGCTCAAGTGGTCCACCTGCCTTAGCCTCTCAAACTACTGGGATGTGGCCCTACCTGTTTTTTTTTAATTACTATGTTAAGAAATGAACAGCCTAATAGAAAAGTAGACAAAGGTCATGAACAGACAGTTTACAAAGAAGAAATACAAGAACATCAAATATTTAAAAAGTTCAATTTTGTTAGCAATCAAAGGCACAAATTTAAAACACTGTATCAAAATAGTAAATAATAACTATTACACAGTAAAATAAATGCATTTTTTCCTACTCTCAAAGGGTCTCCTTGTTGAGTGTAGTGAATAGGCATGCTTGTACGTTGCTAGTGAGCATATAAATTAGTTCAGGCATCGATTCGGAAGAGCAATAGATTGTATGTGTCAAAAACCTTAGATTTTGCATACCCTTTAATCCTAATGTCATGTCTCCTCATTTATCCTAAGATAATAACTGTGAATGAAAATGAAATAATATTAGTTTAGTGCTTGCTTTGGCAGCACGTATACTAAAATTGGAACAATACAGAGATTAGCATGGCCCTTTTGCAAGGGTGATACCCAAATTTGTGAAGTGTTCCGTATATTGAAAAAGATTACTCTTTAAAATAAAGAAATGTAAATAATTGAGATGTTCAAAAAATAGAAATATTATGTGCACATTAATAATTGTAAAAAGAATTAGTTAATATCATACATTAATTGAAAAAAACAAACCCAGGTTACACATAGCACTTATATTAGGTTGGTGCAAAAGTAATTGCAGTTTTTGCAATAAGTAGTTCAGTATTTTGTTTAAAAAAGAAGATACACACATACACATATGTATATTAATAGTGTACCTTTCTGGAATGACAGGATTATAGTCATTTTTATGTTCTCCTTTTTAATTTTTTCAGAGTCCTGATACAGTAATAGTAAGTTTAAAGGTTTACTTATTTTGAGACGGAATCTCACTCTGTTGCCCAGGCTAGAGTACAGTGGTGCGATCTTGGCTCACTGCAACCTCTGCCTCCTGGGTTCAAGTGATTCTCCTGCCTCAGCCCCCCGAGTAGCTGGGATTACAGGTGTGCGCCACCACACCCAGCTAATTTTTGGTATTTTTAGTAGATATGAGGTTTCGCCATGTTGGCCAGGCTGGCCTCGAACTCCTGACCTCAAGTGATCTGCTTGCCTCAGCCCCACAAAGTGCTGGGATTGCAGGAGTGAGCCACTGCACCCACTGAAGGTTTATTTTTTCAAATTTGTTTTAGCTAAATGTCTCATGCTGGATGCTTTACATCCTGGCTAGTCTTTTTCAGTTAAGATTGGCTGCAATAACAAGGACCATGCTGTCAAGGAGATGGAAGTGGTCCAAAACTTTAGATATAGGAGGCTCGAAGGAAGGTGGAAACTATCATATTTGGAAAAATGATAATTGAGCCAACATTTCTTTATTTATAAATGATTTTTAGTACTTTTATAAATATAATCTAATTTGACTTTCTATGTTCCCTTAGCAAT
This sequence comes from Homo sapiens, assembly GCF_000001405.40. Classification (NCBI taxonomy): domain Eukaryota; kingdom Metazoa; phylum Chordata; class Mammalia; order Primates; family Hominidae; genus Homo; species Homo sapiens. Next base: position 10,038,570 of record NC_000003.12, read on the forward strand.
ATATGCTTGCTTTTTTTTTTTTTTTTTTGAGACAGAGTCTTGGCTCTGTCACCCAGGCTGGAGTGCAGTGGCACGATCTCAACTCACTGCAACCTCCGCCTTCTGGGTTCAAGCGATTCTCCTGCCTCAGCCTCCCAAGTAGCTGGGATTACAGGTACCCACCATCGTGCCCAGCTAATTTTTGTATTTTTAGTAGAGATGGGGTTTCACCGTGTTGGCCAGGCTGGTCTTGAACTCCTGGCCTCATGTGATCTGCCCACCTTGGCCTCCCAAAGTGCTGGGATTACAGGCATGAGCCACTGCATCTGACTTATGCTTGCCTTTTTAAGCACTTACTGCGTTGATGTTATTAGTGTCTTACCTTTTAAAAATACTTGTCATATTCAGTTTTTAAGATTTATTAACATTGTCTTTTTAAAAATTATTATTAAGAGATGCTGTCTAGCCCTGTCATCCCTTCTCTCTAAATCCTCCCTGGATGTAGTCACTGTTCATATTTAGCATGTCTTCTAGACATTTTTCTTAACATACGTAAGCATGTATCTCCTGCATCTTGGGTATCACTTGTGTGTCTAGTGCAGTGCCGAATGCATAGTAGGTGTTCGGTAAATGTTAATGGAATGGCTAAAATATTTTGTGCAGTATTAATGCTTGCTGTTATTTTGACCAGAAAGGCTCAGTTCCCTGTTTTCTCTTCCTAACATTTTAGCAAGAACAGTGATGAAATCAACATACCTCGACTCATTGTCAGTCAACTAAAATGGCTTGACAGAGTTGTGGATGGCAAGGTAGGCTTATGGACTTTATCTCTTGAATTTAAAGAGTATGTTTCTCATATCTTTTGGAGGTTGTATTTTTTTTTCTTTCTAAACAGAAAATTCATACTTTTCCATCCATCCATTAGCTTTTTCCAATTTTCATAATTTGAGAATCATAGATACTTCACCCTTTAAATTTCAGAAAAGTTTAAATACGAAGAGTAGATATCATTTATTAAATAAATTAAATATTTGGGAAGATTCTTTTTCAAAGTACAGAGATAAATGACTGTGTTTATTTCTCAAATAATTTCAGCTCTGCATTTCACACGTAGGTAGTCTTTCTTTATTCTGGGTAATGTGCTGCAGTTCTAATAGTGTCTTCTACTGCAGGACCTCACCACCAAGATCATGCAGCTGATCAGTATTGCTCCAGAGAACCTGCAGCATGACATCATCACCAGCCTACCTGAGATCCTAGGGGATTCCCAGCACGCTGATGTGGGGAAAGAACTCAGGTGGATAAACCCTCTGTCATCATCTAAGTGAGGCTCAGCTATGGGGGTTCTATCACTGCAGTATGCAAAGAGCAGTAGTAATATGGTCTCTTCTATCTAAAAAGAGGATGATACCCCCCTTCATGAGTAGGGTATGGGATTTGACTTAAAAAAAAAAGGTATATATTTGAATAGATCCACATACTTTCTTTTTTTTTTTTTTTTTTTCTGAGACAGTCTTGCTCTGTCGCCCAGGCTGGAGTGCAGTGGTGCGATCTCAGCTCACTGCAACCTCCGCCTCCTGGGTTCACCCCATTCTCCTGCCTCAGCCTCCCAAGTAGCTGGGACTAGAGGCACCTGCTACCATGCCCGACTAATTTTTTTGGTATTTTTAGTAGAGACGGGGTTTCACCATGTTAGCCAGGATGGTCTCGATCTCCTGACCTTGTGATCCGCCCTCCTCGGCCTCCCAGAGTGCTGGGATTACAGGCATGAGCCACCGTGCCTGGCCCCATGTACTTTCTTTTAAATGGTATACCTGTTATGAGCGTGAAGTCTGGCTTAGGATTAGATATCTAAATTTGGCCAGTGGAGAAGTTGACCATGATCCCTTAAGTTTCATTAACTTGTTCTTCAGGGGGTCCTTAACCCTGGCTGCACATTAAAATCATTTGTGGAGCCTATTAAACATCTACCTTCTTTGGGTTCCTAGGTGATTCATTCTAATGCACAGTCCTGCATCAGACCGCTTGCGGAGACCCATTGCTTACTGTCATTCATTTGAAAAATAGTAATTGGTAGGGAAGTATTGAAGAAGGGGAGAACAATATCCCTAGGTAATAAAGTTTCCATCTTAATGCAACTTTTTATTGTACTAGAAGTATTTTTTTTAAATTCAGTTTGTAATACTTCCTTTTGTATAGTTGTCTGCAAAGCTACCTCCAAAACATCCAGTGATTTCTTGCCCTCATCCTTTTGGGCAGGATGCTCCTTCTGGGCAAAGTACTACGCCATCCACTTTACCTGCCTGATGCCAGCTCATCTCCTTTTGTATAGTCTTTTTTTTTTTTTAGCATCTGTCACCGTCTGTTGGGCGCAGTGGCTCATGCCTTTAATCCCAGCATGTTGGGCGGCTGAAGTGGGTGGGTCACTTGAGCCCAGGAGTTTGAGACCAGCCTGGACAACATGGTGAAAAGCCGTCTTTCAAAAACATACAAAAATTAGGTGGGCGTGGTGGTACGCACTTATAATTCTAGCTACTCAGGAGGCTGAGATGGGAGGATCAATTGAGCGTGGAAGGTCGAAGCTACAGTGAGCTGTGATGACACCACTGTAACTGTACTCAAGCCTGGGCATCAGAGTAAGACCCTGTCTCAAAAAACAAACAAACAAAAAAAAAAGCAATCTATCACTGTCCTTCTCACTATGTTGTGCTCCTGTAGCACCACCTACATGTGTCTCTCATACTTATCAGATTTCATTGTAAATGTTTTGGGTTTTCTTTTTCCTTTTTGCGGGGAAGGATACATACCAAACTAAATAGTGGTGTTCTCTGGGTAGTGGGGATTGTGATGGAAGGCTTCTTGTTTCTACTTTTATTATTTGAATTTTTATAATGAGCATGTATTATTTTTTGCAGTCAAAACAATTTTTAAAGAAACATACTATAAACGGTAACTTAATGGCAACTAAGTATGTCCTTTATTTTCATACTCTAATAAATGATTTTCTCAAGTCATTGTCTGCCCAGCTCTGTTCAAACCATTATACAACTTTTTTCTTTTTCTACCATTCACAGTGACCTACTGATAGAGAATACTTCACTCACTGTCCCAATCCTGGATGTCCTTTCAAGCCTCCGACTTGACCCAAACTTCCTATTGAAGGTAGAAAAGACTCAGCTTTCCAGAAACAGAGCCAGCTTTCCAACCTCCCAGAACAAGTGTCAGTCAGTCATTGCCTTGGGAGTAATGAATATTTCATTTTGAAACCATAGTGAATCACATTTGATATCTCTCTTTTTTTTTTTTTTTCCCCTCAATGAGTTTCAGATGCTATTCTATGGTAGAGTCACAGGTCTGTTTTTTTTTTTGAGACGGAGTATCACTCTGTCACCCAGGCTGGAGTGCAGTGGTGCAATCTCCGCTAACTGCAACCTCTACCTACCAAGTTCAAGCAGTTCCCTGACTCAGCCTCCCAAGTAGCTGGGGTTACAGGCACCTGCCACCACTCCCGGCTAATTTTTGTATTTTTAGTAGAGACGGGGTTTCACCATATTGTCCAGGCTGGTCTTGAACTCCGGACCTTGTTTTCCACCCCCCTCGGCCTCCCAAAGTGCTGGGATTACAGGCTTGAGCCACCGTGCCTGGCCCACAGGTCTGTTTTTAAGCAGTAAGTTTTGAGTGGAAATCTTCCATGTTGTCTGAGTCATACCTGCTTCCCATAGGAATAATACTTTTTATGCCTTACTGTAGCCAGTTGAGAATTTAGGCTCTAAATGTAAGATAATAGCTCTGTTTCACATTTATTGCCCGTCTATTTTTGATGAAGCTGTGGTATTAACAACTAAAAGATTCTAATTTGGGGAAAAATCTAAAATTTTGTTTTTCCCTAAATTATAAGTGGGAAGATGGAGTAAGAGAAGTGATTTTTTTCTAATTTTATCTAACAGTTCAGTACAAAGTTGAGGTAGTGACATGAAAACCTATTAAGTTTCTGTGCTTTTAATTTTTAGGTTCGCCAGTTGGTGATGGATAAGTTGTCGTCTATTAGATTGGAGGATTTACCTGTGATAATAAAGTTCATTCTTCATTCCGTAACAGCCATGGATACACTTGAGGTATGCTCTTATATCCCATCACACCTAGATAAAGCAACTTAAGTGCCAATTGCTCTTCTCTGTCCCCAGACTAACTGAGAATACTGACTAATCCGGATAGCATTCAGAGGAGAGAATGGAGCTATTCAACAGATTCATTGATCTATATAAGCTGCTATAAGTTACATTTACTCTTCCTGTGTAGTACCTCACAGAATTCTGAAATTTTGGGTATGATGTTCTATGACATTGCATTGGCTATTCTCATAACTCTATTTTTCAAAATGTCCAACATTTAAATTTTTTTCTTCCTCAGTCTTTCAGGAGATTGTCATGGTAGAGAGACTGGACTGTGCCTACCCACTATGAATGAGCAGAAAACCATAGCTAATATTTACTTTCTGCAGGTAATTTCTGAGCTTCGGGAGAAGTTGGATCTGCAGCATTGTGTTTTGCCATCACGGTTACAGGCTTCCCAAGTAAAGTTGAAAAGTAAAGGACGAGCAAGGTAAAGAGCTCATCCTCACACAGGATGTCACAATTTTCTGACATCCCACTGTCAGAGTTAGAGCTTAATACTACTACAAATAATGATACTATTATGACATTTACATCTAGTATTATATTGTTTTTCAAATTACATATATGTATGTGAGTATGTATGTGTTTATATATTTTCTTAGCCATTCAGATCAATCCCAGACAGACGACAGTGCAAGTTTATTAGCCATCTTATACATGAGGTTGTCATTTGCTCCAGGGTACATGGCAGGAACTCCGATCTTGTAAGTTCTTTTCTGGTACGTAGAAGAGTAATTTTTTTCCTCTCTGCTACTTGTAGTTCCTCAGGAAATCAAGAAAGCAGCGGTCAGAGCTGTATTATTCTCCTCTTTGATGTAATAAAGTCAGCTATTAGATATGAGAAAACCATTTCAGAAGCCTGGATTAAGGTGAGATCTTTGGAACTTTGATTATCAAGGAGGAAATGAGTGGCAATTAGTGACAGATGTATAACTGAGGTAGACTGAAATAAAAATCTCAAAACTCATTCAAGTGGAAATGATAGCTGATGGTTGCCAGATGGACACATTGGCTCTTAGATGAGATAACAGGGCATGCTGAATAAGGTGTAACGTGTTTCGCTGATGTGTCATAATATTTTTGTGACTCTCTCCTGTTTTTTCAGGCAATTGAAAACACTGCCTCAGTATCTGAACACAAGGTAATGTTCATGTACTATGCATTTTCAGTATTGCAGACTTAAAAGTAATGACATTGGCTAGCTTGCCTTCCCACTGTCTTTCTTTCTCCCCCCTCCAGTCACTCTTCTCTCTCTTCCCTAGTTGCTCTAATAAACATTAGCTGTCTGGGGAAGATAATCTGAGGTGGCGACTGGCCAGATAGCCTGCCCCTACTCACTCTGGCTATAAAATAAGCCTACAGTATCCACAAGGGGAAATACTAACAGTGTAAACAAGCACATCAAGGTGCAGTCAAAGAAGCCAGGTCCCCACTGATGAGATGAAGAAAATAACCACCTAAGTCTCAGGTCCCTGTATCTGCCTAATTGCCCTTCCTTCCACTCAGCACCACTGTCAAGATAATGGCATTCCATGTTTTACTTTACTTTGCTCATGTAGACCTGACTAGAGTAAATCAATCTGTCCACTGTCAAGGCAGTGGTACTGGATCTTATGTCTCTATTAATTCTAGAAATACCTTCCATCAAAAAGCCAGATGATTGGCCGGGCGCGGTAGCTCACGCCTATAATCCCAGCACTTTGGGAGGCTGAGGCAGGCGGATCATCTGAGGTCAGGAGTTTGAGACCAGCCTGGCCAATGTAGCGAAACCCCGTCTCTACTAAAAATACAAAAAAAATTAGCCTGGCCTGGTGGCACACGCCACTGCACTCCAGCCTGGGCGACAGTGCAAGACTCCATCTCAAAAGATAAAAAGCCGGATGATTGAGTTCCTTAGGTGCTGATTGGTTGCCTTTAAAGATTTTTCTTTGGTTGGAATCTGTTTTGTGGGATTTTTGTTAGTTTTGTTATCCAATTTTGGGATGATTATCTTAAAAGCTTTCATGATGCTGAATAAAGCAATGAAAATTCAGAATTTTTTCTGGTGAAAAATATCAAAGTACTCCAACACACTGTTTTTGGTTTTGGATAAACATAAATTTACCACCTTGGCTGCCTGCATACCTATTTTTACATATTTGTAATCATTGTATAAATATAATTTGTATTCTTACTTTTTTTTCTTAACATTTTTTCTCCTGTCATAAATATTTCAAGGTCTGCATTGTCTTCATTGTTATCTTTAATGACTGTATTCTGGTCTAATAACTCAGTTTTGGTGTCCTAAGAAGTGGAGCATTCAGTTAAGATAAGTAGTAAAATTTTTTTTGTTTTTTCTTGTTTGTCCTGCTTGCCTTTTTAACTGTTTTTTTTTTTTTCCTGGAAGCATAGACTCAGGTTGCCCTGAATACACGCCCAATGTTTTCTCTTTTTTTGTTTTGTTTTGTTTTTGTTTTTGTTTTTGAGACGGGTTCTCACTCTGTCACCTAGGCTGGACTGCACTGGCGTGATCTCGGCTCACTGCAAGCTCCGCCTCCTGGGTTCACGCCATTCTCCCGCTTCAGCCTCCCAAGTAGCTGGGACTACAGGCACCTGCCACCACGCCCGGCTAATTTTTTGTATTTTTAGTGGAAATGGGGCTTCATCATGTTAGCCAGGATGGTCTCAATCTCCTGACCTCATGATCTGCCCGCCTCGGCCTCCCAAAGTGCTGGGATTATAGGCGTGAGCCACCATGCCTAGCATGGCTTATTCTTCCTGATGACTGTGTAATATTCCAAAAATTAAAATTACTCCATCATAATTTATTGAACCTTTCCTGTATTGATGTATTGATGGGCATTTATAGTCTTTCCAACTTTTCACAAAGTAATTTTCCTTTTTTTTTTTTTTTTTTGAGACAAAGTCTTGCTCTGTCACCTAGGCTCGAGTGCAGTGGCTCGATCTCGGCTCACTGCAACCTCTGTCACCCGGGTTCAAGCGATTCTCCTGTCTCAGCTTCCCAAGTAGGTGGGATTACAGGTGTGTGCTACTTTGCCCGGCTAATTTGTGTATTTTTAGTAGAGACAGGGTTTCAGCATCTTGGCCAGGCTGGTCTTGAACTCCTGACGTCGTAATCCACCCATCTCGGCCTCCCAAAGTGCTGGGATTACAGGCGTGAGCCACCGTGCCTGGCCTAGTAATTTTCCTAGTAATACTGAAAATACATACTGTAGTTGGCAACAAATACACGCTGGAGTTGGCAAGTGATTGAATCTTTCTTTTAATAAATGTCAAGATGTTCAGAGTTACTTCTGTAGTAATATCACTTTCATGCATATTGCTCTGTATTCTTTTTTTTTTTTTTTGAGAATGGAATCTCGCTCTCTCACCCAGGCTGGAGTGCAGTGGCGCGATCTCGGCTCACTGTAAGCTCTGCCTCCCGGGTTCACGCCATTCTCCTGCCTCAGCCTCCCCAGCAGCTGGGACTATAGGTGCATGCTGCCACACCCGGCTAATTTTTTGTATTTTTAGTAGAGACGGGGTTTCACCGTGTTAGTCAGGATGGTCTCGATCTCCTGACCTTGTGATCTGCCCGCCTTGGCCTCCCAAAGTGCTGGGATTACAGATGTGAGCCACTGTGCCTGGCCTGCTCTGTATTCTTAAGGGGTATCAATGGTTAACAGTTGTGGCACTTTATTTATCTGAAAAATATTTCTGAGTTTTGTGAAAAGTGTAGATACTCCCAGGGGAGTGTGTGGAACAAATGAGCATTATCCATTCTGTGTTTTAATTAGAGGAAAAGCTGCTGTTTCATTGTAGCAAATGTACTGATTTGTTAACTGTTTTTCTGTTGTTGCATATTTATTGACAATAGGTGTTTGACCTGGTGATGCTTTTCATCATCTATAGCACCAATACTCAGACAAAGAAGTACATTGACAGGGTGCTAAGAAATAAGATTCGATCAGGCTGCATTCAAGAACAGCTGCTCCAGAGTACATTCTCTGTTCATTACTTAGTAAGTGTCAGAGACTATTGATTTTTAATCTAAAACAGAAAGCTTTACAGCTCTCATGTAAAATTTCATCTTATTTCAGTCCATTGTTCAAACCCATTGAGATTTTTGAATTTTGTTTTTGCATTAATCATTTTAATTGTCTATCTCAATGCAGTTTGCAACTTTGACAAACTGGCCTTCCGTATCCTATTTAAGTAGCTTATAAAAACCTTGAGGGGAATAGGACCAGCCTGTAGAAACTAGTAGAAATGTAAATATGTACCTATTTGAACTATCACTCTTTAGCCATTCAAAACTGTGGACTTTAGGTGATAATTCCTCTAGAAATGTAAATTATTCAAAGTGGAATTTTATAAGCTAGGAATAGTGTTTTGCCAGCTGAACGTTCAGGATATTAGCAGTATAGAACTTAGAAAACTGGATGGGCCAGTGGTTTGGGGTTTGGGTTAGGAGCTAATGAGAATACCTCGCTGGGTCTTAAATTTTATATTTAGGAATAGATTTAACGGTTGTATTATTTTATCTTGCAGTTCTTTCTGTGTTTATTTCTGCCAATTATACATGTTTTGGGCTGTAATTTTCTAGATGCAGAAACCACATGTAATTTTTCATTGCATTTTCCCCAATAAAGCATTATACCCAGCTTAGTACTAAATATAAGATTTTTAAAAATTATGGTATCAATAAGGAAGCTATGTTTATTAACTGGTTATTTAGTCTGGGTCCATTAATGTCTATGTACATTGAATTATTGGTAGGTTATGATCACTTCTCTTCTTGATCTTCTTTTAAAAAAATCAGCTTAGTTAGCATTGAACCTTATAGACCTACTTCAAATTATAACCAAGGTGGAACATCCCTGGGGGTAGTATGATTGCATGGGGAAACTGGGATTTAGAACATCTGGCCTCCAATCCCAAATTGAGCAGATAGGAATGTTCTATTAGGCTTGTAATTTAACTTCTTTGAGCTTAAAAGTCAATTATTATCCAAACGTGGAATCCCATTGATGCTGAGAGTAATCTCAGAATGATGAAGGATTATTTTTGTGTAAAACAAAGATTAAGATTTCCTAAGTTAAAATGAGAGCTAGGGAGGAGAAGTCTGACATTCCAAAAGGATAAGCAACTCTTAGGTTGTGTACTAACTGTTTCCTACAGCTTCTTTTCTCTCTCTACTCTTCCCCACTCAAGGTTCTTAAGGATATGTGTTCATCCATTCTGTCGCTGGCTCAGAGTTTGCTTCACTCTCTAGACCAGAGTATAATTTCATTTGGCAGTCTCCTATACAAATATGCATTTAAGTTTTTTGACACGTACTGCCAGCAGGTATGTTGAAACATTTATTTTGGCAAGGAGGGAACACAGAAAGGGAAAATAATCTGATGTTTATTTCTTGTTGGTTGGAACTCACTGAAGGGGAAGGAACTCTGACCTGGGTCTCAAGAAAGCTCAATTCTAGTCCCAGCCTTGATGAAAGGAAGAGACTTGACTGGTGGCTCTAACTCTGTGTTCTGAGCTCTAAAATTCTCTGTCTGAAATTAAGATCCAGATCTAGTCCATTTCAAAACATGAGACACTTTTTTTTGTTTTGTTTTGAGACGTGGTTTTGCTCTTCATGCCCAGGCTGGAGTGCAGTGGTGCTATCTCAGCTCACTGCAACCTTCACCTCCTGGGTTCAAGCGATTCTCCTGTCTCAGCTTCCTAAGTAGCTGTGATTACAGGCACACACCACCACGCCCGGTTAATTTTTTGTATTTTTAGTAGACACAGCGTTTCACCATGTTGGCCAGGCTGGTCTCGAACTCCTGACCTCAGGTGAACCGCCTGCCTCAGCCTCTCAAAGTGCTGGGATTATAGGCGTGAGCCATTGGGCCTGGCCGAGACACATTTTAATAGCATATATCCAGAGAGGGAGGACTGTATTTGTGGAAAATGTTTATGAAAGCAAGTAAAGAACAGTGTCTTATTTTGTATTTTTACATATATTCTTCCTGTCATTAACAATGTTAAAACGCATTTGAATGGAACTTTTAAAATGAAGATTTGTAAAAAAATTTTAAACATTTAAAGTAGAGCAATAGTTGCAGCTGACATGAGGTAGCTGTTGCAGTTGAAAATGTAATTCTGTTATGACTATTATGGAGTGACAGTATAAAGGGAGAATGGCATCTAAGACATTTCTGGACCCTCTTAATGTCTTAGAGACACTGTCATAATCCATGTTTGCTTGGAAACATGCAAGTCTAGCCTGTACTATATGGAGAAAACCTTTAAAGCTTTTAGCTCCTTGAGTGCCATCTTTTTGAGGAATTTCAACTGATCTTGTACAACCTCAACCTAAAGGGTAAAATTTAACCCATATGGGAAAAAGAAAGAGGAAAACTACGCCAAGGAGCAAAATCAGGAGGGCTTAGGTAGAGCTCACTGATAAAATATGGGAAATAGGTCAAGATGGGATGGTCAAGTTACACTGGCATATTCCTAAATCTCCTGAAGCCAACATTAATGAAAACTAGATAATAGGTGATGGGTTTGGGTTGATTGTGATTTTAACAAAGTAGAGATTGGAGAGGCCTTGGGGGTGAATCCCTTTAGAATGGCCATCCATATTTTGTTTTACACTGTTCTGTTGACTCTCCCCTGTATAGGAAGTGGTTGGTGCCTTAGTGACCCATATCTGCAGTGGGAATGAAGCTGAAGTTGATACTGCCTTAGATGTCCTTCTAGAGTTGGTAGTGTTAAACCCATCTGCTATGATGATGAATGCTGTCTTTGTAAAGGTATCTTATTGGCTTCTTGTACTTTAGATATTGAATACTATAATTGGTGGGAGGTGGTGGGAAGGAGGTGAGATGATGGGCAAGTAATATAAATAAAAAGTGACTATTCTATCTATGTGTTAATTCATTCAGCAAACACTTCTTTATACCTAACCTACAGGCTAATCTCTATTCTGGGTGCTGTGAATGTAAAGTAGGCCCTTACCTTTCATGTTAAAGACTAAGACACATAAGCAAGTCACTATAAATACAACATGGTGAATTCTCTGGTAAAGTACTATAGATATAACAGAGTAAGAATAATTAAATTTAGCCTGGGAAGCTGGAGAATTCTTCAAAGAGGCAATGTGAGTGATTGCTGAAGGATGGGAATGACTGACAAGAGAAAGTATGGGAAGTGCGTTCTAGGCAGAGAAGAGTTTGAGCAGAAGCAAACTGGTGCCCAAGTCAATGGTGTGACTGAGGAATGAGAAGCAAACAAGCATGACTGGAGAATAGGATATATATGGAGAGGAATGATTGGAGGCAAGGCTGGTAAGACATAGGACAGGCCCATGTTGCAAAGAGTCTCAAATAACATGCTAAAGAGTTTCAACTTTATTTTTTAGACAATAAGGAGCTATTACTAGTTTTTACATACAGTTGACCTAATCTACTCAGCATTGAGAGATAACTCAGTAGGCTATATGATGGGTGGATTGGAGACTGCTGAAATGGTCTAAGGGAGTGAGAGTAAGGGCCAGATTTTGGTCACGGGAATGTAGAAGAAATTATGGCTTAAGAGACAATTTGGTGTTAGAATTAACATGACTTGGTGACTGTTAAGAATATGTGGCGGTCCGGGTGCGGTGGCTCATGCTTGTAATCCCAGCACTTTGGGAGGCCAAGGCGGGCAAATCACGAGGTCAGGAGATCAAGACCATCCTGCCTAACACGGTGAAACCCCGTCTCTACTAAAAATACAAAAATTAGCCGGGCATCGTGGCGGTCGCCTGTAGTCCCAGCTACTCAAGAGGCTGAGGCAGGAGAATGGCGTGAACCCAGGAGGCGGAGCTTGCAGTGAGCCAAGATAACACCACTGCACTCCAGTCTGGGCGACAGAGCAAGACTCTGTCTCAAAAAAAAAAAAAAAAAAAAAGGCTTAGAAGAGCACAGACATTTTGAGAAGGTTAAAGTTTAAGTGGCAGATGAAAGCAAATGTCCATAGAAGGAAAATGAGAAACCTGGAAGATTAATAATGTGAGCTTAAAGGATGTCAGGTAGCAAAAGCCCAGGAATGAGTTTCAAGAGTGAGGGATTGGCCGGGCACAGTGACTCATGCTTGTAATACCAGCACTTTGGGAGGCCGAGGCGGACGGATCACCTGAGGTTGGGAGTTCGAATCAGCCTGACCAACATGGAGAAAGCCCTCCTCTACTAAAAATACAAAAATTACCTGGGCATTGTGGTGCATGCCTGTAATCCCAGCTACTCGGGAGGCTGAGGCAGGAGAATCACTTGAACCCAGGAGGTGGAGGTTGCAGTGAGCTGAGATCATGCCATCACACTCCAGCCTAGGCGAGAAGAGCGAAACTGTCAAAAAAAAAAGAGTGAGGCCGGGCGCGGTGGCTCACGCCTGTAATCCCAGCACTTTGGGAGGCCGAGGTGGGCGGATCACGAGGTCAGGAGATCGAGACCATCCCGGCTAAAACGGTGAAACCCCGTCTCTACTAAAAATACAAAAAAATTAGCCGGGCGTAGTGGTGGGCGCCTGTAGTCCCAGCTACTTGGGAGGCTGAGGCAGGAGAATGGCGTGAACCCAGGAGGCGGAGCTTGCAGTGAGCCGAGATCCCGCCACTGCACTCCAGCCTGGGCGACAGAGCGAGACTCCGTCTCAAAAAAAAAAAAAAAAAAAAAAAAAAACAAAAAGGAGTGAGGGATTTATCTCCCAGTGTTGGACACTGAAAAAGTTGAAGATGGAGGCAGAGGCTATTGGCTTTGGCAATTAGGATACCTCTGGTAACCTCTGAGAGAACAGTGTTAATTGAATTATAAGGGTGGAAGCCAGAGAGCAGTAACTTGAAGACTTGGGGAATAGAGTCAATGTCGAGAAGCATCAAGGAGGAGAGAATAAAAAAAGTAGCTTGAGAAAGAAGCTGGTTGTGAGGGAGATATTTTTTAGATGAGGAGGTTTGAGATTGCTTGTAGGCTGAGAGAAAGGATTCAATAGAGAGGAAGAAATGGAGATTTTTAAAAATTAATTAAAAGTTTACAAAGCTGTTTTATTACTTTTTCCTCAGACAAACCATGAAAGGTAGTATAGCTATTATTATCACCATGTTATAGATGAGAAAAGCTGAGGCATTTCCCAAGGTCACAAAGTAAATAGTTTCCTTGTGACTCCTTCCAGATCTGTAGAGAAAGGAGAAATAATTCATTGAGTAGAAGCTGGGAAGGGATGATATGGCAAGGAATAGGGTAAAGACATAACTTTTGGTAGAATATTGTTTTCACTGAAAAAAAAGGGAAAGGTGGAGGTAAAGAATACCGAGAACTGGGAGGTGCATTAGAATGACTAAGCAGTAGATGATTAAAGCCCAGGATTGTGGTTCAGAGTGAAGAGGATAAAGAAAACTTTATGTTTCCTGATAGTTAGTTCCTAGTCTCTGATAATAAGAGATTTAGAAAGTTGTAAGAATTTTCCCAGTTTATATCCAGTCTATCAAACCTTTGGGCTCTGAGCATAGCTTTTAGAACTTGAGCTTTGAGCTTTTAAGGGAGCTAAAAAGTTTTAGATACCTGGCTATCTATGTGTGTCTCTTTTACAGGGATTTTAATTTTTTGAATTTTAAGGGAAAAATGTTAGCTGCTAGCCTCATTGTTGGCATCATTTTTTCCACAGGGCATTTTAGATTATCTGGATAACATATCCCCTCAGCAAATACGAAAACTCTTCTATGTTCTCAGCACACTGGCATTTAGCAAACAGAATGAAGCCAGCAGCCACATCCAGGTAAGAGGCAATATGTTGGGAAAGATTTTTTTTTTTTTGAGACAGAGTCTAGCTCTGTCTCCTAGACTGGAGTGCAGTTGGCACGATCTCAGCTCATTGCAACCTCTGCCTCCTGGGTTCAAGCGATTCTCCTGCCTCAGCCTCCCAAGTGGCTGGGACTACAGGCACGTGCCACCATACCCAGCTAATTTTTGTATTCTCCATCAAAAAGTGGGCGAAGGACATGAACAGACACTTCTCAAAAGAAGACATTTATGCAGCCAAAAAACACATGAAAAAGTGCTCATCATCACTGGCCATCAGAGAAATGCAAATCAAAACCACAATGAGATACCATCTCACACCAGTTAGAATGGCAATCATTAAAAAGTCAGGAAACAACAGGTGCTGGAGAGGATGTGGAGAAATAGGAACACTTTTACACTGTTGGTGGGACTGTAAACTAGTTCAACCATTGTGGAAGTCAGTGTGGCGATTCCTCAGGGATCTAGAACTAGAAATACCATTTGACCCAGCCATCCCATTACTGGGTATATACCCAAAGGACTATAAATCATGCTGCTATAAAGACACATGCACACATATGTTTATTGCGGCACTATTCACAATAGCAAAGACTTGGAACCAACCCAGATGTCCAACAATGATAGACTGGATTAAGAAAATGTGGCACATATACACCATGGAATACTATGCAGCCATAAAAAATGATGAGTTCATGTCCTTTGTAGGGACATGGATGAAATTGGAAATCATCATTCTCAGTAAACTATCGCAAGAACAAAAAACCGCACACCGCATATTCTCAGTCATAGGTGGGAATTGAACAGTGAGAACACATGGGCACAGGAAGGGGAACATCACACTCTGGGGACTTTGTGGGGTGGGGGGAGGCGGGAGGGATAGCATTGGGAGATACACCTAATGCTAGATGACGAGTTAGTGGGTGCAGCACACCAGCATGGCACATGTATACATATGTAACTAACCTGCACATTGTGCACATGTACCCTAAAACTTACAGTATAATAATAATAAAAATAAAATAAAATAGAATAAAATTAAAAAAAATTTTTTTGTATTCTCAGTATTTTGTATTAATTTTAAACCTCTTGAAATTTGCTAGAAAAAAAAAAACAAGCAAATGATAGATTTCCTAGTGTGTAGTAGTGGAAATGGAGTACATAGCCATAGTACTAGCATTTTTTTTTCTTACCACAAACATTAAGTGCCTATTCTGTGCCAGGCACTGATATATTAGATCCTCTGCCCTCAAAAAGCTTTGTCTGTTAGGGTAGAGATGGGTCTGTGATCAGCTAACCATGAAACTGTTCAGTTTCTGAGTGCAGTGGGGACACAGAATTGCCTTGTTTTCTAAGAAACATCTCCATCTAATGTGAACTTCACGTGGGCTTGCTTTTGTTTGTGGGCGCCATTCACTGAAAAAGCCAGGCTGTAATCCCAGCACTTTGGGAGGCCAAGGCAGGCGAATCACATGTGCCCTGGAGTTTGAGACCAGCCTGGGCACCATGGTGAAACCCCATCTCTACAAAAACATAGAAAAATTAGCCAGGTGTGGTGGCACACACCTGTAATCCTAGCTACTCAGGAGGCGGAGGTGGGAGGATCCATTGAGCCCAGGAAGTTGAGGCTACAGTAAGCCATGTTTGTGCCACTGCACTCCAGCCAGGGCAACAGAGTGAGACTCTATCTCAAAATAAATAAATAAATAAATAAAACGAAGAGATTAGATTGGAATCATAACTTGTAACTCGTTTGTAGCTTTAGTGCTACCTTATGGCAGTAATTCATACTGGACTGTGACTTTGAACAACCAGCATATATATATATATACGTATATATATATATACGTGTATATACATATATATATGTATATACGTATATGTATATACGTATATACATATATACATGTATATACATGTATATACATATATATATATATATATATATATATATTTTTTTTTTTTTTTTTTTTTTTTTTTTGAGATGGAGTCTCGCACTGTCACCCAGGCTGGAGTGCAGTGGCGCAATCTCGGCTCCCTGCAAACTCCGCCTCCCAGGTTCCCGCCATTCTCCTGCTTCAGCCTCCCAAGTAGCTGGGACTACAGGCGCCCGCCACCACGCCCGGCTAATTTTTTGTATTTTTAGTAGAGTTGGGGTTTCACCGTGTTAGCCAGGATGGTCTTGATCTCCTGACCTCATGATCCGCCAGCCTCGGCCTCCCAAAGTGCTGGGATTACAGGCCTGAGCCACCGCACCCGGCCACAACCATCATATTTTTTATCTTTTTTTCCCCCCCTTTCTTGGATCCCCAGTCAGCACATTTTTTTTAATTAAAAAAAAAACTTTTGGACTAGGTAATATACATGTGTCATACAAAATTCAAAACATATAGAAGAGTATTCAGTGAAAAATAACTCTCACTTCTCAGTTCTGTAGGCACCTGGTTTGTCTCCCACAGGGGCAATCACTTTATAAGCTTCTGAGATGTTCTGAGAATTTACAAATTTGTGTTTACCTGTAGTTTCCTTTCCCTTCTTGTTCTACATCTTAGCTTTTGCATTTAGCAGTTTATTTTGGAGATTGCTTCAAATCAGCAATATAAAACTACTTCACTATTTTATTTTATTTTTGAATTTTGATAAAATATACATAATATAAAATAGACCGTTTAAGCTGTTTTTAAGGGTACAATTTAGTAGCATTAAGTATATTCACAATGTTATACAACCATTGCCACTATCCATTTCTAGAACTTCCTGATCATCCCAAACAAACTTTGTACCCATTAGGCAATAATTTGCCATCTTCCTCTCCCCACCCCCTAATAATCACTAATCACATTCTGTCTATGGATTTGTTCATTCTAGATGCCTCATATAAATGGAATCATACGATATGTATCCTTTTGCGTCTCGCTTATTTCACTTAGCATAATATTTTCAAGGTTCATGTAGGTTGTAGCATGCATCAGAACTTTATTCCCATTACAGCTATAATAATTCCATTCTTGGCCGGGCACGGTGACTCACGCCTGTAATCCCAGCACTTTGGGAGGCTGAGGCGGGCAGATCATGAGGTCAGGAGATCGAGACCATCCTGGCTAACACGGTGAAACCCCGTCTTTACTAAAAATACAAAAAATTAGCTGGACGTGGTGGCAGGCGCCTATAGTCCCAGCTACTTGGGAAGCTGAAGCAGGGGAATGGCGTGAACCCGGGATACGGAGCTTGCAGTGAGCCGAGATCGCATCACTGCACTCCAGCCTGGGAGACAGAGCGAGACTCTGTCTCAAAAAAAAAATAATAATAAATAAATAAATAAATAAATAATTCCATTCTTTGTTTTTGTTGTTGTTGTGTTTTATTTTGTTTTGTTGAGATGGAGTCTCACTCTGTCGCCCAGGCTTGAGTGCAATGGCACAATCTTGGCTTACCGCAACCTCTGCCTCCTGGGTTCAAGCAGTTCTCTTGCCTCAGCCTCCTGAGTAGCTGGGATTATAGGCACGCACCACCACTCCCGGCTGATTTTTGTATTTTTAGTAGAGATGGGATTTTGCCATGTTGGCCAGGCTGGTCTTGAACTCCTCACCTCAGGTGATCCGCCTGCCTCGGCCTCCCAAAGTGCTAGGACTACAGGCGTGAGCCACTGCGCCCGGCCCCCATTCTTTGTTTATACCACATTTTGTTTATCCATTCATCCATTGATGGACACTTGGGTTGTTTCCACCTTTTGGCCATTTGAATAATGTTGCTGTGACCATTGGTTTACAAATATTTGTTTGAGTCCCTGTTTTCAGTTTTTTAGGGTGTATATCTAAGAGTGGAATTGCTGGATCATATGATGACCATATGTTTACCATTTTGAGGAACCACCAAACTGCTTTCCATAGCAGCTGCATAATTTTACATTCCCACCAACAATGTATGTAGGTTCCAATTTCTCCATATCCTTGCCAACATGTATTTTCCTTTCTTAAAAATTTCTTTTGATTTTTATTAATTAATTAATTTAAAAATTATTATTATTTTTAGATAGGGTCTTATTCTGTTACCCAAGCTGCAGTGCAGTGGCGTGATCATACTTCACTGCAGCCTGGAAATCCTGTGCTTAAGCAGTCTTCCCACCTCAGCCTCCTGAGTACCTGGGACTACAGGTACCTGCCACCTCCCCAGGCCCTATTTTTTAACTATAATCATTCTGATGAGTGCGAGTGGTATCTCATTGTGGTTTGATTTGCATTTTCTAATGACTAATGATGTTAAGCATCTTTTCATGTACTTCTTGGCCATTTCTATATTTTTGTAGAAATGTCTATTCAAGTCCTTTACCCATTTTTGTTTGTTTTGTTTTTGAGATGGGGTCTCACTCTGTCACACACATTGGAGTACAGTGGTGTTATCTTGGCTTACTGCAACCTCCACCTCCCAGGCTCAAGCGATCCTCCCATGTCAGCCTCCTGAGTAGCTGGGACCATAGGTGTGCACCACCATGCCCAGCTAATTTTTTATAATTTTGGTAGACATTATGTTTTGTCATGTTACCCAGACTGGTTTGGAACGCTTGAGCTCAGGAGATCCACCCACCTCTGCCTCCCAAAGTGCTGGCATTACAGGCATGAGCCACCGTGCTCAGCCCTTTGCCCATTTTTAAATTAGGTTTTTGTCGTTTTGAGGTATGGGAGTTATTTATATATTCTGGATATTGATCCCTTATCAGATATATGATTTGCAAATATTTTCTCCCATTCTATGGGTTTTCACTCCCTTGATAGTGTCCTTTGATGCACTAAAGTATTTAGTTTCAATAAAGTCAAATTTATCTATTTCTTTTTCTTTTTCTTTCTTTCTTTCTTTTTTTTTTTTGAGATGGAGTCTCACTCTGTCACTAGGCTGGAGTGCAGTGGCACAATCTCAGCTCACTCCAACCTCCGCCTCCCAGGTTCAAGTGATTCTCCTGCCTCAGCCTCCCGTGTAGCTGGGACTAGGGGCATGCACCACAACGCCCAGTTAATTTTTGTATTTTTAGTAGAGACGGGGTTTCACCATGTTGGCCAGGATGATCTCAATCTCTTAACCTCATGATCTGCCTGTCTCAGCCCCTCAAAGTGCTGTGATTACAGGCATGAGCTACTGCTCCCGGCCTCCATTAAGTTTTAAGATGGCACTCACCATCTTTGTGAAAAGTTGAACATTACTAACAAAGTCTAATCATATCTTTAGAAGGGGTAAACAGTGATACCATTTACTGAATTGGAATTACTATTAAAATTAAAAAAAACAGCATATTCATTTAACCACAAACCAGTCTTAGTTTTAAATGAGGACCACCCAACAAGATATTCTGTCAGTCATTCATGATCTGAATTCTGGTGTATGAGATCTATTAAAGTATGGTACACATAAAAAAGTCATGAGATATTTGTTTTGTAATAAATAAGGCAGTGACCAATTATTACTCATTAGTAGCTTTTTTGAGTTAAGCTATCAAGTTTGCCCTTTCTGCCTTCTTAATTCCGGCAAAGATCATTTTTCTTCCAGGGATGTACTTCTTGGGATTCTCCAAATACTCCATCAGTGTATCCTCTCCCCAGGTGATGCCTTTGTTCTTATTGGTGTCTGTGTAAGAGAATCCAGTGGCCTGACCTGTCTTCCGCACGAAGAGACCGTGGAGATTAGGCCCACTCTTGTGCTTGTCTCCCTTTTCCACCGTGTGGCACTGGGCACACTTCTGAACAAAAATCTTCTTACCTTTCTCAGCATCACCCATATATAATTCTGTTTTTCATCGCTGGCACCACGAAGGTTGCCACTCCAAAGCTGTACGACCCACTCTCTATCAATTTTTTTTCTTGTGTTTCTTGTCCTTTTGGTTGTCATGCTTAAGATACCATTGCCGAATCCAAGGTCATGAAAGTTTTCTTTTATTTTCTTCTAAGAGAAGGTTTTAGCTCTTAAATTTAGGTCTTTGATCCACTTTGTGTTAATTTTTGTATATAGCTTATTTTAATATTTTAAGGATTTAACGTCATTCTTTTGCACATGGATATCCAGTTTTTCCAGTGCCAATTTGTTGAGAAGATGGTCCTTTCACCATTGAAATTACTTTGGCACCCTTGTCAAAAATCAATTTGTCACATATATGAAGGCTTATCTTTGAACTCTGTATTCTATTTCATTGGTCTATACGTCTGTCCTTCTGCCATCACCACACTGTTTTGACTGCTGTAGCTTTGTATTAATATTGAAATCAGGAAGTGTGGGCCCTCCAACTTTGTTCTTTTTCAAGGTTTTGGCAGTTTGGGGTCCCTTGAAATTCCATGTGAATTTTGGTATGGATCTTTCTGTTTCTGCAAAACATGTTGTGGGACTTTGATAAGGATTGCACTGAATCACTTTGAATGGTATTAGCAATATTAAGTGTCTTCCAATCCATGAAGACAGTAGCTCTTTCCATTTCCTTATGTCTTTAATGTTTTTCAGCAATGTTTATTTTATTATTTTATTTTATTTTGAGACAATGTCTGGCTCTGTCACCCAGGCTAGAGTACAGTGATGTGATCCTGGCTCACTGTGTTCTTGACTTCCCAGGCTCAGGTGATCCTCCCACCCCAGCCTTCCGAGTAGCCAGGACCACAGGCATGCACCACCACAGCTGGCTAATTTTTGTATTTTCTATAGAGATGAGGTTTTGCCATGTTACCCAGGCTGGTCTTGAACTCCTGGGTTCAAGCAGTCCAGCAGCCTCAGCCTCCCAAAGTGTTAGGATGACAGGTATGAGCTACTTCGCCCAGCCTTGCCTCCATGTTTAAATCTTTACCTGAGTATTTTATTCTAGTTCATTATTTTGGCTGAGCAGTGATCAACATTATGATAATTTTCATATCCTTATAGAAATAATAACAATAAAAGATATTATTATTGAATGTCTATCATGTGCTAGGCACTGTTCTAGAAGTTTTTTATAATGTATCGCTAATCCTTAAAACAACCTTCTCCATTTCGGGCCAGGCACGTAATCACCCCTGTAATCCCAGCACTTTGGGAGGCCAAGACAGGCGGATCACGAGGTCAGGAGATCGAGACCATCCTGGCTAACATGGTGAAACCCCGTCTCTACTAAAAATACAAAAAATTATCCGGGCGTGGTTGGTGGCGGGCACCTGTAGTCCCAGCTACTTGGGAGGCTGAGGCAGGAGAATGGCATGAAGCCGGGAGGTGGAGCTAGCAGTGAGCCAAGATGGCGCCACTGCACTCTAGCCTGGGTGACAGAGCGAGACTCCTTCTCAAAGAAAAAAAAAAAAAGTCCCCATTTCACAGATGTAAAAATTAAAACTTGGAGAGATGAATTGACTTGCTAAAGACACACAGGGCTGGGTATGGTGGTTCACACCTGTAATCCCAGCATTTTGGAAGGCCAAGGCTGGTGGATCACCTGAGGTCAGGAGTTCACCAGCCTAGCCAACATGGTGAAACCCCATCTCTACTAAAAATACAAAATAAGCCGGGCATGGTGGCGGGTGCCTGTAATCCCAGTTACCCAGGAGGCTGAGGCAGGAGAATCGTTTGAACCTGGGAGGCAGAGGTTGCAGTGAGCCGAGATTGCCCCTTTGCACTCTAGCCTAGGCAACAAGAACGAAAGTCCGTCTCAAAAAAAAAAAAAAACAGTTAGTAAACGGTAAACGCCTTTATAGTCTAGCTATATGGCTCGATATCCATACCTTCTTTTGCTGTGCCATTCCAGCATTTTCATCTTTCTTCATCATCTCATTGCAGGATGACATGCACTTGGTGATAAGAAAGCAGCTCTCTAGCACCGTATTCAAGTACAAGCTCATTGGGATTATTGGTGCTGTGACCATGGCTGGCATCATGGCGGCAGACAGGTACACGTGGAGATTCTGACTTCTGTGGTTTAAGATCAGTTAATCTTGCTAACTAAGTGTTACATCTCATAGACATCATTTTAGCAGTAGAAGTTACAACTATAAATGAGCAAATGTGTTTTGCTACTTTTCCATGTTCCCTTCTAATCGTGACTGTATATATTACCATGTATATGTTTTGCTGGAATGTGATCCTAGCCATTACAGTCTGTGGTTAAAAATTAAGGATTGGCTAGAGGTAAAATTCTAGAAATCTTTGCACAAAATGGGAACCCTGATTCTTTTAGAATGCATTTTTCTTTATCTGCTCCTGATATAGGCACTAGACAATGCAGGTGTCTACATTGCTGTGTCATTCCTGTCGGGAACTTTATACATTTGATACAAATAAGATCTTGTGTATTTCCCCTCACCTTGTTCCTTGAGGCCCCATTTGTAGAATCTAAAGAAATATCGGTTTGGGGGCTTGATAAGATGTTGCCATTACAAACCGACATTGGATTTCAGTTCATGCTCCTTGGAATTTATTTTCTGAGACATCAGGAGACATCTTTAGAATCCACATTGTGGAATCCTAATTAGGGAAAAGGAGTCACAATGGTGGGAGCAAAGAAAGCAAAGACAAAGTATGTAAGTCTGCCTTTTTTCATGGTGCAGGACATGCAGCCCTCCTGCGCCCAACTTAATCACCAGACACCTGCAAGTTAGCTCACTGCAACTTTGGCATTATCAGTACTGCACAAAGCCCTCTTCGGCATACAGCATACATCATAAATACTACTCTAGAAATCCCCAGCAAGCCGTTGTTTCCTTGCAGTCAGCTCCTCTATTGCTGGCTGCCCAGTGCTTTCTTGCAACGTACTTTTATACTTTCTCTAAGAAATCTGCCTTTCTTTACCTACAACTGTCTTAGTAAATTCTCCCTCTAACCCCACCCCAACCGCCACCGGCTCAGATAGTCATCACTCCCCTGTGACACACATTAATAATGGGAAGAGGTTGCAGAGTGTGCAACTCTAGTTAAGAGTTCAGTCAGTGAAGCCATACTGGTTGCCCAGGGTCAGATTCTGGCTCCATTGTTTATTAGCTGAATTACCTTGGGTAAGTTACTTTATCTCTCTGCCTTTGTAGACTCACATCAGCAATAAGGATAATAATAGGATTTACCTCATAGAGTCATTGAGAACATTAAAGGGTTAGAACAATGTTTAGTACATAATATGCACTAATTAAGTGCTTCCTCTAATTATTGCTAATTTGCCCTTAAAAAATATGTACGAAAAAGAAAAAAGAAAAAAATATATAGGATAACCATCCTTTGCTCTAATCTGTATTTTGTATGGACAAAATAAATACTCTTCGCTGCCTTCATGCACTTTTATCTTTACCCTACCCTAGGGAAGTCAGAATTCTTAAACTTATTGGCAGTTGTTACAAAATATTACAAAAGTGAAATTAAAATTCTGTGTTTTTACCAAACACCGCATGTTCTCACTCATAGGTGGTAATTGAACAATGAGAACACATGGACACAGGAAAGGGAACATCACACACCGGGGAATGTTGTGGGGTGGGGGAGGGGGGAGGGATAGCATTAGGAGATATACTTAATGCTAAATGACGAGTTAATGGGTGCAGCACACCAACATGGCACATGTATACATATGTAACAAACCTGCACGTTGTGCACATGTACCCTAAAACTTAAAGTATAATAATAATTTAAAAAAAAATTCTTTGTTTTTAGAAGTGAATCACCTAGTTTGACCCAAGAGAGAGCCAACCTGAGCGATGAGCAGTGCACACAGGTGAGTTCTTTTTTTCCTTTCTTTCTTTTTCCTGTCTTTTTTTTTTTTTTAGAGAGTCTCGCTCTGTCACCCAACCTGCAGTGCAGTGGCAAGATCTCGGCTCACTGCAACCTCCACCTCTCAGGTTCAAGTGATTCTCCTGCCTCAGCCTCCAGAGTAGCTGGGATTACAGGCACGCACCACCACACCCGGCTAATTTTTTATGTTTTTGGTAGAGACGAGGTTTCACCATGTTGGCCCCGCTGGTCCTGAACTCCTGAACTCAAGTGATCCACCTGCCTCGGCCTCCCAAAGTGCTGGGAGTACAGGCGTGAGCCACCTCGCCCGGCCGAGTTCTTATAATGTGATTGGATATGTTTATGAGTAACTGAAGAATTGCTTCTAGTCACTGTCAGTTCACCAGAAAGTGCTTCTTTTGTAAAAGAAGTTTTCCTGAACTCCTACTTCTGTGGTTTTCTGACACTTGGAAACTACTGGCTTGGGTAGCATTTATTTTTATGTTTATTTATTTATTTTTAGATGGAGTCTCAACTCTGTCGCCAAGGCTGGAGTGCGGTGGTGCTTCCCGGGTTCAAGCAATTCTCCTGCCTCAGCCTCCCAAGTAGCTGGGATCACAGGCATGCACCACCATGCCCAGTTAAATTTGTATTTTTAGTAGAGACGGGGTTTCACCATGTTGGGGTTTCGCTATGTTGACCAGGCTGGTCTCAAACTCCTGATCTCAGGTGATCTGCCCCCATCAGCCTCCCAAAGCACTGGGATTACAGATGTGAGCCACCACTCCCAGGCCAGTTGCATTTATTTCTATATCCATTTAATCTCTCTAATTAAATTATAAAGTCTTAGCAAGAAAGATATGCCATGTTTATGGAATAACACTTTGGTTGAAGCATGGGGACAAATAAGTACATAATTGGAAAGTGGGACATAAAGCTAGTTCAGGCAGGGCACGGTGGTTTGCGATTGTAATCCTAGCACTTTGGGAGACCAAGGCAGGAGGATCACTTGAGGTCAGGAGTTTGAGACCAGCCTGGCCAACATGGTGAAATCCCATCTCTAATAAAAGTACAAAAAAATTAGCTGGACATGGTGGCAGGCGCCTGTAGTCCCAGCTACTCAGGAGGCTGGGGCAAGAGAATTGCTTGAATCCGGGAAGTGGAGGTTGCAGTGAGCCGAGATCACACTACTATACTCCAGCCTGGACGACAGAGCAAGGCTCCATCTCAAAAGAAAAAAAGAAAAAGCTATTTGAGAGAGAAAACAGAGAGCCTTGCATGTAAAGCAATACATTTTTATTTCATTCTTTAGGCAGAGGTATTCCTTAAGGGTTTCTTAGCATGGAAATGGCAAAATCAAAGGTTTACTTTAGAAAAATTAATCTGGCTGCAGTGTCTGGCAGATTGGAAAAGGGATGATATCAGAAGGAGACAGACGGGTCAGAACATTCAGGAAAACTTCAAGTGAGACATAGAGCTTTGCCAGTAAAATCAGAAAGTGAAAAAACAGTCTTGAAAGGGGCGAGTGGAGTTTGGGAAAGATTGGCAGCCCAAGGTTTAAACCATTCTTCCTCTTTGCTCCAGGTGACCTCCTTGTTGCAGTTGGTTCATTCCTGCAGTGAGCAGTCTCCTCAGGCCTCTGCACTTTACTATGATGAATTTGCCAACCTGATCCAACATGAAAAGCTGGATCCAAAAGCCCTGGTAAAGCCAATTGTCTTTTCTTAAAGCAATAAAGCATGAGAGCTGCTTTACTACACTCTTCAAGTCTTTCTGTTGCAGTGTGAAAATAGATCATCCTGTGACCTCTCCTAAATTCTAACTGGGAAAGGCTTTTCTGCCCTACCCTGTCTCACGGCTCTTCTCTGAGGGCTCCTTCACTTAATAACAATCACGATAGTAAAGAAGAGATTGACTTTGTTAATGATGATGGCTATTATCTGTCTGAGAGCCCTATTCTGTGCTGGGCCTTGTGCTAAGTGCTTTTTATGCACTCTCTCTTTTCTACTTCACAATAGTGAGATATTTATTATTACTTTCTTTTTAGAAATGAGGGAACTGAGACTTAGAAAGGTTAAGAGTAATTTATCTAGGGCTGTACAGCAAGTACACTCTGCACTGCCCTTTTTGTTTGTTTGCTTCCTGAAGGAATGGGTTGGGCATACCATCTGTAATGATTTCCAGGATGCCTTCGTAGTGGACTCCTGTGTTGTTCCGGAAGGGTAGGTATTGTTTACCTGCTGGCTTGGTTGCACTGGTGAAGTTACATCAATTCTGTCAGTAGCTGATACAAACTTCAGAATACCCTTCACCTCAGCCACAGCTGCCCAGTCCCACAGCTTCTTTCCTCCCAACCCCAGCACCCCTGCACCCTTAGCTCCAAAATTCCTAAAAGGTTCACTGTTTGTTCTTCTAATTTCTCCCCATGATGTTGTGTTTGAAATTGGTTTGCTCTAGTGGTTTTCCCTGTAGCCTTGCGTATTCCTGAGCTGCAACATCAGATTCTGGTTTTTCTCCGCAGTGACTTTCCATTTCCTGTGAAAGCACTGTACGGACTGGAAGAATACGACACTCAGGATGGGATTGCCATAAACCTCCTGCCGCTGCTGTTTTCTCAGGACTTTGCAAAAGATGGGGGTCCGGTGACCTCACAGGAATCAGGCCAAAAGTCAGTATAGTTTTTCTTTTCTAAACCTGTTAGTGTTTTGAATGTTCATGGGGAATTCCACAGCTCTTGGTGGGGAAGTTGAGTCAAAAAAGTTTCTCTCGAGACAAATGGTATTTGGAGAGGTTAGGGAGAATGGGGCAGATTCCTTGTTTTTTCTTGGATCCTTGGCTTGAGATTTATATTGCCTTGTGTGAGCCAACAGATATTCTGAGATTACTTTCTGGCCAACGTGGCGAAACACTGTCTCTACTAAAAATACAAAAATTAGCCGGGCAGTGTGGCATGCACCTATAATCCCAGCTACTCAGGAGGCTGAGGCAGGATAATTGCTTGAACCTGGGAGGCAGAGGTTGCAGTGAGCTGAGATCGTGCCACTGCACTCCAGACTGGGCGACAGAGCAAGACTCTGTCTCAAAAAAAGAAGTTGTGTTCCCTATGTATGTGGAGTAATATCTCCCTATGTACGTGGAGTAATACACCTATGAAGTGTGGTCTAGAAATTTATTTCTCCTTCTCAGATTGGTGTCTCCGCTGTGCCTGGCTCCGTATTTCCGGTTACTGAGACTTTGTGTGGAGAGACAGCATAACGGAAACTTGGAGGAGATTGATGGTCTACTAGGTATGGGATGAAGTCATCAGATCCTTTCTTCTTTATACTCTTCCTTTGGTAAACTTAGGGAAAGGGCAGATCAATACATGGTGTATGTGGGGAGGAATTTTCTAACTTCAGCAGAATAGTTTATCATTGGAATTCCAAAGACAAAATAGTACATACAGAATCCCATTATGTTAACAAATCAATTGTTGCAAAAACTTTCTAGTTATATTTGTTGATTGCTATATGATATGCAAATATTTTAATCAGATCTTGGCCTTCAAATATGAGTTAAAGGGGAAAGTAAATAGCAAGGACAGCTAGCTCCAGAGGCAACCTCCAGGTTTTATTGGCTTGCACTAAAGGTAGTTGGAAATGTTTGTTCTCTCTCAGATTGTCCTATATTCCTAACTGACCTGGAGCCTGGAGAGAAGTTGGAGTCCATGTCTGCTAAAGAGCGTTCATTCATGTGTTCTCTCATATTTCTTACTCTCAACTGGTTCCGAGAGGTGAGCAGAGTTAATAGGATGTTTCACTTATTGTGCATAGTTTTTCTCAAAACTATTTTCTTAGTTCCCACAAGACTCCCTAGAAGTCTTCACCAAGCACTAACCCCCGTGTGCTTCTCTAGCTGTTATGTCCCACCACTCCCCAGTTATATGAACCTCCTTAGGTAGCCAAATGAGAATACTTAGAATTCACTTCACATTGCCCATGCTTTATTTTCTCCAAGCTGCCTTCTCCCTAGAATGACCTTCTCACCTTCACTGTGGAACTACTGTTCGTCCTGGCACAGGCATATGCCTACTGTTTTGATTCAGTGAGTGGTGGTAGTTTCCCTCCCATTAGAATGTATTTGTGTTTGGTGATAATGACAATGATGGCAACATCTTATATCTCTACCTCACTGTCTTCCTCTCTGATATTATTTCAGGAATGTTTGTGCACTTGAATGAGCTTATTTGATTACCACATCTCTATTATGATACGGGCAGGATAGCTATTGTCCTCATTTTACACATACGAATTTCAATAGGGAGTTCAAAGTCATTAAAAATTTTTAAGTACTTACACTGTACCAAGTGCTGGACTCATTTCTTTATGAAGAAATACTTAGAAAGGTTAAAGACTCAGCCAAGGTCACACAGTAAGTAGCAGTATAGAACTTGTTTCACCAAATTGTGTGCTGTCTGGCTATTCCACCTTGTAACATAACTAGTAATAAGTAAAACTAGGGTCACAAGCCTAATCTCCTTTGTTTTTTGTTTTTTTGAGACAGAGTCTTGCTCTGTCACCCAGGCTGGAGTGCGGTGGCTCAATCTCGGCTCACTGCAACCTCCGCCTCCCAGGTTCAGGCAATTCTCCTTCTTCAGCCTCCCTAGTAGCTGGGATTACAGATGTGTGCCACCATGCCCAGCTAATTTTTGTATTTTTGGTAGACATGGGCTTTCACCATGTTGGCCAGACTGGTCTCAAACTCCTGGCCTCAAGTGATCCTCCTGCCTCAGCCTCCCAAAGTGCTGGGATTACAGACATGAGCCACCACGCCTGGCTGAATCTCCTATATTTTGGGCCAGAGATTTTTTTTCTGTATACCACGTTGTTGAGGACAGTTCTATTACAGACTAAACTCAAAGATCTTGCTTTTCATAGACATCTCTCAGCTCTGGATAAATAATATAAACAAGGTTAAAATCTGAACATTTGGAAGTATGAGAATGTAATTTGTACTTTGCAGATTGTAAATGCCTTCTGCCAGGAAACATCACCTGAGATGAAGGGGAAGGTGCTCACTCGGTTAAAGCACATTGTAGAATTGCAAATAATCCTGGAAAAGTACTTGGCAGGTAAGAGAAGTGTCCTATACTGGTAGT
Organism: Homo sapiens; assembly: GCF_000001405.40. Taxonomy (NCBI): domain Eukaryota; kingdom Metazoa; phylum Chordata; class Mammalia; order Primates; family Hominidae; genus Homo; species Homo sapiens. The sequence goes on from NC_000003.12 coordinate 10,067,345, forward strand.
ACTACTAGGCCAGTAGTGAGGCAATAAAGCACTTAGCTTTCCCTGATACCAAAACCAGACAAAGACACATCAAAAAAAGAAATCTCAGGCCAATATCCCTGATGAACATTGATACAAAAATCCTAACAAAATACTAGCAAACCTAATTCAGCAACACATTAAAAATATCAGCTGGGCACGAGGTGGCTCACGCCTGTAATCCTAGCACTTTTGGAAGCCAAGGCGGGTGGATCACTTGAGGTCAGGAATTCGAGACCAGCCTGGCCAACATGGTGAAACCCTGTTTGTACTAAACATACAAAAATTAGCCAGGCGTGGTTGTGGGCACCTGTAATCCCAACTACTTGGGAGGCTGAGACAGGAGAATCGCTTGAACCTGGGAGGCGGAGGTTGCAGTGAGCCAAGATTGTGCCACTGCACTCCAGCCTGGGTGACAGAGCGAGACTCCCATCTCAAAAACAAACAAAAGAAAGATTATTCATCATGGCCAAATGGGATGATTTATCCCAGGGATGCAAGGATTGTTCAACATATGTAAATCAATGTGATACCTCCTATCAACAGAATGAAGGACAAAAACCACATGATATTTAAATTGATGCTTAAAAAAATTTTATAAAATTCAACATCCTTTCATCATAAAAAACCCTCAGAAAACTGGGTATAGATCCATAGCTACTATTAAACTGAACAGAAAAAAACTGAAAGCCTTTCCTCTAAGATCTGAACAAGACAAGGATACCCACTTATATAATACCACTATTATAAAATACAGTATTGGAAGTCCTAGCTAGAACAATTAGACAAGAGAGAGAAAGAAAGAAAGGGCATCCAAATTGGAAAGGAAGATGTTAAATTATCCTTGTTTGCAGATGATATGATCTTATATTTGGAAAAGCCTAAAGACTCCACCAAAAAACTATTAGATAAATTCAGTAAAGTTGCAAGATACAAAATCATCATATAAAAATGAGTAGCATTTCTGTATGCCAACAACTAAGAATCTGAAAAAAATCAAGAAAGTAATCCATTTACAATAGCTACAAATAAAATAAACAAAAGTTACAAATAAAATAGGAATAAGCTTAACCAAAGAAGTGAAAGAGCACTATAATGAGTACTATGAAACATTGATGCAAGAAATTAAAGAGCAAATAAAAAAAGGAAAGATACTTCATGTTCATGGATCGGAAGAATTAATATTGTTAAAATTTCCATGCTACCCAACACAATCTACAGATTCAAGGCAATCCCTATTAAAATACCAATGACATTCTTCACAGAAATAGAAAAAAAAAAAGCCTAAAATTTATATAGAACCACCGAAGACCCAGAATAGCCAAAGCTGTCCTGAGTAAAATGAATGAAACTGGAGGAATCGCATTACCTGACTTCAAATTATACTACAGAGCTATAGTAACCAAAACAGCATGGTGCTGGCACAAAAACAGATGCATATACCAATGGAACAGAAGAGAGCCCAGAAATAAGTCCATACACCTACAATGAACTCATTCTCAGCAAAGGTGCCAAGAATATACATTGGGGAAAGACACTCTCTTCAATAAATGGTGTTGGGAAAACTGGATATCCATATGCAGAAGAATGAAACTAGACCCCTATCTCTTGCCATATACAAAAATCAAAATGGATTATAGACTTAAATCTAAGACTTCAAATTATGAAACTACTAACAACAACAACAAAAAACATTCAGAAAACTCTTCAGGACATTAGAGTGGGCAAAGATTTCCTGAGGAATACCCTACAAGCACAGGCAACCAAAGCAAAAATGGACAAATGGGATCACATTAAGTTAAAAAGTTAAGTTCCTTTCCTCTGCATAGCAAAGGAAACACCAAAGTGAAGAGACAGCCCACAGAATGCGAGAAAATATTTGCAAACTATGTATCTGACAAGGGACTAATAACTGGAATATATAAAGATAGGAAAAAAAATTATTCGGATTGAAAAATGGGTAAAAGGTCTGAATAGACATTTCTCAAAAGAAGACATACAAATAGTGGATATGTGAAAAGGTGCTCAACATCACTGAGCCTCAGAGAAATGCAAATCAAAACTGCCATGTGATGTCATCTCACCCTAGTTAAGATGCCTCTCCCCCTCCCCCTCCCCCTCCCCCTCTCCCGTCTCCCTCTGATGCCGAGCCAAAGCTGGACTGTACTGCTGCCATCTCGGCTCACTGCAACCTCCCTGCCTGATTCTCCTGCCTCAGCCTGCCGAGTGCCTGCGATTGCAGGCGCGCGCCGCCACGCCTGACTGGTTTTCGTACTTTTTTGGTGGAGACGGGGTTTCGCTGTGTTGGCCGGGCCGGTCTCCAGCTCCTAACCGCGAGTGATCCGCTAGCCTCAGCCTCCCGAGGTGCCGGGATTGCAGACGGAGTCTGGTTCACTCAGTGCTCAATGGTGCCCAGGCTGGAGTGCAGTAGCGTGATCTCGGCTCGCTACAACCTCCACCTCCCAGCCACCTGCCTTGGCCTCCCAAAGTGCCGAGATTGCAGCCTCTGCCCGGCCGCCACCCCGTCTGGGAAGTGAGGAGCGTCTCTGCCTGGCCGCCCATCGTCTGGGATGTGAGGAGCCTCTCTGCCAGGCTGCCCAGTCTGGAAAGTGAGGAGCGTCTCTGCCCGGCCGCCATCCCATCTAGGAAGTGAGGAGCGTCTCTGCCCGGCCACCCATCGTCTGAGATGTGGGGAGCGCCTCTGCCCCACCGCCCCGTCTGGGATGTGAGGAGCGCCTCTGCCCGGCCGCGACCCCGTCTGGGAGGTGAGGAGCGTCTCTGCCCGGCTGCCCCGTATGAGAAGTGAGGAGACCCTCCGCCCGGCAACCGCCCCGTCTGAGAAGTGAGGAGCCCCTCTGCCCGGCAGCCGCCCCATCTGAGAAGTGAGGAGTCCCTCCGCCCGGCAGCCACCCTGTCTGGGAAGTGAGGAGCGTCTCCGCCCGGCAGCCACCCCGTCCGGGAGGGAGGTGGGGGTCAGGCCCCGCCAGGCCAGCCGCCCCGTCCGGGAGGGAGGTCAGGGGGTCAGCCCCCCGCCCGGCCAGCTGCCCCGTCCGGGAGGTGAGGGGCGCCTCTGCCCAGCCGCCCCTACTGGGAAGTGAGGAGCTCCTCTGCCGGGCCAGCCTCCCGGTCCGGGAGGGAGGTGGGGGGGGTCAGCCCCCTGTCCGGCCAGCCGCCCCGTCCGGGAGGTGAGGGGCGCCTCTGCCCGGCCGCCCCTACTGGGAAGTGAGGAGCCCCTCTGCCCGGCCACCACCCCGTCTGGGAGGTGTACCCAACAGCTCATTGAGAACAGGCCGGGATGACAATGGCGGTTTTGTGGAATAGAAAGGGGGGAAAGGTGGGGAAAAGATTGAGAAATCGGATGGTTGCCGTGTCTGTGTAGAAAGAAGTAGACATGGGAGACTTTTCATTTTGTTCTGTACTAAGATAAATTCTTCTGCCTTGGGATCCTGTTGATCGGTGACCTTACCCCCAACCCTGTGCTCTCTGAAACATGTGCTGTGTCCACTCAGGGTTAAATGGATTAAGGGCGGTGCAAGATGTGCTTTGTTAAACAGATGCTTGAAGGCAGCATGCTTGTTAAGAATCATCACCACTCCCTAATCTCAAGTACCCAGGGACACAAACACTGCGGAAGGCCGCAGGGTCCTCTGCCTAGGAAAACCAGAGACCTTTGTTCACTTGTTTATCTGCCGACCTTCCCTCCACTATTGTCCTATGACCCTGCCAAATCCCCCTCTGCGAGAAACACCCAAGAATGATCGATAAAAAAAAAAAAAGAAAAAAAGAAAAAAAAAAAAAGATGGCTTTTATCCAAAGGACAGGCAATAACAGATGCTGGTGAGAATATGGAGAAAAGAGAACCTTTGTACACTGTTGGTGGGAATGTCAATTAGTACAAGCACTATGGAGAACAGTTTGGAGTTTCCTCAAAAAACTAAAAATAGAATCACCATATGATCCAGGAATGCCACTGGTAGGTATATACCCAAAAGAAAGGAAATCAGTATACCAAGGAGATATCTGCACTCCCATGTTTATTGCAGCACTATTCACAATAGTCAAGATTTGGAAGCAACCTAAGTGTCCATCAGCGGGTGAATGGATAAAATGTGGTCCGTATACACAATGGAGTACTATTCAGCCATAAAAAACAATGAGATCCTGTTGTTTGCAACAATACAGATGGAACTGGAGGACATTATGTTAAGTGAAATAGGCCAGGCACAACATATTTTCACATATTTGTGGGAGCTGAAAATTAAAATAATTTAACTCATGGAGATAGAGTAGAAGTATGGTTACCAGAGGCTGGGGAGGGTAATGGTGGTTGGGGGACTGGGAAAAATGAGGGTGGTTAATAGCTTCAAAAATATAATTAGATAGAATGAATAAGATCTAGTTGTTTTTGTATTTTTGAGATGGAGTCTCGCTCTGTCACCCAGGCTGGAGTGCAGTGGCACAGTCTCGGCTTACTGCGACCTCTGCCTCCTGGGTTCAAGCAATTCTCCTGCCTCAGCCTCCTGAGTAGCCGGGACTAGAAGTGTGCACCACCACACCCAGCTAATTTTTGTACTTTTGGTGCAGATGGGGTTTCACCGTGTTGGCCGGGCTTGTCTCGAACTCCTGACCTCAAGTGATCCACCTTCCTCGGCCTCCCAAAGTGCTGGGATTACAGGCATGAGCCAGAGAGCCCAGCCAAGATCTAGTTTTTGATAGCACAACAGGGTGACTACAGTCAACAATAACTTACTGTACATTTAAAAATAACTAAAATAGTATAATTGGATTGTTTGTAACACAAAGAAATGATAAATGCTTGAGGTGATGGATACCCCATTTACCCTCATGTGATTATTATACATTGTGTACCTGTATCAAAATATCTCATGTGCGCCATAAATATATATATACCTTTCCCTTTTTTTTTTTTTTTTGAGACAGAGGCTTGCTTTGTCGCCCAGGCTGGAGTGTGGTGGTGCGATCTCTGCTTACTACAACCTCTGCCTCCTGGGTTCAAGCAATTCTCCTGCCACAGCCTCCCAAGTAGCTGGGATTACAGGCGTCTGCCAGCACACCTGGCTCATTTTTGTATTTTTGGTAGAGATAGGGTTTCACCATGTTGGCCAGGCTGGTCTCAAACTCCTGACCTCAGGTGATCCGCGCGCCTTGACCTCCCAAAGTGCTTGGGGTTACAGGCGCGAGCCACCCTGCCTGGCCACCATTTAGATTTTAAATGTTTGTTTTAGTTTTTTTCTGTTTGTTAGTTATATATCATTATTTAAAGTGGTTTTATGATAATTGATCATACTTAATATGATATTTCTGTGTTATCTCTGGCCATTTTGCTATGCCAAAACAATGTCAGATGACTTGAATATGTCTTATAAGCATTCAGCCATGCTTGGTAATTTTGGAAACTAGTTTTTAGCCAATGGAGTGACTGAATTTCAAGTCTAATGGTGGTGTGTAATTGGTACACATTGAGCTTCAGCCTGCTGTTTGTTTCAGTCACCCCAGACTATGTCCCTCCTCTTGGAAACTTTGATGTGGAAACTTTAGATATAACACCTCATACTGTTACTGCTATTTCAGCAAAAATCAGAAAGAAAGGAAAAATAGGTAAGTATGTTCTTTTCCTCTTGTCTTGTGTCTCTAAATAAGCTTCATTGAATTAACCTAAAAGTTATGTGTATCATGGCATCAGTAATTGGAACAATTGTATAACTGAACTCTTCCTTTATTAGATTTATAAATATACTGTAATTTAGGGTTATAAAATTACCTCTTCTACCTCTAGGCAGTTTCCAACAGGTTGTTTTCTGAGGGCAATGATATTTGGCAAACATGATTATTAATTACTTGAGTCACTTTTCTCTTTTTAATATAAAAGAAAGGAAACAAAAAACAGATGGCAGCAAGACATCCTCCTCTGACACACTTTCAGAAGAGAAAAATTCAGAATGTGACCCTACGCCATCTCATAGAGGCCAGCTAAACAAGGTATTGGAATGATGGGTATCCGTGAAGGTTTGTGACATCCCAGTGAGATTAACAGAAACCCAGCTTTATTCTCGGCATTTTACAAAGAAAAAAAAATTAGGAAACAGCGAGCCAAAACTCTCTTAGGCGTTGGAGTAATCTCCTTAGTAGCAAAGTTCAGATTAGACTTCAGGTCCTTATTCCTGCCACACACTGTTGACTGTTTTTTCTAATTATTTTCTTGACTGTTTTACTCCCTTTTTTGTACCCCAGCAGTACATTGAATTCTCTCTTGAGGTACTTGATTATCAGTAGTTCCCTTTTACTTTACATTTGTACTGTTCGTAGAATGAGTTTCATGTGTTTGAAATTGCCTGGGCCACATGGATCCCAATTATTTCTGTTGATCAGCCACCATTTATTGTATATTTATTAGGTATAGTTTCTGTAAGAGCCCAAGTTTCATATTAATACCACATTTAATAAAGGAGGAAACTAAGATCCAGGGAGGGCAAGTGACTTGCCCAAAGTCACACAGTTAATAAATGCTGGAGCTGGGGTTTGAAGCCAGATCATTCTGGCCCCTAAGCTCACAGTTTTTTGTTTTTTGTTTTTTGTTTTTGAGATGGAGTCTCACTCTGTCACCCAGGCTGGAGTGCAGTGGCACGATCTTGGCTCACTGCAACCTCCACCTCCCGGGTTCAAGCGATTCTCCTGCCTCAGCCTCCCAAGTAGCTGGGATTACAGGTATGCACCACCATAGCCAGCTAATTTTTGTATTTTTAGTAGAGACGGGGTTTCACCATCTTGGCCAGGCAGGTCTCAAACTCCTGACCTCGTGATCCACCCACGTCAGCCTCCCAAAGTCCTGGGATTACAGGCATGAACCACCACACCTGGCCAGCTCACAGTTTTCTGTACTAGACCTAAATGCCTTGATTTGCCTAATAGATCATCCCTAAATAGATGACCTGTTAAGGGTCTTGATGTGTGACTTGTATCCCCATCTTAAATTAGGTGCTCTGTCTTGGGAATATTTAGGGACTTGGGCTAGAGGAAGTTGTTATTATAATGAAAATGTAATTTTTTGCATTAAATAAATGCATATTTGTACTTTGAAGTTTTTATTAAAATTCGATTAATATAGAAGATTTATATATTCTCTTTGTTGCTGTGACTTCCCCATAGGAGTTCACAGGGAAGGAAGAAAAGACATCATTGTTACTACATAATTCCCATGCTTTTTTCCGAGAGCTGGACATTGAGGTCTTCTCTATTCTACATTGTGGACTTGTGACGAAGTTCATCTTAGATACTGAAATGCACACTGAAGTAAGTGACAGGCTAGGATCTCAGAATTTAATCTTCTTTCAGAAAGTTCCTCAGGTCTATTCTTATTTCACAAAGAACACTGTGACACTGAGGAGAGAAGTTAGACTGACTTTTAAAGCCTTTATATGTGAAAGCAATGATGAATAATCATCCTCATACTGGTGTTTGTAAGTCATAAGGTTTGTAATAATGTGTCAGACATTATAAAATATCATGCCAATGATGTAATCCTTACATTTAGGTTACTACTACTACTACTACTAATAAGCTACCTAGATTATTTTTGTAGAGGAGCACTCTTCTGGTTCTTAGAAGTCAATGCCCTTTTCACTTTTTCACAACATTTGTTCAGCACCTGACAGTTGCTTACTGAGTCCTATTTTGTGTTTGCCACTAATCAAAGCACTTGCATTTCAGTAGTACATAGAGCATCATGCTTGCTTTCAAATAACTTCTAATCTAATCAAAGAAGTGGAAATAGCTAGCAATACGGTAGCTTTATTATTATTATTTTCTTTTTTTTTTTTGAGATGGAGTCTCTCTCTGTCGCCCAGGCTGGAGTGCAGTGGCGCGGATCTCCACTCACTGCAAGCTCTGCCTCCCGGGTTCACGCCATTCTGCTGCCTCAGCCTCCTGAGTAGCTGGGGCTATAGGCATCCGCCATCACACCCGGCTAATTTTTTGTACATTTTTTATAGAGACAGGGTTTCACCATGTTAGCCAGGATGGTCTCGATCTCCTGACCTCGTGATCACCCGCCTTGGCCTCCCAAAGTGCTGGGATTACAGGCGCAAGCCCCCGTGCCCGGCCCCATAGCTTTATTGATGCCAAATACGGCATTAATGGTCTGAACCAAGGACTAGTGAAACTCTAGTGAGAGAATGATGTTTATATAGAAGTTGGGAGTAGAGGACATTTTCACAGATAAAGTAACTTTTGAGATGGGATTTCATCAGAGAGTAGAATTTCTCTAGGTTTAAGAGAAATTGAAATAGCATTAATTTTCACCTGAAATTTACACGAATGTAGGTACCTTCAGAACAGAAATAGTATCCTTTTTTTTTTTTTTTTTTTTGAGATGGAGTCTCGCTGCGTTGCACAGGCTGGAGTGCGGTGGTGGGATCTTGGCTCACTGCAAGCTCCGCCTCCCGGGTTCACACCATTATCCTGCCTCAGCCTCCCAAGTAGCTGGGACTACAGGTGCCTGCCACCATGCCTGGCTAATTTTTTGTATTTTTAATAGAGACGAGGTTTCACCGTTGTTAGCCAGGATGGTCTCGATCTCCTGACCTCGTGATCCGCCCGCCTTGGCCTCCCAAAGTGTTGGGATTACAGGTGTGAGCCACTGCGCCCAGCCATATCTTTTTTTTTTTTTTTTAATCTTTCTACATCATCTTGCCCTTAGGAGATGCCACATAAATGTGTATTGAGTGAGCAGTTTGCAGTGAGACTGTATTTCACCCATTCTGCTTCTAGCAGTGTAATATAGCTATTCCACTGGGATCACTCTGGGGTCCTGCCCAGAGTTAATAGTAGCAAAACATTAGAGGAAAACAAGTATGAAAGGATTATTTAATGAACAGACAAAAGGGAAATTCCCTTGAATTAGTCTTTTTTTTTTTTCCCAAACCCTGTGTGTGGCATTCAAAGTCATTTTTTAAATCACAGGATATTTAGGAAACGCATCTTGGATCCACAACTAGAAAGGTATACAGAGGAATTTATAGAGAAAAAGTATGTCTTCTAAACTATCCTGTCTTGAATTATTATTTTACTATTCTGAATATTTATTTTGGACATGCTTGACTTTATTATATGACAGAGCATAATAGCTATCCTTTATATGAGATGGGTGCAGTTTCCTCCCTTGCCTCTTTTTTCTTTTTAGAGACAGAGTCTTGCTCTGTCACCCAGGCTGAAGTGCAGTGGCAAGATCATAGCTCACTGCAACCTTGAACTCCTGGGTTCAAGGATCAAGTGATCCTCCCACCTCAGCCTTCCAAGTATCTAGGGCCACTGGCATGCCCCACTACACCCGGCTAGTTTTTTTATTTGTTTGTTTGTTTGTTGGAGACGGAGTCTTGCTCTGTCCGTCAGTCTGGAGTGCAGTGGCACGATCTTGGCTTACTGCAGCCTCTGCCTCCTGAGCTCAAGTGATTCTTCTGCCTCCTGAGCTCAAGCGATTCTTCTGCCTCAGCCTCCCAAGCAGCTGGGATTACAGGTGCCCACCACCACATCAGCTAATTTTTGTATTTTTAGTAGAGATGGGATTTCACCACATTGGCCAGGCTGGTCTCAGACTCCTGACCTCAAATGATCTGCCTGCCTTGACCTCCCAAAGTACTGGGAGTTTGAGACCAGCCTGGGTAACACAGTGAGACCTGTCTCTACAAAAAGTTAAAAAAAAAAAGTAGCCAGGCATGGTGACGCACACCTGTGATCCCAGCTACCTGGGCGGCTGAGGTGGGACCATCACTTGAGTCCAGGAGGTTGAGGCTGCAGTGAGCTGTGAACACAATATTGCACTCCAGCCTGAGCAACAGAGCGAGACCCTGTCTCAAATATAAGTAAATAAATAAATAAAAGTCAAATTATTTACCCTGCTGGGCGCAGTGGCTCACGCCTCTAATCACAGCACTTTGGGAGGCTGAGACAGGCGTTATCACCTGAGGTCGGGTTTGAGACTAGCCTGGCCAACGTGATGAAACCCATTTCTACTAAAAATACAAAAATTAGTCAGGCATGGTGGTGGGCACCTGTAATGCCAGCTACTTGGGAGGCTGAGGCAGGAGAATTGCTTGAACCTGGGACGCAGAGGTTGTAGTGAGCCAAGATCATGCCACTGCCCTCCAGCCTGGGTGACGGAACAAGACTCTGTCTCAAAAAAAAAATTTTTTTTTCACCCATTGGGAAGTATTAACATGAAATAGCCAGGTGTGGTGGCTCATGCCTGTCCATAATCCCAATACCTTGGGAGGCCAAGGCAGGAGGATTGCTCAAGCCCAGGAGTTTGAAACCAGCCTGGGCAACAAAGTGAGACCCCGTCTGTATAAAAAAATTTAAAAATTCGCTGGGCCCAGGTGTGGTGGTTCATACCTGTAATCCTGGCATATTGGGAGGCCAAGGCAGAAGGATCATCTGAGCCCAGGAGTTTGAGACCAGCTTGGGCAATATAGTGAGACCTCATTTCTTATTAATTAAAAAAAAAAATGTAGCTGGGCATGGTTGTGTGTGCCTATAGTCCCCGCTACTCGGGAGGCTGAGATGGGAGGATAACTTGGGCCCAGGAGTTCAAGGCTGGAATAGCTATGATCTTGCCACTGCACATTTAACAAAAAAGAAAGAAAAAAAATTATCATGAAATGACTAGGACATTCCTGGAACTAATCCTTTCCTCCATGTGACAGGCTACAGAAGTTGTGCAACTTGGGCCCCCTGAGCTGCTTTTCTTGCTGGAAGATCTCTCCCAGAAGCTGGAGAGTATGCTGACACCTCCTATTGCCAGGAGAGTCCCCTTTCTCAAGGTTAGTGTAGGCAGAAGCATAGGACTTGGGCATAGTGGATTTGGGAACAAAGGAGGTATTATGATGAAAAAGTTGTCACTTTCTTTGGCATTGTGTTTGGGTCACTGGGTAGCATGGGTGCAGCCGTATTGCCAGACAATATTCATCTTGCTTTATTTATTTATTTATTTATTTAGAGATGGAGTCTCGCTCTGTCGCCCAGGCTGGAGTGCAGTGGTGTGATCTCGGCTCACTGCAAGCTCCGCCTCCCGGGTTCATGTCATTCTCCTGCCTCAGCCTCCCGAGTAGCTGGGACTACAGGTGCCTGCCACCACGCCTGGCTAATTTTTTGTATTTTTTGTAGAGACGGGGTTTCACCGTGTTAGCCAGGATGGTCTCAATCTCCTGACCTTGTGATCCGCCCACCTTGGCCTCCCAAAGTGCTGGGATTACGGGCATGAGCCACCGCGCCCGGCCTCATCTTGCTTTAAATAGGAAGTCTGAAGGCTGGGCGTGGTGGCTCACGCCTGTAATGCCAGCACTTTGGGAGGCCAAGGAGGGCAGATCACTTGAGTTCAGGAGTTCAAGACCAGCCTGGCCAACATGGTGAAACCCCATCTCTACTAAAAATACAAAAAGAACTAGCCGGGCATGGTGGTGCAGCTATAGTTCCAGCTACTTGGGAGGCTGAGGCATGGGGAGGAGGAGGTTGCAGTGAGCTGAGATTGCACCAGTGCACTCCAGTCTGGGTGACAGATTTCGTCTCAAACAAAAAAAAAAGTCTACCTGTGCAGTGGTTCACACCTGTAATTCCAGCACGTTGGAAGGCCGAGGCAGGTGGATCACCTGAGGTCAGGAGTTTGAGACCAGCCTGGCCAACGTGGCAAGAGCCTGTCTCTACTAAAAATACAAAAAAAATTAGCCAGGTATGGTGGCGCATGCTTGTAGTCCCAGGTACTTGGGAGGCTGAGGCAGAAGACTTGATTGAACCCAGGAGGCAGACGCTGCAGTGAACCAAGATCATGCTACTGCACTCCAGCCTGGGCATTAGAACAAGACTCTGTCTCAGAAATAAAAAAAAAAAAATAGGAAGTCTGAAACAGAAAATAGAAAGGCACTTGGAATAAGAAATGTATTTCTTTTTTTGAGACGGAGTCTCGCTGTGTCTCCCAGGCTGGAGTGCAGTGGTGCAATCTCGGCTCACTGCAGCCTCTGCCTCCTGGGTTCAAGCGATTCTCCTGCTGCAGCCTCCTGAGTAGCTGGGGACTACAGGCGCGCGCCACCACACCCAGCTAATTTTTGTATTTTTAGTAGAGATGGGGTTTTAACATGTTCATCAGGCTGATCTCGAACTCCTGACCTCATGATCCGCCCACCTCGGCCTCCCAATCCGCCCACCTCGGCCTCCCAAAGTGCTGGGATTATAGGCGTGAGCACTGCGCCCAGCCTACGAAATGTATTTCTAAATGCCCTGAACATTCCTGAATCCTGTTCTTTACTTGAATTTTGGTTTCAACAGCCTCCCAAACCAAGCCTGGGCCCATGCCTCAGTGTAGTAGTAAGCTGTCTAGAACGTCCAGAACTTCAGATGTGTATACAGTGTACAAACGTGCACCTAGCATCCGGGGAAGCAGTTGGACGGTACATATAACAAAATGAGAAAATCTTGGGTCTTGGGTATAAGCATTTAAACATTAATATATCCCGTTTCTTGGTTTCTTGATTCATTTTTCTTCTTCGTCTTCTTTTTTTTTTTTGAGGCGGAGTCTTGCTTTGTTGCCAGGCTGGAGTGCAGTGGCTTGATCTTGGCTCACTGCAACTTCCGCCTCCTGGGTTCAAGCGATTCTCCTGCCTCAGCCTCCCGAGGAGCTGGGACTACAGGTGCACGCCACCACACCCAGCTAATTTTTGTATTTTTAGTAAAGATGGGGTTTCACCATGTTGGCCAGGATTGTCTTGATCTCTTGACCTCATGATCCACCCGCCTTGGCCTCCCAAAGTGCTAGGATTACAGGCAAGAGCTACAGTGCCCAGCAATTCATTCTTCTTTGTATTCACTATCGGGTCTACTTTTTGAGACAGGGCTTTGCTCTGTTGCCCAGGCTGGAGTGTAGTGGCACAATCTTGGCTCACTGCAACCTCCACCTCCGGGATTCAAGTAATCCTCCTATCTCAGCCTCCTGAGTAGCTAGGACCACAGGCATGTGCCACCGCACTCAGCTAATTTTTGTATTTTTTGTAAAGAAGAGTTTCAGCATGTTGCCCAGGCTTCTACATTTTTTTGTTTGTTTGTTTTTCAATTATAATAGGGAGGCAGGGCACAGTGGCTCACGCCTTTAACCCCAACACTTTGGGAGTCCAAGATGGGTGGATTGCTTGAGCTCAGGAGTTTGAGACCAGCCTGGTTAATGTGGTTAAACCCCATCTCTATAAAAAATACAAAAACTAGCCATGTTTGTTGGCATGTGCCTGTGGTCTCAGATACTCAGGAGGCTGAGGTGAGAGGATCACTTGAGCCCAGGAATTCAAGGCTGCAGTGAGCTGTGATCGTGCCACTGCACTCCAGCCTGGGTGACAGAGCAGAACCTTGCCTCAAAAAAAAAATTATAAGAAGGAGTCTATTGCCCTACATTTGTCAACCTAAATGATTTCTACTTTTATGTGACCTTTATCTGATTAGTTATGATAGGGCTATATGTCTCAATCAAACACTGTTCCTACTCTACAAAAGCCAATCTCTCAGTCATTGGAAGATGGAGCAAGATTTTTATCCCTCTGTCAGAATACAGTCTTAGGTTAACAACTCATTTCTCCCATCTGCTCCTACCTGGTGACACAGGTTTGACTTGACTCCATTGCGAACCCTTAGTTTCTGAGACGCTATCCAGCAGTTTCTTCACTCATAACTCTGCATTTATTATAGAACAAAGGAAGCCGGAATATTGGATTCTCACATCTCCAACAGAGATCTGCCCAAGAAATTGTTCATTGTGTTTTTCAACTGCTGACCCCAATGTGTAACCACCTGGAGAACATTCACAACTATTTTCAGGTCAGAAGCCTAGACTTAGAAGCTGCTAAGCAAATATGAGGTTTCATTTTTGGCTGAGAAAAAGGAAAATGAGGACAATTACTGAAGCAACTGTCCTAAAATCATTTTTATTTTTAGTGTTTAGCTGCTGAGAATCACGGTGTAGTTGATGGACCAGGAGTGAAAGTTCAGGAGTACCACATAATGTCTTCCTGCTATCAGAGGCTGCTGCAGATTTTTCATGGGCTTTTTGCTTGGTAAGTATGTGGGAAGTGTGGAGAGAACTGAGTATATACTTGCTTTTATTTGACAGTCACCAAGGCACTGAAATGTAGAAAAGAAAGAAAAGGTTCAAAAATCTTATGTGAATATGGTTCATTAATTTTGTGGGAGTGTTTTTGTCTGTATTATTTCATTTGATCTTGTACCCTCTGAGTCCTTTGGAGCCACTATGTTAACCCATTTGACAGATTAGGTGACTTGCTGATGAGCTGATAACAGATGTGGCCATCTGTTCCTTAGTCCAGTTTCCTTTAGCATGCTTTAATTCCAGATTGTTTGGTGATGAGCTGAACACTGTGAGCTGGGCTATTCCATGATACCTTCATGGAAACAGTGGGACTCAAGGGAACCCCAGAAGGGTACATGGCCTTTAGAGAGATAACGGAAGGAAGTGGAAGGTACAACATGGACAAAAGTAGAACTAAGGGAGGTGTGCCCCTTAAATACTTTTGTTCCTCAGGGACAGGCGTTGGGCTCTCTGTTCTCATTATACAAGATTTCTGGTCAATCCTACCCAAGCTTAAATTTAGCCAAAATTTATTTTCTGAGCTATAGGCATTTATATCCAACTGCCTACGCAACACCTCCTTAGATGTGGCATTGACACCTCACACTCCACATCCAAAATGGAATATGTCATCCCTAGCATGCTCCTTCAGCTTTGCCTGGCTTAGTAAATGGTACCACCAGTTGCCTGAACCAGAAACCAGGAGTTATTCTTTGTCCCTCCCTCTGCTCTCCACCGTCTTTTTCCCACATCTGATTGCCAAATCCTGTTGATTTTATTTTCTGTTATAAATAACATCTAGATAGCCATCTGTCCCTGTTTCTCCACTGCTTCCAGACTCCCATTATCTCTCAACCTGGACTGGGCTAGGTTCACACTTGGCCTCTCTCAGTCCATTCTTCACATGGCAGTAAGAGTGATCTTCCTAACATAAACCCAGTTTGATCCTATCCCAATTTTGATTTCTGATTGCTCTTAGATTTTTCTTGAGTTAAAACTCTCTTACCTAGCCTCTAGGTCTTCTTCTGACTCCTGCTATTCCACTTATTATGTTATACTCTGCCTCCAGCCTCACTGAATTAATTTGAGCACCCTATATAGCTTTTACGTGGGAGGCTTTGCACATGTTCATTCTCCTGCCAGGACCCCCACTCTTCTTGATCCCCAGCTTTTTCTGACTCATCACATCTCTTGAGATCTGAACTTAAGCATCCATCCTGCCTCTCTAACCCCCAGTTCTCTTCTAACACTCTGGTATCCGTTCGTGATAAAACTTAATCTCATTTTATTATAATTACTTGTTCATCAGTCTTTCCTGCTAGACTCTGAGCTCCATGAAGGCAGATGTCTGTCATTTTTATATCCTCATTACTTAAAAGCAGTGCCTGACAAAAACTTTGAACAATTTATCAAAGAGACTTATAGATGGCAAATAAACATGTGAAAGGGGCCTGACATCGTGGCTTATGCCTGTAATCCCAACACTTTGGGAGGCCAAGGTGGGTGGATCACTTGAGCTCAGGAGTTCGAGACCAGCCTGGGAAGCATGGCAAAACCCTGTCTCCATAAAAAATACAAAAATTATCTGGGCATGGTGGCATGCATCTGTAGTCCCAGCTACTCAGGAGGCTGAGGTGACAGGATGGCTTGAGCCTGTGAGGCAGAGGTTGCAGTGAGCCAAGATTGCAACACTGCACTCCAACCTGGGCAACAGAACCAGACCCCATCTCAAAAAAAAAAAAATCTGGGCCCCATGGCCCAGTGAAGTTAACACAGAAAATAAACCATCTCTAAAAATTATAAAAACAATTAAAATAAATACATGAAAGGATGTTTATTACTTCTTAAGGAAATGCAAATTAAAAGCACAATGAGATAGCACAACACACTCACTAGCATAGCTACATCAAAAAGACTTAGCATGCCAAGTGTTGGTGAGAAGGTGGAACAGCTGGAGCTCTCACATGCTTCTAGGGGGACTTTACAATGGTACATCCATATTGGGAAATAGTTTGGTAGTTTCTTAAAAAGCTAGACATGCACCTACCATGTGACTCAGCCATTCCATCCTTAGGTATTTAATCAAGGGAAATGAAAGCATACGTCCACCGACCAGGCGCAGTGGCTCACGCCTGTAATCCCAGCACTTTGGGAGGCCGAGGCGGGCAGATCATGAGGTCAGGAGATCGAGACCGTCCTGGCTAACACGGTGAAACTCCGTCTGTACTAAAAATACAAAAAATTAGCCGAGCGTGGTTGCAGGCGCCTGTAGTCCCAGCTACTCAAGAGGCTGAGGCAGGAGAATGGCCTTAACCCGGGAGGTGGAGCTTGCAGTGAGCCGAGATCCCACCACTGCACTCCAGCCTGGGCGACAGAGCAAGACTCCGTCTCAAAAAAAAAAAAAAAAAAAAGGTATGTCCACCAGGGTCTGGTACAGGAATATTTTGAGCAATTTAGCCTGTGGTTTTACATAGTATATTCTAAACTTGTTTCCCATGCTTTTGTGTGTGTGTGAGAGACAGAGTCTCACTCTGTCGCTCAGGCTGGAGTGCAGTGGCGCGATCTCGGCTCACTATAACCTCTGCTGCCCGGGTTCAAGCGATTCTTCTGCCTCAGCCTCCTGAATAGCTGAGATTACATGCGCCTGCCACTGCACCTGGCTAATTTTTGTATTTTTAGTAGAGACGGGGTTTCACCATCTTGGCCAGGCTGGTCTTGAACTCCTGACCCCGTGATCTACCCACCTCAGCCTCCCAAAGTGCTGGGATTACAGGTGTGAGCCACTACACCTGGCTTTTTTTTTTTTCTTCCCTGAGACAGGGTCTTGCTCTGTTGCCCAGGCTGGAGTGTAGTAACACAATCACAGCTCACTGCAACCTCTGACTCCCAGGCTATAAATCCTCCCACCTCAGCCTCCCAAGCAGTTGGGACTGCAGGCATGTACCACCATGCCCAGCTGATTTTTCCTTTTTTTTTTCTTTGGTAGAGACGGGGTTTCGCCATGTTGCCCCCAGGCTGGTCTTGAACCTCTGGGCTCAAGTGATCCACCCGCCTCAGCCTCCCAAAGTGCTGGCATTAGAGGCGTGAGCCACCATACCTGGCCCAAATTCAACATTTTAAGTACATGAAGTGTATTGTACATCAACTATATCTCATTGAAGCTATGGTAGACCAAAAACCTGACACCTAATAGGCCCTCAGAATACATTTGTTGAAAGGAAGAATGACTATCACTGGTGATCAGGAAGATGCTTCTAGAGGAGAAGATCTAGGACGTCAGATTGTGCTGGGCCTCAAAGGTCAGGCAGAATAATTTAAATGTTGTCCAGGGAAGCCATTTTGGAGTTTTATGATCACAGCCATAATACAATGAAAGCAGTGGTTTAAGAAAACACTTCTGGCAGCAGAGTGCAGGACAGATTGAAAAGGGATGCAAAAAAGAACACTCAAAAGGTGTCACTATGATCTACACATGTATTGATAGGGGCCTGGCCAAAATGATGGTCTAGGCTTGGAAAGGAAGGGACAATATGAAAGGTAATCCAAAGATAGAAATGTCAAGACTTGACTCATTAATGTAGGAGAAGGGGTAAGTACCACTATGGGCTGGACATTGATTTAGCAGTTTGACAAAATTATTCCTGTATTTTTGAAGAAGACTACATATCTCTAAAATATAGGGAATGAAGGAGAGCTTTTTGCCCTTCAAAGTAAACCTATGGCCCAGGCGTGGTGGCTCACCCCTGTGAAAAGAAAGAGGAAAGAAGAAAAGAAACCTATGAAGACTTCAGGAAAGATTACTTTGGATGTACTTCAGTTTCTACTCTGATACTTAGAGCTGTGATTGAATTTGGTACTTCAGTACTTTCCATTTCAATTCTTTTTTCTTTTTTCTTTCTTTTTTTTTTTTTTTTGAGATGGAGTCTCGCTCTGTCGCCAGGCTGGAGTGCAGTGGCACAATCTCGGCTCACTGCAGCCTCCACCTCCCGAGTTCTAGCGATTCTTCTGCCTCAGCCTCTGGAGTAGCTGGGACTACAGGTGCCCGCCACCACACCCAGCTAATTTTTGTATTTTTAGTAGAGACGGGATTTCACCGTGTTGGCCAAGATGGTCTCCATGTGTTGACCTCGTTATTCGCCCGCCTCAGCCTCCCGAAGTGCTGGGATTACAGGTGTGAGCCACCACGCCCGACCTCTCAATTCTTTTTTCAAACCGTTAAACTATTGATGGTACAGACTGGAGGCCAGGATCCTTAAATACTATCCAAGTAGTTTTCCAGAAACTAAGCTAACCCCTCTTACCTTGACTTCCTTAGGAGTGGATTTTCTCAACCTGAAAATCAGAATTTACTGTATTCAGCCCTCCATGTCCTTAGTAGCCGACTGAAACAGGGAGAACACAGCCAGCCTTTGGAGGAACTACTCAGGTGAGTCATAACTACATAGCCAAGATTGTTGTCCCAAGAAACTCCTAGGAACAGGATTGGCAACTTTCTTTAAAATAACCTGGGTGTCTTTCAGTAGTTGTAAAGGAAATTATTTTCAGCTACTCTCCTCATATATGAGCTTTCTCATCTATGTATTCTGATAAATCCTGAAGTATTAGAAACCTTGAATAATCATGCTAAATCTTCATGAATGCATCAGCCCATAAACTCAGCCTTTTCAAGTAATAATGATGAAAACATTGACCATCTGTAATCAACTCTTGATTATCCAGGGACCTACTGTCTCCCAGCAGATTTGGGTAATTAGGCAGCAGCTAGTTATCACTGATAGCCTGTTTCTTTCCCCTTGTCTTGTAGGAAGACCTTATGTGGCTGAGGGGTAGGCAGTGGACAAGGGAGGTGACATGATCTCAGGGGCATGGCTTTCGGCCCCCTCCCCCTTCAGTCAGAGTGACTTGGTCTTTCTCTCACTTCCCTTGGTAACCTAGACCATCACTGGGTCAGCAGTCAGTGCTTATCATCCCTGTCTATAGGTCAGGACCTTATATCTTCTTTTTTTTTTCTTTGAGAGAGAGTCTCACTTTGTCACCCAGGCTGGAGTGATCCCAGCTCACTGCACCCTCCACCTCCTGGGCTCAAGTGATTGTACTGCCTCAGCCTCCCAAGACGCTGGGATTACAGGCGCATGCTGACACACCCTACTAATTTTTATATTTTTGTAGAGATGTTTTCGACATGTGGCCAGGCTGGTCTCTAATTCCTGAGCTCAGGTGATCTGCCTGTCTCAGCCTAGCAAAGTGCTAGGATTACAGGCATAAGTCACCATGCCCGGCCTGTGAACCCAGATTTTACAAATTATTTTCAGTGTATTGCCTAAGGCTTTAAAGAGCAGATAATTTATCTAGGGTTGTACATATTAGCGTGGTGCTTGGGTTTCTCAGCATACATGACCCCTTCAAGGCCAACATTCCATCAGTGGGGCTGTCTTCTGCCCTGGCTTTTTCCATACAAAGGTATGGTTTTCTACCAAGATGCTTGAAGAGGGTTGCTACTAAAGCACCTGAAAATAAGGAGGATTCTGATTAGGCCGTCAAACACTGAAAGGGACTTGGGCACGTCATGTGGATTTAAATATATCTGTGACACATAGGATACTATTGCATTTGTTTGTTTTTCTTGTCTCCTTACAGCCAGAGCGTCCATTACTTGCAGAATTTCCATCAAAGCATTCCCAGTTTCCAGTGTGCTCTTTATCTCATCAGACTTTTGATGGTTATTTTGGAGAAATCAACAGCTTCTGCTCAGAACAAAGAAAAAATTGGTGATGGGCCTAGATCCTTTTTTTTTTTTTTTTTTTAATGAATAGGACTAATATCTCACACTTACAAACTTTGGGCTTCCCAGGACATTTTTACATGTAAATCCCCACATAACCTTGGATAGGCCCTCTTGCTATACCAAGAAGGTCATTTTCCCAGAACAACCTGACTGATTTCTGCTAAAATTGCTTAGTCTGAGTTTGGTTAGACAAGCTGAGTAGATAGTTTTCTCTTTGGCTTAAGTTTAATCATGTTCTTCCTTTTCAAAAAAAAAAAATTTATCTGAGACATTTGACAAAACGAGACATAAATCATGAGGTTAATAAAGTAGGAAATAAAGGAGAAATCAGGGTCAAGTATAAAAGAAATACTGGCCTCTTCCCTGGCCTTTTTCTTTTTTTTTGAGACAGAGTCTCGTTCTGTCACCCAGGCTGGAGTGCAGTGGTGCGATGTTGGCTCACTGCAATCCTCTACCTCCCAGGTTCAAACGATTCTCCTGCCTCAGCCTTTCAAGTAGCTGGGATTACAGGTGCGCACCACCGTGCCCAGCCAATTTTTGTATTTTTAGTGGAGACGGGGTTTCACCATGTTGGTCAGGCTGGTCTCGAACTCCTGACCTCGTGATCCACCTGCCTCAGCCTCCCAAAGTGCTGGGATTACAGACGTGAGCCACTGTGCCCAGCCCTGGCCTCTTTCTTAAACTGTCTTTTATTGTAGCTCTTAGAATGCAGCTCATCCTAGTTGGCAGCACATCAGAAAGCAAGATAAAAATGCAAAACAAACCTTTATTTATCCCTATTGATTAAAAGGGGAAGGTTTGGTCTCAATCTTGGAGGTGACCACTGCTATTGGCCAGCCCAGGAGGAACAAGATTGGCCTTCCCACTGCCCAGCAGCATTCCTTTTCTCTGTGTGTCTGTATTTATGTTCATGTTTGCATGTTTGTGTGTTTCAAGATGGGGTTGGGGTGGGACGTGTTGAGCCTTAGGCAAATGAGTTTATGTCTGGCAAAAGGGCCAGTGGATCAGGAACGTGACAGCTTTTTGTAAGTTGCCTGTTAGACCGGGAACGTCTTAGTAAATCTAAACTAATAATCCTTTTGATCAATAATCATCCTCAAAAACCTGAAAAGCAAGAATGAGGTCAAGTTCCCATATGTAAGATTCCTTTGTCTTCTTTTCTAACAGCTTCCCTTGCCAGACAATTCCTCTGTCGGGTGTGGCCAAGTGGGGATAAAGAGAAGAGCAACATCTCTAATGACCAGCTCCATGCTCTGCTCTGGTGAGATGTTTGGTTTCTTCCAATGAGCCAAATAGCTTTTTTCTATTTTGCTACTGTTGTTTGTCAGAGACTGGACAAATGACCTTTTTAGTGGGAATTTGAAAACAATGAAGTAGGTTAAAAATGAACACAATTTGGAACATGTGGATCTTAAGATCCTCTGGTTCTGTTTTATACTGTTAGCTAACTGCTTATTGTTAATTCAGATCATAGAGGAATTAGAGGAATCTGTAGTTGTATTCTACTTTGTTAATTAGTGGGTCAAATATTTGACTCTCAATGCAGTATCTACCTGGAGCACACAGAGAGCATTCTGAAGGCCATAGAGGAGATTGCTGGTGTTGGTGTCCCAGAACTGATCAACTCTCCTAAAGATGCATCTTCCTCCACATTCCCTACACTGACCAGGTAAGGGAGTTCTTTCCTCCAGTTTTTCCCTTAAGATAGAATCATCATCAGGCTGGGCACGGTGGCACACACCTGTAATCCCAGCACTTTGGGAGGCTGAGGCAGGAGGATCACCTTGAGGTCAGGAGTTTTGAGACCCACTTGGCCAACATAGTGAAACCCTGTCCCTACTAAAAATACAAAAATTAGCCGGGCGTGGTGGCACATGCCTGTAATCCCAGCTACTTAGGAGGCTGAGGTAGGAGAATTGCTTGAACCTGGGAGGCGGAGGTTGCAGTGAGCCGGGATCGCGCCACTGCACTCCAGCCTGGGCAGCAAGAGCGAAACTCCATCTCAAAAAAAAAAAGAATCATAATCACACTGTCCAACGTATATAGCTTCCACACAACTGCCTTGCTCCTCCTCATCTAATTCTGATACAGACAGTAGATATAATCATTCATTCAATAAAGAGAGTCTGTTATGCATTCCTTTCAAGGGCTCTCAGCTAATATATTTGAGAGGACCATGGTGGTTTTTGTTTTGTATTGTTTTGTTTTGTTTTTGAGAAAACTTGTCACCCAGGCTGGAGTGCAGTGGCGTAATCTCAGCTCACTGCAACCTCCACCTCCTGGGTTCAAACGATTCTCCTACCCCAGCCTTTCAAGTAACTGGGATTATAGGCACCCACCACCACACCCGGCTAATTTTTGTATTTTTAGTAGAGATTGGGTTTCACCATGTTGGCCAGGCTAGTCTTGAACCCAACCTCAGGTGATCTGCCTGCCTCGGCCTCTCAAAGTGCTGGGATTACAGGCATGAGCCATTGTGCCCAGCTGAGATATTTTAGCCATCTTGAGAACAGGGTGCTCACATGTATGTCTCACTTAATGGGTGTGTGTCTCAGAATATCAATAGTTATCTTAACATTTGTAGTCTTTTCAGTTTATAAAGCACTTTCACTTTATCTCATTTGATCCTTTTGATAATTCTGTGAGGTTGGTATCATTGCCCCTATTTTACTGCTGAGGAAAATGAGAGCTAGAGAACTTCTCAAGCTTACACGTGCAATAAAATAAACATAGAACCAGGACTCAAACTCAGATCTTCTCACTGTTACTTCATTGCTTTTTCCATACTACCATAACACCTCCTTTCATAAAGTTAATTCCATTGTTTGACAGGCAATCTTCTTGGGCTTATTACTGAGTCCTTTCCGCTCCCCCATCCTCTTACTAAGGACCCTAGTGAAAGGACATTTAGAGAGGTAGGGAAGGAAGCTACTTTTGGTTCCTGGTTCTTCCCAGGTAGTTCTAAGCAGTGCATCATGGTGTGGGCACGCATGCTTTTCCCGTCTTCTAGGCATACTTTTGTTGTTTTCTTCCGTGTGATGATGGCTGAACTAGAGAAGACGGTGAAAAAAATTGAGCCTGGCACAGCAGCAGACTCGCAGCAGGTGAGTAAGATAATAGTCACTTCAAGAAGTGGACTTTGGATTACTTGGAAGTTGCTGATTTTTTTTTTTTTTTTTTTTTTTTTTTTCTGAGACAGAGTCTTGCTTGTTCTGTTGCCCAGACTGGAGTGCAGTGGCATGATCTCGGCTCACTGCAACCTCACCTCCTGGGTTCAAGCAATTCTCCTGCCTCAGACTCCTGAATAGCTGGGATTACAGGCATGCGCCACCACACCCGGCTAATTTTTATATTTTTTAGTAGAGACAGGGTTTCACCATGTTGGCCAGGCTAGTCTCGAACTCCTGACTTCATGATCCACCCACCTCGGCCTCCCAAAGTGCTGAGATTACAGACGTGCGCCACTGCGCCCGGTGGTAGTTGCTGATTCTTCTATGTCTTGGGTCCAAGTTTTCTCCTAAGCTGTTTTTTGTTTTTGTTTTGTTTTGAGTTTCTGAGATTCAGGATTTTTTTTCAAAGAGTTCCTAGTTTAATTTCCTTTCCCTCTAGTTAGAGGTGAGGAATGGGCTCTCTTTTCCTTGGCTACTGCCCAGTTTGCCTCCTGCTAACTGGCATGAGGTAAGCCAGCCTGTTTGAGATACTGTGGATCTTGGCAGCCTGCTAACCAGAACGGAGCTAGACAAGTAAGAGAAAGGGCTAGCATAGGGAAGCAGAGAAGCTACAGCCAGTATATGTTTTTTCTTTTTTTTTTCTTTTTGAGACAGGGTCTGAGTCTGACATCCAGGTTGGAGTGTAGTGGTGCAAACTTGGCTCACTGCAGCCTTTGCCTTCTGGGCTCAGATGATCCTCCCACGTCAGCCTCCCAAATAGCTGGGACCACAGGTGCACGCCACCATGCCCGGCTAATTTTTCTATTTTTAGTAGAGGCGGGGTTTTGTCGTGTTGCTCAGGCTGGTCTTGAACTCATAGGCTCAAGCAATCCTCCCGCCTCAGCCTCCCAAAGTGCTGGGATTATAGGCATAAACCACTGCACCTGGCATAAACCAGTGCAGCCCAGAAGGCAAAGGCTGCAGTGAGCCAAGTTTGCACCACTGCACTCCAACCTGGATGTCAGACTCAGACCCTGTCTCAAAAAGAAAAAAAAAAGAAAAAACATATACCGGCTGTAGCTTCTCTGCTTCCCTATGCTAGCCCTTTCTCTTACTTGTCTAGCTCCGTTCTGGTTAGCAGGCTGCCAAGATCCACAGTATCTCAAACAGGCTGGCTTACCTCATGCCAGTTAGCAGGAGGCAAACTGGGCAGTAGCCAAGGAAAAGAGAGCCCATTCCTCACCTCTAACTAGAGGGAAAGGAAATTAAACTAGGAACTCTTTGAAAAAAAATCCTGAATCTCAGAAACTCAAAACAAAACAAAAACAAAAAACAGCTTAGGAGAAAACTTGGACCCAAGACATAGAAGAATCAGCAACTACCACCGGGTGCAGTGGCGCACGTCTGTAATCTCAGCACTTTGGGAGGCCGAGGTGGGTGGATCATGAAGTCAGGAGTTCGAGACTAGCCTGGCCAACATGGTCAGTATATGTTGCAAAGGCTTTTACTTACTTGGGAATTGCTGAAGAGGAAACTTTTTAGAAAGTCTGTCCCTATGAGGTGTTCTAATGTTACCACAACATGTGCAGGCCTCAGAACCATCTTGTGGATGCACTGGTTGCTACATCTAAGGATAATTGGCTTAAATATCTGTATAGCTATGTAATTCAAGAACTATATCTTAGTGGGAATACAGTAAGGGAAGTATTTGGCTGTGACTCAGAGGTGCCCATATATTTGGCTGCCCCAGATTCATGAAGAGAAACTCCTCTACTGGAACATGGCTGTTCGAGACTTCAGTATCCTCATCAACTTGATAAAGGTGAGTATGGAGACTGCTTGACACATCTCACCAAATAACTGCAGAAACCAAGTGTCCTGGCTTCCAAAATGGACTTTCCTTGCTCCTCTTCCCACTCTTCCTTGGGGCCTGCTCTCCCTGAGTCGTCTTCTTCCTTTGTCCCCCTACCCATCCTGGATAACCCCTTTTCTCACTAGGCATTTTTTTTTTTGTCTTTTCCTTCCTTCCTCCTACTTATGCCACAATACTATTTAATGACTCCTTCCATCTGTAATTCCCTCACTTTTTCACCTTGCCTTGGATCCTCTATGATCTGAGCGCACATTCCCTCTTCTAACCCTGAATGCCCTCGTTCTCCTTTAAACACACTGTGCTCTCACCCACTCCATCGTGGTTTTGCTCAGCTTGTTCCCCCAGCCTAGAATGTCCTTGTCTCTCCACCTCTTTCATGTCTTTTTTTTTTTTTTTTTTTTTTTTTTGAGGCAGGGTCTCACTCTGTTGTCCAGGCTGGAATGCAGTAGGGTGATCACAGCTCACTGCAGCCTCAACCTCCTAGACTCAAGAATCTTCCCACTGAAGCCTCTGGAGTAGCTGGGACTACAGGAACATGCCACCACACCCAGCTAATTTTTCTATTTTTTGTGGAAACAGGGTCTCATTCTGTTCCCCAGGCTGGCCTCGAACTCCTGGGCTCAAGTGATCCACCAGCCTCAGCCTCCCAAAATGCTGGGATATCAGGCATGAGCCAGCATGCCCAGCCTCATCCAGTCTTTCTTAAGTCTTCAGATCAAGGTTTTGGACCTCTAATAATGCCATCTTCTCAACACTCCCAGTTGGAATCAGTTTATTTCTCTTTGCTCGTCTCTTCCTTTTCTTGAACTTCAGTTGTGATAATTAC
Source organism: Homo sapiens (assembly GCF_000001405.40). NCBI lineage: Eukaryota > Metazoa > Chordata > Mammalia > Primates > Hominidae > Homo > Homo sapiens. The sequence continues at coordinate 10,093,130 of NC_000003.12, forward strand.
TTTATTCTGCTTTGTAATATTAATTTAAATGTTGACATTCCTCCATTTTAGAATTCTCTGCAGCACCCAAAGCTGTGCTTTGCGCAGCGGGAAAGAGGCTGGAGTGCTCAAAGGAGCAGATCTCAGCCTTGGTTTCTTGTCTTTCACCTCTCCAGGTATTTGATAGTCATCCTGTTCTGCATGTATGTTTGAAGGTGAGAGATTTACTGGGCCCTGTTTCATATTTATTCTTCCTGTGGATCACTCTAGAGAGGACCTCAGCTGAGATAAATTGCTCAATTTCTTGCCCACAAGCCAGAGTTTCCAGAATCTATGCCAGTTTAGGGAAGGCAATGGATGCATTTTCCCACCCTAGTTGGATGATTGGAGAAGCCAGTTTTCCTATGAATTTGAAAACTTTTGGTAAGAATCTTAGTACTAGGAGGAATGGCTTCAGGGCAGTTGAGTTTAGGAGCAGTAGTTACCTTCCGTGCCATTCCTTACCAGGCAAAAGGGAGGAAGGAGGAGTAGATGATTTTTCTTTAAAGTCTATGGGTGGCCTTACAAATGTGGGATCTGATATCCTGATAATTGCCAAACTTCTCTTTTGTGGGAATAGCCTGTATTAGCCCTAGATTTGATGGGAAGTCCAGTCAGAATGTTATGGGGAGAATGCTACTTCGCCACTCCTCAAGTTTCCTTCCAAGTGGATGGTGCCCCATTCTTGTCATCTCCTGGTCACTCTCCCTTTTTACTCCACCCTTGCGCAATGTGGGAGATGGGCAAGTTGGAGAGAGGAGTCATTTATCTGATTGGGAAATTTAGAAATTGGTCATATGCTTTCTCAGCTTTACCCAGTTTTTCCCTCTTGGGAGTAAGTTATCCTCAGATAGAGCTCCCCTCTACTCTATGCTCTCACTCCTAAGCTGAGCAAGTTCCCTGTCCATCGACTGTATCTGTGGTAGGTAAGTCTGCCTAATTCTGGGGCTTAGTTAACAGGCCTATTTGATTTTTGTATTAAGTTACATTCTCCAAATAAACCTTTTGGACCCTTCCCAATTTGTTTTTTATATATATAAATAAGAAAATAAAACCCTTGGGCTGGATGAGACTATTCTGCCTCAGGGGCCTTTCAGTGAGATACCTCAGCTAGAGGTAACAGTGTGTCTCTCTTCTTCAGTATGGGCGTCTCTTTGTGGAAGCATTTCTGAAGCAATGTATGCCGCTCCTAGACTTCAGTTTTAGAAAACACCGGGTAAGAGCTAAGAGCAGAGAACAAAGATATGCACTGAAGAGTTGCTCAGAAGATATGTCCTTGGTGACTCCTGGGTGGGGCTGGGAGTGTTCTACCTGGGCTCCTCTGGTCCACTTCAGCTGTAGCCAGAGATCCCCAAATTGGACTGAATATTCCAAAGTAGGCTGAACTCCTCAGGCCCACTCTGGATCAAACCCACCTTTCTATTTCTTCTCCAGATCTGACAGTGGTCTTCCTTTTAGCTTGATTTTATTGTGCTACTGCACTCTCAGGTCCTCATGTATCAGTGTGTCATTTGCTTATTCCTTTATGCTTCTGTAGGTATACTCTCAGAAATGATTTTAAAAAAAAAAAAGCTCATTTGTGTCATAAAACCCTTTGCTGTGGTAATGAACAGTCTTGACAGTTTTTTAGCCAATGGCATCCAGGGCTAGAGTGATGAATTAAGGATAGAATCACATTATTTCCTATACATATTTAGCAAGTTGAACAAAATACTCACCATATTTGGTTGGTCCCTCACAGCCCTGAAAGAGAAAGGGAAGGTGGTATTTTATCCTAATGTTGCAGATGGGAAAACTGAGACATGGTAACCTATGTAAAACTAAAATGCAGGTCTTATAACTCTCAGATTGATACAAGGGACAGAAATGGGAGAGTTGAGAATAAGAGGTAGCTGCTATTCCTCCTATTTGAGAGGCAAATTAAGATGATTATCAGCATAGGCTGGAAACTGCAGAGTTTATCCTCTTTGGAGCTTTTGATTGCAAGGGTATCTTGAATCTAAAATGAAATCAGGACATTTCATAGAGCATTTATAAACTTATTGGTTATAGGAAGATGTTCTGAGCTTACTGGAAACCTTCCAGTTGGACACAAGGCTGCTTCATCACCTGTGTGGGCATTCCAAGGTAAGAAGGGGAGCAGGTTCTATCAGCAGCCTGCCTGTTGGCTTAATCTGCAGTTGCTATTGGGGGATCCATGGGCTACCATCCTTCTTCCTTTATATCTGGGACTGTGTCTGTCCAAAGGCAGTTTATTCAGAGCAAATCCTTAGTTGCTCCTTGAGATTGGGCAGTCCTCTAGAGGGGAATCTCCGCATCTGAAATTTGATTCAAACTCCAAAGCTCTTTTTCCTCTAGAAACTTCTTGGGTGACAGAAATAGAATGCTGGTATATGTTTACTTCTGCAAAGTCCTCTAGGTAACAGGACTGTGATGTAAGTGATGATCCTGCAGGAGACAGGAGGTGGCTCTAAAGCAGCCATCTGTAGAGGCTTTCATCTGTGCCACTTACTTTCAAGGAACTCATCTATGTCTTATGAGAACATCTTAGCATTAAAGGATTTTTCCACTTGAAGCCTTCTTATAGTTAATGAGGTATTGTCACGTTTTGTCTGAATGAACACAGAACCCTAGAGTTCTGCAGTCACTGGCAAACCAAATGATTCTTGAGTCCAGTTTCTGTTACTTACTTCCTCCTCTGGTTCTAAATTTATAAGGTCCTGAACAGTGATTTTTTTTTTTTTTTTTTTTTGAGACGGAGTCTCGCTTTGTAGCCCAGGCCGGAGTGCAGTGGCACAATCTCTGCTCACTGCAAGTTCCGCCTCCCGGCTGGACAGTGAATGTTTAAGGAATTCTCTTAGCTAAACAGGGCTACTCTATTGTTTAATATCAGTAAAATATATATTCAAGAATATTTTAGGTAAATTCATTGAAGATCGGCCAGTAAGAGGTTATGAAGAGGAACTAGAGGTGTTGGTGGTATGTCTTCTAGGCTTTGAATTCTTTAGCTGCCATTCTCTTTGGATTACTCTGCCAAACTATTCCTGTTTGATGGAACATACCGTTGGCCCATACTGGCAGGGCTTGTGTTCTTATTCAACATTCAAAGGTTTCTATAAGAAATGTGAAGGCATGATGATAAACTCACAAAAGATGGATGTTATTTATTTCCATTCAGATTCACCAGGACACGAGACTCACCCAACATGTGCCTCTGCTCAAAAAGACCCTGGAACTTTTAGTTTGCAGAGTCAAAGCTATGCTCACTCTCAACAATTGTAGAGAGGCTTTCTGGCTGGGCAATCTAAAAAACCGGGACTTGCAGGTAAGCCTTGGATCCTGCTAGTGATAATCCCCTACTCTTATTCTTTGTGACAGCATCAGATGGCATGTAAGGAAGGTCACCTAAGCCCTCGTCTCTCAGTAAGGCTACTTTTCTCTTAAGTCTGTGACTGTTTAACTCTTAAAGTTATGGTACATTACTCATGGGCCCTGGTCACAGGCTGCACCCCTCATCTTAGGCAGCAAGGCACCAAAACATGCCATTGATATAAACAATGCCTCAGACATAAAGGAGTCAGACCAGTACAAACCTCTCTCCACAGCTAGAGGAGCTCCTTTAAGCCCCACTGAGGGTAGATTCATAATAACATTTTTGTATAGGGACAAACATTTCTTTTGTTATTTTTTTTCCCCTAAGCCAATCTGTCTTATTCCAGAAATTACAAATTAATCTCTTATTGGGGGACCTGCCCCGATAATCACGTAGGTTCTTTTCTATTTTCCTAAGTGTCAGCTGGCTTGAGAAATAAAGGGACAGAGTACAAAAGAGAGAAATTTTAAAGCTGGGCGTCCGGGGGAGACATCACACGTTGATAGGATCCGTGATGCCCCACAAGCCACAAAAAACAGCAAGTTTTTATTAGGGATTTTCAAAAGGGGAGGGAGTGTGCGAATAGGTGTGGGTGACAGACATCAAGTACTTAACAGGGTAATAGAATATCACAAGGCAAGTGGAGGCAGGGTGAGATCACATGACCGCAGGACCGAGGCGAAATTGAAATTGCTAATGAAGTTTTGGGCACCACTGTCATTGATAACATCTTATCAGGAGACAGGGTTTTGAGATCAACAGGTCTGACCAAAATTTATTAGGCGGGAATTTCCTCTTCCTAATAAGCCTGGGAGCGCTATAGGAGACTGGAGTTTATTTCACCTCTGCAGTCTCGACCATAAGAGACAGGTACACCCGGGGGGGCCCAGTTCAGAGACCTACCCCTAGGTGTGCATTCTCTTTCTCAGGGACGTTCCATGCTGAGAAAAAGAATTCAGTGATATTTCTCCCATTTGCTTTTGAAGGAAGAGAAACATGGTTCTGTTCCGCCCGGCTCACCGGCGGTCAGAGTTTAAGGTTATCTCTCCTATACCCTGAACAATTGCTGTTACCCTGTTGTTTTTTCAGGGTGCCCACATTTCATATTGCTCAAACACACATGCTGTACAATTTGTGTAGTTAACGCAATTATTACAGGGTCCTGAGACTATATACCTCCTTCTCGGCTGACAGGATTAAGACATTAAAGTAAAGACAGGCATAGGAAATCACAAGGGTATTGACTGGGGAAGTGGTAAGTGTCCATGAAATCTTTACAATTTATGTTTAGAGATTACAGTAAAGACAGGCATAAGAAATTACAAAAGTATTAATTTGGGGAACTAATAAATGTCCATAAAATCTTCACAATCCACGTTCTTCTGTCAAGGCTTCAGCCGGTCCCTCCGTTTGGGGTCCCTGACTTCCCGCAACAATCTCTAATTTTAACTAATGAGCATTTATAAGGTTTTTTTTAGTTGTCTGATTAGCTGAAATCTTGTGTTGTTTATAATACTACTTTGGAGTTACAACATTTTTCAGATAGGGTAGTATAAGCCCTTTTCTTTCATGCTTACAATATCTGAGTCTTGTAGTCAATTATATATGAAATATATAAAACAGCACCACAGAGAATTAGCTTCCTTTCTTCACATCAACCTTATGAGGCAGATACTATTGTTTCTGCATAAAAATTGAAGCTCAGAGAAGTTAAGTAATTTACCTAATGTCATTCAACAGTGAGTGGGTGGAGCCGGAGTTTGAGTCCAAACAGTCCCAAATCCAGAGCTGATGTTCTGAAACCACCTCACCATACTGTCCTTTAGCCTCCGCATGGCCATTCGTGCTTGGTGTGATAGTGCTTAGATACCTTAAGGTATTTGGGAAATTTTAGAACCATGTTCAGCATCGACTTAGAGTCACCAATACAGTCTAGCCTTTTAAAATGTAGTGTGATACTAGCATACTAAGATGAACCTTTCGTTACATTACTTATTGTATCAGGGCCACAGACATCTCAGAAACCTGGAGTTGAGTATCCCTCCTCTAGATGCTGAATCACAAGTTGGTATCCATGTTTGCTGTGTTTTGAATGGCTAAAATATCTTCCTTTGTATTGCCTGTAAACTCAACCTTCTCCCCTATTACCCTAAATGTGATCATTATAACCCACCATTTTCTTGGTCCATTCACATTTAGGGTGAAGAGATTAAGTCCCAAAATTCCCAGGAGAGCACAGCAGATGAGAGTGAGGATGACATGTCATCCCAGGCCTCCAAGAGCAAAGCCACTGAGGTATCTCTACAAAACCCACCAGAGTCTGGCACTGATGGTTGCATTTTGTTAATTGTTCTAAGTTGGTGGAGCAGAACTTTGCCTACTTATGTTTATTGTCAAATGCTTCTATGCCCATTTCCATTCCCTCCATAACAGCTTCTGTGCTTATATAATTTTTGGGACCCAGAAGAAACAACGACACAATCTTAGAATCACTCCTGAGTATCTCGAGTTGTGGCATTTGTTATAGAGTTGACAATTTTCTGCATTATAGCCTCTCATTTTCCATGAATTCATATCTGAAACCATTTTAGAAGGGAGAAGTCATCGAAGTATTTTCTGAGTGTTGAGAAGAATGAGTTAAACCATTTAAACACATTTGAAACATACAAAAATAGAAATGTGAAAGCATTTGGTGAAAGCCAAAGCACAGAGTCAGAAGCTGCCACCTTAGAGAACTGAAATAAAAATAGAAGTTCTTACGCTTTTTTGTGGTACAGATGCTTTCGACAATTTAAAGAAAGCTAAATAAAAATGTAGACATGGCTGGCGCAGTGGCTCATGCTTGTAATCCTAGCACTTTTTGAGGCCAAGGTAGGAGGATTGCTTGAGTCCGGGAGCTCAAGGCAAAGCTGCACAACATAACAAGACCCTATCTCCACAAAAAAAATGAAAAATAAACCTGGGTGCGGTGGCTCACACCTGTAATCCCAGCACTTTGGGAGGCCGATGTGGGCAGATCACAAGGTCAGGAGTTCAAGACCAGCCTGGCCAACATAGTGAAACCCCATCTCTACTGAAAATACAAAAATTAGCTGGGTGTGGTGGCACGTGCCTGTTATCTCAGCTACTTGGGAGGCTGAGGCAGGAGAATCACTTGAACCTGGGAGGTGGAGGTTGTGGTGAGCCGAGATCATGCTACTGCACTCCAGCCTGGGCAACAGAGTGAGACTCCGTCTCAACAACAACAAAAAAGTGTACATTTATAAAATTTTGTCACAATTCAGGTAGGTTATAGACACCAAAAAGCTCAGATTTAAGAACCCCTGCTGTGGGGCCTCTGTCTGTAATGCAATTTGAGTCTGATCCAGAAAGATCATTTAGTATGAAAAGTCTGGCCTGATGGGGTGGCTCACACCTGTAATCGTAGCACTTTGTGAGGCTGAGGTGGGAGGACCGCTTAAGCCCAGAATTTCAAGACCAACCCGAGACCCCATCTCTACAGAAAAAATTTTTTTGAGCTAGCCAGGCATGGTGACGCATGCCTGTGGTCCCTGCTACACAGGAGGCTGAGGTGGGAGGGTTGCTCAAGCCCAGGAGGTGGAGGCTGCAGTGAGCCATCATCACACTCCAGCCTGGATGACAGAGCGAGACCCTGTCTCAAAATAAAAAAGTTATTTTATTTACATGGTCCCCAGTTTTATTTGTATAATATACCCCTTCTACTTTTTTCTCAGAATTTGAGGCAGACAATATCCTATTAGTTTGGTACTTTCCCCTAAGCAGATCTCTCATACTAGTATCGTAAGCCAGACAGAACAGAATTTTGTACTGGATTCCTGTTGAGATACACCAGCACAGCACTTCTTTTTTTGAGACGGAGTCTCCCTCTGTCGCCCAGGCTAGCATGCAGTGGTGCAGTCTCAGCTCACTGCAGTCTGTCTCCCGAGTTCAAGCAATTCTCCTGCCTCAGCCTTCCAAGTAGCTAGGATTACAGGTGCCTGCAACCATGCCCGGCTAGTTTTTGTATATTTAGTAGAGACAGGGTTTCACCATGTTGGCCGGGCTGGTCTCGAACTCCTAACCTCAGATGATCTACCCACCTCAGCCTTCCAAAGTGTTGGGATTACTTTGGCGTGAGCCACCGTGCACTGCCATACCACCACTTGTAATAAATATTTCATTCTATATCGAATGCCCTCTTTGTTCCTATGTCATATACATGCAGTAGAGCTGGAGGACCATAGCTTATTTAAAATTATGCAAATTGGGCCGGGCGCAATGGCTCACGCCTGTAATCCTAGCACTTTGGGAGGCTGAGGCAGGCAGATCACCTGAGGCCAGGAGTTTGAGACCAGCCTTGCCAATGTGGAGAAACCCCGTCTCTACCAAAATACAAAAATTAGCCGGGCGTGGTGGCACATGCCTGTAATCCCAGCTACTTGGGAGGCTGAGGCAGGGGAATCGCTTGAACCCGGGAGGCAGAGGTTGCAGTGAGCTGAGATCATGCCACTGCATTCCAGCCTGGTGACAGAGCAAGACTCCTTTAAAAAAAAAAAAAAGTTTTAACAGTGATAATAGTACAGTTGTGTATCCTCTAGGAGCTGTATTCCAGAGGTCACCCAGAGCAGTAACCTAAAATGCTTATTTATTTATTCTTTGCCCCTTAGGATGGTGAAGAAGACGAAGTAAGTGCTGGAGAAAAGGAGCAAGATAGTGATGAGAGTTATGATGACTCTGATTAGACCCCAGATAAATTGTTGCCTGCTTCTGTGTCTCTGCCAGCCTGTGATCATTTTGTGTTAGAGTTTGAAATCCGCTGTTTGCCTTTCTTACTGGTAGGATCCTTTTTTGTTCCTCTTTTTTTTTTTTTTTTTTTTTTTTTAAAGACGGGGACTCGCTGTGTTTCCCAGGCTGGAGTGCAGTGCTGCAATCTTGGCTCACTGCAACCTCCATCTCCTAGGTTCAAGCGATTCTCCTGCCTCAGCCTCCTGAGTAGCTGGGACGACAGGCACATGCCACCATGCCCAGCTAATTTTTGTATTTTTAGTAGATACGGGGTTTTACCATGTCGGCCAGATGGTCTCAATCTCCTGAACTCATGATCCACCTGCCTCAGCCTCCCAAAGTGCTGGGATTACAGGCATGAGCCACCGCTCCCAGCCATATTTTGTTCTTAAAGTGGGGTCTTTATTAACTTGTGGACATCATGGATTGTCTAACACCATCACAGTCCCTGGCTCAGGATTCTAATGTAGCATTATTTATTGGTTTGGATAAACCCAGCTGTGCTACACTGCAGAGTAAAATCTCTGAGTCATGATTCTGGACTTTGGGAGCTAGTTTTGAAACTCTGATTTATTGTAGAACTTAGGCTTGTACCAATTTTACAAATAAATTCTGTTCTAAGTTCTGCCTCAGTTGCCTCATTTATCTTTCTGGATTTGCTTCATTATTCAAGGATTAGGTGGAATTGAATTGAGATTTGTGCAGAGAAATTATGGAGACTGGTGCTAACATAGTTCTGCCGATTAAAATCATGTCTCCTATTGTAAGAACCAACTTCATCTGAGATGAGATATATCTGATCTTTCTGGAGGATTGACTTGATCTTGATCTTCTTTCCTTTTTTTTTTTTTTTTTTGAAACGGAGTCTCACTCTATCGCTCAGGCTGGAGTGCAGTGGCACGATCTCAGCTCACTGCAACCTCCACCTCCCAGGTTCAAACAATTCTCCTGTCTCAGCCCCCTGTATAGGTGGGACTACAGGCACACGCCACCATGCCTGGCTAATCTTTGTATTTTTTAGTAGAGACAGGGTTTCACCATATTGACCAGGCTGGTCTTGAACTCCTGACCTCGTGATCTACCCGCCTCGGCCTCCCAAAGTGGTACAATTACAGGCGTGAGCCACCATGCCCGGCCAACTTCAATTTCTTGTCAGTGCCCAAAGAAAGTCAAAAGGAATGTTTTGGCTGCTTTTAAAATTTTTTTGATTGGTGTAATAGTATAAGACCAAAAAAAAAGCTGGGCGCGGTGGCTCGCGCCTGTAATCCCAGCACTTTGGGAGGCTGAGGTGGGTGGATCAGGAGATCCAGGAGATCCAGGAGATCAGGAGATCGAGACCATCCTGGCTAACACAGTGAAACCCCGTCTCTACTAAAAAATACAAAAAATTAGCTGGGCTTGGTGGCGGGCGCCTGTAGTCCCAGCTACTCGGGAGGCTGAGGCAGGAGAATGGTGTGAACCCGGGAGGTGGAGCTTGCAGTGAGCTGAGATTGTGCCACTGCACTCCAGCCTGGGCAACAGAGCGAGACTCCGTCTCAAAAAAAAAAAAAAAAAAGACCAAAATAAAATAAAATAAAAAAGCAGCATCAAACTCATGTTAACTTTGTATATGTAATGTTTATTTCCATTTTCTGAGTTATACCTAACCTAGTTACAAGAACGCTACAAAGGCCAGATATTGTGGGTCACCGCTGTAATCCCAACACTTTGGGAGGCCGAGGCCAAGGCATTGCTTGAGTCCAGGAGTTCAAGACCAGCTTGGGCAATGTGGTGAAACTCCATCTCTACTAAAAAAAAAAAAATACAAAAATTAATGGCCGGGCGCAGTGGCTCATGCCTATAATCCCAGCACTTTGGGAGGCTGAGGTGGGCAGGTCACCTGAGGTCGGGAGTTCGAGACCAGCCCGACCAGCCTGGAGAAACCCTGTCTGTACTAAAAACACAAAATTAGCTGGGCGTGGTGGCACATGCCTGTAATCCCAGCTACTAGGGAGGCTGAGGCAGGAGAATTGCTTGAACCTGGGAGGCAGAGGTTGCGGTGAGCCGAGATGGCGCCACTGCACTCCAGCCTGGGCAACAAGAGCAAAACTCCATCTCAAAAAATAATAATAATACAAAAATTAGCCAGATATGGTGGCCCGCACCTGTAGTCCCAGCTACTCAGGAGGCTGAGGCGGGAGGATCACTTGAGCCTGGGAGTTTGAGGCTGCAGTGAGCCAAGACCATGCTACTGTAGTCCAGCCGTGATGACAGAATGAAACCCTGTCTCCAAAAACCAAAAAAATGCTACAAAATTACATTAGGAGTACATTTCAGCTAAAATGGAGACTCATGAGTTCCATGTAGCCTACCAGAAAGCCTAGCTTCAGTGCTGCTACCAAGTTCTTTCTTGCCAGGCTGTAAGTATTGTTTAATATCAGTATTTCTACCCACTTTTGTACACTCTAGTGGTATTAGGGTGTGGTTGGTTAGGGTTTTTTTCTTATTTTCATTGTTTTGGTCGGGGGAGGTTTTAAAGTAATCCTTGACCTATATATATAGATTTTTGACATCCCCTGGTACATAGAAATCCATACATCTTTCTCCTCTACACCCCTTTTCCCCCCAATTCATTGTGGTTGTAGGTGTTTATGTGAGTTCACACTAGGCTCATTGGTTTATATCATTTGTTTAACGGTTATCACATGGACATGTCAATGCTAGTTTGACTCTAAATGGTTCAACCTTACAATGGGAATGTTCTTCCTTGTTCTCTATCATTGGTCCTTTTTTGGAGGGGAAGGGATGAAAGGGGCTCCTGAATCATCACTGCTTGAAACAAAAGCAAGATGGCTGGGACAATGTCACAGTTTCATTTACATGGACAGGTTTCTGTAAGCTTTAGGTACATACCAAAGGGCATGGTGTGAGTAAATGGGGATCAAATGAGGACCCTTTACTTGGAGTGCTGCAAGGCAAAGGTGCACTTTTTGTAAGTTGCATACAGCAAGAGGATAGAGCGCAGCATCTGTTTGCACATAGTGACTGTCATCTGAATCTGAGGCTCCTTCAGTCCAATGGGCCACTGGTGCTCCCTGCTAATGATTTTGCAAAAGGCTGACTTGTCTGAAACTCTGAAAGTCCCGGTCCACTTTGGTGGCTGAGCTGTGATAACCCTGCCAAAGACAGAATCTACTCCACTGAGGCGGATGGGCTGGGGCTTCCTGACCAGTCCTTTGTTGTTCATCGTGCGCAACTCTGATGTGTGGCAGGGTAACTTGGGACTCACTCCAGATTCCAGGAATGGGCTGTCTAGGACTAGAGTGACCTCTTGAAAGCACAGCTGCACTTCAAGGTCGGACGGTGTGTGTGGGAAGCAGGGGGAGGCCTTGAATGGGTGCTTGGAGGAAGGTGTAGGTGTCGTGTGCCGCAGCCATTGGAAACTCTCATCCAGTGGGGTCCATGGTGACCAGAGCTGGTATCCTGCCATTGACAGTCCTAAAGGAGGGAAATCAGAGCATGGAATTTCCCTGACATGCTTTTCATGAGAGCATGGCCTTTCAAATTCCCATCTCTGTCTCACTATAGACATAAACTTGTTCTATAGTTCCCATGAATAGATTCCAACAGGTGTTAGGATATTAGTAATTATTTTATTTTATTTTATTTTTTCTTTTTTGAGACAAGAGTCTCGCTCTGTCACTCAGGCTGGAGTGCAGTGGAGCGATCTTGGCTCACTGTATTTTTTTGTAGTGACAGAGTTTTGCCATGTTGGCCAGGCTGCTCTCCAACTCCTGACCTCAGGTGATCCACCGCCTCGGCCTCCCAAAGTGCTGGGATTATAGGCGTGACCCACTTCGCCCAGCCTAGATATTAGTAATTCTAATAAAGGGAAGTAGGGAATGATTACAAGTATTGATCTGGCAACTGCTATGTGTACTAAAACTTTATATTAAACTTTTTCACAAGCCTTTGGAAGTAGGTCTTAACCCATTTTATAGATGAGGCAATGGATTTGTCTGAAATGAATATAGGTCCACTGTTAGGACCTATGCTGTGTTGTTAGCTGCTAATGACAGAGTCTTTATCTTCTGAGGTGACAGAAGCTTCTGGGACTTCATGATGAGACCTTATTACTTGAGATTAGAAGAAGCTCAGAAAAGTCATGTCTTAAAAATATTTGTGGCTGGACACAGTGGCTCATGCCTATAATCCCAGCACTTTGGGAGGCTGAGGCGGGCGGATCACTTGAGGTCAGAGTTCCAGAACAGCCTGGCCAACATGGTGAAACCCTGTCTCTACTAAAAATACAAAAATTAGCCGGGCGTGGTGGCGCATGCCTGTAGTCCCAGCTCTGTGGGGAGGCTGAGGTGTGAGAATTGCTTTAACCCAGGAGGCGGAGGTTGCAGTGAGTCAAGATCGCACCACTGCACTCCAGCCTGGGTGAAAGAGCAAGACTCCATCTAAAAAAAAAAAAAAAAAAAAAATTATATATATATATATATATATATATATATATATATATATATATATATATTTTGAGGTTCGCGATGTATGAACCCTGTAGTAGCAGCTTCAGCATCATTTGGAAACTTGCAGAAATGCACATTTTTGGGCCCCACCTCAGACCAACAGGAACAAACTCCACGTGGGACCCAGCAATCTGCATTTATATAAGCCCTCTTGCATTGTCTATTTTGAGAATTTCTTATGCTATTCCTTTCAAACAACTCTAGCTTTCACTATTCATTACTGAGATCATCTCCTGGCCCCAAAGGCCTCTGCATTTTCTAGCACAAGGGAGCAACTTGCAGACCCCTGGGTTATTTATATACCACCTCAGAGGAGCTACACCAGGCTGGGAGAAAACACTTCCAAAGTCCAGTCAAAAAACTGTTAAAGATTTTTGTTTTTCTAGGTGTGGGTGTGGTTTTAAATTTGTTTTTCTGATTTGTTTGTTTTCCATCTATGGAAGACCTACTGGTTCCATAAGACCTTAATTTTCTTTTTCCTTTGAAGATTAAAAAGGGCTGTGAGGATATTGCTAACTGAAAATTTATGCAAGTAAAATTAGAATTTTCCATCATTCTCCTTCAACATTGCCAGTATATAAGAAGTTTTACTAAATTCAGAAGCTAATTTTTTTTAGCACGTACCTATTTTGTTAGTGGGCATAGCAGGTCCCTTTTCTTTCTAGCCAAGTGTATTTCTCTGCCCCTTCTTCTCCCACAGAAGATAGCAGCAGATCTCATCCTATCCAGTAATTGCCCCAGAAATACTGTGAAAATTTTGACACCTTCACCGCCGTTTGTGAGATAGAAAAGTTCGTTTTAAAAAAAGAACTGTTGGCCGGGCACAGTGGCTCACACCTGTAATCCCAGCACTTTGGGAGGCCGAGGTGGGTGGATCACTTGAGGTCAGGAGTTCAAGACCAGCCTGGCCAACAGGGTGAAACCCCGTCTCTACTAAAAATACAAAAATTAGCCAGGCGTGGTGGTGGGTGCCTGTAATCCCGGGTACTCAGGAGGCCGAAGCAGGAGAATCACTTGAATGGAGGCTGCGGTGAGCCGGGATCAAGCCATTGAACTCCAGCTTGGGTGACAGAGGGAGACTCCGTCTCAAAAAAGAAAAAAACGTTGGTGACATTTCAGACCAGAAGACCTGCTCCTGACAATGGTTAGTATAGGGGGATTTGTTGATTTTCTCCAACTAGTATGTTTCTCATGATCTATGTAGGCTCTTTGCAAAGTACTAAGTGTTCAAATATCTGGGCTGCCTTAGAATGAGAAAGGGACACCCAAGGGACAGTTATCTATTCCAAACACCCTGTGAAAGGCTTCTGGTGCTTGATATCTTGACCTTCAGAGCACATATCCAAGAGAGGGACTACTGTGGTACACCACCATGGCAAGGTGGGCGGAGGGTATGAATGCTGTCAAGCATATTTTTAATCCCAGAATATGGGATTTAAAAAAGTATTTAATCCCAGGATCCTTTTCTTTCTTTCTTTCTTTTTTTTTTGAGACAGAGCCTTGCTCTGTCACTCAGTCTGGAGTGCAGTGGCGCGATCTCCGCTCACTGCAAGCTCCGCCTCCCGGGTTCACGCCATTCTCCTGCCTCAGCCTCCCGTAGCTGGGACTACAGGCGCCTGCCACCACGCCCGGCTAATTTTTTTGTATTTTCAGTAGAGACAGGGTTTCACCGTGTTAGCCAGGATGGTCTCGATCTCCTGACCTCGTGATCCGCCCGTCTCGGCCTCCCAAAGTGCTGGGATTACAGGCGTGAGCCACCGGGCCCGGGCCCCCCGGATCCTTTTCTTGCCACATCTTCTAAGAGGAAGTAGAGGTAGAAGTAAAAGTCTTTGTCAAATGTCCAGCCTAGGTCGCGGCGCGGTGGCTCAGGCCTGCAATCACAGCACTTTGGGAGGCCAAGGCGGGCCAATCACTTGAGGTCAGGAGTCAGCCTAAATATTCGGCAGAACCAACATGGGACGAGAGCGCTTCTAAACCTAGGTCCCTGCACCTCTTCGCACAAAGTTTAAAGATGGTTCACCCCATCCCCACCGCCCAGAAGTCACTGTCAACCACTCCAGAAGGGCTTGAACCTACAAAGTCTGCTCAAGCTGCTCAATAGCTCCCAGATATGGAACACCTGATTCTCCTGGCCAAAAAGGTTTCCCCTTCACACCCCACTTCCCATTCCAAGGAACCCCATCTCTTGATTTCCCCACCTGGGAAACAGGGCGTTAGCGCCAAAGTGCAGCTGAGGTCCTGAACTGTAAACGGAGATCCCGAGGGTCTGGAGCTGCCGAGAGTGCGAGAGGCTCCCACTCCCCGCCGGAAGAAGGGGCTTGGGCCTCCTGGGTCCCTATCCGGGGGCGGGGACCAGAAGGTTCTGGCTGAGGCGGACGATGCGGTGGGAACCTGGGCCCAGTCCCACCATCCGGGCCCGGGGCTCACCTGCTGAACTCTGAGGGTCTCACGCTCCAAAGTGGCGGCCGCTGTTCGTGGCGCCTGGCAACCGCCTTTGTGACCCAGGACGGCAGGGCAGCCCGAGCCGCGGCGGGGATGGGGGCTCGAGGCGCCCTACTGGGAGGCGTCAGGGCCACACTCCCCGCCCCCACCTCATTGGAATGCCTTGTCCAGGACTTGGCCTTCAGGAGGGCTGGTCCGAATCCTGTCCCCTCCATTGTCCTCCTCCCTACCGTGCCACACCTGTGTACCTGTGTGCCTTTGATCAAGCCACAGAGGACAGGCGACCCCTACTTCAATGGCCATGGTCAGAGGCCTGCATAAAAGTCCCAGGACCTGTAGTTAGTGTTAAAAGTTAGTCCCAACTCATCACACTCTGCTCAGTGGGTGCTCAGGCAGAGTGACCCAGAGCTCTGTCAGGTTTTGTTGCTCTATTTGAATGATCCCAGTGGCAAAGAAAGAGAATTAATAAATGTTCACCTGTCAAGAGCAGGAGGAAACGCACGTCTTTCCTTGATTTCCTGACAGAAAACCTTTCTCAGCCTTGCGTTAAACCTGAGAGTACCTGTAATCCCAGCTATCTAGGTGGCTGAGATGGGTAGACTGCTTGAGCCCAGGAGTTCAAGACCAGTCTGGGCAACGTAGTGAGATTCCCAGCTCAAAAAGAAAACAAAAAAATCTCAAAAAGAATGATTTTGTCTCATTCTTATAATGCAGAAATACACTTTCGCCATATTAGTGAAGGAGTGATTTGACAACTTTGTAATCATCACTTAAAATAATGACCCTGGATGGCTGAGGGAAGGGAGGAGTCTACCCAGCTGATGTCTGTATTCCCAGTACCTGGCTATTGCCATGTCTGGCAGTGTGCAGTATTTGTGGGAGGAAGTAACTAATGGCCTACTTGGCCTTCCCTTGTACACCCAGAATTGCCCTTGCATTTTACAAACTATAGAACACACACCACAAATAAGACTTGTCACCTTTGTTCTGGTTTTTTGGGTAAAGCTGATGGAGAAAGACTGAGGGTCTGAGAATAGAGTCAGGCAAGATCCTGATTTAGAAGACACACACCCACTGTGTGTACATGTGCACCTTTTGGAAGAAGAGGTAAGTGGAGAAGAGTCTGGAGGGCATGTCGGGTCAGAACATGAAGAGAGAGGCACAGAATAGTGAGACTTGGAAGAGACACAAATGATTTTGAATTACAAAACTTTTTTCCCCAGTTAGTTCATTTTTATTTCCCTCTTTTTTTTTCTTTCTTTTTTTGAGACGGAGTCTCACCGTGTCACCCAGGCTGGAGTGCAGTGGCTTGATCTTGGGTCACTGCAACCTTCACCTCCTGGGTTCAAGCGATTCTCCTGTCTCAGCCTCCCGAGTAGCTGGGATTACAGGCGCGTGCCACCAGGCCCAGCTAATTTTTGTGTTTTTAGTAGAGACGGGGTTTCCCATGTTGGCCAGGCAGGTCTCGAACTCCTGACCTCGTGACCTGTGCACCTCGGCCTCCCAATGTGGTGGGATTACAGGCGTGAGCCACCACACTGGCTTTATTTCCCTCTTGAATAAAAAAGACTTTTTTTTTTGAGATGGAGTCTCACTCTGTCACCCAGACTGGAGTGCAGTGGCGTGATCTCCACTCATTGCAAGCTCTGCCTCCCGGGTTCACACCATTCTCCTGCCTCAGCCTCCTGAGTAGCTGGGACTACAGGCACCAGCCACCACGCCCGGCTAATTTTTTTGTATTTTTAGTAGAGACGGGGTTCACTATGTTGGCGAGGATGGTCTCGAACTCCTGACCTCGTGATCCGCCCGCCTCGGCCTCCCAAAGTGCTGGGATTACAGGCTTGAGCCACCGAGCCCGGCTGACATTTTTATTTTAAAAGAAAACAGTCGTTTTCATTTAGGTTTTAATTGCACAGTGGTTTTTGTTTTGTTTTGTTTTTTAAATGAAAGTCCTCAATGCAAAATTGTATGTTTAAAAATTATTGGATAGATAGAGCTTCATACTGTTATAAGAATTTGGGCTGGGTGCAGTGGCTCACGCCTGCAATCCTAACACTTTGGGAGGCCGAGGCGGGTGGATCACCTGAGGTCACAAGTTCAAGACCAGCCTGGCCAACGTGGTGAAATCCCATCTCTACTAAAAATACAAAAATTAGCCAGGCGTGATGGTGGGCGCCTGTAATCCCAGCTACTCGGGAGGCTGAGGCAGGAGAATCGCTTGAACCCGGGAGGCGGAGGTTGCAGTGAGCCGAGATCGTGCCATTGCACTCCAGCCTGGGCGACAGAGCGATACTTCGTCTGGGAAAAAAAAAAAAAAAAGAATTTGTACAATAGTCCCCTGTGCAGTCTGCCCAGCTCTAAAGGATGTGTTCTCAGAAGTGCCATTCACCATCACCTCCAAGTCTGATAGCATGCTCCATATGGAAAACCAGAATGTGATCTGTATCATCCAGTGCTCAACATTCTGGTTGCACTGTTCGTGGATTCTCATGACAATAGCCACATTTACTCTGCCAAAAGCTGATTCAATGCTTTCAAAGCAGGCAGCAACATTGCTATGGTGCACAAGCTGTATCTATCCTTAGATGTCTCAGCACATGTTACATTTATTGTGGCACAAACATGGTGTCACAAAGTGTTAGTAGGAATTTGAAATACTGACTTAACAGGGCCAGCTGTGCCAGTGATGGTCCAAGTGCATATGACTGCAAAAGAGGCTCAAATGAGCAGGCTTAATACAAGTGCTATATTTCTTCAAGCTTTGATTCCACGTTGATTCTTATACCTGAAGTCATCAATGAGATCCCCAAGTTCCATGAAGTGTATGACCAACTCAAAGTGAAGACAGGGGCTGGGCACGGTGGCTCATGCCTGTAATCCCAGCACTTTGGGAGCCTGAGGCAGGCGGATCAGTTGAGGTCAGGAATTTGAGACCAGTCTGGTCAACATGGCGAAACCCTGTCTCTACCAAAAAATACAAAAATTAGCCGGGCATGGTGACACATGCCTGTAATCCAAGCTATTCAAGAGGCTGAAGCAGGCAAATTGCTTGAACCCAGGAAGCAGAAGTTGCAGTGAGCCAAGATCGCGCCACTGCACTCCAGCCTGGGCAACAGAATGAGACTCTGTCTCAAAAAAAAAAAAAAAAAAAAGTAAAGACAGGGACCTGGTTTCCGTATGTTAACTGTAGCACTCCTTGTTGCATCAACAACATTTCCAAAGCTGGCCTCTGCAGCCCTGTGTCACTCATCAGAAACAATTCCTACAATGAAGAACTATCGGCCAGGCACGGTGGCTCACGCCTGTAATCCCAGCACTTTGGGAGGCAGAGGTGGGCGGATCACCTGAGGTCGGGAGTTCAAGACCAGCCTGACCCACATGGAGAAACCCCATCTCTACTAAAAATACAAAATTAGCCAGGCTTGGTGGCACATGCCTATAATCCCAGCTATTTGGGAAGGCTGAGGCAGGAGAATCGCTTGAACCTGGGAGGTGGAGGTTGCGGTGAGCCGAGATCATGCCATGCCATTGCACTCCAGCCTGGGCAACAAGAGCAAAACTCCGTCTCAAAAATAAAAAAAAAAAAAGAACTATCATGCTAGCAAACCCATAACTAGAGGACTGTCTGACAGCAAGCTCTGTAAAGCGTTTAGGAAAAGGCTCCTGAGGTCCAAAGGAACCATCTTCACTCAAGAACAGCATCATATCCTTGAGTCATCTAGAATTACAAGGGAGATTCTGGAACAGGTGTATAGAAAGTCAACCAAAAGGACAAGACTTGAGTCTGACCTGTCCATGGAAGATGTTCATTAAAAAAAAATTGTTGGATACAGTTTTCTGCCGTCTGCATAATAAGAAAATATAAACTGATCCTGAGTGCATGCTTTATGAAGAGCTAGACATTGTGCTTAGTGTTTTATTTATACTTTCTCACATAATCCTCCAACAATCCTAATTCATCAGTGTTGTTATCCTTGAATTATACATAAAGAAACCAAAGCTCAGAGAGGTGAAATGACTCCTGGATGGTAGATTTAAGATTTCAAACCATGGTGCAATACCTTTATTTTTTATTTTATTTTTTTGAGACAGAGTTTTACCGTTGTCACCCAGGCTGTAGTGCAATGGTGCGATCTCGGCTCACTGCACCCTCCGCCTCCCAGGTTCAAGCAATTCTCCTGCCTCAGCCTCCCTAGTAGCTGGGATTACAGGCGCCTGCCACTACCCTCAGCTAATTTTTTTTTTTTTTTTGTATTTTTAGTAGAGACAGGGTTTCACCAAGTTGGCCAGGCTGGTCTCAAACTCCTGACCTCAGATGATCCACCTGCCTCGGCCTCCCAAAGTGCTGGGATTACAGGGATTACAGCCACCATGCCCGGCTGATGCAATACCTTTAAAGGAAAAGCAGGTCTATCTGACTTTGTGATATCTAAGCAAAATGCCACTTCAACAGCATCACTTAGGATACAGGGCCTTGAGCAGCAGATAGCCTACTGCATGCTTAGGCTTCCCTAATTCTCTATATCTATTATTTATTTTAGAAATCATTTATATGTAGGCTGGGCGTGGTGGCTCATGCCTGTAATCCCAGCACTTTGGGAGGCCGACGAAGGTGGATCACCTGAGGTCGGGAGTTCAAGACTAGCCTGACCAACATGGAGAAACCCCATCTCTAATAAAAATACAAAAAAAAAATTAGCCAGGCGTGCTGGCACATGCCTGTAATCCCAGCTACTCGTGAGGCTGAGGCAGGAGAATCGCCTGAACCCGGGAGGCGGAGGTTGCGGTGAGCCAAGATGGCGCCATTGCACTCCAGCCTGGGCAACAAGAGCGAAACTCCGTCTGGAAAAAAAAAATCATTTACATGTATTCATAGGAGAGCTCAGACAGACTTTAACCTGTTTTCAGAGCGGTATAGTGAAGAGATAATGAAGTCTGGAATCAGCTGGTTAGGGTCTACCTTTTAATCGGCTTTGTTACCTTGAACATCAGATTTCTGATTTTTTATTTTCAAATGAGAAACTTCTTCCTGGCTTCCTTCCACAGGGTTTGTGAGGGTCCAGTAAGGTAATAGCTATAAAAGCATCTTTATAGGTTATAAAATTCTCTACTGGGGTAAATAACTGTTAGTAATGGTTTCTTCCCAGTTAATGCTAATACTGGTAGTAATCTGACTCTTCAGCCACTTTTTTTTTTTTTTTTTTTGAGACAGGGTCTCACTCTGTCACCCAGGCTTGAGTGCAAGAGTGCAATCACTGCTCACTACAGCCTTGACCTCCCTCGGCTCAGGTGATCCTCCCACTTCAGCCTCCCAAGTAGCTGGGATTACAGGCACATGCCACCATGCCTAATTTTTCTATTTTTTGCAGAGACAGGGTTTCACTGTGTTGGCCAGGCTGGTCTCGAACTCCTGGCCCCAAGCAATACGCCCGCCTTAGGCTCCCAAAGTGCTGGGATTAACAGATGTGAGCCACACACCCAGCCACTGAGCCACATTTTTTCTTTTTAATAAAAAGCATTTACTGGCCGGGCACAGTGGCTCACACCTGTAATCCCAACACTTTGGGAGGCTGAGGCAGGTAGATCATCTGAGGTCAGGAGTTTGAGACCAGCCTGACCAACATGGTGAAACCCCATCTCTGGTAAAAAAAAAAAAAAATTAGCTGTGTGTGGTGGTGTGCGCCTGTAGTCCCAGCTACCTGAGAAGCTGAGGCAGAATTGCTTGAACCCGGGAGGCAGAGGTTGCAGTGAGCCGAGATCGAGCCACTGCACTCCAGCCAGAGCAACAGAACAAGACTGTCTCAAAAAAAAGAGCATTTACTGCATGCCAGATTGTAAGTATTCCCTGAAATGAGAATAAAGTTGTTCATATTCCACTACCTTAGCAAAGCAGATAGTGACTTTTTTTGTAGATCCTTCTTGTCCTCAAACATACATTTTTCCATAGTTGCAATTAAAGAAAAATGTGGGCCAGGCAGGGTGGCTCATGTCTGTAATCCCAGCACTTTGGGAGGCCGAGGTGGGCAGATCACTTGAGGTCAGGAGTTGGAGACCAGCCTGACCAACATGCTGAAACCCCGTCTCTACTAAAAAATACAAAAAATAGCCAGGTGTGGTAGCGGGCACCTGTAATCCCAGCTACTTGGGAGGCTGAGGCAGGAGAATCACTTGAACCCGGGAGGCAGAGGTCACAGTGAGCCAAGATCGTGCCATTGCACTCCAGTCTGGGCATTAACAGAGAAACTCTGTCTTAAAAAAAAAAAGTAAGAAAAGGAAGGAAGGAAGGGAGGGAGGGAGGGTATTTTGTTTTTCCCCTCAATTTATTGTATGTGTTTTCATGTTGCTTGTGTTCATAATTAGCATTTAAATGACTGCATAATAGGCCGGGCATGGTGGCTCATGCGTATAATCCCAGCACTTTGGGAGGCCGAGGTGGGTAGATCACCTGTCAGTTCGAGACCAGCCTGGCCAACATGGTGAAACCCCGTGTCTACAAAAAATACACAAATTAGCCAGGCGTGGTGACGTGAGCCTGTAGTCCCAACTACACCAGAGGCTGAGGCTGGAGGATAGCTTGAGCCCAGGAGTTCAAGCCCAGGAGTTCGAGGCTGCAGTGAGCCATGATCATGCCATTGCATTCCAGCCTGGGCGACAGTAAGACCTTGTCTCAGGCTGGGCGAGGTGGCTCACACCTGTAATCCCAGCACTTTGGGAGGCCGAGGCGGGCGGATTGCCTGAAGTCAGGAGTTCGAGACCAGTCTGGCCAACATGGTGAAACACCATCTCAACTAAAAATACAAAAAAATTAGCCGGGCGTGGTGGTGTGCGCCTGTAATTCCAGCTACTCGGGAGGTTGAGGCAGGAGAATAGCTTGAACCTGGGAGGCGGAGGTTGCAGTGAGCCGAGATCACACCACTGCACTCCAGCCTGGGCGACAGAGCAAGACTCCGTCTCAAAAAAACAAAAAACAAGAAAAAACCTTGTCTCAAAAAACAACACAAAAACACAAATTTCCTTCTGAAAGGGACTGTTCCAGTTTGCAGTGTGCCCAGCTATTTATGACCATATTATTTTTTAGACTCCGTCTAAAAAAAAAAAAGACTTGTATTTAATGTGATTTAATCGACTGTGCCCATCTCACTGCGGACACTGAGTGCGCAACCTGAGCCTGGAGCAGTTGAGGGAGACGGCAAGACCCCACGCGCCGTGTAACGACCATAACGCGCGTGCACTACAACCTCGCCGCCGGCGTCCAGGCTTCTGTGTTCTATAGCGTGGGAGTAGAGAGCAAACGCCGGCGAGGACGTGACGTTGCACAGGCCTATCATAGTGCCCGAGAATTCGTGGGTGCTCAAGAGGATGGGTGTGGCCTGGCAGCGCAGGCGCACTAGAGGCCTGTAGGGTCGGGGCGCCTGCGCAGTCGCTCTTCCTCAGGCGGCGGCCATGGCGGGACAGGAGGATCCGGTGCAGCGGGAGATTCACCAGGACTGGGCTAACCGGGAGTACATTGAGATAATCACCAGCAGCATCAAGAAAATCGCAGACTTTCTCAACTCGTTCGGTCAGCGGGCCAGCAAGGGGAGGCGGGGAGGAGGGAGGCCGCTGAGGTGGTTGGGCTGGGGCGCCGGGGAGATGCTTTGAGAGGACTCCCGCAGCCTTCGGCTGTTGCGGGTTTTCACTTCCTCCTTCAGGTCCCACCTTCTCCCTCCCGCCCTGACCCTCAGGCTCCCGTAGACAGTCTCTGTAGGGTTATCCTGCCCTACGCTGAGCTCATGGCTTCCTGCCATCCCTCTGGATCCATTCTACAAGTCCTTCTCCTAGACGCGTCAGGCAGCCCCATCCTCGCTCCGTGGTTCTTCTCCTAAGTGGTCTCCCTGCCTCCTTTGTACTCTGCATCCATTCCGGTCCCCACTTTGCACTCAAAGTGAGCATCCGGGACCGTGTCACTCCTCTGTTTCAAGACTGTTGACCGTTCCCCATCTTCAGGATCTGGTCGATACCCTCTAGCGTCGTGCCTTTTAGTTGGACCCGTTGTCAACCACTCCCGTCTTGTCCATTCCTTCCTGTTTCCTGTGTCTGCTGCGGTGAGAGTGGTGGGAGATGAGGTCAGAGGGATGCCAGGATCTTGTAGGACCTTGGAAGTCCTCTCTGTATTGCTAGTATATATAGCTTATGGTAGGTGTTCTGTCTGCTTCTAGCCCATTCCTCAGAGCTAACACAGGTCGGGTGCCTTCAGCAGAAAGATATCTTTACCAGAATCTTTCCTAGGCATGGCCTGCTTGTGACAGCCTTAAATTCTTCCTTATGAACAGCAAGCAAAGCAATCGAGATTCCTACCCCTTCTTCTCCAAGTGTTTAACAGAACTTGGCACTGGTTAGACTTTCTTGTGTAATTACAGGATATAGGGACTAGTGTACTTTGGAAAGATTTTTAAATGAATGATTCTCTAACTAAAGGACTGATGGCCTTAGGAGTACAAAGGTGACAGAGCAAGAGATTGTCAGAAAGCATCAGCGAGAGATGCTAGAGCTCCATATGAGGCCCTCTCTTAAGGCATAGTGGGAGACACAGAATAAGAACCACTTCCTACATTCAAAGAAGTTCTAATCTTGAAGATGAAATAATGACAACTTCAGGACAAAGAAGAGCATCATTTTTGTATTAAAGTATTTTCATACAGGGTGTTTAGGACTATAATCGTGGCTGAGTTCAATGGCTTATGTCTGTAATCCCAGCACTTTGGGAGGCCAAGGTGGGAGGATTGCTTGAGCCCAGGAGTTCAAGACCAGCCTGAGCAACATGACCAGATCCTATCTCTACAAAACAACGACAACAAAAAAATTAGTTGGGCATGGTCATGCACACCTGTTGTCCCAGCTACTCGGGAGGCTGAGACAGGAGGATCACTTGAGCCCTGAAGGCAGTGAGCCATGTTCATGCCACTGCACTCCAGCCTAGGCGACTGACTGAAAATTGAAAAGCCTAAGCTTAGGATTTGCAAAGGAGAAATGTCCCTTTTCTTGCTTTATAGGCAAGGAGATATCAGCTTGGATATTTTTATGTCTAATTTGTAAGAGTCACATTTTATGATCAGATAGAGAGTAAAGACTTTATTTGGGCTTTTCAACAAATTCTTTTTTTTTTTTTTTTTTTTGAGACAGGGTCTCACTCTAGCCCAGGCTGGAGTGCAGTGGCGTGATCTCAGCTCACTGCAACCTCTTCCTCCTGGATTCAAATGATTCTCATGCCCCCGCCTCCTGAGTAGCTAGGATTACAGGTGTGCACCACCACACCTGGCTGATTTTTGTGCTTTTAAAAATAGAGGCAGGTTTTGGCCATCTTGCCCAGGCTGGTCTCAAACTCCTGAGCTCAAGTGATCCACCCGCTTCGGCCTCCCAAAGTGCTGGGATTACAGGCCTGAGCCACTGTGCCCTGCCCCCAAAAATTCTAAACTAAGGAATTAGACATACAGAAGTCCAGTCTTTTGGAGCCAAAAGAAATGACTTCCCTTAGCTTAGATCATTATCCTCCCTTAAAGTGATGATAATGGCCAAATGTTTGGAGTAATTACTAGGTGGTTTTTAAAGATTTTAGAAAGTGAATTTAGAGAAAATAACAATTAAATACAACTAAGTAAGAAGAGAATTATAATGCAGGATTAACAGTCAAAGGAATTTGACTTAGCAGTTAGGTGTACCTGAGGCAAGTTCTTAAAGATTGGCATGGTGGCTCATGCCTGTAATCCCAGCACTTGGGGAGGCTGAGGCGAGCAGATCACCTGAGGTCGAGTTTGAGATCAGCCTGGCTAACATGGTGAAACCCTGTCTCTACTAAAAATACAAAATTAGCTGGGCATGGTGTTGCACACCTGTAATCCCAGCTACTCAGGAGGCTGAGGCAGGAGAATTGCTTGAACCGGGGAGGCAGAGGTTGCAGTGAGCAGGGATCGTGCCACTGCACTGCAGCTTGGGCAAAAGACGAGACTCTGTCTCCAAAAAAAAAAAAAAAAAAGATTGACACTATCACAATGCAAGAGTTTAGAAAAAGACCCCACCGGCTGCGAAACTGGATAAATTAAATTATAAGGATAGACTTGAGTATGTTGTCTTGGTATTGAATGAGTCAGGATGACTATGTATGGGATGTTTTTTTCCCATCCTAAGCCATTAGTAGGCTTGTACAATTGTCCCTTGAACAATACATGTTTGAAGTGCATGGATCCATTTACAGGTAGATTTTTTTTTTTGAGACAGATTTTCATTCTGTCACCTAGGCTGAAGTGCAGTGGCATGATCTCGGCTCACTGCAACCTCCATCTCCCAGGTTCAAGTGATTTTCTTGGCTTAGCTTCCTGAGTAGCTGGGACTACAGGTGTGTGCCACCATGCCCGGCTAATATTTGTATTTTTAGTAGAGACAGGATTCGCCATGTTGGCCATGCTGCTCTTGAACTCCTGGCCTCAAGTGATCCACCTCTGTTCAACCTCCCAAAGTGCTGGGATTACAGGCATGAGCCACTGTGCCTGGCCATAAGTGGATTTATTGCGATAAAAGTTATACAGTATGCCTACCTCTCCTGCCTCCCCTTCCACCTCTGCCACCCATGAGGTAGCAAAACCAACCTCTCTTCTTCCCCTTCTTCCTCAGCCTACTCAGCAGGAAGACAATGAGGATGAAGACCTTTATGATGATCCACTGCCATTTAATGAATAGTAAATATATTTCCTTTTCCTAATGGTTTTTTTTGTTTGTTTGTTTTGTTTGTTTTTTTGAGACGGAGTCTTGTTCTGTTGCCTGGAGTGCAGTGGTGCGATCTCGGCTCACTGCAAGCTCTGCACTCGCGCCACTGCACTCCTGCCTGGGCGAAAGAGCAAGACTCCATCTCAAAAAAAAAAAAAAAAAAGAATTTACTTTGAGGCCAGGCACAGTGGCTCATGCCTATAATCCCAGCACTTTGGGAGGCCGAGGCAGGTGAATCACTTGAGCTCAGGAGTTTGAGACCAGCCTGGCCAATATGGCGAAACCCCATCTCTATAAAAAATACAAAAATTAGCCAGGCATGGTGTCTCATGCCTGTAATTCCAAGCTACCTGGGAGGCTGAGGCATGAGAATCACTTGAACCCTGGAGGCAAAGGTTGCAGTGAGCCAAGATCGTGCCACTGTACTCCAGCCTGGGTGACAGAGTGAGACTCTCTCTCAAAGAAAAAGAATTTACTTTGAGGGAGCATCTGAAGTTCTTCAAATATGTTAGCAATTCTGTAGTCCTTACCCTGACCACAGAGAATCTGCATGGGCCATGTATTTTGGAGAGAGAACTGTTGTTCTAAGATAGTGAATGACTTTCTGAAAAGCATTTACCTTGTGATTCCTGCTGGTGAGAGTAGAGTCACAGTCTCCCACGTGAACTTGAGGACATACAAATCGTAATGTAGCAAAAATATCATAACACTAGGCCTATTTTGCACTTTGGAATTGGTGAAGTTTCTAAAAATAGATGGTTAGAGATTATCGCTTTTTATTCTTATGCTATTTTTTTCTGGTTCTAAAGGTAATATATGCAGAGAAGTATAAAGACAAAATAGAGAATGTGGCTGTTTTTTTAAAATCTTGGTTTTTGTACTGAGCCAACAAATGTAGCATGCCTGGTGTGTGTCAGATGCTGTGAGAAAGGAATAAATATGAATAAATGGGTATGATACCCACTCCTAAGACATTCAGAATTTTGCTGGAAAAGTAAGACTTAACTACAAAAACATTCCAAAAGAAAGACAGTTTTTGTTTTTTTTTTGAGACAGAGTCTCATTCTGTCGCCCAGGCTGGAGTGCAGTGGTGCAATCTCGGCTCACTGCAACCTCCGCCTCCCGGGTTCAAGCGATTCTTCTGCCTCAGCCTCCTGAGTAGCTGGGACTACAGGCATGCGCCACCACGCCTGGCTAATTCTTTTTTTTTTTTTAAGATGGAGTCTTGCTGTGTTGCCCAGGCTTGAGTACAGTGGTGCAATCTTGACTCACTGCAACCTCTGCCTCTTGGGTTCAACTGATTCTCCTGCCTCAGCCTCCCAAATAGCTGGGATTACAGGCACACACAACCATGCCCAGCTACTTTTTGTATTAGTAGTAGAGATGGGGTTTTGCCATGTTAGCCAGGCTGGTCTCAAACTCCTGACCTCAAGTGATCTGCCCACCTCAGCCTCCCAAAGTGCTGGGATTACAGGTGTGAACCACCGTGCCCGGCCTGACAGTATTGATTTTTGTAATGCTGAAGTTATATGCATTAAGTTCAGAGAAGGAGCTGTCTGATAACAGCATTTGTTTCCTAACGAGAACTGGTATTTTCAGTTAAAGGCTGGTGATAATGTACACATACTTGTGCTCTGGTTTCAGATTTATCCAGCTGCTGAATGCTTTCTCAGTGTTTTTTATTTGAACCAGCGTATACTTATTAGGATTTGAAATATGACCAAGGTTTCTGCAGTTGAACATTTTCTATTTCTCAACAGTGTTTATCCATGTAGGCCAGGAGCATAGTATTGTTCTTGAATTCTAATTCATTACCAGATTGACAGCTAGAACAGAATAGCCACCCAGGAAGGAAACTTCCCTCTCTCCTACCTCCCCCAATAATTTTCGTATGTCTTCATGGGAAATGGCAGGTTGTCAGAGATAATATTCATGCTCTTACTCAGTAGCATACATAACGTGCTTTCAGACTTCCAAAAACCAGACTGAAAAGAGGCTTGGTCCTGTTGGGCAGTTCCGACAGAAAGTGGCAGTACATCCAGGAAAAGGGGGATGCTGAAGTGATCATACTTAAGCTAGACCTGGGAATTCAAGCAGCACAAGCGTAAAAAGAATGAAGAATGTCCAGAAATGGCAAATCCATAGAGACAAAGATTAGTGGTTCCCAGGGACTGAGGGGTGACAGAATGGGGAGTGACAGGACTAAGAGGTATAAGGTATCTTTTGGGGATGATGAAAATATTCTAAAAGTAGATTATAATTATTGCACAACTCTGTAAGTATACTAAAAACCACTGAATTGTATACTTTAAGCAGGTGAAAGAATGGAAAGTGGCAGAGTTGGGCTGGAGACCTGGGGTATAAATTATAGCCCCGGAGGCACAGAAAGATGATAGTAGTGTGCATTGGGATGCACACAGTATGGGAAAGAATACCAGTGACCCAACATGGGCCCTCAGCTTACCTAGACCTCAGTTTTCCCACTTGTAAGGTGAATAGAGTTACACTAGAGTCAATCTTTTGTTCCACTAATATACCAGAATCCATCTTTTTTTTTTCAGTCAACATCTATGTACCAGGCAAGATGCTAAGGTTACAAGAGGCAATATGTACTTCTTTTGATTAACTTGTTCTAACGGTGAAACAGACATGTAAATAAATTGTAAATTACAAGTACATAAATATCATTTGGTTTCGTAACATGAATATTTTCCTATTTCATTAAATATTCCTCAAACTTTTTTTTTTTTTAAGACAGAGTTTCACTCTTGTTGTCCAGGCTGGAGTGCAATGGTGCAATCTCGGCTCACTGCCTCAGGTGATCCACCCACCTCGGCTTCCCAAAGTGCTGGGATTACAGGCGTGAGCCTCTGCACCCGGCCACTTTTTTTTTTTTTTTTTTTTTTTTTGAGATGGAGTCTCGCTCTGTTGCCCAGGCTGGAGTGCAGTGGTGCAGTCTTGACTCTCTGCAACCTCCGCCTCCTGGGTTTAAACCATTCTCCTGCCTCAGCCTCCAGAGTAGCTGGGATTACAGGTGTGCGCCACCATGCTTAGCTAATTTTGTATTTTTAGTAGAGACAGGATTTCTTTTTTTTTTGTATTTTTAGTAGGTATGGGGTTTCTCCATGTTGGTCAGGTTTGTCTTGAACTCCGACCTCAGGTGATCCGCCCGCCTCGGCCTCCCAAAGTGCTGGAATTACAGGCATGAGCCACCGCGCCTGGCCACTTGTAACTTTCAATGGCTATTTTAATAGTCTCATTAATACGCTATATCAAACCATTCCAATCATGGGCATTTGGTTTTGTTGCTTTTTCACCATCTTAAATAGTAGTGATGCACATTCTTATTTGTAAAATCTTTATCCAAAGAGGGAAGTCATAACCAAAGACCAAGTACATGAATAACTTACAAATTAGAAATTCAGAGGCTGGCACGGTGCCTCACGCCTGTAATCCTAGGACTTTGAGAGGCCAAGGCAGGTGGATTGCTTGAGTTCAGGAGTTTGAGATCAGCCTGGGCAACAAAGTGAGACCCCCATATCTACCAAAACAAAAAACAAAAAAATTAGCCAGGCACAGTGGCATCCACCTACTGAGTAGTAATTGCAGCTACTCGGGAGGCTGAGGTGGAAGGATCACTTGAACCTAGGAGTTGGAGGGTGCAGTAAGCTATGATTGCAACACTGAACTCTAGCCTGGGTGACAGAGCAAGACCATGTCTCTTTTAAAAAAAAAAATTCATCCGTAAATGTTTAGATAAATACAGAAGAGGAAGAATTATTATGTCCATCTGGCAAGACCTCTCAGAGATAGAATTTGAACTTAGCCTTGAAGGAGATAGGCAGGCAAGATGAGTAAGATTTGGACATAATAAGATGAAAGTTGAGGCAAGATCAGGGTGTAGGAAGATTTGTCAAAATGGATGCTGAAGCGCTTTTGCAAAACAGCCAGGGAATAGATGAAAAGGAAACTTGTTAGCTAAGTGTTAAATCATTGCGTGGGAGAGTCTCAGCGAATATTTCAGACTTGAAAACTGAAGTTTATTGAGAGATGACTGAACAACAATGTTGGAGGAGAGAGTAGAAGATAATGACCATGCTAAGATACCTTTTCTCTCATATGTTGAGAATAGTTGGAAAAAGAATAGTTCCTGTTACAGAAGTTTGCAGAGAAAAAGTTGTTTTAAATTAAATCTGGTTTCATTTTGAATGAGATGGTAAAAGAAGATTGGAAAAGCTAGAGGAAGAAGAATAATTTTGGCTGTTTTCACAGATGGAATGTGGGCTTTATCGGGTATTTGATGCTCTCCAACTTTTCTCTAGTTCTGAAAGGCCTTTGCCTCTAGGAGCAACAGTAGTGACATGGCTTTAATGAGCTCAGAACTCTCACACCTTCCCTCCCCATAATTTCTGCTGCTTTCTTGGCCTCTACTTTCTTTCCTTTTTTTTTTTTTTTGAGACGGAGTCTCACTCTGTTTCCCAGGCTGGAGTGCAGTGGTGCAATCTCGGCTCACTGCTACCTCCATCTCCCGGGTTCAAGCAGTTCTCTGCCTCAGCCTCCCGAATAGCTGGAATTACAGGCGCCCGCCACCACACCCGGCTAATTTTTTGTATTTTTAATAGAGACGGGGTTTCATTGTGTTAGCCAGGATGGTCTCCATCTCCTGACCTCGTGATCCACTGCCTTGGCCTCACAAAGTGCTGGGATTACAGGCCTGAGCCACCGTGCCTGGCCTTTTTTTTTTTTTTTTTTTTTGAGATGGAGTCTCACTCTGTCACCCAGGCTGCAGTGCAGTGGTGCAATCCCAGCTCACTGCAACCTCCGCCTCCCAGGTTCAAGTGATTCTCCTGCCTCAGCCTCCCGAGTAGCTGGGACTAGAGGCACCCGCCACCACACCCAGCTAATTTTGTATTTTTAGTAGAGATGGGGTTTCACCATGTTAGCCAGGCTGGTCTCAAACTTCTGACCTCAGTTGATCTGCCCACCTTGGCTTCCCAAAGTGCTGGGATTACAGGCGTGAGCCATCACGCCCAGCCTCGTTTCTTTCCTGTTGAGATTATTTTCTTATTCTTGCCATGTCCCCTCTCTTGAAAGTCTTAGTTAGGCCATTAGTAAATGGCTGTACAGCCTTGGTGTATTCATTTGCTATTCCTGGCATAACATATTACCACACAGGCTGGGCACAGTGGCTCACACTTGTAATCTCAGCACTTTGGGAGGCCAAGGCGGGCGGATCACGAGGACAAGAGATTGAGACAATCCTGGCCAACATGGTGAAACCCCGTCTCTACTAAAAATACAAAAAAAAAAAATTAGCTGGGCATGGTGGCGCACACCTGTAGTCCCAGCTACCTAGGAGGCTGAGGCAGGAGAATCGCTTGAACCCGGGAGGCAGAGGTGGCAGTGAGCCAAGATTGCGTCACTGCACTCCAGCCTGGAAACAGAGTGAGACTCCATCTCAAAAAAAAAAACCAAAAAAACAAATTACCACACATTTTGTGGCTTAAACCACATACATTTATTATTTACCATGTGTAGGTCATAAATCAAACACTGGTCACTGGGCTAGCAATCTTCACACCTTGGCCAGCAGTCTTCACACCTTGGCCTTCTGAAGTATTAGGATTACAGGCATGAGTCACTGCTCCTGGCCTGGGCTCCAATCAGGGTTTCAGCAGGACTGCCTTCCTTTCTGGAGGCTCTAGGAGAGGGTCTAGTTCCTCGAATATTGGGTTGTTGGCAGAATTCAGTTTCTCGTGGTTGTAGGACTGAGATCTCTGTTTTGTTGCTGGCTGTGAGCTGAGAGTTGTTCCCAGCTTCTAAAGGTCACTTACATCCCTTGGTTCATGGCTCCCTTCTTCCACTTTCAAAGCCAACAATGGCAGATTGCATCCCCTTCACACTTGGAATCTCTTTTTCTTCTTCCATTTCATCTCTGACCCCCTTCCTATGCCTTTCTCACCTACATTTGTGGACTATGATTAGATTGGGCCCAAATGGACAATCCAAGACAAACTCTAGGATCTCAAGGTTCTTAACCTTAATCATACCTGCAAAGCCCTGTTTCCTCATGTATAATCCATATTCACAGGATCCAGGGATTAGAGAAAGGACTTTTTTTTGAGACAGAGTTTTGCTGTTTGACCCAGGCTGGAGTGAAGTGGCGAGATCTTGGCTCACTGCAACCTTTGCCCCCCCCGGTTCAAGTGATTTTCCTGCCTCAGCCTCTTAAGTAGCTGGGATTACAGGCATGTGCCATCATGCCTGGCTAATTTTTGTATTTTTAGTAAGAGACAGGGTTTCATGATGTTGGCCAGGCTGGTCCCGAACTCTTGACCTCAGGTGATCCACCCGCCTAGTCCTCCCAAAGTGCTAGGATTACAGGCATGAGCCACCGTGCCCTGCAGGAAAGGACGTTTTTGTGGGGCCGTTATTCTCTACTTGCAACACTTGATAGGAAGTTCAGCAGATCCACTCTAAGCAACTGTGCTATGAGTGGATCTTAGCACTGTATCCATTTCCATTTGTATTCTGTGTATTATTCCTCTTTTTCATTGTAGGTGTTGTGTGTGTCTGTGTCTGTGTTTGGAGTGACATTAATCCTGAACACCAGTCTCTTTTTCTCAGATATGTCTTGTCGTTCAAGACTTGCAACACTAAACGAGAAATTGACAGCCCTTGAACGGAGAATAGAGTACATTGAAGCTCGGGTGAGTTTGATGGGCAAGGGCATTCCAGAGAGAATGCACATTTCCACTTATTGCTGAAAAAAACCTGAAAGCAGAAACAGTCTTAGGAAACTTAAGCACTGGCCGGACATGGTGGCTCACGCCTGTAATCCCAGCACTTTGGGAGGCCAAGACAGGTGGATCACTTGAGGTCAGGAGTTCGAGTCCAGCCTGGCCAACATGGTGAAACCCCATCTCTACTAAAAATACAAAAATTAGCCAGGCATGGTGGCTCACACCTGTTGTCCCAGCTACTCGGGAGGCTGAGGCAGGAGAATTACTTGAACCTGGGAGGTGGAGGTTGCAGTGAGCCGAGATCACACCACTGCACTCCAGCCTGGGTGGCAGAGTGAGACTCCATCTCAAAAAAACAAAAGAAGAGAAAAGTTAAGCATGTTGCCTGGATTTGAACCATGTTTCTGTGACTTCACAGCTATCTTCTTTTCTGCTATTTCTCACTGCCTAGGATCTAAAGATTTTTTTTTAGACCCCTCTAATCTTTTTTAATTTATCTAAATGTCAGTTTTCCTTTCCTTTCACAGGTGACAAAAGGTGAGACACTCACCTAGAACAGTGCCGTGCTGCTGCTGGGAAGTTGCTTTACACAACACAGGCCACATGGGAAAGGCCCCAGCAGCCTTCAGCTCCTTCCTTTCTCCTTAAAGAGCAACAGGGCTTATTCTTGTTTTTCTTTTTTCAAAAGTGTGGCCTTTGGGCTCTGCCATCTGGGGTGTGGTGTGGTATGTGGGAAGAAGTTCAGAGGAACCGTTGGAAACGACGTTAGGCATTTTACCTTTTCAGTAACATTTTATACATCTACTTGTCAATGTATTTGAGACATTCACAGCCAAAAGCCTGGGACTCTTTGTGAAGGTCCTCCTCACCTCTATCTTTCTTTCTCTCTCTCTCAAACTTTCCTTAAAGTTCTCATTGCCTTTGCACTGCTTCTGTGAACAGTCTTTGTCTCCTCCCCACCTTTGGTGGGAAGTGCGGGGC
Organism: Homo sapiens; assembly: GCF_000001405.40. Taxonomy (NCBI): domain Eukaryota; kingdom Metazoa; phylum Chordata; class Mammalia; order Primates; family Hominidae; genus Homo; species Homo sapiens. The sequence continues at coordinate 10,126,723 of NC_000003.12, forward strand.
AGTCCTGGTCAAGACACTCATGCCCTGGCAATGTGGCTGCCAGAGAATGTTGTTGCTAACCCACCAGTTTCTTGTTGATTTGGAGAGGTCAAGGCCAGGCCCCCACTTGGCTTGAAGGGACATTTTCAGACTTTTCTTTCTGTCACTTGGAGTGTCTATGCCTCTCATATTTCCCTAATAAACTCCTCAACTTTTTATCTGACTGCTGTGATTATGGTGGGGAGAGGAGCTAGAGATGGGTTCACTTATTGCACAGAAATGTAATACATGGCGTTATTATTCTAACATAAAACTTTCAGATGTAGCTGTTTGATTCAAAGCCTAGGTGGCTTACCAGCCCAAGTCCCCATGTTTGGACTTTCAGCTGACTAGCTCATCTTGGGAATCATTTGGTCATTCAGCACATTTACCAAGTATTTACTATGTAGGCATGTTAAACTCCAATAAAACATACAGCATTGAATCAGACATGATGCTTACAGTCTTTTGAAATACCAGCATTCACACAATTTAGCCACAATCCAAGGAAGATTATTAGTTTTATAAGGCACAAGCTAAGTGTCTACTCTTTGAAAAGCAGATAGCCGGGTTCAGTGGCTCAGGCCTGTAATCCCAGCACTTTGGGAGGCTGAGGCGGGTGGATCACAAGGTCAGGAGATCGAGACCATCCTGGCTAACACGGTGAAACCCCAGCTCTACTAAAAAAAGATACAAAAAAAATTAGCTGGGAGTGGTGGTGGGCACCTGTAGTCCCAGCTACTCGGGAGGCTGAGGCAGGAGAATGGCCTGAACCCGGGAGGCGGAGCTTGCAGTGAGCTGAGATCGCGCCACTGCACTCCAGCCTGGGCGACAGAGTGAGACTCCATCTCAAAAAAAAAAAAAAGTCTACCTCAAGCCAAATTTCCCCCTGAAAGTTCTCCTGGACTTGACTTTTTCATTTAGTATTGCCCTTTTCCTCTTCTCAGTTCCTCCCAATCCTACCATGCTGACACTGTGCTTCAGCTCTGGATTTGATCTTGATATGGATTTATCTCTGATTTAGCATGTGCATCCTAGAATAGAAACGAACATCTTTGGCCAGGTGCAGTGGCTCATGCCTGTAATCCCATCACTTTGGCTGGGTGGATCACTTGAGGTCAGGAGTTCAAGACCAGCCTGGCCAACATGGCGAAACCCGGTCTCTACTAAAAATACAAAAATTAGCTGGGTATGGTCGCAGGCACCTGTAATCCCAGCCACTCAGGAGGCTGAGGTAAGAGAATTGCTTGAACCTGCAGAGATTGCAGTGAGCCGAGATCACGCCACCGCACTCCAGCCTGCTGGGCGACAAAGCGAGACTGTCTCAAAAAAAAAGAAGTAGTTCTAAAGTTCAAGTTTTAGGTTATCTGGTGCCGTCAGTTTAAAAGACACATGGATTTAATAGCAGACAGGTGCTTAAAAAAAAAGCATTGAGTTCCTGCTATATGCAAGGACCAGCATGATATAGTAATAGTGGCAAAAGTGATGGTATACTAGGCAGAAAAAGCTCTTCTTTTTATGACATTACATGTGAAAATGCTCAGTACGTTTTTTATTGGCTTCTAGATATTAATTGGCTGGGCACAGTGGCTCATGCCTGTAATCCCAGCATTTTGGGAGGCTGAGGCAGGTGGATCACTTGAGGTCAGGAGTTTGATACCAGCCTGACCAACATGGTGAAAACCCATCTCTACTAAAAATACAAGAAAAATTAGCCAGGCATGGTGGTGCCTGCCTGTAATCCCAGCTGCTTAAGGGGCTGAGGTAGGAGAATCACTTGAACACAGGAGGCAGAGTTTGCAGTGAGCCAAGATCGCACCACTGCACTCCAGACTGGGCAACAAGAGCAAAACTCCATCTCAAAAAAAAAAAAATCTTAATTTATTGTTATTAAAATAATATGCTCTAAACGAGTTAGTGCCCTTAATAGTACCATACTGCTAGGTGTGGTGGTGTGCGCCTGTAATCCCAGTTACTCAGGAGGCTGAGGTGGGAGGACAGCTTGAGCCTAGGAGGTCAGCACAAGCCTCAGCAACATAATGAGACCCGTCTTTATTTTTTTTTTTTAATTTTTCTATTTTTTTAGTTAGCTTTTTTTTTTTTTTTTTTGAGACAGAGCCTTGCTCTGCTGCCAGGCTGGAGTGCTGTGGCACAATTGCGGCTCACTGCAACCTCCGCCTCCCGGGTTCAAGTGATTCTCCTGCCTCAGCCTTCCAAGTAGCTGGGACTACAGGCACACGCCGCCACGCCCGGCCAATTTTTTGTATTTTTAGTAGAGACGGGGTTTCACTGTATTAGCCAGGATGGTCTTGATCTCCTGACCTCGTGATCTGCCTGCCTCAGCCTCCCAAAGTGCTGGGATTACAGGTGTAAGCCACCGCGCCCGGCAGCTCTTTTTTTCTTTTTATGTCCAGCCAACTCATCATAATTTTTTTAATTATAATTTTTTTAATCTACCTTTTTTTTTGAGACAGAGTTCGAGACCAACCTGGGCAATGTGGCAAGACCCCTATCTCCACTAAAAATACAAAAATTAACTGGGCATGGTGGCATGCACCTGTAGTCCCAGCTACTCAGGATGCTGAAGTAGGATTGCTCAAGCAATTCGCCTAGGAGGTGGAAGCTGCAGTGAGCTGGGATTGCACCACTGCACTCCATCCCGGGCAACAGAGTGCGACCTTGTCTTAAAAAAAAAAAATCTTGAGTGGAAAATGAGCTAAATTTTAAATTTTCCTCTAAGCCATTCATAGGCACCTTCAAGGGAACCTCTTCATGCCTGTATACTTTGAAATGTTTTTTACCCTATAATTTGGTTTAATTCACTTATTTACTGAAAAGCTGAAAAGTAAGAGGTTTGAACCCATGAGCTATTAGGCATAGATTGCAAGTCCCTTGATAATAAAGCAGTTTTCAGTCTGTCTTTAAAAATTAAGCTTGGGCCGGGCGCTGTGGCTCACGCCTGTAATCCCAGCACTTTGGGAGGCCAAGGCGGGCGGATCACGAGGTCAAGAGATCGAGACCATCCTGGCCAACATGGTTAAAGTGGATTTCAGAAGCAGGAAAAAATAGGGAGCTTATTGTCTGGCTGATCGTTACAGAAGTACCCAGTTCTGTCATTCCACTCTTGCTACTCAGACCTTTAACTACCCATGTTTATTTCACCAAGCTAAAGAAGTATACTACAGGTTGATGATCCCCACTCCGAAAATCTGAAATGCTTCAAAATCTAAAACTTTTTGAGCACTGACATGGCACTCAAAGGAAATGCTCATTGGAGCATTTTGTATTTCGGATTAGGGATGCTCAATGAGTACGTATATAAGGTTGTTCCAAAAGTATTTCAGATTTCCAAATGCTGAAAAAATCCCAAATCCAAAACACCTCTGGTCCCAAGCATTTCAGATAATACTCAGCCCGTACTATAAGCCACACTAAGTAGAGTACAGGCCAGGCGTGGTGACTCACACCTATAGTCCTAGCACTTTGGGAGGCTGAGGCAGGAGAATTGCTTGAGCCCAGGAATTTGAGACCAGCCTGGGCAACATAGTGCGACCCCCCTCTATAAAAGCAGTTTTTAAATTAGGAGGGTGTGGTGGCACAAGCCTATAGTCCCAGCTACTGGGAAGGCTGAAGTAGGAGGATCGCTTGAGCCCAGAAGGTCGAGGCTGCAGTGAGCTATGATCATGCCACTGCATTCCAGCCTTGGTGACAGAGTGAGACACCATCTCAAAAACATGGTGTGGGGGCTGGGTGCTGAGGCTTATGCCTCCCAGCACTTTGGGAGGCCGTGGCGGATGGATCACTTGAGGCCAGAAGTTCAACACCAGCCTGGCCAACAGCAAAACCCTGTCTCTACAATAAAAAGAAAAATAGAAAAAATAAACAAATAAACATGGTGGTGGGGACAGGAAGCCTGTTGTTCATCTCTAGGCTCTTTCCCAGTATTTATACTCAGATTCATGCTGTTGCCTGCAAAAAAGGTTGGCCCCCAGTTGCCTCTGGATAATATGATTTAGAAAATTTGCTCTGGCAGTTTGCAGACAATTGCTGCCGTAAATAATTGTTCAAAACTTCATGGCTGGGTGCAGTGGCTCACACCTGTAATCCCAGCATTTTGGGAGGCCAAGGTGGGCAGATCGCTTGAGGTCAGGAGTTCGAGACCAGCCTGGTCAATATGGTGAAACCCCATCTCTACTAAAAATGAAAAAAAAAAAAAAATTAGCCAGGCTTGATGATGTGTGCCTGTAATCCCAGCTACTCGGGAGGCTGAGGCATAAGAATCGCTCGAACCTTGGAGGTGGAATTTGCAGCAAGTTGAGGTCATGCCACTGCACTCCAGCCTGGGCAAGAGAGCTGGATTCTGTCTCAAAACAATAATAACAGCAACAACAACAACTAACATCTAAAGGCCATATGACTGTCAACTAGATTATACAATAAGAAAGGCTGATTTAGAGTTCTCAGGTTTTGTTGTTGTTGTTGTTTGTTTTTTGTGTTTTTTTTTTTGAGACAGGGTCTTTCTTTGTTACCCAGGCTGGAGTGCAGTGGCGCAATCTTGGTTCACTGCAACCTCTGTCTCCCAGGTTCAAGCGATTCTCATGCCTCAGCCTCCTGAAGAGCTGAGATTACAGGTATGCACCACCAGGCCCAGCTAATTTTTGTATTTTTAGTAGAGACAGGGTTTCACCAGGTTGGCCAGGCTGGGGTTTCTTTATTTAATTTTTCTTTATTTATTTGTTTTTTTTGTTTTTAGAGACAGGGTCTCACTATGCTGCTTAGGCTGGTCTCAAACTCCTGGGCTCAAGCAATCTTCCCGCCTTGGCCTCCCAAAGTGTTGGGCTTACAGGCATGAGCCACTGTGCCCGGCTGGTTTATTTTCTAATGAAAAGTTACCCTGGAGGATCACTGGAGGCCAGGAGTTTAAGACCAGCCTGGGCACCATAGTGAGACACCGTATCTGCTAAAAAAAAAAAAAAAAAAAAAAAAAAAAAAAGTAAAGTCACCCTGTGCACTAAATTGGCAAAAGATTAGGACTAGCAAGAATTAAAACTCACAGAACATTAGGGTGAGAAAGAATCTTAGAGATAATCTAGTCTGCCCCTGCCATTCTAGGAATATAGAAGCAAACCCAGACAGGTTGAGTGACAGACATGTCCATCCTGGTGGCAAAGCCAAAACTAAAACCTTATTCCCAGGTCAGTGCAGAGCCACTCAGAGTCTCATAAATAAGTTTTGTGTTTTCTGTACCATACCGGCCCTCTATTAGCCTCTCCCTGGATCTCACTGATACCTTGAGAGTGCAAAAAAGCAATTGTTCGTTACATTTATCTAAGTGGTGGTATCCATTGGCATCAACATTTGCATTTAGGACAAAGTTATCTTTGGCTCCTTTGAGCTTGCTACGACTATCAAGCGTGAAGTTTGTATTGTGCCTCAGCTGCATTTTCCAACCATAACAGTTTTTAAAAAAATAATTTTATTGGATAGGTGTGGTGGCTTATGCGTGTAATCCCATTACTCTGGGAGGCTGAGATGGGAAGATTGCTTGAGCCCAGGAGTTTTGAGGACAAACTGGGCAACCCAGAGAGACCGCCACCACAAAAAATAAACACAATTAGGCGGGTGTGGTGGTGCATGCCTGTAGTCCCAGTTACTCATGGGGCTGAGGTGGGAGGATCACCTAGGCCCAGGAGGTCATGGCTGTAGTGAGCCAAGATCACACCACTGAACTTCAGCCTGGGTGACAGAGCAAGACCCTGTCTCAATAAATGAATAAATGAAATGAAATGTTTCAATTCAATAAATGATAAATGCTTCAGTGTGGCTTTCACAAACATTTTGCCTAAGAAGTTGTTTATTAGCATTAAATACATTGTATGTCTATTATGTGTGAGGCACTGGAGATAAAATGAGAAACAGACAGTTTCTACTCTTAAGGAGCTTATAGTATAGTCATTTATTCACTGTATGTTCTCAAAGCAAAAGACACTAGAATGACATTTGCAGAAAAACCTCAGGAAAACACAACATACACAAAGGAGCAATGTGGTATCAACTTCACTGCATGATAAAGATACCATAGGCCAAAATTGTATTGTACATGGAAATGATGTTTGGGTTTTTGTTGCTGTTGTTATTTTTGTTTGTTTACCATTGTAAAAGTAATATATCACCACATATACATTATGGACATACACATGCATTTGAAAAGCATTAACAATTGGCCTGAATAAATATATAAAGAACTATTAAAACTCAGCAGTAAGAAAACAGCTAAATAAATGGACGAAATATTTGAACTGACACCTTGAAGACAAAAAACAGGCTGAGCCCGGTGGCTCACACCTGTAATCCAAGCACTTTGGGAAGCCAAGGCGGGTGGATCACCTGAGTTCAGAAGTTCGACATCAGCCTGGCCAACATGGCTAAACTCCGTCTCTACTAAAAATATAAAACTAGGCCAGTTGTGGTGGTGCACATCTATAGTCCCAGCTACTCAGGAGGCTGAGGCAGGAAAATCACTTGAACCTGGGAGGCGGAGGTTGCGCCACTACTCTCCAGCCTGGGCGACAGAGTGAGAGTCTGTCTCAAAAAAAAAAAAAAAAAAAAAAAAAAAAACAAGAATGGCAAACAAAATACAACAGAGTTTTTCATAGTTCATAAGCATGATGAGTGGGTTTTCATGTTCATGTGTGAGGTGTGCCTCCCTCAAACCTTGTTATGATGTCAACACATTGCCCATCTGATGTGAGAAGAAGTAAAAAAACAGTGAAAAGGCAGTTTACAGAATGGGAGAAAACATTTGCAAATCATACATCCAATAAGGAGTTAATATTCAAAATATATAAGGACCTCAATAGCAAGGAAACGATTTTAAAATGGGCAAAGGACCTAAGTAGACATTTCTCAACAGAAGACATTAAATGGCCAAAAGATAAGTGTTGGTGAGGACGTGGAGAAAACAGAACCCTCCCAGGTTCTTGGTGGGAATGTATATTAGTACAGCCATTATGGCAAACAGTTTGGAGGTTCCTGGAAAAACTAAAAATGGAATTACCATGTGATCCAACAATCTCACTTCTGGGTATATATACATAGGAAATGAAAATCAGTATTTTGAAGAGATATCTGCACTCCCATGTTCATTGCAGCACTATTCACAATAGCCACACTATGGAATCAAGTGTCCATTGCCAGACGAATGGATAAAGAAAATGTGCGCTGGGTGCGGTGGCTCATGCCTGTAATCCCAGCACATTGGGAGGCCAAGACGGGCAGATCACTTGAGATCAGGAATTTGAGACCAGCCTGGCCAACATGGCAAAACCCCATCTCTACTAAAAATACAAAATTAGCCGGGCGCAGTGGTGGGCGCCTGTAATCCCAGTTACTCTGGAGGCTGAGGCAGGAGAATCGCCTAAACCCGGGAGGCGGAGGTTGTGGTGAGCCGAGATCGCACCATTGCACTCCAGCCTGGGCAACAAGAGCGAAACTCCGTCTCAATCAATTAATCGATCAATAAAATACGTTGAACTCACAAAAGCAGGCAGTACAATGGTGGTTGCCAGGGCCAGGGGAGTTGAGATGAAACAGGGAGATATTGGTCAAAGGGTACGAGTCACCCTTTTGGTTGGGAGGAATATATTCTGGACATCTGTTATACAGCATGATGACTATAGTTAATAAATAATGTATATTTGAAAATTGTTAAGAGTGTAGTTTTTTTTTTTTTTCTAAGACGGGGTCTTGCTCTGTCACCCAGGCTGGAGTGCAGTGGTGCGATCTCGACTCACTGCAACCTCTGCCTCCTGGGTGACAGAGCAGGAGCACTGTCATCTTGGACAAACACCACCACTTTAAGTTCCAGCTCCCTTTCTAGCCTCATACATTTCAAGGAAATCACTTCTCTTCTAACCACAAGCAGCCAGAAAGAGCAGACAGTAAAACACAGATAAGACAGCTTGGGCACAGAGGGAAGTAGGGGGAAAGTCTACTTTCCCCCTACTTGGGTAACTGGGTAACTGCCAAACTTCACCCTCATACAATGTGCCCCAGTAAAACAGTGGGCCTTAATAGGCACATTTCTTTCCCTCAGGTGCACTAAGATAGGGAAGCTAAAAGCAGACTCAGGGGACATGCCTGCAGCTGCAGAAAGATGTACGGGAACAGACAACTCTCCCGCCCAGGTAAGCACAACGAAGAGACACAGAAGCAGTCGAAGCCTCTGATAAACTCTCCCACCCTGAATCCTTAAAAACTCTGTAAGATTGTGCAGCTTCTGACCTAACTTGGTCAGAAATCCCTCCCAGGTTTGAAATAAACCTGTTGACTGTCAACCCACCCTTCATGTTTCTCTCCTTTAATTCTGACACTGGGTTCAAGCGATTCTCCTGCCTCAGCCCCCCGCGTAGCTGGGACTACAAGCACCCACCACCATGCCTGGCTAATTTTTGTATTTTTAGTAGAGACAGGGTTTCACCATGTTGGCCAAGCTGGTCTCGAACTCCAGACCTCAGATGATCTGCCTACCTTGGCCTCCCAAAGTGCTGGGCTTACAGGCATGAGCCACCGTGCCCAGCCAAAAGAGTAGATCTTAAATGTTCTCACCACAAAAAAACTGAAGTAATAAATACATTAGCTTTATTTTTTAAATTTTTAATTATTTTACAAAATAGAGATAGGGTCTCACTGTGTTGCCCAGGCTGGTCCTGAACTCTGGGCTCAAGCAATCCTCCCACCTGGGTCTCCCAAAGTGCTGGGATTAACAGACGTGAGCCACTGCACTTGGCCAGCTTGATTATTTTTTAATGGCAAACAAGCTCATGAAAAGATGCTCAACATTGTTAGTCACTAGAGAAGTGTGTCCAGAATTGGTGGGTTCTTGGTCTCACTGACTTCAAGAATGAAGCTGCAGACCCTTGCGGTGAGTGTTACAGTTCTCAAAGGTGGCGTGTCCAGAGTTTGTTCCTTCTGATGTTCGGATGTGTTCAGAGTTTGTTCCTTCTGGTGGCTGCGTGGTCTTGCTGGCTCAGGAGTGAAGCTGCAGACCACCGCGAGTATTACAGCTTTTAAAGCACTGCATCTAGAGTTTTTGGTTCCTCCAAGTGGGTTCGTGGTCTTGCTGGCTTCAGCAGACCTTCACGGTGAGCGTTACAGCTCACAAAGGCAATGCGGACCCAAAGAGTAAGCAATAACAATATTTACCGCAACGACTAAAAGAACAAACCTCTCACGACATACAAATGGACCCAACCGGGTTGCCACTGCTAGCTCTGGCAGCCTGCTTTTATTCTCTTACCTGGCCCCACCCACATCCTGCTGATTGGTCCATTTTACAGAGAGCCCATTGGTCCATTTTACAGAGAGCTGATTGGTCCGTTTTGACAGGGTGCTGATTGGTGTGTTTACAATCCCTGAGCTAAACACAAAGGTTCTCCAAGTCCCCACCAGAGTAGCTAGATACAGAGTGTCGATTGGTGCATTCACAAACCCTGAGCTAGACACAGGGTGCTGATTGGTGTGTTTACAAACCTTGAGCTAGATACAGAGTGCCAATTGGTGTATTTACAATCCCTTACCTAGACATAAAGGTTCTCCAAGTCCCCACCAGACTTAGGAGCCCAGCTGGCTTCACCCAGTGGATCCTGCACCGGGGCGCAGGTGGAGCTGCCTGCCAGTCCCGCACCCTGCACCTGCACTCCTCAGCCCTCAGGTGGTTGATGGGACTGGGCGCAGTGGAGCAGGGGGTGGCGCTCGTCGGGGAGGCTCGGGTGGCACAGGAGCCCACGGAAGAGGGGGGAGGCTCAGGCATGGCGGGCTGCAGCTCCTGGGCCCTGCCCGGCTGGGAGGCAGCTAAGGCCCTGCGAGAAATTGAGCACAGCAGCTGCTGGCCCAGGTGATAAGCCCCTCACTGCCCTGGGCTTGCAGGCCGGCTGAGCCCACGCCCACCCGGAACTTGTGCTAGCCCACAAGCGCCACGGCAGCCCCGGTTCCCGCCCGCACCTCTCCCTCCACACCTCCCTGCAAGCTGAGGGAGCCGGCTCTGGCCTTGGCCAGCCCAGAAAGGGGCTCCCACAGTGCAGCCGCATGCTGGACAGCTCCTCAAGCGTGGCCAGAGTGGTGGCCAAGGCCAAGGAGGTGCCGAGAGTGAGCGAGGGCCGCGAGGGCTGCCAGCACATTGTCACCTCTCAGAAGTACAAATTAAACGTCAATAAGATACCACTATACATCAATTAGAATGGCTAAAATTTTTTTATTTTTAAAGAACAAAACCCCAGGCCAGGCGCGGTGGCTCACGCTTGTAATCCCAGCACTTTGGGAGGCCGAGGTGGGCGGATCACAAGGTCAGGAGATCGAGACCATCCTGGCTAACACGGTGAAACCCCGTCTCTACTAAAGATACGAAAAGTTAGCTGGGCGTGGTGGCGGGCGCCTGTAGCCCCAGCTACTTGGGAGGCTGAGGCAGGAGAATGACATGAACCCCGGAGGTGGAGGTTGCAGTGAGCCGAGATTGTGCCACTGTACTCCAGCCTGGGCGGCAGAGCGAGACTGTCTCAAAAAAAAAAAAAAGAACAAAACCTCAAATCTGATAATACCAACTGTAGACAAGAATGTGGAGCAACTGGAACAGTCATACATTGCTGGTGAGAATGCAAAATGATACAACTGCTCTGGGGAAACAGGTTAGCAATTTCTCATGAAGTTAAACATGTACTTTGTGTTTGACCTAGCAATCTCCTAGGTGATTCTCACCCAAGAGAAACAAAACTTATGTTTGCAAGAAACCTGTACACTAATGTATATAGCAACTTTATAATTGCTAAAAACTGGAAACAAACCAATATCTTGCAGTTGGTAAGTAGATAGTATGGAATACCCTTGGCAATAAAAATGAGTAAGTTATTATATACTACAACTTGGATGAATCTCAAATGCATTATGCTAAGTGAAAAAAAGCCAAACTCATAAGGCTACATATGATACGATTTTGTTGTGTGACATTCTGGAAAGGCAAAACTATAGGGACACAAGACAGACAGACCAGTGCTTGCCAGGGATTAACAGTGGAAGCAGGGTTTGACCATGAAGGAGTTTTGGGGGTGACAAGATACTCTGGTTTTTTTTTTTTTCTTGAGACAGAGTCTCGCTTTGTCGCCCAGGCTGGAGTGCAGTGGCACGATCTCAGCTCATTGCAAAAACTGGAAACGAAGTAAATATGGCAACATGCTAATTACATGTGACATTATCAGTATTTGCTTTATTATTGTACTTGTATATTTTAATTGGTCGACATACAAACAAGGCAAAATATATCCCCCTTAGAGAAAATTTGGAAAAGACAGAAAAGGAGATAGAACAAGTCACCAGTTGTCTTTATTTATTTATTGAAACGGAGTCTCGCTCTGTCGCCCAGGCTGGAGTCCGGTGGCGCCATCTCCGCTTACTGCAAGCTCTGCCTCTCGGGTTCATGCCATTCTCCCGCCTCAGCCTCCCGAGTAGCTGGGACTACAGGCGCCCACCACCATGCCCGGCTAATTTTGTTTTTGTATTTTTAGTGGAGACAGGGTTTCACTGGGTTAGCCAGGATGGTCTTGATCTCTTGACCTCGTGATCCACTTGCTTTGGCCTCACAAAGTGCTGGGATTACAGGCGTGAGCCACTGCGCCCGGCCCACCGGTTGTCTTTAGACATTGTATTTTTTATTCTTTTCTACATGTCTTTTTGCCTAATGAAAAGTGTACTGTAAGAAAAATTTTGCCTGTGTATTCTAAACTTGTTTCCTTTGCAACTTTTTCTTTTCTTTTTTCTTTTTTGAGACAGAGTCTCGCTCTGTTACCCAGGCTAAAGTGCAGTGTCGCGATCACAGTTCACTGCAGCCTTGACCTTCCTGAGCTCAGGTGATCCTCCAGCCTCAGCCTCCTGAGCAGCTGGGACTACAGGTGCACCCACGCCCGGCTAATTTTTTGTATTTTTTGTAGAGACAGGATTTCATCATGTCGCCCAGCCTAGTGTCGAGCTCCTCAGCTCAAGTTATCCGCCCACCTCGGCCTCCCAAAGTGCCGGGATTACAGGCACAAGCCACCGTGCTTGGCCACCCCTTCCTCTTAAATGATCTTTGAAACATTATTTGCAGTCTCAAAGCCTGCATTTATCTAAACAACTGGTTTCATTTTAGGGATGTAGGCATTTCTGTAATATTAAACTGTTATATTTCACCTCGCTAGCATGGGAGTACAACTGAGGGGATGTTTGCATGAATCTTGTGAATTATGATGGCTCTAAGCCATTGTAATTTGATTAACAGAAGTCCTACTTTGGGGTTTATCTTATTTTTATTATTTATTTATTTTTTGAGTGGAGTCTCACTCTGTTGCCCAGGCTGGAGTGCAGTGGTGCTATCTGGGCTCACTGCAACCTCTGCCTCTGGGGTTTAAGTGATTCTCCTGCCTCAGCATCCCGAGTAGCTGGGATTACAGGCGCAGGCCACCATGCTGGCTAATTTTTTGTATTTTTAGTAGAGATGGGATTTCACCATGTCGGCCAGGCTGGTCACAAACTCCTGACCTCAAGTGATCTGCTCACCTTGGCCTCCCAAAGTGCTGGGATTACAGGCATGAGCCACTGCGTCTGGCCTACTTTGGGATTTTTCTCTACAGTGTTTTCATGTTGTTAATGTAGCTGGGGGTCCAGCATCACTGCTGGTCACTTAATCCTGCTGGAGGCCACCAGGATACACCATCTCTGTGCAGTGAGCTGTCAAGGAGAGCCCTAGGCAAAATTACTTAGGTTCATGGTGTCAGTGCTTTTGTGGAGATATCCAACTCCTGAGGTTCACTCATACTGTCATTTTCTCCTAAGGCATCAGGTGATGAGCCTCTCTGATCCAGCATTTTGACTACCCTTTTCACATTTTTTTTTTTTTCTGAGACAGAGTCTGGCTCTGTTGCCCAGGCTGGAGTGCAGTGGCATGATCACGGCTTACTGCAGCCTCAACCTCCCAGGCTCAAGTGATCCTCCTGCTTCAGCCTCCTGAGTAGCTGGGACTACAGGTGCACGCCACTATGCCTGGCTAATTCTTTCATTTTTTATAGAGACAGGACCTCGCTATGTTGCCCAGGCTGGTTCCAACTCCTGAACTCAAGTGATCCACCTGCCTTGGGCTCCCAAAATCTCGGGATTACAGGCGTATAGTGCTAGGCCTTCACATTCTTATATACCCTTCTGTTTCCTTAGCTGTGAAATGGAGATAATGACATAGCCTTAATTCACGTGGGATGCTTAGCACAGTGTCTGGCACTTGATAGATTTTTTTCTTTCTACTTGAAATTTATTTTTGAGCTGGGCACGGTGGCTCACACCTGTAATCCCAGCACTTGGGAAAACCAAGGCAGGCAGATTACCTGAGGTGAGGAGTTCAAGACCAGCCTGGCAAACATGGTGAAACCCCGTCTCTACTAAAAGTACAAAAATTACCTGGGTGTGGTGGCACACACCTGTAATCCCAGCTACTCCAGAGGCTGAGGCACGATAATCACTTGAACTCGGCAGATGGAGGTTGCAGTGAGCTGAGACTGAGCCACTGCACTCCAGCCTGGGTGATAAAGCGAGACTGTCTAAAAAAAAATTATTTTTAACTAATATAAAACTCTCTGAACCCTTCTTTTTCTGAGCTGCTTCTCCACTTGAGTCCATCCCACATCATTGAACATTTAATTACACAGAATTGTGTACCATCTTCCTTGACCCCCAGATCTTTAGCCTTCTATAGTACCCTGTCTCTTTTTGTCGTACTAGTCACAGTTGCACTTTTTTTTTTTTTTTTTTTGAGACAGAGTCTCATTCTGTCACCCAGGCTGCAGTGCAGTAGCACAATCTCAGCTCACTGCAACCTCCGCCTCCCGGGTTCAAGCAATTCTCCTGCCTCAGCCTCCTAAGTAGCTGGGATTACATGCGCGCACCACCACGCCAGGCTAATTTTTGTATTTTTAGTAGAGACGAGGTTTCACCATGTTGTCAGGCTGGTCTAGAACTCCTGACCTTGTGATCAGCCCACTTCAGCCTCCCAAAGTACTGGGATTACAGGCATGAGCCACTGCACCCGGCCATAGTTGCTATTTTATTTGTGTGATTGATTACCGTATGACGCTTTTATTGAAGTGCAGTGAAGGCAGGAAACATGACCGGTTTTTACAATATTTTCAACACTTATCACCATAGGTGGTACATAGTAGGGCCTTAATAAATATTTGTAAAATGAACAAAGTTAATGAGTGTTTATGTTTGTAGTTTTAATTGCTCTGAAGTAAATATCTGATTTTCCAATTTCCACCAGAGTGCTCTGCACATAGTAGGTCTAATTATTTTTCCCTCTTTACTAATCACCCATGCCTTGTAAGAATTCAGTTAGTTGACTTTTTGTACTTTATAAGCGTGATGATTGGGTGTTCCCGTGTGAGATGCGCCACCCTCGAACCTTGTTACGACGTCGGCACATTGCGCGTCTGACATGAAGAAAAAAAAAATTCAGTTAGTCCACCAGGCACAGTGGCTAAGGCCTGTAATCCCTGCACTTTGAGAGGCCAAGGCAGGAGGATCACTTGAACCCAGGAGTTCGAGACCAGCCTAGGCAACATAGCGAGACTCCGTTTCAAACAACAAATAAAAATAATTAGTCGGGCATGGTGGTGCGCGCCTACAGTACCAACTACTCGGGAGGCTGAGGCGAGACGATCGCTTGAGCCAGGGAGGTCAAGGCTGCAGTGAGCCAAGCTCGCGCCACTGCACTCCAGCCCGGGCGACAGAGTGAGACCCTGTCTCAAAAAAAAAAAAAACACCAAACCTTAGAGGGGCGAAAAAAAATTTTATAGTGGAAATACAGTAACGAGTTGGCCTAGCCTCGCCTCCGTTACAACGGCCTACGGTGCTGGAGGATCCTTCTGCGCACGCGCACAGCCTCCGGCCGGCTATTTCCGCGAGCGCGTTCCATCCTCTACCGAGCGCGCGCGAAGACTACGGAGGTCGACTCGGGAGCGCGCACGCAGCTCCGCCCCGCGTCCGACCCGCGGATCCCGCGGCGTCCGGCCCGGGTGGTCTGGATCGCGGAGGGAATGCCCCGGAGGGCGGAGAACTGGGACGAGGCCGAGGTAGGCGCGGAGGAGGCAGGCGTCGAAGAGTACGGCCCTGAAGAAGACGGCGGGGAGGAGTCGGGCGCCGAGGAGTCCGGCCCGGAAGAGTCCGGCCCGGAGGAACTGGGCGCCGAGGAGGAGATGGAGGCCGGGCGGCCGCGGCCCGTGCTGCGCTCGGTGAACTCGCGCGAGCCCTCCCAGGTCATCTTCTGCAATCGCAGTCCGCGCGTCGTGCTGCCCGTATGGCTCAACTTCGACGGCGAGCCGCAGCCCTACCCAACGCTGCCGCCTGGCACGGGCCGCCGCATCCACAGCTACCGAGGTACGGGCCCGGCGCTTAGGCCCGACCCAGCAGGGACGATAGCACGGTCTGAAGCCCCTCTACCGCCCCGGGGTCCATTTTGCAGACGGGGAACTGAGGCCCCTTGAGGCAGGACACATCCAGGGTGACGCTGCTCGTAAGCGTCAGAGCATTCTTTTTTTTTTTTTTTTTTTTCTGAGACGGAGTCTCGCTCTGTCGCCCAGGCTGGAGTGCAGTGGCGCGATCTCGACTCACTGCAGCCTCCGCCTCCCGGGTTCAAGCGATTCTCCTGCCTCAGCCTCCTGAGTAGCTGGGATTACAGGCGTGCGCCACCGCGCCCGGCTGATTTTTATATTTTTAGTAGAGACGGGGTTTCACCATGTTGGTCAGGCTGGTCTCGAACTGCTGACCTCGTGATCCGCCCGCCTCGGCCTCCCAAAGTGCTGGGCTTATGGGCATGAGCCTCCGCGCCCGGCCCAGAGCATTCTTTATAAGGCCGAATAGTTTGCATTTGAAGGTGGCTCCCCCCAGTCCCCCACCCCACGTGTATTTTCCCCTCAAAGAAAAGCTGCATCCTTAACACCCCATCTGTTCAGTCCTCATGACTCCAGTGGGCCAGTTCTGCGTAGTCCCTGCCCTCGTGGAGAACACATTCCTCCTGGGGAGACTGACAGATGCAAAGACAGGAACAAGCCAGGGTCATGTTGGCGCCGGAAGAGCCGACCGTGTGTGGCGTGGGAAATTGACTTACCTGCCTGCTGGGAGATGGAGGGGTTGCGGTTGTGTGGTTTCAGTTAAGGAGCACTTCCCGGAGAAGGAAGAGAGCAGGATGGAGTAGGAACTAGCCAACCCTAGGTAAGAGGTTCTAGACATGCGTGCGTTGAGACCTGGAGTCTTGGGAGAGGATGCTTAAAAGGTGATTTTACCCCTAGGAATATGGGGGCACTGAAATTTTTTTTTTTTTTTGAGACGGGAGTCTTGCTCTGCAAGCTGGAGTGCAGTGGCCCACGCTAGAATGCAGTGGCGCGATTGCGGCTCATTGCAACATCTGCCACCTGGGGTCAAGTGGTTCTCTTGCCTCAGCCTCCCGAGGAGCGGGGATTACAGGCGTGCGCCACCACTCCTGGCTAATTTTTTTTTTAGTAGAGACGGGGGTTTCGTCATTTTGGCCAGGCTGGTCTCGAACTCCTGACCTCAGATGATCCACCCGCCTTGGCCTCCCAAAGTGCTGAGATTACAGGTGTAAGCCACTGCGCCCAGCCCTTTGAAAGTTTTTCAGTATTTATGTATATATATTTTTGAGTTGGAGTCTGGATCTGTCGCCAGACTGGAGTGCTGTTGCACAATCTTGGCTCACTGCAATCTCCGACTCCCTGGTTCAAGCGATTCTCCTGCCTCAGCCTCCCAAGTAACTGGGATTACAGGCACGCACTACCATTCCCAGCTAATTTTTTGTATTCTTAGTAGAGACAGGGTTTCACCATGTTGGCCAGGATGGTCTCCATCTCCTGCGCTCGTGATCTGCCTGCTTCGGCCTCCCAAAGTGCTGGGATTACAGGCGTGCTGGGATTTCGGCCACAACGTCCGACCGAAAGTTTTTAAGCAGGGACATGACATTGTCAGATTTATATACTGAAAAGCTCACCCAGGTTGCCAAGTGGTTTGGAGGGGAAAGACTGCTGTCGAGGAAGCAGTTAGGTAGTTGTGAAAACCCAGGTGAGGAATAACTAGGCCTTACCTAAGGTGCAGGCAGTAATCTTGCCATGGCCTTTAAGCAGAGAAGTAGTCCTAGTGTCACTTAATCTTTACAAAGGATTTTTGCAAGGATCCCGATCTTTCTTCCTTGAGGGTGGTGTACTTAATACACTTTTACACCAGACTTCTAATGTTAGATGAAGAACACAGTATTTCCAGGGATCAACATTTCTGTAGGCTCCTATTTTATATAGGAAATTGTATGAATTTTGTATTTTACTCCAAAATTTTTCTGTGCCCGATTTAATATAAAAATTTACTGAGCCTGGGTGCAGTGGCTCATGCCTGTGATCTCAGCACTTTGGGAGGCTGAGGCAGGAGGATTTCTTGAGCCCAGGAGCTGGAGACCAGCCTGTGCAACATAGTGAGACCCTGTCTGTATTTAAAAAAAAAAAAAATTCTTGAAAAATTAGCAGGGCACATTCCTGCCTTTAGTCCCAGCTACTTGGGAAGCTGAGGCAGGAAGATCACCCGAACCCAGGAGTTGGAGGCTACAGTGAACTATGATGGTGCCTCTGAATAGTTGCTGTACTCTAGTCTGGTAACACAGCAAGACCCTGTCTCTCTATCTTGTCTTTTTTTTTTTTTTTTTTGAGACAGGATGTCCTGCTGTTGCCTGGGCTGGAGTGTGGAGGCTGGAGTTTGGTGGCATGATCACGGCTCATTGCACCCTTAACCTGGGCTCAAGCAGTCCTCCCAGAGCTTCAGCTTCCCAAAGTAGCTGGGACTATAGGCATGCTCCACTATGTCTGGCTAATTTCTTTTTTTATTTTTATTTTTAGTAGAGATGAGGTCTTGCTATGTTGCCCAGGCTGAGACCTCATCTCTTTTTTATTTTTTTAAAATTTTTTATTATACTTTAAGTTCTAGGGTACATGTGCACAACGTGCAGGTTTGTTACATATGTATACATGTGCCATGTTGGTGTGCTGCACCCATAGAGACCTCGTCTTAAAAAAAGAAAATAACATTACTTTTGAAGGTACTTAATGCACTGAATTGTACATTTAAAAATGGTTAAAATGGTAAATGTTTGAGGCAGGTAGATCCACCTGAGGTCAGGAGTTCAAGACCAGCCTGACCAATATGGTGGAACCCTGTCTCTGCTAAAAATACAAAAGTTAGCTGCATGTGGTGGCATGCGCCTGTTTAGTCCCAGCTACTCGGGAGGCTGAGGCAGGAGAATTGCTTGAACCTGGGAGGCGGAGGTGGCAGTGAGCCAAGATCACACCACTACACTCCAGCCTGGGCAACAGAGCAAGACTCCATCTCTAAATAATAAATAAAATGGTAACTTTTATGTATATTTTACCAAAATTTAAAAAATTACAAGTTTACATTTCTTAAAATTTCCCATCAAATCTGTAAGTAAATTTATGCCCCGAGGAACAAGTGCTATATTTATTCTAAGACAACCTCCTCCTTCCTTAAACAGAATCTTAGGGCTGGAGGATTGCTTCCTGCCCTCTTTTGTTTGTGATGTATGCATTTTGAAAATTCTGGGCCAGGCGCAGTGGCTCACTCCTGTAATCCCAGCACTTTGGGAGGCCGAGGCGGGCGGATCATAAGATCAGGAGATTGAGACCATCCTGGCTAATACGGTGAAACCCTGTCTCTACTGAAAATAACAAAAAATTAGCCGGGCGTGGTGGCGGGCACCTGTGGTCCCAGCTATTTGGGAGGCTGTGGCAGGAGAATGGCATAAACCTGGGAGGCGGAGCTTGCAGTGAGCCGAGATCGTGCCACTGCACTCCAGCCTGGGCGACAGAGCAAGACTGCATCTCAAAAAAAAAAAAAAGAAAAAGAAAAGAAAATTCTGGTATAATTTACATACAGTAAAATGCACAGATCTTAGGGTTTGATGAGTTTTCTCTCGACATGTTTTTGCACTTCCTTGTTTTTGAGAAGCACTGATTTGAGAAGTCAGTGGCTTTTTCTCTTTAGTTTGCAGGGTTTGCTGTGATTTGTAATCACGTACTTGACCTAGGCTTCCCTTTTCCACCATGGTAGCAGAAAGGGCATGGGATTGAGAGCTTTAAGTACGCGCTCTTTGCTTACTGTCTTATACCTTGAGCATGTCACTTCTCTCAGACTTGTTTTCTCATCTGTAAATGGATCTGTTGTGAGGACTGACTGAGATAATGTTACTAGAAGGGCTTTGTATAATATTTAAGCAGAGTGAGAGGTAAGCTTTTTGTGTAGGTCAGGGGAAATGGAGAAAATAGGTGCCCTGACTCAGACCAGTCTGGCTCTTTTTTTTTTTTTTTTTGGAGACGGAGTCTTGCTCTGTCACCCAGGCTGGAGTGCAGTGGCGCGATCTCGGCTCACGGCAAGCTCCACCTCCTGGGTTCACACCATTCTCCTGCCTCAGCCTCCCGAGTAGCTGGGACTACAGGCGCTCGCCACCACACCTGGCTAATTTTTTTGTATTTTTAGTAGAGACGAGGTTTCACCACGTTAGCCAGGACGGTCTTGATCTCCTGACCTCATGATCCGCCTGCCTCGGCCTCCCAAAGTGCTGGGATTACAGGTGTGGGCCACCGTGCCCAGCCACCGGTGTGGCTCTTTAACAACCTTTGCTTGTCCCGATAGGTCACCTTTGGCTCTTCAGAGATGCAGGGACACACGATGGGCTTCTGGTTAACCAAACTGAATTATTTGTGCCATCTCTCAATGTTGACGGACAGCCTATTTTTGCCAATATCACACTGCCAGGTACTGACGTTTTACTTTTTAAAAAGATAAGGTTGTTGTGGTAAGTACAGGATAGACCACTTGAAAAATTAAGCCCAGTTCTCAATTTTTGCCTGATGTCAGGCACGTTATCCAATCTTTTTGTATCCTATTCTCTACCATAAATAAAATGGAAGTGATGTATTTGTACGTTATGTGTTAAAGGTGTTATGGTGTCTCAAAAGCACTTTGGGCTCTTAAGAGACAAGCGAAATTAAAGTATCATATCATAGGTTAGTTTTGTAGAATTGTAGAATTACGAATGCCTTTTGTTTCCCTGGCCAAATTGTGCCCTGGAGTTCCAGGAGAACAATGTGTAGAGCATGAGATATTTTGGCTTATTTGTTGCTGACTTCTAATTTTTTTTATTTTTTTGAGACAGAATCTCGCTGTGTTAGCTAGGCTGGAGTGCAGTGGCGCAATCTCGGCTCACTGCAACCTCCGCCTACTGGGTTCCAGTGATTCTCTTGTCTCAGCCTCCCGAGTAGCTGGGACTACAGGCGTGTGCCACCCACTCTGATAATTTTTTGTATTTTTAGTAGAGACGGGGTTTCACCGTGTTAGCCAGGATGGTCTCCATCTCCTGACCTCATGATCTGCCCGCCTACGCCTCCCAAAGTGCTGGGATTACAGGCATCAGCCACAGCACCTGGCCTATGTATTTTCAATTTAACACAATCAAGCTCACAGTGCCAATCAGAGGTGTTTTTTTTTTTTTTATTTTTATTTTTAGAGAGTCTCACAGTGTCATCCAGGCTGGAGTGCAGTGGTGCGATTTCAGCTCACTGCAACCTCTGCATCCTGGGTTCAAGTGATTCTCCTGCCTCAGCCTCCTGGGTAGCTGGGGTTATAGGTGCCTGTCACCACACCTGGCTAATTTTTGTATTTTTAGTAGAGATGAGGTTTCACCATGTTGGCCAGGCTGATCTTGAACTCCTGACCTCAGGTGATCTGCCCACCTCAGCCTCCCAAAGTGCTGGGATTACAGGCGTGAGCCACTGCGTCCAGCCTGTTTTTTTTTTTTTTTAAATCATTGAAGATTGGTATAATACTTCACTATTTGTTTGAAGCTCAAATGATTTTATCAGGGTAAACCCTAATAAACTGATGTTCCTGTGGGTAAAAAAAACCTCACTAAAGACCAGCAGTGTGTGGTGGCTCCTGCCTGTAATCATGCCTGTAATTCCAGCACTTAGGGAGGCTATGGCGGGAGGGTCGCTTGAGACCAGGAGTTCTTGACCAGCCTGGACAACAAAGTGAGACCCCAGCTCCACAAAAAAATTTTTTTTTAATTACCTGGGCATCTTAGCATATGCCTGTGGTCACAGCTATTTGGGAGGCTTAGGTGGGAGGATCCCTTGAGCCCAGGAGTTTGAGGCTGCAGTGAGCCATGATCATACCACTGCACTCCAGCCCAGGTGACAGAGTGAGATCCTGTCTCAAAAAAAGAAAAAAAAAACTCAAAAACCCCCCAAATACATGGGTTTCATAGGATTCAAACTACTATGTGTGTATAGATCCTGTTTTAAGGAAGTAGATATATAAAAATGAGCATTGCTAAGTTAAATTTGGTAAATTTGCCTTATAGAATACCCTCGAGTACGTTTCCAGTGAGTGTAAAATAGGAATTGGGATACCCAATTCAGTTGTACTAGATTTTCTTTTTTTTTTTTTTTTTGAGACGGAGTCTCGCTCTGTCGCCCAGGCTGGAGTGCAGTGGCGGGATCTCGGCTCACTGCAAGCTCCGCCTCCCGGGTTCACGCCATTCTCCTGCCTCAGCCTCCCAAGTAGCTGGGACTACAGGCGCCCGCCACTACGCCCGGCTAATTTTTTGTATTTTTAGTAGAGACGGGGTTTCACCGTTTTAGCCGGGATGGTCTCGATCTCCTGACCTCGTGATCCGCCCGCCTCGGCCTCCCAAAGTGCTGGGATTACAGGCGTGAGCCACCGCGCCCGGCCTAGATTTTCTAAGTACACATTGTTTTGGTTATGTGTTTTGTGACTACCACCCCAAAACTAATAACCACCTTTTTTTTTTTTTTGAGACAGAGTCTCACTGTGTCACCCAGGCTGGAGTGCAGTGGCGTGTGATCTTGGCTCACTGCAACCTCTGCCTCTCGGGTTCAAGCGATTCTCCTGCTTCAGCAGCTGGGACTACAGGTGTGCACCACCAAGCCTGGCTAATTTTTTGCATTTTAGTGGAGACGGGGGTTTCACCATGTTGACCAGGCTGATCTTGAACTCTTGAGCTCAGGCAGTCTGCCTGCCTCAGCCTCCTAAAGTGCTAGGATTACAGGCGTGAGCCACTGCGCCCAGCCCACCATTTTATTTGTTCATAATTCTGTAGTCCAGGCTGGGCTCAGCTAGGCAGTTACTCTGCTGGTGGTAGTCGTTGGTGTGGCTGCCTTTTGCTGGCAGCTGGGGGCTGGGCCTGTCCCTCTTTTTTTTTTTTCTCTTTTCTTTTTTCTTTTTTTTCAAGATAGGGTCTCACTCTGTCACCCAGGTTGGAGTGCAGTGGCATGATCTTAGCTCACTGCAACCTCTGCCTCCAGGGCTCAAGTGATCCTCCCACCTCAGCCTCCCCAGTCGCTGGGACCACAGGCATGTGCCACCATGCCTGGCTAATTTTTTGTGTATTTTGTAGAGACGGGGTTTCGCCATGTTGCCAGGCTGGTCTCGAACTCCTGAGCTCAGGCGATCTACTGACGTTGGCCTCCCAAAGTGTTGGGATCACAGGCATGAACCACCATGCCTGGCCAGGGCCTGTTCCTCTTTATGTGGTCTCTCTAGCAGGGTAGCTCAGGGCTTTCAAAAGTATAAAAGCAGAAGTCAGCAGGCCTTTTTAAGGCTTCGGCCTAGAATTGCCAGTGTCGCTTCATCCACATTCAGTTAGTTAAAGCAATCACAAGCCCAGCCCATTTCAAGGTGAAATTACTACAGAGGCATGAACACCATGAGGTGTCCATAGGGGGCCATCAGCATAACACACTGCCACATACATGCACTCACTTTTTTTCTTTAACCTAAAGTGAGATCCATCAGTAGTACAGGTAGTTGTTGGCAAAGCCTCTTGTTCGTTCCTTGTACTGAGACCCTAGTCTGCCACTGAGGATTTGGTTTTTGCCCTTCCAGTGTATACTCTGAAAGAGCGATGCCTCCAGGTTGTCCGGAGCCTAGTCAAGCCTGAGAATTACAGGAGACTGGACATCGTCAGGTCGCTCTACGAAGATCTGGAAGACCACCCAAATGTGCAGAAAGACCTGGAGCGGCTGACACAGGAGCGCATTGCACATCAACGGATGGGAGATTGAAGATTTCTGTTGAAACTTACACTGTTTCATCTCAGCTTTTGATGGTACTGATGAGTCTTGATCTAGATACAGGACTGGTTCCTTCCTTAGTTTCAAAGTGTCTCATTCTCAGAGTAAAATAGGCACCATTGCTTAAAAGAAAGTTAACTGACTTCACTAGGCATTGTGATGTTTAGGGGCAAACATCACAAAATGTAATTTAATGCCTGCCCATTAGAGAAGTATTTATCAGGAGAAGGTGGTGGCATTTTTGCTTCCTAGTAAGTCAGGACAGCTTGTATGTAAGGAGGTTTGTATAAGTAATTCAGTGGGAATTGCAGCATATCGTTTAATTTTAAGAAGGCATTGGCATCTGCTTTTAATGGATGTATAATACATCCATTCTACATCCGTAGCGGTTGGTGACTTGTCTGCCTCCTGCTTTGGGAAGACTGAGGCATCCGTGAGGCAGGGACAAGTCTTTCTCCTCTTTGAGACCCCAGTGCCTGCACATCATGAGCCTTCAGTCAGGGTTTGTCAGAGGAACAAACCAGGGGACACTTTGTTAGAAAGTGCTTAGAGGTTCTGCCTCTATTTTTGTTGGGGGGTGGGAGAGGGGACCTTAAAATGTGTACAGTGAACAAATGTCTTAAAGGGAATCATTTTTGTAGGAAGCATTTTTTATAATTTTCTAAGTCGTGCACTTTCTCGGTCCACTCTTGTTGAAGTGCTGTTTTATTACTGTTTCTAAACTAGGATTGACATTCTACAGTTGTGATAATAGCATTTTTGTAACTTGCCATCCGCACAGAAAATACGAGAAAATCTGCATGTTTGATTATAGTATTAATGGACAAATAAGTTTTTGCTAAATGTGAGTATTTCTGTTCCTTTTTGTAAATATGTGACATTCCTGATTGATTTGGGTTTTTTTGTTGTTGTTGTTTTGTTTTGTTTTGTTTTTTTGAGATGGAGTCTCACTCTTGTCACCCAGGCTGGAGTGCAGTGGCGCCATCTCGGCTCACTGCAACCTCTGCCTCCTGGGTTCACGTAATCCTCCTGAGTAGCTGGGATTACAGGCGCCTGCCACCACGCTGGCCAATTTTTGTACTTTTAGTAGAGACAGTGTTTCGTCATGTTGGCCAGGCTGGTTTCAAACTCCTGACCTCAGGTGATCCGCCCACCTCAGCCTCCCAAAATGGTGGGATTACAGGTGTGTGGGCCACCGTGCCTGGCTGATTCAGCATTTTTTATCAGGCAGGACCAGGTGGCACTTCCACCTCCAGCCTCTGGTCCTACCAATGGATTCATGGAGTAGCCTGGACTGTTTCATAGTTTTCTAAATGTACAAATTCTTATAGGCTAGACTTAGATTCATTAACTCAAATTCAATGCTTCTATCAGACTCAGTTTTTTGTAACTAATAGATTTTTTTTTCCACTTTTGTTCTACTCCTTCCCTAATAGCTTTTTAAAAAAATCTCCCCAGTAGAGAAACATTTGGAAAAGACAGAAAACTAAAAAGGAAGAAAAAAGATCCCTATTAGATACACTTCTTAAATACAATCACATTAACATTTTGAGCTATTTCCTTCCAGCCTTTTTAGGGCAGATTTTGGTTGGTTTTTACATAGTTGAGATTGTACTGTTCATACAGTTTTATACCCTTTTTCATTTAACTTTATAACTTAAATATTGCTCTATGTTAGTATAAGCTTTTCACAAACATTAGTATAGTCTCCCTTTTATAATTAATGTTTGTGGGTATTTCTTGGCATGCATCTTTAATTCCTTATCCTAGCCTTTGGGCACAATTCCTGTGCTCAAAAATGAGAGTGACGGCTGGCATGGTGGCTCCCGCCTGTAATCCCAGTACTTTGGAAAGCCAAGGTAAGAGGATTGCTTGAGCCCAGAACTTCAAGATGAGCCTGGGCTCATAGTGAGAACCCATCTATACAAAAAATTTTTAAAAATTAGCATGGCGGCACACATCTGTAATCCTAGCTACTTGGCAGGCTGAGGTGAGAAGATCATTGGAGTTTAGGAATTGGAGGCTGCAGTGAGCCATGAGTATGCCACTGCACTCCAGCCTGGGGGACAGAGCAAGACCCTGCCTCAAAAAAAAAAAAAAAAAAAAAATCAGGCCGGGCATGGTGGCTCACGCCTGTAATCCCAGCACTTTGGGAGGTCGAGGTGGGCAGATCACCTGAGGTCAGGAGTTCGAGACCAGCCTGGCCAACATGGTAAAACCCCATTTCTACTAAAAAATACAAGAATTAGCTGGGTGTGGTGGCGCATGCCTGTAATCCTAGCTACTCAGGAGGCTGAGGCAGGAGAATCACTTGAACCCAGGAGGCGAAGATTGCAGTGAGCTGATATCGCACCATTGTACTCCAGCCTGTGTGACAGAGCAATACTCTTGTCTCAAAAAAAAAAAAAAATTCAAATCAGAGTGAAGTGAATGAGACACTCCAGTTTTCCTTCTACTCCGAATTTCAACTGATTTTAGCTCCTCCTTTCAACATTCAACAAATAGTCTTTTTTTTTTTTTTTTTTTTTTTTTTTTTGAGATGGAGTCTCACTCTGTTGCCCAGGCTGGAGTGCAGTGGTGCGATCTCTGCTCACTACAAGCTCTGCCTCCCGAGTTCAAGTGATTCTCCTGGCTCACCCTCCTGAGTAGCTGGGATTACAGGCGCCTGCCACCATGCCTGGCTAATTTTGTGTTTTTAGTGGAGACGGGGTTTCACCATGTTGTCCAGGATGGTCTTGATCTCCTGACCTTGTGATCCACCCACCTCAGCCTCCCAAAGTGCTGGGATTACAGGTGTGAGCCACCGCGTCCAGCCAGCTTTATTATTTTTTTTAAGCTGTCTTTGTGTCAAAATGATAGTTCATGCTCCTCTTGTTAAAACCTGCAGGCCGAGCACAGTGGCTCATGCCTGTAATCCCAGCATTTTGGGAGACCAAGGCGGATGGATCACCTGAGGTCAGGAGCTGAAGACCAGCCTGGCTAACATGGTGAAACCTCATCTCCACTTAAAATACAAAAATTGCCGGCCGCGGCGGCTCATGCCTGTAATCCCAGCACTTTGGGAGGCCTAGGCGGGTGGATCACGAGGTCAGGAAATCGAGACCATCCTGGCTAACACGGGTGAAACCCCGTCTCTATTAAAAAATAGAAAAAATTAGGCGGGCGTGGTGGTGAGCGCCTGTAGTCCCAGCTACTCGAGAGCCTGAGGCAGGAGAATGGCATGAACCTGGAAGGCGGAGCTTGCAGTGAGCTGAGATGGTGCCACTGCACTCTAACCTGGGCGACAGAGTGAGACACCGTCTCAAAAAAAAAAACAAAAAACAAAAATTATCCAGGTGTGGCGGTGGGCGCCTGTGAGGCAGGCGAATCTCTTGAACCCGGGAGGCGGAGGTTGCAGTGAGCCAAGATCACACCATTGCACTCCAGCCTGGGCAACAAGAGTGAAATTCCATCTCAAAAAGAAACCAAAAAAACAAAAAAAAAACATGCCGTTTGAGTACTGTGTTTTTGGTGTTGTCCAAGGAAAATTAAAAACCTGTAGCATGAATAATGTTTGTTTTTCATTTCGAATCTTGTGAATGTATTAAATATATCGCTCTTAAGAGACGGTGAAGTTCCTATTTCAAGTTTTTTTTTTTTTTTTTTTTTTTAAAGCTGTTTTTTAATACATTAAATGGTGCTGAGTAAAGGAAATAGGCAGGGTGTGTTGTGTGGTGTTTTAACTAGGCGCTTCTCTCTCAGAGAGTTTTGAAACCTGTTTACATAAAGGCCCAGGATGGGAAGGAGATCCAAACATAAGCCACCAGCCTCATTCCAAGTCTCTTCTATTTCCAACCCTGGATTTTTTTTTTTTATTTAACATTGTTTCTTTTAGCTTTATTTTTCTTATAAAAGAAATGTATCACTATAAAAAATTACACACTACAGAAAAATATTAAGAAGAAAAACATTCACATCGGAAACAAAGTTTTTTCCCATGAAAACAGAACCCAAAAGGGTAAGTGGTTAGTATTTCACCAGCAATTATGTTGAGAATAAGGCCAGGCGAGGTGGCTCACGCCTGTAATCTCAGCACTTTGGGAGGCCAGGGCAGGCAGATCATCTGAGGTCAGGAGTTTGAGACCAGCCTGGCCAACATGGTGAAACCCTATCTCTACTAAAAATTAAAAAATTAGCTGGGTGTGGTGGCATGTACCTGTAATCCCAGCTATTCAGGAGGCTGAGGCAGGAGAATTGCTTGAACCTGGGAGGCGGAGGTTGCAGTGAGCTGAGATTGCACCATTGCACTCTAGCCTGGGCAACGAGTGAAACTCCGTCTCAAAAGAAAAAAAAAAAAAAATATATATATATATATAGAGAGAGAGAGAGAGAATACCACAGTGAGGGCATGGGCTAGAAATCAGTGCACTAAGGATATGAAATAGATGTCAATGTGAACTTTTCGGATACTTTGACCCTGGGTCTTTGTATCCTCTTCTTAGCACCTCAGTCCCACGCTCTGCTAGTCATTGGCTTCCTGATACCCCTTCAATACAGACTGAGTATCCCTAATCCAAAAATTCCAAATCCAAAGCACTCCAAAATCCAAGAGTCCCAACGTGACGCCACAAGTGGAAAGTTCCACATGTGAGTACTTAACACAAACTTGTTTCACGTGCAAAACTGTGGAAAATATTGCTTACAATTACCTTCAGCCTTTGTCTGTAAGGTGTTTATGAAACTGGTGTTATGATGTATATGTTTTCTTTTTTTGTTCCTGGCTCATAACTCCCATAGCCCTTGTTACGGATGTGAGCCACCTTGCCTGGCTAATTTTTAAGTTTTTTGTAGAGATGGGGTCTCGCTGTGTTGCCCAGGCTGGTTTTAACTCCTGGGCTCAAGCGATCCTCCCACCTTGGCCTCCCAAAGCCCTGGGATTACAGGTGAGATTACAACCCTCATTTCAGAGAAGGTCCTACCCCATACCCTGGGGGAAGGAATGGTGACATCATAAAGCCTCGTTAAAACCCATGAGGACAGTGGAGAGTGTCAGGATAGCTGAACTACGTGTAGAGGTTCCTGGAGGGTGGTGCGCCCAGGGAGGGGACAGAAGCTCTGCGCCCCTTATCCCATACCTTGGTGTACGCATCTCTTCATCTGTATCCTTCGTAATATCCTTTATGATAAACCAGGTAGGCCGGGCGTGGTGGCTCACACATATAATCCCAGCACTTTGGGAGGCTGAGGTAGGAGGATTGCTTCAGCCTGGGAGTTCAAGATAACATCATAGTGAGATCCTGTCTCTCCTAGAAAAAAAAAGAACAACCAGGAGTGGTGGCGCATGCTTGCAGTCCCAGCTGTTCAGTTTGCACTCCAGCCTGGGAGACAGAGCAAGACCTGCTGTCTCAAAAAAAAAAGACTGGTAAACATTTTTCACTGAGTTCTGTTAGCCACTCCAGCAAATTAAACCCAAAGCGAAGGTGGTGGGAACCCCAACTTGAAGCTGGTTGGTCAGAAGTTCTGGAGCCCTAAACTTGCTACTGGTGTGTGGGTGGGGGCAGTCTTGGGGACTGAGGCCTCAACCTGCAGGATCTGATATTATTTCCAGAAAGATGGTGTTGGAAGTGAATTAGAGGATACCTAATTGGTGTTCACTGCAGAATTGATTGCTTGCTCGCTCTCGGGAAGAAATCTACACATTTGGACACGAAAGTGTTCTGGGTTGGTATTGTGTTAGTGTGGAATCTAGAGGAAAAACAGTTTTTCTGAAACAGAAAGGTAAATGAATTTCGCCTTTAGACTTGGGTCCCATCCTCAAGATACCTCATATATATGCACATATTCCAAAATACAAAAAAATCTGAAATTGGAAACACCTCTGGTCCCAAGCATTTCCAATGAGGGACATTCAACTTGTTCCCCTTTCTTTCGGCACACCTAAACTGCCTGCCCCAACAAAACATTTTCTTGTCCCCACCCCTTACCACACATACCCAGTAGTCCATTGGCAGGTCACAGAAAATTGAGGTACACGTATTATGGTCATGAGAAGGATTGGGCAGTAGCACTCAATGTATGAGAGGGAGAAAAACCCACAAAACTTATTTCAAAATTCAAAACATGAAACCGCAGGAAAATATAAGTCTGTTTGACATACAAACTAATGGCAGTAATCTCTCTCCCTGTCTGTCAGAAGGAAAAACACGAAAGATTGTTTCGTTCCAATTGGGAAAAGTTGAATCCTGGGGGCCTGGAGCTGGCCCCACAGATGCTGATAACAGAGCTGAGGTTACTGAAAGGCTTGGGGGAAGTCCTGTTGAACCATTTCATCTTAACATAAGTTGGAGGAGACTTAATTGGGCAAAGGACAGTTTAGCAATTTGCTTGATGGGGAGTGACATGAGTTGATGGATCTTCCCTTGTAGGAGGGTGTTCATTACCTAGGCCCAACCCAAGAATTTTGAGAACTCTTGTTGTAGCTATTCCATGCTCAGAAACCTCTGATAGGAACTGTGGTAAGGGCTCGTATTAGTCTGTTCTCATGCTGTTATGAAGGAATACCCAAGACTGTGTAATTAATAAAGAAAAGAGGTTTAATTGACACAGTTGCTCACAGCTGGGGAGGCCTCAGGAAACTTAACAATCATGGTGGAAGGCACCTCTTCACAGGGCAGCAGGAGAGAGAATGAATGCCAGCAGGGGAAATGGCAGATGCTTATAAAACCATTAGATCTCATGAAAACTCTGTCACCATTGGCCAGACGTGGTGGCTCACGCCTGTAGTCCCAGCACTTTGGGAGGCCGAGGTGGGTGGATCACAAGGTCAGGAGTTCACGACCAGCCTGGCCAAGGTGGTGAAACCCTGTCTCTACTAAAAATACAAAAATTAGCCAGGCGTGGTGGCGGGTGCCTGTAATCCCAGCTACTCGGGAGACTGAGGCAGAGAATTATTTGAACCTGGGAGGCGGAGCTTGCAGTGAGCCAAGGTTGTGCCACTGCACTCCAGCCTGGGCGATAGAGTAAGACTCCGTCTCAAAAAAAAAAAAAAAAAAGAAAACTCTGTCACCATCATGAGAACAGCCTGGGGAAAATTACCTCCCATGATTTGATTAAACCCTCCCATGATATATGGGGATTACAATTCAAGATGAGATCTGGGGGGGACACAGCCAAACCGTATCAGGGCTGTTCCAGCAGGTCTGGATTACCCTGGCGTGGAGCAACTCCAAGCAGTAGGGAGGATTTTGAGAAGGTCTAGTGTGCCTCTGGGGCAGCTGTTTTCCAAATACTCGTTTATACTTGGCAGCCTCCAGGATTTCCACCCCCCTGATAGATGCAGAAAGCAGATCCCTCTGGAACAGACTCCAGTATTGGAAATAAATGTACATGTATGGGAGATTGCCCAAATTAAGTATGGCACTCCTAAATAAGCCATTAAAAAGGATAGGGGGCCAGGCGCTGTGGCTCACACCTGCAATATCAGCGCTTTGGGAGGCTGAGGCTAGAGAATCACTGGAGGAGAGTTTGAGACCAGCCTTGGCAACATAGTGAGACCTCCGTCTCTACCAAAAAAAAAAAAAAAAAAAAGGTAAAAAGAATAGGATAGGATAGAGGTTTACTCATCTTTCTGAGAGAGAAAGAGTAGCCACTTTTTTTTTTTTTTAATTTTTTTCTTGAGAGAGAATCTCATTGTGTTGCTGAGGCTGGAGTGCAGTGGCGTTAGCTCACTGCAACCTCCACCTCCTGGGTTCAAGCAATTCTCCTGCCTCAGCCTCCTGAGTAGCTGGGATTACAGGTGCACGCCACCATGCCTGTCTAATTTTTAATATTTTTCGTAGAGACAGGGTTTCACCATGTTGGCCGGCTGGTCTCGAACTCCTGACTTCAAGTGATCTGCTCGCCTTGGCCTCACAAAGTGCTGGGATTACAGGCATGAGCCACCACACCTGGCTGAAATTTTTATTTTTTAAATTATAATAGAGACAGGGTCTTGTCATGTTGCCCAGGCTGCTCTTGAACACCTGGGCTCAGGCAGTCCTCCCGCCTTGGCCTCCCAAAGTGCTGAGATTATAGATAGGCATGCACCACCACACCTGGCCTTATGTTTGTTTTTCTTAAAATTTTTTTTGTTTGTTTCTGTTTTTTTGTTTGTGCTTTTTTTTGCCTTTTTTCTTTTTTTTTTTCTTTCTTTCTTTCTTTTTTTTTTTTTTTTTGAGACAGCGTCTCACTTTGTCACCCAGGCTGGAGTGCAGTGGCGCTATCTGGGCTCACTGCAAGCCCCACCTCCTGGATTCACGCCATTCTCCTGCTTCAGCCTCCCGAGTAGCTGGGACTACAGGCGCCCGCCACCACGCCCGGCTAATTTTTTTGTATTTTTTAGTAGAGACGGGGTTTCATCGTGTTAGCCAGGATGGTCTCGATCTCCTGACCTCGTGATCCGCCCGCCTCTGCCTCCCAAAGTGCTGGGATTACAGGCGTGAGCCACCGCGCCCGGCCTCCTTTTCTTTTTTTTTGAGACAGAGTGTTGCTCTTGTCGCCCAAGCTGGAGTACAATGGCAGGATCTTGGCTCACTGCAACCTCCGCCTCTGGGTTCAAGTGATTCTCCTACCTCAGCCTCCCGAGTAGCTGGGATTACAGGCATGCGCCACCACGCCCAGCTAATTTTGTATTTTTAGTAGAGATAGGATTTCTCCATGTTGGTCAGGCTGGTCTTGAACTCCTGATCTCAGGTGATTCGCCTGCCTCGGCCTCCCAAAATGCTGGGATTACAGGTGTGAGCCACTACACGCAGCCATTTTTTAACAGAGATGGGGTCTCACTATGTTGTCCAGGCTGGGCTCCTGGGCTCAGGCAGTCCTCTCTCCTTGGCCTTCCAAAGTGTTTGGATTACAGGAATGAGCCATGGCACCCAGCCCATCACAATTTTAGATGTTCATCTTTGCTCCAGAAAATCTAGTTTTAGGAATTTACCTTAAGAAAGAAAAAACAAGTGTGAATAGATGTATGTATATGAAGTTTGCTGCAGTATTATTTAGAATAGCATAATACTGGAAATAAAAGTATACTGATAGGAGTTTGGGCACATATAGTATGGTGTTCCTAAATAAGCCATTAAAAGGGAAATAGTACTATGCTCATATAATGACAGGAAAAGCTATTAATTGAAAAAAAAACAGAAAATTAAATGTTAAAAAAATTTTTTTTTCACCATAGTGTCTGCAAAAAAGAAAATATGTTTAAAAAATTGGCCAGTCACGGTGGTTCACGCCTGTAATCTCAGCACTTCGGAAGTCCGAGGTGGGCAGATCACGAGGTCAAGAGATCAAGACCATCCTGGCCAACGTGGTGAAACCCCGTCTCTACTAAAAATACAAAAAACTAGCCAGGTGTGGTGGCATGCGCCTGTAGTCCCAGCTACCTGGGAGGCTAAGGCAGGAGAATCACTTGAACCCGGTAGGCGGAGGTTGCAGTGAGCCGAGATTTCGCCACTGCACTCCAGCCTGGTGACAGAGTGAGACTCCTTCTCAAAAAAAAAAAAAAATCATTTTGTATAGGACTAAAAACATGTAAAAGGAGTATATACTCCAAACAATAATGGTGATTCCTCAGGGATGAGGTTATGGGAAGGTGTTTGTTTTCTCTTTCTTTCTGTCTTTGACAAATATCACATGCTATCAGAGAAACCAATAAAGATATTTTTGTTAAAAAAAAATATAGCCGGGCGCGGTGGCTCATGCCTGTAATCCCAGCACTTTGGGAGGCCGAGGTGGGTGGATCACCTGAGGTCAGGAGTTTGAGACCAGCCTGACCAACATGGAGAAACCTCGTATCTACTCAAAATACAAAATTAGCTGGGTGTGGTGGCACATGCCTGTAACCCCAGCTACTCAGGAGGCTGAGGCAGGAGAATTGCTTGAACCCAGGAGGCAGGGGTTGCGGTTAGCCAAGATCACACCAGTGCACTCCAGCCTGGGCAACAAGAGCAAAACTCCGTCTCAAAAAGAGAGAAAAAAAAAGAAAAATATATGCAAAGTGCATAGAGAAGCTTTATTATTCTCCTTTCATCAGTCTTCCCTCCTGCTCCAGCTTTTTTTTTTTTTTTTTTTTTTTTTTTGATATGGAGTCTCACTGTGTCCCCCAGTCTGGAGTGCAGTGGTATGATCTTGGCTCAGTGCAGTCTCCACCTCCCGGGTTCAAATGATTCTCCTGCCTCAGCCTCCCAAGTAGCTGGGATTACAGGTGCGTGCCATCACGCCCAGCGAATTTTTTTGTATTTTTAGTAGAAACGGGGTTCCGCCGTGTTGGTTGGGCTGGTCTCGAACTCCTGACCTCAAGTGATCCACCCACCTCGGTCTCCCAAAGTGCTGGGATTGCAGGCATGAGCCACCATGCTTGGCCTCTGCCCCAGCTTTCTGATATGACTGGTTCTCAACTGTGCCAGCACATATTAGAATTATCTGGGAAGCTTTAAAAAACAGTAGTGCCTGAGCCCCACTCCAGAATAATTGAATCTGTCTCCCTGGAGGTAGGGCTAGGCATTTATACTTTTTAAAAGCACCCCAGATGTTTCTACTGTGCAGCCAGGGTTGCAAACCACTGACTATAATTTCAAGGGAATTAAACTTGAACAGCTCAAAATGACGTAAGTGTGTAATTAATTACATTCAGCCTCAATAACTGTTTCTAACTGATCCTGGTGGGTGTTGGTCATGGAAAATAGCCAGAGGAAGAAATTAACTGCAAGATCAGAGGAAATTTCTTGTGGTGAGGCAGTATAACACAGCAGAAAGAGCATTTGCTTTGGGTCAGACTTGAGTTGCATCCTGTTGATGCGGGACAGGCAAGCCCCCAAATTGGGGTTTAGCCTGGGAGGGTTCTTAGCTTCACCCAGAAAGGAATTCCAGGGCCAGCCAGTGGTGTTAAATAGCACCTTTTATTGAAATAGCAGTGTGCAGCCGCAGCAGAGGTACTGCTCCTTGCAGGGTAGGGCTACTCCATAGGCAGTGTGCCCAGAGTAGTGGCTCAGAGGCAGTTCTACAGTCACATTTATACACACTTTTAATTATATGCAAATTAAGGGGCAGTTTATGCAGAACATTCTAGAAAGGGGCGGTGACTTCTTGGAGTCGCCATGGCAATGGTAAACTGACAAGGTACACTGGTGGCAGTGTCTTATGCGAGGTACTTCCCACCACACCTGTTTTAGCTAGTCCTCAATTTGGTCCGATGTCCCAGCCATTCCTTTCGAGTCGAGTGCTGCCCCCTACCTCACTGTCACTTGGCCAACTTGGCCCAGTTACAATTGACTTCAGCCTCAGTTTCTTCATCTGTAAAACAGAAACAATAAACCTTTGCAGGGTTGTATGGATTACAGATAATGTATGCTAAATGCCTGCTAGGTGAGTTGGTAGGTGAAGGGCAACCATTAGTAATAGCAAAGACCTTACTTTGAAGAACTTATTCTAAAGAGTGGTAACTGAGATGTGTCCCTGTGATGACCTGCTCAGGCCCAAAATGACTCAAGCTTCTCTGGAAGACAGAATCCTAGGACACAGATCCCAAGCCCTGAGGCTGGGGTGAGAAGGAATTGCGGGAAGGGCCTGAGGATGCAGCAGAGAGAGCAGTGGGGGCTCCTCTGCCTTCCAGGATTGACCAAGGCTGAATGTGAAACTTCCGTGGTCTTAAAGCCTCACCCCAGGGAAGAGGCCCTGTGGCACTGAGGGAGGAGCTCTACACACACGCTGCTTGCGGAAGAGAAGGAGAAGCAGGTAGGGGACTCTGCAAAAAGAGAAAAGGAGAAAAAGAAGAGGATCTTTATTCTCTTTTACCCCCGTGTGCCTGGGATGGAGATGCTTCTCCACCCAGCCTATGGCAAACAATCATTACAGTTCCCAAGTCCACCTTCAGCCACTGCTGAAAACACAGGACTTCACTTGAAAAGTAGTCTCAGAACACTGAAATATGTCCCACTTTCAACATCAAGGAGGACATAATAGTAATCCTTTACTGGGCTCAGCACTTCACAGTTGATCTTGAGCGTTTTGGAGTCCATTTAGGCTTCATAACAATCCTTCCAAGTGGCTGCAGCAGGAGATCCAGTTTCCAAAAGGGAAAACAGAACTGGCTCAAAGGACTAAGAGCCGGAGAGTGGCTGAACCAGGTCTCCAAACTTGATAGGACTCCAAGGCCAGTGGGTGCCTTTTCAAGACCACTAATGACAGCTACCATTTTTTGGGCACATTCTCTGTGCGAGGAAAGCCCTGTAGTAGGTGTTCTATATAGGCTACATAATTTGATTTATTCCACTCCCCTCACAACTCTAAGCAGTAGGAAGGAGCAGGCCCACTTTACAGATGCTGGAAACAAGGCTTGACGAATGAAATGAGTTGTCCAGAGTCACAAAGCCTGTTGGTGGCAGAACTGCAACTTGGCCCTAGGACTTCTCACTTTGATTTCAGCTTCCTCCTTTTGCAGCGCTACTCCATAGCTGACGGCCACAGCTATACAGTGGTACCTACTCTAGTTACTTATCTGCCCTTCGTGACCTCGCCTAACCTCTTGGAATCTATTTACTTCTGTGTAAAATGGGGATAATAATATCTATAGTATAGGCTTGTAAGAATGACATAAGATCATTTTTGCAAAGTACATTGTAGATACAGATAAATGTATCTGTATCTACAATATACTTTAGCCAGTGGTGATGGAGAGCCTGGGGTCAGAATACTTAGGTTCAAATGATTTTAGCCATATTATTTAACCTCTCTGTGCCTTAGTTTCCTTATTTGTAGAATGGGGCTATAACCATACCTACCTCAGAGGGTCATTGTAAGGAGTAAGTAAAGTAACCCAGGTGAAGGCTACACATAGTAAGTGCTCAATAAATACTAGCTATTTTATATATGTGTGTGTGTATTTTATATATATATATATATATATATATATATATATATATGTATACACACACTATAAATTCTGTTCCTTGTACCCTCTTTGTTTATTTAGAGACAGGGTCTCACTCTCACCCAGGCTGGAGTGCAGTGGTGCAATCTTGGCTCACTGCAATCTCCACCTCCTGGGCTCAAGTGATCCCCCTACCTTAGCCTCCCAAGTACCTGGGACTACAGGCACATGCCACCATGCCTGGCTAATTTTTGTAGAGACAGGGTCTTGCTCTGTTTCCCAGGCTGGTCTCGAATTCCTGGGCTCAAGCGATCTGCCTGCCTCTGCCTCCCAAAGTGCTGGGGTTATAGGTGGGAGCCGCCGCACCCAGCCCCTTATACCCTATTTAATAATCCAGTTTGTCCTGCAGTCCCCTGCACCATACTCTGCTTTTTTCCCAGTAATAGTATCATCTAAGATAATGCAATTGGCCACTTGCACTCCCTTTTACCACCCTCTACTTTTATTCTTTCTTTTCTTTCTTTTTTTTTTTTTTTTTTTCAGAGACAGGGTCTCATTCTGTCACTCAGGCTGCAGTGCAGTCATAGCTCACTGCAGCCTCAAACTCCTGGGTTCAAGAGATCCTACCACCTTAGCCTCCTGAGTAGCTGGGACTATAGGTGTACACTACCATGCTTGGCTCATTTTAAAATTTTTTGTAGAGGCCAGGCGTGGTGGCTCATGCCTGTAATCCTAGCACTTTGGGAGGCCGAGGCAGGCGGATCACGAGGTCAGGAGTTCAAGACCATCCTGGCCAACACAGTGAAACCCTGTCTCTACTAAAAATACAAAAATTAGCTGGGCGTGGTGGCGCGTGCCTGTAATCCCAGCTACTCGGGAGACTGAGGCAGGAGAATTGCTTGAACCGGGACCTGGGAGGCAGAGGCTGCAGTGAGCCAAGATTGCGCCACTGCACTCCAGCCTGGGCTACAGAGCAAGACTCCGTCTCAAAAAAAAAAAGTTTTTTGTAGAGATAAGATCTTCCTATGTTGCCCAGGCTTCTACTTTCATTCTCCAACATAGCTTATCTGCCTATTTTTATTGCTTGTTGTCTGTCTCCCTCCAGGACAAGGATTTTGTCCTTCTCTTCAGAGGTATTCCCAGCACCTACAACAGTGCCTGGCACATAGTAGCTGCACGATACATATTAGCTACTATAGTAAAGTCTACCTGACTACCCTATTTAATAGAATATTCCCCATGCTCAATCTGAATTCCTGATTCCCTTTAACCAACTTTTTTTCCTTTTTTTTTTTTTTTGCAATAGTGCTTATTACCTTTAAGACACTCTGTAACATACTATATTTATTATTTATTGTTAGTCTTTCTCTCCACACCTAGATTGTAAGTCTTATGAAAGCAAGGGCTTTTGTAGGCTTTTTTTTTTTTTTTTTTTTTTTTTTGAGACAGAGCCTCACTCTTCACCCAGGCTGGAGTACAAGGGCACAATCTGGGCTTACTGCAACCTCCGCCTCCAGGGTTCAAGCGATTCTTCTGCCTCAGCCTCCCAGGTAGCTGGGACTACAGGCGTGCGCCACCGTGCCCGGCTAATTTTTGTATTTTTAGTAGTGACGGGGTTTCACCATATTGGCCAGGCTAGTCTCGAACTCCTGACCTCGTGATCCGTCCGCCTCGGCCTCCCAAAGTACTGGGATTACAGGAGTGATCCACCGCGCCCGGCTGTAGGGTTTCTTATTCAGGTATTACCAACACCTAGGGAGTTGCCTGGCATACAGTAGGTAATTAATGGAGTATTTGATGAGCGCATGATGCATGGTGTAGTGCCGATGGAAGTGGGGTCAGAAGGCCTCCTGCCGCTGCGGCAGAATTCCCGTGTGGCCTTCTCCCACCAGGGCCTCAGTTTCCCCTCGCAGTTCCGATTCTCTGGCCGGCGCTGGGGTGGAGCCGGCGGGGCCGTCGTGCCGCCCGTGGCCGCTGGGGACGCTGGTGCCCTCCCGCCCCGCCCACTTCCCCGCCGGTCCGCCCCTGGCTAGAGAAGCCGCAGCCCGCAGTGTCCGACCCAGTCGTCCCGCGCCGGAGCCGGCCCCGTAGCGTGCCATGGCCTGCTACATCTACCAGCTGCCCTCCTGGGTGCTGGACGACCTGTGCCGCAACATGGACGCGCTCAGCGAGTGGGACTGGATGGAGTTCGGTGAGTGCGGCCCGGGGAGGGGAGGGGACCAGGGCGACCGGAGCCCCCAGCGATCCCGCCTGGAGCGGCCGCCAAGCTCCCTCGGGCACCCGGGTTCAGCGGGTCCCGATCCGAGGGCGTGCGAGCTGAGCCTCCTGGACCGGGTCCGCCGCGGACCTCGGCCTGTCACCTGAAGGTGCCGCGTGGTCTCTGAGGACGTCTGTCGACGAGCAGGGGCCGCCGCCACTGCGCTCTGAGTCCAGAGAACGGTGGGTACGGGGGCCCTCCTGTCAGCGCTGCTGGCTCGGTGACGTCCCCAGGTGGCCTCTCATCCAGCCCACAACAGCCTGCAAAGTGCGAGCCTCGACCCTGTAGGGACCCACGGTGCTGTCACTTCTTGGGGGGGTGTGTGTGTGTGTGTGTGTGGTGTGTTTAGTTTTAGTGTATATTAGAAGGATCTATGATTTAACATATATATATATATTGAAACGGAGTTTCGCTGTTGTTGCCCAGGCTGGAGTGCAATGGCACGGTCTCGGCTCACTGCAACCTCCACCTCTGGGATTCAAGCGATTTTCCTGCCTCGGCCTCCCGAGTAGCTGGGATTACAGGCGCCCGCTACCACCCTGGCTAATTTTTTGTATTTTCAGTAGAGACCGGGTTTCACCATGTTGGCCAGACTGGTCTTGAACTATTTTTTTTTTTTTTTTTTTTTTTTTTTAAGACGGAGTCTCACTCTGTCGCCCAGGCTGGAGTGCAGTGGCGCGATCTAGGCTCGTTGCAAGCTCCGCCTCCCGGGTTCACGCCATTCTCCTGCCTCAGCCTTCTGAGTAGCTGGGACTACAGGCGCCCGCCACCACGCCCGGCTAACTTTGTATTCTTAGTAGAGACGGGGTTTCACCGTGTTAGCCAGGATGGTCTGGATCTCCTGACCTTGTGATCCGCCCACCCTGGGCCTCCCAAAGTGCTGGGATTACAGGCATGAGCCACCGCGCCCGGCCTCCGGAACTCTTGATCTCAGGCGATCCACCTGCTTCGGCCTCCCAAAGTGCTGGGATTACAGGCGTGAGCCACTGTGCCCAGCCTATTTATCATATTTGTGATTAAATGTACTTTACCATTATAGTTTTAAAATCAGATATTTACTTTTAGTGTACATTGTTTTGATCACAGTATTTATGACTATCAACCTGTTTTGAGATCAGATGTGTCCTAATAGATTCAGTGTGTATAATGGGGCCTAAGCACAAGCACTTACTTTCACTCTATTGCAAGGTGCACAGTTCTAGATAATTCCGTGGGAAGGCACTCAGACAGCCTCCATATGTTTTGTTTGTTGGTGCCTGACGGATGACTGGCGGAGAGGGCCATGGACTCTGCGGGGAGGCCGCTTGCCTGTTGTCTCTGCTTTCCAGGTGGAGATCTGCATTCCAGGCTCTTGCTGTATGACTTTGGGCCAGTTTGTTAACCTCTCTGAGCCTCAGCTTCTGAATCTGTATGTAAACTGGAGATGATAATTATAGCTTCTTCATAAAGTTGTGAGGAATGAAAATACTGTATAAAAGCACTGACACCTAAGTGTTAAATATTCTTATAAGTCATAAGTTGTAATATTCTCTTTTCATTTTTATTTTTTTGAGACAGTCTCATTCTGTGGCCCAGGCTGGAATGCAGTGGCGAGATCTCGGCTCACTGCAGCTTCCGCCTCTTGGATTCAAGTGATTCTCTTGCCTCAGCCTCCCGAGTAGCTGGGATTACAGGCATGTGCCACCACGCCCACTAATTTTTATGTTTTTAGTAGAGATGGGGTTTCGCCATGTTGGCCAGGCTGGTCTCGAACTCCTGACCTCATGTGATTTGGCCGCTTTGGCCTCCCAAAGTGCTGGGATTACAGGCGTGAGCCACTGCTCCTGGACCTGGCTTCACTACTTTGAATGTTTCCTGGGCAGTGAACAAACTTTGTGTGAGACTCCCTCTCATTTTTTCCACATTGGCCCAGCCCTCAGTTACAAATGCCAGAACAACTTCTGTTTCTAGGAAATTCAATTAGAAGGCATACCTATGACTTAAAAAAAAAATAAAGCTTTACTGAGATATTCACATACCATACAATCCACCTGTTTCAGGAGTACAATTTAGTGGTATTTAGTATATTCACAGGGCTGTGTATCCATCTTCACAATCAATCTTAGAACATTTTAATCACCCGAAGAAGAAACTCTGTACCCGTTAACTTCCAATCCCCTCCTTCCATTTTCCTGAGTTTTAGACATTGCCTATTTTGGACATTTCATATAAATGGAATCATATAATATATAGTGCTCTGTGACTGACTTGTTTCAACTAACATGAGGTTCATCCATGTTGTAGCATGCGTCAATACTTAGTTTCTTTTTTTTTTTTTTGAGACGGAGTCTCGCTTTGTCACCCAGGCTGGAGTGCAGTGGCGCAATCTCGGCTCACTGCAAGCTCCACCTCCTGGGTTCATGCCATTCTCCTGCTTCAGCCTCCCTAGCAGCTTGGACTACAGGTGCCTGCCACCATGCCCGGCTAATTTTTTTGTATTTTTAGTAGAGATGGGGTTTCACTGTGTTAGCCAGGATGGTCTTGATCTCCTGACCGTGTAATCCACCTACCTCGGCTTCCCAAAGTGCTGGGATTACAGGCGTGAGCCACCGCGCCCAGCCAGTTTCTTTTTATTGTAGGATAATGTTCCATGGTATGGATATACTACATTTCATTCATTTATCAGTTGTTGGGCATTGGGTTCTTTTCACTTTTGGGCCATTGTGAATAGTGCTGCTGTGAACACTCACATACAAGATTTTGTGCAGTGGTGCAAATGTAGCTCACCGCAGCCCCAACTTCCTGGGCTCAAGCGATCTTCCTGTCTCCTGAGTAGCTGGACTACAGGTGTGCACTGCTGCACCCAGCTAACTTTTGTATTTTTTGTAGAGACAGGTTTCACCATGTTACTCAGGCTGATCTTGAACTCTGGAGCTCAAGCGATCTGCCCATCTCACCTTCCCAAATTGCTGGGATTACAGGTGTGAGCCACTGCATCTGGCTTTATGTTTAACTATTTGAGGAGCTACCAGATGTTTTCTAAAGTGGCTGAACCACCAGTGTATGAGGATGACCATTTCTCCACATCCTTGTCAACATGTGTTATTTTTTTCTTTTTTTAATTTTTTTTTTTTTGAGACAGAGTCTCGCTCTGTCGCTGAGGCTGGAGTGCAGTGGCATGATCTCGGCTCGCTGCAACCTTAGCCTCCTGGGTTCAAGCGATTCTTGTGCCTCAGCCTCCCAAGTAGCTGGGATTACAGGCATGCACCACCGTGCCTGACTAATTTTTGTATCTTCAGTAGAGACAGGGTTTCACCGTGTTGGCCAGGCTGGTCTCAAACTCCTAACCTCAGGTGATCTGCCCGCCTCGGCCTCCCAAAGTGCTGGGATTACAGGTGTGAGCACCATGTCCGGCCTTATTGTTGCTTTTTTGATGGTAGCCACCTGAGCCAGTGTGAAGTGGCATCTTACTGTGGTTTGATTTGCATTTCCCTAATGACTAATGCTGTGGAGCATCTTTTCCTGTGCTTGTTGGCCATTTGCACATCTTCTTTGGAGAATACCTCTGCGAGGCTCCCCACTGGGATGGATATGATCTGAACACCTTGCCAGGCATGTTGACTCTGACACATCTGCCCAGTGCTGGCCTCTCTGACCTCCTCTTCTTCCACACCCACTGTCACTCCCCTGCTCCAGCCACACTGACCTCCCTGGGCCAGACACAGGGTCTTTGCAGGTGCTGTTCCCTCTGCCTGGGACGTTCTTCCCCCTGTGTTACCTGGGGCTAGCTTTCTAGTCTATTAGTTTCCTCCTGTTGCAGTTATAGATTACTACAATATCAGGGGAACCAGCCCGCAGTATTTCAATGTAGGTTCTTTTCTATTTTCCCTAAGTGTCGGCCGGTCTGAGAAATAAAGAGTACAAAGAGAGAAATTTTACATCTAGGCCTCTGGGGGTGCTGTTACACATTGGTAGGACCGTGATGGTGACCCCGAGCCACAAAACCAGCGAGTTTTTATTAGGGATTTCAAAAGGGGAGGGGTGTACGAATAGGGAGTAGGTCCCAGAGATCACATTCTTCAAAGGGCAATAAAAGATCACAAGGCAAAGGTGAAATTAGAATTACTGGTGAAGGTCCATGTCCCACTGGGCACGCATTGTCTTGATAAACATCTTAACAGGAAACAGGGTTGGAGAGCAGACAACCCGTCTGACTAGAATTCACCAGGCTGGAATTTCCCAATCCTAGTAAGCCTGAGGGCACTGCAGGAGACCAGGGCATATTTCATCCCTTATCTCAACTGCATCAGACAGACACCCCCAGAGTGGCCATTTATAGACCTACCCCGGGAATGCGTTCCTTCCCCAGGGTTATCAATTATTAATATTCCTTGCTGGGAAAAGAATTCAGCGATATTTCTCCTACTCACACGTCCATCTATAGGCTCTCTGTGAGAAGAAAAATATGGCTCTATTCTGCCCGACCCCACAGGCAGTCAGACCTTATGGTTATCTTCCCTTGTTCCCTGAACATCACTGTTATTCTGTTCTTTTTCAGGGTGCCCTGATTTCATATTGTTTAAACACCCACGTTTTACAATCAGATTTCATATTTTTCAAACACACGTTTTACAAACAATTTATACAGTTAATGCAATCATCACAGGGTCCTGAGGTGACATACATCCTCAGCTTATGAAAATGATGGGATTAAGAGATTAAAGACAGGCATAGGAAATTATAAGAGTATAAATGTCCATAAAATCTTCACAATTTATGTTCAGAGATTGCAGTAAAGACAGACGTAAGAAATTATAAAAGTATTAATTTTGGGAACTGATAAATGTCCATGAAATCTTCACAAGTTGTATTCTTCTGCCGTGGCTTCAGCCGGTCCTGTTCGGGGCCCCTGACTTCCCACAACACTACAAAGTTGGTGGCCTGTAACACCTCAAGTTTATTATCTCAGCATTCTGGAGGTCAGAAGTCCTAACTCAGGGTGGCTCTAGGGAGGAGTCGGTCTCCTGGCCTTGACTGGCTTCCTGAGGCCTGCAGCATCCTGTGGCTTATGGCCCCTTCCTCCATCATCAAGGCCATGGGTGTGTATCATCACATCTGTCTCTGTGACTTCTGCTTCTACCATCACCTCATCTCTGAATCTGATGTTCTGGCCTCCCCCTTACAGGGACCCTGGTAATTACCTTGGCCAGACCCAGAGAATCCAGGATAATCTCATCTCAGAATCCTTGATTTAATCTAACCTGCAAAGTCCCTTTTGCTATGTAAGGTACCATATTCACAGGTCTCGGGGCTTAGGATGTGGATGTTTTCCAAGGGTATTATTCTGTCTGTCACAGTCCTTCAGGTAAGCTCCTGTGGCACCTCTTTGAAATCAAGAGGACTTTCCTGCCCCTGTTCCTCTCTAGCCCATCACCGTGTTTCATTTCCCTCATTCCGCTTCACAGCCTTTGATGTCCCCTCGTTCCTGAATTTTTTCCACCTGTCTCTCCCTATGGAATGGAAGCCCCGTGCGGGCAGGGGCCTTACCTGTCTAGTTTTTCACTGCTGTATTCCCAGAGCCTGGGACAGTGCCTGGCTAGAGGGCAGGTGCCAGAATGAATGATGAGCTGCCAGGCCTTGGTGTGGTGAGGATGCGGGCTGCCCACTCTTACCCATTGGAGCTGGCCTGGAGCCTTTGGTCAGCCCACTTCCTACACTGGATCAGAGCCAGCGGTGCCTCCGGCCCACTGCTCCTCGCCCAGTCCCAGTGCTCCAGTTCCCTCTTCAGCTGAATGAACGAGTGACTGTGATTGACCCTTCAGTCCTAAAAATTCTTGGCTTCCTGTGGGTCATTTTAGAAAGAAGACAGTCCCTCAGAGCTGATGGTGATACTGGGAGAGTGTAGTGAGAACGCT
The DNA here is from genome assembly GCF_000001405.40 of Homo sapiens. Classification (NCBI taxonomy): domain Eukaryota; kingdom Metazoa; phylum Chordata; class Mammalia; order Primates; family Hominidae; genus Homo; species Homo sapiens. Next base: position 10,171,009 of record NC_000003.12, read on the forward strand.
AAAGTGATTCAGAAGATCCCGCAGCCACAGACAGCCACGCTCTTTCAGATCCGACACTTGTTGGCAGATAATCTGGCCACGCCTAGTTCTTGTCTCCGTGATGGCAGCTGCCTCTGTTGGGCTTTGCCTGAGCCTGTGTAAAAAGGGTTTCCTACAGCTTCAGCCCCAGGTGTGTGCAGAGGGGCTCGGCGCAGGGGCTCTTCTGTGTGTGGCCGTTCCCCGTCTCGTTCACTCATGCGTGTGCCAGCCTTTGTGCACAGCCCTGCTTTGCCCTGCCCAGCTGTGTGACATCAGGCAGGTGACTATCTCTCTCTGAGCCTTTAGTTTCCTCATCCATGAAGCACCCTCACAGTGTTGCTGAGAGGCTTAGGAGACTCAGCTTATTGTAAAGGGTCAAGTTAGGGCTTTCCTCATCCCCCACCCAGGGAGGGGTGTGGGCATTCGATTCTAAGATGGGTCATTTCAGGAGGCTGTGCCATCCCTGCTGTGGAGGACTTTGAAGACAGGCAAGGTTTTCTACTGCCTCGGGTGAACTCCTGCAGGATTCAGGAACTCAAGAGTGATAGTCCCTGTACTGTTAATCATCAGGGATAAAAACATTTTCAGGCCAGGTGCAGTGGCTCACGCCTCTAATTTCAACACTTTGGGAGGCCTAGGTGGGAAAATTTCTTGAAGCCAAGAGTTTGAGACCAGCCTCGTGATCCGCCCGCCTCAGCCTCCCAAAGTGTTTGGATTACAGGCGTGAGCCACTGCACCCAGCCTTTTTTTTTTTTTTGAGACGGAGTCTCACTCTGTTGCCCAGGCTGGAGTCCAATGATGCAATCTCAGCTCACTGCAACCTCGGCCTCCTGGGTTCAAGTGATTCTCCTGCCTCAGCCTCCAGAGTAGCTGGGACTACAGGCGCCCGCCACCACACTCTGCTAGTTTTTGCATTTTCAGTAGAGATGGGCTGGGCGTAGTGGCTCACGGCTGTAATCTCAGCACTTTGGGAGGCCAAGGTGGGAGGACCACGAGGTCAGGAGTTCGAAACCAGCCTGGCCAACATGGTGAAACTCTGTCCCTACTAAAAATATGAAAATTGGCCAGGTGCGGTGGCTCATGCCTGTAATCCTAGCTCTTTGGGAGGCTGAGGTGGGTGGATCATGAGGTCAGGAGATTGAGACCATCCTGGCTAACACAGTGAAACCCCGTTTCTACTAAAAAAAAAAATTAGCCGGGCATGGTGGCAGGCGCCTGTAGTCCTAGCTACTCAGGAGGCTGAGGCAGGAGAATGGTGTGAACCTGGGAGGTGGAGCTTGCAGTGAGCAGAGATCGCACCACTGCACTCCAGCCTGGGCGACAGAGCGAGACTCCGTCTCAAAAAAACAAACAAACAAAAAATTAGCCAGGTGTGATGGCACTCGCCTGTAATCCCAGCTATTCGGGAGGCTGAGGCAGGAGAATTGCTTGAACCTGGGAGGTGGAGGTTGCAGTGAGCTGACATGTGCCATTGCACTCCAGCCTGGGCAACAAGAGTAAAACTCCGACTCAAAAAAAAAAAAAAAAAAAAGGCCGGGCGCGGTGGCTCATGCCTGTAATCCCAGCACTTTGGGAGGCCGAGGTGGGTGGATCACGAGGTCAGGAGTTTGAGCCCAGCCTGGCCAACATAGTGAAACCCCGTCTCTACCAAAAATACAAAAATTAGCTGGGCATGGTGGCACATGCCTGTAGTCCCAGCTACTCGGGAGGCTGAGGTAGGAGAATTGTGTGAACCCAGGAGGTGGAGGTTGTGGTGAGCCAAGATCGCGCCACTGCACTCCAGCCTGGGCAACAGAGCGAGACTCTGTCTCAAAAAAAAAAAAAAAAAAAAAAAAGTAGAGACGGGGTTTCATCATGTCGGCCAGGCTGGTCTCAAACTCCTGACCTCGTTATCCGCTTGCCTTGGCCTCCCAAAGTGCTGGGATTACAGGCGTGAGCCACCGCACCTGGCCAAACTCTATGAAAAACAGGTTTTCATAGAATGTAGATAGTTTAACACTTACAGCTAATACTTATATCATGTTTATTGTGTGTTAAGCACTGTTCTGAGTGCTTCTGTACATAGAACTCATCTAATCCTTGCAACAATCTCGGAGGCAGGTGCTGCTGTTATCCTTGTTTGACAGATGAGGAAACTGAGGCTCAGGGGGAGATGAACACCTTCCCCAAAAACACAGCAAGTAAGCAGCAGAGACAGGATTTGAACCCAGGCCCCGAATCCCAATATCTGGCCTCTGAACCACCACTACTGTCCTGCTGACTTTCGCACATGTTTTCATATCTGTAGAAAAAGTCTGGAAGATTAGACACCAAAATGTAACTGGTGGTGTCCTTGGAGTCCTCCAAGTGGGATAATCATGGGGACTTTCATTTTCTTGTTTCCCAAATATTCTACGATGACCAGCTATTACCTGTCCATGCTGAGAAAAAAGCTGCAGCTTAGCAGAAGGCCTTGGTAGTGACTCATCCCCTCAAGATCTCTATCATGTCCCGACTCTAAAGGGTCTGGTTGAGACTGGGTACGGTGGCTGATGCCTGTGATCCCAGCTCTTTGGGAGGCCAAGGAGGGTGGATCACTTGAGCTCAGGAGTTTGATACCAGCCTGGCCAAGATAGTGAAACTCCATCTCTACTAAAAATACCAAAAAATTAGCCGAGAGTGGTGGCACATGCCCTGTAGCCCCAGCTACTTGGGAGGCTGAGGCAGGAGAATTGCTTGAACCTGGGAGGCATAGGCTGCAGTGAACTGAGATCACGCCACTGCACTCCAGCCTGGGCAGCAGAGCAAGACTCCGTCTGAAAAAAACTAAATAAAATAAATAAAGGGTCTGGTTAAATGCTGATTGGTCAACACCTTAAGATATGGCACCGTCATGGAACAAAAATGTCTAAGCTGGAAGGCACCTTAGAGTTTAATTCCTGTTTCTCTTGTATTACCATCACGAGTAAGGAAAGTTCAGCCCACAGAGAGTCAGGCTGTGGCTGAGTTCCTGCTGCCACCCACGAGGGGTGGCCCTGGGCTTCTGTTTTCCCATTACGTCATGCTGCCTCCCAAGATGGGAGTGTGTGTGGATGACCAATGCTTCGTGGGGGGAGATGGTCCTTCCTTTTCCATCCGTTCTCTTCTCTGTATTGCTAGAAGCAGCCGCTGACCCAGCTGACATCACTTCCCACTGACCAGCAATCTGGCCTGGGGTTTCCAGTGACTAACATAGCAATTTAGGAACTTTCCATCTTAATTGGGCACTTCTCCTGGAGGCTTTCTGTGTGCAGGAGACTGTCACCAGCCCATTTTGTCCAAAGGGTAGGGGATTGTGCAATCTGGTCACAGCACTCACTGGCTCTGAAATTTTCTGTGGTCCCTTGTAACTCTTAGGATCAAGTCCAAACTCCAAAGCTGGGCATTCACTTGAGGGTCTTTGTTATGTGGTCCTGGGCTTCATCTCTTGCCTTCCCTTCTTCTACTCGGCCCACCTATGTTTATATATTTTTTTGTTTTGTTTTGTTTTATTTTTTTGAGATGGAGTCTCACTCTGTTGCCCACGCTGGAGTGCAGTGGCGTGATCTCGGCTCACTGCAACCTCTGCCTCCCGGGTTCAAGTGATTCTCCTGCCTCAGCCTTCCACGTAGCTGGGACTACAAGTGGGCACCACCACGCTTGGCTAATTTTTGTATTTTTAGTGGAGATGGGAGTTCACCATGTTGGCCAGGCTGGTCTCGAACTCCTGAACTTAGGTGATCCGCCCACCTCAGCCTCCCAAAGTGCTGGGATTACAGGCATGAACCACTGCACCCGGCTGATTACTCCTAGTTTTAATAAAAATGCCTTTCTCACTTCAGTAAACCAGTGGAATACTGGTCATAAAAATCCATTTATGGGCCAGGCACAGTGGTTCATGCCTGTACCAAAAAAAAAAATTAGCCAGGAATGGTGGTGTGTCTGTCATCCCAGCTGCTGGGGAGGCTGAGGTGGGAGGATTGCTTGAGCCTGGGAGGCCAAGGCTGTGGTGATCCATGTTTGCACCACTGTACTCATGCCACCTGGGCAACAGAGTGACACCCTGTCTCAAAAAAAAAAAAGATTTTTAAATTTTTATTTATTTTTAATTTTTATATTTTTGAGACTCAGTCTCTGTCGCTCAGGCTGGAGTGCAGTGGCACGATCTCAGCTCACTGCAACCTCCACCTCCTAGGTTCAAGTGATTTCTCCTACCTCAGCCTCCCGAGTAGCTGGGAGATTACAGGCGTGTGTTACCACACCTGGCTAATTTTTGTATTTTTAGTAGAGACGGGGTTTCACCATGTTGGCCAGGCTAGTATCGAACTCCTGACCTCAGGTGATCCACCTGCCTCAGCCTCCCAAAGTGCTAGGATTATAGGCATGAGCCACTGTGCCCAGTCCCTGTGGTATAATGTTAATAAATAAGACCAGGATGCAGAATCTCAGGTGAGGCATGGTGGCTCACACCTGCAATCCCAGCACTTTAAGAGGTTGAGGTGGGAAGATTGCTTGAGGCGAGGAGTGCGAGAGCAGCCTGGGCAACATAGTGAGACCCCATCTCTTAAGAAAAGGTACAAAATCAGCTGGGCACGGTGGCTCACGCCTGTAATCCCAGTACTTTGGGAGGCCGAGGCAGGCGCATCACAAGGTCAGGAGATTGAGACCATCCTGGCTAATGTGGTGAAACCTGGTCTCTACTAAAAATACAAAAAAATTAGCCAGGCGTGGTGGTGGGCGCCTGTAGTCCCAGCTACTCGGGAGGCTGAGGCCGGAGAATGGCCTGAACCCGGGAGGCGGAGCTTGCAGTGAGCTCAGGAGTGCACCACTGCACTCCAGCCTGGGTGACAGAGCGAGACTCCGTCTCAAAAAAAAAAAAAAAAAAAAAAAGAAAAGATACAAAATCTTACCTGCAGCGTGGCAACAACTACATCCAAAGACACATCTATGTAGAGGGGGTGATTTTTGGAAAGGGGAAGTACCCTAATGGCCTTAGGAGGGTGGTGAGATGCTGTGTAACTTTTCCCCCTGTATTGTCCATGTTTTTTTTTTTTTTTTTTTTTTTTGGTGAACAACCATCAATTTTATGGTAAAACACCAAAAGAAAGAATGCATTATTTTTATTGTTACTAGTGGTAGCTCCCTGCAAGTTTTGTCCCATACTTCAGAATTGGCAAAGTATTTTTGTATCCATGGCTCTCTGATCCTTATAACAGTTCTGTGAAGACGATGTGGTATGTGTGTGTGTTTTCATTCAGTCATTCACTTAGCATATCTTTTTTGTTGTTGTTTTTGGAGACAAGGTCTTGCTGTGTTGCCCAGGCTGGAGTGCAGTGACATCATCGTGGCTTGCTGCAGCCTCCAACTCCTGGGCTCAAGTGATCCTCCCATCTCAGCCTCCTGAGTAGCTAGGACTACAGATGCATGCCACCATGCCTGGCTACTTTGTTTATTTATTTATTTATTTATTTTGAGACAGAGTCTCTCTCTGTCTCCCAGGCTGGAGTGCAGTGGCGCGATCTTGGCTCATTGCAAGCTCTGCCTCTCGGGTTCATGACATTCTCCTGCCTCAGCCTCCCGAGTAGCTGGGACTACAGGTGCACGCCACCACGCCCGGCTAATTTTTTGTATTTTTAGTAGAGACGAGGTTTCACCATGTTAGCCAGCATGGTCTCAATCTCCTGACCTTGCGATCTGCCCGCCTTGGCCTTCCAAAGTGCTGGGATTACAGGCGTAAGCCACTGCGCCTGGCCTACTTCGTTTATTTTTTGTAGAGACAGGGTCTTTTTTTTGTTTTGAGATGGAGTCTCGCTCTGTCGCCCAGGCTGGAGTGCAATGGCGTGATCTTGGCTCACTGCAAGCTCCGCCTCCCAGGTTCACGCCATTCTCTTGCCTCAGCCTCCCGAGTAGCTGGGACTACAGGTGCCCGCCACCACGCCCGGCTAATTTTTCTATTTTTAGTAGAGACAGGGTTTCACCGTGTTAGCCAGGATGGTCTTGATCTCCTGACCTTGTGGTCCACCTGCCTCGGCCTCCCAAAGTGCTGGGATTACAGGTGTGAGCCACCATGCCCGGCCTACTTTGTTTATTTTTTGTAGAGACAGGGTCTCACTATGTTGCCCAGGCTGGTCTTGAACTCCTGAGCTCCAGCAATCCCTCCTTGGTCTCCTAAAGTATTGGAATTACAGCTGTGAGCCGCTGCACCTGGCCTCATACACTTGTTGAGTTCCCCTGACCAGGACTGGGACTTAGCTGAGAGGAATGAGATGCCCAGGGCAAAATGTAAGGAGGCGCTGATGCTCAGGGTCCTGCGGTGCCACCTGAAGATGAGCGCCTCCTGCATTTTCCTTCCCTAGGTGCCTCACCTGACTCACCCTCATCCTGGCCCCACCTCCACTCTGAACCAGGCACTATTCTCAATTCTGGGGAAGTAACAGTGAACCAAACAGGTAGAGCTCCCTGCCTACACGGACCTTCCATTATAGAAGGGGAGGCAGGCAGAGCTAGTACCCACTGAGGCTCCCACGGGCGCAGTGACTGCCCCAGGCATAGCAGCAGCCAATGCTCAAGGCTTTGACCCTCCTGTCCCGTGGTCTTTCTCCTAAGTCATATGTACTGGACCCCATGGGTGCCCAGCAGAGTCAGCGTTGTAACTTGGGCCACCTGTGGACCTCAGCTAATGGTGGTGTTTCCAGTGTGGAGGCGGTGGTTGGGGAGGATGTCCTGGAAAAGCCCAGCTAGGGGCTAGTGTGGGGACCTGTCCTAGAGGGACTGCCTCTCTGACTCTAAGCAGAGTTCTCTCCGTCCCTTCCAGCCTCCTACGTGATCACAGACCTGACCCAGCTGCGGAAGATCAAGTCCATGGAGCGGGTGCAGGGTGTGAGCATCACGCGGGAGCTGCTGTGGTGGTGGGGCATGCGGCAGGCCACCGTCCAGCAACTTGTGGACCTCCTGTGCCGCCTGGAGCTCTACCGGGCTGCCCAGATCATCCTGAACTGTGAGTAACTCAGGGCCCTCCTTGAGTGGGGCCCATCACGCTCCTGAGCAGTTTCCATCCGTGTGAGTTGCACTCTCTGGCCTTAATACTTTTTTCCTCTTTTAATTAAAAAATTTAATGAGTGAGTTTACCATGCACATAAGAAACTGGTAACAGGCCAGGTGCGGTGGCTCACGCCTGTAATCCCAGCACTTCCGGAGGCTGAGGTAGGTGAATCACCTGAAGTCAGGAGTTTGAGACTGGCCTGGCTAACATGGTGAAAACCCGTCTCTACTAAAAATACAAAATTAGCTGGGCTTGGTGGCCTGCGCCTGTAATCCCAGCTACTCAGGAGGCTGAGGCAGGAGAATCGCTTGAACCTGGGAGGCGGAGGTTGCAGTGAGCCAGGATTGCACCACTGCACTCCAGCCTGGGTGACAGTGAGACTCTGTCTCCAAAAGAAAAAAAAAAAAGAAACAAAAAAAAGAAACTGGTAACAGTGGTTACCTGTGGGGAGAGGAACTGGGCTGCCAGAGAACACAGTATTGGAGGGAGACTTTACTGTAAATTATTTCATACCTTTTAAATTTGGGCTATCTGTTCCAAAAATAAATACATTAATTAATTTAAAAAACCCCAATAGCTATAACAAAAATTCAAAAAAGCATGCAGCAAAAATGATTCATATTGCTTCTTTTCCCCACTTTACATCCCAAGAAGTAATGATTGGTAAAAATTTCTGGCTTGTCTTACTAGAAATTTTCTCTGCATGGGCAAGGGTATTATATATCTGCAATTCCTTTTTTAAAAACTTTTTTTTTGAGACAGGGTCGTGCTCTGCTGCCCAGGCTGGAGAGCAATAGTGTGATCAAAGCTCACTGCAGCCTTGATGTCCTGGGCTCAAGTGTCCTCCTGCCTCAACTTCCTGAGTAATTGGGACTATAGGCACATGCCACCATGCCTGACTAATTTTTCATTTTTTTGTAGAGATCCAGGCTGGTCTTGAACTCCTGGTCTCAAGTGATCCTCCTGCCTTGGCCTCCCAAAGTGCTGGGATTGCAGGCATGAGTCACATCACCCTGCCTGCAACCCCCTTTTGATACAGCTAGTAGCACATCATGTATTGTGAATTTTTTTTCACCTAGCAAAGACCTTGGGGACTTTTCATATTGACACATTCTTTCTAATAGCTACATTGTATTCCTTTGACAGATGCTCTATGATTTGTTTGCCCCTATTGAGATGTGTTTATGTTCCTTCTAGCATTTTTCAGTTGTTTTTTTTTTTTTTGAGATGAAGTTTCACTCTGTCTCCCAGGCTGGAGAGCAGTGGCACGATCTTGGCTCACCACAACCTCCACCTCCCATGTTCAAGAGATTCTCCTGCCTCAGCCTCCCAAGTAGCTGTGATTACAGGTGCCCACTACCACATCCAGCTAATTTTTTTTTTTTTTATATGAAGTCTCTCTCTGTTGCCCAGGCTGGAGTGCAGTGGTGAGATCTCGGCTCATTGCAGCCTCTGCCTCCTGGGTTCAAGTGATTCTCCTGCCTCAGCTTCCTGAGTAGCTGGGACCACAGATACCCACCACCATGCCCGGCTAATTTTTGTATTTTTAGTATAGACGGGGTTTCACTGTGTTGGCCAAGCTGGTCTCAAACTCCTGACCTCAAATGATCCACCTGCCTTGGCCTTCCAAAGTGCTGGGATTATAGGTGTGAGCCACCGTGCCCAGTCAACTTTTTGTAGTTTTAGTAGAGACAGGGTTTCACTATGTTGACCAGGCTGATCTCCAACTTCCAACCTCAGGTGATCTGCCCACCTTGGCCTCCCAAAGTGCTGGGATTACAGGTGTGAGCCACCATGCCCAGCCATTTTTCTATTCTGTATAGTGTCATGATACACTTAGATGTATAGAGCCTGTTTTGCACACATGTAAGTGTAGCCATGGGATGGCTTTCTATTATAGTATTGGAATGTCTGGGTTGAAGGTTTTTGCATTTTAAGTGTTGATTGATATTTAGTATTAACAAATTACCCTCCTCTGAGAGAACAGGATCATGTGTGATGGGGACATATTTAGCTGGTAATACCTCCCTACCCTGAAGGGTGGCTGTGAAGTCGAAGAGAATAAGTGCCTGATGTTCAGCTGGTGCTCAGCAGAAGGCAGTGGGGATGGGGGGTCTGGTTACCCCCACCCCTCCTCACATCCCCAAAGAGACCCCCTCAGCGTAGGGCAGGGAGCCAGTCTTCTGCATGTACTTAACTGAGCACCTGCCTGGTTCTGCCCTAGGTTCTGGAATACAGCACAGGCAATGTGACAGGTCCTCCGCCCTCATGAGGACACAGTCTTGTGAGGAGACAGTTAATGCATAGGAAAACTAGTACAGAAATGGGCAGGCAGGATACAGTGACCAGATAGGGGAGCCTCCTAGGACAGGGGGTCAAGGAAGGCCAGTGTGAGGATGTGAACCTAGAGGAATAGGAAGAAGACAGCCACATGACGCATTGGGTAAGAGCTCAGGAGAGAGGGGCCAGCATGTGCAAGGGCCCTGAGGAGCCAGTGGTGGGAGCCCCAGACACCTGGGGAGGAGCTGTCCTGTCTGGGGTTCCTGAGCTGGGAACCACCTGGCTGGACCATCAGACCAGATTCAGCACCTGCCTATCCCTCAGGTCTTCTGGAGTCATTGAGGGCTTCCAGGAGGGGGGACTGGGAGCAAAGGCCTGAGGGTGGGGGCCTAGAGAGTACCACCCTCTGAGATAAACCAGGAGAGCAGGGGATGCTGTGGTGGACGTGCAGGTGGAGAGATCTAGAGCTACAGCCCAGGCTGGGCTTTTGGGGGCATTGTGGGGCAGACCACACCAGTCACGGGGAGGCCAGTGGGGCAGCGAGAACATCTCCTCCCTTCAGCTGGCAAGCAACTTTCCAGGCCCTCCTGTCTGGGGTCGGGAATGGGGCGATCTGGCTACCAATGGGAGTGATGTTCCAGCACAGGACGGTGGCTGGGCCTGCTTCTGCACAGGCTGGACCCTGACTCCTCTGTGTGCCCCCAGCAGCATAGTGGTGGCTCCTCTTGAGTCATGGTCCTCCCCATCCCCTGGACTTCTGTCTCCACCCCTGCTGGCTGCCTCCCTAAGCACACCTTCCTCCTCAGAGTGGAGAGGGTCAGCTAGCTGCCCAGGCCACAGCCTCCCCATTCCTGGAACCCACCTGAAACCCCTCCCTGCCCGGTGCTCCTGAGCCGCTGCCGTTCCTCTCCTTACATTCCCCCTGCGAAAGTTGTCAGAATCAATATGGAGTGACTTTGTGTTAAAAAAAAAAATAACCCTTGGCTGGGCATGGTGGCTCACGCGTGTAATCCCATCACTTTGGGAGGCCGAGGCGGGTAGATCACCTGAGGTCAGGAGTTTGAAACCAGTCAGACCAACATGGTGAAACCCTGTTTCTACTAAAAATACAAAAAAATTAGCTGGGCTCCTGTAGTCCCAGCTACTCATGAGGCTGAGGCAGGAGAATTGCTTGAACCTGGGAGGCGGAGGTTGCAGTGAGGGGAGATTGCACACTGCACTCCAGCCTGGGTGACAGAGCGAGACTCCATTTCAAAAATAAATAACCCTGACAAATAGAACTAGGGAAGGCCATGAAGGGAGGACTGTCATGCATAAATGCCCAACAACAATAACTGTCACGGAAGACTCTACAAAAACCACAACCTTGCATAAAGACCATTGTAACCACACACAAAAAATACTTCTGCGAGGACATCTGCCCAGCAAATGCCTATCCGACCCTGGAGACTGGAATCACTCTTGTTATTCAAGGATAGTTATCTCAAAACAGTTATGTAATCCTCTTCACTTTTCCTTTGAAAAACCTCCCTGGATACACACTTAGTTTACTATGGCACGTGTACTCTCATTCCAATGCCCTATTCCTGAGTAAGCATCATTTTCTTTTTTTTCTTTTTCTTTTCTTTTTTTTTTTTTTTGAGATGGAGTCTTGCTCTGTCACCCAGGCTGGAGTGCAGTGGCGCAATCTTGGCTCACCGCAACCTCTGCCTCCCAGGTTCAAGCGATTCTCTTCCCTCAGCCTCCCAAGTAGCTGGGACTACAGGCACCTGCCACCACACCTGGCTAATTTTTGTATTTTCAGTAGAGACGGGGGTTTCACCATATTGGCCAGGCTGGTCTCGAACTCCTGACCCGAGGTGATCCACCGGCCTTGGCCTCCCAAAGTGCTGGGATTACAGGTGTGAGCCACTGTGCCCAGCTACATCATTTTCTTTTTTTCTTTTTTTTTTTTTGGGACAGAGTCTCACTCTGTCGCCCAGCCTGGAGTGCGGTGGCACGATCTCGGCTCACTGCAAGCTCCGCCTCCCAGGTTCATGCCATTCTCCTGCCTCAGCCTCCCGAGTAGGTGGGACTACAGGTGCCCGCCACCACGCCCGGCTAATTTTTTGTATTTTAGTTAGAGACGGGGTTTCACCTGTTAGCCAGGATGGTCTCGATCTCCTGACCACGTGATCCGCCCGCCTCGGCCTCCCAAAGTGCTGGGATTACAGGCGTGAGCCACTGCGCCCGGCCTTGTATTTTTAGTAGAGATGGGGTTTCGCCATGTTGGCTAGGCTAGTCTCAAACTCCTGACCTCAGGTGATCTGCCCGCCTCAGCCTCCCAAAGTGCTGGGATTACAGGCTGAGCCACTGCGCCAGGCCCTTTATTTTTTTAATTTTAATTTTTTGTTATCTCTATAGTAGTTCAAACAGATGCCCACTAATTTGTTTTTTTTTTTTTGAGACGGAGTCTCTTTCTGTCACTGAGGCTGGAGTGCAGTAGTGCGATCTCAGCTTACTGCAACCTCTGCTTCTGGAGTTCAAGTGGTTCTCCTGCCTCAGCCTCCCAAGTAGCTAGGATTATAGGTGTGCCCCGCTGCATCTGGTTAAGTTTTTGAATTTTTAATAGAGATGGGGTTTCACCATGTTGGCCAGGCTATTCTTGAACTCCTGGCCTCAAGTGATCTGCCCACCTCGGCCTTCCAAAGTGCCAGGATTACAGCCGTGAGCCACCGCGCCTGGCTGGATGCCCACCACCTCTTAAAGGGTGTTAATGATAAATTTGAAGAAAACAGTACTTGAAAGCCCCACACACCAGAAGTCCTGGACATGAAGTGGCTTCCTGAGGGACTTACCTCTCCAGGGGATGTGCCTGGATGTGACTGTGGCCTTTTGAAGGCCATGCTTGAACTCAGTGGTACGACAGGGGCCCACTGGGGGCCATATCCCTGCACAGTCTCTTGAAATGTGAACTGCAGTGGCTGCCTGGTCTGAATGGGTAGAGGGCTGGCTCTGTGGGTCTCTGTTCCTTGATATTTCCTCAGCCTTAGTTGCCAAGGCCGTAGTTATTTAATTTGTCAAACACTGAATACTCTAAGAATTAGAATGGGCCGGGCGCAGTGGCTCAAGCCTGTAATCCCAACACTTTGGGAGGCCGAGGCGGGCAGATCACAAGGTCAGGAGATCGAGACCATCCTGGCTAACACAGTGAAACCCTGCCTCTACTAAAACAAACAAACAAAAATTAGCCTGGCGTGGTTGCGGGTGCCTGTAGTCCCAGCTACTCAGGAGGCTGAGGCAGGAGAGTGGTGGGAACCCGGGAGGCGGAGCTTGCAGTGAGCCAAGATGGCACCACTGCACTCCAGCCTGGCGGCAGAGCGAGACTCCGTCTCAAAATAAATAAATAAATAAATAAATAAGAGAATTAGAATAAATCAGTACAGAAGGCTTAGAACAGAAAGCAGCTACCCATTCCTTGCCCTAGCAAATCTGCTGGCCAGAGTCAGCCCCTTTTTCCTCTTTTAGCCATCCATGTCTTGGGCTCCTCTATTAGCCTTCCAGGTTCACTACTGTAAAACAAGCGCAGACCACAGTGGCTGAGAAAAGACAGGCGTTCGTTTCCCTCTCCTGTGACTGCCAGGCTGCCCCGGGCTCAAGTGGCAGCTCCGTGGTTTTGTGGCCCAGGCTCTTTCTTCTTTACTGTTCTGCCAGTGTGGACACAAGACTTCTCACATCTGAGATGGCCCCTCTGTGCCCCTACATGCACATCGCAGACAGCAAGAAGGGAAAAAGAGGAAAAAGGTGGGTACACTCCACTTCTTTTAAGGACATGACCAGGAAGTTGCTCACCTACTTTCCCTCATAAGCTATTGGCCAAACCTGGTCACAGAACCACACCTGCTTGCAAGGGAGGCTGGGAAATGTAATCTTTGGTTGCAAGGTTTTATGTGCAACTAAAGCTTCTAGTACTCTAGAAAAGGAGGCAATCAGTATTGGAGGGACCATTAGCAGTTTCTGCCACGGTCCATTTTGGCCACCCAGATATCTGTATACACCTGTCTTGACCTGCATAAAACATCTGCTTTCCACAAGGGAGATAGGCCTGGGGGCCTAATCAGTCACTTCCTTTAGGGCAAATCTGGTATGTGTGGGTGATGTGTAGCCTTCTCTAATGGCCCCAGTGACCCAGGGCCTCTCAACCAAAGAGAAGCTGTCTGCATCCCCTTCCCCCAGCACACCCAAATTCCATGGTGGAATTTGAACAGGAAGCCACAATAAAAAACTCCTACTTGAGATGAGAAACACGAGGTAGTTACTTGTCTATAGCAGTCAACAAATCTGGCAGAGGAGCAATTGTAAAACTCCCTTCCCTGTTTTTTTGTGGAGTTTTTGTGTGTTTTTTTTTTTTTTTTTTTTTTTTGAGACGGAGCCTTGCTCTGTCGCCCAGGCTGGAGTGCAGTGGCGCGATCTCGGCTCACTGCAAGCTCCGCCTCCCAGGTTCACGCCATTCTCTTGCCTCAGCCTCCCGAGTAGCTGGGACTACAGGCGCCCGCCACCATGCCCGGCTATTTTTTTATTTTTTTTTATTTTTAGTAGAGACGGGGTTTCACCGTGTTAGCCAGGGTGATCTCCTGACCTCGTGATCCGCCCGCCTTGGCCTCCCAAAGTGCTGGGATTACAGGCGTGAGCCCCTGCGCCGGGCCAAAACTCCATTCCCAGGTAAAGGAGTAAGTTCTTTGCTTGGCCCATCTGGCAGCCCTTGGTTCTCAGTGATCTGTGATTCGCGAAGCATCCTAAGCATCAGTATCACCTGGGAACTTGTTAGAAACGCAAATTATTGGGCCCCACCTCATCTGCTGATTCGGAAACTCTAGTGGTGAGGCCCAGCAGTCTGGCTTAAGTTCCCCAGATGATTCTGATGCACCTTGAAGTTTAAGAACCACTGCTCGGCCCGGCGCGGTGGCTCATGCATGTAATCCCAGCACTTTGGGAGGCCCAGGCAGGCGGATCACCTGAGGTCGGGAGTTCGGGACCAGCCTGACCAACATGGAGAAACCCTGTCTCTACTAAAAACACAAAATTAGCCGGGCGTGGTGGTGCATGCCTGTAATCCCAGCTACTCAGGAAGGCTGAGGCAGGCGAATCGCTTGAACCTGGGAAGCAGAGATTGTGGTGAGCCAAGATCGCACCATTGTACTCCAGCCTGGGCAACAAGAGTGAAACTCCGTCTCAAAAAAAAAAAAAAAAAAAAAGAACCACTGCTCTGGCTGGGCGCGGTGGCTCACACCTGTAATCCCAACACTTTGTGAGGCTGAGGTGGGTGGATCACTTGAGGTCAGGAGTTCAAGACCAGCCTGGCCAACATGGTGAAACATCGTCTCTACTAAAAATACAAAAATTAGGCCAGGCGTGGTGGCTCAGGCCTGTGATCTCAGCTACTTGGGAGGCTGACGCAGGAGAATTGCTTGAACCTGGGAGGTGGAGGTTTGCAGTGAGCTGAGATTGTGCCACTGCACTCCATCCTGGGCGACAGACTACACTCCGTCTCAAAAATAAATAAAAATGGAAATACAAAAATTAGCCAGAGGTGGCGGTGGGCACGTGTAATCCCAGCTACTCGGGAGGCTGAGGCAAGAGAATCTCTTGAACCAGGAGGCAGAGATTGTTGGGAGGCAGAGATTGCAATGAGCCAAGATTGTGCCACTGCACTTCAGCCTGGGTGACAGAGCAAGACTCCGTCTCAACAACAACAACAACAACAACAAAACACTGCTCTGATACCTGGTCCTCCGTGATTTCTGGGAAGTGGAGCTTCCACGTTCATTATTCTCTGTGGCCTTATCTGAAACGGAACTGGAAAGAATGTGCTTTTATTTAGGGCTCCTTGGCTTTCACAAACCACCTCCTGCTGGTGTGGGTTTGGGGACTTGAGTGGAGCTGTAGGAGTCAAATAATCTCCAGCTTTTATCAGATTCAGCTGTGGTTTCTTTGGCAACACAGTTCTGTCAAAAAACTAGAAGCTTCTGCTCTCTTGGCTTCTAATCAGTTCTGCTGTGGTAATCACAGCCGAAGATCCAGCCTAGACACATCTTAATTCTCAGCCCTGAAGTGTTTGGTCTGTTATTTCCTGGCTTCTGCGCTTAGCCTCGCCTCCTCACCCCCCAATTTAATGTGCTTACCTGGAGCTTCCCTTGAAGCCACCTGAAACAGTAAGTTGGATGGGAAGGCAGGACTCTTAATTTGACTTTTGCCTTTGAGCTCTCTGTATTTGGCAGAGAACCTCTTCTGAGGGTCAGTAGTAGAACTCAGAAAGGTGGAGCAGAGATTAGATTATTAGAAAGGTTAGTACCACAGTCTTCCCTGCTGCTGAGGCAGACTCTTGAGATCCCCCAAGATGGGGATTCTTGTTGACTTGGATTGTTAGCTACAGGCTGGGTCTTTGTTTTCTTTCTTTCCTTTTTTTTTTTTTTTTTTTTTAAATAGAGACAGAATCTCGCTTTGTTGCCCAGGCTGGAATGCAGTGGGGCAGTGGTACAATCTTAGCTTACTGCTGTTTTGAACTCTTGTGCTCAAACAGTCCTCTTGCTTCAGCCTCCCAAGTAGCTAGGACTATAAGTGCAAACCACCATGCCCAGCTAACTTTTTTTTTTTTTTTCAGATTTTGGAATTTTTGCATTATATCCTTAGTGGCTGAGCATCCCTAATTCGAAAATCCAGTATCTGAAGTGCATTTCTTTTGAGTGTCATGTTGTTGCTCAAGAAGTTTTGGATGTTGGAGCATTTTGGATTTCAGGTTTTCAGATTAGGGTGACTCCAACTGTTATCACTATTTTCAGTCCCTCTATAGGTTGGCTTTGCAGTGTTAACAAATGTACTTACATTTCTTCCATAAGCTATAGGCAATGTCTCCCGATGCCCCATTTTGTAAAATGAAGCCCTTTTTATCCTCTCCTCTCCACTTTCACTTCCCATCTTCTGGCAAAGACTAGTTGAAAAATAGTCCTCTGTGAATGTTGTGACCTCTGAGCCTCCAGGAAAGAACTGGGTCTTGGATGAAGATTCACCCTCTGGGTCAGACAGGAAGGCGGAATACTGCCTTTGTGTCCTAATTGAAAGCTGCCTCATTGTCATGTGGAGAGTACTACATGCACAGGGCATCTGCAGTAGCAGATCATGGTCTAGAGTAGCATTTCCCACACCATGTGCCTCAGAAGACTGGTCCAGCAAGATACCCTGCTGCAAACAAAAGGGTTCATGAATAACTAAACTCGGGAAACCCCGCATACTTTATCACTGCCTCTGCCTTTGGAGATTTACAATGCATACCAACTGTGAAGGCTCTGATACGTCCTGCAGCAAAGAAACTTATTTAGGCTATTGTTTCCCATTCATATTTGACCATGGTACTCCTTTTCATTTGATACTGATATGCCCATGAGATCAATATACTTTGTGAGTCACTGCTCTGGGGAAATGGTGACCATGGTGAGGGTGCTGGGCATCTCAGGGAAGCCCCATGATGGAGAACCTAGGGGGTCAGAGGCAGTACTTGTATGTTCAGACCAGCATCCAGTGTGAGAAGAGTCTGTTTCTGGGGCTAGGGTCCGCCATCACCCTGGGGCTTAACGATGAGAGGCCTACTCCAGAGAGGGATTTTTCCAGATGACCAGGCTTAGGAGGGGACTGTGGGCCGGGCTCCAGACCTTATATACTGGCATCTTAGGGGCTTAAGAGCAGGAATTGAGGCAGAAGTGAGTATCCCAGCTGTGGCTCCCAGGCAAAGGAGAATCCACTATAATCAATGCTGAGCTCTAGAGCTGATTAAGTGCCACCAAAGGCTGGGTTAGGTGCTGAGCCTGTAGATGGTGGGGAGCAGATGGCTCTGGCTCTGAGGGTGGAGTCTGGAAACTGGGTGCACTGGCCTGTGAGGTGAAATTCTCCCTCTGCCCTGCCACAGGGATTTAGATATGCAGGAGCTGGACAAGAGAGTTAATAAGGAACTAAAAATACATTTTTTGTCTTTTTGAGATGGAGTCTCACGCTGTCACCTGGGCTGGAGTGCCATGGCTCGATCTCGGCTCACTGCAACCTCCGCCTCCCGGGTTCAAGCGATCCTTGTGCCTCAACCTCTGAGTAGCTGGGATTACAGGCATGCACTACCACGCCTGGCTAATTTTTGTAATTTTATTTATTTATTTATGTATTTATTTATTTTTGAAATGGAGTTTCGCTCTTGTTGCCCAGGCTGGAGTGCAATAGCGCAATCTCGGCTCACCACAACCTCTGCCTCCCGGGTTCAAGCGATTCTCCTGCCTGAGCCTCCCGAGTAGCTGGGATTACAGGCATGCGCCACCACGCCCGGCTTATTTTGTATTTTTAGTAGAGACAGGGTTTCTCCATGTTGGTCAGGCTGGTCTCAAACTCCCGACCTCAGGTGATCCCCCTGCCTTGGCCTCCCAAAGTGCTGGGATTACGGGTGTGAACCACTGTGCCTGGCCTAATTTTTGTATTTTTAGTAGAGACAGGGTTTTGCCGTGTTGGCCAGGCTGGTCTTGAATCCCTGACCTCAGTGATCCACCCGCCTTGGCCTCCCAAAATATTGGGATTATAGGCATGAGCCACTGCGCCTGGCCTAAAAATACATTTGCTGAGTGCCTACTGTGCGCTAGATGCTGGGGATGCAACCATGAAAACACAGCCAAGGTCTCAGGCCTCATGGAGCTTACAGTCCAGTGGGAGATGAATTATAAGAAGCTAACACACAGATGCATGTCACCCACTGCAGTATGAGTGCTCAAAGGATAAATGTAGGTCAGGTGGGGAGGGCAGGTAGGAGAGTGCAAGATGAGAGGATTTGATCTCATCAGGGGAAGTTTCTCTGAGGCAGTGAAACTTGAGCCTCCTCCGTAAGGAATAGTGGACCAAGAAGTGAAGGACGACACACACATATCTAGCCGGGGGGAGCAGCATGTACAAAGGCCTGGGGGTGGGCTGAGGCTGGGGACAGGGCAGGGTCAGGCCACCCAGTGCCATGCAGGCTACCGCCAAGAGTTTGCTTTCACCGGAGAGTGAAGGGAAGACGTTGGAGGGCTTCCACCTGGGAGTATCCCCTGTTTTGGCCACTATATGGACTGGGGGGCTGGGCCTGTGAGGTTCCAGATGTCAACTGAGTAGGACAGGAAGACACTTCAGGAATCCGAAGGGATTTGGGAAGTGACCAAGGTTTTCTCTTCCCATCTGTTGCTACTATCTACCTGAAGTCTTGAGTTTCACAATTTTCATGCAGTTTCTTCTTGGTTGTGCAACTCTTGACAGTTTCTAACTTTGGGTTTGGCATCTCGGCCAGAGTCATTTCCTTCCTGGAGCTGGGCTCTCATTGAGTGGAAAATTTGGGGCTGCTATGTAAAATGAAACAGAAGAGAATGAACCCTTCCTCTCCGGAAGGGGCCGGGCTGTGCCAGGTCCAGACAGGGCTTGTGTGTCTGCTCTCTTGGAAGGCTGCCCTGCCTCCGCCCCTTTCCAGCTGCTAGGGCACAACAGAACATGCCTACATCCAGACCCTGCCCACTGCAGACTTGCCACTGGAGGCGACACTGTTTTGGGCCAAAACCACAGGCCAGGGGTCAGAGCACCTGGGTTCTAGTAATAGCTTGTGTTTAGCACCTGATATGTGCCAGGTAAGCATCTTTTCTCACAACTCTTATTATCCCTATTTTATAGAAGAGGAAACTGAGGCTCAGAGATTAAGTAATTTCCCAAGGCCACATAGCCCATAGTGATGAGGCCAACATGGGAATTCAGGTCTGCCTGACCTTACCCGCTTCTTGGTAGGTTACTAGATTGCATCATCACTTGCCCCATCTGGAAAATGGGTAAAGACATTGCCCTATCTACTTTTCTTGTAGACTGGGAAGGTTCAAAGCATACGAGATGGTGAGGTTTTCTTTGTTTCTTTTTTTTTTTTTTTTTGTGAGACAGAGTCTCACTCTGTTGTCCAGGCTGAAGTGCAGTGGCATGAGCTTGGCTCACTGCAACCTCTGCCTCGTGGACTCAAGCAATTATCCTGCCTCAGCCTCCCGAGTAGCTGGGACTACTGGCGCCCACCACCACGCCCAGCTAGAGGTTTTCTTAAAGTTAATTGCTGAGTGGCTAAGGACAGGTCACTTGACCTTTTCCTTCCATGCATTCATTATTCCATTGGAAAAAAGCAAGGCTTTAATCACTGTTGGTCTCTTGAGAGTGGTGTTAGAATGAACAGAGTGTGGAATGCCTCTAAGCCAGTCCCCAGTGTTTCAGAGAGGAAGGGTAAGAGCTAGGGTGAAGTGAACCATCCTTTATTGAACTCCTGCTAGATGCTTAGCTCTTACAACTAGTCTCCTCCAGTTGCAAGTTTTGGACACATACTCAGATGATGCATTAGCCAGGATAGGCTTGGTTATGCTGCGGTATCAGATAAACCTTGAAATCTAGTTCCTCAACGCAACAAATATTGATTTCCCACTCACCTGAAGTCCAGTAAGGGTCATGCAGCCTCCTGCATTCTTGTAGCCAGCTAAGTCATCTAGAACATGTGGCTTCCAAAGTCACTGTGGCTGGGGAAGAGAGGGTTGGAAGAGGCTCACTAGCTGTTAAGTGCTTCGTCCAGGAAGTGATAGATAGCATCTTCACTTAAAATCCACTGGCTAGGCCGGGCGCGGTGGCTCAAGCCTGTAATCCCAGCACTTTGGGAGGCCGAGGCCGGCGGATCACAAGGTCAGGAGATCGAGACCATCCTGGCTAACATGGTGATACCCCGTCTCTACTAAAAATAAAAAAAAATTAGCTGGGCGTGGTGGCGGGTGCCTGTAGTCCCAGCTACTCAAGAGGCTGAGGCAGGAGAATTGCTTGAACCCGGGAGGCGGAGCTTGCAGTGAGCCGAGATCGCGCCACTGCACTCCAGCCTGGGCAACAGAGCGAGAATCTGTCTCAAAAAAAAAAAAATCCACTGGCTAGAACCAGTCGTGACGCCCAGCCTAATTGCTAAGGAGGCAGGAGTATGAGACAGAGCAGATGGTTATTTGGTAAGTACTCTCTCAGCTACAGGTTACCTCAGTTCCAGGGCGCTTACAGTAAGGTTCTGCCTAACTGTGGCCTACAAGGCCCTGCATGGTCTACCTTTGCCCGGCTCTTCAACCTCACCTCTACCACTTTCCCCCTCAGTCATTCCCCTCAGCCACTACGGTCATCCTTCACTTGCGGGGATATGCCAAGTGTTTGCTGCCTAAGGACCTTTGCACACGTGTTCCCTCTCCTTGGAATGCTGTCTCTCCCCAGCTTCCCTACATTCTTCCATGCTAGTCCTTTTCATCCTCTGGGTGTCTGCATATGTGGCCCCTTCTCATGGCAGCTTTTCCTGGCCAGCCTATGGAAGTAGGTCCATCAGGCACCCCTCCCTCGAGTTTGTTTTCAGCATAGAGCACCTCCCAGTTTATAATTAGATGTCTTTTATTTAACTAGCTTAATGTCAGTATTACGGCAGTTTTGATAAAGGATTCCCCATTCCCTAACACAAAATGAATGAATGAATGAATGAGAAAGAATGAGTCATTTCAGCAGCAGGTGGAGTACAAGTTCAGTGGAGAACCAGGGATCGCACAATTAGGAAGGCAGGCTGTGCTCTCAGGTTTGCCTCATTTCAGGTCTAGCTTGAGTTGGGAGTGTGTGTGTGTGTGTGTGTGTGTGTGTGTGTGTGTGTTGTGTGTTGTGTGTGACTGTGTATGGCCTGGAGGGCCAAACCCAGGGATTAGGAGGGAAAGGAAAAGAGAGGGCGCGGAAAGCTGTGTTTGTCCCTGATAGAGCCAGCTGGCACGAGGGTGCTTTAGTTATAGCTGAATCACTTTTGTTTGTTCTGGAAGGGATCTATTCTGGCCACATGAGTCAGCCTAAGAACAAATTACTGTGTAGTTTGACGGGCGTGAAGGGTTGGGGGGAATTTCCAGAGTGTGCTCACCCAGGAAAGACCTTGTTGCCAGCTCTGAGTCCCCTCTGCTCCAACAGCTCCTGGATTTGCCACCGTGTGAAATGTTCTCAGGCAGCTAGTGTGACGGCCCAGGCCCCGTCAGCCAAAGGCCCAGCACCCATAAACATCCTTTAGTCCTTTCTCCTGAAGGAACTGGGCCATAAACAAGCACATAATAAATAAATCTGCATTCTAGGCTTCGCTTTCTTCAGATATAAGACAACTACCTTATACTTGGTAGCAATTATCCCCCAGAGCTGTTACCTGAATTAAATAGGCCACAGATATGGGCAAGAACTTAGGAAAAAAAGCCTGACCTAGAGTTAGAGTGGTCATTATAATAACAGTAGTAGGAGGCCAAGGCGGACGGATCACCTGAGGTCAGGAGTTCGAGACCAGCCTGGCCAATATGGCAAAACCCCGTCTCTACTAAAAATACAAAAATTAGCCGGGCGTGATGGTGTCTGCCTGTAATCCCAGCTACTCGGGAGGGTGAGGTAGGACAATCGCTTGAACCCAGGAGGCAGAAGTTGTAATGAGCAGAGATCGTGCCACTGTACTCCAGCCTGGGCAACAGAGCGAGACTATAGCAAATGATGGTAGCTTAGATCTGCTGGGTGTTAATTTTTTTATCCTCATGGCTGGTCTCGGGTCGGGGGTCCACTTCCACATCTCATTTGTCGGATGAGGAAGCCAAGGCTTAGGAGGATCCCCCTGCTGGTGAGCCTGACTGCAGGACACACTCCAGACTGCGGGAGTTCATTTGCCTTCCGTGGCATCAGTGATTCATGCTCATTAGGAAGAGCACAGGCATTCCGAAAACAAATCAGAGAGAAAAAGAAATCATGCCTGGCAACCAGCTCTGGTGAACCATGACAGGGGCACAGAGAAGCGCTTCTGCCCCTCCCCCATTTCCTCCTTGTATCTGGGACTCAGCCCTCATCACTGTGGGTTCTCAGCCTCAGCAAGGCAGCTTTCACGGATATCCAGATTCCAGGCTGGGTGCAGTGGCTCACACCTGTAATCCCAGAACTTTGGGAGGCCAAGGCAGGTAGATTGCTTGAGCCCAGGAGTTTGAGATCAGCTTGCGCAATATGGCAAAACCCTGTCTCTACCAAAAAAAAACAAAAACAAAAACAAAAACAAAATTAGCCTGGCGTGGTGGCGTGCTCCTGTGGTCTCAGCTACTTGGGAGGCTGAGGTGG
This sequence comes from Homo sapiens, assembly GCF_000001405.40. NCBI lineage: Eukaryota > Metazoa > Chordata > Mammalia > Primates > Hominidae > Homo > Homo sapiens. The sequence continues at coordinate 10,193,531 of NC_000003.12, forward strand.
GAGGATTGCTTGAACTTGGGAGGTAGAGGCTGCAGTGAGCTATGGTTGCACCAGTGCACTCTAGCCTGGGTCACAGAGCAAGACTCTGCCTCAAAAACAAAAACAAAAAATCCAGACTCTGTCTGAGAACTGCCGTGTCAACCTTCTGGTGCCTGTGGCCACCTAAGCTATAGATTAGCTGTTCCTTCCGTCACCTGCGTCCCCTTCCTATCCCTGGGGGTCCCAGCAGGGAGAACCCTGGGCTGCCCACCTCCAGTGTGTGACTGAGGCTGGCTGCCAATGGCGTGGGCACAGGCCCCCACCTCCCCTGCTGCTGGGCTCCTATGTTACTTTGCTCTCATGGCCACTGTACCTCTCGGGACTGTGCACCAAGTTGCTGCCCACCTAGAATCGGTTTCCATTAGAGTGTTTAAAATGTTAAAAATAGCCTTCCACCCTAAATGCTTCCTTCGGAGGCCCGAGTTGGGAATCAGAGGTTCTTTTCTATCTGCACCTTTCTGGCAGAACTGAAGGAGGGTGGCTGTTTGCACAGTGTTGTGGGCCCCTGCCCTGGGCCAGCCACTTCACATTTGTCATCATGGAGCCCTGGGACGGCCCTGGGAGGTGTGGGGTTATTATTCTGATTCCACAGGAGAGGCGCATGAAGCTCAGAGGGTTAGGAGGTCTGTGCCTGGGCGTGAAGCTGGAATCGCAGAGCTTGGGTCTGGCTCAAGCCAGAGCCGACGCTTCCCCACGCTTACTCTTGTGATCCTAGTTCTACTCTTTGATCACAGTCTGTGTTTTTGGATCTCATGATCCTGCAGAATCAACTTTATGTGTGGAATTCTCTTGAGAATTTAATCCTGGGAGGAAAGAGTGCTGTCTTGGAAGCCTGAGGCTGCCCCTGTCTATCTGTGATAAGAAGTCCGTGAGCAGCTCACTCCTGAGCCTTGGCCTTGGCAGATAGGAAGCTCAGTGCGAGAGTTAAAGCTTGTCACAGCCCTTTCTTGTAGGCATTTGGCCTCCTTTGCCTCATCCTGCCTTTGGTGTTCTATTTTTATTTCACTAGCTCTCTGGTGTGCCAGCCTGAATGAGTGGGCGTTGCGTCTTTCTAGCTAGCAGGGAGCAGGTTTGGAGGGATGAGGACAGAGGCCATTTTCTCCATCTTCATGTTTGGACAGTGGGACAGGCATGCATGGGCCTGCCTGTCCACCCAGCTCAGACCATGCCGGCAGCTCCAGGGTGGAGATGAGGGCGGTTCATGTTTATACGCACCATTTATTGCTTGCATTTTAAAGACATCTAAAAACTCAAAGCTTGAGAAGATGGGGGTTTCACAGGAAACCAGAACTTCTTGTTGGGGCTGACATGGGGCTCTGTTGGCTTACATCCGTGGCTGGTGTGACCTGGTGCCTCTTGTGTGGGAGGGTGGATGTTAGCCCCAAGTGTGCTGACAGGTCTGGTCACAGGTAGCCCTGCCGACACCGCCCCTCCCCATCTGTTCCTCACTCCTGCTCACTTCCAAATGCCCTGTGGTGCCAGGTGGGGCCACCGCATGTCACTGCAGAAGGAACAAGAAAAAGAAAGAGAAAAGCTGGACTCTCTTTAGGATGAAAACATAATGACATTTTTTATCTTCCCCACGGGTGGAGCCCACAGAGGTCGGCCACAAATGGGTTGGTGGCCTTGATGTTCCTGCCAAATGTGTTTTGACAGAGAGGCAAAGATTTGTGCTGAACAAAACATTACCCTGAATAGGACACTGGACTGGGAGCAGTGGCTCAGGCCTGTAATCCCAGCACTTTGGGAGGACAAGGTGGGAGGATCACTGGGGCCTAGGAGTTTGAGCCCAGGCTGGGCAACATAGTGAGATGCTGTCTCTACACAAAATTAAAAATTAGCTGGGCGTGGTGTTGCCTGTAATCCCAGCGGCATGGGAGGCTAAGAGAGGAGGATAGCTTGAGCTCAGGAGTTTGAGGCTGCAGTGAGCTGTGATCACACCACTGCATAGCCTGGGTGACAGAGCAACACCCTGTCTCAAAAAAAAAAAAAAGGAACAGGACACTGAAGTTAAGTAAGGCTGTAAGTATCACCCTCATCCCCGTTTTACTGTGATGAGAACAATGAGGCTCAGCCAGGCAGGCCTCCGACAAGGAGAAGGTGCCTCATTTGCTGGGATCATGGGCGGTTCTGGGTGTAGGTGAGACCTTTAGGGAGCATTTTATACTGTTGCGGGCCTGGCCTCTGCAGGAGGTCACTGTTGGGAAGTGACTTCAGCGAGCCCAGCCGGCCCTGAGCCAGGGGAGCCACTGCTGCCCTTTTGACACAGATGTCACAAGGATGACAAGCCTTTCCAGGAGCATAAGCCCCACTTGAGGCAGTTTGAGGAGGGAGGGTGGAGGGAGAGAGGCAGTCTCTCCCTGCCAGAGAGGGGAGGCTGGGAAAGATGAGGACTGGGAGTGGCGGGGGGTAGCCTTCCAAGGGAGCACAGGCAGAGCTTTCACTTCTGTGCACCCTGGGAGCGACAGCTCTGTTCCAGACCCGTGCTTGAATCAGCACTCACCCCGACATTGTTCATTGTCATTCTGTACAAGGGACTGGTTTTCTGTTGTTGTTGTTTTTTGAGACAGAGTCTTGCTCTATTGCCCAGGCTGGAGTGCAGTGGCACAATCTTAGCACACTGCAGCCTCCGCCTCCCAGGTTCAAGCGATTCTCCTGCTTCAGCCTCCTGAGTAGCTGGGACTACAGGTGTGCACCACCACGCCTGGCTAATTTTTGTATTTTTAGTAGAGACGGGGTTTCGCCATGTTGGCCAGGCTGGTCCAGAACTCCTGACCACAGGTGATCTGCCCTCCTTGGCCTCCCAAAGTGCTGGGATTATAGGTGTGAACCACTGTGCCCGGCCTAGGGACTGTTTATTCTCCTCCTGGGCCTGTGGAAGGCAGTGGGATGCCATGAGGCAGACAGTGATCCTGTGATTCCTGCAGGCAAGGCCCTTGTTGGAGAGAAACTGGCTTCTAGACTCCGAGTTTCAGCCACAAAGGCCTTGGCCTGATGGCAATCAGGATGGGGGGGTGTGGCCTATAGAACCACTGAAGTGCCCGTGGAGCCCAGGTTGGGAGAGAAGTGCATGTTCTCTGGGTGCCCTTACGTCAGTGGTTCTGGGAGGAGACCCCGCCTTCCTGCCTCAGTGCTGCCTGCCTCCCTGTTTCCCTTGGGCAGGTCTTGTTCCCCGCTGAGCCTCAGCTTCCTGACTTGAGATCTCCAGGGTTGTGGGGAGGGTGCTTGAATTGAACGTATCAATACACAACGTGGACATTCGTTGGTGAAAAACAGAAGTGAGGTGGATCTGAATCTCATGAAGGGCTGATTCATCGTCTGCTCACTGGAGCCAGAGGGGTCCCCAGGGCAAACGCTACTCACACTAGCTTGGAAGACTCAGTTCTCGTCATTACTTTAGCTAGCTTGCTAACTGATTTTTTTTAAAAGAAGTATACTTTACTGTGTAAATAATGCATAATGATTTTGTTGAAAAATTCTATGATATGAATAAATCACAAAGAAAAAAACCCCACAATATAAAACAGGCCAGGCGCGGTGGCTCATGTCTGTAATCCCAGCACTTTGGGAGGCCGAGGCAGGTTGATCACTTGAGGTCAGGAGTTCAAGACCAGCCTGGCCAACATGGTGAAACCCCATCTCTACTAAAAATACAGAAAAAAAAAATTAGCTGGATGTGGTGTTGCAAACCTGTAATCCCAGCTACTCAGGAGGCTGAGGCAGGAGAATCGCTTGAATCCAGGAGGCAGAGGTTGCAGTGAGCCGAGATTCCTCCACTGTACTCTAGCCTGGGCAACAGAGTAAGACTCTGTCTCAAAAAAAAAAAAAAGAAAAAGAAAAAGAAAACTAAAAGACTCTCATCCTACTCTTCTTATCCTCAATATGTGGACTATTTAAGAGATAACCAATATTTTAAGACTATAACCACCACAGAAATAAAGGTCCCATATTTTGAGCTAAGCAGTGTCTCCATTAGTCTTCATAAAAGTTGTCCAAAGGAGGGCCGGGCATGGTGGCTCACACCTGTAATCCCAGCACTTTGGGAGGCTGAAGAGGGCGGATCATGAGGTCAGGAGATCGAGACCATCCTGGCTAACACGCTGAAACCCTGTCTCTACTAAAAATACAAAAAATTAGCCGGGTGTGGTGGTGGGCGCCTATAGTCCCAGCTACTCGGGAGGCTGAGGCAGAAGAATGGCGTGAACCTGGGAGGCGGAGCTTGTAGTGAGCCGAGATTGTGCCACTGCACTCTAGCCTGGGCGACAGAGTGAGACTCCGTCTCAAAAAAAAAAAAAAATTATTTAAAATATCAGTGACAGTAAAGAAAACACAAGGAAGAAGCCACTCAGGCCGGGCGCAGTGGCTCACGCCTGTAATCCCAGCACTTTGGGAGGCTGAGGAGGGCGGATCATGACGTCAGGAGATCGAGACCATCCTGGCTAACACAGTGAAACCCTGTCTCTACTAAAAATAGAAAAAATTAGCCGGGCGTGCTGGTGGGCGCCTGTAGTCCCAGCTACACGGGAGGCTGAGGCAGGAGAATGGCGTGAGCCCGAGAATCGGAGCTTGCAGTGAGCCAAGATCACACCACTGCACTCCAGCCTGGGCGACAGAGCGAGACTCCGTCTCAAAAAACAAAACAAAACAAAACAAAACGAAAATTTATTTAAAATGTCAGTGACAGTAAAGAAAACACAAGGACGAAGCCACTCATCACCCCCCGACATTCAGCCTTGTTGTTATTTTTGTGCATTCCCGATGTCTCCCCAACTCCTCCCACCCTGGGGAAGTCAGTGATCACCCCTTTGTTCCTGTTTGTCTGGGGATTGGGGCGTCTGCCCCTGGGGGAATTGGGGCTGGTGGTGGCAGTGATGGCAGTGGTGTTTCAATAGTTCTGCCCTAGCTGGGTGGGAGACAGTGAAACCAGTCCCAGGTTTGACTGTTGTTGGCTGTTTTACTTGACACAAGTCATTTCACTTATCTGAGCCTCAATATACTCAAAAATAAAATGCAGATAAACCTATGAACTACCAGAGATTGTTGTGAAAATTAAATAAATATGCACGGTGCCATACCAGTGTGGTGCTATGCAAATTTAGGTCCTATTATTTTAGTTCAAAAGCTTGGGTTTGAAAAGTGAGGTCCCAGGGTAACAATTGGTTTTGTTTAGAGAGGCACAGTTGACCAGTTCAAAGAAATGTTGCTGGAGATGTTTTGTCCCAGCCCTACCTGGGACATCTGTTGTGACATCCCCTGTGTCATGCTTTATGTCATGCTCTGTGTGACATCAAGCGAGTCAGCAGCCCTTCCTGGGACTTCAGTGCCCCAGTTTTTGTCATTCTCAAACATGAGTCTATCCCAAACCACCAGAGAATGAGGGACTTGAATGCAGGGCTATAGCATCAGGTTTTATCTGGGAGGCAATGGGGAGACAGAAAGATTCAGGCTAAGGAGTGTGGACATTATCTAGGCAATGGGGAGCCCCATAAAGGCTTCAAGCAGGGAAGTGACGAGGCCAGATGTATACTTTGGTAAGAAGTAGCCTGGCAAGGGTGTGGAGGCTGCCTGAGCTGGCGGCAGGGCCCAGCCAGAAGGGATAAGATCAGGGCCCAGTGGAGGAGGGGAGAGGAAGCTGTTTCACAGAGCAGCTCTGAGAAGCTGGCTGGAAGCTGAGGTTGACACACCCTCGAAGCACCTTTGGGGTTTCCCAAGTTGATGTAAAAAGGAAATGATTACCCTCGAGAAGGCAGGGGAGTTCTTCGGCCAGTCCTGCGTGCCTTTGGCATGTGATCTTAGCAAGTCATTTAACCTGCTCAGGCCTCAGTTTCCTCATCTCTGAACAGGGATGAGAAGCAGAGATGTTGTGAGGATTCATGTCTGTGCAGCTGGGCCTGGGCCTGGTACAGCCCGTCCTCAGTGGCCATGGCTGCTGTTTTAGGATTCTCATCCATCAAGTGGGAAGGATGCGTTTGTCTCCACTGCGTGAAAGGGAGGTTGTAGGACAGCCAGAACTTTGATCCCTAGGGGCTGGAGTGGGAGCTTAGAGGGATGGTGTCTTTGACCCGCTCACGTGTTCAGGGAAATGTGCAGTCTACAGCGCCCATTCCCATCTCTACTCTCCTTTCCCACATGACACCCCAGCGGGAGGCAAACGGACGCCATTATCACCTCCGTTTTATAGGTGAGGGAAGGGAGACCGAGAGGAGGAAGGTGACTTGTTGGAGGTCACACAGCTGGTTGGGTGGAAGCAGGTGTATGTGACTTAGCACGTCAGAGCTCCACCTTCACCAGGACTGCCATGTTCAGCCACTGCTCTTTTTTTTTTTTTTTTTTTTTGAGACAGAGTCTTGCTCTGTCGCTCAGGCTGGAGTGTAGTGGTGCGATCTTGGCTCACTGCAAGCTCCGCCTCCCCGGTTCAAGTGATTCTCCTGCCTCAGCCTCCCAAGTAGCTGAGACTACAGCCGTGTGCCACCATGCCCAACTAATTTTTGTATTTTTAGTAGAGATGGGGTTTCACCATGTTGGCCAGGCTGGTCTCGAACTCCTGACCTCAGGCAGTCCACCCACCTCGGCCTCCCAAAGTGCTGGGATTACAGGTGTGAGCCACCGCGCCTGGTCTACCGCATTTTACAGATGGGGAGGCCGGGGCCAGAAAGGGAAAGACCCTCCCGCCCTGCAACACCATGCATTTGTGGCAGAGCCAGAATTAGAACCCAGGTCTCTGACTTCCAGAACCAGTCTCTCAATGGCTACCCCACTTCATGGAATAGTAATAACTTTCTTTCCACCTTGTTTTCAGGGAAACCGGCTCCTGAAATCAGGTGTCCCATTCCAGCCTTCCCTGACTCTGTGAAGCCAGAAAAGCCTTTGGCAGCTTCTGTAAGAAAGGCTGAGGATGAACAGGAAGAGGGGCAGCCTGTGAGGATGGCCACCTTTCCAGGCCCAGGTATTTTAAATTTAACTTTTTTACTTAAAGCACTTTTATTTAAGGAAATGAAGATATATCTATAAGGACATTCAGCTTAGCATATAAGAGCAAAAAATTGAGGCTGAGCATGGTGGCCCATGCCTATAATCCCAGCTCCGTGAGGCTGAGGCGGGAGGATGGCTTGAGCCCAGGAGTTTGAGACCAGCCTAGGCAACCTGGTGAGACCTTTTCTCTACAAAAAATTTTAAAAAAATCATCCAGGCATGGTGGCATGCACCTGGTAGTCCCAGCTATTCAGGAGGCTGAGGTAGGGGGATTGCTCGAGCCCAGGAGTGCAAGGCTGTGGTGAGCTATGATCACACCACTGCACTCCAGCCTGGGTGACAGAGCGAGACTCTTCCTAAAGAAAGCAAAAAATCTGGCAACAACAATGGGGGATAATAAAATTAATGTCAGACAGTCACAACAAAGTACTATCAACAGTGATGTAGACGTGCATATGTACATGGAAACATACTGACAATATCGGGAGGTAGAAAAGTAGAAAAAATCAGGTAACAAAATGTATATAACATCTGTTACCATTTTTGTGAGCAGAAAAGAAATAGCTCGGTAATTGGAGGCTTTCTAGTGCCAGACACTATTCCAAGTACTGTACTTCAAAGATATTGACTCATTTAATCTTCAACTAACTATGAATTAGGTATTGTGATTATGCCCATTTCATGGATGAGAAAACTAAAGCACAGCGAGGTTAACCAACCTGGCTGAGGTCATGTACTGCCGGGTCCCTGTTTTCACCAGTGGTCTCCCGTGTCCCCAGCACAGGTTGGCCCTGCGTGCAGGCTCTGGACCGGATGTCTGACCATTTCTCTGTCCATTCTCCATAGGCCCCGGCCCTCGCAGCCATGCAGTGGGGAATTGAGGGGTGCTTCCTGCCCACCACTTTCCTCCCCTCCATCAGTCACAGTCTGCTGAAGCCCAGAGAGGGAGAGCAGCTTGCTTAAGGTCACACAAATAGGAAGTAATGTCTGAGCTGTGTGATTTGAACACTCACATCCCTAAGCATCATACTCACTGCTATCCCAAATCCTTTTGGACCACTTCAGATTTGTCTCCGTCGCCTGTGCCCAGGCAAGGGCTCAGGGACAGTTTCCAAATGACAGAATGGCTCAGCCAGCAGATGACCTCCCTAGGGGAGCTGCTGCTCAGCCCAATCTCCATTCTCACCGCCTCACCCCTGGAGCCCTGCCTCACCTCCTGTCTCCTGCGGCCTCCTGAGTGGTGAGCCAGAGACCCCAAATCCATGTAATCTCAGTTCACTGTTGCCGTTTCTGAAGCCAGGGGCGGCATCAGCTGAAAGGAACATGTTTTGTGGGCTTTTGTATTAGACAGACTCATATTTGAATCCTAGTGCTGCTGTTTTGTAGAATGACTTAGCGTTTGTACCTCAGTTTACTCATTTGTAAAATGAGGAGAATAATAGACCCTATTTCATCACGTTGTGGTAAGAAATCCTGCACCTGAGTGTTGCACCATGGAGGTGCTCATTAAATGTTATCTGATATTATGAACATTCCAGACACTCCAGATAGGTTGAATCTAGAAAGTTAATTCTAGGCCAAGGAGTCTGGATTATTTCCTGTAGCTAAATATATGTATTTTTAAGTGTAGACTTTTGATCAGCAATGAAAGATAAGGGGAAATGGTCCTGACCAAAGGGAAAATTATAACAAAATAGGGAAATTGTAGGGGCGTGCTGGTCAGGATGGAAGAGGTAATAGGCATAGCAGTTCCTTCTGGTATTCTTTATCTAGGTTACTGTAAAGATAAACATCACAGCCAGCCGGGCGTGGTAGCTCATGCCTGTAATCCTAGCACTTTGGGAGGCTGAGGCGGGTGGATCACGAGGTCAGGAGATCAATACCATCCTGGCTAACACGGTGAAACCCTGTCTCTATTAAAAATACAAAAAATTGGCCGGGCGTGGTGGCGGGTACATGTAGTCCCAGCTACGCGAGAGGCTGAGGCAGGAGAATCACTCAAACCCAGGAGGCGGAGGTTGCAGTGAGCTGAGATCGTGCCACTGCATTCCAGCCTGGGTGACAGAGTGAGACTCTGTCTCAACATAAAAATAAAAGTAAAATAAACATCACATGTCTCTGTCAGCCTTTGCTGTTTACTTTCTTTCCTTTTTTTTTTTTTTTTTTTTTGAGATAGGCCTTGCTCTGTTGCCCAGGCTAGGTGACGGTGGCACGGTCATAGCTCACTGCAGCCTCAACTTCCCTGGCTGAAGCAATCCTCCCACTTCAGCCTCTCAAGTAGCTGGGACTACAGGTGTACATCACTACGGCCGGCTAATTTTTTATTTTTGTAAAGATGGGATCTCATTATGTTGCCCAGGCTGGTCTCGAACTCCTGGGATCAAGCGATTCTCCCACCTTGGCCTCCCAAAGTGTTGGGATTACAGGCATGAGCCACTGCACAGAGCCCTATTTACTTACTTTCTTTTTTTGGCAGTGGGATGGAATCTCTGTCACCCAGGCTAGAGTGCAGTGGCACAATCTCGGCTCATTGCAACCTTTGCCTCCCGGGTTCAAGCGATCCTGCTGCCTCAGCCTCCTGAGTAGCTGGGACTATAGGCACGCACCACCACGTCTGACTGATTTTTGTATTTTTTGTAAAGATGGGGTTTCGCTGTGTTGCACAGGCTGGTCTTGAACTCCTGGGCTCAAGCAATCCACCTGCCTTGGCCTCCCAAAGTGCTGGGATTACAGGCGTGAGCCACTGCACCCAGCCCCTATTTGCTTTCTTGATGGCACTTGGAGCAAATGTGCCCAGGCAGGTCAAGATGATAACTACAATTTGCAGGCAGAGACAGGAAGTTGATTGTCTATCTTTGCCTAAATTGAAAATAAGAAATCATTCATTTCATCAAACCACCCAAAGCTTGTCTTCTTTCGGGAAAACCCCAAGGTTCCACTGAGCCCCAGAGTTCAAACTCATCAATTATCTTAAAGGATTTTGGTAGGAGTGAAGTATACTGAGCCCACATCTTGATCCCTGTGATACCCTGGCTCCCCCTTGCAGTAGGTGGGAAGGAAGTGGGAAGAGACATGGAGGAGGAAAATATGTTTGTTTGTTTTGTTTTTTGAGACAGAGTCTCGCTCTATCACTAGGCTGGAGTGCAGTGGCGCGATCTCGGCTCACTGCAGCCTCTGCCTCCTGGGTTCAAGTGATCCTCCTGCCTCAGCCTCCCGAGTAGCTGGCACTACAGGTGCGCGCCACCACGCCCAGCTAATTTTTTGTATTTTTAGTAGAGACGGGGTTTCACCATGTTGACCAGGATGGTCTTGATCTCTTGACCACCTGCCTCGGCCTCTCAAAGTGCTGGGATTACAGGCATGAGCCACCGCGCCTGGCTGAGGAGGAAAATATGTGAGCAGAGGAGCCATGGATAGGCTATGAGCACCTCGGCAAAGCAGTCTCGAAGCTAGAATTCAGATGAAAGGGTTTTGAGCAGCTGAAATAACTGTTACAAAGCCTTAGCTGTAGGAGAGGCCACTGGGCTATCAGTCAGAATCTGTTTACTTACTCTACACATAGTTTCACCAGCCTTGGTAAAATACCAAGTACTGCATGTGTCACAGCCTGACCTTTGTGCTCTATAAACATCAGCTCTTTTTACCTGGACAAGAAACAGACCATTATTGCTCTTTTTACATTTGAGAAAGCTCAGATAAGTGAGGCACAGCTCATCTGAGGTCAGATCTTGAGTAGTGCTGGAGCCAGCGCTTGAGCCAAATTCTGTTTGATACTAATAAAGGAGATGGGGCAGCTGGGGGTAGACCCGCTGCCAGCATCAGGGCAGGACATAGAAGACCCCATGTCAGATACAGTGCCGCTGCTTCTGCAATTCTTGTACCTGCAATGACACAGCTCGGCAGGACCAGAGGTGGTGCATTTTGCTTGAGAAAGCAGGCATATTAGCCTCAGTAGAATAGCAACAAAAAGGCCAAGGCAGTCGGATCACCTCAGGTCAGGAGTTCGAGACCAGCCTGGTCAACATGGTGAAACCTCATCTCTACTAAAAATATAAAAATTAGCTAGGCATGGTCTCAGGCGCCTGTAATCCCAGCTACTTGGGAGGCTGAGGCAGGAGAATTGCTTGAACCTGGGAGGCGGAGGTTGCAGTGAGCCGAGATCACGCCACTGCACTCCAGCTTGGGTGACAGAGAAAGACTCTGTTTCAAAAACAAAAACAAACAAAACAGAGCAAAAAAGAAAAGCAAGAAAAAGAAAGCTTCTGGAAGCATTTCCATAGGAAATGGTTTGTTTTTTAGCTAAGTCCTGGCACTTGATCTGACCTCTGATTAGCTGTGCCTCACTCTTGGAAACAAGATTATGTAGAAGCCCCAAGCCCCATCTATCACTATCACCCAACAAGTATCCCATCTTGTTCATCTACTCTCCTGCCCCATCTCCCTCCCCTCCCTTAGCCATTATTTTAAAACATTTTTATATGAAAAAATTACAAACATACAAAAGCCAAGAGCATAATGACCCTCCATGTCCCCATCAGCTGGCTTCAGTAATGATCCACCCATGGCCAACTTCTGATTAGTTTGTATGGAATCCAGGGAGATTTTCATATCCTTGATAGCTGGAGAATTCCTTCTCATTCTCCTCTCTCTGCCCTTGGACATACAGTGGGGGCCTTTAAAGATTATGGTTGTGAGTTTCTCCTACCACAGATAACTACCCTAGGCACGAGGAGCCAATCCGATTAGACCCCAGAGGAGGGGAGGGCTGGGTAGGGAGAGATGGAGAGTAATGGCTGGTGGGTCCTGTCTGATTTTCCAGACCAGAGTCCATTTCTTTTCCCCAAGACCACAGGGATAAATAAACCCAACTAATAGCCCTCATGTGTCGCAGGAGCAGGCCTCAGGGATTCCCCCAAACTGAGAGGCCTGGGGGAGCCTCCTGAGCAAACCCCAGGCATTAAGTCAGATAGGAAACTCATGACTTGTGTGAGGCAAGCTCTGACCTCAGATTTACTGGGCACAGAAGGACCCTGTGTGCAGAGACAGCCCTGCCCTGTGGCCAGGCCTGGCAGCAGGATGGAACTCAAGTTAGTCTGGAGCAGCGGTTCCCAGTGTGGGGCCCACACCTGCAGTGGTACACAGAACCTGGGTGTTAGCACAAATATAGATCATGTGTAGAAGAACTAGGGACTTCATGGATATTACTGTTTAACACAAGGCTGAATACATAACACTGGAATTAAAGTTGGTTGAAAGAAAACCGTCAGGTGACTCATAGTGAGGTGGCACAGACATGGCCAAAAACTTGGAGACCGGATGAACATAACTGCAGTCTGAGGGATGCGGGCCAAGGGTACTGAGCTGAGGCCAAGAGAAGGCAGGGCAAGGGTGGAAGTGGCCATCACAGAGCAGCCTTTCTGCAGGACGGGGGCCCTGTGCTGGCCAGCAGAGGCCTCCATTAGTCCAGGTCCTTGGTGAGAGGCAGATACCAAGACAGGATAGGATTTCATCAACAAGATAGGATTTCATTAGGACAAATACTTGCAAGAAAATGCAGAGGGAGCTGGGCAAGGCTGGGAGAGCCTTGGGACCATGGTGCGCCATTTCCGAGGAAGGCTGGGTGGGCACTTGCTGGCCTGCCTTCGGTCTAAGGCAGACTCTCCAGGGTGTCCGTTGGCCATCACAGTCCTATCTGCCTAGTGTACCCTCTGCACACAGTGCCTGGGGAACAGCCCCTGGGAAGCATGGTCCGGATGCAGATGCAGGGATTGATTGGAGCCAGCCACAGCCAGGCCCGCAGATAGCCAGGCTCCCAGCAGCTGGGGGTCTCCAGCTCGCATTCTCCTGGCTGCTAGATTCACACAGCAGCAGGGCAAAGATCCCAGGAATGAGGCTGAGGGCAGCCCCTTGACAGGCTCCAGACCTTGTCTCAGGTGATTTCATGTTATCAGCTATCTGTGTGGGTTAATTGTTTAGCCAGGCTGATTTTACTTTCAGTCTCGTGAAATAAAATTTTTTGTTTTTTGTTTTTTGAGACTGAGTCTCGCTCTGTTGCCCAGGTTGGAGTGCAGTGGTATGATCTTGGCTCACTGCAACCTCTGCCTCCCAGGTTTAAGCGATTCTTGTGCCTCAGCCTCCTGAGTAGCTGGGCCTACAGGCATGTGCCACCATGCCCGGCTAATTTTTGTATTTTTAGTAGAGACAGGGTTTCACCATGTTGACCAGACTGGTCTCGAACTCCTGACCTCAGGTGATCCACCTGCCTCAGCCTCCCAAAGCGCTGGGATTACAGGTGTGAGCCACTGTGCTGGCCAAAACAAATTTTTTTTTTTTGATACAGTCTCGCTCTGTCCCCCAGGCTGGAGTGCAGTGGCACAGCTCAGCTCACGGCAACCTTTGCCTCCCTGGTTCAAGCAATTCTCCTGCCTTAGCCTCCCAAGTAGCTGGGATTACAGGCACTCGCCATCATGCCAGGCTAATTTTTGTATTTTTGTAGAGATGGGGTTTTACCATGTTGGCCAGGCTGGTCTTAAACTCTTTTTGTTTGTTTTTTTGTTTGTTTGTTTTGAAGTGGAGTCTCACTCTGTCACCCAGGCTGGAGTGCAGTGGCACAATCTTGGCTCATGGTCTTAAACTCTTAACCTCAGGTGATCCACCTGCCTCGGCCTCCCAAAGTGCTGGGATTACAAGCCTGAGCCACTGTGCCCAGGCCAAAATAAATTTTTTAATAGCCAAAGTTCCAGATGAGTCATTCCTTTCCTGATGTTGTAAGCCACAAATACCTGAAGCAGGTAGATTTATCCAGTAATCTTGGGGTCAAGTCCAGTTTCCTTTGGAAGGGTCAGGTCCCCAGTTACTCAGAAGCTGTCCTTGCCATGGGGCTTCCTAGGTATTTCCAGATGATGATGTTTGAAGCCTCTGGCCTTTGGCCAAGGCCTGCTTCTGTGCGGACCAGCCACCATGGCTCACCTCACCCACGGTCTGTGCCTGCGCCCACCGAGGAGCCCCCCTACCAGATGGCCTCATTAGTCTTCAGATTAATCTTCACATGGGGCCTAGTGAAGAAATTTCACCCTCTTTAACCTCACGTTTAAGTGACCCTAAACTACTTGTCAAACATTCCGTCTTGTGAATCTTGTTCACTCACTAAGGGATTGGGGCATAGACATGGCCAAGCATGGTGGCTCACGCCTATAATCCCAGCACTTTGGGAGGCCGAGGCAAGTGGATCACTTGAGGTCAGGAGTTCAAAACCAGCCTGGCCAACATGGTGAAACCCCATCTCTAATAAAAATACAAAAATTAGCCGGCATCATGGCGCACGCCTATAGTCCCAGCTACTTCGTAGGCTGAGGCAGGAGAATCGCTTGAACCTGGGAGGGGGAGTTTGCAGTGAGCTGAGATTGTGCCACTGCACTCCAGCCTGGGTGACAGAGTGAGACTCTGTTTCCAAAAAAAAAAAAAAAAAAAGAACATAGACACTGGAACCACTGATGACTGTGTGCCCCATGTGAAGATTAATCTGAAGACTAATGAGGCCGTCTGGTAGGGGGGCTCCTCGGTGGGCGCAGGCACAGACTGTGGGTGAGGTGGGCCATGGTGGCTGGTCCGCACAGAAGCAGGCCTTGGCCAAAGGCCAAGGCCCTTGGAAAAGTGACTTAACTTCTCCATGCCTCATTTCACCATCTGCAAAGAGGCAATGAAAATGGTGCAGTGGTACCTTATTTCCTGATTGGCATGAGGATTAGATGAGTTAACGCACGGGAAGGATTTTTTTTGAGACAGGGTCTCATTCTGCCTCCTAGGCTAGAGTGCAGTGGTGTGATCATGGCTCAATATAGCCTTGACCTCCTGGGCACAAGTGATCCTCATCCTCCCAAGTAGAGGGGACCACAGGTGTACACCACCATACCTGGCTATTAAAAAAAAATCTTTTGTAGGACTGAGCGCAGTGGCTCATGCCTGTAATCCCAGCACTTTGGGAAGCCAAGGTGGGCAGATCACGAGTTCAGGAGATCGAGACCATCCTGGCTAACACAGTGAAACCCCATCTCTACTAAAAATACAAAAAATTAGCTGGGTGTGGTGGCGGGCGCCTGTAGTCCCAGCTACTCGGGAGGCTGAGGCAGGAGAATGGTGTGAACCCGGGAGGCGGAGCTTGCAGTGAGCCGAGATTGTGCCACTGCACTCCAGCCTGGGCAACAGAGGGAGACTCCATCTCAAAAAAAAAAAAGAAAAAAAATCTTTTGTAGAAACGGGATCTTGTCATGTTGCCCAAGCTGATCTCAAACTCCTGGGCTGAAGCAATCCTCCTGCCTCAGCCTCCCAAAGTGCTGGTATTACAGATGTGAAGTATTTAGAACAGTGCCTGGCATGATGTTTGCTAACTCATGTACCTAGATGTTAACTTACTCCAGCCCCGGGCCCTTCTACTGCCCCACCTCTGCATGGGCTGGTTCCACTGCCCCATATCTGCTTGTTGAAAACGTTTCTCCATATTTCAAGCCCAGGTCAGGTGCCACTTCCTCTGTGAACCCTCCTCATCTCCCAGCCTGTTATGGTCTCTCCTGCCTCTGACCTCGCTCTCCCGTGGGATGTATCCTCGGAGGATAGTTACTGCATCCCTGCCCTGGTGGAGGTTTCTGGAAGGCAGGCTTGGTAGCTAGTTCACCTCTGTGTCTTTTTCTGCTCTTTGAGTAGGAGGTGAGATAGTGCAGGGCCTAGAAGTCAAACAGATTTCCGTCTGAATTTCGGCTCTACCATCTACTGGCTGGGTGGTCCTGAGCACTGCGTCTACCTCCGGTGTCTCCGTGTCTCCACTTGCCAACTGGGATGATAAACAGGCCCCAGGTTGTAGGGGAGTCAGAGGCTTATCCTGAGGTGATGCTTGAGGAGTGTGTTGGTTGGCACATGGTGGGTGTCAGGAATTGGCAGCAACAAGTGTTTGGGGAGTGAACAGGAGACTGGCATAGTCTGAGGACTAGACCAGGATCCCTCCTGTCTTCCTCCCCGAGGCTGCATCCTGACCCATAGTCCCTCCTTTCCAGGGTCCTCTCCAGCCAGAGCCCACCAGCCGGCCTTTCTCCAGCCTCCTGAAGAAGATGCCCCTCATTCCTTGAGAAGCGACCTCCCCACTTCGTCTGATTCAAAGGTAAATCCACCCCTCGGCTGCAGCCCCCAAGCCATGTCTCCCAGCGTGTAGTTCCCTCTCAAAAATGCAATTTCTCTACCCCTTGAGACCAGTTTAAGGGTGGAGAGGAGAAAGGAAATTGCCATCAAATTACCCCAAGCTTCTAAGACTGTAAGTAGAGGAGGTCAATAATAGCGGGGAGAGGGAGGGAGGGCACTTCAGTGAATATACTTCTTGTTTTTTAATTTGTTATTATTATTATTTTTGAGACAGAGTCTCGCTCTGCCACCCAGGCTGGAGTGCAGTGGCACGATCTCGGGTCACTGCAACCTCCGCTTCCCGGGTTCAAGTGATTCTCCTGCCTCAGCCTCCCAAGTAGCTGGGATTACAGGTGCATGTCACCATGCTCGGCTAATTTTTTGTATTTTTAGTAGAGACGGGGTCTCACCATGTTGGCCAGCTTGGTCTCGAACTCCTGACGTCAGGTGATCCACCTGCCTCCGCCTCCCAAAGTGCTTGGATTACAGGCATGAGCCACTGCACCCGGCCATTATTTTCTTTTATTATTTTATTTTATTTTCGACCTGTGGTCTCAGCTACTTGGGAGGCTGAGGCGGGAGGATGGCTTCAGCCCAGGAGGCAGAAGTTGCAGTGAGCTGTGATCCTACCACCACATTCCACCCTGGGTGACAGAGTGAGACCCTGTCTCCAAAAATGTATGACCATATTGGTACGAAGATAAATAAAATCCAAGCAGGATTAAAAATGAGGACATTTCTTTGACTCTAAAAGTCCATTTATTTTCTTCTGATTTTAAAATAAATTAAAATGTTCTGATGGCCCCTAAAAGTGTTGTGAGCCTAGACCCTTTGCATCCAGTGCCTGGGGGAGAAGCCAGCTTTGCATGAGTGTGGTTAATGAAGCTCTTCCATGTCCCAGGTGTGGTGTCACATGCCTGTAGTCCTGGCTATTTGGGAGGCTGAGGTGGGAGGATCGCTTGAGCCCAGGAGTTGGAGACCAGCCTAGGCAACACAGGGAGGCCCCATCTCTAAATTAATAAATAGATCAACCTTCCATGAAGGATAAACCCAACACTTTGGGAGGTTGGTATGGGAGGTTCACTTGAGCCCAGTACTTTGAGACCAACCTGGGCAACAGTGTGAGATCCTGTGTCTACAAAAAAGTTTTTTTTGTTTTTGTGTTTTTTTTGAGGAGTCTCGCTCCATTGCCCAGGCTGGAGTGCAGTGGCACGATCTTGGTCACTGTAACCTCTGCCTCCCAGGTTCAAGCTATTCTCCTGCCTCAGCCTCCTGAGTAGCTGGGATTACATGCACATGCCAGCATGTTTGGCTAATTTTTTTTTGTATTTTTAGTGGAGACAGGGTTTCGCCATGTTGGCCAGGCTGGTCTTGAACTCCTGGCCTCATGTGATCCGCCCACCTCAGCATCCCAAAGTGCTGGGATTACAGGCATGAGCCACCGTGCCTGGCCAAAAAGTTTTTTTGAGACAAAGTCTCCCTCTGTTGCCCAGGCTGTCTCGACTCACTGAAACCTCTGGTTCCCCAGTTTAAGCGATTCTCCTGCCTCAGCCTCCTGAGTATCCGGGATTATAGGTGTGTGCCACCACGCCTGGCTAATTTTTGTATTTTTAGTAGAGACACGGTTTCACCATATTGCCCAGGCTGGTCTTGAACTCCTGGCCTCAGAGGATCCGCCTGCCTTGGCCTCCCACATATGGTGAGATTACAAGCAGTGAATCACTGTGCCTGGCCTCGCCAAAAAAAAAAGTTTAAAAAATAAGCCAGGCGTGGTGGCACACACCTGTAGTCCCAGCTACTTGGGGGCGCTGAGATGAAAGGATCCCTTGAGCCTGGGAGGTTGAGGCTGCGGTGAGCTGACATCATGCCATTGCACTCCAGCCTTGGTGTCAAAGTGAGACCCTGTCTCAAAAAGAAATCAAAACTATGTGTGTGGCATGATACCAGTTTTGTTAAATAAATCCTAGTATATCTAATTGGCCGGAAATACACTAACTTTAATAGCAGTTAAATGGATAATGGGGTTATGGATACTAATTTTCAAAAACTGTTAAGAGCATATGTAACTTAAAAAAATTGAAATTTAGGCCGGGCGCGGTGGCTCGTGCCTGTAATCCCAGCACTTTGGGAGGCCAAGTCGGGCGGATCACGAGGTCAGGAGATGGAGACCATCCTGGCTAACACGGTGAGGCCTCATCTCTACTAAAAAAATTACAAAAAATTAGCCGGACAGGGTGGTGGGTGCCTGTAGTCCCAGCTGCTCGGGAGACTGAGGAAGGAGAATGGCGTGAACCTGGGAGGCGGAGCTTGCAGTGAGCCGAGATCACACCACTGCACTCCAGCCTGGGTGACAGTACGAGACTCTGTCTCAAAAAAAAAAAAAAAATTACGTACATGTGTTTTAAAGAGAGAAGTTATTAAAAACGGAAACAGAACTTCTTTTTATAGGCTTATATACACATGCAGTCTCTGGAATTCTGTTTAAAGCAAGCTTGTCTTACTTGCCCATGGTTGTGTGCAGCCCAGGATGGCTTTGAATGTGGCCCAACACAAATTTGTAAAGTTTCTTAAAACATTATGAGTTTTTTTTGCAATTTTTTTTTTAAAGCTCATCAGCTATCATTAGTATTAGTGTATTTTATGTGTGGCCCAAGACAATTCTTCTTCCAGTGTGGTCCAGGGAAGTCAAAAATTGGACACCCCTGGTTTGGTTATATGAACCTGTATCCTACTTCCCAGGAGTCTGGAACCCCAGTATCTATGCTGTGAATTAGACCAAGAGTGCTGAGCTCGGCCACTGACCAGCTGTGGGACCTCACTTCAGCTGTTTTATTTCCTCAGTGCTTACTTCTGTAAACTGAAATAAAGGAAACATCAACCATGTGCCAGGAATACTCACATCTTAGTCTTCAAAATTACTCTTCGGGGTACTATTGTTACCTTCATTTTTGCTGATGGAAAAAATTGAGGCTCAGAGAGGTTAAGTAACTCACCCAAGGTCACAGAGCAAGATACAGATGGAGCTGGGATTTGAGCTTGGGCCTATCCATGTCCTTTTTTTTTTTTTTTTTTTGAGACAGAGTCTCGCTCTGTCACCCAGGCTGGAGTGCAGTGGCGCGATCTCGGCTCACTGCAAGCTCCGCCTCCTGGGTTCACCCCATTCTCCTGCCTCAGCCTCCCGAGTAGCTGGGACTACAGGCGCCCGCCACCACGCCTGGATAATTTTTTTTTGTATTTTTTAGTAGAGACGGGGTTTCACTGTGTTAGCCAGGATGGTCTTGATCTCCTGACCTCGTGATCCGCCCGCCTCGGCCTCCCAAAGTGCTGGGATTACAGGCGTGAGCCACCGTGCCCGGCCTATCCATGTCCTTTTTACAGTTTCCATTGGATAAGTTGATCCCCTCCATCCCTCCATCTCTGGTGTTCCAAGGTCCCTTGAGGTAGCAGAGAAAACGAGATTCCATAGTAATCTCCATCTCTTCTCTCTGGGTCTCCAGGACTTCAGCACCTCCATTCCTAAGCAGGAAAAACTTTTGAGCTTGGCTGGAGACAGCCTTTTCTGGAGTGAGGCAGACGTGGTCCAGGCAACCGATGACTTCAATCAAAACCGCAAAATCAGCCAGGGGACCTTTGCTGACGTCTACAGAGGGCACAGGCACGGGAAGCCATTCGTCTTCAAGAAGCTCAGAGAGGTGAGCACTTCTTGGTTTCTAGTGGGGGTGGAGGCTGCAGGGGTGGGGCGGGATCTTCATGTTCTGATGTCTTTCTCTACAGACAGCCTGTTCAAGTCCAGGATCAATCGAAAGATTCTTCCAGGCAGAGTTGCAGATTTGTCTTAGGTAAGCCTCCCCTTTGTTTAGTAATAATGATAGCTAACCTTTATATAGTGCTTCCTGTGTGCCCAGTCATGTTTTAAGCACTCTATTATATATAAACTCATTTAGTCCTTACAAGAACCCTATAAATGTAGCTACTATTATCACATTATTTTACAGATGGGTAAATTGAGGCACAGAGGGGTTAAATGTCTCATCCAAGGTCACACAGCTAATGAGTGGCAGAGCCAGGATTTGGATCTACCTGGTTTGGCTCCAGAGTCCATTCTTCTCCTGTGTAGCAATTCTATGTGTAGATTAGAATTATAAAGGAAACTTGGCTTACTCCAACTCCTTCCTTCCACATGGGAATAAATCTTCTCTCCTTTTTTTTTTTCTTTTCTTTTCTTTTTTTGTTTTTTGAGACAGAGTCTTGCTCTGTCTCCCAGGCTGGAGTGCAGTGGCGTGATCTCGGCTCACTGCAATCTCTGCCTACCAGGTTCAGGTGATTCTCGTGCCTTAGCCTCCCGAGTAGCTGGGATTACAGGCGTGCGCCACCAGGCCCGGCTAATTTTCATATTTTTAGTAGAGACGGGGTTTTGACATGTTGGCCAGGATGGTCTCAAATTCCTGACCTCAAGTGATCTTTCTGCTTTGGCTTCCTAAAGTGCTGGGATTACAGGCGTGAGCCACCGTGCCTGACTTTTTTTTCTTTTTTAAGAGCTAGGGTCTTGCTCTATTGCCCAGGCTGGAATGGCCTTGGAATGATTGTAGATCACTGCAGCTTTGAACTCATGGGCTGGTGATCCTCCCACCTCAGCCTCTGAGAAGCTGGGACTACAGGTGTGCGCCCAGCTCATTTTTTGCTTTTTTTTTTTTTTTTTTTTGTAGAGATAGGGTCTTGCTATGTTGACCAGGCTGGTGTTGAGCTCCCGGGCTCAAGTGATCCTCCTGCCTTGACCTCCCAAGATGTTGGGATTATAGGTGTGAGCCACTGTGCCCTGCCATGTGTGTGCTTTTTTTTTTTTTAATTATTTTTCATCTGAAACACTTGTGCCTTATATTGTAGGGTATTTTAAGAAATAAAGAAAATTGAGTATCTGTTCATTCTGTAACCAGTGTTAAAAAATAAAGAAAATTGACCAGGTATGGTGGTTTATGCCTGTAATCCTAGAACTTTGATGCTGAGGCAAGAGGATTCCTTGAGCCAAGGAGTTTGAGACCAGCTTGGGCAACATAGCGAGACCCTGTCTCAACTGAAAAAAATATATATACAAAAACTTTTTTTGGCTGGGCATGGTGGCTCGCACCTATAATCCCAGCACTTTGGGAGGCTGAGGCGAGTGGATCACTTAAGTCCAGGAGTTCAAGATCAGCTGGGCAACATGGCAAAACCCCGTCTCTACAAAAAATACAAAAATTAGCTGGGTGTGGTGGTGTATGCCTGCAGTCCCAGCTACTCAGGAGGCTGATGGGAGGATCACTTGAGCCCAGGAGGCAGAAGTTGCAGTGAGCCGAGATCATGACACTACACTCCAGCCGGGGCAACAAAGTGAGTCTCTGTCTCAAAAATAAATAAAGGCCAGGCATGGTGGCTCACACCTGTAATGCCAGCACTTTGGGAGGCCGAGGTGGGCAGATCAGTTGAGGTCAGGAGTTTGAGACCAGCCTGGCCAACATGGCGAAACCTCATCTCTACTAAAAAAAATTCATACAAAAATCAGCCTGGTGTGTTGGCATGCACCTGTAGTCCCAGCTACTCAGGAGGCTGAGGCATGAGAATCACTTGAGCCCAGAAAGTGGAGGTTGCAGTGAGCCCAGATCGCACCACTGCACTCCAGCCTGGGCAATAGAGTGAGACTCTGTCTCAAAAAAAAAAAAAAAAAAAAATTAATTAATTAATTAAAAAGTAAAACAAATTTAAAAAGGAATAAAGAAAATTATAAATAAGAAAATAGAAACTTTTTCACAGCACCTATAAATAAGCACTACTGTTTTAATATTTTGATATATTTTCATTTTTAATTGTTAAAACTTTTTTTGTAGAGACACGATCTCACTATGTTGCCCAGGTTGGTTTTGAACTCCCTGGCTCAAGTGATCCTCCTGCTTTGGCCTCCAAAAGTGTTGGGATTTTAGATGTGAGCCACTGTGCTGGGCCCATATTTTGATATGTTTTCTTTAATGCTTTCTCTATTCATACATGTATATGAATACTCACATGTGTACACACACACACACACACACACAGATACACACACACACATACATCTAATAAAAACTGGAAGTATGATTCCCTTTCCACTTTGGCTTAGTGCTTTCATGGAGTCGGCAGTCACTCCTTCATTCATTGATTCAGAAAATGTGGGTAGTTAAGCCCTTTTCTAGGCTCTAGGGAGTGTACGCCAGAAGCATACAGAGCCCCTGCCTTGGGGAGGTTTATGGTCCAGTGGGGAGACTGACATGTAAATAACTCTAATAAGTATGCAAAAGCGAGTAATAGGATGGCTTGCGGGAAGCAGAGGAGGGCGGAGAGATAAGGCAGGAGGCCATTTACAGCAGTCTTGGGGAGGCTGAATCAGAGCCTGACCCAATCCAAGTGACCCAAGGCAGAGGAGAGGGGAATGAAGGGACATTTTAAAAGTTATTTGTGGCAGTGAATGGTGACTGATTTGATACGGGAGATAAGAAGGTTTCTAGGAAACTGGGTGGGTGGTGATGTGCCTTTCTGGGATAATAAATATGGGTGAAGAAGCAGGTTTGGGACTTGTTGAGGCTAGGATGATGTTGACCTGAGCATCAGGATGCAAATTGACATTCAGGTCTGGAGCTTAGGATGGGGCTGGAGATAAGAGATTTGGGAATATTCCTTATAGCAATGGGAGGTTCCTGGAGGAGCAACATACAAAACAAGATGAGGAGTCCAGCTGGCAGAAAGAGGAAGGCAAAGGAGGAGGGTCTTAGTGAAAAGGGCCAGGAAAGAGTGGTCAGAGAGGTAGGAGGAAAGTCAGGAGGGAATGGTGACTGAGAACCAGCAGAAGAGGATTTCAGGAAAGAACCCCAGTCCTAGAGTCAGGCAGGTGTGGGATCTGGTCCTGGCTTTACTGCTTTCTAGTTTGTGACCTTGGGCAAGTCCCTTAACCTCTCAGTCTCCGTTTCTGGAGATGGGGCAGTTGAGATGTCATGTGTTGCAGAGCAGTAAAGCAGGATGAGGACCACCATACTCGTTGAAGGCAGACAGTTTTCATCTTTCCACCCTGGGGCCAGGCCCTTAGGGGTCAGAGTATGTGGTACCTGGGAGGTTATTGGTGGCGTTGGAGGAGGAGAGGGCAGAAGAGGGGTGGGACATGAGGAAGTAGATCATTCTTTCCGTCTGACTCCTCACACCTGCACTGACGCCCGATTCCAGATGCTGCCACCCCAATGTCTTACCTGTGCTGGGCTTCTGTGCTGCAAGACAGTTTCACAGCTTCATCTACCCCTACATGGCAAATGGTTCCCTACAGGACAGACTGCAGGGTCAGGTAAGGGACTGGGTCATGGTCAGAGAATGGGACCAGGCTGCACCCAGCCATGGGGTCAAGGGTTAAGGACTTACAGAAGTTCAGAGGGGAGAGGGGCCATCTAGGTGAGACCAGGGAGACTTCAAGGAGAGAAGTGGGGCCAGGATACATAAGATCTGGTTAAGTGCTCACTTTGGCAGCACATATACCAAAATTGGAACGATACAGAGAAGATCAGCATGGCCTCTGAATGAGGATGACAAAATATGAAAAAGAAAAAGAAAAGCTCAAAAAGATCTGATTAAACATCTTCAGGAAAAATCTATAAAAAATTATTTGACGAGAAGCATTTCATTCAAATCAAGAGCAGGACAAAGGTATCTCATAGAACTAACTTCGTTCGTCATGGTTCTGGAGGTGTTAGCCAATGCAGTAGGACAAGAAAAAGAATTAAGAGGTAAAGAGTATGGAAAAGTGGAGGTGAATTTTTATTATAAAATGTTCTTCTAATATATACCTATTTGCTTGTGTGTTTATGGAATGTCTCTGGAAAGATACACAAGAAACTGGTTTACTGGCTGCTGCTAGGGAGCAGAACTAGGTGATTGGGGCCTAGGATAAGAAGCAAACTTACTATTAGAGTATTATATCATGTGAAGGTAATCCTTAATAAAAATTACAGTGTTTTAAAACAGGTCTTCTGCTTATCTTATCCTCAAATAGAGGGGAAAGAGTTATTCCATAACAGAATTATTGCTTCCCATGGCAGGGACAAGACAAAGCAGTTACTCACGGCATACTAATGATCTTTAGCTTTTCTGGGCACTCACTGTATGCAGGTTGCTGTGATAAGGGTTTTACGTAGGTCATCACCTCCAGGCCGTGCCACAACCAAAGCAATTTCTTCCCTCATTTTTCAAAAGAGGAATCTCTGACACATAGAGACAAAGTGACTTGCCCAAAGGAACATAGAGGACAAATGTCAGGCCAGAGCTTACATTGGGTTCGTCTGGCTCTAGGTTTCAGAGTTTTTGAGAAGAAATTAGCAGGGGCTGTCCAGGCCAGTTCTTAGAGGATGTGGGACCTACACCAGGGCTTCAAAAATAGGTGATGAGGCTGGGCACAGTGGCTCACGCCTGTAATCCCAGTACATTGGGAAGCCGAGGTGGGTGGATCACTTGAGGTCAGGAGTTTGACACCAGCCTGACCAATATGGTGAAACCCTGTCTCTACTAAAAATATAAGAATTAGCCAGGCGTGGTGGCGTGTGCCTGTAGTACCAGCTACTGAGGAGGCTGAGACAGGAGAATCACTTGAACCCGGGAGGCAGAGGTTGCGGTGAGCCGAGATTGCACCACTGCACTCCAGCCTGGGCGACAAAGTGAGACTCCGTCTCAAAAAAAAAAAAAAAAAAAAAACCAAAACGGTGATGATTTAGCCTGGGAGAGTCAGTCTTAGAACAACAGTGGGAGCAAATGAGAGGCTTTAGCCCATCCCACAATCCCCATCAGCCCTGGTGAAGTTTCCCCTAATACAGATAAAATCAGCGTAAGGCCCAGGTGCTTGGCTTGCAAACACAAGCTCCCTAGCTCCTCTCCCATCCAGCTTCTTTTAGAGAGAAATTCCAGAGCAGCCTCTGTAATGGACATGATAAAAATAACTGCTGATTGAGCACCTACTGTGTGGCAGGTGCTATGCTAGGGGTATACCATATACTCCCTTGAATCCTTACAGCAACCCTAAAATATAGGGATTAACATTTCCATTTTATACCCAAGGAAACTGAGGCTCAGAGATGTTAAGTGTCTTTTTCCAAAATTATACAGCTAATGCATGTCTGAACTGGGAGTTACACCTAGATCTGTCTGATGTCAAAACCCATAGTACAGGGTCAGGCACATGGCTCATGCCTGTAATTCCAGCACTTTGGGAGAGCGAGGTGGACGGATCGCTTGAGCCCAGGAGTTCGAGACCAGCCTGGCCAACATGGCAAAACCCTGTCTCCACGAAAAATACAAAAATTAGTTGAGAGTGGTGGCACGTGCCTGTGATCCCAGCTATTCGGGAGTCTGAGGCGGGAGAGTCACTTCAGCCTGGGATTTTAAGGCTACAGTGAGCTATGATGCTGCACTCCAGTCTGGGTGACAGAGCAAGACCTGTCTCAAAACCAGCAAACACAAAACAATGAAAAAACTCACAGTATCATGCTGAGCCCTGTGACAGAGGACATGAAGGGTGGGAGGAGGATCAGGAGCCTGGGACCCTGCCATCAGGACTTCGTTTTTTTGTTTTTGTTTTTGTTTTTTTTTGAGATGGAGTCTCGCTCTGTCACCCAGGCTGCAGTGCAGTGGTGCAATCTCGGCTTACTGCAAGCTCTGCCTCCTGGGTTCACGCCATTCTCCTGCCTCAGCCTCCCAAATAGCTGGGACTACAGGCAGCCGCCACCAGGACCGGCTAATTTTTTGTATTTTTAGTAGAGATGGGGTTTCACCGTGTTAGCCAGGATGGTCTCGATCTCCTGAACTAGTGATCTGCCTGCCTGGGCCTCCCAGTGTGCTGGGATTACAGGTGTGAGCCACCGCACCTGGCTGCCATCAGGACTTTAAAAAGGTACATTGTGACTATTTGTCCTCCTGCTTTTCTTTCTCTTAGGGTGGCTCGGACCCCCTCCCCTGGCCCCAGCGTGTCAGCATCTGCTCAGGGCTGCTCTGTGCCGTCGAGTACCTGCATGGTCTGGAGATCATCCACAGCAACGTCAAGAGGTGAGAGAGGTGGGCTGGACCCTGCTGGGGCCTGGGCTGCAAGGGTGGAACTGGTGCCTATTCCTGGCTCACCTCCCGCTCCGCCACTCACCCCTGTCCTCTTTGTTTTTCTCTTCCTACCTCCTCTCCTCTGCCCTCCCCTGGATGTCTTTTTCTCTGTTATGCCCTCAAAAATGAGTGTTTCCGGGCTGTGCTCCAAGTCCAATTGCTCTCAGGATGAATTGCCTACCTGTCACATTTGTCTTTCTGAGCTGCTGTTTTCCCAACAAGCCCTCCACACCTTGCTGCGTCGCACTGTCCACTCAGCAGCTGGCCTGGACCTCATCCTCGAACTTTGGGCCATGTCTGCCAACCCCCTGGGATTTTGAGCTCCTCGTTCAGTGTCTTTTCTGAGACCTGTCCCCTTCTTGTGTAGCTGTTGGTGTTAGCATCTTGTCTGGAAGGCTCCTGCAGGTTAGGCCTGCACCCCTGCATGTCAGTGCCATGCACATGAGAGGGAGAGGTCCCCATCTGGAGACGGTTAGGATAGGGAGGGATTCCGAAGATACCAGAATATCTGGCAGAACTGGCTCCAGAGACACAGAACTCGTATTTCCCCAAAGTTCTCTTTCCATTTGACTTGTGGAAGTCCTTTCCTCTTTTCTCTCCCCCAATTTTTTTTTTGTTTTTTGAGACGGAGTTTCACGCTTGTCACCCAGGCTGAAATGCAGTGGTGCGATCTCAGCTCACTGCAACCTCCACCTCCCTGGTTCAAGCGATTCTCCTGCCTTAGCCTCCTGAGTAGCTGGGATTACAGGTGCTCGCCACCACACCCAGCTAATTTTTGTATTTTTAGTAGATAGGCTTTCACCATGTTGGCCAGGCTAGTGTCGAACTCCTGACCTCAGGTGATCCACCCGCCTTGGTCTCCTATAGTGCTGGGATTACAGGTGAGAGCCACCACCCCGGCTCTCTCCCCTAATTTTTATTTGATTGCATCAATAATTCTAATAGCAGGCAAGGAAATGAAAGGGTGAGAGAGGTCACCACTAACCTACCCCATGACTCATCAGCTGGCCTCTAGGTTTTGTTTCTTTTTTCACTTCCTGCCTATACAAATCCTTAGTCCTGAGGTAGCACCTGGGTACCAATTCACATCCTGTTTTTTACCCCTTCATTTAAACATAGTAAACATTTCGCTACATTGTATACCGTCATGTTTTTTAGTGTCTTAGTCTTCCCGTGAAGGAATTTGCCCATAATTTACTTAACCACTCCTGGCACACACACCCGTGCATTTGCGGGCGTGCACACACACACACGCTAAAAAAGTTTTTTTTTTGGCCGGGCGCGGTGGCTCACGCCTGTAATCCCAGCACTTTGGGTGGCCAAGGCGGGCAGATCACGAGGTCAAGAGATCGAGACCATCCTGGCTAACACGGTGAAACCTCGTCTCTACTAAAAATACCAAAAAAAAAAATTTTTTTTTTTTTTTTTTTTTTTGAGATGGAGTCGCGCTCTGTGGCCCAGGCTGGAGTGCAGTGGCACAATCTCTGTTCACTGCAAGCTCCGCCTCCCAGGTTCACGCCATTCTCCTGCCTCAGCCTCCAGAGTAGCTGGGACTACAGGCGCCTGCCACCATGCCCGGCTAACTTTTTGTATTTTTAGTAGAGATAGGGTTTCACTGTGTTAGCCATGATGGTCTCGATCTCCTGACCTCGTGATCCACCCACCTTGGCCTCCCAAAGTGCTGGGATTACAGGTGTGAGCCACCGCGCCTGGCCAAAAAAAATTTTTTTTTGAGACAGGGCCTTGCTCTTTTGCCCAGGCTGGAGTACAGTGGCGCAATCTCAGCTCACCGCAGCTTCCCACCTTAGCCTCCCAAGTAGCTGGGACCACAGGCACGCACCACCATGCCGTGCTGAATTTGTTTGTTTTAGTAGAGATGAGGTCTTGCCATGCTGCCCATGCTGGTCTCAAACTCCTGGGCTCAGGTGATCCTCCTGTCTCGGCCTCACAAAGTGTTGGGATTACAGGCATGAGTCACTGCACCTGGCCTGCACTATATATCTGTACACATGTGGCTTAGCTTTTTCCCATTTTGGAGTATGTTCTCAGTGTTTGCTCCTGGGGGTTAGATGACTAGATCAAATGATTTTTTTTGAGACAGTGTACCACTCTGTTGCCCAGGCTGGAGTGCACCTCTGCTTCCGGGTTCAAGCAATTCTCCTGCCTCAGCCTCCTGAGTAGCTGGGACTACAGGCGCACACCACCACGGCTGGTTAATTTTTGTATTTTTAGTAGAGATGGAGTTTCGGCATGCTGGCCAGGCTGGTCTTGAACTCCTGACCTCAGGTGATCTGCCCATCTCGGCCTCCCAAAGTGCTGGGATTACAGGCGTGAGCCACTGTGCCCGGCCAAGAGGGAATTTTTTTTTCTTTCTTTTTTTACATGATCTGGGCAGGTTTAGTCACAAAGGATGCTGGCCACTTAGACCTGAGTCAGCCAGGCCAGAGCTGGGGGTTGGAACAGTTGTGGAAGAGACTGAGTCTGCACAGCCTGTAGGCGTGGCAAGCTGAGGCTGATCAGGGTTGGCATCTGTGGGGATCAGGGAGGCTGCACTTTGGCCACATTCCTGGGGCAGCAAGACTAAGTCTGAACTCCATCTCCATTTGCTGGAGGGAGTGTGCTCCTGATGCCCTCTCTTCCCCAGTCAGGGCTGGCTCAGAAGCTCCATGCTGAGGGTCTTTAGAGACCTCAACTTGCAGGAGGTGAGGTTGCTATATTGTCTCCCCAAAGGGTCTCCATGGCAACTTGTTGTTATCCAGCTCAAAATGAGAAGGTTCCCTCTCCTTTCATTTCCACAGCTCTAATGTCTTGCTGGACCAAAATCTCACCCCCAAACTTGCTCACCCAATGGCTCATCTGTGTCCTGTCAACAAAAGGTCAAAATACACCATGATGAAGACTCACCTGCTCCGGACGTCAGCCGCGTATCTGCCAGAGGATTTCATCCGGGTGGGGCAGCTGACAAAGCGAGTGGACATCTTCAGCTGTGGAATAGTAAGAGTGTCCTGCTCTGCGTAGAGTGGGGCCCACCTTGATTTGTCCTTCCCACGGCTCCTTTGTAATCACAGGATACGGTAGAGGCACACAGACAGGTTCCATCAAAGTACAACAGGGGCTGACAAACTGTGGCCCACAGGCCACTTTGGCCTGTGGCGTATTTTGTATGGTCTGTGAGCTAAGGGTAGTTTTACATTTATAAAGGATTATATTTTTAAACACAAAGAATATGTGATAGAGACTGAACATGCTCCCCAAAAGCTCACATATTTACTGTGTGGCGTGTTACAGAAGAAATTTGCCAGCCCTTGAAGGAAAACCACTCATGAGTGTCCAGGTTCTAGTAGGCTCCAGATATCCTCTCCTGACTTCCGTAATTCCCATCCAGCCATCCACTTGTCCATCCAGTTGTCTATTTGTCCTTATTTGTTCATCGCTGTCCGATCATCCATCTACCCTTTAGCTGCCCATCCATTCAGCGACCACTGACCCACCCAGCATCCCACCCTACCACCACCACCATCCTTGTCTGCCATTATGTCGTGCCAGGCACTAGGAATATGAATGTAACAAAAACACAGTCCCTCCCCTCAGGAGCTCATGGTCTGCATGTAGCAGTCTCCAAAGTATATTTCTGTAGAACTCCAGTTCCTTCGGACCTCTAGGATTGATGTGTTAAAAGGGTTTGTGCCCTGACAGGCTTGGAAATATTGCATTAGGCAAAGTCAAGCAGGTTTCTTTACCACAAGATTAATTCAAGCTGGTTGAATGGTAGTGAGCCTTTAATCTGGTACTTGTGAATTCACCAGAGAGGGGTATGCAGTGTTTCCCAAGCTCATTTGACTATGGAACCTTGTGTTCTCAGAATATCTGTCCTTGTCAGTGTTCCATGGAACCCAGTCTGGGAAATGCTGGCTGAGAAGAGTAACAGTCAGGTTGGCTTCAGCCAAGTGCATACAGCTGCCCCTTGGGCCTCACCCTCTTTTCTTCTCTAGCCTTGAACTCTGTACTTCCTCTCTCTGACCACAGTCTCCTGTCTGTCTACCTCTGCTACCAGAACCGTGGCCCTGAGTCACCTCTGCCCTCAGCCAGAACCCCAGATTCTGCACCTCCGTGTCTCCCAGCTGGTTCCTCTGCCTCCCTCAGCCCCACTGCAAGTTGTTCAGTGAAGCTCAGCAGGGCTAGTCCAGGCTCCTTCTCCTTTAAGAACCAGGGGGATGGGCAGGGAGTGGTGGCACATGCCTAAAATCTCAGTACTTTGGGAGGCCGATGTGGGCAGATCACCTGAGGTCAGGAGTTCAAGACCAACCTGGCCAACATGGTGAAACCCCGGCTCTACTAAAAATACAAAAATTAGCTGAGTGTGGTGGCATGTGCCTGTAATCGCAGCTACCTGGGAGGCTGAGTCAGGAGAATCACTTGAACCTGGGAGGCAGAGGTTGCAGTAAGCCGAGATCGCGCCATTGCACTCCAGCCTGGGCAACAGAGCAAGATTCTGTCTCAAAAAAAAAAAAAAAGAAAAAAAAGAACCAGGGGGATAGAACCCCTAGGCCCGGCTCAGTTACTTTCAGCTGTGTGACTTACACCTAGCACTTCTGTCTCTGGGCCTCAGTTAAGCCTTCTGTAAGATGGGGCTAACGATACACATGGAGATGAATGGGATAATGTATATAAGCAGGTGAGCATGGCACCCTGCACCCTGCACCTACCAAGAATATTATGATGACTGTGGTTATTGTTATTCCCACCTTTACACCCTCCTTCTGATATCTGTTTACTCTTGACCTTCTAACTGGTGTGTTAGCGTCACAGATGACTTCCTCATCCATCCATTCACCCTCCCACCTATCCATCTATTCATCCACCCATGCACCCACCCTCCCACCCACATACCCATCCATCCATCCATCCATCCATCCATCCATCCATCCATCCATCCATCCATCTACCACCCATCCATCCATTCATTCATTGAATGCCTCCTGGCTCCTGCCACCCTTTTGCTCAGCCCTGCCTCTGGTTGACTGATAACGCTTTTGAACTTTGATTCCTCCTGTGGGGATCACAGTGCATTGCTCAGTGTTTTTTGGTGAGTGCTCAGTGACCTCTATAAAGGACTTGGCTCAGAGCCTGCTCTGTGAAAGGGGCACAGGAAGTCTTTGTTTATTCATTTCCCCTTGTTCTGTCCCTTCCTGGCAGGGACCTGTCAGGAGTCCCTTTTCAATTGGCTCCTGTCCCACTTGCAGCAGTGATGCCCTCTGCTGCCCTTTTCTGGTCACTGCCAGTCTGTTATTAATCCTGGGTGGTTTAAAACCTTTATCCTTTCCTTCCTCCAGGCTTGGAGGGATTCTTGGCTATAAATGTGACCCTATTCTGACTTGCTTTGAGAGATGCTGTGGGAGAGAGGTTCCACACTAAGTGTGGGGTCTTCACACCTTTAATATTCACAACTGCTAGTCCCCATTTAACAGATGAGGACACTGAGGCTCAGGTTTTAGTTACTTGCCTAAAGATCACCTGAGCATATAAGGAACAGAGTCAGAATTTGAACTCAGGCCTGACTGTAGAGCCCTTAGCCATCATAGCATTGTCTCTACTGAGAAACCCTGTTCAAAGCAGTTTCCTGTTTATGAAGACATATATCATGGTTTGCCAATTTTGTGGTGACTTACACGTATACAGGGTTGTGCTCCTTCTGCGAGTGGATGCGCTAATGAATAAATAATGTTAGTAAAGGCCTGTGAGTGAAACATGCTATGGATGCTGCAAGATTTGTCTAGAATAGATACCTGCCTGCATGCAGAGTCTTTCCTTCCCTGAGATTCACAGAGCAATGCCTGCTTGCCATAGCTGAAGGTTTTTTGGTGTTTTTTTTTTTTTTTGAGACGGAGTCTTGCTCTGTCGCCCAGGCTGGAGTGCAGTGGTGCGATCTCAGTTCACTGCAAGATCCACCTCCCAGGTTCACGCCATTCTCCTGCCTCAGCCTCCCAAGCACCTGGGACTACAGGCACCCGCCACCGCGCCTGGCTCATTTTTTTGTATCTTTAGTAGAGACGGGGTTTCGCTGTGTTAGCCAGGATGGTCTCGATCTCCTGACCACGTGATCCGCCCACCTCAGCCTCCCAAAGTGCTGGGATTACAGGCATGATCCACCGTGCCCAGCCAGCTGAAGGATTTTTAAATGAAACAATCTTTAAAAAATAGTGTATATATACGTGTGTGTGTATCTATATTTATCTATACCTATATATATCTTATGGTAATACATATAAACACACACACACATGAATTTTTGAAAACCATCTTCTCTGCCTGGCTATCAATTAATTACAACCTTCCACTGGCAGCTTGGTGGCATCTTTAATTGGAGGAGGTGTTTAGTGATATTCCCATGTTCCAGATTTTGGGCAGGTGTGTCTGCTGGCAATGGCAGAGCTGCACCTGGAGCTCAGAACTGAGAAGAGAAGACAGAATCTGCTGCCTGGCTGTGTGCACGAGCGTCTGAACCATGCTAACTCACGTTCTGTTCTCTCCAGGTGTTGGCCGAGGTCCTCACGGGCATCCCTGCAATGGATAACAACCGAAGCCCGGTTTACCTGGTAAGGGAACTTGTCACATCTGGCTGGGAGGTATATTTGGGCCTCACAGCTCTGTAGAGAGGGCAACGACCTCAATTCTAGCTAGTTTTACACATGCAAATGAGGCCCGGTACAAGGTTGCATTTGCATCCCCACAAAGCAGCTTTAACCTCCCATCCCCACCTGCCAGCCAACCATTGCTTTTTCATGATAATAGCATCTGGGGCTTGGTGCGGTGGCTCATGCCTGTGATCACAGCCTTTGGGAGACTGATGTGGGTGGATCATTTGAGACCAGGAGTTCAAGACCAGCCTGGCCAACATGGTGAAACCCTGTCTCTATTAAAAAAAAAGAAAAGAAAAAACTTACAAAAAACCCCCAACATTATCCAGGTGTGGTCGCATGTGCCTGTAATCCCAGCTACTCGGGAGGCTGAGGCAGGAGAATCACTTGAACCTGGGAGGCAGAGGTTGCAGTGAACCAAGATTATGCCACTGCACTCCAGCCTGGGTGACAGAGCGAGACTCCATCTCAAAAAAAAAAAAAAAAAAAAGATTTTGGAATGTTTATAGAAAGCACTTGTATAAAAGAGAAAGCACTTCTCTATATATCAGGCAATTCATTAGGGATTTTCCTCAAATTGATAAAAGTTAATTTCAGCCCTTTTAAACAAGTTTCTATAATAAAAACAATTTCCATTTTGTAGGCCAAAGATC
Organism: Homo sapiens; assembly: GCF_000001405.40. Taxonomy (NCBI): domain Eukaryota; kingdom Metazoa; phylum Chordata; class Mammalia; order Primates; family Hominidae; genus Homo; species Homo sapiens. The sequence continues at coordinate 10,227,129 of NC_000003.12, forward strand.
TGATATACACAGTCATTTAAAAAATATAACAACCTGGCTGGGTGTGGTGGCTCACACCTCTAATCCCAGCACTTTGGAGGAGGCCAAGGCGGGCGGATCACTTGAGGCTGGGAGTTCGAGACCAGCCTGGGCAACATGGCGAAACCCTGTCTCTACTAAAAATACAAAAATTAGCCAAGCGTAGTGGCACACACCTGTAATCCCAGCTACTTGGGAGGCTGAGGCAGGAGAATCGCTTGAACCCAGGAGACAGAGGTTGCGGTGAGCCAAGATTGCACCACTGCACTCCAGCCTGGGTGACAGAGTGAGACCCTCTCTCAAAAAAGAATAAAAATATAACAACCTAGCCTGACTTTGTGTTAAATACTTTCCATACATTATCTACCTAAATCATCTCAATTTTTCCATGATAGAGTCATTATATTCATCTGCAGATGAGGAAAGCTGGCTCTGAGTTTGGCCTAGGATCTCAGTTGGAATTACCAAGTGTCAGAGCTGGAATTCTGAGTCAGATCTCCCTGAGCCGACATCATGAGTTTTTTTTTTGTTTTTGTTTTTGAGACGGAGTCTTGCTCTGTCGCCCAGGCTGCAGTGCAGTGGTGCAATCTCGGCTCACTACAAGCTCCACCTCCCGGGTTCATGCCATTCTTCTGCCTCAGCCTCCCGAGCAGCTGGGACTACAGGCGCCCACCACCACACCTGGCTAATTTTTTTGTATTTTTAGTAGAGATGGGGTTTCACTGTGTTAGCCAGGATGGTCTCAATCTCCTGACCTCGTGATCCGCCCGCCTCGGCCTCCCAAAGTGCTGGGATTACAGGATCTTGAGTTCTTAACCACAGCAGTCTCCTGCTTGTTTCTTGTGACAGTCCAACCATACGAATTCAGTATTATCATTCCCATTTACAGCTGAGAAAACTGAGGGCAAGCTGAAGTGACTTGTCTCACGCCCCTCAGTGAGACCAGTGGTGGAAGTGGGGTTTAAATTGAACCCAAGGCTTTTGCAGAGTTTCAAATCTCATCCAAACTCTAGTCTTCCTCATCAGTTTGAGAGGGGGCACCTTTTCCTACTGGGTATTGAGGCCATTGGAACAGACAGATTATTATTTTATTTATTTATTTATTTCTGGTGACTGGGCCCCAGAAGCATCCCCTGGGCTCTGGGGTAGGGAGGCTGAAGGCCTCGCTACTCCATGCAGAAAGTCACGACATGTTCCTTTGATGAACTCTGTGAGTTCCACCCCTTTTGGGCAGTCAATCCCATATGCTGCAGAGAGGTCTGTCTGGGCAGCTCAGATGTGGTTTGGGGCTGTTTGGGGGCAGTTTCTCATCTCCTGACTATTTTCTTGAGATGGATTTCCCAGCAGTCCTCTGGGGCTCCCCGGACAAGTGTCACAGTGGAAGGAGGCTTTTGAGGCACTGACAGGAAGTTGTCTAGAATTATTTTTTTGCTAATGATTTCTAAAAATGTGGAAAATAACAATTTTTTAAAATGTAGTTTCTTTCTCTTATTCTAGACTCTTGTATGGTCTCTTATCATGTTCTGTTGTGGTAGGTGCAATCCAATGGTTAATCAAGATTTGAGTCAGGGAGGAAAGCTTGCTGATTTCCTGTGGCCCAGGGTAGGAGGAAGCAGGCCTCCTCCAGGCTTGGGAAAGTGTTAGTTGCCACAGTGTTTCCTGAGGGCATTTGGTGGTTTCCACCTAAATTGAAAATATGAGTACCCTCTGACACGGCAGTTCCATTTGTGCCTAGAGAAACATGCACACATGTGAGGAGAGGCAGATGAACAAGGATATTTGTAGTGGCATTTTTTTTTTTTTCGAGACAGAGTCTCGCTCTGTTGCCCAGGCTGGAGTGCAGTGGGCGTGATCTTGGCTCACTGCAACCTCCACCCCCCGGGTTCAAGAGATTCTCCTGCCTCAGCCTCCTGAGTAGCTGGGACTACAGGTGCGCATCACCACACCCGGCTAATTTTTGTATTTTTTTTAGTAGTGACAGGGTTTTGCCATGTTGGCCAGGCTGGTCTTGAACTCCTGACATCACTCAGGTGATCTGCCCACCTTGACCTCCCAAAGTGTTGGGATTACAGGAGTGAGCCACTGCGCCTGGCCAAATTTAATTTAATTTGATTTAGAGATAGGGAGGGGTCTTGCCCTGTCACCCAGGCCAGAGTGCAGTGGCATGATTGTAGCTCACTGCAGCCTCGAATGCCTGGGCTCAAGCGATCTTCCCATCTTGGCCTCCCAAATTGTGAGGATTACAGGTGTGAGCCATGGCGCCCAGCCTGTATGAGTTTTGACAAATGTATACAGTCATGTAACCACCACCACAATCAAGATACGGAATATTTTTGTCACCCCAGAAAATTCCCTCCACTTACAGGTCCTGGCAATTACTCATCTAATTTCTGTCCACATAGCTCTATCTTCTTTAGAGGGTCATATCAATGGGCCCATGGCAGATGCACCCATTTGTTTCTGTCCCCCTTCATGTAGCATGGTGCTTAGATTCATCCATGTTGTTGACGTGTCAGTAATTCATTCCTTTTCATTGCTGAAGAGTATTCCATTGTATGGATAGATGACTGTTTATCCATTTACCAGTTGCTGGACATTTGGGTTATTTCCAGGTTTTGGCAATTCTGAATAAAGCCAACACAAACATTCTTATTTTAAAAAAATGAAAAAGAGGCCGGGCACAGTGGCTCACGGCTGTAATCGCGGCACTTTGGGAGGCTGAGGTGGGTGGATCACTTGAGTTCAGGAGTTCAAGACCAGCCTGGGCAACATGGTGAAACCCCGTCTCTACTAAAAACACAAAATTAGCCCTGTGTGGTGGCGAGTGCCTGTAATCCCAGCTACTCAGGAGGCTGAAGCAGGAGAATCGCTTGAACCTGGGAGGCAGAGTACAGTGAGTCGAGATTGTGCCACAGCACTCCAGCCTGGGCAACAGAGTGAGACTCTGTCTCAAAAAAATAAAAAAGTAAATTGAAAAAGACATGTATGTTCTGACAGGGACATATCTCCAAGTGAACAAAGCAAATTCAGAATAGTATATAGTATGATCACATTTTTGCTAAAAATAGATGGATGAATGAATGAAAACATTGTATCACATATTTTCTTCTCTATAAATTGAGGATAATAGTAGTACCCCCCCCCACCGACAAGGTATGTTTGTTTGTTATCATTTTTGGAGATAGGGTCTCCTATCTCCTATCTTCTTTGTCACGAAGGCTGGAGGAGTGCAGTGGCATGATCATAGCTCACTGTCACCTCGAACTCCTGGGCTCAAGGGATCCTCCCACCTTAGCCTCCCGGGTAGCTGGGATTATAGGCATGAGCCACTGTGCCTGGCATCTGACAGGTTTATTGAAGGTTAAATAATATGTGAGATGCCTAAAATAGTAACTAGAACATAATAAACAATATATGTTAACTATTAGTATTATCATTATTATTTGAGATAAGGTCTCTGCCACCCTGGCTAGTATGTAGTGGTGCAATCATGGCTCACTGTAACCTTGTACCCCTGGCCTCAAGTGATCCCCTGCTTTAGCCTCCCAAGTAATTGGGACCACAGGCACGTGCCGCCACTCCTAGCTAATTTTTATTTTTATTTTATTTATTTATTTTTATTTTGAGACAGAGTCTTGCTCTGTCGCCCAGGCTGGAGTACAGTGGTGCAATCTCCGCTCACTGCAGCCTCTGCCTCCTGGCTTCAATTGATTCTCCTGCCTCAGTCTCCCAAGTAGCTGGGATTACAGGCATGGACCAACATGCCCAGCTAATTTTTGTATTTTTAATAGAGACAGGGTTTCACCATGTTGGCCAGGCTGGTCTTGAACTCCTGACCTCAAGTGATCCACCTGCCTCGGCGGCCTCCCAAGTACCTGGGACCACAGGCATGTGCCCTCACGCCCAGCTAATTTTTAATTTGTTATTTGTAGAGATGGGGTCTTGTTACGTTGCCCAGGCTGATATTGCTATTATTTTAACAGCTTTTAGGATACTGTTATAATTATTATATAAGTAAATATAAAACCAAAATAATTATAGCTGTATAGCAGAAAATAATATAATCCAAACTATTAGCAGGAGTTACCTTTGGAGAGTAGAAATGAAAGGTAAACTTTTGTCCCCAAATTTTAACCACTTATGTTTAATTTTAATTTTTTTTTGAAATGGAGTCTCCCTCTGTGGCCCAGGCTGGAGTACAGTGGTGTGCTTTTGGCTTACCACAACCTCTGTCTCCCAGGTTCAAGCAATTCTCCTGCCTCAGCTTCCCATGTAGCTGGGATCACAGGTGTGTGCCACCATGGCCCAGATAATTTTTGTATTTTTAATAGAGATGGGGTTTTGCCATGTTGCCCAGGCTGGTCTCGAACTCCTGAGCCCAAGTGATCCTCCTGCCTTGGCCTCCCAAAGTGTTGGGATTACAGGTGTGAGCCACCGTGCCCAGCCAAAAGTTGCTTTTTAAGGGTGGTTTGTTTGAAACTAGACCCCAAAAATGTCCATATATTACTTTGGTTATGTTTGTTTTTTTCATTTTTAAAAAAAAATTTTATGTGGAGATGGGATGTCACTTTGTTGCCCAGGCGAGTTTCGAGCTCCTGGGCTTAAGCATTCGCCTGCCTCAACCTCCCAAAGTGCTGACATTACAGGTGTGAACCACCACGCCCGGGCATGGTTATGTTTCTTAAGACTCTTATTCTTGGCCGGGCACGGTGGCTCAAGCCTGTAATCCCAGCACTTTGGGAGGCTGAGGCAGGCGGATCACAAGGTCAGGAGATCGAGACCATCCTGGCTAACATGGTGAAACCCCGTCTCTACTAAAAATACAAAAAAATTAGCCGGGCATGGTGGCGGGTGCCTGTAGTCCCAGCTACTCGGGAGGCTGAGGCAGGAGAATGGCATGAACCCAGGAGGCGGAGCTTGCAGTGAGCCGAGATCGTGCCACTGCACTACAGCCTGGGCGACAGAGCGAGACTCCGTCTCAACAACAACAACAAAAAGACTCTTATTCTCTCACAACCTCTCCCGCAATGCCCTTTTTCATTTTGGATGTCGTTGGATTTTTGCATAGACTAGGTCATTTGCCCTATGTAGACAGACTGTCTCACATTCTGGGTTTTGCTCATTACATCCTGTGGTCTCCTTCCCTTGTTTCTCTATTCCTCATATTTCCTATATTTGGCAGTTAGCACTTGTGACTTGTTTAGAGTCATGGTCATTGCCTTTGTCAAGAACACTTCCTGGAGGCGCTGTGAGCCTCCCATTGCTTCACTACACGGGGCGTAGCCTGTTGTCCTACTTTTAGTGCTAAGACCGATCAGTGTGTTAAGGTTTTAGTGCTAAGATTGATCAGTGGTTTCAGGTGGAGCTGCCGACTCCTCCATGGTGAAGTTCCCTCGACATCCTTTCATCGCGTGTTCTCAGTCCCCCAACCCCTGTTTAAACACTAGGTGTCTTCTGTAGTTTTTTTGATTATCGTCATAGTCTTTGCATCAAGATACATAGCAATGATGGCAGGTTTCCATTTGGGGCAAATTGTGAGACCCTGCCTCTAGAAAAGAAGAAAATAATACACTTCTACTGTTCTTGATTATCAGCTTTAAACACTAGTACACTTTAAAAAAAAAATAAACATTTAGGCTGGGTGCAGTGGCTCACACCTATAATCTGAGCACTTTGAGATGCCAAGACAGGAGGATTAGTTGAGCCCAGGAGTTCAAGACCAGCCTGGGCAACATAATGAGACTCCATCTCTACAAAAAATTTAAAAATTAGCCAAGTACAGTAGCATGTGCCTATAGTCCCAGCTACTTGGGAGGCTGAGGTGGGAGGATCGATTGAATCGAGGAGGTTGAGACTGTAGTGAGCTGTGATTATATCACTGTGCCCGGCCTATTTTTATTTTTATTTCTTATTTATATTTTGAGACGGAGTCTCACTCTGTCGCCCAGGCTGGAATGCAGTGGCGCAATCTTGGCTCACTGAAGCCTCTCCCTCCCCAGTTCAAGCAATTCTCCTACCTCAGCCTCCCGAGTACCTGGGACTATAGGCACGCACCGCCATGCCCGGCTAATTTTTTGTATTTTTTAGTAGCGACGAGGTTTCACCGTGTCAGCCAGGCTGGTCTCGAACTCCTGACCTCGAGTGATCTGCCAGTCTCGGCCTCGCAAAGTGCTGGGATTACAGGCATGAGGCACCGCACCTGGCCTACAATACATGTTTTTACAATATTTAGTATGTTTGTAACATTCATATATGCTAATCATATATACCATATTACTCATGAAATATACAATATAATTTATATTAAATATGCTTACATATTTGTATAAAATTATTATATAGCATATGTTCTATTGTATGCATAGTTCAGATTGCTGCATTTTATGTGGTACAAAATATAAAATATATGTAAATACAAAATGTATAAGAAGTATAGACATAATATTTTCTTTATAGTGGCTCTCCTGTTATGTATATAGGTCAGAATCCTACATTTGAAATGTTTGTATCATAAGAGATTGTCCATGTAGTTAATAAGATTAAATTATTAAGTGCTTATCATGTAGTAAGTGCCATATAAATGGTAGCTATTATTACTATTAGTTATTATCACTAAAAGACTATTGAATGTTCCGTGTCAGATGTCACTCTCTGTGCTTTAGGTGCACTGTTTCATTGAATGGTTGTGTTAGTCCTAGGTGTAGGTATTTTATTATTTTTTTGAGACAGAATCTCGCTGTCACCTAGGCTGGAGTGCAGTGGCGTGATCTCAGCTCATTGCAGCCTCCGCCCCCCACCTCCCCCACCATAGGTTCAAGCAATTCCTCTGCCTCAGCCGCCCTAGTAGCTGTGATTACAGGCGTGCACTACCAAGCCCAGCTAATTTTTATATTTCTAGTAGAGACGGGGTTTCGCCCTGTTGGCCAGGCTGGCTCGAACTCCTGACCTCAAGTGATCCACTCGCTTCTGCCTCCCAAAGTGCTAAGATTACAGGCTTGAGCCACTGCGCCCGGCCCTGGTGTAGGTATTTTTGTTGTTCCCATTTTCCTGATGAACCAACCGAGGCCTAGAAAAATTAAGGCCCCACGTTTGTGGCATGAGTTCACTATGGAGTGCCCTGTGCATGTAGGAAATCGAATCCTTCTCCATTTCTTGGGGGTTTTACTTCTTTCTGGAATCCTTGCATTTATTCTTACGATGTCCGGTCGGTTTTCTGAGCATTTTTTGCAGCTCTGGAGGTGAGTGGGGCGCGTGCGTTGGCTCTCGCAGCTCTGCAGCTCACGCAAGGGCGTTTCTACCCTTCTTCCCACAGAAGGACTTACTCCTCAGTGATATTCCAAGCAGCACCGCCTCGCTCTGCTCCAGGAAGACGGGCGTGGAGAACGTGATGGCAAAGGAGATCTGCCAGAAGTACCTGGAGAAGGGCGCAGGGAGGCTTCCGGAGGACTGCGCCGAGGCCCTGGCCACGGCTGCCTGCCTGTGCCTGCGGAGGCGTAACACCAGCCTGCAGGAGGTGAGCCTCGCCCGCAGCGGCCTCGCTGCCTGGGCCACGCGTGGGTCCACCTCATCGGGGACGGCCCCTTCGCAGAGGCCTGGTGCACAAACCAGGGTTGTGCTTGCTTGCAAGCCGCAGAACCTCCTAGAGCTCCCATCAGCCAAAGGGCGGTGTAGGGATGGATAGTGCGGAGCCCGAGGACGGGTATTGCAGGGCCTCAGGGCGCAGGACCAAACCCGTGGATGTTAACTGAACTCGATGAACTCTCTGTGAATCGGCTTTATTCCCCCTTCTCTATAGGCCCCTTCCCCTTTCCTCTGTGTTCTCTGGAGGGAACGGCTCTGCCCGCAGTTTATAACAGAGAGATGAGCCTCCACCCTGAGTCCCACCACAGAGGGAGAACCTGATTGGCTGAACTTGGGTCAGTTGTTTACCGCTTGGCCAATCAGGCATGGTGGGGCGGTCCAGCATGCAAACCGGGCTGCCCAGGGCTCCATCCCTGGATGGTGTCGGCGCCAGGTCCCAAAGAAAGGGAGTGTGCTCAGCCCATGCACTAGGCGGACGTCCTAGAAAGCAGCCACTACACGGGGTAAGAGATTTTTTTGGACATGAGAAGTAGCCGTGGCTTCCATGGTAAAAGGTAATCAAGAGACTACTGCTTGATCTTTTTTTTTTTTCTTTTTGAGACAGAGTCTCCTTCTGTCGCCCAGGCTGGAGTGCAGTGGTGCTATCTCCAACCTTCGCCTCCCGGGTTCAAGTAATTCTCTTGCCTCAGCCTCCCGAGTATCTTGAATTACAGGCATCAGCCGCTCTGTCCGGCCTTGCTTGGTCTTTCTAAGGACAAACTCTCCACTGCCTGGGAGGACCCTTAGAAATCATCTAGCAGAGTGATTTTCAAGTGGTGTTGGGCACAGAGGGGCTCCTTGAGAATACTCAGGAATTGCTGTTGGCAGCAAGAGGGGTTGGGGGAGGTGCAGGCCCCCACCTGTGACTCGGACCAGACACCCACTTTTGACTTCTCTCAGTTACTGTATTGGGTTCTCTGGAAAGGGTTTGGTAGCTGGAAAAAATCTTCAATAACCACTGCTGTAGCCCAAGCCTCCCATTTTACAGAAGGGCAAGTGAAGGGCCACAGACGAGAAGATGAGGCCACAGAACTTGTTTTTGTCAGAGCTCTCTGGACTCCCAGTTCAGCCTTATGTCCATCGTCTTGCGCTGTCACGTGGCAGGAGCTGGAGGCTTCAGTCTTTGTTCTCAGCCTTTGCTAGCACAGGTGTCCCCCAAGTGTCCATGTGCCCCGATGTTCAGTCATTCATTCCGCAGTTGTACACTGGGGCCAGGGGACACATCTGTTCGGGAACAAGGCAGACCCAGGTCCACGCTCCTGGAACTCATGGACATTGCATAGTAATTGTCTTTGTGGTGAGCGCCAGGACAGTGTATGATGAGGACCCCACCCTGTTGACCTTCCTGAGGAAGGGGGGTTTAAGCACACGAAGAGCAATCCAGGCAGAAGGAACACCCTGCAAATGGCCTGAGCTGAGAGAGAGCTCAGCACGTTCAAGGGCCTGGAAGAAGGTCCGAAGGGCTAGAACACAACACATGGGGCACAGTGGCTTGTGTTGGGTGTGTCGAGGAAGGAGTTGTCCAATGATAGAAGGCTTTGTAGGCACAGTAAGGATTTTTGCAGAGCCACTAAGGTTTTTTTTTTTTTTTTTTTTTTTTTAACAGAATCTCACTCTTTCACCCAGGCTACAGTGTAGTGGTGCAATCTCGGCTCACTGCAACCTCCACTTTCCAGGTTCAAGCAATTCTCCTGCCTCAGCCTCCCGAGTAGCTGAGATTGCAGGTGTGTGCCACCACACCCAGCTAATTTTTGTATTTTTAGTAGAGATGGGGTTTCACTATGTTGGCCAAGCTGGTCTCGAACTCCTGACCTCAGGTGATCCACCTGCCTTGGCCTCTCAAAGTGCTGGGATTATGGGCCTGAGCCACTGTGCCCAGCCTCACTAAGGTTTTTAAGCAGAGGTAGGACATAATCAGTTTTATATTCTAAAAAGTTCTGTCTCCTTCAACCAATTATTCTTTCAGTAAGACTTTCATTCTTTTATTCATTCCATTATTTTGTTCAGTGTGTCACTTAAGGTGCAGGTGAAACTGCTATAACAAGGAGACTGCAAAATGCAGTGGTTTAAATAAGATAGATGTTTATTCTCTTTAGTGTAACAGTTTGAATTTACGCAGTCCAGTGTTAATGTGGCAGTGCCACAGTATTGGGGACCCAGGCTCCTTCTATGTTGTTTGTTTGCTATCCTTACCATGTGGCTTCCATGTCAGGGTCTAAGATGGCTGCTGTTGCTCAGGCCATCACACCTGCAATCCAGCCAGTGAAAGAGGGTTAAAAGGAAAAGGTGGACACACTCCCTTTCTTTTAAAGATATAACCTGGAAATGCATCACTTTTTCTCACATAATAGAGAGCAGAACTTAGCTACATGGCCACGCCTAGCTCCAAGGAAATGCGGTCTTTAGATTGGCAAATATTTATTGGGCATCTACTGTGAAGATTTATCTCAAGAAGTAACATGTGACCTGGGCCTTGAAGGATGAGACGTTTGCCACGTAAAATAAAGGGGATAGGGCACTTTAGGTGTAAGAAGAGGTAGGAGATGGCCTTAGCTCTTAGTACATCACAACCAAGCTGGGAAGATGAAAGAACAGCTGGGTCAGGGACTGGAAGATAATAAGCAGGCCTGGGTTTGATGGTCACCTTTGCCATTTACTGTACTGGCTGGGTGGCTTTAGGCAGGGAACTTAACTTTTCTGATCTTTTAATTTTTTATTTATAAAAATTCATGCATTGTGTATGAAATGGATACATTAGTGGCCGGGTGCGGTGGCTCACGCCTGTAATCTCAGCACTTTGGGAGGCCGAGGCGGGCGGATCACGAGGTCAGGAGATCGAGACCATCTTGGCTAACATGGTGAAACCCTGTCTCTACTAAAAATACAAAAAATTAGCCAGGCGCGGTGGCGGGCACCTGTTGTCCCAGCTACTCAGAAGGCTGAGGCAGGAGAATGGCGTGAACCCGGGAGGCAGAGCTTGCAGTGAACCGAGATACGCCCCTGCAGTCCGGCCTGGGCGAAAGAGCGAGACTCTGTCTCAAAAAAAAAAAAAAAAAAAAGAAAGAAAGAAATGGATACATTAGTATACTGAATTTTTTGCAAGGCACTGAGGAGATGAGATTTGTTATTGTTATTACGGGTATAAGGGTATGTATGTGTGCTCTGTGTGTGTGTGTGTGTGTGTGTGTGTGTGTGTGTGTGAAGAAGAAACATTCCTTCCTTGCTTCCGTCTAATTTTCCTAACCTCCCTAACCACAAAAACCTTCCAGGGCAACATCTATATTATTTGTGCTTTTTTGATTGAAAGTGTTAGGAACTTAAACTCTTACACACACACACGTGCACGCACACACACACAGACATAGGGAGGGGGAAGAATATGAATGAGTGAATTAGCGAATGAATGAACTTAGTGTCTCATTTAACCAAACAACAGAGAGGACAGGCATTGCTCTGGTTTCAGGGAAGTTAGACCCAGGATCTCAAACACCAAAGGTACAGCCATTGTGTCTCTCTGTCTGTGGCTCTCTCTTCGTTGCTTGCCTCTGCTTTACTCTGTGTTGAGCTTTCATTTTCCCCTACTGTAAATGGGTTTTCTGGGTGTAGTGGGGCGTCTGGTTCTACCACTAGAGAGGAAAGGCTGGAGGTCTTTCCCCAATAAGCTCTAGGTGGAAAAGTTTCAGGGAAGGATTCTGATTGGCCAGCTTCGATCACATGCCCAAATCTAGACTAATCCCTATGGTCAGAGGAGTGGGGTACTATGATCTGCCCATGTTGGGTCACGCCGTCTCATCTATGACAGGGCGGTTGGTGGGCAAGCACAGGTCTTTTCAAAGGAAGGGTGTGGTTTTTTCAGACAAAACAACCAGCATTAGGTTCTTCAGTCTGCTCCCCGCCCCCTCTCTGCTGGGAGGCCAGATGTTAGCATTTCTATTTCAGAGAGAATTCCTGATGAGCTCCCTTCTCTCTCTTCTCCCAAAGGTGTGTGGCTCTGTGGCTGCTGTGGAAGAGCGGCTCCGAGGTCGGGAGACGTTGCTCCCTTGGAGTGGGCTTTCTGAGGGTACAGGCTCTTCTTCCAACACCCCAGAGGAAACAGACGACGTTGACAATTCCAGCCTTGATGCCTCCTCCTCCATGAGTGTGGCACCCTGGGCAGGGGCTGCCACCCCACTTCTCCCCACAGAGAATGGGGAAGGAAGGCTGCGGGTCATCGTGGGAAGGGAGGCTGACTCCTCCTCTGAGGCCTGTGTTGGCCTGGAGCCTCCCCAGGATGGTAAGCCGGAAGTCAGAGTGCATTTGGATGCTCATGTGTGTGTCCCCAACTTCAGCCCATCATTTTTTCTTTCTGTTGCCTTCATTCACTCCTTCATTTGGTTATTCAGCCATTCACCAACCAGCCAGTTTTTCACAGAGAAACCTGGGAGGCATCCTTGACACCTCCCTCTCCCTGCCCTGGACTGTGTCCGGTTAATCACCCAGTCCTGTCCATTGGCCTCCAAAATCTCTCTCACCTCCATCTACTTCTCTGCGTTCCCCCTTTGTCTGAGCTCCTGTCCTCAGGGGACTGCATAGCTTCCCTGAGTCCTCCTCCATCCTGGCCCCTCCCTCACTAGGTCCTTCTCCAGGAGCCAGCCAGAGTAGCTTTTAAAAACACAGTGCCGGCCAGGCGAGGTGGCTCACACCTGTAATCCCAGCACTTTGGGAGGCCGAGGCGGGTGGATCACCTGAGGTCACCCTGGCCAGATCACCTGAGATCGAGACCAGCCTGGCCAACATGGCGAAACCCTGTCTCTACTAAAAATACAAAAAAATTAGCTGGGCATGGTGGCGCGTGCCTGTAATCCCAGCTACTTGGGAGGCTGAGGCAAGAGAATTGCTTGAACCCGGGAGGCAGAGGTTGCAGTGAGCCAAGATTGTGCCACTGCACTGCAGCCTGGGCGACAGAACAAGAGTCCGTCTCAAAAAAACAAAAAACAAAAAACTCAATGCATGTCATCCCTCGTTCAAAGTCCTCAAGGCCCCATGTGGTCTGTTCCTGTCTGCCTCTCCTCTCAACACAAACACCATCCTCACCAGTCACTTCTAAAGATATCTTCCAGGCTGGGTGCGGTGGCTCATGCCTGTAATCCCAGCACTTCCAGAGGCTGGGGTGGGCAGATCACCTGAGGTCAGGAGTTCAAGACCAGCTTGGCCAAGATGGTGAAACCCTGTCTCTACTAAAAATACAAAAATTAGCTAGGCATGGTGGCGTGTGCCTGTAGTCCCAGCTACTTGGGAGGCTGAGGCATGAGAATCACTTGAACCCAAGAGGCGGAGGTTGCAGTGAGCCGAGGTCGTGCCATTTCACTCCAGCCCTGAGTGACAGAGTGAGACTCCGTCTCAAAAAAAAAAAAAAGAAGATACTTTCTGGCTGGGCGCAGTGGCTCACGCCTGTAATCCCAGCACTTTGGGAGGCTGAGGCGGGCAGATCACGAGTTCAGGAGTCCGAGACCAGTCTGGCCAATATGGTGAAACCCCATCTCTCTACTAAAAATACAAAAATTAGCTGGGTGTGGTGGCAGGCACCTGTAGTCCCAGCTACTTGGGAGGCTAAGGCAGGAGAATTGCTTGAACCCGGGAGGTGGAGGCTGCAGTGAGCCGAGATTGCACCACTGCACTCCAGCCTGGGTGACAGAGGAAAACTGTCTCAGGGAAAAAAAAAAGGTACCTTCCATTCCTGCCACTCAGGTCCAAGGATACCAAGTTTCTTTCTGAAATAAAAAATTAGGAAGCCCCCCCCCCCCCCCCCCGCCTTTTTTTTTTTTTGTTTTGAGACAGTGTTTCACTCTTGTTGCCCAGGCTGGAGTATAATGGTGTGATCTTGGCTTATGGCAGCCTCCGCCTCCCGGGTTCAAGTGATTCTCCTGTCTCAGCCTCCCGAGTAGCTGGGATTACAGGCATGTGCCACCATGCCTGGCTAATTTTGTATTTTTAGTAGAGACAGGGTTTCTCCATGTTGGTCAGGCTGGTCTTGAACTCCCAACCTCAGGTGATCCGCCCACCTCGGCCTCCCAAAGTGCTAGGATTATAGGTATGAGCCACCGCACCCGACCAGGAAGGCCCTTTCAATGCAGTGTCCCTGTCCCTTAGTAAACATGGTTCAATGAATGTCCCAGGCTCTGACCACTCCTGTTTCTCTTTTACTCCTCCTGCCATGGGGAGGGGAGAGGAAGAAGAAAGACAGGATGTGAGCATTTTTTTCACTCCACCCTCCCACCCCTCAACATCATAAATAGGAACAGGGAAACCCTCTCCTTTCTGGAAGGCCAGGGTAGGTTGCAGGGCTTCCTGCAAAGACAGAGGAGATGAAAATGCTCATTACAGCTGGGTGCAGTGGCTCATACCTGTAATCCTAGTACTTCGGGAGGACGAGGTGGGCTGATTGCTTGAGCCCAGGAGTATAAAGATCAGCCTGGGCAACATGGTGAAAACCTGTCTCTACGAAAGATGCAAAAATTAGCCAGGTGTGGCCAGCCAGGCATGGTGACTCACGCCTGTAATCCTAACACTTTGGGAGGCTGAGGCGGGCGGATCACGAGGTCAGGAGATCGAGACCATCCTGGCTAAGATGGTGAAACCCCGTCTCTACTAAAAATACAAAAAATTAGTTGGGCGTGGTGGTGGGCGCCTATAATCCCAGCTACTCAGGAGGCTAAGTCAGGAGAATTGCTTGAACCCAGGAGGCAGAGGTTGCAGTGAGCCGAGATTGAGCCACTGCACTCCAGCCTGGGCAACAGAGTGAGACTCCATCTCAACAAATGATAAATAAATAAATAAATAAATAAATGGGCTGGGTGCTGTGGCTCACAGGCCGGGCGTGGTGGCTCACGCCTGTCTGTAATCCTAGGACTTCGGGAGGCCGAGGCGGGTGGGTTGCCTGAGCTCAGGAGTTCAAGCCTAGTCTGGGCAACACGGTGAAACCCCTTCTCTACTAAAACACAAAAAAATTAACTGTGTGTGTCGTCCAGCCTGAGCAACAGAGTGAGACTCCATCTCAAAAAAAAAAAAAAAAAAAAAAAAAGCCAGGTGTGGTTGTGCACGCCTGTAGTCCCTGCTACTCCGGAGACTGAGGTGGGAGGATCACCTGAACCTGTGAGGTCAAGGTTGCCTTGAGCTGAAATTGTGCCACTGCACTCCAGCCTGGGCAACAAAGTGAGACCCTGTCTCGATAAAAAAAAAAGAAAAAAAAAAAAAGAAATGCTCATTACACTCAGGGCCTGATTCAGAAACCTGATTTAAGTGACTTTAAGAATTATAATAATAGTAACTTTCATTCAAGTCGCTCTTGTTTGCTTTCTGTTGAACATCAGTTACAGAAACTTCGTGGCAAATTGAGATCAATGAGGCCAAAAGGAAACTGATGGAGAATATTCTGCTCTACAAAGAGGAAAAAGTGGACAGCATTGAGCTCTTTGGCCCCTGATGACCGGAACACAGCTGAGGACCCTTGTCCTCAGTTGGAAAGATGAGCATCAGATCAAGAAAAAGGTCTGAGGCAGAATCCAAGATCTGCCAGGAAACACACAACAAAACATCTGCTGTCCTGGGTGGGAGGGAAACTTCATTTCACTGGAATGAGTTGGGAGAGAAAGGCCCTCAGCTTTTAGAGACACAAAAATCCATGAAGTCTCTTCCTTTCTGGGCTTTGTTAGTCAGAGCAGGGGATCAGAGGAGACTGAAGCAGAAACCCTGCACACGGGCCCAGGATGTGGCTGATTTTGTGGTTCCGGGGAGTATGTGATGATAATCACCCCCAGCAGATTCCATTACCTCAGCAGCTCTTGTTCCCCCGCCACTGGCAGTTCTGCAATGCCATAGCATTTTCCAGAGCTAAGATCTCTGGGTTGTATTTGCTGACAGCCTGCAAGCTTGCATGCTCTGAAAGATTTTTTTTAGTTTTTAATTTTTTTGTAGAGATGGGGTCTCGCTTTGTTGGCGCAATCCTCCCACCTCAGACTCCCAAAGTGCTGGAATTACAGTTGGGAGCCACTGTGCCTGGCCTGGAAGACTTTCAACTTGTGTCTCAGTGCAGTTCTTGACTCACCTCTCTGGGCCTCAGGTTCTACAAATGCCAGACACCTAGCGAAGAGCTCTGCAGGCTTTCCACTGCCTGTATTGGAAATCTTGCAATTCACATAATTATTCAGTCACTGCCTGGTACCTTTATCTTCCCATCCCACTAATGTTAGTGTTTTTTAATGGAGCTTTTATTCTGAGAATATGTGTTTGTCTGTTTGTTTGTTTTTTGAGACAGAGTCTCACTTTGTCACCCAGGCTGGAGTGCAGTGGCACGATCTCAGCTCACTGCAAGCTCTGCCTCTCAGGTTCAAGTGATTCTCCTGCCTCAGCCTCCTGAGTAGATGGGACTGTAGGCACCTGCCACTATGCCTGGCTAATTTTTGTGTTTTTAGTAGAGACAGGGTTTCACCATATTGGCCAGGCTGGTCTCGAACTACTGACCTCGTGATCTGCCCGCCTTGGCCTATCAAAGTGTTGGGATTACAGGCTTGAGCCACCGCACCCGGCCGAGAATATGTGTTGTTATTTATGACTGGATTATGAAGAATCAGGAGAATGCATTTCATGTCTGATTCTGCTGCTAATTAAGTCAATCATTTAATTTTTGGGACCTCAGTTTCTTTGTAAGTAAAATAACACCTGCTTGTTCTTCATCCCTGGGCTGTTGGGAGGAACAGATGAGACAGTGGCTATAGAAGCACTTGGAAAATGCACTTGTCCTGTTTTGTAAAATAAAAAGGTATTAAATGTGTATTTCTGCCATGTACCTAATGATTATTCAGTGCGTATATATCTGAAAAGTCATGTTGCAAATCTTTCTGTGAAACAGATGCTATTTTAAATTCACTGGGAGAAATATCCTATTTAAAGTAATCTATAGTAATTTCTTTTTATATAATAAAAATATATTTGTAAAGTCGACAGACAACTTGTAATTAGTTTTGTGTCTGGAAGAATTTGTTTAGAGAAGGCACTCTGTATCCTTGAGATGGGGTAGCAAAGAGCTAGGATCCTGGCTCTTACTGTTGACTGTTAATAGCTGCATGATCTTGGGCCCAGTTAGGGAGTTACTCTGAGGCTCTGTTTCCTCATCTGTACAATGGGAAAAAGAAAACGTACGCATCTTGTAGGGTTGTTGTTGGATGGGTCCTGCCTGGTGAAACATTTGGCAGCTCCCCAGTAAGGACAGCTTTGGCTTGATGTGTGATGTAGCTGAGCTGGGTCCCAGTCCAGGTGGACAGTGATCTATACAGACAGCCCTGTCTTCAGCTCTGGTGTCTGTGAGGATTCAAGGTGAATGTGCATTTTGTGCCCCAAATGGGACCTGGCCTGTTGCGAACACTTTACAATTATAAGCAGAGTGTTTCCAGGGCTGTTTGCGCAATAGAGGGCTGACACCAATAGGTTTGTGGTTATCCAGACATACTTACATTTCTAGACTAGGATTTCATATATTTTTGGAGAAGTCAGTAAATCCCCTTGGGACTTGGATGAAAGCTCTAGACCTTTGCTACATACAGACATACATACATATGCGTTCTGAGTCCATGAATTCCAGACCTTCATGGGCACCATGATGTCTTTTCATGGATCCCCCGTAGGGAAGCCCTGAATTATTTTTTTTTAGGTTAATAGAGGATTTAAAAATCTAAACAGTACAAAGGTTCCATGGTGAGAAGGCAGGCTTTTTCTCAATGGGATCTTAGTCTCCAGTTTCTTGTTCCCAAAGGCAACCACTGTCACTAGGTTGGAGTATCCTTCCAGAGGTGATGGAAAACAGAGGTGATGCTCAACTTAGTCATCAGGGAAATGCAAATCAAGACCTCTATGAGATGCCACTTCACATTCACTAGGATAGCTATAATCAAAAAGACAAAAACAAGTGTTGGCCATGATGTGGAGAAATTGGAGCCCACACACACTGTTGGTGGGAATTGAAAATGGTGAGCACTTTGGAAAACAGTTTGGCACTTCCTCAAAAGGTAAGAATTTCCATATGACCTAGCAATTCTACCCCTAGGTATCTACCCAAGAGAAATGAAAACATGTCCACACAAAAGCCTGCACACCAATGTTTATAACAGCCAAAAAATAGGAACAACCTAAATATCCATCAACTGATAAGTGGATACATGAAATGCGGTCTATTCATGCAATGGAATATTCAGCCATAGAAAAGAATTAAGTACTTGTGAAAAGTAAAGTAGAGGTTCCTCTTCAAAGACTTTCCTCCCCATCTAATTAGGAATAAATAGTAACTTCTCTTAGAAGCAAAATTTATTCAAAGACCTAACATTCTTAAATACCTGCTAGCCATAATAAATCAATGTACTTTATGTTCTTAACTCCCACAATTTAGCCTAAATATTTGCCCTGGCACGGTTATACTGGTGCAAGCAAGCATTAAGTCATAGCCTGTTCCTCTTCCTTATTTGAAAGTGTTTTTACCTTTCTCAGCATTCCACAAGTTACTTCCTCCTTCCTTTGTTCTCCTCTGCTTTTGCCTCTGAAAAAATTCTAAGTTGTTAGCCAATCAAGACAAATACAGAATGTGAAGTCCCGTTTCAGCCAATGGAAACTGGACCCAGAGGTAGGGTGGATACGTCAGGTTATAAATGACCCTGTCTCCTTTGTTGGGTGTACTCGTGGCAAAACTGCTGGCGAGTGTACCCTTTCTGCAGAAAGTGTAAAAATGGCCTTGCTGAGAAAATTATTTATGTTCAAGTGCTATTTCTTTATGGCACTGGGGAACAAGCATTTCAAACATACTGACACGTTACAACATGGATGAACCTTGAGATCATGGTAAGAAAAAGCAAGTCACATATTGTATGATTCCATTTTTAATTTTTTCAGAATAGGCAAATCTATCAAGACAAACTAGATTACAGTCTTGCTGAAATTACAGGAGTGAGCCACCAGGCCAGCTGGTCATACACCTGTTTTCTTTCTTCTTTTTTGTTTTGAGACAGAGTCTCCCTCTGTTGCCTAGGCTGGAGTGCAATGGCACGATATTGGCTCATTGCAACCTCTGCCTTCCAGATTCAAGCGATTCTACTGCCTCAGCCTCCTGAATAGCTGGGATTACAGGCACATGCCACCATGCCCTACTAATTTTTGTATTTCTTTTTAGTAGAGATGGGGTTTCACCATATTGTTGAGGCTGGTCTTGAACTCCTGACCTTGTGATCTGCCCACCTTGGCCTCCCAAATTGCTGGGATTACAGGCGTGAGCCACCATGCCTGCTGCTCATACACTTTAAATGAGTGAACTTTATGGTATATAAATTATATCTTAAAGCTGTTAGAAAGGAACACACAAAGTGGTTACCCTCAGGCATTTGAAAAAAGAAAGCCACATTTACCTTTGTATGCCACTCCTCTCTATTTAGCCACACATGTGTTTTGTTAATGCTTTTCTAGGTCCTTTGTTTTTTCATGTCTTTCTTGGCTATTGCTCCTCAACAGTAAGTTTAGATCACTTCATTCTTTTTGCCTTACATTCCATTGTATGGATATTCCTTAATGTATATAACCAGCTGATAGAGATTGAGGTTTTGTTTTCATTCTAGCTACTACAGACAATGCCACCTTCCAAGGAGATTGTATCAATTAACACGTTCATCAGGGATGTATGGGAGTGCATTTCCTCACATCCTCAGCCACAAGGTATATTATCCTGCTTTTTTTTTTTTTTTGAGATGGAGTCTTGCTCTGTTGCCCAGGCTGGAGTGCAGTAGCGTGATCTTGGTTCACTGCAAGCTCTGCCTCCCGGGTTCACACCATTCTCCTGCCTCAGCCTCCTGAGTAGCTGGGACTACAGGCATCTGCCACCAGGCCCGGCTAATTTTTGTTTTTTTTTTTGTATTTTTAGTAGAGATGGGGTTTCACCATGTTAGCCAGGATGGTCTCGATCTCCTGACCTCGTGATCCACCCACCTCGGCCTCCCAAGGTGCGGGGATTACAGGCGTGAGCCACCGCACCCGGCCCCTTACCTTGTTTTTTGATTATTGCCAATCTAACGAGTGGAAAATTATAATTTTATATGTACTTTTTAATTTAATTTAATTAATTAATTTTTTTTTTTTAGAGACGGAGTCTCTCACCCAGGCTGAAGTGCAGTGGCGCAATCTTGGCTCACTGCAAGCTCCACCTCCTGGGTTCACGCCATTCTCCTGCCTCAGCCTCCCGAGTAGCTGGGACTACAGGCGCCTGCCACCACGCCTGGCTAATTTTTGTATTTTTAGTAGAGGCGGGGTTTCACCGTATTAGCCAGGATGGTCTCGATCTCCTGACCTCGTGATCTGCCCGCCTTGGCCTCCCAAAGTGCTGGGATCACAGGCGTGAGCCACCACACCTGGCCTTACATGTACTTTTTTAATGGTTGAGGTGGAGCCATCTTTCTTATATTTAGGAGCGTTTCATGATTTGTTTTTGTTCATTGCTTCCTTTGCCTTTTTTTTTTTTTTTCCCTGAGACAGGGGTCTCACTTTGTCTCCCTGGCTGGAGTGCAGTGGCAGTAATCTTGGCTCACTGGACCCTCGACTTCCCAGGCTCAAGGGATCCTCCCACCTCAGCCTCCTGAGTAGCTGGGACTACAGGCGCCCACCACCACACCAGGCTAATTTTTGTGTTTCACTAGAGACAGGATTTCACCATGTTGCCCACGCTGGTCTCGAACTCTTTGCCTCAAGAGATCCACCCACCTCGGCCTCCCAAAGTGCTGGGATTACAGACGTGTGCCACTGGACCCAGCCTCCTTTGCCAGTCTTAATACTAAGTTATTTTATTATTTTGGGAGAATTGCTACATCGAATATCAGCCCTTTGTCATATGTTTCGAGTATTTTTCTGAATTTGTACCTTGTCTTTGATTTTTTTTCTTTTTTGAGACAGGGTCTTGCTCTGTCCTCCAGGCTGGAGTGCAGTGGCGGGATCACAGCTCACTGCAGCCTCGACCTCCCGGCCTCAAGTGATCCTCCCACCTCAGCCTGAGTAGCTGGCATCACGCCCAGCTAATTTTATTTTTTGTAGAGATGGGGGTCGCACCATGCTGGCCAGGCTGGTCTCTAACTCCCGAGCTCAAGCCATCCTCCCGCCTCGGTCTTCCAAAGTGCTGAGATTGCAGGCGTGAGACACCGTGCCCAGCCGTCTTTAATATTTTTCACCAGGCGGATAGTTCACATTTTTGTGTAGTCTTTTTTTTTTTTTTTTTGGTGCCTTCTAATTCTAATTCTTCCCATTTCTGGGTGTGTACTTAGTCTCTCTGAGCCACAGTTTTCTGCTCTATAAAGTGGGGTGATAATGCTCAGTACACGGTTTGCTTTGGCTCGATGAGAAATCCAGGTCTGAAAGCTTCAGGTACAGCGGCCGGCGCTGAGGAAAACAGCGTTAAGTGAGGCGCGTCAGCGGACACCACCTGCCTGCACATCTGGCTGGCCTCAACTTCCCGCTGTTCGAGCCCACGTGAGTGGCTCCGCCCCATCTGGCTTCTGACCAATGGACGAGCTTCCTAAGGCGTACCGTCCCGACTCCAAGGCGCCTGGCTTTGAGGCGGGCTGCGTCTTGCTCGGAGTCCCGCCCCTTGCCGGGTCGAGCAATGGGCGCCTTCCGTTTGGCGCAGGCCCCGCCCCTGTCGCTCTCCGGCCTGCGGGCCGCAGGGCTCGTTCCGGAGGGCGGGCGCCACGGAGGCCGGAGTGGTCGCAGTTCGGGCGGAGGCCGGGCCAGGCGGGGCTGTAGGGCTGGGGCAGGCGGCGGGCTGCCCGGCGGGACAGCTGCGGCAGCCGGCGGGGGGCGTCCTGAGTTGGCGGTCGAGGGCGCTGCCAGCTCCCGAGGGGCCGCTCGGGCCCCTTCCGGCCCGGGTCTGGTTGGGCCGCAGGAGCAGGGCGGGCTGCGGCGCCCGGGTCTGGCCCTGGCCTACGGGCTAAGCGCCCGGCCCCGGGGCCGCGGATCCGGCAGCCATGTGTGGATCTTGAAGCGCCATGTGGTCTTCTGAAGCGCTTGACAGTTCTAAAGGGCTTTATATTGCAAACTGATCAAAGCGCTTCGTAGCCCCGGAAGCGCTTAGGCATCTCCGAAGTAGCGCTGGGCAAAGTGAAGGCTTCCTGATCTCAGAAGCACGTTGTGGGCTTGGAAACCGACGGCAGCCTTTAGTCAATTTTGGATCGCTTTGACTTCTCCAACACGGTTTGGCATCTCTGAAACCTTGAGAACTGTGATGGGCAGTGGAAAGAAGAGGGAAAGGTCAGTGAGGCTAGCCCCTGGCTCTGCCCTTATGTCTTGCCGTCCTCCTGGGCCCGGGGTGGCGGGAATCTGAGGTGGGGTCGCCAGGAAGGGTGGTGTTGGAATCCAGGCCCCCTGTACCTTGCAGGTGCCCATGGCGTCCGAGCGGGGCAAGGTCAAGCACAACTGGAGCAGCACGTCGGAAGGGTGTCCCCGCAAGCGCAGCTGCCTCCGGGAGCCCTGTGATGTGGCCCCCTCCAGCCGGCCAGCTCAGAGGTCTGCGTCGCGTTCTGGAGGGCCCAGCAGCCCCAAGCGCCTGAAAGCCCAGAAGGAGGACGATGTGGCTTGCTCGCGGAGGTTATCCTGGGGCTCATCCCGCCGCAGAAATAACTCCTCCTCCTCCTTCTCCCCACATTTCTTGGGCCCTGGTGTGGGCGGGGCCGCCTCCAAAGGCTGCCTGATTCGGAACACTCGGGGGTTCCTGTCTTCAGGGGGATCCCCTCTGCGTCCTGCCAACGCCTCTTTGGAAGAAATGGCTTCTCTAGAGGAGGAAGCCTGCAGCCTTAAGGTAGGTGGCTGCCACGCTTTGCAATCGGTGAAGCCCCTTCCACATGGCTTGAGAGGTTGGGGATGGGAATTTTGGTGGAAGGAGACTACAAAACATTACATCCTTGAAGGTCTGGAAGGTCTTTCTAGAAGTCCACTCCCCCCAAACTCGAAGACCTAGCAGTCTTCCAGGCGCGTGGCCTGAAGTTAAGTAGAGAGGTAATTTTCAAACTCGGCAGCACTTTGGAACTACTTGGAAAGCTTTAAAATACTTGGGCCTGCCTCCTACTCCAGAGAAACTGATTTATTGGGCTGAGGTGTGGTCTGGGCTTCCAGATTTTTCAGTGCTCCCCAGGTTATTGTAAACGTGCAGCCCCGTTGGAGAATCACTGCAGTAGAAGGTGGATTATGTGCTCAAGAGAAGAATGTATTTATTTTAGTTGTCAGTTTAAAGAATTGTGTGCCCTTGTACTTTGAACCACTCTGAATCACAGAACCAAGAATTGCGGTTCTTGGTGTAGCTTTTCTCCAAAGTCATAGTTTCCAGCATGTTGGGGTTTTGCTTGGTGGTGCTAGTTTTTTTTTTTTTTCTTTTTTTTTTGGAGGTTAAATTGTTAATTCCCTAATGGAAACATGCAAGAGGGTTTCATAAGTACTTTGAGCAGACCAAGGAGTGCTTCACAGAGAAGATACATTTCGCTCATCTACTCAATCAAGGCTTTGAACAAATATGTGTTGAGGGTTTAGTTTGTGCCAGGCAATGTTCTAGGTGTTTGGGATTCTTTACTAACAAAACAGATCACTTTCCCCTTAGAGTTTGCATCCTAGATTTTGAAGGTCTGAGTCTTAAGAAGTGAGAAGTTCTGCCTGTGGAGGAGTGGAGAAACAGTCTTATTTGGGATCAGATGGGCTGCCTCTAGAGAAAATTACTTTACAAAAGCAATTAAAACAGGCCCTAAGGAATATGTGTTTGTTTTTAAGCCTAGCCTTGGTGGTTTCTTTTGTGTAGCTGAGAAAGGAGGCTGTATTTGACTGTTTGTCTTGGGGACTCATAGGCTAAGTGCCCCTGGTTTTTTCAATGTGGACCTCACTGTCTGAACTCTTGTGTGGGCACGTGGATTTTTTCTTTTTAAATTCACAAATAACAGTGAGTTGAAAAGCCCTGTCTCTAGCGTAGGAATGCTGAATTTGTCTCAAATCAGGTAAGTATGGGACTTTGCTCATACAAGTTAATCTTGCCATTAATCCTTGATACAATTTCAGTAGACTTGGGTACAGCATAAAATAATACCAGTTGATTCAATTTAGCTTCACTGACAATTTGTAGATAGAGTGAAACCTGTTACTGGGAGAGGCAGGAAATTTACTTTACATAGTCTTTCAGGTGTGCTGAATCCCTGGCTGTCCTAAAGACCTGGAACTCAGGTTTGAGGGTGTGGTCTCTAATCTGGGTGGGTCTAATTGTAGGTGGACCCACCTTTCTCTCATTAAGGCTAAAGGGGCCTTGTTTTGCAAGAACCCAATTTAATGGTTTCAGTAGAAGCACTTGAGGGTTATTGTGGGCCACGCACTGTTGGGTCTGGGAGTGATGAGCTTCTAGGGAGCAGTCTGGTGGGAGGGCTGGAGGAGTGGTCGCATGACTGCCCACAATGTGGTATGATGGAGTAGTGAGCCCAGAATGGAGGCTGGAGAGCGAGGTAGGGGGTGGATTGCAGCAAGGTTTTAGTAGCCAAGGGAATTTGGATTTTATCCTAAGGACAATGGATTTTATTCTAAGGGACAATTCCCTTAGAATTGTATTCTCTTTTTTTGAGACAGATTCTTACTGTGTCACCCAAGGTAGACTGCAGTGGCATGATCTCTGCTCACTGCAGCCTCCACCTCCTGGGTTCAAACAATTCTCCTGCCTCAGCCTCCCAAGTAGCTAGGACTACAGGTGTGCGCTACCGTGCCCAGCTGATCTTTGTATTTTTAGTGGAGATGGGGTTTCGCCTTGTTGGCCAGGCTGGTCTCTAACTCCTGACTGCAAGTGATCTGACCGCCTCAGCCTCCCAAAGTGCTGGGATTACAGGTGTGAGCCACCATGCCCGGCCAATTGTATTCTTATTTTAAAAAAATTATTTTATTTTTTTGAAACGATTTCCCAGGCTGAAGTGCAGTGGCGCAATCATGTCTCACTGTAGCCTCAAACTCCTGGGGTCAAGCAATCTTCTTAAATAGGTGAGAATATGGGCATGTGCCACCACACCCTGCAGATTAAAAATTTTTTTTTTGGGCTGGGCGTGGTGGCTCACGCCTGTAATCCCAGCACTTTGGGAGGCCGAGGTGGGCAGATCACGAGGTCAGGAGATTGAGACTACCCTGGCTAACACGGTGAAACCCTTTCTCTACTAAAAATACAAAAAGTTAGCCGGGCATGGTGGCGGGTGCCTGTAGTCCCAGCCACTTGGGAGGCTGAGGCAGGAGAATGGCATGAACCCAGGAGGCAGAGCTTGCAGTGAACCGAGATCAAGGCACTGCACTCCAGCCTGGGCAACAGAGTGAGACTCAGTCTCAAAAAAAAAAAAAAAAAAAAATTTTTTTTTTTGTAGAGATGAAGATCTCACTGTGTTGCCCAGGCTGGTCTCAAACTCCTGGGCTCAAGCTGTCCTCTTGCCTTGTCCTCCCAAAGCGCTGGGATTAGAGGCATGAGCCACTGTGCCAGCTGGATTGTCTTCTAAGCAATTAGAGAATTTATACAGGGCTCTACACAGAAAAGGAAATTGCATTGTAGAAAGATCACTCTTGTCGAGTGAGGGTTTTTATATTACCCTGATTGTCCATCTCTAGGACTGCTGAAGTCTCTTCCTGGAGTATATGTTTGTCAGTTTAAAAACCAAGTGTACAGTACTTGACTCATCTTGATGAATTACAAAACACCTCTTACCTTCCACCTTCATCTGTACCTCTTCCTCCCTTGCTCTGTGGTCATCTGTGAACTTATCTGTCCTGGTCCTAAGTCCTTCAGCAAGCACAGCCGAGGGGTACTCACAAAAATGGCATGTTCATCCTCAGGTCCTTCTAGAGTCCTCTCACTGCTCTCCTGTGTCTGCTCTGTAAACTTTTTTTTTTTGTTTGAGACAGGGTCTTGCTCTGTCACCCAGGCTGGAGTGCACTGGCATGATCATAGCTCACTGCATCTCAACCTCCTGGGCTCAAGCGATCCTCCTGCCTCAGCCTCCCAAGTAGGTGGAACTCAGGCGTGTGCCAACCTGCCTGGCTAATTTTTTTTTTTTTTTTTTTGAGACAGAATCTTGCTCTGTCACCCAGGCTGGAGTGCAGTGGTGCAATCTCGGCTCACTGCAAGCTCCGCCTCCCGGGTTCACGCCATTCTCCTTCCTCAGCCTCCCCAGCAGCTGGGACTACAGGTGCACGCCACCATGTCCGGCTAATTTTTTTGTATTTTTAGTAGAGATGGGGTTTCACCATGTTAGCCAGGATGGTCTCGATCTCTTGACCTCGTGATCCGCCTGCATAGGCCTCCCAAAGTGCTGGGATTACAGGCGTGAACCACCGCGCCTGGCCTGCCTGGCTAATTTTTTGTGTTTTGTAAAGACAAGAGTCTCCCTATGTTGACCAGGCTGGTCTCAATCTCCTGGGGTCAGGCAGTCCTCCCACCTTGGCCTCCCAAAGTGCTGGGATCACAGGCATGAGCTACTGTGCCTGGCCTTGCTCTGTAAACTTTGAGGGTTACACAGTTGACTTTGTTCCCTTCTCCCACCAGCCTTTAACACATCTTTCTCTGTGCCAGGTCACAGAATATTCTGAGGGGAAGGTGTTAGACTGGTCATTTTAGAATCGGTAGAGATCCCTGCTGGCTGACCTCACATCGTTCCCTTCTTACCTCCAGGACAGTTGGAGATGTTTCATGTTAGCTGATGATCTTCATTTACTCTTCACAGAGGAGACTAACTGTGTGACGAGCACCTTCATGTAGTAAAGATTATTTTTACTATGACATCTAAATGTCTACATTCAATTTAGAGTTGAAAGAATGGAAGGGAAAATTTGAGCATGTATGATAAGGCTTGGTCAACTATGATTCTCGATGTTTGATCTATAGACTATCACATAATCCCAAAAGTGTCGTGAAGTAGGTGGTATTATCTCCACATATCCATTAGTAAATACCTTCATATCAATTAACAAATATTTAAGCACCTACTCTGTGTAGGCACTGGGCAGATGAGATTCAGAAAGGTTAAATAAGCTGACCAAGGCCATGCAGCTGGTAAATGGCCGAGCTGTGGGGTAATATCAGATTAGTCCAACTTCAAAGCCAGTGTTCTCTGCACTGCTGCCTCTGGGAGCACCTGCTCTGTTCTAGCCTGGCATCAGATGTAGGGGTGGCAAGACGAAGGTGCCAGGGTCCCTCCCTTGCGGAGCTCTCTGCAGGGTGAGTTAGCCCAGGCACAGTAAAGCACTGGGTATTGAGGCTCTTGAGTGATAGAGCTTTTGCACATCCCCTTTCCTGCATCTCCACTTGGCACATGTCTAGTGCACACGTGGAACACCAGGCTTGGGGCTGTTGTTGCCAAGGACAATCGGGCCATGCTTCACAGACTGAGAAGTCACTCACCACGGGGCAGTGAGTGGAGAGCTGTAACAGGGATGGGTTTGGAGTACCCAAGGGTCAGGGGAATGAGCGACTGACCATCAGGAAGGTCCTCACAGAAGAGGTGACATCTGAGTCTTACTGATGGACAAGGAGGGGGACAGGACATTTCGGGCATAGGGAGCAATACATGCCCAAAATGTCAGGAAATGCTGCTTGTCTGGAGTGCTTGGGGCACTGCTGGCCCTCCCTTCTCTCATCCGTGCTCTCCTGCGTTCCCTGGACACTTGCGTGTTTGGAGGAAGGCAGGAGATGAGGCTAGACAGGAAGGCTGGGGCCAGTCTGTGAAGGGTTCCTGATGAGCTCAGGGGTAGGGATTATTCTGTAGGCAAATGTGGAGCCCTGGAAGGGTTCTAAACTAAGGCTGAAGTGGTGGGGTTTGCATTTTAGAGCTCCTCTGGCACGCTGCAGAGAAAGGGTAGGAGGGAGAAGACAGGGAGCTGGTGAGGAGCTGTTGAAATCCTTCAGGCTACTGGTGATAGGGCTGGAGCAACATCTCCACTTATCTTTCCTTCTTTCCTTTGGAGATGCACAGTTCACCAAGCAGTGCTTCCAGGAAGAACGAACTCTCCCCTTTATGAAGTCAGGTGGTTTGTCTCTTACCTTCTGCCCATGGTCTACCTACTTCTTACCTTTAGAGCCAACTGTCACCTGCTGAAACTCATCCTCGGTGTCGTTGATCCATCTTAGGTCCTCCAGCCTAGGAGAGTGTTTCTCACTTTCTCTCTTTTTTTCCCCCTTCCCCCTTCCTCCTTCCCACTTCCCACTCCCCCTCCCCCTCCCCCTCCCTCCTTTCCTGTCTGTCACCCAGGCTGAAGTGCAGTGGTGCAATTGGCTCACTGCATCCTTGACCTCCTGGCTCAGGTGATCTTCCTGCCTCAGCCTCCCAAGTAGCTGGGACTACAGGCGTGCACCACCATGCCCAGCTAATTTTTCTGTATTTTTTGTAGAGAGGGGTTTTTTTGCCATGTTGCCCAGGCTGGTGTTGAACTTGTGGGCTCGAGTGATCTGCCTGCCTCAGCCTCCCAAAGTTCTGAGATTATAGGCAGGAGCCACCATGCCCAGCCAACAGTGTTTCTCACTTTCATATTTCATTACTCCTTTCCCTTGGCTTCCAGGATGTTAGGGAGAACTTGAGTTTGAATCCCGGTTCTGCCACTTACAAGCCATGTAGCAGTTTCACTTTCTGTAAAAGAAGTATGACGGCTGTAGCACTTCTGTAAATTGTAAATCTGTATGAAAATATAAGGTATATTATTATACTCCTAATTTTTTTTTTTCTCCCCCAACTCCAGTCTTGGTCTTCACAACCAGAGGTGGCAAAACTGCTGGTCTGTGGACTGGATGTAGCCTGCTAGGTCCTTAACAGTATTTACATTTTGAGACAATTCACATTAAGAATTTATGACTCCAGGCTGGGTGCGGTGGCTCATGCCTGTAATCCCAGCACTTTGGGAGGCTCAGGTGGGCTGATCACTTGAGGCTGGGAGTTTAAAACCAGCTTGGCCAACATGGAGAAACCTCGTCTCTACCAAAAATACGAAATGTAGCTGGGTGTGGTAGCACATGCCTGTAATCCCAACTACTCAGGAGGCTGAGGCAGGAGAATCACTTGAACCTGAGAGGCGGAGGTTGTAAGTGAGCTGAGATGGCGCCACTGTACTCCGGCCTGGGCGACAGAGTGAGACTGTCTCAGAAAATAGAATTTATGACTCCAGTCTAAGTCCCTACCTTGAACTGAAGAATTGAATGACATCACCTCCCCATTTTATGTCCTCTTTTCTTATTTTGTTTTTCTCCTTGGCAGTTATCACTCTCTAACATACATATTTCACTTGTCTTACCTTTCTCCTGGTTTTCCCTTCCCTTACCAGCTAAAATGTGAGCTCCAGGAGGCAGACGTTCTTGTGTGTTATTACTATTATTTTTTTTTTTGAGACAGCGTCTCCAAAAGTTTGGAGCGTCTCCACAGGCTGGAGTGCAGTGGCACAAGCTCGGCTTACTGTGACCTTGACCTTCCACACTCAAGCAATCCTTCTGTCTCAGCTCCTGGAGTAGCTGGGACTACAGGTGTGGGTCACTGCACCCAGCTAATTTTTGTATTTTTCTTGTACAGATGGGGTCTTGCTATGTTGCCCAGACTGGTCTTGAACTCCTAGGCTCAAATGATCCTCCTGCCTTGGCCTCCCAAAGTGCTGGAATTGCAGGCATGAGCCACCACACCCAGCCTTGTTTTTTTTTTTATTGAACGCTAAACCCACAGGTCCAGAACCGTGCCTGCTGGCACAGAGTAAGTGCTTAGTAAGTGCTTGCTTAATGGTTGAAAAGTGCACTAAATTCAATATTTCTGGTTTTACTTGAAAGAAACAGAATCTCTAACTCTGATTCTCTACTCTCAAATGGCACCAGTTAGAGGTGAGGAGCAGCTGCCCGTCTGAGGGTGCAGATACTCCTCAGTTTGTTGCAGATCTCACCCTCTGTGTTGTATATGTGGCTACAGCGGGAGCAGAGGGCAGGGGTGGAGAAGCAGTCAGTGGAGATGGGGCCTTAACAGACAGGTGGGAACACAAAATGGGACGGAGGCAAGGACATGGCAAGCAGAGGAGATAAGATGTGCTAGCAAATGTGTAAGAGGGTGTGATGGGCCAAGGGTGGCAGGTGGTTGGTGGCAGGCAGAAGAGGGCACTAGAGAAGTGGGCTGGGAAGTTGGGGCTGTGTCTCACAGGGCAGGCCCTGGGAGTCATCAAATTTATTATTAGTATTAGAGGCCAGGCACGGTGGCTCATGCCTGTAATCCCAGCACTTTGGGAGGCCAAGGCGGGCAGATCACTTGAGGTTAGGCCAACATGGTGAAACCCCATCTCTACTAAAAATACCAAAAAAAAATTAGCCAGGTGTGGTGGCAGATGCCTGTAATCCCAGCTACTTGGGAGGGAGGCTAAAGCACAAGAATTGCTTGAACCTCAGAGGCGGAGGTTGCAGCGAGCTGAGGTTACACCCCGCACTCCAGCCTGGACAACAGAGTGAGATTTTGCCTCAAAAAAAAATTATATATATATATATATATGAATTCCTTAAATATAAAAAGATACAAAGAAAACAGGCTGAGCGCGGTGGCTCACACCTGTAATCCCAGCACTTTGGGAGGCCGAGGTGGGTGGATCACCAGAGGTCAGGAGTTCAAGACCAGCCTGGCCAACATGGCGAAACCCCGTCTACTAAAAATACAAAAATTAGCCAGGTGTGATTGCACATGCCTGTAATCCCAGGTACTTGGGAGGCTGAGGCAGGAGAATCTGTTGAACCTGGGGGACGGAGGTTGCAGTGAGCTGAGATCGCACCACTGTCTCCAAAAAAAAAAAAAACAAAAAAAAAAAACAAAAATGACCCGTAACCTCCTTTAACAAATAATCTCTGTAGACACGTTAGAAAATACAGAAAGTAAGAAAATTTACTAAGTCCACAGAGGTTCAAAATGATAGCAAACACCACCTTTCCTATTCATCTTCGTGAAGTTAGCAGCTGCCAACAGTTTGAGTACTTTCAGGAAAATAGATGTCTATATTAACAAGTATAGATTTCTAAAGGTTTATGATTTTTTTTTTTTTTTTTTTTTTTTTTTTTTTTTTTGGGAGATGGAGTCTTACTCTGTAGCCCAGGCTGGAGTGCAGTGGCACGATCTTGGCTCACTGCAAGCTCCGCCTCCCGGGTTCACGCCATTCTCCTGCCTCACCCTCCCGAGTAGCTGGGACTACAGGCGCCCGCCACCACGCACGGCTAATTTTTTGTATTTTTAGTAGAGACGGGGTTTCACTGTGTTAGCCAGGATGGTCTCGATGGGCCCGCCTCGGCCTCCCAAAGTGCTGGGATTACAGACATTAGCCACCGCGCCCAGCTAGGTTTATGATTGTTTTAAGTTTTATTTTCCTTTGGCCCTTGATTCAGGATAATGATTAAAAAAAAATATGATGTGCTCTTCGGAAAAAAATTTCAAATGATACAAGAAGCTTATAATATAAGCACCTAAGCCTTTGTTTGTTTGTTTGTTTGAGACAGAGTCTCATTCTCTCACCCAGGCTGGAGTGCAGTGGCATGATCTCGGCTTACTGCATCCTCCGCCTCCTGGGTTCAAGTGATTCTCCTGCCTCAGCCTCTTGAGTAGCTGGGACTATAGGCATGTGCCACCACGCCTGGCTAATTTTTGTAATTTTATTTTTATTTTGCTTCTTTTTTTTTTTTTTGAGACAGAGTTTTGCTCTTGTTGCCTGGGCTGGAGGGCAGTGGCACGATCTTGCCTCACTGCAACCTCTGCCTTCCGATTCAAGCGATTCTTTGCCTCAGCCTCCTGAGTAAGTGGGATTACAGGTGCCCGCCACCATGCCTGGCTTAAGTTTTGTATTTTCAGTAGACACAGTGTTTTGCCATGTTGGCCAGGCTGGTCTCGAACTCCTGATGTCAGGTGATCCACTTGCCTCGGCCTCCCAAAGTGCTGGGATTACAGGTGTGAGGCACTGCTCCCAGCCGAGCCTAAGTCTCTTTCTACTTCCCTGCATTCCCCAAAGAGATCCATTATAAACAGTTTAGCTTTTTAGACTTGTTTGCGAATATATACATATAAAGCAATTTTGCCTTTTTTTTTTTGAGATAGGGTCTCACTGTATTGCCTAGGCTGGAGTGCAGTGGTGCCGTCACGGCTCACTGAAACCTCTGCCTCCCAGGTTCAAGCGATTCTTGTGCCTTAGCCTCCCGTGTAGCTGGGATCACAGGCGTGTGCCACCATGGCCCAGCTAATTTTTGTAATTTTTAGTAGAGACAGAGTTTTGACACCTTGCCCAAGCTGGTCTTGAACTCCTGAGCCTAAGTGATCTTCCTGTCTTGGCCTCCCAAAGTGTTGGGATTACAGGCATGAGCCACCGCGCCCCGTGTGTTTTATAGAGATGGGGTTTCGCCATGTTGGCCAGGCTTGTCTCGACCTCCTGGGTTCAAGCAGTCCACCTGCCTCGGCTTCCCAAAGTGCTGGATTACAGGCATGAGCCACTGTACCTGGTCTGTATTTACTTTTGAGAGGAATTTAATAGAAATGACTTAGGAATGCAAATGGGATAATGGTTTACTGCTTATGGAATGGCCTTAGGAGGACATTTGTGGAGAGTTCTTACACCCGGCAGGGATTAGACTGGATTAGAATTTCACATCAAAATAGTCTGGCAAACAAAGTCTAGCTTTTTCTGTGTGGAGTCCTGGAGTGAGTGGGTGCAAGAGGGGGCTGAGGCTTCACTTCCGTCTTGGAGGAGGTTTGTTGTTGGGAGCAGTCTATCTTGACTGACCCTGGTGCAGTCACTGAGAAACTGAGGTATTTTCCAAAACCAAGTTGATTATTTGAGGGGAAGTGTTTGCAGAGAACTTTCAGGAGGCTTTGGGTATGGTGGGAAAAACACTGCACTCAGAACTGGGGGATTGGAGTTCCTGGGGCTAGCCCTTCCCCTCACTGGGTCCTCAGGTTTCCTTTACCCTTAGATATGGGATTGGGCTAGCTGGTTTCTAGGGCCCTTTCCAGTGGGAAGAGCTTGAGCTGCTGTTTTGCCTGAAGTGTAGTCCTTGCCTTCCAGGAGCTTGCAGTCTGGTTTAATGAGAGTGTTCATTTCAGCTCCTTCCGTCCCCTTGCAGTGAAAGGATATCATCTGCTGAGCATGAGAAGGCGAATGCTAAGAAATGGCAGCAATCAGCCCCTCTTACAGTGCCACTTCACCACCCGGAGAGAACCTTTGCCTTAGCCACAGTCACTTTCCCTTTGACTGGTAGAACCACCACTGATTTATAATTTGCCAAATGCTTCATGTACGAAAGTGCCCTTGGAACAGCCCTTTCAATTCTGTTTTTTTTTTCCCAGGTTGATTCCAAAGATAGTTCTCATAACTCCACAAACTCTGAATTTGCAGCTGAAGCTGAGGGTCAGAATGATACAATTGAGGAACCCAACAAGGTCCAGAAAAGGAAGAGGGATAGACTTCGAGACCAGGGCTCCACAATGATCTACCTGAAGGCTATCCAGGGCATCCTGGGGAAATCGATGCCAAAAAGGAAGGGAGAGGCTGCCACTCGGGCAAAACCAAGCGCAGCAGAGCATCCCAGCCATGGAGAAGGACCAGCCAGGAGTGAAGGACCAGCCAAGACTGCAGAAGGAGCAGCCAGGAGTGTCACAGTCACTGCTGCTCAGAAGGAGAAAGACGCAACCCCAGAGGTCAGCATGGAGGAGGATAAGACAGTGCCAGAGAGGAGCAGCTTCTATGACAGGAGAGTAGTTATAGACCCTCAAGAGAAACCCAGTGAGGAGCCCCTTGGGGACCGAAGGACTGTCATTGACAAATGCTCTCCACCCCTAGAGTTCTTGGATGACTCTGACTCTCATTTAGAAATCCAAAAGGTGAGTAAAGCTTGTACCAGGCATCTGACTTTTTAGTTCTGTTGATGAAATGTGTTCCATCTTTCTAGTTTGATCCTAAGTGTTACTAATTAAAAATAGTACTTTACTTAACCAGGCCTCCAGGGAACAAACTGATGGTTTTCTTCTAACATACTTTTCAGATTTTCAGAGTTATTAATAAACCTAAACTAAGTGCTTTTTTTTTTTTTTGAAGGATTTATATGTTAGGATATGGGTTTAGCTGCTGTGTAAAAGGCCAAAATCACAGTGGCTTAAACAGAATATAAGTTTGGCTTAAGAAGGATGGCTCCATCATGTCAGAGATACTGGTACCTTTTGTCTTGATTCTCTATCACCCCTCAACACAGTGTCCATCTCTTGGTGTGAAATGGATACTCTGATAGGACTCAGGGTTTGTTATCTGGGCATTCTGGCCAGTGGGAAGGGGAGAAGAGGAGAGTGCATTCCTTCCCTGTTAAGAGCTTGGCTCAAGAGTTGCACATGTTGTATCTGCTGTTGACAAGAGCGGGGAAACCCGGCTGACACCTGGCTGCAAGGGAGTCTGGAAAATCAGCCTTTATCTAGGCAGACTTGTACCTGGATAACCAGAGAAGAAGGGAAGGATGTCATTGGACGGAAACTAGTGATTTTTAACATAGCTTATAATTGAGGGGAAGCATTCCTCCATCTTTTTCTTTTTTTTTTTTTTTTTGTTGTTGGGACAGAGTCTTGCTCTGTTGCCCAGGCTGGAGTGCGATGGTGCAATCTTGGCTCACTGCAACCTCCACCTCCTGGGTTCAAGCAATTCTCCTGCCTCAGCCTCCTGAGTAGCTGGGATTACAGGTGTGCGCCACCAAACCGGCTAATTTTTGTATTTTTAGTAGATATGGGATTTCTCCATGTTGGCCAGGCTGGTCTCGAACTCCTGACCTCGTGATCCACCTGCCTTGGCCTCCCAAAGTGCCGGGATTACAGGCATGAGCCACTGTGCCAGGCCACATTCCTCCATCTTACTCGTCTCCACCCATCCTTTACTACTGCTCTGCAGGCAGCTTCTCTCATCTTTAGCTCTTTCTTCTAGTACTTACCCCATGTTTCTAAATAATCTTTACTGTTGATCAGTTTTTCAGTTTTAGATGTCTGAGGACTTCTTGCTTGGGCGATGAGAATTTAGTTCTCTATACCTCCTTCAGAAGCACCCACACCCAGGGACACATTAGCTTCCCCTTTCTGCAGCCTCCCTGTGTGGCTTGAATACCTTTTGGGTTAAGTCTGTGTAAGATTTGTTACTGCCATGTTCACAGCTGAGTCGCCTTGTATACTCTGATCACATTTTCTTTCTTGTAAAACTTCATTTTCCTTAAAGTTCATCATTACTTTGTTTTTCCTTTGGTTTTCCTGGTACCTTTCACTAATTAATCCCCAAACTGCGAGAGCTGTAAAATCCTTCTCAATACTGTCAAAATAAGGAATCTGTTTCTTTTTTTTCTCTCTTGGAGGTATACGTCCTCAGCCCTCTGTTGTCCTGCTCTGGTCTGGACTGCCTGCCGTCAGGCCAGCTGGCAGCTGTCTCTCTGGAGCCTCCTTCACATTTCTCCCGGATTGAGTCTTCTGCTACCTATACTCTGTGTCTTCTCATGTTCTTCTTCCTTGGTTTACTCTCACATTTTGGTGGAATACTTTTTCTAGTAGCTTCTTGAGAAAGGGTACATGGAGAAACTTTTTTTGGTAAACATGTGTCTGAGATTGCCTTTATTTTACCTTTAACCTTGATTACAAGCTTGGTTGGTTTTGGAATTCCAGGTTGGAAATTGTTTTGTTTGGGATTTTGAAGGCATTGCTCCTTTTCTTCTGGGCTTTTTTTTTTTTTTTTTTTTTTTTGAGGTGGAGTCTCGTTCTGTCTTGCCCAGGCTGGAGTGCACTGGTGTGATCTTGGCTCACTGCAGCCTCCACTTCCTGGGTTCAAGTGATTCTCCTGTCTCAGCCTCCCGAGTAGCTGGGATTACAGGCACACGCCACCACACCTGGCTAATTTTGTATTTTTGGTAGAGACAGAGTTTCATCATGTTGGCCAGGCTGGTCTCAAACTTCTGACCTGAGGTGATCCACCTGCCTAGGCTTCCCAAAGTACTGAGATTACAGGTGTAAGCCACTTCGCCTGGCCTCTTCTGGTTTTCTTGATGTCTGAAGCTATGCTGGTTCCTGAACCTTGGTATATGATTTTTTATTTTTTATTTTCTTTTGCTTTGAGACAGAGTTTTGCTCTGTCACCCAGGTTGGAGTCCAGTGGCGTGATCTCAGCTCACTGCAATCTTCACCTCCCAGGTTCAAGCGATTCTCCTGCCTCAGCCTTGTGAGTAGCTGGGATTACAGGCATGTGCCACCACACCCGGCTAATTTTTGTATTTTTAGTAGAGATGGGGTTTCACCATTTTGGTGAGGCTGGTGTCGAACTCCTGACCTCATGATCCGCCCGGCTCAGCCTCCCAAAGTGCTGGGATTACAGGTGTGAGCCACCGTGCCCAACCTGTATTTTTTTTTTTTTTCCCTCTGTGGAATCTTGTAGAATATATTTTGATCTCAGGGCTCTGAAATTTCATGGTGGTGGTGTCTACTTTGCTTAGCATGGGACATTCCCTTTCAATCTAGAAACCCTTGTACTTTAGCTGTGGGAAAAGTTCGTGAATTACTGTACTTCGCTGATGTTTTCTTTCCGTATTTTTCTTCTCTCTTTCTCTCTCTAGCTTCTCTACCTTCTTTCTCTTATTTGGATGTTGGATTTTTCAGGACTGGTCCTGTAATTTTATTGCCTTTCTCCCTTGTTTCTAGCCAATTTCTTGCTTTACTTTGTAGGATATTTCCTTTTCTTTATCTTCCAACCCAGCTGTTTATTTAGTTTTACTTTTCTACTGTCATGCTTTTTATTATCCAAGAGCTCTTTTGTTTTTTAATAACATCTCTGTTCTTGTTTCATCTTCTGTTATCTCTTTTAGGGAGTTCATGGTAGTTTTTTGGCTTGGTTTTAGTTTTCTTTAAGTTGCTTCTTTCCGTTTCTTTTGATCTCTTCTGTGTTAGAGGCTGCCTTCACATGTCTGGTAATCTTTGGTTGTCTGTTTATGATCAAGAATGGGAGGATTAAAAAGCTGTTTGGAAGCTCTGAGCGTAAAGACTTTGAGCTTTGCTTTGGGATGATCGGGAGAATATAACCCTCTTCCCCTTGCCATGTCACTGCTTTTAGGAAAGCCTCGAGACTGGTCACCTTGCCCAGAGGAGTGTTTTTCAGCCTGCTTAGGAGGAAAGGTGGCTGGGAGCTGGGTAGCGAAAGGGGCGGCTGCGGGGGCGGCGTCAGCATTCACTTAATCTTTGTCTTTTTGGTGCAGTACCAGTGCCCTCCACTGAGCTGACCAGGCCTTATTCTAGAGATCCTCTTGTTTTACTGTCTTCAAACAACTCACCTTCTCTGAGTATGAGGAGGGAATCTGGGATCTAACTCATTGGAAACCAGATTTCACCCTGTCCTCCTCCTTTTAATGTTCTTCTGTAACTCCAGTTCCTCCAGTTCCCAAGGTGCCCAGTACCGCGAGTGCCTGCTCTGTTCTAAGCTTTCCTGGTGCCTAGCTTAGGTCTCAGCCTTCTCTTGGTCTGCCAGTGAGGTGTTATTTGGCCATCTGCTTTCTAGCCTCCAGTGCGTGATCACTGTAGTCTCTTGTTCTTCCTGTTCTGGTGTTTTTGTTATTGTAGAGGGGTTTTATTTGTTTTTTGTTTGGTTTTTAGATTCTTTAGTTTTAGTGAGGTTTCAGGAAAGAGTAAAATAAGTCGAATTTGTTCAGTACATCCTTAGCCTAGAAAAGTTCTGGGAAAATTTCTTGATTATTTGATTTCTTGTCTGTTTCTTCTTTTTCTGGACCATCTATTTTATGCTTGGTCTTTCGGATGGAAATTCCAATTTTCTTTTCTTCCCAGTGAATCCTTTTTAAAAAATTTTTCTGGATGGTTTCTTCAACTTTATCTTCTTTTTTTTTTTTTGAGATAGAGTCTCACTCTGCCACCCAGGCTGGAGTGCAATGGCTTGGTCTTGGTTCACTGCAACCCCTGCCTCCCAGGTTCAAGCGATTCTCCCGCCTCAGACCCCTGAATTGCTGGGACTATAGGCGCATGCCACCATGCCTGTCTAATTTTTGTATTTTTAGAAGGGACGGGGTTTCATTTTGGCCAGGCTGGTCTCGAACTCCTGACCTCAGGTGATCTATCCGCCTCGGCCTCCCAAAGTGCTGGGATTACAGGCGTGAGCCACCGCGCCTGGCTCAAGTTTATCTTCTAACGTTTATGTTGATTTTTTTTTTTTGGTCTTTTTTTTTTTTTTCCTGTGCGTGGTTTTTTTTTTTTTTTATTGCTGCCAATTTTTTTTTCTTTTTTGTCTTTTTGAGACAGAGTCTCACTCTGTGGCCCAGGCTGAAATACAGTGGTGTGATCTCAGCTCACTGCCACCTCTGCCTCCTGGGTTCAAGCAATTCTCCTGTTTCAGCCTCCTGAGCAGCTGGGATTACAGGCATGGACCACCATGCCTGGCTAATTTTTGTATGTTTAGCAGAGACAGGATTTCACCATGCTGGTCAGGCTGGTCTTGAACTCCTGACCTCAGGTGATCCACCTGCCTCGGCCTCCCAAAGTGCTAGGATTACAGGCATGAGCTACCACGCCCGGCCAGAACTTTAAAAATTAAAAATTTTAGCTGGGCGTGGGGCTCATGCCTGTAATCCCAGCACTTTGGGAGGCTGAGGCAGGTGGATCATGAAGTCAGGAGATCGAGACCATCCTGGCTAACACGGTGAAACCCCGTCTCTACTAAAAATCCAAAAAAATTAGCCAGGTATGGTGGCGTGCACCTGTAGTCCCAGGTGCTGGGGAGGCTGAGGCAGGATAATGGCGTGAACCTGAGAGGTGGAGCTTGCAGTGAGCTGAGATTGCACCACTGCACTCCAGCCTGGGCAACAGAGCAAGACTCCGTCTCAAAAAAAAAAAAAAAAAAAAAAAAGTTTTTGTCATCCAGGTTGGAGTGCAGTGGCATGGTCATAGCTCATTGCACCTTTATTTTTCTGTGGTCCCCTTGGTTTAACTTTTCCAAGCATCAACTTTTGTCCTTTGCTGGGTGGGGAAAGGGCAGGCCATCTGCACAGGGTGGGAGCAGGGGTCTGGAGATCTTGACAGACTTCAGCTAATTCCTATTTTCATCTGCGGCTTCACCCTCACTTTGGAAGTCTGGCACCTCCAATTCCTGAGTCTTTCTGGGGTCCTGTAGTCTGGTTCTGGGTTTTTCCTCACTGAAGGCTTAGGTTTTGGCCATCTGATCTTCTTGGCTGATAATCATTAACCCATCTGTTTTCTATGCTCTGTTATCTGTGAATAGCATCCAATGCTTATTTAATTTGCTTTGCTGTTCATTTTGTGTGCTTTCCCCTTGTAGGTTTATACCTTTTCGGATATATTTCCTGTAACTTTAGAAGGGTTTTTGGGTGGGAAGGACAAAAACTATATGCTATATATATAATTGGAAATTCCCACATAAAGTAGGTTTGTAAGATATTTTCCTCCCAAATATGTAATGGGTGTGTTTTCTGTCTAATGTAGATCATCTTACTTGGTTGCCTCTAATTCCATTGTGTGGATGAATTTTCTAAAGTTATACCCAAACTTCTATTTATGAGACTGGACGACAATTAGGTTTTCTCTTACGTATCTATTTGGAGACAGCACAGTATGGTAGGTGAGCATGTGAGTGTTGGGATCAGACCATTTGGGTTTAAATCCTGGCCCTGCCACTCGAATTAGGATCTTGAGAAAGTCAGCCTCTTTGAACCCCAGTTTCTTCCTGTGTGTAAAATGGGCTAGCTCTTCAAATGTTACCACTTGTAAAAAGCTAATACAGGGTCAGATGCATTTTTGGGTTTACAGCCTCTGTTGCAGCTTTTCAACTCTGCATGAAAATGGCCATAGACAACGTACAAGTGAATGGGCCTGACTGTATTCCAATGAAACCTTATTTACACCATCAGGCATGGTGTTGTTCAGTGAGGTTTCAGGAAAGAGTAAAATAAGATGAATTTGTTCAATCCATCTTTAGCCTAGAAATGTTCTTGTGGGCTGCAGCATGTGGAACTCTGAATTCATACGTGATTACTCTTTGCTCAGTGCCCAGTAGTAGGTGCTCAATAAATGTAACTTTAAATTTTACCATACAGGCTTAAACTAACTAAGGCAGTCTTTTTTTTTTTTTTTTTGAGACAGAGTCTTGCTCTATCACCCAGGTTGGAGTACAGTGGCTCACTGCAACTTCTGCCTCCCAGGTTCAAGTGATTCTCATGTCTCAGCCTCCCGAGCAGCTGGGGTTACAGGCGTGCACAACCGCATTTGGCTAGTTTTTTGTATCTTTAGTAGAGATGGGGTTTTGCCATGTTGCCCAGGCTGGTCTGGAATTCCTCAGCTCAAGTGGTCTGCCTGCTTTGGCCTCCCAAAGTGCTGGGATTACAGGCGTGAGCCCCCTTGCCCGGCTGAGACAGTCTTGAATATCGGCAGTCTCCTCCTATTTCCCCCACACCCCCCGACAAAAAAAAAAAATCTGAAAACATTTTCTTGGCCAACTTGACTCTAGAAACCTTTCAAGGATTTAGATGACATAATTATTATGTCTGTTTATGGTGTATGTTTCTAGTTACATGTGCATTTTTGAAACTGCTTTTTTCCTTACTTTGACATTTTCCTATCCAGTCTGATTAAATTTCCCTGTTTGTTTGATGATTGTTTTGGTTCATTTGAAAGAGGATCCAAATGAGAACTGTATGTGGCAATTTTTAAATGTGTCAAGTCTCTTCGTCTCTATAGATTCATCCTTTTCTCCCTCCAAAATGTTGTAATTTATTTGTTGTAAAAAATGGGGTCATATGTCTCGTTTTTGCTGATGAGAATATAGTACTTTTTGAATCTGTGTATTGTTCTTGGAAATTTTATTCCAAGTTGCAAATAGTCATCATATCACATTGAGGCAGTCTGTTTCCGTTTTTCCTCGAGGTGTGTTTTTGGGATTGCCATAATGTGACCACCTCCAATTATTTTGCAGACATGTTAATGATGTGTTACTGTATATGATAAACATTTTAACTTTCAGGTGCACCTATACAAAAGTAGACTTGTAGTTCCAATATGTTTCACTAGAAAATTCAGCAGGGAAAAAAAACAAAACAGAACACAAAAGCCTTGTCAAACTTAGGCAAGACTGTAATTTTTTATTGTCTGGGTTGATGGAAATTTTCTGTTATAACCGAGATAGTTTTTGAAGGATTGTTCTCCCTTATAGATAAGTTTTTAAAGGTTTTAGGGGAAATTGCAAACATTCAAAGTAAACAGAATAGTGTATTGAATCACCAGATGCCCATCACCCAGCTTCAAGAGTTCAGATTAAATTAAAAATGTGCTACATTTAAGTTAGCTTGCATTTTAGAAAAGATTCTTGTTTGGATATTTCTGCCATTCAAGCAGTAGCTGTGAGAAGTCTAAGGCAGGAAAGTATAAAATGGGAAATGGGTAATTCATTTAAGTGTTGGTTACTAATACTTGTTTCCTGTTAGAGTGTAGTTAGGGGTATGAAATATTAGTACAGCCAACATAAACAGTTTTGTTCCATTTTAATCAGGTAATTCAGCTAGAATGCTCTTTCATTGTGAATGTTTGTTTTATTATGTGAATTACATATACTCATAAAAGTATTAAGAGAACTTTGTAAGGCCTCTTGCTCATCAAGCCTTCTGTCATTGGCAGGTATAGATGGCTGCTTTAAGAAGAAATGATGGCACTTAAATTTTGTTTCCAGCATGAATTGATATTGATGTGCTTACTGTATTTCTCAAACCTGGTCTGCATCACAATTCCGGGGAGAGTTAAATGCAGATTCCTTGGCCCCACCTTGGACCTATTGAATCACAATATCTCAGGGTGGAATGGGCCTTAAAAATCTGTTTTTAAAATGCTACCCAGTTGATGGAGATGTGATGCTAAGTTGAGGCACCATTTATTCTAAAAATTAATTCAGCAGATATTCATGAGCACTCAGTATCTGCCAGGCACTGTTCTAGGTGTTGGGGAGACATCAGTGGAAAAAAAATAAAAATTCCTGATCTCGTGGCGCTTACCTTCTCTAGTAGGACTAAGCCGATTTAATGCAAGGGATGGTTGTTTCAGTCACTATTACTAGTTAGTAGCTTAAAATAACTTTTCTTTTGCTCTCAGTACTGTGGGTCAGGAATTTGGAAAGGCCTAGACTGGGGCAGGTGTTTCTTGGGGAGCCCCATGTAGTTCCTTTCAGATTTTGGCGAGGGCTGTCGTCATCTGAGAGTGTGACTGGGCTGGACATCCGAGATGTTCACTTACATGGTGGACAGATGTTGGCTGTCAGCCAGTAAGTCAGCCAGGCTGTAAACTGGCACACCTACATGTGGCCTCTCTAGCAGGATGTCATTTGGGTTGCCGGACTTCTTACATGGTGCTTGGCTTGCTCCAGAGTGAGCAAGTGGAGTGAACCAGATGGAAGCTACAAGGCCCTTCTGACCTGGCCTTGGAAGTTACACAGCTTCGCTTCTGTTGCATTCTTTTGGCTATAAGTAAGTCTCTAGGTAGGTCCAGATTAAGGGGAGGGGTCATAGACCCCACTCTCAATGGGGAGAAGGGTTAAATAATTCGGGGACACGTTTAAAAACTGTCACAATGGCCAGGTGTGGTGGCTTATGCCTGTAATTTCAGCATTTTGGGAGGCCAAGGCAGGAGGATTGCTTGAGTCCAGGAGTTTGAGACCAGCCTGGGCAATATAGGGAGACCCCCTACCTACAAGAAATTAGCCAGATGTGGTGGTGCGTGCCTGTAGTCCCAGCTACTTGGATGGCTGAGGCAAGAGGATTACTTGAGCCCAGTAGTTCAAGGTTTCAGTGAGTCGAGATCTCACCACCGCATTCCAGCCTGGGCAACAGAGCAAGACCCTGTCTGAAAAAAAAATACAACTGCCACAGCTGTTGTAATTTTACATTTTGAATATATTGACGACAGTGTCAGAGAGGAAAAGCTGGGCACTGCTTTTCTCTAAAATCTCCAATCCGGAGTGTGTTCTAGAGAGCAGTTTTTCTCAAGAGAAAGGGATGCAGGTAGAGCACCACCTTTAGGAGTAGCATGATGAGGCCATGGTCACAGGCCTATTCCCTGAACCCAATACAGCTGTTCACAGCAGTAACTTGGCTCAGTTCTGGACATTTCTGGAAATTGTAAGGAAACCAGGTGACAGGGTGAGCTAATGAGCCAATGCAAAGCCATCACCATGGCCAGAAGAACAAGCCAGGGTTTATGTTCAGCTGATGACAGCCTGGGAGGCCATCTTCACATCGGAAGGCTAACCCACTGTTGTATGCCTTCTTTTCTGCAGCATAAAGATAGGGAGGTGGTGATGGAGCACCCCTCTTCTGGAAGTGACTGGTCTGATGTTGAGGAGATCTCCACAGTCAGATTCTCTCAGGAGGAACCTGTCTCCCTGAAACCTTCAGCCGTTCCGGAGCCTTCTTCCTTCA
Source organism: Homo sapiens (assembly GCF_000001405.40). NCBI lineage: Eukaryota > Metazoa > Chordata > Mammalia > Primates > Hominidae > Homo > Homo sapiens. The sequence goes on from NC_000003.12 coordinate 10,270,273, forward strand.
CCACCGACTATGTCATGTACCCTCCTCATTTGTACAGTAGTCCTTGGTGTGACTACGCCAGCTATTGGACCAGCAGCCCCAAGCCTTCTAGCTACCCCTCCACAGGCAGCAGCAGCAACGATGCAGCCCAGGTTGGGAAGAGCAGCCGGAGCCGCATGAGTGATTATTCCCCCAACTCTACAGGGAGTGTCCAAAACACCTCCAGAGACATGGAGGCCTCAGAGGAAGGCTGGTCCCAGAATTCTCGTTCATTTCGCTTCTCCAGAAGCTCAGAAGAAAGAGAGGTGAAGGAGAAAAGAACATTCCAAGAGGAGATGCCTCCGCGTCCTTGTGGAGGACACGCATCCAGCTCCCTGCCAAAGAGCCACCTGGAGCCAAGCCTAGAGGAGGGCTTCATTGACACTCATTGTCACCTGGACATGCTCTATTCCAAGCTATCTTTCCAAGGGACCTTTACAAAGTTCAGAAAAATTTACAGCAGCTCCTTCCCTAAGGAATTTCAGGGCTGCATCTCTGACTTCTGTGATCCCCGCACCCTGACAGATTGCCTATGGGAGGAGCTGTTGAAAGAGGATCTGGTCTGGGGGGCCTTTGGCTGTCACCCTCATTTTGCACGTTACTACAGTGAGAGTCAAGAAAGAAATCTTTTGCAAGCCTTAAGGCACCCTAAGGCTGTGGCATTTGGAGAAATGGGCTTGGATTACTCTTACAAGTGCACCACGCCTGTCCCAGAACAGCACAAGGTAACAAGGCTCTCTTTAGTCTGCTTATAGTTTTAATTTTTCTTTTAGTTGTTGAAGCCTGACAATAAGGGTTTATCTAATTTTAGAAGTAAATAATTGAGAATCCCTGAAAACGCAGTGTGCTTGCTCTCATCCAGACCATCTAGATGCCATTTGTCAAATGCTTTACAAGCTATTTCTTACTGTTCAGCTTTATTATGGAAGATGAGGGAGAAGTACTTTGTGACTTCTTATGGATGATATCAATGTCAAAACATTTGTTTTCTTTCTTTCTTGGGAAGCAATAAACTTTAGGTTTTCTTAATTGATTTTTTGAGAGGGAGTCTTGCTCTTTTGCCCAGGCTTTGGAGTGCAGTGGTGCGATCTCAGCTCGCTGCAACCTCCGCCTCCTGGGTTCAAACTGTTTTCCTGCCTCAGCCTCCCAAGTAGCTGGGATTACAGGCGTGCATCACTACACCCGGCTAATTTTTGTATTTTTAATAGAGACCATGTTGGCCAGGTTGGTATTGAACTCCTGACCTCAGGTGATCCACCCGCCTTGGCCTCCGAAAGTGCTGTGATTACAGGCATGAGCCACTGCGCCTGGCCTGCATTGTTTTTTTTAAATATACCCATTGCAGAATATTTGAAAAAATATGAAAAAATGCATAATTTCCCATTCAACCAGAGATCATGGCTAATACTCTGTTAATATTTTTTTCTTTTTCTTTTTGGAGACAGAATCTCACTCTGTCACCCAGGCTGGAGGGCAGTGGCACGATCTCGGCTCACTGCGGCCTCCACCTCCGCCTCCGCCTCCGCCTCCTGGGTTCAAGCGATTCTCCTGCCTCAGCCTCCCGAGTAGCTGAGACTGCAGGTGTGTGCCACCTTGCGTGGCTAATTTTTGTATTTTTAGTAGAGGTGGGGTTTCACCATGTTTGTTAGACTAGTCTCGAGCTCCTGACCTCAAGTAATCCACCTGCCTCGGCGTCCGAAAAGTGCTGGGATTACAGACCTGAGCCACTGCGCCCGCCCCCTGTTAATATTTTTTTTCCTCCCAATATTTTTTGAGCATAGTGCTTTGGCAGGGTAAGAGTTGTAGTATTTTAGAATTTCTTTTCTTTTTTTTTCAGAGATAAGGTCTTTGTCGCCCACACTGGAGTTCAGTGGTGCAGCCACAGCTCACTGCAGCCTTGACCTCCTGGGCTCAAGTGATCCTCCCACCTCAGCCTCCCAAGTAGCTGGGACTGCAGGTGCACACCACCACGCCTGGCTAATTAAAAATAAAAATTTTTTTGAGATGGAGTCTTGCTGTGTCACCCAGGCTGGAGGGCAGCGGTACGATCTCAGCTCACTGCTACCTCCACCTCCCCAGTTCAAGTGATTCTCCTGGCTCAGCCTCCTGAGTAGCTGGGATTACAGGTGCCTGCCACCACACCCGGCTAATTTTTTTTTTTTTTTAAGGCAGAGTTTCACTCTTGTTGGCCAGGCTGGAGTGCAATCGCATGATATTGGCTCACTGCAGCCTCCAGTTCCCAGGTTCAAGCGATTCTCTTGCCTCAGCCTCCTGAGTAGCTGGGATTATAGACTCCCGCCACCACGCCCAGCTAATTTTTTGTATTTACAGGATCACACCTGTAATCCCAGTATTTTGGGAGGCCGAGGCAGGCGGATCACCTGAGGCCAGGAGTTGGAGACCAGCCTGGCCAACGTGGCGAAACCCCGTCTCTATTAAAAATACAAAAATTAGCTGGGTATAGCTGGGTGTGGTGACTCATGCCTGTAATCCCAGCACTTTGGGAGGCCAAGGCGAGCGGATCACCTGAGGCCAGGAGTTGGAGACCAGCCTGGCCAACATGGTGAAACCCTATCTCTACCAAAAAAAAAAAAAAAAATTAGCTGGGTGTGATGGTACATGCCTGGGGTCCCAGCTACTCAGGAGGCTGAGGCAGGAGGATTGCTTGAGCCTGGGAGGTTGAGCTGCAGTGACCCATGATTATGCTCCAGCCTGGGTGACAGAGTGAGACCCTGTCTCAAGACAAAATTATCAGGGTCTCAGGTCTGCACTTAAAGGTCCATGGGGCGACCTGCACAACAAACTGAACTAGAAGCGATAGGCATAGGGGGATAAACACAGTCTTGAAGATGTCATTTGGCTTGGTGAGATTTGACTCAAGACTGGAAGATAATGAGTCTGAGGAGTTGCTGGCTGGGAGAGGGCTAAGCTGCCTGTAAAGGGGAGGAAGACTAGAAAATATTTGTCAACACCAGAGACTCCTAGGCTGGGTGGGGGATATGGACACTGTTTTGATGTAAATAAAAAATTTGGCACCCAAATGAGGTGAATGGTGGTGACTGGCAACTGCACCTAGTTGGATGTCAGTGCTGAGTTGCATTTACCTAAAAGAGCAGTTAGCAAGTTCTGGATGTGTCCTGCTGAATGTTTTATCTTGTGAAGGGAAGAAGAAGAACCTATAGAGGGCTGGGCGAGGTGGCTCACGCCTGTAATCCCAACACTTTGGGAGTCTGAGGCAGGAGATTGCTTGAGCCTAGGAGTTCAAGATGAGCCAAGGCAACATAGTGAGACCCCATCTTTATTACATTAAAAAAAAAAAAGAGCCTGTGGAAGGTCTGTATCTGGGCAAGATGATAGGGTGACAGACCCTGCTCATTATAGGAGAGTTTGGTTGATGTACCTAAAATTTTCTGGAAGGATTGGAAAATAGAGAAAAGCAAAACAATTGGGGAAAGAATGGGTAGTTATAGTTATTCTGCTGGTTAGAGCAAATTACTGTTAACGTTTTCTTTGTTGATCTGTGGTGTTTACAGATTAACTATGTAACTCATAAGAGTTAGATCCTGAATAGTTTGTGTGTAAGTTGCACATGTCAGCATCTGGGAGGGATGCCAGGGAGAGTAGACTGTCCTTCCCTACCCAGGCTGTATCTCTTTACTTGTGTTAAAGAGGAATTAATTAATTATTAAAGTAATAAATATGCAAGAGATGCCTGGGGCAACTCCCAGGAGAGACTAACTCTGGAATCCCTGGAAATAATGGATCAGTTAGGAAGCCAACCTTATGCAGGTAGAAGTGAGTAATTATACTGGGTAATAACTCATCTGTACTTCCTTCACTCCTGTTGTTTTTCAGCTGGGTTCCTGGTGAGGACAAATGCTGCAAATAGCTCCTGTCCAACCACAAGTTCCTGCATTCTAATGAGTTCTTCTTCCTTCTTAACATTTTTGAAATCTGGATGTGTTTCATGAAACATTATAAATGTAATGTTATTGTTCCTTGGAAAATTGCAAGGTACAATACAATTGCAAGGAACAGTTGCACAGTGGCTTGTCTTCCATGCACCTGTCGTAGGTTGGATGTGTGTGCTTGTGTTAAAGAAAGAAATTAGGAAATTAAATAGTTTTAAGTGTCTTTTCTACTCGTGAAATTTTCCCATTCATCAGCTATACTTTGAAAAATGTTTAACAGCTGTGTAATATTCTATCCTAAAGCTCTAATAGTTTATTTCACTACTCTGAGGGATAATTTTTTAGAGGCAGGAATGAAATGTTGGAATTGGAATCTCTTGAAACCTCTGCTGCCTGTGTGTAGGGGTCGGGGAGGGCAGATGAACAGCTTAGCAGATGCAAATAGGAGGGGCTCCAGCCACCTATTGATAGTGGAACTGGCCAGGCTTTAGATAAAGCCTCTGTCAAGCAGTCTATAATTTTGATGTCTGTGGTCATTTTCCTTTCTTTGAAAACACAGATTAAACAAAAGTTACATCAGAATTGGTATTGGCTTAGTGTTGCTATTTTGAGAAGAGGCAGTACAGGTGTTAGACTTGTAAATATTCTCAAGTGAATATCACCTGACTCAAATTACAAAAAGTATCTCATTGTTTGATGCTGAAAACATAAACACAAATTATGTTCCACAGTTGTAGAAACTACTCATGGAAACATTAATATGAGGTAATTTGCTTATAATGAATTAATTTTTTTTTTTTTTTTTTGGAGACAGTCTTGCTCTGTCCAGGCTGGAGTGCAGTGGCATGATCTCAGCTCACTGCAGCCTTTGCCTCCCAGGTTCAGGGGATTCTCCTGCCTCAGCCACCCAAGTAGCTGGGATTATAGGCACCTGCCACCACACCCAGCTAATTTTTGTATTTTTAGTAGAGACAGGGTTTCACCATGTTGGCCAGGCTTGTCTTGAACACCTGACCTCAAACCCGACTTGGCCTCCCAAAGTGCTGGGATTACAGGTGTGAGCCACCACGCCTGGTGAATTAATACTTTTCTTTGTTCTAAACCTGGGCTCGTTAGAGGAAAGAACAGGTCCTAACTCTACTTTTTTCATTTAAATTAACAATAGTGAAGATTTAAAAGTGGGTAGTGTTATAAAGAGTAAAGTATATTTGTAGTTATTGACCTGCGAGGATACGCGATTTTGATTGAGTAAAGGAAGCAAATTGGCCGGGCATGGCGGCTCATGCCTGTAATCCCAGCACTTTGGGAGGCTGAGGCGGGCAGATCAGTTGAGGTTAGTTTGAGACCAGCCTGACCAACATGGCGAAACCCCATCTCTACAAACAAATACAGAAATTAGCCAGGCAAGGTGGTGCCTGCCTGTAATACCAGCTACGCGGGAGGCTGAGGCAGGAGAATCGCTTGAACCCAGGAGGTGGAGGCTGAAGTGAGCTGCAATTGCACCACTACACTCCAGCCTGGGCGACAGAGCAAGATTCGGTCTCAAAAAAACAAAACAAAACAAAACAAAAAAAAACAAAGCAAGTTGTAGAAAATAAGTGTAGTATTTGTTTCTTTAACAAATATTTGAGTACCTTCTGAGAGCCAGGCACCTTGCTGGAGATGCACACAAACACCACGCCCTGCCGTCCCCAACAGCTCTGCATAGGAGAGGTCTGGAAGTTGGTATCTCTTGAGAGCGGAGGTGGGGACAGTGAGGTGAGGGACATTAACTTTGCGCTTTATGTTCTTGATCCCTGCCCTGCCCCTGCCACCCCAGGTCGGCATCATATAGTGGTTACTGTGTGGAATGCCAGGGTTCAAGTTTGGATCCTGGTGCTATAGCTGCTGGCTGCAAGTTAACTTGCCCTCACTGCATGCTGCGCAGACAGCAGCACCTGCCTCAGGGTGGTTGTGAGGACTGCAGGTTATGATAGACGTGCAGTGCTTTGGGCACTACCTGGCTCTATTGTAAGTGACCAATAATCATTAGCTATTATTACATTATATAGTTAAAAAAAGAGAGACACAGGGGGTGCCTGCTGGACTGGGCGTTCCAGAGGTGATGGACTTCTGAAGTGCTGCTAACCAACAGGGGTTGTCGCTGTGTCCTCTCCTAGGTATTTGAGAGACAGCTGCAGCTGGCTGTGTCTCTAAAGAAGCCCTTGGTGATCCACTGCCGAGAAGCTGATGAAGATCTGCTAGAAATCATGAAAAAGTTTGTGCCCCCTGACTACAAGATCCATAGGTTAGAAGACTGGAACTTCAGCGGGCAAATGAAAGAAACACTTCCTCTGTCAAGTTGATGAGGACAGCAATGATCGTATTCTGTCATTATACACTATCTATTCTTTTTTTTTTTTTTCGAGACGGAATCTCACCCTGTCGCCCAGGCTGGAGTGTAGTAGTGCAATTTCAGCTCACTGCAACCTCTGCCTCCCGGGTTCAAACAATTCTCCTGCCTCAGCCTCCTGAGTAGCTGGGATTACCGGCACATGCCACCACGCCCAGCTAGTTTTTGTATTTTAAGTAGAGACGGGGTTTTGCCATGTTGGCCAGGCTGGTCCCGAACTCCTGACCTCGTGATCTGCCTGCCTCGGCCTCCCAAAGTGCTGGGATTATAGGCGTGAGCCACCGTGCCCGGCCTATACACTATCTTTTCTAAAGAATTAACTATTAGGTTAAACCACTTGAAATTTCTCATATTTGACCTTTTTTTTTTTTTTTGCTCACAAAATAGTAACTTCGTATGGTTTGAACTAATAACCCTAAATCACCAGTGAGCACAAGGGGCCTTTTGTGCCCCCATCCTGGGGATGGGCAGAAATGGAGTTTCAGTTCTCAGCAGTGAGGATTGCTGATCTTGAGAGGTTGCTGTGGGGTGTGGTGGCTTAGCACACAGAGCATCTTAGGGTACTTGAAAGGACATTTTCTTTCCTCTTTTGAACTTGAAAGCTCCTTTCTCCCCAGTTATGAAAATCAAGGTCATGTTTTATCAGAATGGCATCTATGGGTGCTTAAGTTCAGTTTGGTAAACTCTCTGAACTTCTGAACTCTTGCCACGTGTAGGTCCTGGGCTTTGGCTTGCCTCTGGGGACATCTGGAGGTGCTGCCAGGAGACAGGTTGGATGGTGGCTTCTGCCTACATAGCATGTGGGACTGGGTGGTCATAGGTGCTGTGGGAGCCACAGCAGGGGCCCATTATCATAGCCCAGCCAGAAGACTCAGGAGGTGATGCCTGGCCGGCTCCTTAAAGATGGTTGAGAGGGGTTGGCTGAATAACAAGGACTCTAGCACCCAAATCGGGTCTTGTCAGATGGCAGAAAAAGGAGGATGGGGCTGTCAGGGCCTTTGGGTACCTAAGCAGAATGAGTGAAGCCTCTGACCCCTGGCTGCTGCACACACCAATGATGAGGCAGTCAGTTGGCTTTTCTGGGTCGGTTGGTTTTTCATTACTTCATTTTGGGCTAACTTTGAAGGAAATGTAATGGTGGCTGGTAGGCCAGGGCTAAGGTGACCCAACGAGGTGGTATTGCAGGAGGAGGCCCTAAATTTACAGATTGGTAACTATATATATGGCACCAAGAACATGAACAGGTATCAGATTAAGAAAATCCACCTGTAGTTCGACTCCCCAGTATTTTGTTAGATTTCCTTTCAGTTCATTTGACTACTTGGGCATAGTTTTTATATGCTGTCGTTGTCATCATAGGGGCCACAGTTGTTGATTTTGCTCCTCTTCAGTGTTAGAAGCATTTCCTATCCCAGTGTGTTCTCTGTGGTGGTCATCTCAGGGGACTGCAGAGCACTCTGTGGTGTGCGTGGTATCTCTGAGTGATCTCTGATCACTCACCAAGTGCCATCTCGGGGCTTCCTGTGTTGGAGCCAGCCCTTGTCTGTGTTTACTGTGGAGTCCTTCCCTAGGATGCAGTCTTTCCATTTCTGGGAATCATTGAAAAGGGGTGATGGGTGTGGGGGGAGCTGGGGGCTGCTGCAGAGGGGACTGTGAGCAGCCCTGATGTGGAGTTCTGTCTCCAGGCATTGCTTCACCGGCAGCTACCCGGTCATTGAGCCCCTGCTGAAGTACTTTCCCAACATGTCTGTGGGCTTCACGGCAGTGCTGACATACTCCTCTGCCTGGGAGGCCCGGGAAGCCTTGAGGCAGATCCCACTGGAGAGAATCATCGTGGAAACGGATGCTCCCTATTTCCTCCCTCGCCAGGTAAGGGGGTCTTCAGGCTGAGTGGAGGCACCGGAGGGAGAGGGTGGGGAGGTGGGTGGTCACCCTTACAAGGTTGGCAGGGCCAGAGCCCCAGTGACTTCCAGGTCCCATCCTGGGCTGTGTAGATGCCTCCTTGCTGTTACTCTGCAGAACCAAAAGTCTAGGGGGCTGAGAAGCTGAAGGGTAACCACTCTCTTCCAGGCAGTGCAAAGCCCTACCCTGTAGAGGGTAGTCCAAGGAAGCGTGGGACCCTGCTCACCCAGAGCCCCCATGACTAGGACTCTCCCTGCACCTGCAGGTAAAGGGGTCTCTACAGGGCAGCCCCAAAGAGGTCCTTGCTGGGGAAGGGACAGGGAGGGAGTTCTAGATTATGACTGTGCACACATGGCACAATGATGTTATGACCACTTGATGTCTTCCAGGTTCCCAAAAGCCTTTGCCAGTATGCCCACCCGGGCCTGGCCTTGCATACGGTCCGAGAGATTGCCAGAGTCAAAGATCAGCCACTCTCCCTCACCTTGGCTGCCTTGCGTGAGAACACCAGTCGCCTCTACAGTCTTTAAGCAGAGAAGGTACAGTCCTCGGGAGTCTCCTAGAAAAGGTCGTAAAACTCACATTCTGTATTTTTTAAAAACCAGGACAAGTCTTTTGTTGCATTTTGTTAATGTAAAGAATATAAACATAGTATGAGCATTAAGCCTGATTTGTTTTGAGTGACATGGTTTGGAACCTTCTTCTTTTTCTCTTCCACCCTCCAGGGCGACCAGCAGCCTGACAGAACACAGGCTGGCTTGAAGTCTGTGTCTCAGGTCGAGGATGTGTTTAGAGAGCTGATTGGAACACAGAAAACCAGGACAGGATGTTTTCCTCCAAGCGGGTCATAAGGCTTCAGCTTCTGGGTGGTGGGTGGGGTGGGGTGGGCATGGAATGAGGGGTATGGGGACTGCCTGTAATAGCACTGGGATTTTGCCTCCCAGCCAAAATGCTCCAGGGTAGGCAGCAAAGAAGAAAGAGTGCGATATGAGGGTACAGTGAGTTTGGCAGTCCAAATTCTGTTCTCTGCAGCCTGTTTTTGAGTAGTTGGTGAATAAAGTCACCCGCCTACTTGTCTAAGCACATGTGGGTGTGTAACTCAGTTCCTGGTTCTCGGTTCTAAAAACAGACTTCCAACTGGGAAACTTTTTGGGGGAAATTAACTGGACACCTATCTCGGAGGTTTATTTTCTTGCAACCAGTGAAGTCGTCCTCCTCCCTTCCCTGGATAACTCTTCAGTTTGACTGTCACTGTTCTGGTGTCAACTCCAGCGTCGGCACAGGCAGAAGGACTTCAGCTGCTGGTCTCATTGGTTCCACTGCCATTGATATGGGGGGGTGCAGAGGAGCACTCATTGTCCATGATGGAGATCCAGGACAGACTGGGGGACTCCGGGAAGAGGCTTTCTTGGGGAAGAGGACCCCAAAGGAGGTACTTCCTCCTCACTGATGCCCTCAGGGCTGCTGTGTGGGTGTGTTAAGCTGATAAGGTTCAGTTTGCGGCGGAAACTACCTGCTAGTCTTGTGTCAGGGGCTGCCAGCCTCCTTTTGTTTCACTTTTGCCCCCTTCTTGGGAACATTTGACCAAAAATAATCCTCATTTCATCTTGTGTACAGTCCTTTGTGTACCCCGCCCAGGTTGAGAGGTGAATCAGCGTAATTCTCCGAAGCTCTGCTGGGCAGCTCAGCCATGTTACATTGTCTATGCAGAATAAGCAGGCCTGGTGTCTGCAAATGTACCAGTCCTTCTCCCGCATCTCCTGGGTGCCCCCTTGGCTTTGCCTCTCCTGTGTCCTGTCTTTCTGCGTTTTAGAAGTGAGAGCCTCTCCTTCACCTTTTGAGCAACTGAGTCATCTCAAGTCCTGAGCTCTGCTCTGCCGCCTGCTGGTGCCTTGTAAAGGTATACTCGTTACAGGCCCTAGAGGTTCTAATGGTCCAGGGTTAAGTGAGAGGAGACTGTACTTTGTTTCAAAGGATCCTTCACCCTGATCTGCAGTGAGGTGGATAGATCACCTGGAGTCCCTCGTCTGTGGTCTTGGAGGCTTAAATTGTAAAATACATCCCTTATGGAATCCTAAATTCCTCTAGGTGTTTTTGGAAGGCGCATTTGAGCCTTGTGAGCTAAAATGGAATGGATTTAATATTTCCTATCTGGCATTTCCATCTTGCCCCTGGTACACAAGTCACTGGCCTGGAACTCAGCCTTGATTCACTGTCCGTCTTCACGGATTAGCTGTGCTGTTATGTTGTCTGTGCTGCAGATTGGCCCATGTGGGAAGTCGGGGGGGACCTGATTTCCTGCTTGGAAGACTTGGGGGACTGCCGAGCATATCAAAGTGTTTATAGTCACCAAGTGAACTGCAGCACAACCATCTCCTCTCCAGCAAGCCCTGAAGTCAGTAGTGCCTGCAGGTGAAACCAACCAGCCCTGTGTTAGAGGAGGAAAAGCGGAGATGACATGGAAGTCTCCAAGCCTGTGCCATCCACCTGCCAAGGAAAAGCACAAGGTGCTATCTACTTTTCTCTCTAGGATTTAGATTATCATTTATGTGCTGTTGCACAGTGAAACCTCACCTGTGTGGGCGTGAAAGCTGATTGGCATTGTTTTTGATTCAGCTTTTTGGATGGCTAATTGTTTTCACTGTGCTGTGGGAATGCCTCTGTATTTTTTCCCCTCTTTGGCCATCTTTTTCTGAAAATAAAGTGATGGATCCTCTAGCCAACCCAGTCTCTCCGTGTTTGTATAGACTTACCTGAGTGATGCAGTGGTTTAGTCTGGTTGTTGGCCAGCATTGTAACCCAAGAATCCAGGTAGCTGGAGACTTTTTTTCTTTCTTTTTTTTTTTTTTTTGAGAAGGAGTCTTGCTCTTTTGCCCAGGCCAGACTGCAGTGGCACTATCTCGGCTCACTGCAAGCTCCGCCTCCTGGGTTCACGCCATTCTCATGCCTCAGCCTCCCAAGTAGCTGGGATTACAGGTGCCTGCCACCGTGCCCGGCTAATTTTTTGTATTTTTAGTAGAGACGGGGTTTCACCGTGTTAACCAAGATGGTCTCGATCTCCTGACCTCGTGATCCACCTGCCTCGGCCTCCCAAAGTGCTAGGATTACAGGCGTGAGCCACCGCGCCCGGCCAGCTGGAGACTTTCTTGAGTATCTATGTGGCTCTCTGTAAAATTAAACTGCATATAAGAATTCTTAAAGTTCGGCCGGGCATGGTGGCTCACTTCTGTAATCCCAGCACTTTGGGAGGCCAGGGCGGACAGATCACTTGAGGTTAGGAGTTCGAGACCAAGCTGGCCAACATGGTGAAACCCTATTTCTACTAAAAATACAAAAACTAGCTGGGTGGGGTGGCACGCGCCTGTAGTCCCAGCTATTCGGGAGGCTTAAGCTGAAGAATCACTTGAACCCGGGAGGTGGAGGTTGCAGTGAGCCAAGATCGCAGCACTGTACCCCAGCCTGGGTGACAGAGCGAGACTCTGTCTTTCCCCTCCCCCCGCCTCCCCCCAGAAAAGAATTCTTAAAGTTCTACAGCCTTAGAGTGTTAAGTAATTTTACTGTCTGGGAACTCAGATGCACTGCTTCTTTCTGACCTATGTAGGTACTTTCTTTTCTTTTTTTTTTGTTTTTTTTTTGTTTCCAGCTCAAGGCTGTAGGAGGAAGAAAAATCTAGTCCCTGGGGGTACTGATGAATCAGTTGGATGGTGGGCGTTGGACTGTGAATTCCTGATGCCTCTGGGTAAACTCTGGAGGAAATTCTGTTTCATTACTTGCACTCAGCCCTCCTATTTTGTACTAAGGTATTCTTGAATACAAGTGCACCGGCCAAAAAAGTAAACTTACGCATAAAAAGAAAGGCTCTCTTCCTTCCAAGAATGCTGAACACCTTTGAAGTCTCTGTTGCTGCCTCATCTTTTAGATACAATCATTGATTATGTATTTTTGGCATCGTCCTGAACTTTGTTTCATTTCCTTCACAGTTGAATGTGCAGTTGGCTTTGTCCACTCAGTGATGGTCCTTGTGACTGTTCTTGGCTTTTCTGTTGTTTTTCCATCTTTCTATAGGAAGCTTGAGACCGATACTCATCGTTTGCTTTCAGCACCTTAATTTTGCTTTGTTCATTTTTGTAAAGTAAGGGCAAATGGCCACCGGAATGTACAGTGATTAAAGAAGCAAACTCTGTCAAAGATGGTGATTAGTGGCCAGCCAGTCCCTCTCAGGATCACTGTATTAAAAAGTGCTCATTTGCCAGTGACATTTTTTTTTGGTTTTGGTTTTTTTTTTTTTTTTTTTTTTTGAGACTGAGTGTCACTCTGTCGCCCAGGCTGGAATGCAGTGGCCTGATCTCAGCTCACTGCAACCTCCACCTCCCAGGTTCAAGTGATTCTCGTGCCTCAGCCTTCTGAGTAGCTGGGACTACAGGCGCCCAATACCATGACTGGCTAATTTTTTTTTTTTTAAATTTTAAGTAGAGATGAGATTTTGCCATGTTGGCCTGTTTGGCCTTATACTCCTCATCTCAGGTGATCCACCTGCCTCGGCCCCCCAAATGCCAGTGACATTTGTAGGTGGATTCAGATTAAGGTGGGTAGCTTAGTTGAGGCGTCTCAACCCTTTTCTGTGCACTCTCTCAAGATGATTTCTGAACACACAACTATAAGTGCATGAGAACTTAAATACGTGTGCTCTTATGCTAATTATACACAAAGTAAAAGTTTTTTCACAAGGAGAATTTTTTTCTCCAGCAAATAGCTCGCTCACCCTAGGGGTACATACACCCCACTTTAGAGACCCTCAAGTTACAGTGGTATCATTAAACGATCCATAAAGGAGTGGGTTTAAGAAAGCTGATACAGGAACATGTTTGAAATAATACATTTTCTCAAGGGTGTCCTCCAACCATTTTCTTTGATAAATTATATTTCTGCCCATTGTTGACTTGAAATTGTCCTCACCCCTCTACCAAGTTCACCCAGTGTATTCTGAAGGAAAATGAATGAATATGGAAACCTCTCTCATCCTAGGCAGTAGAGCGAGGGAAGCTGCACTGGCTGAGAGGCTGTGGAACCGGATGAAAAAGCAGCCCCTGAGTCCTGTGGCGTTGGCTGTGAGTCGGCCACGTGCTTGCTGTGTGCTTTAGGAAAGTTACTTAATTTCTCTGAGCTTTAGTTTTCTCCCTCATAAGTAGGCTTGCTGTGAAAATGAAGTGAAATCACATTAATCTGCATGAGCATTTAACACGGTGCCTGGTGTACATCAGGGGTGTGACAGTGAGTGCTGGCTGCTGTAGTAATTGAATGCTTAGCTACGTGCCGGGCCCTTTGCCAGCTACAGCTCATGTGAGACCTCATGTTCAGTCTTGGCAGTAACCCAGCAAGGTAGGCATTTTACATGTGAGGAGCCTGAGAAATTCAGTCTTGGCCTGGATCACAGAGCTGGTATCCAAATTCAGGTCCGAGGCCAAAGCCCAGATCTTTGCACTACACCTTGTTGCCTGGCACAGGTGAGAGTGCCCAGCCCATAGTGGGTGCGCAATATCTGTTTCTATTTGAATGACCCAGGCAGGCGGTTAATAATGCTTGTGATTTCTTTGAGAGAGAAGTAAGTTCTTGTCTTTGGTGGGGGAAGCATCAGGTGACCAGCATTTGTCCAGAGCCTGGTACCCATCCTCTCCCAAGCCCAATCAGTGGTGCTTTCTCAAAAAGAAACCATCTCCTGACCACTTTGGCCATATTGGGCCTTTGCTCCTCTTCTGTAGCTATTGATAAGAGGGCTGTGGGCAGTTAGTGATAATCAAGGTCGTATCCCAACTAAGTGACAGAGCTGAGACAGTTAAGTTCCAGGACAAGTGTGTTGATCTCTGTACCCACTTGTGCCAGGTGCCTGGGGAGGTAGGGGCATGGCTGTCTGAGGGTGGAGGGGTGAGTAGGGGGCCTGCAGTGTGCTGTGACGCCTGGGAAGGGGATTCTAAGCCATTTCCCATCAGCCGTTTACTAAGTAGCCTGGGGATCTTGTTAAAATGCAGATCCTGATAGATTAGGGCTGGGGTGCTGCCCAAGATTCTACATTTCTAAGAGTCCCTGGATGACGGTGGCATTCACAGACCACAGCTTCTATGTGAGGGAGAGCAGTTGGGTTTCTGTCTGCCTGCCGCACCTGATCAGTAGTTAGTGCCTGCATGTGTGGCGGCCAGAATTTTACTTGGGGAGACGCTCGGCTCCTAGCACCCTCTGTGGTAGGGGTTTTCCAGAGTGTGGGCATTACCCCAACTGTCTCTGCAGACGGCTTCCTGCATGTTTCCCACAAGCGCTCAGATGGCTGAATTGGCAAGTCTGTGGTGCTGCTCTTTGGGGCCACCTCGTTCTTTGCCTTTCCCTCCCCTTAGCGATGTGTCCCATCCGTTGCCTACAGTCAAGTCAGTCCACATGTTTAGGCTAAGGTGGGCATGACCGAGTGGCCTTCCCCCGGGAAGACCAGTGTCGTAACTGGAATTAAGTTGTGGAACATAAGAGTCAAGGCTCGTGTCTGCTGTGAACTGGAGTTGAGGGAATGTTTGGGGATCCCACCTGGTATCAGTAAGGGAACCATGGCGACGGCCAGCCTTGCCCATGTGAGGCATTTGCTTTGTCAGGCCTTCTCAGTAGTGGAGAAGGGAGGAAGGAGAATGCAGCTCTTTCAGTGCTGTCTAGCAGTGCCCAAGAGCCGTGATTGGGCACCTCACTTAACGTCTAACTTCAGATTCACTCTTGGGCATTCCTGTCTTCCTCTCCAATCTTGAATGGATGTTGGCTTCGATAATGTCATCCTGAAGTTTCTTTGTCCACACAGCCCTGGCTGGTTGTTAATAAGCTGTTAATGCAGCCTTGCACTCAGGAAGCCCTGATGTTTAAAGGAACTGTGTCTTTGTTCTTCCTCTCTTCCCTCTTTCTCTTAGTCCCACTTTATCTCTTCTTTCTCTTCCTCTCCCTCCTCCTTTTCCCCTCTCCCTCCTACTCTCCCCCTTTCTCTCCTCCTTCTCTAAGAAACCCAGTCTTAATTCCACACAATGCATGCACATGCAGTAGCTTCTCTGCTTGAGTGAGCTGGTGTGATTAGGTTTTCTAAACATGCACATTGGCCTTGCTACTTGTCCTTTTATTCCCTTCCCACAGACCATAAACCAAGAATTATTTTTATTTGTATTATTTTGATTTTTTTAAAGTAAAATATTAACTTTTCCTCTTTGAAATAAATTCCCATTTGGAACATCAGCATACAGTTTGAACATTTATTCGCCTCCTGAGCTTGTACAACAGTCGTGGGAGTTGCTGCAGAAGCAAGCGAAAAGCCAGATGAGCGCTTCTAAACTTAGAGAGAGGTGAGTAAGGCTTGTGGGCGATCACTTGTCGGCTGGGGCCTCTGGAAAGCAAGAGGTTGAGTAAGAATGCTGGGTGCACCGTCCTGCTAGTGCTTTTCTTCCACGGTGGTGAGATTGGAGGTGGGATGTAATGGTGGGGGTTGTGGGGAAGCACTGGCCTTGGAGTCAGAGGGCGGCACTCAAGTGTGGACTGTTGTGCCCTGGGCAAGTCACCTCAAAGCTCTGAGTCTTGGTTTCCTCGTTTGCACAGCGGGGTGAATGCTACCCCTGCTGTTCCCCAGGGGTGACGGGTCACCGCCTTGGTGAGGACAGTGCTTTGCAGATGTGCAGGTGTTTCTGCCACCTCAATCAGTTGGGCGGTTTCTTTTTTTTCTTTTACAAGGTGAGGGGATTCAAAGCAAACCCTTTGCTTAACTCAGGAAGCTCTAATATTTGAAGGAACTGCTTAACAGGCTGCAGAACCTGTTCTGAGTGCTATTTTGGCACCAATTCCTTTTTGTTTGTGGAGTAAAGTTACGCAGTGAAGACGGTGTAACACCAAATAATTGTAGACTCTCACAATAGGTAAAATAGCTCCATTTTACAGTTAAGGAAGCTGAGGTTCAACTGAGGCCCCAAAGCTAGTTAATGTACTAGTTCTTAGAACATTCTTTGAACACAAAGACTATGATGAACTCCCTTCTGAGCCACTCACAAATACTAGCCAACCACTATCCTGCAGATCTTTGGGAAAGGGAAATTAGAAGTTCTTTTGGAGAGGCAGAGGTTGGGGAAAACTCATCACCCACAGAGTGAACTCCCATGTGGGGCTGCAAGGAAACCGAGCAAACCCAGTCCAGGCAGGACTCACCTTTGGCCTCTTCCCAGAGGATGTCCTGAAGAAACTTCCCCAGGGCCTGGCTGTGCTGCTGGTACTGAACCCCTGACAGCTTGATTCCAACATCAAAGGGGGCGTTGAACTAGGAGGCAGGGCAGGGAGGACCCAGGAGATGTCAGAGGTCATGCCCATCCCCATCTCAAAGGGGGCTCTGGGCTCTCTGCCTCTCTTCAGGAGTGGAGAGGGAGAATGGCCTTTGGGCCCCAGCAGGGACTGCTGAGTGACACCTCAGCCAGGTTCTCTTCCTTTCTCAGGACCACAGCTCACCTTCCCACTCACCATCTTTCAGACACTTACCTTGCACTCTCATGCCTCTCAGCCTTAGCCTCTAATGGGATTGCTGATAAAAGCTGTGGTGCCCCCTAGTGTGAGATTTTTTTTCTCCCTTGCAGTTTTGAAGACAAAAGGTTGAGTCACCAATGGCAGCATTTCAGGCCCTGGCAGGGGGTCTGCCCAGCATTCTCAGCACTGGCCTGCTGGCCTTCTATTCCTTCCCTGCTCCCAGCTCTTTCTCCTTTCTCTCTTGTCTGTTTCTTCTCCTTTTTCTCCTTCCCTAGGTATTTTTTCTCTCATATGCATAGACCTTTCTTTGATGCCTGGAAAATCAAAAGGAAGTTGATGTTTTCCTAGAAAGAGGCTCTGAGCCAAGTCCTTTCTGTGCTTCCATTTCTTCCCCTCTACAGGGAGAGCGCCTCATCTCTTCCATTTTCCAGGTATTCCTGAGATGATTTATTGGAGCTCAAAGCTTTGGGTAAGTGGGAAGGAGCTCTGCTGCAGCCACATGGCAGACTTTCCTTGAGAGCAGAGATTGTCTCTGCCAGTGGCTACCTCGGTGCCTGGCCATATTGGGCACTGACTTATCTGAGTCAGGGAAGGATCTTAGTGCTGGGTCATTTGGTCCTCACAGTAGAAGCCCAAGGAGTTGGAGGCCAAGGACTAGAATGCAGGACTTTTAAACCCACTTGGCCCTGAAAACTGCTTTAGTCCTATTGCCCTTCCTCTGTGTGAGGCCAGGCGTCCTCAGTGCCTCCCTGTGGGGTAGGCGCTACCACTGTGCCCATTTTACAGGTGAGGACAGAGGCGCAGAGAAGCTATTAACCAATAGCTATGCGTTCCCTTTTCGAAATCTCCCTCCCCTTAACTCCACCATGAAGGTGGACCCAGTGGGGAATGACATGATTGAATTTTTTTTTTTTTTTTTTTTTTTTTTTAAGGAGAGTTGGGGCCTTCCATTCCCTCCAGTAAATACTTGTTTTTCTTCCACCGCTGAGGCAAATGCGGGGTGGCTGATCACCTGGCAGACATCTTAGGAAACAGGAGCACCGGTCTGGGAAACTGCTGGCCTGGCCTAACACCTGGCGCTGTGGTGCAGGCAAGTGAGTGGTGACACAGTGCTGGCTGGTGGGGGGCAGCTTCCCTCCTGGCCTCAGTGGCCCATCTGTTCAATGGGAGTGGGACTTGGTCTCCAAAGTCTTCTACTCTGAAACTTGATTTTGGGAGGGAAACGTTTGGGGGGAGGTAGAGGGGCCTGAGATGAGAGAGGTGGGTGGGACACTCGGTTGTGAGGGGTTTGGTAGTGGGGCGCTCCAGGTCTCTGCAGCCACTCCTCTTCTGGCAGCCCCAACACCCCCCAGGCGTTTGACTTCTGGTTCCAGCCAAGGCAGTGTGGGTCACATGCTCCAAGGCTAGCTTTCACAGAAACTGCAAAGTTCCCGCTGTACCAGCCCCACCTTGCGTCGTCAGCCACCAAGACCTCTTTCTCATCTGGGTACTGGGCAGCTCCTCTGGCTGGGATGACCATGTGTGGAGCTAGCCGTCTCACCAGCAAAATATCCTGGTTTTGGCCTAAGGGTATGCAGCTCTTTCAGATGAGAATCTAGTGGATCCCACCGTGTAGAGGAAAGGTCTGAACACCGCCAGGTGCTGGTGAGGATGAAAGCGAGCAGGGGCTGGGGGAGCTTCCGACGGCTTTATTCCTCGACTGGAGAAGAGTATGGTAAACAGGCAGGCAGAGGCCAAGGCGGGCACATTTCACTCCTCTGGAAGGAAGAGGCCTCCCCTGGGCCACTGTGCGCTGTCTCTGTCCATCAGACCAGTGAGGAGGAAGAGGGCTTGGGGACTGGAGTCAGCCCTGACCTTGTGTCGCGTCCCTTCCACACACCGCTGTGGTACCTTGGGCAAGTGAGTTCACCTCTGAACTGTTCCTTGGCTCTAAAGTGGGAGTAATGCCAGCCCTGCTTACCTCACAGGTTGTCGTAGGGAGGAGGTGGGGCAGTTAGAGGTGAAGTTGGTATCCTCGGGCACAGCGTCTAATAGCTGCCATTATTAAGTGCTACCTTGGGGGAATCCTGCCTTAGCTGCGAAATGGTGTCACCAACCAAATATTTAGAAGAAACCATTCCCTGAACCACAGCCACAGGAAGGTTGCATAGAAAACCCCGTAAAATCCTTTACTCCCTCCTCCTCTCCATCCTTGGGTTGTCTTAACTTTCTCCTTGCCCCACGCACGATTTGTCAGAGCACATCACCCACACCTGCCCCCTCCTTGCCTCCAGGCGAGGTGAGTGGGTGCCGGAGCCTGGGCTGGCGCCAGCCCTCCCATCCAGGGTGCTGTTCGGAAGCACTCCACCCCACAGTCCAGGCCCTGGAAGCCCCTGAGTAAAACATGGTTTTCTGCAGAGCAACATCTTCAGTCTGGGCCTGCCGTTTATTTCTGGGTGTCTTTGTCTCTGGGCACTGTATTTTCTGTCCCCTTTGAGTCGCCTGGAGGCTCTGGCACCCTCTCTCCTCTGCCCAGGCTCCTTCCGTCCCTATTCTGTTGTAGCAAAGTTACTTCTTCTAGATATTTTTCTCTTAATGGGTAAAGACCTCACAGAGCCCAGGGCAGAGCTCAACTCCTGTGGTACTGGTTTTATAGTTCTGGGGAGCTTGTAGTTGGGACCCTGTTCACTGCCACCTCTCCCTGCCCTCCCTCTCCCCTGACCCCACCCTCCTCGCTGCCACAGAAGCATAAAACTGCAGAGGTACCGACCCGGACTTCCAGTTCATCCTCTGCCCCTTCTGCTTGACCTCCATCTTCCGGGCGGAGCCAGCCTGCTAGAGCTCGGGGCTGCAGCTTGGCTGGTGGCTTCTTCGACTCCTTTCTCTGCTGGAAGGGGGAAACAGTCTGTTTAGGACTCTAAGCCCCCATGTCCTTCCAGAAACAGTGAGGTCAGACCCAGAGTCCTTTGTGCTCTGGGAGAAGACTGAAGCCCAGAGATGGCGCTGCTGCTCCAGGTCACAGAGCTGGTTGCTAAGTGGCAGGGCTGGAACAACATGTGGGGCTTTGTGGGGAGGTCTCACCTGGACTCTCTGGTGTTCAGGGCTCAGGAAGCTGGAGCCTGCCATGGCCAAGTCCAGCCAGAGCATGCCGAGGAGCAGGAGGCTGCAGACGGTCCCTGGGGAGGGCATGGCCTCAGCTGGGTTGCAGACAGGTGGGCCTGGGGGAGAGAGGGTCTCCAGGCAGCTGCCTCCCCTTCTCATGTGCCTCTGAGCTTGCTCAGGTAGGAGCCCAGCAGATGGCGTGAAGGGCTTTACCATCTGGGGTCCTGACTGCTGTGTAGAGAGGACCCCCGCTTCCACCTCCCAAGGTAGAAGATGATGGATGTGTGTTCTCTTCTCCAAGGCCGTTCAGGGCAGAACACCTGGCAGCAGGACTTGATAGGGGCTGGGGGTCCTCCCCGGTGCCTTTTGTCCCAGGCTCTGAGAGCTCATGGCGAGTCTTTTCATGAGGAGGGAGGAAGCTGAACCAGCAAGGGCCCCAGGGCACTCAGCAGGGAGGGGGTTAGAGGTAGCTCCTAAATGAAGCTCTGTCTTCCAGCCAGACAGTCCGACATCCCCCGTGTTTAGAGGGGACTCCTGAGGCCCAGAGAGGTTAAACGGACGGGCAGCAGTCACGGACAATAAACCTGTCAGCAAACGCACACGGAGAGTAGAGAGAGCTTACCTGCAGTTCCTGGCGGAGGTGGTGCCTGGTGGCTGTCAGGTCCTTATATAGGATGACTGGCGTTTGTTCTAAACCAGCAACCCCATCCCAGAGGTGGCCTAGCTTCCGTGGGGCTGATGTACATTCCTTGGGAACTAAAAATGTTCTTGTCCTCTGGGTAGAAGTCAACAGTGGAGGTCAGATGCCCTGCGGAATTGCTGGGTTGGCGAGGGAAGAAGCATGTGCTCCAGCTGTCCCTGGAACACGGTGGCGGGGTGCCCCAAGTGGGCATGGCCCTGGTGGAGGAGGGAGGGAGGAGAGTGGCTCTGGGGTCTGGGTGCAGCTTTGTTGCTGTGTGACCTTAGCTTACTCGCCCTTTCTCCCTGGGTAAAATGAGGCTGTCATCACTAGGAGAGCTCTGAGACCTCCCCAGTCCAGCGCCCCGTTGTTTCCCATGTGCTGTTGCTGCTCTGGCCTCTGTGAGCCCCGGGAGTCCGCAGGGAGCCAGGCTGGTGATTCTACACCTTCCCGAGGAGGAGTCCCACCTCCCGGTTGAGCAGACTGCTCCTGATCATCCTCTCCAGAGAGTGGGTGTGGGGATAACTTCAGCCAGTGGCTATGCTTCAGTCATTTCTGCCAGGTGTGACATGACTGCCTGGCCTGGCGTTTTTTCACATAGCAGCTTGCCTTGCCTCCCTCCAGCAGCTTTGGTCCCTATTTTAGCGGATGCCTCTTCTGAGAGGGAAGTGCATTGGACCTGGAGGTGGAAGATCTACGCTTAGCACGGGCCTGGCTCCTCTCTCATTGACTGGCCTTACGCCGACCACAAATAATTCCCCTTACCCAGAGTCTTTGAGGGTGAAATGAGGCGATGGGGGGAAAGTGGCTTCTAACCTGTGAAACACCCTGCAGATGACAATGGTTTCATACCAGGCCCATAGGACTTCCCAGCATAGGCCAAGGCCACTGCCTCATTTCCCTCGGCCCCAGGAATTTCTTCCTTTCTGGAGTGCTTCATCCAACTGGGTGCCCAGGCAGGAACCCCTAAGGGCCAATGAGTTGTCTGCAGAGAAGTTCTAGCAGTTCAGGAGAGGAGCTCACCTTAGGCTGGGGCTTGCGGCAGGGATGTTAGCAAAGGCTCCAGGAAAGAGGCCTGTGGTGAACTCGGGGCAGGGCTTTGGAGGGAGGGCTTTGCGGCAAGCAGAGGGGAGGTGAAGGCGTGGGTAGAGTACATCAGGGCAGCATGGAGAAGGCTGGGTGGCTTGGGGGAGGGTGGCGATGGGGTCATAACAAAAACATAAGAAGGTGGTTTGGGGCCAGGTGATGGATGCCTTGGGAACTGCTAGCCCAAGAAGTTTGGGCTTTTTTTGCAGGAGGGCAGCCACTGAGGATTCTTGAGGAGAGAGAGACCATAGAATGAATGAAAGAGTTGGAAAGACTTTAAAGCTCTGGGAGGCTGAATCCTTTATTTCGCTGGAAGAAAAACTGAATGCCAAGAGGGCCTCACTTTCCCCAAAGCTATACAGCCATCAGGGGCAATGCTGGGATTCCCCCATGGATCTCTTGACTCCTAATACAGTGCTCTTTCTGATATGCCATCTGGCTCCATAATGAACATTGTGTTCCAGGAAAATCAGTCTGCGCTGAACAGGATGGAATTGGGGCAGGACGTCCAGTGAGGAGGACATTGAGGCAGTAGAGCAGTTGATTGCCGAATGACCACCTACCCTGACTTAAAAGATCAACCTCAGGGAGGATTGGAGCTTTCTAGAGTCTCTTGGGACAGCAGAAGCACAGGCCGGGTTGGACTGAATCTTTAAGTGGACATGAGGGACAAAGTACCTCCTGTTGGTAAACATCTCACCACCAACCCACTGTGGTGGCTAAAATCCCACCTTTAGTCCCAGCAACATATGAGCATGTCACCAGGAGGTCTTCACAGGCCTGTCTGCCACCTGAGTGTAGACATCTTTTGGCCCTGGAGCCCAGAGAGGCTGAATGTGGAGAGGGTGGAGAGAGGTCTGTAGTCCTCAGAGAAGACTTGCAGCTTTTTCAGAGCCACCAACCCATAAAAAAAAAAATCCCCAAACAGAAAAATCCTAACTGTGGTGACCAGGTACCTCCTGAGACATGAAGCCTCCACTTACCTGGACCCTGGAGGCCTCTCCGGGCACAGCTGCCAATGTTGATCTTAGATAAGACCACCAGCAAGTAAACATCCACTGTGCAAAGCTGTGTTATCTTTGGGGAACTGAAATGTCCCCTGGGAGTTGGAAACTCCCCTAGCCACATACCACAGAGTTGAGGAAGGAAGAGCTGATGGACGGAAGAACCATGGCGGGAGGAGTCATCCGGAAGCTACCTCGCTGCCCTGTCAGTTACGGAACAGAGGAGAGATGCCGGCTGGAGGACACAGCAAATTTGAACCAAGAGGAGCTTGGAGGAAGCCCGAGCGACCTGGAGGGGACTGGCTGACCTTCCTCATTCTTTTCAAGTGTGAATAATAACCAAGCCCAGTTTGGCAACTCCTTGAGGGTGAGGACGAAGCCCCATTCTCCTTTTTGGAACTTGGTGGGGCTCAGGAAGCAGGTTCTCTCCAGTCGGTGGCTTTCCTTTCTGTTGCGGGTCTCTTGAGGGCCTGCCTTCATGAAGGCACATGAGTGACTCATCATTTGTGAATTAATTGCTATATGTGAAGGGCATCTGAGAACAAATTATCTTCATAGACTTTTCATTATAATTTTATTTGTACTGATAATTAGTTGGTTTAGCAAGCTCTTTTTTCATAGATTTGGCTAAACTTCAGTCTGAAAGAGGCAAATTCTGGGGTTCTAGAAAGAGATTTTATTCTTTGATATAGGGCTATTTGGTGGGGTTGCTTTTTGTCCTAGTTGTAGCTTTTATAATTTCGAGATTCACATTTTGCAATAGAAATATACAGGCATACCTTGGAGGCATTACAGCTTTGGTCCCAGACCACAATGAAGCAAGTCACACGAATTTTGTTGGTTTCCCAGTAAATATAAAACGTATGCTGATACCATACTATAGTCTAAGTGTGCAACAGCATATGTCTAAATGAATATACATATATATTTTTTTGAGACAGGTTCTTGCTCTGTCACCCAGGCTGGAGTGCAGTGGCACTATCATGGCTCACTGCAGCCTCCACCTCCCTGGACTAAGATGATCCTCCCACCTCAGGCTCCCAAGTAGCTGGGACTACAGGTCACACCACCACACCCAGTTAATTTTTGTATTTTTTGTAGAGACAGAGTCTTGACATGTTGCCTAGGCTGGTCTTGAACTCCTGGCTTAAGTGATCTGCCTGACTTTGCCTCCCAAAGTGCTGGGATTACAGATGTGTAGTCTTTGAAATCCAGTGTGTGTTCTTACAGTGCATTTCAATTTGGACTAGCCATGTTTCAAATGCTCAGCAGCCACATGCGGCTCATTCTAGATAGGCGGCCATCGCTCTTAAATCCTCCCTGACCTTAGCCATGCTCTCTCATCCCTCCTCTTCGCCAAGCTCTGCCTCTCTCACTGGGGCTTCCCTAGCCTCCGGCCATCTTGGGGCCAAAGCTCTAACACTTTGCCTCTCTCGTGTCTTCTGTTCCCCTCCAGTGGCTTCTGCTTTCTGCCTTAAAATACACCCAGGTTCCTAATCCTGAAAACGTCTGTTGTGCACCGATCCCACCCTCCCCTCGTGTTACCATCTCCATTTCCTTCCCCTTTCCTTGTGTCCTCTTCTTTGCTGTGTCCTGGCCCCTCAAAACTTGACCTTGCCTCTCATCCCCACTGCTGTACTGAAACTGTTGTCTCAGCGTTGCTGATCATCCAGCCTTTTAGTCTATGGACCGCTAAGAGCCATAGGACGACCTCAGGGTGGGACGTGGCTTGGAGGGCCATCTCGTCTCAATTTCCAGATACAGACCTGTGTTGGGTTGTGTTGGATTCATGAGGAAAGCTTCATAAGTTTTATGCACGTTTATAAGACTCCATCCTTGGATTCTGATCCAGTAGCTCTGGCGTGGGGGCTTTAGAATCTGTTTCAAGTATCTCAGGTAATTTTGATTATAAATTACCAAGTATCCCAGGTAAATTTTGATTATAAATGCTTGCTTCCAGCAGAAAATATAAACATATGGAAGATGAAATCTTTCTCTCTGAATAACCCAATTCAGTTTCCACTCGTGAATATCTTATATAACCGTAGTACATTTATCAAAATTAAAACACCAGTGTTAGCACATTACTGTTAATCTCCAGACTATTTGTAAGTCACCAATTTTTCCATTGTCCCATCTGTTCTTCCTTTTCTTTCTCTTGTCATAACCACTTTTAGAGGGTTTTGAATGGTATCATTTTGTCTTCACCGTCGGCTTATTAGCTATACTGTACTGTTCTATTCTTTGAGTGGTTGCTCTAGGATTTACAAATATGACTTCAACATATTGCAGAATACCTTCAACAACTACGATATCCTTTCACAGATAGTGTAAGAACTGCACCACAGAATGCTTTCATTTCCCCACTTCTATTCTTTGTGATATTATTGTCACACATTTTATTTTTACTTAAGGTATGAGCCCCACAATGCATGTTAAATAGCCAAAGTTTTTAGACAGATTAAAGAAATTAAGAAAAAGTCTTATGAACTCAGGTATTTACTATCGTGTTGCTCCTTATTCCTTAGTGCAGATCCATTTTTCTTTTCTTTTTTATTTGAGACAGGGTCTCACTGTGTCACCTGTGGTTGAATGCAATGGCGTGATCTCAACTCACTGCAGCCTCCACCTTCTGGGCTCAACTGATCCTCCCACCTCAGCCTGTAAAGGGATATTTGCAAAGGGATATCGGAGTTGTTGAAGGTATTTGCAATATGTTGAAGTCATATTTGTTTTTTTTTTTTTTTTTTTTTTTTTTTTGAGATGGAGTCTTGCTCTGTTGTCCAGGTTAGAGTGCAGTGGCGTGATCTTGGCTCACTGCAACCCATACCTCCTGGGTTCAAGCAATTCTCCTGCCTCAGCCTCCTGAATAGCTGGGACTACAGGCATGCGCCACCACACCCAGCTAATTTTTGTATTTTTGCTAGAGATGGGGTTTTGCCATGTTGGCCAGGCTGGTCTTGAACTCCTGACCTCAAGTGATCCATCTGCCTTGGCCTCCCAAAGTGCTGGGATCACAGGCATGAGCCACCGCGCTGGGCCTGAAGTCGTATTTGTAAATCCTAATTTTTGTATTTTTTTTTGTAGAGACAAGGTCTCACCATGTCGGTCAGGCTGGCCTCACACTCCTGGGCTTAAGCAATCCTGCTGCCTCAGCATCCCAAAGTGCTGGGATTACAGGTGTGAGCCGCTGTGCCCAGCCTGTTTTTCATCTAGTATTTTCCTTCTGCCTGAAGGAAACTTCTTTGACATTTCTTGTAATGGCAGCTCTGCTGGTGATTAATTCTTTCAGCTTTTATTTGAAAGAGTCTGTATTAAAATATATATATATTTTCACTAGGTATAGAATTTGAGGCTGACAGGTTTTTTTTTTTTTAATTTTTTCAGTACTTTAAAGATGTTAATTTTCTTATGGTTTGCCTACTTTCTGATGAGAAGTTGGCTGCTGCTCCTTTTTTTTTTTTTTTTTTTTTGAGACAGAGTCTTGCTCTGTCGCCCAGGCTGGGGTGCAGTGGCGTGATTTCGGCTCACTGCAACCTCCACCTCCCGGGTTCAAGCAATTCTCCTGCCTCAGCCTCCCGAGTAGCTGGGATTACAGGCACCTACCACCATGTCTGGCTAATTTTAGTAGGGATGGGGTTTCACCATCTTGGTCAGGCTGATCTCGGACTTCTGACCTCGTGATCCACCCGCCTCAGCCTTCCAAAGTGTTGGGATTATAGGCGTGAGCCACGGCGCCTGGCCTGCTGCCACTCTTATATTTGTTCTTCTGGATGGAATGTCTCTTTTTTTTCTGGTTGCTGGGAACATGGGCTATTCCCACCCCTATGTGAGCTCCAGCTGCTTGGTCTATTGGTTTCACCCTTCATATATGAAGGTTAGTACTTGTCCAAAGACTCCAGGAGACTCTTCAGCTCTCAGGAGCTTGCTCTGTGCAGCTTCCTCCTCTCGTCCTCTTCTGCCTTCAGTTCTGCCTTGGTCTTTTTTGTTTGTTTGTTTGTTTTTTGAGACAGAGCCTTGCTCTTTCGCCCAGGGCAGAGTGCAGTGGTGTAATCTTTGCTCACTGCAACCTCCGCCTCCCTGGTTCAAGCAATTCTCCTGCCTCAGCCTCCCGAGTAGTTGGGATTACAGGGGTGCAACACCACGCCCGGCTAATTTTTGTATTTTTAGTAGAGACAGGGTTTCACCATGTTGGCCAGGCTGGTCTCGAACTCTTGATCTCAGGTGATCTGCCCGCCTTGGCCTCCCAAAGTGCTGGGATTACAAGCGTGAGCCACCGCGCCCGGCCTGCCTTGGTCTTCCTGAACTCTGACTTCTGTCTCTTCAACTCCTGGAGACTACTAGACTCTGGAGTCTCTCTTTACCTTTTGGCCCAGAAACTGCTTCTGGGTAGTAGTAACCTGGTGCATTTGTTGTGCTTACCTGTTTCCCTTTTCCCAAACACTGCCTGTTGTCCTATGTCTGAAAGCAGTAGTTGTTTCATGTACTTTTCATGATTTCCTAGTTGTTGTTTTTTTTTTAAATTTATTATTTTATTTTATTTTATTTTTTTATTTTATTATTGTTATACTTTAAGTTTTAGGGTACATGCGCACAATATGTGGGTTAGTTACATATGTATACATGTGACATGCTGGTGTGCTGCACCCATTAACTCGTCATTTAGCATTAGGTATATCTCCTAATGCTATCCCTCCCCCGTCCCCTCCCCCCACAACAGTCCCCAGAGTGTGATGTTCCCCTTCCTGTGTCCATGTGTTCTCATTGTTCAATTCCCATCTATGAGTGAGAATATGCGGTGTTTGGTTTTTTGTTCTTGCGATAGTTTACTGAGAATGATGATTTCCAATTTCATCCATGTCCCTACAAAGGACATGAACTCATCATTTTTTATGGCTGCATAGTATTCCATGGTGTATATGTGCCACATTTTCTTAATCCAGTCTATCATTGTTGGACATTTGGGTTGGTTCCAAGTCTTTGCTATTGTGAATAGTGCCGCAGTAAACATACGTGTGCATGTGTCTTTATAGCAGCATGATTTATAGTCCTTTGGGTATATACCCAGTAATGGGATGGCTGGGTCAAATGGTATTTCTAGTTCTAGATCCCTGAGGAATCGCCACACTGACTTCCACAATGGTTGAACTAGTTTACAGTCCCACCAACAGTGTAAAAGTGTTCCTATTTCTCCACATCCTCTCCAGCACCTGTTGTTTCCTGACTTTTTAATGACTGCCATTCTAACTGGTGTGAGATGGTATCTCATTGTGGTTTTGATTTGCATTTCTCTGATGGCCAGTGATGATGAGCATTTTTTCATGTGTTTTTTGGCTGCATAAATGTCTTCTTTTGAGAAGTGTCTGTTCATGTCCTTCGCCCACTTTTTGATGGGGTTGTTTTTTTCTTGTAAATTTGTTTGAGTTCTTTGTAGATTCTGGATATTAGCCCTTTGTCAGATGAGTAGGTTGTGAAAATTTTCTCCCATTTTGTAGGTTGCCTGTTCACTCTGATGGTAGTTTCTTTTGCTGTGCAGAAGCTCTTTAGTTTAATTAGATCCCATTTGTCAATTCTGGCTTTTGTTGCCATTGCTTTTGGTGTTTTAGACATGAAGTCCTTGCCCATGCCTATGTCCTGAATGGTAATGCCTAGGTTTTCTTCTAGGGTTTTTATGGTTTTAGGTCTAACGTTTAAGTCTTTAATCCATCTTGAATTAATTTCCTAGTTGTCTATAGTGTGAGGGAAATTCTTATTTATTATTAAAGAGACAGGCTCTTGCTGTGTTGCCCAGGCTGATCTCAAACTCCTGGGCTCAAGAGATCCTCCTCCCTCAACCTTCCAAAGTGCTGGCCACTGCGCCCAGCCAGGGAAATTTTTTTTTTTTTAGACAGAGTCTCACTCTCTTGCCCAGGCTGGAGTGCAGTGGTGCAATCTCGGCTCACTGCAACCTCCACCTCCTGGGCTCAAGCGATTCTTGTGCCTCAGCCTCCTGAGTAGCTGGCACTACAGAGGCACACACCACTGCACCTA
Source organism: Homo sapiens (assembly GCF_000001405.40). Lineage (NCBI taxonomy): Eukaryota > Metazoa > Chordata > Mammalia > Primates > Hominidae > Homo > Homo sapiens. The sequence goes on from NC_000003.12 coordinate 10,298,893, forward strand.
ATTTTTGTATTTTTAGTAGAGATGGGGTTTTGCCATGTTGGCAGGCTGGTCTTGAATTTCTGGGCTCAAACATTCCGCCCGTCTTGGCCTTTCGAAGTGTGGGATTACAGTTGTGAGCCACCATGTTGGCTGGGAAATTCTTACAATCGTTAATCCTTTATATGCAGAAGTGGAAGGTCTCCCCTTAGTGTTTCTGGGCTCACTTGTAAATGGAAGCCTGTGAATCTTCTAGTTTTGGGAGTTGTTTTCACAGTGGCTTGCTGAGTTTTGCACTCAGAATGGATGAGTATTTGATGGCAATTTTTGGGGTCTCTGGCTTATAGCACCATAAAAACTCCCTTTTCTTCACCCTGCTGATCTCTCAGAGGTATTGTGTCTATGAAGGCTTTGGCCTGCTCCATGTTCTAGGGTCTGTGGGTTTCTTTTGCTGTCCCAGTTGCTTTGTTTTTGCAAAAGGATTAAAAACATATGGCTGCTAGCGCCATCTGGCCCTAACCAGAGCTCTATGCCTTTTAAATTTCCCTTACTTTTATCTCATTTGGGCTTGACAACTGCCCGGCAAGTTTTACAGATAGTATTTCTATTTGACTAGGCTATTTTGTGGTAATAAATTTTGGGGTCTCCTCTTACCCAGGAATGGTTAATGTGTTGCCACTCTAAGTATAAACAACTATTATGGTGCCAACTTCATAATTATCTTAACCAATCCTTGGTGGTGGGAGTTAAAATAGAGCACACAGTCAGGGACCCATTAACCTACCACCAACCCAGAGTGACACGGGACTAGTTCCTTCTCGGTATTTTCTTGGCGACAGCAGCTGGCACCATAGGAAGCCCAGGCCCAGGCTTGAGGAGCACAGAGCGTATCAGGGAGGCAGACGTGGATATGGTTCAAGGATTCACTGTAGAACTCGACACTCAGTAGTGCACGTGAAGGTGCCTTCCTGGGCTTTGCTTTTCTGAGTAAGGGAAGGAAGGAAGCAGCTGTTTTCATGTTGGTCTCAGAAGGCTTGGGCTTTGTGGACTGACTGGAGGCTGACTGGGCCAGGCCATGGCCTCTCTGTCCTCACCTTTAACCAAAGCAGTTTCACTTTCTTCTATGTTACATAGTATGATCAAAGATTTTTTTTTTTTTTTAAAGGGGATTTTGCTGCTGAAAAAGGAGGGAAGGACAAGAAGTAGGCAGACTAGGGGGCCTGAGGCAAGTGGGCTGACCTTTTATCTGAATCTATTCATACAAAGGTTTGGTGTGAGAAACATCCTTGTATTACAGCTGAGGAGAGCCCCCCAGCTCCCACCCTGATTCTACAGTGGGGAGTAACTGTTGAGATGGGCCAGGCCCTGACGCTGGCTTTACGTTTGCACAGTCCTGGGCAGGGCTTCTACCTTCTGAGCGCTTCCTCATCAGTGAACTGGGTACACCCACACGGGGTTCTCGTGTTGCTTAAATTAGCGAATGTGTGAAAGATCCAGTGTAGGGTCTGGCTCACCGCAGGCTCACTGATGGCTATGGCGATTGTCAGGGTCACAGGGCCTCCGCTGAAAGGTGATACCTGGTTCAGGGTCAGTTAGGTCTCCCATCATGGGGCCCTCCTTTTCCTGACAGGGTCAATAAACTAAATGAATCGTGCCCACTTTCTGGGCCAGCATCTTAACTATTGGTGTTTGGTTAATACCACGTTGCACCTGCGTGGCATTTTGTAGGTCACCAGATGCACTAGCGTGTTTGAATCTTGCAGCCATCCTGTAGGGCAGACTGTATTAGTCCCATTCTGCAGAACAGGATGTGTACCGAGAGGGTAAGTAGCAGACCCAGGGCTACAGTCCTTGTCACCAAAGGCTGAGTCCAGTGCTCTGTATGGTGCTTTCAGTATAAACTGAATCAGAGATGCTCATGCAGTGACAAGCCACCTTTGTGCGTGGGGTTAAGCCAGGCCATCACAGCCGTGGCCTTTGTGAATAGTTTGTTCTAGTGCGTGGACCGACAAGAGTCAAACTGAGCTGGTGGGGTGGGGTGGTTAGGATAACGCAGCAGGAATTATAAGCAATATGACTTTATTTAGTTCCTTTGGAAACAAAACCCCCCAAATAATGCCTGAACCCAAAGGTACATAAAAATGACCCAAAATAGATTTGAACATCACTTGTAGTTTCTTCCTCGTAACATGAGTGCTTTCAGCTGGACAGTAGATTACAAAGCATCTCCGATCACGTTAAGGCAGATGATCAATCTGTGGCTGCATCTGTAACTCCTCCTGGGAAAATAATCCTGTTGGAGTTGGGGGCTCTTCCCAGTTGTCTGGTTAGTTGGCCCAGGAAGGGGCAGTCCTGGAGCTGGCGGGTGGGGAGCCAGGCCCCACCTGTCTTGTCACTGCTCGTTCTGCTGGCCCTCTGTCACTGATGCTGATACGGAGCCCTGGCCCTTGTTGACATCACTGATGCACACCCACTGCCCATCAACTGACTCCTTCCACAGGGTCACCTGCGAGTCAGTGCACAAGCAGATTATCACGGGTCTGTGCCCTTCCCTCTGCTGTCCCCTAAATATGAGCCTCATCCTCATCAAGAACCACTGCCCAGAGGCTTGTGGGTGAACAGAGCATGTCCCTCCTCCACTGAAATCTCACCAAAATGAGAGTCCAGGAATAAAAACTCACAGAAAAAAAGGAGTAACAATAACAGCAGCTGTGGATGATGATGTCAACACAGGATACTGTTTTCAGCAAACTGTGACAGAGCTACAGCGAGAGGATATGGGGTGGCGGGGAGCAGGGTTCGCAAAGTGTGGTCCCCAGACCAGAGCAGAGCATCGGTCACCTGGGAGCTTGCTACAACTGCAGATTCTTGGGGCCTGGAACAACTGATTAGGAAGCTCTGGGGGTGGGGCTGGCAATCTGTTTTAACAGGTTTAACAACACTGCAGTTTGAAAACTACTGTGGTAGAGGAAGGTAACAGTTCAATATGTTGTTTCTACACTGAAGTAAACTGTATAAGAAATAGCTAAGAGCTGAAAAGGTTTGCCCCTGGAGAGAAAATTAGGAGGCTGCATTAAAAAAAATCAGTCTAGGTCGGGCATGGTGGCTCACGCCTGTAATCTCAGCACTTTGGGAGGCTGAGATGGGTGGATCACCTGAGGCCAGGAGTTCGCGACCAGCCTGAACTGGTGAAACCCCATCTCATCTCTACTAAAAATACACACAAAAAAACTAGCAGCCACCTGTAATCTCCCAGCTACTGGGGAGGCTGAGGCAGGAGAATCGCTTGAACCCAGGAGGCGGAGGTTGCAGTGAGCCGAGACTGCGCCACTGCACTCCAGCCTGGACGACAGAGCGAGACTCGATCTCAAAAAACAAAACAAAAAACAAAAACAATCTAAACCTATGTACATATATTAGTTTGATTAAAAATGAAAATAACGATTTTGATTTTAAGAACTCTTGCTTTAGGGACAAACTATTCACTCAACACACTGCAGAATGCTCTGGGATTGAAAACATACTAAGTCCTTTAGGTAAGGGTGCTATGGAGACAGCGAAAGGAAACAGGCTTGTAAAGAAGAGCAAGAAGCCTAAATGCACAGTGACGGGCCCCACAACACTGCGTGCACAGCCAGGCACTTGCTTACAGCCTTGTAAAAAAGTCACTGGGGGCCTGCTTGAGGCAATCTGGGTCCCTTGGTCTGCCCTGAGTGCCATCAACCTGGGTTCTGGTCCTGACTCTGGCACTCACTAGAAATATGGCTTTGAGAGGGGGCCTGCTAGATCTTTCTGGGACCACTGTAGATGAAAGGGACCCTCGGCCAGAAAAGCCGCCTGCAGAGGCTCTCAAGATCTGCACACCCATGTTCACAGCCACACTATTCGCAATAGCTAAGAGGTGGCAGCAGCCCAGGTGCCCTTTGGTGGAGGAATAAGTGTAGAAACAGGGTGTGGGCTGTCTATACAATGCAACACTACTTAGCTTTACAAAGGAAGGAATTCTGACACATGCTACGTACAGCATGGAGGAACCTTAAGGGCATACTGCTAGTGACATAGTCGCAAAAGGACAAATACTGTATGATTCCACTTAGATAGGTCGCTAGAGCAGTCACATTCACATAGACAGAAAGGAGAAGGGTGGCTGCCAGGGCTGGGGAGGGGCAATGGGGAAGGGAGTTATTTAATGGGTACAGAGTTTCAATTTTGCAGCTGAAAAGAGTTCTGGAGACCAGCTGCTTCTCTGCCTTGCCTGTGTTGGTTGTGCCGTGAGCCACACAAATGAAAGGTAAGACATGGAGCCAAAGTGGCCACTGGGAAACAGTAAAAGACCAACATAGGCAAGGGAGAGAAGCAGCAAGGGCTGGCAGGATCCAGACCAACTCGCACTTCAGGCGCAGAGCAGATGTGCCTGAAAACGCAGCACAGCCACTCCACGTGGAACTGACCCTGCGGCGTTAGAGATCCTCTGTCTTATAGGGGAATTCAGCTGGGCAGATGGCTATGGCTTGTTACTGCTTCCTTTCTGCGGGTAGCTTTTTTCCTTCTAATTGTAAAATACACGTCACATAAAATGACCTTGGCCACTTTTAACTGCACAGTCCAGTTGTGTGAAGTACATTTGGGTCCCTGAGCAGCTGGTCTCCAGAACTCTTTCAGCTGCAAAATGCAAACTCTTCCAGTGCACCCACTGTGTACCTGCCTCTTACCAGCATAACAAGTATTCATAAACTCTAAAGGTTTTTAAAAAGCCTTTTCAGTGTTATGGACAAAAAATATCCCCAATCTTCTTCTGTTTATGGGTTCTTATACACTTGCCTTTTTGGCACAGCTAACTGAACATCACCATGAGGTGACCAAATGCTTAGTAGGGTGATGGGCCTGACTGGCTCTGCCACCTCATAGTTTTGGGACCCCCATGCAAGTCAAATCGCCTCTGTCAGCTTCTTTCCTCATCTGTGAAAGGGGGACGTGTTAATACTACCTCAGGGGCTGTGACATTAATGATGTAACTAAGAGGCACACTCAAAACGCAGTCCTGGCTAAGGCTCCTGCCCAGCCTGCAGTCAGATGGGAATGTCAAGTGCCCTCTCTAGTGGGCGGGGTGAAGACCAACAGGCTGTGTCCACCATGCCACGGGGAATGGGTATGTACCTTATTGTCTCCACCAGAGACAGCCAGGATGTTGGCTGTGATGGACCAGCTCACATGCCACACCACATCGTTGAACTTGTGCAACAATTTAGGGGACCACGTATTGCTTGAGGCATCATCACAGGTCCAAATGAACACACGACCATCCTAGGAAGAAACAGGATAGAGTCAGGAGGTGGAGTCAAGACTCCTGCGTTTGTGATGTGATGTCCTCCCAGTCTAGAGCCACCCGGCACCTCTCTGCAGGAACAGGGTGGGGGATTCAAAGGGGAGCCGAGGACCTCTGGGGCGTCCACAGCTTTGTTTCTGTCTCTTCACACTGGTTAAGAGTCTCCCGGATTCCTTTTCTCATCCGGGTTTCGGAGGTGGACTCTGTCTGCATTGCTAACTCAGATTTTCTCTGGGGTTTTCCTCATGCCTGCCAAGTCACTTCCACTGGCCGTCTATACCTTCTCAACTGAATGGGCAGAGCTCTCCAAAAACCAAGCTCCAAGAATGAGAAGGCACAAGTAAAAAAGCACAAAAATCCCAAGTTTAGAACCAAACCAAACAGGTTCCCATGATGTGAAAGGCCTAGCTGGCTCCCTCTAGGGTGGTGGTGTATAACTGAAGGCTCACCCTTGGCCGTCCTTGCTGTCTGGGAAGGGTGGCTTGGTAGCTAAGCGTATAATTCCCATCCAACCCCATCGTTGCTTGGGAACACTTGGAACTGCACCTGGGCACCTCGGCGCCCTAGTCTCACATGGGTCAGAAGGGAAAATTCATCCCGAATCCGCCTCCTTCTTGGTGCCGGTTCTGTTGTAGCTGTCTCATCTCAGTGGAGGCAGGCCACTTGTGGCTTCTGACCAAGACTTCCCCACACAATGACCTGACTCCCTGTGCTCTGGGCCAAAGGTGCCTGTTGCTCTCCCTTTACCTTCCCAGAGGACTTTCTGCTAAGGAGACTAAGAGCTGATGGGCCTGACTCGAGACTAAATGACAAGGGATACTCATGGCCCTGGGCTGACCTGGGAGCAGCTGGCGATGGTGCTGGTGGGCAGGCCGATGGAGGGGGCCCAGGCCACATCTCGAACCCAGTCACTGTGCGCTTCTAGCTTCTGCTCCTCCTTCCACTGGCCGTCCTCCTCCTCCCTAACAGTGGGGACAGAAAGAGAATCAGCAGGGGGCCGTTCCCACACCTCAACTCCTCCCCAACCCAACAGGCTCTGCCTGGGGTGGAGAAGCGATTCCATCTTTCTTCTTTCATTCATGGAGTTTGTGGCATTTTATTCCCTTCACCCCAGCTGTAAAAAAAACCCTCCAGAAAATGCTCTGCTTCCACAGCCAAAGAGTCAGCTCCAACAGTTGGGAATTAGGTGAACAGGTGTTGTGTTGTTTTTCAAGGATGTCCTCCAACAGATTGAAAACAGTATTTTACTGGCAGGAGGGAGAAAGAAAGGTGACCTTGTTTCTTGTGAGTGTGGCTGAGTCATGGTGAGTAGGGTAAAGGGTAGAAGTGTCCCCTCAAAGAGAAGGCCACACATCCCTACTTACTTCCACAGCTTGATGAGGTTGTCACAGCCACCTGATGCAAACCTCTTGATGTAATTGGGTTTCTGCCCCGATGGGTGGTCTATGAGGCTTCCAGGTACAACAGCAGGGGCCCAGCTGACGGCATTGCAGCCAATCTGTAAAGATGGGACACATGGTGACTCTGCCTTGCAAGAGAACACTGCTTCTGCAGACCCAAGCCTGCTGTCCCTCTCCCCTCCGCTTCTCAGGACTGGAGTGTGTGTGAAGGCTGACATGAAGCACTCATCATGGGGTCCACTGCTCAGAATTCTCCCTCAAGGATCCCAACAGTGTGTGCATTTTTCTGCAGTGTGCGCTAAAAGTAGAAATTAAGAACTCCCACAAGTTTAAGAAACAGGACATTTTCTAAACACATGAAAGAATGGTACATTGGAGCTTTTTTTTAAGAAAAATCTTTTATTATAAAGTAATAGATCAAGAAACAAGAATTCTGCCACCTGCCTGAAAAGCCCTGTCATTATGCCCTTCCTAATCACAGCTCCCTCTTCCACTATAAGTAACCACTGCCCTAACTTCTAACCCATTTTCCCCCCATTTTATCACCCAAATGTGCACCCCTAGATACTATAGTTTAGTCTTGTCCATTAAACATTTTTTTGGATGTTTTTTACATCTCCTACTTTGCAGATTCCTCCTCTGATTTTTTTCCTTACAATTTTTCTGCTGAAGAGAGCCTAGTCTCTCGGTCTGGGTTTTGCTGCTTCATATGCAGTTCAATATGTTCCTCTGAATTCCTGAAAACTGTCAGCTGGAGCCAAGACTGGACAGACTCAGGTGTGATCCCTTTGGCAAGACTAGAGCTGGTGCGTTCTCTCATCAGGAGGCACGTTAGATTGTCTCTTATATTAACAGCTGTCAATAACTCAGGCCTCTCTTAATTCACTGGGGCTTGTAAAATGGTGATACTCTAATTCCATCCTTTCTTTGTCATTTATTCCATGGAATGCTCCAGATAGGGACACTTCTTCTCATTAACTATTCAGTTACCCAGGGATAGAGGTCTGATATGGTTTGGCTGTGTCCCTACTCAAATCTCATCTTGAATTCCCACGTGTTGTGGGAGGGACCTGGTAGGAGGTAATTGTATCACAGGGGCAAGTCTTTCCCATGCTGTTCTCATGATAGTGAATAAGTCTCGCTAGATCTGACGATTTTAAAAATGGGAGTTTTTCTGCACAAGCTCTCTCTTTTGCCTGCTGCCATCCACGTAAGCTGTGACTTGTTCCTCCTTGCCTTCTGCCATGACTGTGAGGTTTCCCCAGCTACGTGGAACTGTGAGTTCTCCATCCTCTTTCCTTTGTAAATTGCTCAGTCTTGGGTATGTCTTTGCCAGCAGCGAGAAAACAGACTAATACAAGGTCAAAAAGGAAAGGCTGGATAAACGCTTGATTCTTTCTGAACTGGTTCTATCACTTTCCAAAGATGACTGATTCTCCTCTTTATTTATTATTAACAATTTTTTTTTTTAAAAATTGAGACAGGGTCTCACTGTCACCCAGGCTAGAGTGCAGGCTGGTAAGATCATGGTTCACTGCAGCCTCAAACTTCGTAGGCTCAAGTGATCCTCCCACCTCAGACTCCCAAAGTACTGGGATTATAGGTGTGAGCCACTGCCTTTTTTTTTTTTTTGAGACAGAGTCTGGCTCTGTTGCCCAGGATGGAGTGCAGAGGCGCGATTTTGACTCACTGCAACCTCCACCTCCCAGGTTCAAGTGATTCTCCTGCCTCAGCCTCCCGTGTAGCTGGGACTGCAGGTGTGTGCCACCACGCCTGGCTAATTTTTGTATTTTTAGTAGCGTCGGGGTGTGTTAGTCCATTTTCACGCTGCTGATAAAGACATACCTGAGACTGGGCAGTTTACAAAAAAAAGAGAGGTTTAATGGACTTACAGCTCCATGTAGCTGGGGAGGCCTCACAATCATGGCAGAAGGCAAGGGAGGAGCAAGTGACATCTCACATGGATGGCAGCAAAAAGGGAGAGAGAGCCTGTGCAGGTGAACTCCCCTTCATAAAACCATCAGATCTTGTGAGACTTATTCACTATCAAGAGAACAGCATGGAAAAGACCTCCTCCCATGACTCAACTCCCACTGGTTACCCCCTACAACACATGGGCATTCAAAATGAGATTTGGGTGGGGACACAGCCAAACCACATCATGGGGCTTTGCCATGTTGGCCAGGCTGGTCTTGAACTCCTGAGCTCAGGTGATCCGCCTGCCTCAGCCTCCCAAAGTGCTGGGATTACAGGTGTGAGCCACTGTGCCTGCCCTGGGCCCAGCCTTTTAACCCTCATTTCGTCTTAGTTCTCTACAAGTAACTATATATTTATGCTGAAGTCTTTGTAGTCATTTTAGTTGTGTGACTTGTATCCTCTAGTAGATTTCTCAGGAAGGGCTCCTAGAAACAATAGTCCCTGAATTCTTGCATATTGATAATAGTTCATATCCTTTACACTCAAAAGCTAATTTTAAAAACAGCTTTGATATAGTATAATTGACATAAACTGCATATCAAGTGCATGATTTGGTGAATTTTGACAAAAATATATCCTGTAGGATCATCACATCACCTCAATCAAGATAAGGAACATGCCCATCATTCCCAAAAGTTTCCTCGGATCCCCTGGTAATCCATCTCCCCATCCTGCAGCCCCCAATCGTGGTGACCATGGGCCTGCTCAGCTGCATTTCCTAGATATTACAGCAGTGGAATCACAGTGTGTCCTTTTTCTTCTTTTTTTCACTCAGCATAATTATTTTGAAATTTATTCTTCATCTTATTTTGTTAAGTCATTTCTTTTTATTGCAGTCATTTCTTTTTATTGCTCGCAGTATTTCCAAAGTATGGATATATCACAACTTATCATTTACCTGTTGATGGACATGTGGACTATTTCCAGTTTTTGGCTATTAAAGCTGCTATAACCTTTTGTGTATAAGTCTTTGTGTGAACTTCAAAGTCAATTTTCCTGGTTATAAATCCTTGGCTCACACTTTCTTTCCTGGAGTATTTTAAACATGTTATTCTTTTTTCTTCTGCACCAATCCTTACTATTGAAGAGTCTGACAATAATCTAATTGTCTTTCCCCTTTAAGTCACAAGGTTCCTTTTCTCTAGAACCCCCCAAAATTTTCTTTAAAGTCTAATAATTTTACTAGAATTATATCTTTTTGTTGGTGATGCTGAGTTGAATTTTTTTTTTTTTTTTTTTTTTTAGAGACGGGGTCTCACTATGTTGGCCAGGTTGGTCTTGAACTCCTGGCCTCAAACAGGAGTTCACCTCGATCTCCCAAAGTGCTAGGATTACAGGCTGAGCCATCACGCCTGGCCTTGATTTTTTTTTTTTTTTTTTTTTTTGAGACAAGTCTTGCTTTGTCGCCCAGGCTGGATTATAATGGCGTGATCTTGGCTCTCTGCAACCTCTGACTCCCGGGTTCAAGCAATTCTCTTGCCTCAGCCTTCCGAGTAGCTGAGATTACAGGTGTGCGCCACCACGTCTGGCTAATTTTTGTATTTTTAGTAGAGACGGGGTTTCGCCATGTTGGTCAGGCTGGTCTTAAACTCCTGACTTCAGGTGATCCGCCCACCTCAGCATCCCAAAGTGCTGGGATTACAGGCTGAGCCACTGCGCCCGGCTGATATTGTTAAGTGTGGGGTATGATCTCTCAATCTCAAGTTTCAAATCTTTGTTTTTTAATTTTAAGAAAGTTTTCTGGATTACTTTTTGGTATTCTGTTTTCCTTTCCAGGGACTCCTGGTATTCGTATGTCTGACCTTTCTGCCTGTCTTTACTTTTGGTCAAAACCTTTTTACCTCTTCATTTTTTTGCTCTTGAAATGTTTCCTTTTTCACACTGTTTATCCTTTTCAGGCAGGATCTGCTGTGTTCATCGACACTTGCATTTCGTCTTAGTCTTTCTTTACTTCTGAAATGATTTTTAATTCTAATTCTTTCCTGAGTTCTGTCACCTTATTTCTGATTTTTAAAAAGTTGATTTACACTATTCTCTCTTGTTTTGTATTGTTAGAATGTCACCTGGCTTGATTTGAAATAGCAGGTTACAGCTTGGCTCGGTTATGTGGGCATGTCTTTCTAATGTGCTCTCATTGTCCGCAGGGAGGTTATTTTGCATATTCTTGTTTCTTATATAACAACTGTATGCAATTTCACTTCAAATACTTTTCTGTTATTTTTAGGTGAGATGAGTTTTCCTGATAAGAAAGGCTCAGGAAAGTCTAAGCTCAGAACTCTCCCTTGTTTCTGTGTGGTGTTAAAAAACGTGGGAGATGGCTTTCAGGAGTTCCTGTCTTTGTTCCTCTTCCCCACATTGGTCTACATCTCATCCTTCCTTTCCTGTGTCCCTATCCAGCTCAACTGTGATTTCATTTCCTGCAGTTCTTCCTCCTGAGGGGCCCTGTCCCAGAGGCTTGCTCTGGAGGATCACAGAGCTCAGATTTCTTCCCGCCCCTTCAGCCTTTCTTATTGTGGGCCGCTTCCACTCACTCGGTGTTACAGAGTGCAAACCCCTCCTGGTCATTTCTCCAAAGGCCCCCAGAAGATGCTCACCATCATCTTTGATTAGCAAAATGCAAATAAAAATCACAATAAGGGCCGGGTGTGGTGGCTTACACCTGTAATCCCAGCACTTTGGGAGGCTGAGGTGGGCGGATCACTTGAGGCCAGGAGTTTGAGACCAACCTGGGCAAAATGGTGAAACCCTGTCTCTACTACAAATACAAAAATTAGCCGGGTGTTGTGGCGTGTGCCTGTAATTCCAGCTGCTCAAGAGGCTGAGGCATGAGAATTGCTTGAACCTGGGAGGCGGGGGTTGCAGTGAGCCGAGATCATGTCACTGCACTCCAGCCTGGGTGACAGAGCAAGCCTCCGTCTCAAAAAAACAGAACAAAACAAACCCAAAAAATCACAATAAGATACCACCTCACATTCACTAGGACAGCTGTAACCAAAATGACAGACATATGTTAGTGAGGATGTGGAGAAATTAGAACCCTCATACACTGCTGATGGGAATGTAAAAGGGTACAGTTACTTTGCAAAACAGTTTAGCAATTCCTCAAAAAGTTAAACACAGAATTACCATATGACTCAGCAATTTCACACCTAGGTATAGACCCAAGAGAATTAAAAACATATGTTCATGCAAAAACTTATCTGCAAATGTTCATAGCAGCATTATTCATAAGGCCGAGAACATCCATCATCTGATGAATGGATAAACAAAATGTCTATATTCACAATGGAGTATTATCCAGCCATAAAAAGGAATGGAGTGCTGATACACGCTATGATATGGATGAAACTTGAACTCATTATAGTAAGTAGGAGAAGCCAGTCACAAAAGACCACAGATTGTCTCATTCTATGTACAACTGATCCTCAATTTCATTTCATTATAATGCTGACAAGATTAAAAAAAAAAAAACAACTCCCAGCGGGGGCCCCTGCCTGTGTGGAGTCTGTGTGTTCTCCCTGTGTCTGCGTGGGCTCTCTCCTGGTACTCTGGTTTCCTTTCACACAATAAAGATGTGCATGTTCACTTCAATGGTACGTCTGCATTGTCCCAGTGTGAGTGTGGGGGTGTGTGTGAGTGCTCCTCTGGTGGAATGGTATCCTGTCCAGGGCTGGCTTCTGCCTCATGCCCTAAGCTGCCAGGACAGGCTCCAACCACCTGTGACCCTGAACTGGAATGAGTAGATTAGAAAAAGAATAGATACAAATTATTGTAGAATTAAACTCATAAAATATCCAATAATCATACAGATGCATGACAGCAAACGATGTGGCATTAGTCATATGAGCCCCCCACATTGGTTATTGTTGGTTTTTGAACTGTGTGGTGGTAGGAGGTAGGACATTGATGTTCGCTTTGCAAACATTTATTCCTTGATTGAACCACCAACATCACGACCACTGTCACTCGCTGATTCACCAAAAGTTGGGTAAAGAATGACCTTGTTTATATTAATCTTTCTTAAATGTATGCATAGCTCACATACTTTTTAAAAGTTTTAATAACACCACTCCATTCTACAGGGTCCCAATGACTACTGCAGGGCATGTCACCTGGAGGCAACCATAGCTAAGGTGGCAGTGAGCAGGCTGCTGCTGCACCAGCCCTCCCCTGCTTGGGAGCACACAACAAGGAAGCAGTGCCAAGCCCTGCCTGGTCTGGCTTCAGGGCAGAGAGGCTCAAAGCTGCTCTAGAGCAATCATGTCTGGTCAGCTGACCACTCCCCGGCCCACTGTCCAGCGGGGACCCTCCCGTGCCACCCTCTAGGGAGGCTGCAGCAGACACGGGGCAAGGCAGGCGCTCTCACTGCACGAAAGGCAGGGGATGGACTCACGGTGTGAGCGTTGTTGATCTTCTTTACTTCCCATTGGCCTTCCCCGGTGTAAGTCAGCAGGGAGATGGCCCCATCCGAGCTCCCACAGGCCAGGATCAGGCCGTAGTCATGGGGGGCCCAGCACACCGAGTTCACTGCGGGAAGAGGGAGAGTGCAGTGAGCAAAGCAGGGAGACCGCGGCCCCAGGTCCCGCCTTCCACAGATTTACTGTTTTACTAAATGTCTACAACAAACAACTGTAGGAGTCACCGGGGGAAGCTGTAACTTGGTCAACTGAGGACACAAAAAAACCCCATCACCTACTAATACCACGATTTCATAACCTACAGTCTATCTAACAAAAAAGTGGGTAGGAAAACAATCTGAGAATGAAGGGTAGTCCTTGCAATGAATAATCCTGAAGAGAAACTCACCTGTCTTTTCTTATTTGCTTTGGACTGGCTTTAGGTCTTAGGGCCTTACTCAGCTGAGGACAGAGTAGCAGAAAAGCCAACCAAAGCTCAAGAGACAGACAAGAGGCACCACGAGGGGCAGGGAGCCAGGGCTCCAGCCGGGACAGAGTCCTTTTTTACCCAGTGGTCCCCTTGCCCGCTCTGCTGCCAAGCTCAGCATACCTGAGGAGTCGTGTCCCGCATGCTCGTGGCTCTTCTCCCAGGTGCCGTTTTCCTCTCTCCAGATAATGACTTTCCGGTCATAGGAGCACGATGCCAGGATGTTGCCGTACATGGGGTGAGCCCAGGCCACTTGCCACACAGGACCCTCATGACTACAAAGGGAGAGATAGGCCAGAGGAACCCACAGTGCCTCTGCAGGCACTACTTTGGACAGAACTAAATGGCTCCCTGAGACGATATATCAGGGCAGAATTGCTTAAGAACTTCAAAGGGAGAACTATACAATGCCATTGCAAAAGGGGTGCTCAGTGGACAGTGAGGAGCCTGAGGTCCTAAGAGGTTAAGCAACCTAAGGTCACAGAGCCTTTGAGAGAGAGTTGAGCCTCTGGGTCAGCCTTCCTGTCCTGGCCAGGCAGGAGCCTCACTTGCCCAGACTGCAGCCAGCACTGTCTGTATGTGCTGTCTACAGCATAGTCATTAATTGGTCCAAGGTTTCCAGCCAGAAGTGTTCAGGAAATATTTGTAGACTGAATTGCTATTCATCCTTCCCGACGGTCAGCTTCCTGAGGAGGCATTATTGGTTTCATTTTGATGTTTTCCACTACTCTTTTAATTTGTTCGAAAGGCATGTCTTTCCCTTCTCTTCTGATCTTTATCCATTCACCTGATAACAGGTGCTATCTGAGCACATGCTCTGTGCCAGGCTTTGTACGGTGACCATTTCTCTGGCCCAGGGAAGGTTTTGCACCTTAGCACTCAAGAGGTAGAGTAGCATGGTAGAGTTAGTGGTTAGGAGACCAGACCCATTCTCCCATTCACTAGCTCTTGACTTTAGGCAAGGATATCTTTGTCTCTTTACCTGAAAATGGAGACATCAATAAGAATTCTTTCATAAAGTTTGGAACAATGCTTGGTAGAAGGAAAGAAAAAAGCCACTCAATACCCATTAGCTATTAGTGCTGCTCCTGGTTTACTCCTTCACCGTGGGCTGCACACACTCAAGTCTCCTCCTCCCTCTGGCTGGGACAACAGGACATTCCCAGTCCCTACAAAGCTGCTGCTAATGAAACTGAGTAGACTCAATCTTCCAACAACTAGCACAGTTTTTACTAAGGGGAAAAAAGAATGGGGTGGGAATTTTTTTTATCCCTCCAATATTTCACATCCTTTGAATGTAAGAAAAACAGCAGAAAGGACAGAGTCACAGCAAACATAACTGCCTTGGCCAACACGCTGCACTGCAGCAGCTCTCTGCCTGCCTGGGGGGCTCCTGCATAGAGAAGCTTGATTTGGCTCCTCAGTCACTTGATCATTTGACACTCAGACAGAGGGGAGCTTCTAGGCCCATTTCCCCAAATGGACACTGACTTAGTTTATGCTTTTTAATTCAGTGAACAAACACATGCTGAGCACCCACCTGTCATGGCTCTTAATCTTTTCTGTGCATTCTGGGGAAGGTTATGGACCCTCATCAGACTAATGTACAAAACACACAGAACTAGGCTTATAAAGAAAATTCAATTATAAATTATACAGTAATCAACTTTTTTTTTTTGAGAAGGGTTTCACCCTGTCATCCAGGCTGCAGTGCAGTGGCACCATCGTGGCTCACTGCAGCCTCAAACTCCTAGGCTCAGGCCATCCTCCCACCTCAGCCTCCCAAAGTGTTAAGGATTACAGGCGTGAGCCACCTTGCCCAGCCTGTTATCAAAATATTATAAAGCAATTTATGAGATAGTGATGCATGTACTTCTTTGTTAACACTTCAAGCAACAAACCCTAGCGGCAGGTCTAATAACCACTGTAATTTCAAAGTTGTGATGAGCATAAGTGGTATTTTGAGGTAGCTAAGTAACCGTGATGTGTGATGACAATATCTGTGAATTCTACTGGTGACAAAGTGACAGGCACTACAAATACTACTGAAGTTTCTGGCCTACATCCATAATTGAAGGAAATGCTAAATATCAGAGTCACTGAAAATGCATTTTTTTCCCCCTGTCCCAATTCATCAACCCCTGAACTCTATTCACAGAACCCTTGGAGATCCACGGCACCCAGGCAAACCCACAAATACGTGAAAGGCAGTGAGCTGAGGGAAAGCAGTAGAGATGTGGCCATAAAAATGAGCCAGGACTTCCTCAAGAATCTCAGTAGGGAGCAGGGCAGGTCAAACATTTGTAAATAATCACTGAACACGTGCCACGGGCATATAGGCAGAACAATGGGATTTATAAAATGATAGCATTCTTACATTATTCTTACGGTGATGCTTTTGTGACACTTTAGGTCATACTGGCTAAACTTGAACGAAATGGTACTGTTTACCACTTTTAAAAGTAGCAGTAGCTGCCTGCACTAAAGACTTACTGTGTCCTGGGCCCTGTGTCAGGGCCTTGCATACACTAGCTGGATAGGAGGTAGCATTGGCCCAATTTTGAGGATGAGCAGATGAAGGCTCTGAGAGAGAAACTGAGTCACTTGCCCAAGGTCTTCTGGTGGGTACACATAAAGTGGCAGAGCTGAGATTCACACCTGTATCCACCTGTGCCCTTAACAGCATCATCCCTGGGGACGTCCGCTGAGGACAGCCAGGCTGGCTGGGATCCCAGCGTCCTCTCCGCTAAATGTGCTTTGGGGTTGCTCTGAATCTGGGCTCCCATGCTTTGCTCCCACGCTTGAAGCAGGGCCTGAGAACCCACACCATTCCTGGAGCCCTTCCCTGGGCTCGCCAGCACTTACCCCCTGAGGTCGGCGATAAGGATCTGCCCTCCATTGCGCACATCAAAGATTTTGACGGACCTGTCTGATGAGCAGGTTGCCAGGCGGGTGCCATAGTAGTCCATCTGGGCGTCGTGCTGCAAAGGGAGGACAGCTCGGGAAGCCTGCAGGCTGGGTGGGTGGGTGGGTGGGGTGAGGGCTGTCACTACACAGAGTCTAGTTTGGACCAGAATCTCCCTGAAATCAATCTGATCTCAAAGTATCATCACCCTCAGGCAGGAAGCTAGCATGTGGACATTCTCACTTCACCTATGGGCAGTGTCTCTCTGAAATGGACAAAGCAAGCCATGCCCAGCTGGTGTCACAGACCCTTTACATACCTCAGGGAAGGGCTCTTCCATTCCTGTTCCGCAGGGTGGGTATGGGAGAAAAAAAGTTGGCCTAGCTGCCCTCTTCTTCCTCCATCCTCTCAGGCCCTATTCAGTTCTTAGGCTCTGTGGGCTAAAGGGGAATACCCCTGGGTTCAGCTCAGCCCTAGCACCTGATGCTAATGCATGGGAGCAGGCCAAAGGAGTGGGCCTCTGACTGCCTGGAGTCCCCAGTCAGGTCTTCTGTGATGCAGCTCTGGCCTGCACACAGGGTTCCATTCAGATATTTGGGCTCTTTCCAGCCCTGGCCCTGGATCCTTTGTGGACCTTTGTTTTGGGGCTTCTGCTCGACCTTTTCCCTAGTAGTGTGCCCAGAGCTTCCCAGACTTTCCACCCAAGGAACACAATGCCTTAAGTGTCGCTGCTCTCACCACTTGTGAACCGAATTCCTTGATGCTGACTGAGCATGCAGAACTAGGCCTGGCCCCTACCTGCAGATCCTTGTCCGCAGGGTGATGGTCTCTGAGGCACCATGCCTCCTGCACCACTGAACACCCTGGTCCCTTCTGCTTGCTGGCCCTGCCTATTCCAATGGATGTCCCTTTCCCCAGCTGTCCCACCCTGGGAGTTTCAGGACTATCAGCTGCACTCCCATGGCCACCAGGGGCAATTATGCCCATTCAAAGGCACTCATTCTGTCTGGCTCAGATGGGAATTCTCACCTCCCTACGCAAGGAACACATCCTGATTTTTCTTTGGGAACTCCCTCCACTGTATCAGGCCTTGGTTTCTTGGAGGGCAGGCAGTAGAGGAGTGTTTCTGAAGCACTTCTCATGCTTCTCAGTGGAAGGAGGCAGGACATAGTACCTTTCAGATCTAAATCCTATCTCCTTAGTTTACCTGCTGTGCAAACTTTGAAAACACTTCATCTCCTTGAGCTTCAGTTTCCTTATCTTTATTATTTACCAACATCCTATGGGCCTTAGTTCCCTTATCTTTAAATAAGGCTAAAGATAGCATCTGTCTCAACAGTTGTTATGAAGGTTAAACAAGATATTGAATGAAAACTCACGCCTGTAATCCCAGCACTTTGGGAAGCTGAGGCGGGCGGATCACCTGAGGTCGGGAGTTCGAGACTAGCCTGACCAACATGGAGAAAACTTGCCTCTACTAAAAATACAAAATTAGCTGGGAGTGGTGGCGCACGCCTGTAATCCCAGCTACTCGGGAGTCTGGGGCAGGAGAATTACTTGAACCCGGGAGGCGTAGGTTGCGGTGAGCTGAGATCACGCCACTGCATGCCAGCCTGGGCTACAAGAGCGAAACTCCATCTCAAAAAAAAAAAAAAAAAAAAAGAAAAGTACTTAGCATGGGGCCTGACACTCAGTGAGCATGCAAATGTTTGTCATTACTACTTGGCCTCATCTAGTTCTCAAACCAAACTCATACGAGTAGGTAGCATATCCATTATTTTTCCCGTAAGTAAATTGAGGCTGGCTCAGAAAAGTTAAGATATTGGCTAGGGAGTCTCAGACTGGGTCTTCCTGCCCATGATTCCATGCTATCTCCAAGGAGGTGTGGTCTTACAGCTAGACCACTCATGACTGAATCCAGAGAACATATACAACTCTGGGACCAGACAACCTCTCAGAAACCCAAAAGCAACTGTTGGTGGACAGGTTGTGAGGGCAAGAACCCTGACATGAAACACTGTCAGCCAGCTGTCCTGGGTCTTGCTCAAAGGCTGCTTGGCCCTGAATGAAGCAGAGTCTGTGTTTTTCCTGCGGTAGACTTTAACCTCTGGACCTTCTCCTGCAGCCCTGTCCTCTTATACTGAGCCTTGTGTTTACCTCTCAGGAAATGCCCTGAGTGTGGACTTCTGGTTCAAAGGGCCTTGTCTGGCCTATTGTCTTGGTGGTTTGACTGGGCTCTGCCTGGGGCTTTCACTGTGGCTGCCCTCTGCCTTTGTATTGAGTCATCTTTCTACACTCTCTTCTTTTCACCCCCCTTTCCAGTGGGGCTAAGAAGTGACAGCAGGAGGAAGACAGGTGGGAAGACTATTGTCAAGCCTCCGTACCCACTCAGCCTTCATCCGAGAGCAGGTTATTGTATTGGCTGGAAGACTGACAGCCTAGAACTACAAATTATTCCCAGGTTCCTCCCAGCAGAGAGTGATTAGACTGCCACAGTCCTGACAACTCAGAGGGCACTGCTAGGGAGCCTGCCATACCCCGAGATTACAGGCTGATAGGCAACCACTGCAAAGCCACCCTGGATCCATGAATGATCAACAGAAAGGGGTAATGAAAACCCCAAATTGCTTCCCTCCCACAAAAATGCCCATGTCCACACCCCTCCAGGGAGGGTGATATTAATACTTACAATCATGTCCTCATGGGAGGTATCCACAGTGTTAATTACTGACACCTAGAACCAAAGATATCACTGGTAAATTAACTCATGGCAGTTAGAATACAACCATCTCAAGTTCTTGACTGCATTTGTTTGTTCACTCACTCATTCATTCATTCATTCAGTAAGCATTCATTCTAAGTACCTTCTTTCTGCCAAGCACTGTGCTAGGAACTGGATATACAGACACAAATAAGAGGAACTTTTTGCCCTTGAGAAGCTCGCGAATAATGCTAGTGTCGCAAGATAAATTATTTAATGGTGGTTTGTGTGTCCTGTAGGAGCCTGAGGGGCTGGGGTGGTAGACACGAATTGAGCCCTAGATGATGGGTAGGAATTTGCAGGTGGCACAGGGGAAAATACCAGTCCAAGCAGCCAAGCAGAGGGAATACACGAGTAGAGACAAAGAGGTCTGAGAGAGCCTGATGTGTGTGGGGAAACGGCAAGCAGTCCTGGCTACCCTTAAGGTTGAGGAGAGACCCCAAGGGAGCTACAGCTGGTGTTCCTTTCCTGGATGACAGAGCCTCTGATGTTCCAGGCAGTTTATGCATAACGGGGTTATTACTTCAGACTGGGAGACTTGATTCGAGTGTTTCCTGAGGCTGCTCCCTGGTCCGTCACGTAGTGGGATCCAGAGTTGAACAGTTTGTAGGGCTGGAACATGGTGTCATGGTCATCTCCCTCCTATCTATTCTTTGAGGTCCAGCTCAAAAAGGGCCATCCATCACCTTTCTTGAAGATTCTCAGACCCTCAAATGGCTGGACTCTCTTGCATATCTTCAGCAAGGAACACATACAACACTTTATGCTGTTTCTTCTCCCCACTAGAAGGTGAGCTCCTTGGAGCCATGGTCTGAGCCATCTGCAGTTTCAAATCCCCTCAAATCATCCAGCACAGTGCTTTGCAAATAGAAGGAACTCAGCGACTATTTGCTGAATGAATAAGTAAATGAACAAAAGCTGTTATTTTTTTTCTTTGCTCAACCACTCTTCTCTTAAATTCTTGGGATAGAAAAGAGGACTTAAAAGAAGTTTCAGTGTGGAACAGACATTTCTTACCATTTTCCCCATTTCATCTTTTCCAGCACAAGCCCTGTAGGTATAAAGTTTGACTTGTGATTTCAGAAAGGCAGACAGTGGAAGAGGATGGCTGCAAAGCAGTTCAAGAGGTACACACCAAGTAAGCACAGGTTCTCTCATCAGATTCTAGACTCTCTAAAAACCAGGTCCCCGAAGTCTGCAAAGGCAAGTAAGGACAATAAGGAGTTTCCTCCATGTGCCGAGCTGTATAGGTTACAAAGTGCACAGGAAGGCGGGGAGGGCAGGGTACCAAGGGCACAGTCAATCAGAGACCTGCGACAGACTAAGGAAATGAAGAAGCCCAGAGAAGAGAAAGCACTTGCCAAAGTCACAGAGCTAGTTCAAGGCAGACCTGGGAAAAGAGCCCCATCCCCTAACCTTCTAATGCTGAGTCCACAAAACTTCACTCCACCAGGCTGCCTGTCTAGAATGTAAAGCAGTTGTTACACTGAGTTCTGTAAAGCTGCGGTTAAGTAGGTTCACGAAGAAAGTTTACTGAGAGGTAGTTTCAACCAGGTTACCAAAGGACCTTAGAAATAATCAGCATTTAATTCTAACCACTCTCACCCACCAGTCAGGGTTGATGAACCACACTTCTGAATGAGAGAGAGAGAGAGAGAGAGAGAGAGAGAGAGAAGGCGGGGGGGGGGGGGGGGGAGGAAAGAGGGAGGGGGAGAGAAAAGGACGGAAGGAAGGAGGAAGGGCGGGAGAGAAAGGGAGAGGGAGAGGAAGGGGGGAGGAAGAGGGAGCGGGGAGAGAGAGAGAGAAGAGAGGGAGGGGGAGAGAGAGAAAGGGAGAGGGAGAGGAAGGGGGGAGGGAGAGGGAGTGGGGAGAGAGGGAGGGTGGGGAGAGAGAGAGAGAGAGAGAGAACTTCTTAGAGTACTTCTTCCCAGGGACCTGGTATTATCTGGTCCCTGTTAACACCTGCACTCAAAATAATTCACCTCTTTGAGATCAGATAATGAGTTAAAAATTCATTTAGGATGAGCTGAATGTCAGAGCATAAAAGCCTCAACTCTAACCTGCAGTGGAAGAGCCAGAGGTGAGTGATTTACACCTAACCCTCTGCAGAACAAGAACACAGTGTTCTGATTTCTAGGTTCCTGCAGGTTCCCTCAAACCTGCTGCTGAGACACACCCATGTTTCTAAAAGAATGCATGTACTAGATATTCCAGGCTCAGCCCAGATACTTCCATTCTTTAGTTCTCCTTCAGTCATTCATTCACTCAAGGAGTAAGTGTGGAGTGAATGTACACTGCAGATGCCACAGAGACTTAAAAAACCCTGAGCCCCTGCCTTCGGAGGGTCGTTCAGGCCATCTTTACGTTTCCCGAGGTGCCCATCCTACCTGGGGGCCCTACCCCGAGCAACAGTTCAATCATCTCTGCTGGGAGCTGCAGTAGGCGGCAGAAAGGAATGGTTAGGAGGGTTCAAATCTCGGCTCTACTACCACTTAAGCAGCTGTGCAAGAGGCTCCACGTCTCCGAACCTCAAGTGTCCTCATCTGTAAAGTGTTGAGAAGAATAGCACCTTCTTCACAAGGCTGTTAGCAGGCGGAGATTACGAACAATGCTGAGGGCTCGGTATACAGTAGCTCCTCTGCTGTTCCTCGTTTTGTTTTCAATTGTTGACCGAAAAGAAGGAAGGGAGACTGGCAGGAGACGCAGGAGCGGCGCGCCCCGCAAAGTCAGGGAGGTTCCTCGGCCTCACCTCTGGACTCCCCTCGGAATGGTCCGCAAGGACGGGGCCAGAGCCCCCCAAATCTCTAAGCGGTGGAGGGGAGCTGAACGGCTCCAGCTTGGGATTTGGGACTCAGGACGGCCGAGGAACCCGTGAAGGCCGCGACCGTGGCCTTCACCCTGCTAGGCCTCCTCAGTACCAACACTCACCATGATTGCGGCGGTGGCTGCTCCAGGTCTCGGACGTGGCAGCTCCCGGCGGCGCCTCGGAACAGCTCACTTCCGGCGCCGGGCCCGACGGGCCGTGGCGTAGGAGCCTCCGGGCAGCAACGCGCTCGGCTCGCACAGCAGTTCCGCGCCTTCCAGAGGGCGCGCCCCGCCCTCCCGTGGCCCAGCCCCTATCCTCCAGTGACGTGCGAGACCAGAGGGCTGGGGCTCTGGTTGCCGCAGTTACCCTGACCCGGAGGGCTTTGGAATCTGAAGCTCTGGTGGGTCTACTCTCCCGACCAAGTCTGCCCTTTTCCTGAGATCCATAAATGAAAGAAAGGATTAATATAACTATCGGCCGGGCGCGGTGGCTCATGCCTGTAATCCCAGAACTTTGGGAGGCTGAGCTGGGGGGTGGATCACCTGAGGTCAGGAGTTCGAGACCAGCCTGGCCAACATGGTGAAACCCCGTCTCTACCAAAAATACAAAAATTAGCCGGGCATAGTGGCGCGCGCCTGTAGTCCCAGCTACAGGCTGAGGCAGGAGAATCGCTGGAACCCGGGAGGTGGAGGTTACAGTGAGCCGTGACTGCACCATTGCACTCCAGCCTGGGCAACAGAGAGACACTCTTGTAAAAAAGAAAAAAATCTATCTATCTATCTATCTATCTATCTATCTATCTATCTATCTATCTATCATCTATCTATCTGCAGCTTCACCCGCCTCACTACGGCTCTGGGTGCGACTGGTCTTATGATGAATGTTGTAGGATGAGTGACATCTTAGGAGTAAGTAGACTGTCCTAGTGCTTCCTTGTTGTAGTCTCCCTCTCAGTACCCAAGGACTGGGACCAGGGCAGAGGAGGCCAGGGAATGCCCCTCGCCAGAGGCTGGGACCTCTGGCCCTGCCATCCCTAACCCCTATATAGGACTGCCCCTTCCAAACCGATCCCCTGGGGTCCTGAGTAAGTCCCATCAAGGAGACCCCCCTAGGCAATGAAGGATCTCAGCCAGGCTCCTGCAGCTAGAGCCCCAGACCTAATCCTCAGGGTCCCCAACCCCAGGTCTCTGGCTTCACAAGGTAGGGCAGCTGAAGGCTCCCCACAAGCGCAGTGAGAATGCCACACTGGAGGACAGAGCCTGGGCTCCCCGCCTCAGCCACATATGGTCTAGCCCTGGGCCCCTTGTGACATTAAGGAGGCAGATGAGCTGGGGGAGGCCTTGGCTCCCCTTGGGCAAGTCACAGTCCTTCAGTTTCCTCTGCTGAAACTGGGAGTAAGGACCCTAGCTGGAGATGGTCACTGCTTGAAGGAAGATGTTAAGGCTCAGAGAATGTGATAGACCCAAACTGTCAAGGAGCTTTGGAGGGGAGGCCAGGGGAGTAGGGTGTTAGAATTAAGGGCCAGGCCTCTGGGCAACTCTTCTACCCCACTGCAGCTTTCAAGATTTTTTATTGCCCTCTAGTGGAGAAATTGTTGCAGGGGTGTGAGGGGGTGGTGGTTAGGTTAGAGCAGGGAACAAAGGCAGGTTTCAGGGGATCTCTTGGATCTCCTGTTGTTTTTTTTGTTTTTTTTTTTTTGGAGATGGACTCTAGCTCTGTTGCCCAGGCTGGAGTCCAGTGGTATGATCTTGGCTCACTGCAACCTCTACCTCCCGGGTTCAAGCAATTCTCCTGCCTCAGCCTCCTGAGTAGCTGGGATTACAGGCATGTGCCACCATGCCTGGCTAATTTTTGTAGTTTTAGTAGAGATGGGGTTTCACCATGTTGGCCAGGCTGGTCTCAAACTCCTGACCTCTGGTGATCTACTCTCCTCGGCCTCTCAAAGTGCTGGGATTACAGGTGTGAGCCGCTGCGTCCTGCCAGATCTCCTGTTCTTCAAGGAACAGGCTCTGGCCTTGGCTCTATAGCTGCACCACTGACTTTCTAGGTGATAAGGCCAAGTCACTTTTCTCTGAGCCTCACTTTCTTTGAGTGGAAAATGAGGACAAGGGCATATTAGATGTAAATATAATGCATCAGGCATAATTGTGATTAAAAGAATTTCCTTGTGTAGACACTGATGTTGAAGAGATTGGGGATTTGTGACAAGCAACAGAACTGTATCTTATTCATTAAGGTATTTGCTGTAAGGTATTTGGCCCATAAGGCGCTGTAATATGGCAGTTTAGAGTACAGATGCTGGCATCAAGACTGCTAGGTATCAGTGCTGGATCTCCTGCTTACCAGGTGGGCATGCTCTTCACCTCTTTGAGATGCTGTCTCCTGCTCTTTTGAGTGAGAATTATAATAATACCTCCTCTGAAGGTTGATATTGGGATTAAATGAACCCTTGGATATGAAACTGCGTATGGAAGTCAGATGGGCCTATGGCGCTTGATTTGGGGATCAGTTCAACCTAAGAAGAGCTGTGTGAGTGTGTGAGTGTGTGTGTAACTCTCAACCCTTGGGCCAACCTTAGGGATTACTTGTTGGTCTGGGCATATTCTCTTTCTCTGCCAATGTTCAGCAGAGGTTTGTGAAGTCCAGACTCCTCAGGTGCCAGGCTTCCCTCTGCCTTACCCCTCTCCCCAGTAGGGGGGTGCCACCTAGATCCAGTGTCTGTATTCCGCATCTCCTCCCTCTGGTTAATCCAGACCCCAAATCAGGCCAACTTTCCCTGATTTTTGCCCCCCCACCCCTTGCCCCCAAACCTCCTCCGCTTCGTCCTGAGGCCCCGTTCCCCAGTCTTCTTCTATGAGATGGTCAACCATTCCTCATAGGTTAATGGCTCATGGCAGGGTGAGCCTGTCTCCCTCAAATGGTGGGTGTTCAAAAGGTGTGATCTAGTGGAAGGAGAGAGACTGCCCGCTGAGCTGTGGGCCCTTGGGCAAAGTGCATTTCCCTCCCAGGGACTCAGTTTCCCCCTGAGTTCAACTCCACGAAGGGCGGGGACCCAGCTGTCCTTCAGAAAAAGGCCTTGTGATGTGTACCGTGTCTGCATTTCCACGTGTGCATTTATTGTTATTGCTCAGTATAGTGTTGAAAAGGCAGACAAATCCCATTAATTACAAAGAGCACAAGCCAAAGATACAGAGAAATAAAGAGTGTACAATAAGAGCACAGTCACTTCCCAGCCCCGATTGTCCCAGAGCCCCCCAGAGCCCGGGCAGCTTACGGAAGCTGGAGGCGGCACCATTCCCTCGCTACTCTATTATAAAATATGTGCACACAAGAGTTAGCAAAGTGTGGTGACCCCCGAGAGGAAAGGTCCAGGAGGGAGAGCACCACAGGCATTACAAAACAGACTTAGGGGGCTGAGAAGGGCAGTCCCAAAGCAGCCTCCAATATTGTTTTCAGTGGAGGGGGTGATGGCTGCTGCCTGGGGCTGGGGACCCTCCTCCCCCACCTGGGTTGGTATGATCTCTACATTAAAATCAGGAGAGCTTGGTTTGGAACTTTGAAAAGGCCTGGGGACTTCCTGCTATTGTCTGACTTCCCTCCTGGCTCTGGAAGGCCTAAAAGCCTTCAAGAAACGCTCTTCCCTACAAGAGCCTCTAATGGTGGGATTTTGGACACAATGGCAGGAGAGAGATTTGGGTGGGAGGCTTGTCAGAATGCACCAGGTTGGCAGCCTCCTGCAGGTAGCGCAAGAGTGGGCTAGGGGAGTGAGGGTTCCGAGAAGGCCCAGGCAAGAACTGCCTGCATCCCAAAGGTACTGGAGACTCCAAATTAAAGAGCAAGAAACTATCCCCCCAAAACAAAATGAAACAAAAACAACAAAAAACCAGTTCAGGAAAGGGAGATAGGAATAAAGGTTTCTCCATGATGAGAATTAGAAGTGCAGACAACTGGGCCACACATTCTTTCCCAGCTCCAGGCCTAGGAGAGACTCCTCTTTCTCGTCTGGACCAGGGACAGATGGCGGGTCCACCCCAACACAACCAAGGTGGGTGACTTTGGTTCCCAAGCTGAGATTGAGTGGGGGCCTGGTGACCTCTCATGACAACTCCTGGGCTTAGGGGGCAGGTGAAATGATGGGAGGAACAGCAGGCTTCTCTCAAGATCAGGATGCCCTTTTTGTCCCTCTTTACAGAACATAGTCTATTTCACAGCCCTGAGTGGACAGTAATTACAATGGGGGGAAGATGATGGCACAGGGAATGACAGAGCCCAGAATTTGGGGGTGGGAATGGGACAGGGGGTGGAGGACTGGGCACAATTTAAAGTTTATGTGGAAGAATAGATGTGAGAGAATAACTAGGAAATTTTGTAAAAGAAGAGTGAAGGGACTCATCCCACCACATAATAAGACATTAGAAATTGACAATAGTTAAAATTGTATGGCTGGTGCCAGATGAGACACCCAAGTAAGCGAAGAGAAGAGAAGTTCCAGAAATAGATCTAAGTCTATGTAAGACATCAGTGTGTGGTAAAGGTGGCATTTCAGCATGGTTGGGGAAAAGAGTGGCTTCCAACAACTGGAGGACCCAGGACAAGACAGGTTCAGAGTCCTTTGAGCCAGTGCAGTCATTTTAATTGGTCCAGTCTCAGAAATAGGACTGCCTCTCTCTTGTCATCTCTATGCTATGGTTGGGACAAGGGGACAAGGGGCCATGGTGAGGGGTTGGCGGGAGCAATGGAGGCTGCTCCTGAGTTAAAGAAAGCTCCGCCTGAGTTGCAAGAAGGAAACTCCTCAGAGCTCTCTCTGCTCACCTCCAAAGATGAGTGATTCTGCAGCGCCAGGAGTCACTGAACGGGCTCCCTGCCCTTCCCTCATCTGTTGAGGGGGAGACAAGTTGGTGAGCTTAGCTCTCAGAACCAAATCTGCCACTTACTCCTGGAGCCCTTGTCTAGAGGACAGAAAAGAAGCTATGTGGATGATGCAGTCCCAAAGTAGAAAAAAGTATACATTACAGATATATTTACTATGTTCTGTTTGATGTTGTTTTTTGCTTTTTTTTTTAAACCACAAACATTTCAGAACCACACTGCACGAGTCAGAAGAGCCAGCGATTGAAAGCATAACCATTGCATAGTATTAAATGAACAGAGATGGTGAGTTCTTTATTTACATTATTGTCTAGATAAAAAAATTCATAAAAACAGATGAATGGTCATAAATTATTTACCCCCTAATGGAGTGAACTGCCAAACGTACCCCATGCTGCTAGATATAGGACGCAGAGTGCAAGCTTTATGTACTACAGTGAGTTTTGACAAACCAACCATTTCGTGTGTGTGTGTGTGTATGTGTGCAAGTGTGAGAGTGAGGGGGTGCATGTGTGCAAGCATCCTTCATTCCTGACAAGAGAAGACCAACGCTAATGTTGGCATTCTTCCATCGCTCCCTGTTCCCTAAGCCAGGCTCCACTGAGAACCCCTCCTGGCTCCGAATGAACATGGAGCATGGTGTGCAAACACAGCTATCCTGATGTCATGGAACGAGGTCACGGACACATGACTGATCAAAGAAGTGGGGAGATGGAAAACTGTGAGAAAGGAAACTCCAAAAAACACCATGTTCCAAGGCTGCCCCATGTTTTACACGTGCAGATCTTTCCTTCCTTGTAGGAGAGCAGTGGGCTGGCTTTGGTGGCGTTTGTACTGGAATCCAATAAGCACATCTGAGGGCTGGTCACCCCTTTGGTTATGCAGTTCCTCTCCTGGATACATTCAGAGATACTTCTTCACGACATTCAGGTGATGCGCTCTTGAAGGTCCTCCTTCCAGGAGGATTTTGCCAGGTGGGATGGGCTGACTTTGAACCCCAAACCCTCAAGTTTTTCCACCGCCATCCAGATGTAGGCCCTCCCAGTTGACTATGGCTCTTTTCCCGAGTGGCTCTCATCTTGTTTGTGGAAGAGTTCTCTGGGCCTGGAGAAGGGAAGGGGCTGGGCTGACACAGCCATCGTGAGGAGGGTCAGCATGAGGAATGGATTTTGCAAGAGAGGCGGAAAGTGTTTGGTTTTCCTCGAAGCATGGGACATCATCGATCATGGTATTCAAAATGTCTTTTGCACTGTACAAGTTTATGGAAAAAAGATCATATGCTGAAAAGTCTCAAAGCAAACTTTGTATTAAATACAAAAGTTCTTTTATGAAAAACGCTGAGACCCACAAAGTGCTTAGCAGTTAAGAGGCTGACATCCAATTAAATAAGCTCTTATTAAGTGGGATTACTAGTGCTGTTGTCTTGGGGAAAAAATAACCACCTTTTCTCACCTGTGATACTGTAGGGTTTCAGAATGGCTTTCTGTTTGGGAAAGCAAGACTTGCTGTTAAAAGGCTACAGTATATATTGTGACTACAGGAAGACAATTTGGTTTAAAATCACACTGAGTACATCTCAATATACACATCATAAGGTTCATTCGGATCTAAATAGTGCAGAGAAAAAGGCTATTCTTCTTCAAAAATAAAAATAAAAGCAGCAAGCCATACTGATCCTCATCCAATATGCCAACAGCTCAGATGCTGCCATTAATAAGGAAACAAACCTGTAAGTTACTAAATAAAAAAAAAAATCAACACAATACCATTTATAATATTTCAACACTACCTCAATCTCTGTACAGACAGTGCCAAAGAGAACCTATTTTTGAAATGCTCTTAGTAAACTCAAGCGAGTTTCATTGAGAGAAAAGTCTTCGAGCAGTGCTTTGCAGATCCTGGCATCCTTGGGCCGGATGGCCGTTAGTGTTGCAAACCCAGGAAGCCTTCTCTCCTCCTCTCCCTTCGTCTACGGAGCATGTTGTTAAACCCCTCAGGATGGCAACTCGGTAGCATTTGGCTTCTGCCTGAGCCTCTCACGGTAGTGACATTATTGAACGGAAATAGCAGGCAAAAATCAGAGCATGGCTATCATAAAACATCCAGGATGCAACCCAGGGGAAGTGTCTGTTGGGCCGAGCTGTTTTTATAGCATCTCAGCCACCAGTGTTCTTAAACCATACAAATAGCCAAAGACGTTATCTACAGGTTTGTAAACAAATTACATTCTTCTTTTAGGACATAAATAAGTTAAAATAGAGCAATTTAAGCGGAAACAAGGCAACATGCCGGCAAAGAAACTTTATATATCCATGTATATATATTTATATATATATATATATATCTACCTATCTATATGGACGTATACAGTCTCGGAAAAGTATACGTTGATATAGATACAAAGAAATGGATATAACCTTGTGAGTGTCTATGAAGTTCTTCGGTTCCATTGGTGCAAATCTACTAGGCGAGTTAAGCTCTGCAATTTCAAAAAGTTATTAAATTAATCTATACAACTGAGACCATGCTGTGCAAGCATTTCAAAAACTCACAGACCAGTGGATTGGATAAATAGTCTCAGAAAAGAGTCTGTTTGCAGTTCCCGCCTAAGAAAACAAACAAACAAACAAAAACCCCTCCCCAACCCCCAAAAACCAAACAAGGGGAGGATTGAAAGTGTACAGTACATTCATGCGGGGGACGTGGTGGCTGGGCGGGTGCATGGCTGGTCCATGTCTGGGTGGGAGCCAGGAAGGGCTTGTTTTGGGAAAACCGCTCACTCCCGTAAGCCCCCAGTGGAGATCCCGCCCCTTGCCTTGAAGTGAAAAAGAGTTCAAACAGCATCGCAGCCAGAGAAAGGGTCTGTGGGTGGAAACGTTGGTTTTCTCTCCAGTATTTGGTTTCCGATTGTTGCTCGTTGCTGCTTGGGTGAGTTGGGTGCCTGGATGGATGGGTGCCCGGAAAGCGGGTGGCAGCGGGGTCCATGAGGGCGGGCGGGCAGGCGAGAGGGTCCTCAGCTAAAGCGACGTCTCCAGGCTGTGGATGGGGCTCCCTGGACTTGAAGAGGTAGCTGATTTGCTTGTGTCGGTCGTCAGGTTGATCCCACTGTCGATGGCGCTGTTGTTCTTGTTGAGGGATGACGGCGGGCTCGAGTTCTGCTTGAGCGCGGCATCTTCTTCCAGGTCGGTGTCATCAATGAGGGGGATGTGGGGCTGGGAATCTTCGATCCGGAATTCAGGATGAGCCATGAAGTTATGGATGGAGGTTCGAGATTCAGGCTTTTCTAAACCTTCATAGAGAGAGCTACGGAACGCCTTCACGACGCGGATCTGCAAGGGAAGCACAGGGGTCAGGAGCACTGCCCAGGGACCACAGCCAGGCTCGGGGGGCTCACAGGAGGGGCGGGTGGGAGAAGGGTTAGGGCAAAGCAGGTGGCTGGAATCCATAGTCGCTGGGTGTTATTAGCATTGACAGGATGGGGGAGAGTGAAAAAGGGGGCTCAGGTTATAGGCATCCTTGAGCTGGTTTTTAAAAATCTCTTTGGTTTTGGTAGAAACTAGTGTTAGGACAGGAGGAATCACCAAGCACCATCAAAGAGATGATGGGGAACAGTGGTTAAAGGAAGCACAGTCGACTCCTGCGGGCACCCACACCTAGTGAGAGACTGAGCCTTGTTCACTTTAAAGCAGAGGTTCAACCATGCAGACAGGGAGGAGGACCAGGTGGGAATCAAGTAGGAAAGAGGAGAGGCTATTAAAAAAATTCATCTTAGGAAAACCACACACAGTTAAGAAACCATACAACATGGAACATGTTACGTGTCACAAACAGAAAAGGCACAGAAAGGAGAGACGGTTGGATGAGTTGGGATGAGAGAGACACATGAGGGCCAAACAGAACGGGAACATCAAACCAAAGGCAGCAAAGCAAACCAAAGCCAACCCAGGGCTTTCTGAGGTGCAGAGCAGAGGCAGCCAGAAAGCACATGGGAGCTGGCGGACAGATGACATTCGGGGGCGGGCTGCATGCCACGGGGAGGCCGGGAGCCACATGGCACACACAGACAGACACACGGCTACACTTGGAAGCCTGGACAATGTGAACGGAGGTCGTTTGTACCCAGCGTTTCTTTCCTTCATGCATTTGGGAGGTAAACACTCGAGTATAGACTCAAAGCCCTGGCCGGCCAGTTATTGGAGCTTGCTTTGGGGTCTCTTATTTCCTGGGGGATTTTGTTTATTTCTTTATTTGTGCTTTGAAAACACAAAACCAAAAAACGAGGCTGGAATCAGATGGCCAAACCCAGCCCCAGTGGGATTCTGGGGTGTGTGGAACTGAGTCACAAAACAGCAAGTTCTTTCATTTTCTGTCTCAGTTGTGAACCACACGTCCTGGGGCCTCAGTTTCCTCCGCTGAAGAATGGGAGGAGGCTGGTCATTGAGTCTTCAAGGCTAGTGGAAAGAGCACTGGACTTGGAGGCAGAAAGACCCAACTTGCATCCTGGCTCTGCCACATCTGGTGCCTTGACTGTGGACAAGCCACACTAGCTCTCTGGTTGTCCTCTGTCCTGCCTCACAGGGTGCAGAGGGACGGGACCCTCACTTGGAAGAGAGGTGTCCCTTCTCTGGACTCCTGGGAGGGGCAGCAGTGCCTGTCATCTCAAGAGTCTGATGGGACTTGGGACAAAGGTGCCTCCTCCTCTCGTCCCAGCCCCAACTCGGAGTGGAGTCAGAGGTGGAGAAAACAAGGCGGCGTTGGCGCCTCCAGGACAGAGCCTTAGTCGGCTGCTGTGTGCAGGCCAAGTGGCACCCACCTGCAGAGCAGTGGCTGCCCTGCACCACAGGCCTGCGGGGAGGCAGGGGACTGGACGAGACGGTCGTGGGGAGGCCCCTGAAGTCCCAGGACTTGAGCTCTCAGCGGAACCCAGGGGTAGCTCCTTTGTGAAACCCTGGTGGGGAAAGCCCTCTTTTATGGAAGTGGAGTTTCTAGGTGACTGTGGTTGATGATTTTAAGTGTCATCGCTGAAGGTTTGTTTTACTGTTGCAGAGGGAATTCTTTCTAAAGCATGTCATACGCTCCTCTGACTTCTAATTTAGAGTGCACAGAGAAGAATTTAACATAAGCTTTGTCAATTATCCTTCTTGGTCTTAGGTAAGACCCCATGGATTGTCTTGTTTTTTCTCCCTTGCTGTCAGTCATCGCTTACTAGTTAGTGCTGACTTTTCTGTTTTCTGAAAAGCACCTCTGTCCTTTCACCTTGCATACTGTGAGCTGGGACTCCAGGGTACCCCACTTGCTGGAATTGTGCTTTAAATAAGAGGCAACAAGTGCCAAATAAGAGCCAGCCAGACACGGCCTTTATGCTGGTGCTCCATCATGGCCACTGTGGCTGCTCTGAGCTCTTTCCCCCTGGAGTCCCTCTTTGTGGCTCTGCAGAGATGGTTCATATTCTGATCTCCTGAAAAGTGAGCCGTTACACCTTGATTAACTGAAAACAAAGAAGGCGCTGCAGGCCTCAGCTTTCTTGTTTGTAGAATGGGAATAGCATCAAGGCTGTAGCTGCCTAGCCTGGTGCTCAGTGTGTTCTGAGGTTGAAGTGCAATTCAGATGCTGACTGGAACACCTAGTGTATGTGTGGGGCAGGGGGATGGTGGCAGGACCCTGTCATGTGACTGACAACGCAGAGGGGATGACACACAATGAGATGAGGCCCCTCCGCCCTCCCCGTGGCATGGAGACAACAGAAAAAATGAACTGCTCTGGACAAGACTGTGGGGACGAGACTTTTTGGGACACCCCGCCACGGCCATCTCAAGTCTCCACTTCGGTTCTCTCCGAGGCTGAAATGGAAAAAACTATGGGAAAAAAAAAAAAGGCTCTTCCATCTCCCCTCCCTGCCTACCCTAAAGGTAGGAATTTTTTTTTTTTTGGCATAAGCTGCATTTGGGCGTGGGGGTGAGGGGAAGGAGAGGAAGGGACCTGGTGAGCGGGGTTTCAGATGTTTTGGTTTCGTCAGCACAAAGGGAACAGGGAGACCCATGCCCGTTGTCAGAGGGCTCTGAGAAAACGCACAGGCCCTGGTCTGAGATGGGTTCTACATACTCGAATGTTTACCCGGCTTCAAGGAAGCCAAGAGTCTGGGATTGATTCACATTCATTTCAGGCTCAAGGTTAAAGACTCACAACCTCTTTTAATTTCACTCTCTCTTGCTGAACTCTGTGTCCAGGGTTCTCTAGCCCTCTAGGGAAACAAACACATGGAATATTCAGACAGTGGAGAGGTCTAGGGTTCCCCCCACAAAGCAAGCCATTTTCTCGCCAACCCAAGGTTGCACTAAATTAGTTACCAAAACGCTAATGAGAAGTCCAGCTTTCTTCCCTTTTTGTTGTCTTCATTTCTCCCCCTAACAGTGCAAACTCCTTGCCCTAGGAGTCGTCAGAACCAGGAATCTGCAGGGGAAGTGGGAGCAGGAGGTGCCTTATCTGTCTAGCAAGGTACGGCGTCCAGAATGTGGCTTGGACCTGGCTTATGGGGCTGGCTCTTGGCTTGGGTGGTTTGAAAGAGCAGGACTTCCACTGATAAACACGGAGCCTGCTACAGACTTGCTAAGCACAAAGATGGTTTGAGATGAGTTAGGAATTTGAGGCAATGAGAAAGAGAGGCTGTGCGGCTTTGCCTTGGATCGAAGTGTGGGATGCTAATCTTGTCCTTGACCACCAGTGGGAAGGTGCCCTTCTCCCCAGTCTTGGCCACGCTGGTAGAAGTTCAAGCTGAGAAACAGCTTCCCTGGCCTTCCCTGGAGGACTGACTCCTTTTCACGATATGAGGCTGTGGGCGTGGGCACTGGTTCCGGAATGGAAGTTCAGCCTCTGTGGCTCCAGGTCTGTGGGCCTCCTGGGAAGCGGTGTGACTAGTGGGAAGAATGAGGGACTCCGGAGTCTGACCTCTTGCCACGCCCTTGCTGTGGTCACCCTGGCCTCATCAGTGTCTTTCTCTGCGAAATGGATGTGTTGGCAGGTCCTCCCCTCCCACAATTCAGTGGTGAGGCATCTGTGAAGTAAAGGGAGTGGGGAACTGCTCTGGAAATGTTGAGTGGGGCTCAGGTATAAGGCAATAGGGACGTGCCATTAAGTTTCCGGGGCAAAAACAACCTCGTTTTTGAGTTAGTCAGAAGAGTGCACCAATTCATTCCCTCCCGAGCATCCTCGTGCCATGTGCCTTGTGACTGCGGTCAGGCTTACCATGTGCGTCTGTCTGCTGAGGCCTTCATCTTGCGGTGGTGCCGTGGGGAGGGGAGGGCCTGCGATGTGTTCAGGGGTTTTCCTCACTCCAGTGTCCCAGGTCAGAAGTCAGGCCCTGTCCCAGGCCTTTGTGGTCAACTCTTCATAACCCAGGGGACAGTGGATTGACTCCTTCCAGGGCACACTGGCTGCAGGTGTTTTTGCCTCAGCAGGCACATGGGCAGCCTCCTCTGCTGGGGAGTCCCCAGGAAGCAGATCCCCCTCAGAAGGCTGGTGGGGTGCGGTGGGGGTGAAGGAGTTGTGGGGTAGTGGGGCGGCCCACTTCCTCATCCCATCAAATTGGGGCCCTTCTGTCACTTCCTGGCCACCTGTTTAAACCTCCCTGTGGGAGGAAAGCACACTGGCTTCTGCAGGGACCTTGGCTGGTGTTTAGAGGGTCCTCAGAGTCCTTGGAGACCAGAGGAGGCAGCACTGTTGTAGACACTACTCAAGCAAAGGAGGCACGAGGCTGTGTTGTCCAAATGTGTGTACTGAAACCACAGAGGCTGTGATCCTGTCTGGGAACCAGTGCCCTCAGGCAGGGGTTTGGTCAGGCTCTTTTTAAGACTATAGGCTCAGGAAGGGTCTCAGGAGGCACCCAGAATTACAGGCTGGATTCTGTCACAGAGGGGGAATGCGAGATTCTCCAGGAGGCATGAAGAGGGAGAGGCAAGATGGTGAGCAGGGTGGGGAGGCCCTGGCCAACCCTGCCGGGTCCCCTGAGAGAATGAGGGGTCAGGGCAAGGACTGTCAAGTTGGCTTTGGCTGAGCCTCTGCCTGGGCTTCTTTTCCAAGACTGTTCCAAAGTTGGGGTAACCACGGGCTACAGGGGACTGATCTGGCCTCGAAGGAGGTCAGTGTAGACACATTCCTGTCTAAGCATTTCTGCAGAAATGAAGAAAAGGGCATTTCTGCAAAGAAGTGTTGTTCCCGGACGGGCCCTATTGAATGGCTTTGCAAATGAGGCAGAAGAAAAGCTGAGAAAGAAGTGGCTGAGGTTTGAGCGGACAGCTCTAGCTTCCAGGCTGTGAAAGCTAAGATGAGGGGCTGACTCGGGGACGACTTCCAAAGGCAGTGGGCCTGCCCAGCGATGTCAGGTGTGCTCCGTCGTGGCCAGGGTGAAGTGCTGCCCTTCAAGAAAGAGGCTCAACTGGGATGGACAAAGAACTGGGCCTTCACCCAGAAGCCAGACTGCTAGCAGGCAGCCCCAGCCGGAGGGCCGCAGGAGTCATCGGGAGGGGTGGCAGAACAGAAGTGGATTCTTCCCCATGTAGCTCTCCCTGCCGGGACACTTGGTTACCGCACCTCAGGATAGGTGGGGGTGCTGAGCAAGGCCAGAGCTGAGTTGGTGCAGAAAGGAGCTGGGAGGTCAGCTGGCTAGGCTGCTGCTAAGGTGAGAGCTCTCTGGTCTAAAGGGGAGGAGGATGGGACCGGTGTTGCCTTCCCCGAGAAATCCTGGCAGTGACTGCCTAGTGACGGTATCTCATGGAAATGTGACTCAGCCACCATCTGCTGAAATGCATCTCCATTTCATCTTGGCTCCCCGGTCCTCCCCAGCACTGCGTTTCTGTGCTGACGAATGAGCACTGAGAGGCTCCTTCCCTGCTTTCTGCTTCTGTCCTGCCGCTATGGGTCGTGGACATTTGCCATCAACAGGCTCCCTGTGGCCCGCGCCTCCTACTGGAGGCACTGAGGGAGGCGCTCCCACCAGCACACCGGGTTACCTGCTTGGCTGCAGGGGTTGTGTTGTGGGTGTTCTGGTTTTGGATGGGGGTAGAGGCCCTTTATAAAGTTTCAAGGGGTGAGCTGGAGTCTACTTCTCATCAAAGAAGCTGGAGGCTAAGACTGACACTATGCCAATTGGAGAAGACCAGAACCAGGGGCTCCCCTGCAGATCAGAAGCGCCTGACTGGAAACATAGCAGGGCGATGGGAGGAAAGACAGACTTGTTCCCTATGGGGCCCGAAGCCATGGGTCCGGGAAAGAGCTAGACAAAGCCAGCAATGAGTGATCTAGATCAGAAGTGGTGGCATGAGGAGATGAGCTTGGCAGGAGGGAGATGAAGGAGGGGCCACAGTCCCAGGCTATCTCTCAGATAAAGGAGGGCAGGATGCTGAAGGGCATATCAGGTCCCTCTGGGCCTGCTGGCACCCAGGCAAGATGTGAGGCTCGACCCACCATTTTCTACCAGGGGTCAAGCTGAATGGGCCAGGGACCTTGTCCTTTCCAGGAAGGGCTTAGAACTTCAGCAAGTTCCAAGCTCAGCCACAGGGAAAGGTGTCTGCAGGGCAGCTGATGCAGTCAAAAGTGCAAGGGGAGGAGTGACAGGAAGCGGGCAGAGACTCTGAACTGCTGGGGTGCAGCGTCTAGGCTGTGAGCTCCTAGGTGGCCTGGGGATCCCTGGCTGACTATGACCTCTGACCTGCAGTGACCTCTTGGCTCAACTGTCCCCCTTGACCATGACCCTCATTACTGTGGGTGCCCCCTGACCAACTGGGAAAGTCTGGTTGACGTGACCCTCTCCTGGGTGGATCCCAATGTGACTGACTGGGACCCTAAGGGGCTTGCTCCCCTTGACCCACAGTGACCCTTCTGCTGACTTTGACTGCAAGACTGGGACCTCTTGTCCAACTCCAACCCTTGCCTTGGTGGTCCAGGCTTTTCCTGACCACATATGACCCTAGGCCAGTGGGACACTCTGTGTCCCCTCCATGTCTGTCCCCCTCTGGCTGCCGGGACCCTGTGGTGGGTTGGGACCATTTGGTCACTGATGTCCTCTTGACCAAGGGTGACCCCTTGACTGAACCAGACTTTTTGGCCACTTGGGACCCTAATGACCCTCTGACTGACCCTGGTCCACTGAGTGACTGCCACCGCATGACTGGCTACGCTCTCCTGACCAACGGGACCCTCTTCGGTGGCTGGGACCCTTCATCCCCCTGGGCCTGATTGTGACCGGCTGCCCCCCATGTCCTCTGGTGCCCCAGCCCCTGCCCGCCTGGGAGCTGGCGTGGGCAGTGCCAGCCGGAGGCAGTAAGGAGTCACACTCACGCCCGGCTGCAGCAGGAGGAAGGCTGGTCGGAGAGGAAAGAGCATTGGACAACGACACGCGACTAGGGCTAGAGAGATTGGCTACATCCTGGCTCTGGCTGGTGACCGAGGACTGTCTCCGCAGGGCCCCCTGAAAGGAGGCCCCGCTCTTGAAAGTATTGACTACTTCAATCTGCAACGGAGGAGAGAACGAGACAAGTTGCGAGAAGAACGAGCACAACGGCTACATGACTGACAGGGCAACGTCACAAGAACAGCCGCAGCCACGGCAACAACGACAATGTCACTTAAATCAAAACAAAAATACCAGACACACTCCAAGGCTCTGAAAAACGTCTGCTCAGCTCTGGGCCCACCTGCAGGCCCCAGGGTCCCCGGGAGGACACAGGGGGTCCGGCCTTTGTCCTGTGCTAGTGGCTCAGGGGCCAGTGGGCTGGCCAGTGGGGGAGGCAGTGATTAAACATGGTATCTGGAGGGAAGAGAGCAGTGTTCAGCCTCCCTCAGGTACAGGCGTGGAGGTAGAGGGTGTGGTGGGGGTCCTGAGGTGGACAGAGCTTGGCCTAAATTCCAGCTCTGTCACTTACTAGCTAGCTGACCTTGGGCAAGCCACCTCTCTGAGTCGAGTTTCTTGTTCTTAAGAAGGGTCAATGCCACCTGCCTGGCAGGGTTATCTGTAAGTGGCAAAGCACCTGACCCGTGTTAGCATTCCGCAAGAGGCAGGCAAGACAGGCGCCCCTGCCCACTCAAGAAATCGCAGTCCTTGCTTCCTCCCGTAATCTGGAGACCCCTGCGTGGCTTTGCCGCCAGGGCAGTGACAGCACCAGGGACATATTCACTGAGTTGTCCTGGACCTCCCAGGAGGTGGGGGCAGGCTGGGAGGGGTGGCTGCGGGGCCCTAACCAGGGAGGGTGAGCCCAGGCCCGTGTCAGGCACCTCCGGGTCTGAAACCGGCTTCCAGTCCCCACCCCAGCTGTGCCAGCTCAGTAGAAGGGGCCATCTCCTGGACCTTGGTAACCTCTAAAACTGGGGGAGTCACATCTACCTCCCAGGGCTGTGAAGGTCACATGAGGTGAGGTTTGGGACAGGGTACAGAGGGGTGGGAGGTGACCCAGGTGAGCTCTCTGCTACATCGGATGGAAATGAGGTGCTGGGCCACAGCTGGCAGGATGGTGGCCAGGTGGCTGCTTCTACACTGCACTTCGCCCAAGCATGCTGGGGCATGGAGGAGCTCCCACTCCAGCTCCCCAGATGGTCTGGGCAAGAGACCCACAGAGTCCCTTCTGACCCTCCCCTCGCAGGGCTGTGACAGCACTTGTGAGCTACAACACCTGCTCCAGGCATAAGGGGACCATGTGAGAGCATGTGGTATGTGTGTGGGGGGGTCGGGGGAGGCGCGCAGGTGTGTCGTGTGCCACGTGGCAGCCATGCTCTCTCTGCTCTGGGGAAGAAACCTGCTTCTGGCTGGCTACGCCCTGCACCTGTGCTCCCCTGGTGTGCTTGGTGTGTGCATGTGTGTCTGTGTGTGCTTGAGGATGACTGACCTTTGCTCCCCAGAGCCTCTCCACCCCCTAGGGGAAGCTGGGGAGAGCAACTGAAGCCCCCGTGGAGGCGGCGGACCCCCTGACCACCACGCCCTGGGGGACCCTGGGCGACCTGGCCTGCAGCTTCTGTCCAGCCTCACACGGCCCCTGTGGGTGGGTGCCCCCAGCCCTGAGCGACAGTCCCCTCACTCACCTCTGCCCTCAGAGCCACCCTTCCCCACCCTCTCAGGGAAATCCCCCTGGAGACCATGGTGGGTGTGACCCCTACCACTTCCCCGTGCTGCCCTGAGAGGGCACAATGGGACCTCTCTGAGGAGGCCGTGCTGTTCCTTAGCAGCCACAGGAGTGGGTGTGCAAGTGGCTGGTGAGAGCTGGCCGGGACCCCTCTGTAGCCACCCTCCCTCAGCACCAGAGCTGGGCCCTGGGGGGCAGCACAAGCACACTCACCTCCATCCCCTGGCCCGCCCCGGCCAGGCCTGGGCCCAGCCCCCAAGAGCCTCCTGTACCTGTGTCTGGATCCGATTCAGGCCTCGGAACCACAGGATCTGGCCCCGCCGCAGCTCCCGCTCCGCGTGGTCGATCTCCTCCACGTCCTCGTTGAGCTCCTCCTCCGGGATCTCCTCCTTCTGTGTGAGCCTGCCTGCCTCCTTGAGGAACTTGAGTCTGCTGGTCGGGATGGTGGCGATGACCTGCAAGGGACCCTGTCTGTCAGGACGGTGGGGCTGTCCTTCCCAGTGGCCTTCTCTCCCTGACACCCGCTCCTCTACCTCCCTCCTCCTACCCGCTCACCCAGGCATGTGATCAATCTACTCCTTCACCCACCTCACCTGTTCCTCAGCCCAGTCTTTGACAATGTCTTTTTTTTTTTTTTTTTTTTTTTTGAGATGGAGTTTCACTCTTGTTGCCCAGGCTGGAGTGCAATTTGCTTTTTAATTCATTCATTCAGAGTCAGGGTACATAGTGGACAATCTTGGCCTCTAGGAGTTGGACAGATGTGGCTTTGAATACCCCAGACAACCCTGGTCCTGTGGCCTCGGGCAAGTCATTTAACCTCACCGAGCTTTGGTTTTCCTAGCTGTAAAGTGGGGGCCGCTCTGGGCATGGTGAGAACTGGGCACGGTGGAGGGTCTAACTCGTCCTGCATGAGCCTGGCCCGTGGCTGGCCCTCGGTTCTCCTGGGGTTACTTATTCCTCTGTCCCTTATTCCTCCTGAGGTCACTGGACCCTGAAGGCAGCCAATCCTGGACTGGGAAGGCAGAATGGGAAAGAGCTATGCCTTCATTCCTAATCTTCCCCAAAAGGCTTGTCCATGGGGCTGAGGACCCAGACGCAGGCCCTACAGGAAAGCTGCGGTGGCAGATATCAGAGGCCCCTTCCATTTCCTGTAGGAGCAGTCAGGCGCTGGCATGAATGCAGCCTCAGGGGGCTCCCTGGGAGTGTAAAGTCAGCACTGCCCGCTGGCATTAACCTTTGTCCTCTGAATCCTTCCCTCAGTTACTGGGCCCAGCCCCCAAGAGCCTCCTGTAGGGGGTGGGCCCCAGTGGGATAAAGATGGCCTGGCCCCCAGGGTGCCCAGGGGTTTATCACTCTCCAAAGCAGCCCCAAAGGTTACAGGAAGTCCTTTTGGATGAAACTAAACTTTCTTATTTATCTTTTAGTTAATTTTTGCCCCCGTAGCTTCTCACTCTAGCCTGCAGACAGCTTGAAGGCAAGAAAAATGCCTCCCACCCATGGGGTCCCACTGCCTGGATGTGTGAGCACCTTGGGAATCAGGCCCCTTAGGCCCTGAGTTGGTTCTGGGCCCTCCTCCCAAGCCCTGTGTCCTGGGTCAGGAGCCTTTGGGCTGCATGCTCTCAGAGCTGTGACAGGGTCTGGAACTTGGGCAAACGTAGAAAAACGAATTGGTGGGAGAATATTCTGGGACAAAGCTGGAAGGGCCCCTAAAGAGCATCCAGCCCAAGGAGCCCCAGAGCTGGGGCAGGCACAGCACTGAGGCCACAGATGGCCACAGGCACAGCACTGAGTAACACCGCAATGTGGCAGAGTGTGTCCTGCTTGCGTTCCCTCTGAGTGCTCTAAAGGATCCTGATTGACGCCAGCCGGCCACCAGCGCCCGCAGACCACTGATTCATCTCCCTTCCTAACAAGCTGCTCCAGCCTTGAATCCCTGGCAGGCCATGGCTTCTAGCTGGAGTTTAATAATGTCATTCTCATTACATTAATGTTTTTGTTAGCTTCCATTTATGACAAGTGATACTGATTTTTCAGTTGTCTTAGTAACAGGACGTTGCCTTTAAAAACAAATTTAAGTTAAAAAAGCTGACGTGATTGAGAGAAAATATTACATAAACAACAGGAGCAGTGGTAGATAGATATAAGGCAAAAATCAGAGCAGTAGTACCCAGACGACCAGTATAGGACCTGGGACAAACCCCCTTGCTCAGATGTCCAGAGATAGGGAGGAGCTTGCCTGGGGTCTGGCAGCCCATTCCTGGGGGTCCTGGATTCTCCATCCAGTGCTGTCTCCCTTGCCCTGCTAACAGGCACCTCCTGCGACCTACCAGGAACTTACCTGGCCCCAAACGAGCTCTCCTAACCCAATGAATATGCACCACATCCACTGGTCCAGCTGCAGTGGAGAGCAGCTGAATGGCTTCCCTCCAAACTGCACGATCACTATCTGGAGGTCACAGGGGAGCAGAGAAAGAGAGAGAGAGAGGCCATCAGGGACCAGCACAGAGGGCTGGGCTCTCAGGGTCCTGCCCAGGGGCTCCAGCCGCTTGCTGCCCACCCCGGGCCTGGTTAGGGTGGGGGCCTCACTACCTGGATGGCAAAGGTGCCCAGCACGATGGTGCAGAAGATGGGGTTCCGGAAGATGCCGTCAAAGACATTGCGCTCGCCGTGGATCTTGCGGGCGTTGATCTCGTTGAAGAGCTGCATCATGACGAAGGTGTTGAAGATGATGGTGTAATGTTCTGAGGGTGGCGAATGCAGGGGCGCGTTCCTCCCGCTGTCGATCTGGAACATCTTCTCGCCTGCCAAGTGAGAGAGTGGGGCTGGGCTGAAGGCAGTGGTGGGGGAATCAGAGGGGAGATGCCTGGCCTTTCGTGGGGGCCTCTTCTGAGCAGTGACGTGAATCCCCAAGACATCAAGGCATGCTTGGACAGTGGGGGGCCAGGGCTGTGCTGTCAGCTGGTCAGAGACTAGGACTGAAGGGTCAGCAAAGCCCTTTCTCCTCTGGGGAAGAAAGGCCTTGGGCAACTGTCTTCCACTTTTTCTGTGGAAACCCGATAAAGGTGGACGGCCGGCTGTGTTAAAGGTGGGCGACATGGCTTCTAAAAAGTGACCTCAGACTGGAAAACTCATTCTGGACTGCGAGGACAGGATACCTGCGGGAGGTTTTGCGCTGCCCCGAGAGTGCTGCTTCTTGTTCCTGAGCATGTCCCTTGCTGAGACCTCTACAAGCTCATGGGGCTGTTACTAGAGATGCCAATTCCTATATGGAGCCCAGGACTTCTGGGCTAGGCTGGCTCTGGACCCTCCCATGTGGCTTCATTCTAACACCT
This sequence comes from Homo sapiens, assembly GCF_000001405.40. Classification (NCBI taxonomy): domain Eukaryota; kingdom Metazoa; phylum Chordata; class Mammalia; order Primates; family Hominidae; genus Homo; species Homo sapiens. The sequence goes on from NC_000003.12 coordinate 10,341,236, forward strand.
GAGCTGTCACATGGCAGGGCACTGCTGTGTAGACGCTGCTGATAGGGTGTCTGATGCAGTCCTGTATCCTTTTTGTTTTGTTTTGTTTTGTTTTTGAGATGGAGTCTCGTTGTTGCCCAGGCTGGAGGACAGTGGCGTGATCTCAGCTCACTGCAACACCCGCCTCCTGGGTTCAAGTGATTCTCCTGCTTTAGCCTCTCAAGTAGCTGGGATTACAGGTGCGCACCATCACGCCCGGCTAATTTTTGTATTTTTAGTAGAGATGGGGTTTCTCCATGTTGGCCATGCTGGTCTCGAATTCCTGACCTCAAGTGATCCACCCGCCTCGGCCTCCCAAAGTGCTGGGATTACAGGCATGAGCCACTGCACCTGGCCAAGTCCTGTGTCCTTTTGCACAGCTGAGTAAAGTGGTGCCAGGAGGCTTGTGGAGTTTTCTGGGTGTGAGATGTCCCAAGACTACCCAGGGTAGGTGCTGCTCAAGTGGTCAAGCCAGCAAGCCGACCAGGACCCCCGCTCTCCTCTCCTCTCCAACCCCTCCACCTCCTCTGAGTCTCTTCTAGTTCTGCATATAAGTGGCTTCCTCTAAGCTTTTTCATGATAAGTTTTACAACAGTAAAATGTGTCCTGACAACACACTACTTTCAAAATTTATAAAAGGCAACTAACTGCCTTTGAGGAATGGATCCATGCCCACCTCCATCACACTCTGGGCTTTGAGGACAAGTGAAAGGCCAGCTCCGGGAGGCTCCTGTAAGGAGAGAACTGGCCCTGATTCCATGTGGGACTGCGGGCCAGACCCTTCCCCTCTCTGGGCCTCTGTTTCCCCATCTGTGACCTGGGGATAGGCTTTGTTGGGATTGCCTCCGAAGCATCTGTGGAAACCAGGCCAGTCTTGGCCCCAGCCAGACCTGGTTCTGTGCCCAGACTCTTCCTCAGACTGGCTGTGTGCCCTTGGGCAAGTCACCTCACCTCTCTGAGCCTTGGTGCCCTCGTTTGTAATGTGGGGTGGAGGCAAATGTGCTTGCCTCACTGAGTGGAAGACCCAACCAGGCAGCCCAAGTGGAAGCATTGTGAGAGTCGGTGGTGGTGTGAGCGTGTATGCCCTGCCCCAGGAAGCCTTGCTGAGGGTCCCTTCCACGGGGCCAGGATAAGGTGCTGGAATGGGTCAGAGAAGGGGTGAGTCACTCCCCTCCCAGCCTCAGGTGCCTCTGGGGCTGCCATGCAGTGCTTCAGCACCCGGTCAGGGCCTTGCACGGTCTGTACTTGTTGCCAGGAGCTGTCACCAGTGGAGAAAGCCACTGATGGCTTTAGGGTTAGCCAGAGCTGGGACAGGGCCAGGCCCTGTTCAAGACTTGCTGGTGTGACCTTGGGCAACTTACTTGACCTCCCTGGGCCTCAATTTCCCCATTAGCAAAACAGGAGGGGGTTGTGACTCGAGAATGCTGGGTGAGAGCCATGGTGCACCCAGAAGGTGATGACCCCGCCTGGGAGAGGCGTGGGTGGGCGAGGCGCTCACCAACAAAGAGCAGGGTGAAGATGAGGGCAAGCTGGTAGACAGCATGGCCCAGGATGTTCTTCATCATGGTCCTGGAGATGAGCGGCTTGTTGCGGCCGTACGGCTTCCTCAGCAGCAGGGTCTCCGTGGGCGGCTCAGTGGCCAGTGCCAGCGAGGCAAACGTGTCCATGATGAGGTTCACCCAGAGCATCTGCACGGCCTTCAGAGGGGAGTCCTGGGGACGGGCAGGAGAGGGCTGTCACCTGTGCGCCCACCTGCTGCTGTGAAGTGCTGGGCGGGCTCATGGTGTAGTGTCCGCAGGCTCCTGCTGGAGGCTGGAGTCCGACCTGCCCCTTGGCTCCCCAGCAGGCATGGAGTTGTTCTCTGATGCCTTCTCTGGAGAACAGTGCAGACCTGCCCACCTCAGCCACATCTTCCCTGCCAGGAGATAAGTGAGTCCCCCCAGGCCCAATGGCCACCAGCTCCCTGCCTTCTGGTAAATTCAGCTGCATCTCACCATCTTCCCCTCTCCCCTCCAGCCCCCGAGGAGGGGGTCTCTCCTGGCTGAGGCCAAGACCATTCCCACCGCCTCCGGCATGGGCTCCTACCTCCTCCCCCCACTGCCTCCTCCCCCTCGGGCTTTCTATCCTACAAACAGTGCCCGTCCCCCACCCCCCCAATGTCTCCTCCCCTCTTATCCCGCCTTACCTTAAAAAATTATTGTGCGTATCTATGACTCAAAAATTAATACATTTCAAGGTAGGAAATATGGCAAATGAGGAATAGCAAAAGCAACTAAAACTGTCAAGGACCTCACCACTTTTAGGTCACCACTGTCCAGGTTCTGGGAGGGACCCTTTCAGACCTGTCTCTTTGGCTGAGAGGAGCTGGTTCTTCTGTCCCCATCCTTCCTCACACCCCCACGTATCTTGTCCACAGCAGCCAGACTTTGGCCCCTCCACGTTCCCAGAATGCCCTCCGCCCACGTCACCAGCACCTTCTGTGCCACGAGTTGCAGGACCTCTTCTCGGCCAGATGTCACTGACCTCGCCCCTGCACTCCCACTTGTAATCCTGACCCCACTCTCCTGGTCGTCGTCCTCCCTTCCTTTTAAATCTGTGTTCCTGCCTCAGCCCCATTCTCCTCCTCGTCCTGTGGCTTTAGTTACATCCGTCTAGTGGCCTGTGGAACACCTCCTCCAGGAAGCCCCCAGACCCTGTAAGCTCAACAGCCCAAACCCGATGCTCTTCCCACCTCTGTTCTCTCCCAAAGCCCCATATACCTGCATCCCTTCCACTCATCACCTCCCAGGTTTCATCACAGCCCCTGCTCCTGGCTTTCTCTCTCACCTCCTCCTTGCCTCAGCCTCGCTCCCCTTGCCCCCGTCCTCCCCACCCCGGGCTTTCTCTAATTCCATATACCTCAGGGTCAAGTGTGCCCGTCTTCTTATCAATGCTGCATGGCCTCGCCACCAACTCAATCAAAGACCTCAGGCAAACTGATAGTGGTCTCAGAATCTCAGTTTCCCTATCTGGCATCAAGACCTTCTGGTTTCCAAGTTGCTGGGGCCGCAGGAGTGTTCCTCAAGCTGCCACTAGAGGGAGTGTCTCATCCACAGGCCAGGAAAGAGGGCCCTTCTGAGCAAAAGGAAGCCCCCAGCCACCCTCCCAAGGCTCCGATTCTCAGGGCTGGGGTAGCCGGAGCTGCCACCTATATTCCCCCAGCGCAGGAAGCAACAGAGGGGAGCAGTGTTCCAGCGCCACACAGCTCTTGGGGCAGTGCTGCACTCTGGGCCTCTGGGGGCTCCTGTGGGCATGGGCTTGTCTGCCCAGGTGGCTACTGGGAGTGTTGGGCCTTGGGGATCCCCTGGGGCTAAGGGAGACCCATTCTTGCCTCCCTGGCCAGGCTGGTCAGCCCCTGTGGGGAGTATCAGGAGACTGCAAGAACAATGGCAGGTCCCTGGCCAGTCCATCCTCTGAGCCTCAGTTTCTGCCTCTGTAAAATGAGGATCATCACAGTTCCCACCTCATGGAGCTGCATGAAGAAGCAGTCAGTCTGCAGACATCTGGGGCCTGCCTGCCAGGCTCAGTGCATAGGGCTGCTCCAGACCCAGTCGTGGTATCTGGCCAGACTCCTCTGTGACCTTCCCAGTGAGCAAGATCCCCGACTCCCTCCAGTTATCCCCACCTAGCACCTCCTAAGGCACTCCACACTCCAGTCCAGAGCCAGGGCCCCAGGGCCCCCACTGGCTCTTTGTCCTCACCTGGATGCCTGATCCCCCTTGGGCCCTGGCCTGCCCCTCCCTGCCTCCCTCTGCCCTCGTGGTGGCCAAGGGCCCTGCCTTCTCTTGAGGATTCCCTCTCCTGCCTCCTGCAGTGAGGGCCAGGCTGTGAGCCTGACAGCTCCCATTTGCTGGGTGACCTTGAACAAGTCACGCCACCTCTCTGAGCCTCATGTCCTCGACTCCCCTGGGGCCAGTGCCTGCACCTGAGCTCTGTGATGCAGTTCCTGGCCCCCAGCAGGTGCTCCATCGATGGGTGCCTCATCCCCGGCTGTTCTGACAGGGACAACCTGGAGTACCCTAAGGCCCCCGAGCCTCTGTGGGGGGTCTCCGCCCTCCCCCAGGCTTTGGTGTGGTCTCCTGCGGACCCACCTGCGTGATGCAGGCGCCTGTGAAGGCCACAATCACGGCCACCACGTTGACGGTGAGCTGGAACTGCAAGAATTTGGAGATGCTGTCATAGACGTTGCGGCCCCACATCACTGCCTTGACGATGCTGCTGAAATTGTCGTCTGTCAGGATGATGTCTGAGGCCTCCTTGGCCACGTCAGTGCCTGCGATGCCCTGTGGGGACAGGGACAGGAGGCTGGGTGGGGTGGCCGGGGGAGGTGACCACTTCTAGCATCACCATCCTCACTCCCTCCACTTCCTCAGTCCTACACAACTCCCAGTGGGCCCAGCACAGCCAGACCACACAGGGACACCCCACTCTTCACGCTCCTCACAGACCCAGCTCCCTTCACCCTCAGGAAGCCTCACCCTGGCCCCCTCTCCCCCTCTGTTATCTTCCTCCTCAGCCTGCAAGTGCCCCCCTTCACACAGCTCCCCCAGAGCAAGAAGCATCCTATGCCTTTCCAGGAAGACCTCGGGGTCAGGCTGAGTCTCGAGAAGGGTGGGCACCCACGGCAGATGGCGGGTGGGCCAAGTGTGAACTGGGGCTCCTGAGTAGCCAGCCCAAGGTTGTGTAGTCCAATCTCCCCAGCCCCCACCACCCCAGGCCCTCTGTGGGCCGTTCCTACCATGGCGAAGCCCACGTCGGCCTTCTTGAGTGCAGGCCCGTCGTTGGTCCCGTCCCCCGTCACGGCCACCACCTGCCGCTGCTCAGTGTGTGTGCTGTCGATGATGCCTGTTGGGGCAGGAGTGTGCTCAGGCCCTGGGCCACTCAGGTGGGAGGCAGCCTGGGCCAGCCCTGGTCCTCGGGAGGGGCCTGGCTGGGCATGGCTTCCTCTCTGGTCCCTGTCCAGCCGCCCCCTCCATCCAGGCTCTTCCCAGCTCCAGGCTGGCCTATAGCTGCCAGCAGGTTACAGTGGGCTCCTTACTGGGCTGGTGCCGACTTGGGGCCCCCTGTGGCCCGGGCCCTGCTCACCTCTCCAGCCCCCTCTTTGCTGTCTGCAACCTGTGGCCACATTGGCATCCATCCTAACCAGAAACACTGTATCCTCTAACTGTGCTCAGGGCCCCCTCTGCCTCAGCAGGGCTCCCAGGGTTTCAGCAGGACCTCACCATCTGTTCCTCCCGACACCACTAGCCAGCACTTTCTCCCTGGGGAGTCCAGGCTTGCTGAGGAGGCCTTGGCTTTGTCATTTGCCAGTGACCTCTGCCCCACCATTCTGGCCCTGACCTCCCTCCAGACATTCATCTTCAATAAAACATTCAACGAATAACAGAATGAACAAATGACATGTGGCCCCAGTCACTGAGCTGGGGCCAGTGGAAAAGGGTGGGTGAAGGATGTCATCGGTGGGGACCTGTGGAGTTTGTGGGACTCCTCATTCATGGGGCTTGCGAGCAGGGATGTCCATGGGCACGACAGGAATTTGGGTATCAGCATCCATGGGTCTCTCATTCTGCACATTGAATGTATCACCAAGGCCTGCCAATTCTGGCTCCAAAATCCCACTGAAACCCTTCCTTTTCTCTGTCTCCACCCTCTGCCACCAGCATCACTTTGTTTCCTCTCACTGACTCTGGACTCCCCCTCCAACTTGCTTCCCCACAGCAACCTCAGGATCTCTCTAACACCCATGTCTGAACCAGTTCCGTCCCCCAGCCATCCCCGGAATGTCGTTTTCCTGCTTCCCCCCTTGGTCTCAGGATAACATCCATGTTCTTAGCTCCACTTATGAAGTCCTCTGTGACCAGGCCTCACTCACATCCTGACCTCTTCTCTTCTCTCATCCCCTGGCCACCCCCAATCTGTGCTTACGGTCCCACAGAGCTAGCTCTCACTGGCCCTGTGTCTGGGCAGGCTGTTCCCTTGGCTGGAGGTACTCCTGTCACCCACCTGTACTGTATTTTTGGCTCAGAGGCTGCTTTTCCCAGGAAGCCTTTCTGACCCTCTGAGGATCCCTGCCTGCCCTTAATCAGATCCATGTAACTCTATGTGCTGCTCCATCCTTGCGCATCTCTCTGCTCTGTGCCTAGCAGACGGCAGCAGCCTGTGGAATGAGGCGCTGAGTTCCATAACCTGGGGCACTGTGCCCCCAACCTGCTCCCTTGCAGCTCTACCCTCTTTCAGGCCCAGCTGCAGTGCCGTGTGTTCTGGGAATCGTTCTGGGCTGCTCCCACCCAGCTGTCGGTGACCCCTCAGTTCCACCGTCCTGGACTCAGCCTCCCCAAGCTTGTCCCCTTGGGACATTAGGCCTGAGTTTCCATAGTTCCCTCAGTCAGCCTGGGGGCTCCTCCAAGGCAGGGACGGGTCAAATTTCTGCCCTGTGGCTCCCAGGTGGTGCGGACCGTTGCGTAGCTCAAGCTGTGCGGAAAGCTGGGAGGAAACCTCTCCCTAGACGCCTCCCTGCCTCCAGTCCTGGGGTGGCCTGACTGTGTGCAGTCACCAGGGGCCTCCCTGTGGCTGCTTCCTATGGTCACATTTCTGTTCTGTCCCCGCAGACCTCTCAGCAACTATTTCCACCATGGACCACACCTTCCTCCTCCACAGGCCTCCTTCCTTGTCTTCCCGGCACCACTCCCCACTGACCATCCTCCTGCCCCTCTAGCCTCCTCCCCTTGGCCTCCTCTGTAGGTTCTCAGCCTGCACCATCACTCGGGCAGCTCTTGGCTTCTGCAGCTCCTCTCTCCCCACCCACATGTGCCACCCAGGACTCTGTCTCAGGCCTGCTCTCCCTCCTCGCTCGATGTCCAATGCTCTTCTCCAACAGGTATAGACTGATGGGATCCCAGACCCTCCTGCTCCTCATCCCTCCATGACATGCAAACCACCACCCAGCCCAGACCCCTCCACTACCCAAACTTTCTCAGACCCGCACCTGGCAGCTCCACTTGAGGTGTCACCACTGTGGGCAGGTGACAACTCTTAAGCAGGACAATCCTACAGGTCCCTCCACTGCCAGGCCGTGCTCTGCACTGCAGGGTAAGTTTTCTAAAATGATGCTTCTACCCTCTAAACCCTCCCATGTTCCTGTGCCTGGTGACACGGTGCAGGCCATGACGGGGTGCTCGTGGTGGGCATTGGCGGCCCTGCAGGATCTGCTGCCCTCCCACCTGCTCCAGTCTCCTGTAGCTTCCCTCTCCCACCCCGAGGTCCTGGCCCAGATCCTTGAAGGCATCTGGGGATCTTCTGCCTCTAGCCCTTTGCAGAGCAGTTCCCTGCCTTGCCTCAAGCACAGGCCCTACCAACCCTGGAGCCCATCCCACCTTCCATGGCCTGTGACCTAAAGCCTCCCTAGTCCAAGTTAGAGGCAGTGTTGGGTCCAGAGCACCCCATGCCAGCAGTGCAGCCTTTTGCTCTATGCAGGGACCACTTATTCAATGCCTGCTGCGTGCAGCCTGGCCCATGAATTCCACGTGGGCAGGACCAGGCCTGTCCTGAGCAGGGCTGGCACCTGGCAGGACCTCAGTAAACAGTTATGGAGAGAATGAGTGAATGAATAAGAATAAGGATGGGCTGGGCGCCTTCTGCTCCCTTGTGGTTCTGGGGTTCTGGGTTTCTCTCCCCAGGCCAGATCTGCTTCCATTAATGTCCTTGGGCAGCACCTTTGAAAGAGGAATCCAAGATGTTCTAGGGCTGATCTCCAGTGGAGCCCTGCTCCCATAGCCATTTTACAAATGAGGAAACTGAGTCCCAGAGTGGGATTTGCCCAAGGCCACAGAGCAGGTCAGTGGCAAAGCCAGGACCACGTGACTCTAAAAATACCCAGTTGGCTGGGCACAGTGGCTCCTACCTGTAATCCCAGCACTTTGGGATGCCAAGGCAGGAGGACTGCTTGAGGCCAGGAGTTTGCAACCAGCCTGGGCAATATAGTGAGACCCTGTCTCTATAAAGAATTAAAAAAAATTATCCAGGCACGTTGACACATGCCTGTAGTCCTAGCTACTTGGGAGGCTGAGGCAGGAGGATGGCTTGAGCCTAGGTGTTTGAGGTTGCAGTGAGCTATGATCACACCACTGCACTCTAGCTTGGGTGACAGAGGGAGACCCTGTCTCAAATAAAATAAAATAAAAATAAAAATAAAAAGTGCCCAGGACCTGGCCACCTAGGCTCAGCAAGTGGTGTGCCCTCCCTCTGGAGGGAGGAGCAAGACTTTGGCTTTTGGTCTCATCCCTCAGGTGGCTATTCCCAGGAGAGCGCATCCCTGAGGTCCTGGTCACAAACGTTGGTTGGGGGCCTCAGGGACCAGACAGACCAAGAGACTTAAAGCTCTGAGACCAGACTGAGAACGAGTGAAGTAGGCTGAGTATCAGACAACAAGCAGCAGTAAGGACTATGTCAAAGGTGAGAGAGCAGGGTCTGCGTAGTCTTTCAAATCCATCATTTAAAAAGGCGCTGTACCGGCCACATAGAACACGTCTGTGGGCCCCATTCAGCGCTGAGCCAGGAGTTTGGGACCCCACACAGGCCCAGGTCCATTGCTTCCTAGGGGAGTTGGAGGCCCACAGAGAAGACTTAGCCCCATCTCCTTCTGGCCCCTTGCAGGCTCCTGGGGCTGAAAAGGGGGTGACATAAGGCTGTGCCCAGGTGTGGAGAGTCAGGGGCGAGGGGCCCTTCCCTTCTGGGAAGAAGCTGCAAGTGCCAGGAGAGGAGGGCCCAGCTTCTGGCCTGGTGCTGGGCTTCAGGATTGCCCGTGCCCGCCCAAGTCTTACCTTTAACCAGGGTATGCTTGTCCGTTGGGGAGGAGCGAGCCAGCACCCGCAGCTTTGGCCAGATCTTGTCAATTCGCTCCTGCTCAATCTGGAGAGGGATGGGGAAGGGGGCGGGTCGGTGGGGTCGGGGAGAGAAACTGAGGCCTGGAGAAGGGAGGGGACATGCCCAGAGTCACTGGGCTCTTAGCAGCACACTGGCTGGCTTCTGTACAATCATGCAGCACCCTACCTCCCAGCTCCCATCTGAGCGCGTTCCCCTGAGGATGCTTTACGTTGGGACACGCACCTCCCCCTTCTCGTTGCGGATCCTCCTGTTGAACTCCTTGCCCTCGAGGCACAGAAAGTCCTCCCCAGGATGGATGATGCCACACTTGATGGCGATGGCCCGAGCCGTGTTGATATTGTCGCCAGTGACCATGCGGACCGTGATGCCTGCCCGCTGGCACTTGCGGATGGCTTCTGGGACCTGGGCAGGAGGGCAGGGGCCATGGGGGAGGGCACCACCTCAGGCAGACTCCCCCTGCCTTCATGGATTCCAGAGGAGCCCTTCTCACAGGCAGCTCTACTGAAAGGGGACTAGATGACTATGAGATGCTGATGACGCACATGGCATATGGGCCACAGCCTCCCTTCCTGTGCCAACGGCAGGCATTGTTAATCAATCACACATCCTTTGATTAAACCCTGATGTGGTTCTCATCACAGAGTCCCAGGTCGCTACCACCTATTGACCATGACGGTCCATCCTGAGACAGAACCATTGGCTGTCTCGACCTGGGCGAAGACTTTGGAAAGACTTCCATGAACGCCTCCTCAGATCTGGCCCCAGGTAAGCTTGGCCAGGTGAACTTCTCTTTGCCTCATCCACATACATAGTTCCTGCAAACTTGACAGATCTATTTGTGTATTTTCAGTTTCTTGGGGGGACATTTGCATTTGGGGGCATTTTACTTACAGAATGTGACACGGATTTAGAATATGTATAAAGGATTATGCTTCAGGTAAAATACGCCATTTCTCTGCAATAATAAGGATAGGTTCTGTCCTCTCTGACTGTAATGACAGACGGATATCTGGGACAATCAGGCCGGATCAGAGCCAGCCAATCAGAAGGCACAAGGCTTCCCAGCCCCGCCCCACCCTACCCCAGCAGCTGGCCCTGAGCAGAGCTGAGGGTTTCCCCGAGGAAACCAGCCTGGAGCTGGGGCACCCCTTTATACACAACAGAAATCAATGGAACGAGTGATTCTTACCCGAGGGCAGTGACAAATAATAAAATAATATTTGCTGCAGAACGTCTTTCAGTGGGAGAGAACATGTCAAGGGCAGGAAATCCAGTTGTTTGGGAGGACCACAGCCTGTTAGAATCTCCAGCCTGGAAGGGCTCAGTCTGACGTTCCCTCCCTGCACACCCCACAGTGACCAGGAGCGCACTCCAGCATCCACCTGCCAAGCCACTGCTGAGGGAGTTGGAAGACTATGGATTGAGTTGTATTCCCCCCAAAAGACAGACTGGAGCCCTAAGCCCCAGTACCTGTGTATGTGACCTTGCTTAGAGATAGGGTCATTATAGTGGTAAATCCAGCTAAAATGAGCGCATCACGGTAAGCCCTAATCCAACAGGAATGGTGTCCTTATAAAGAGGAAATTTCGACACAAAGATATGCAAAGGAGATGCCATGCAGAAATCGGGGTGCTGCTTCTACACTCCAAGGAGGCCAAAGGTGGCCAGCAAGCCACTGGAAGCTGAGAGAGAGGCAGAGACAGCTCCTCCCTATCGTCACTGGAAAGAGCCAGCCCTGCTGACACCTTGGTCTCAAACAGATGTACAGCCTTCAGGACTGTGAGACAGCAAACTGCTCTTGAGCCACTCAGTTTGTGTGACTTTGATACGGCAGCCCTAGAAAACTAGTACAAAGAGTTAGAAGGTGGGGCCAAGCCTGACTGGGACAGCTCCTGCCTGGGGTCTCCTTTCTGCCTTCAGCAATGGTAAAAACAAGGAATCGGCCTTGACTATCTCGCCTGTATCCACCCCATTCACAGCACCTGCCACTCCTTCAGCCCCCACCACCATCGTCTCAAGCTGGGTCATTGCCCAGCCTGCCTCTGGGCAGGAGGGCAGGGGCCATGGGGAGGGCACTACCCTCCCTGTGTACCCTGTGCAGAGGGCACTGCCTGGCCCCTCTTTCCTTACCCTGGCCACCAGTGACCTGCCTGAGTGTCAGCCTGTGGGGCTGCTCTCTTTCAGGGGTTCCACCCTGATGCCTTCAAGAGGAAACCCGCAGTTCTGAGCGTGGCTGTCTTGTGGCGTGAGGAACGGATGCTCTAGAGGGGCAGGGTCCCAGTAAGGAGGCCTCTCTAGCTACTGGAGTTGTCTAAGAGACCGGCTCTGTGGTGGCAGGTAGTGATCTCCCCGTTGTTGAAGGGTTAGAGCAGGGCCAGCTGACCACCAGCCTCCTCTGGGGCTTACTTCCAGGGCCTGGGGAGAAGCCTTCCAGTGCCCACTCGGGGTTTGGGGGCCACGTGAGCAAGGCCCCTGCCTCGTGCCACAGCGGCTAATCACATAAGCAAACGTGACCTCATTCTTACAGGGCTGGAGGGAGTGGGAATGTGGAATGTCCAAGATCTTGTTTATATAACTTACTAACATCCTCATGATGGCTGTAAACTGGGCTGTGGCCCCCTGCTGTCTCCTGCCCCTGAGAACAGCAAAGAGCTGCTGTTTCCTGGGAACGCACACCTTATCTGGCTCCTGCCTCCAAAAGGAGGAATTTAGGTTCTTGGTTTCAAAGACGCTGGAGGACTTGGAGTTGGAAAGGGTTTTGGGTCATTGACTTTGACCCTCTGCCCATTCCCTAGATCCGTTCCCAGGTGTCCTCAACAGATGGGCTGGTCAGCCTCTGCTTGCACACCCGATGACAGGGTGCTCCCTCCCTCTAATGCCCACTGCTCCACTGTGGAACAAGTCTAGCTGATTTTTTAACACAACCTTTCTTTTTTCAGATAGCAGAGCATCACCCTGTGTCAGACCTGTACTCTGTTTGGAGGCAGGGTCTTTGGCACAGGTCTATACAAAAGACTCTGGGAACACAGAAGGGGGTTTTGTGCTGCTGAGTATAAGGGGGTTTTGTGCTGCTTCAGTGCCCTTTGTGCTACTGAAGGAGCACAGAGGGCACTGTTGCTTTAGAAGAAAGTGGGTGGGGAGGAGAAATCAAGGAGGACTTCCTGGGGGAGGGGATGTTTGAGCTGCCAACTGAGGCTCTGGTTCCTGGCATTGTGCCAGGGCTGAGGCTACACAGATGAACACAGATTAGTCCTGGCCGCAGGGAACTGTCCACTCTGCACTGGCAGAGAAGGCCTGAGGTATGAACGGGCCTGAGGGCCACGCTGCAGGTGATCTGGAGGGGCTGAGGGAAGATGTGGGGTAGGGACTGGAGACCATGAATTTGGAGAGGGGCAGAAGGTTCTGGACCAGGGATATGCTCCTTCAGGCACTGGGAACTGTGGGAAGTTCTGAGCCAGGAATGAGGTGATTGGTGCTGCGTTTTAGAAATACTCTCACTTTCAAGACTGTCTCCCAGAGCCAAAATCAGCCATCTTCTGGGCCTCTCCAAGCAAGCTGGCTTCATGAGAAAAATGAAGCTAATTTTTACGGACCCTATACTTTCTTCTGTGCAGTGGAGAGAGGGCTTGGGGACCAACGGGCTGGGCTGGGCTCTGCTCTAGGGTCTCACATGAGCCCTGGTTTCCTCATCTGTAAAATGGGTACAATAGTATCCACCCTTCAGCAAGGCTGGGAGGAACTCTATGACAGGGCACACAGAGCCCACGCACAGGATGGGCACGTGCACACCTTTTCCAATTCCCTTTTCTCTCATAAATGCAACAGGGCATTCACGAGGCCCCAGCCACTCTGCATCCCTTCCTGCCTTCTTGCCCTGCTCATTCTGTCCCCTCTGCCTGGAATGCCCTTCCTCCCTTAGCCTCTGTGTGTCAAGTCTTTCCCATCTTATAAATGAAATGCTCTCTATTCCTGAAGCCATTCCTGATTCCTGCACCCCAACAGGATGTTTTCTTAAGCTGCTCTCAGGACTTAATTTTGTTGCTCACTCATTTACTTATTGGACAAACAGCTCTGGCGCATCTAACTGCTCTGGACACTGAGGATCCGGAGATGATTACGACTCAAACCCCAGAGGCATCGATCCAGTTGAAATATGCTTCCCACATCGATAAAATTACTGTGAAATTAAAAATAAATAAATAAGTTTGGGAAAAAATGACTTCTCTCGCTAAAATTATCCTAGATATTTCTCACTGAGGGAAAGCAGCCAGGAAATGGGTGCTTCCTGTTTTCATTAAATAAAGGCTTTTAAACATCTGTTGTTTCTGGTGACAGCCGTTGTCTGTGACTCCGAGGGCTTCAAACACCCCCGGATAACCCGGCAAATCCCAGACCGCTGCTCTCCTGATGGCTTTATCAGCACTGACTTCAATCAGCCTTGGAAAATGTACCCACTGTAAGGGCTGGCAGTGGGGTGCTCTGGCAAGGGTGTCTTGATCTGTTCTACCCTTTGGGCTTCTCGTGGGAGGAAGGCAATGTGGAGATTCAACCCCTTGACAGCCAGGGAAACCGAGGGAGGTAAAGATTGTTTTCTTGCAGTTGCAAAATGAATCTTAATGTGTCTGCAGGACCCTAGAGATGGCCCGGGCTGAGGTTTTCCCTCTGGCTGAGCCTCCTAGGCTGGAGGCACCAGGAAGGGAGTTCACCTGTGAGATTTACAGAGGGTGACAAATAATTCTGCATAAAGGGACGAGTCCAGGAGGACAGAGCTCTGGGGTGCTTGACAAAAACACGGCCACCATAAGCACACACGTTCCCTGAAGGTCGCCCCTAAAATCTGGGGATAGTGGTTACCTCTGAGGTGGGAACCAGGGGGCTAGAGGGGGCAGGAATGACCTACCTAAAAAACAAACAAATAAACAAAGCCATACCCACCCGTCTCCTTGGGTCCTGCATCCATCCCGCCCCACTCGGAGGTGCTGAATCAACACGTCTGAGCTCTTATGCTTGCACGTGGTGTCACCTGTAACCCTGCTGTGTCCCTCACTGTGAATGCTGGACAGTCTGATTCTCTCAGTTTTCAAGTGGGGAAACTGAGGCCATCTGTGAGGGAGTGGCAGGGGCAGAATTAGAACCCATGTCCCTTGAGTCTGCTGTGTCACTTGAGTAAGTTGCTGCTGTGAGACAGTTTATGACTCCTATATAGACATCCCAGGGGTGAGCCAACAGGAGAGAGCGTGGCCCATGTGGATGCCCTGACTGAAGGAAGTGAGGGAAGATGGGAGGGTAAGTCTTCCAGTCAACTATCGCTCTCTCTGGGGACGTCAGAGCTTGGGAGGGACCCAAGGGGCACCTGGGCTGACCTCCCATTTCATAGCTGAGAACACTGAGGCTCAGAGAGGGAAGTGGCTCGTTAGCGGCAAAGTCGGGGTTGGGGGTTGGCTCCAGGCCCCCCTTTCCCAGAGTCTGTGCCTGCAGCTAACTTCTCTGGATGACCATGCTGTCAACAGAAAATGCCAGGAACCCAGCTCTGCCCCCTCAGGCCCTGGGCATGGGGAGCTCTCATCCTTGTCCTCGTCTGCTCATCCTCTTGACTTAGAACTACTTGTCCTTTCCGGCCGGGCGCGGTGGCTCACGCCTGTAATCCCAGCACTTTGGGAGGCCGAGGCGGGCGGATCACGAGGTCAGGAGATCGAGACCATCCTGGCTAACACGGTGAAACCCCGTCTCTACTAAAAAAATACAAAAAATTAGCCGGGCGTGGTAGCGGGCGCCTGTAGTCCCAGCTACTCGGGAGGCTGAGGCAGGGGAATGGCGTGAACCCGGGAGGCGGAGCTTGCAGTGAGCCGAGATCGCGCCACTGCACTCCAGCCTGGGCGACAGAGCGAGACTCCGTCTCAAAAAAAAAAAAAAAAAAAAAAAAAAAAAAAAAAAAAAAAAAAAAAAAGAACTACTTGTCCTTTCCTTTGTGCGTGTGTGCGTGTGTGTGTGTGTGTGTGTGTGTGTGTGTGTGGCAACCAGGCAAAGGCCCTGAGGCAGGGAGGCAGAAAACCTGTTCTAATCTGGGTTCACTCAGCCACTTTGGGCACATCACTGTCCCCCTTTGGGCTTCGGTGTTTTCTTCTGGAAATTGGGGTTTGTGCGGGAAGGTGTTTGGACTAGATCAGTCACTCAAACCTCAAGTCATGCCCTGTTAGTGACGTGAAATTTGTTTAGTGGGTGGTGACCAACATTTTAAAAAAGAAACAAAGAAATAGAAGAACAGAAAATAGGTAAGTGCATCCCATTATTTTGTGAAATTCTTGCTTTGGTGAAATGTGTGTGTTTACTGAGTCATGACATAAAATACATTTCTTATTGTGCGTCATGGTCAAATAACAGTTTGGGCCTGCCTGTGTCTTCCATTCACCTAAGGGATGTTTCCAAGGCAGGGTGGTGAGCCAGGAGCTCTGGGAGGGCCCGGGAAGGGGGAGGCTGTGGGGTTGGGAAGGACAGGGGAGCCACAGGGTGTAGGCAGGCCAGCCTCAAGTGCTGTGCAAGGATGAAGAGTTTTCAGTAACGAGATAACACATCACAGTGAGGCCTGAACCCATTAGTGGCTGGTAATGAGCAGGTGTCCCACAGGGAGGCTGATAAACGGCCTGTCTGTCCATGGAGAGAGAGGTTTGCAGGAAAGCACGTGTGGGCTCCACTGCCAAGCTCCAGGGGCATTAATTGTCTTTGCTGTTTTAGGATCTTGATAGGAGTGAGGAAGCCACAATGACACCCCCAAGGAGGGTGTGTGTGTATGAGAGAGAGAGAGAGAGAGAGAGAGAGAGAGAGGAGCACTAGGCATGGTGTGGAAGATTGGGGTTCCAGTCCCATTCATTCTTATTCATTCATTCCGCAAACACTCATTGAACACCTTTGGCAGGCTAGGCTGTATGTCTAGGGCTGTTACGTGTCCCTGGATCTAGGGTAATGAAATCTACTGAAGAGGGCATGAAGGAAGGGGACCCACGTATGTAGGCCGCCTATCTTGTACCAGATACTCTGCTTGTTGCTCGTAGATGCATGATCTGAGCCTTCATGATATCCCAGAGGGGGTGTGTGTGATACTATTATTATCCCCAGTATGCAGATGAGGCTCAGAGAGGTTATGTAACTGGTTCAACGTCACACAGCCAGCTGTGCCGGCACTCAGGATCACAGATCTGTCTGATGTCTGAGCTCACACTTTGAACCCTCTCCCTGCTGCCTAAAATGTGAAATGCCTGTGACCTCCTAGTTTCATTTTTCTTTGGAATGCAGAATCTTATAACATCAGGGCCAGGAACTTGGAGGTCATCTTGTCTATCCCTTTTACCTTAAAGAGAGGGAAACTGAGGCTCAGAGAGGAGTAGCAAATGGCCAGAGACCCCCAGAGAACAGTGTCAGGGTAGGTCCATTAAGGAGTGGAGGAGGTGGGCCCTCAAAGCATCAGCACCAAATCTTACAGCCAAGGCCAATCTGGACCCAGCCAGGGCCTGGCCAGGGCATCCGGTCTGGACCTAGCAGCTGAGTGAGTCCTGGGAGGAAGTGGAAGCCAGCCCCTCCTGCACGCTGCCTCATGCCCATGGTGCTCCCCTGGGGCCTCACAGTGTGAGCTGACTCACTCCGCCTGCCATGCACCGTTTTGGAGATTCAGGACAGCTTCCTCTGTTCCCCACAGCCTTTCTTCAGCCTGGGAAGCACCACAGACCACACACATCCCATCCTCCCCTGACCCCGGCAGCTCCAGCACTGAGTTCTTGGTCTTCCCCCTTCAGGTGCAGATTCAGCTAAAGGAGAATGAAGACCTACTGTGTGCTGAGCACCCCACTAGGTGTACTGATAGGCATCGCCTCCCTTGATCCTTGTGAAGTGGGTGCTGTCAGCCCCCTTCCCTTCTGCTGGAGAATGTGACCTTAACTTTCTAGCTCTGTTCCCCTGGGAATCTGATAAAAGTAGACTCTCAGCTGTGTTCCTAGGCCAGCTTGCTGGGGTAAACTGGCTGGTAAACTGCATCTGCACTGGGAGAACTATAAATACTGACAGGGACACCACACTTCGGGTTCTCCTGAGTGCAATGCCCTTGCTATTGGGTGTGTCCTTTGTAGGGACCCTGGAATCCATGTTTGTGGATTTGTTACAGGAGATCCTGGCTCCTGCAGGGCAAGAGGTTTCTAAGGCAGGGCAGCCCCTACACCTGTCCCTTGGGGGACCAGAGGGAAGAGCTCATGGTGGCTGGCTGGACAGCTCGAGGACTGCCCCCATGGCAGAGCAATACCTGCTGGCAACCTGTGGGTTCTGTGTCCTTCTGGGCCGACCCATGCCACATGTGGTCTACACTGTTTCTCATGGGCAATCCTCTTATGAGGATCAAGGAAGGAAATCCCCATGGGCATTATGTGGAAACTGAGACTCAAAGAGGTGAAGTGACTTACTCCAGGTCACCCTGGTGGCTGGCCTCCCAGCCTCATCCCCTTTCCCTGAGCTCGCTGGCCCTGGGGCCTACCTCTGGCCGCACCGGGTCCTCGATGCCCACCACGCAGATGCAGGTGAGTTCGTTGAGGATGTCATTCTCATTGTCCCAGTCCGGCTCCGGGCTGCTGGGGAAGTCGCGGTAGGCCACGCAGATAGTGCGGAGCCCATCGCAAGCCATGGGCTCAATCACCTTCTTTACCATCTCGTCCCGGTCGCGGGGCCGGAAGACACGAGGCTCTCCCGCCCCATTGAGGATTTTGCAGCACCTAGGGGAGGATGGAAGGGAGATGGGGAGCCCAGGGAATGCTCCTTCTGAAAGGCTTAGAGACCACCTCCCCACCCTCGTGATGCCCAGCTAGCTGTGGCTGGTCATCCAGTGCCCATCTAGTTCATCCCCCAGGCAGGGTGAAATCAAGCATTCGTCCTGCAATTTTTGCCCAGGCCACTCAGCAAGCGGAGCCCCACTTTGATGTATTATATACTCACAAGATTCATCTGAAATAACACTCCCACAGCTGAAATGGTTTACAAAGCACATAAAACTCAGGCTAGTAGTTCTTGACCCTGCCTGCACATTAGAATTGCTTGGAGGAGCCTTTAATAAATACCCACGTGCGAGCCTTGCCCCAGAGGTTCCAGTTCAATTTGTCTGGGGTGAATCCAGGAATCAATGTTTTTTTAAACACTCCTCAGAGTGATTCCAATGTGTACCCAGGGCTGAGAACCACTGGGGGCTAGACTAATTGCCTCAATGTACAAGTGGGGAAACTGAGGCCAGAGAGGGGAAGGGATTTGCTTAGTTCACCAGGCTTATTTCCAGCACTCCTCTGGAGTCAGAGGAGTGTGGCTAATAATGAAAATAGCTACCATCAACCAACTCTACGCTAAAGGAAATGAAATAAGAGAGATCTAAGTGTGACAATGAGTAGAACTTCCTGATGAACCAGCGGCTTAGGGAGGAGAAGGGGGAGGACTCTGGCTATAGAAATGTTTAAGAGGATATAGTGGAAAACACAGTGGCCAAGGGGCATGCAAGTGAAGATGAGTCTTGCTGGGTGACCTTGGGCAGGGCCCTCTGTGGCTCTGGGTGCTAGACGGCCACTCCAGCCGGGCAGGCTGCTGAGCCTGGCCTGGATGGCGGCCAGTGCTATATGACCCTGACATCCCCAGCTCCCTGCACCAGGGCACAGCCCTCAGCCCCGGTGCCCTGCCCAGCGCTTACTTCTTGAGCACGATCTCAGAAGCCCCCTTGCTGTACATGCGGAAGCTCTCGTCGGGCAGCTTGATGACAGTGCTCATGGACTTGCGCACGGAGTTGAAGGTGTACACTTTGTACAACTTCTCCTCTGGCATCTGGCTGCGCACGGGCTCGTAGTCCTGCTTCAGGTCCAGCACGAAGCCCAGCAGGCCGCACTCCGTCTTGTTGCCCACCTGCCGAGGCAGGGCGCCCTCCTTCTCTGGGGGCTGCAGAGAGAGGAAGGAGCGGCTGGCACCTGGTGGGGCCTGTGTCGGGAGCCTCTGCCCTGGCTGCCACTGAGGCTCTGGGACTGCCACTTAGGTGGTCTCTGGGCTGGGGGCTGAGCCCTCAGGGAGCCCTTGGCCCATCCCCTGCACCCTCAGGGCTCTGCATCCCAGGTCCAGTCCTGACTCCGGGTGAAAGGAGTGAAGCAAGATTAGCTTTTAAAAAAATTATGAATTATTTCAAACATGAAAAAGAGAATGATGTAACAAAGTTACGTGCCTATCATCCAGCTTTGTAGCATCTTAACATTATGCCGTACTTGCCTCAGATTTTTCTATTTTAAGAAGTAAAACATTACAGATAAAGTTGAATCCCCTCCGCAAACCTCTCCCCATCTGCATAATTCACTCCTTGTCCCAGAAACAACTTCTGTCTTAAATTTAGCATTAATCATTACCATGTGTGTATTTAACTGTTAATTCCGAGATAATTGTAATTCACATGCAATAAGAAACAATACAGAGATGCCGTATACCCTTCATCCAGTTTCCCCCAATGTCATCACCATAGTATTAACACAAGTACCACAACTGAGATGGAGATGCTGACGCAAGGAAGCCGAACTTGTGGAGAGTTCACCGGCTTTACATGAGCTTGTGTGTGGGTGTGCGTGTGTATTTTCTATGCAATGGCACCACATGTGAGTTAATGTGGCCACCACCACTGTCAAGATTCAGGACAGTTCATCACAAGGGTCCTTGTACTACCCTTTTTTTAAAGCTATGGTCACCTCTCTCTTCCCCCGACTCCCTGGCCATGGCAACCACTAATCTGTTCCCCGTTTCCAAGCTTTCATCATTTCCAGCCTGTTATATAAATGGAATCATACAGTCTGTAACTTTCGGAGCTTGGCTTCTTTGCTCAGCAGAATCCCCCTGAGATCCAAGCAAGCTGCTGTACGTGCTGATAATCTGTTCCTTTTGATTGCTGAGTGGTATTTCATGGGACAGACAGACTGTCCCTCATGAGTTCAATTAGGTTGAACCAATGGAAACTGCTATTTTTGAATGTCAAAAATGGTCAAATATGGGCAAGTTCATGCAGTTTAACCTAATGAGACTCCTGACCTCAAGTAATCCACCTGCCTTGGCCTCCCACAGTGCTGGGATTACAGGTGTAAGCCACCATGCCCGGCTGTAACTGCGCCCGGTTGTAACACTGTTTCTGAGATTCATTCATGTTTATGGCTCTAGTGTGTTCCTTTTTAACTGCTCTATAGATGCCATGATATGAATATGCTGCAAAGACTTATCCCTTCCCTGAGTGCCTCCCTTATTTCCTTCTCCCCTTCACACATTAGACACACAGTCTTTGGCACCTGCTTCATGCTGGCCCTGTGCCCGCCGCAGGGCCGTGTGAACACCATTAGCTCCTGTCCTGGAGACTCCCAGAACACCAGCTGCATCTCCCCAGCACCTGTCACTTCCTCACATGGCTGCCCGAACACGGGCTGTTTCATGCCTCTGTGCCTTCACCTCTGCTGCTCCTCCCAGGTGGGTCCCTCTCCCTTCCCTGCCAGGCAAACTTCCTCTTGTCCTTTAAGGACCAGCTCAAATATCTCCTTGTTTTTGAAAACTGCCATGTGGGTCTTTCTTCCCCTGTGTAAACAAGCTGAATTCTATTCCTCTCTGGGTTCTCAGGGTCAGTGCAAAGCCCAGCACACAGCAGGTGCTTATTAACTGTTTGCTAGATGGCTTAATGCAGACCAGAGTGGTGGGGGAGACTGGTTAATGGTAAGGACGAGATGCCTCCATATGGGCACTGATGTTGGATTCACAGGAGGCTGTGAAAGTGCAGATTTGCAGGTGGCTCCCATGTGCACCCCCCAACCCCAATGCACACACCCACTCATGCCACTTAATAACATTGAGACAGGTGACTCAGGTGGAGCTGGCTTCAGGGGTGCTGAAAGACAACAGAGATAAACCCAAACTCTAGAGAGATTCTGAAGACGAAATAGCTATGAACACGCCTGTGTCCCCCTGAAGTACCAGATGAACCTCTCACAAGGAGCCCTCTGCATCCTCGTCCTCAGTCTCCCTCATATTACCCAAAAGAGCAGCCCAGACAGGAAGAAGGTGGACTCAGGAAGATGTCAGCATGGACTGGCTGTGCAGGGACAGGGAGGACCCTCTGTCAGCAACTGGATGTATCCCTGGCCTATTCTTCCCTCTTCTGCAGCTAGGGCTCGGGCCCAAAGAGCAGACCCGATTCACATGGGGGGAATACAGGCATTGACACGCAGTGGTCCTGAGACCTGGGGATGCATAGGAAAAAAAAGAGCCTTTGAACCTAAACCAGGTCCTCAGTTTCCCCATCTGTAAGATGGAGAGGCTGGAGCACATGCTTTCTAGCTCAGAGAAATATCAACCCTCTCCTTAAAGTGGATGTGGTGAGGGAGGGTAGAGTGAGGAAGAACTGCAGGTCCCTTGGTGGATGGTACGGGGGCCGTGGATAGGGAGCAAGGCTCAGAGCACCTCCCCGGCTCCCATGGCCATACTGACCTAAGGCATCCTGTGCCTTGAAAAATGCCCCACTCCCAAGCTCTTTGATAGGTTTTACTAAGAAGCAGAGGAATATTTGACACAGCTTCCCATGTCTGAAGTTTGGGAAAATAAGTTCTAAGATCTTCCCTTTCTCTCTGCAGTATGCTGTTATTGTGTGCTATACATATATATACATATACATATATATATATATCTCACACACACATATATATTTGCAATTTTATAATTAACTTTCTGTTGATTTCCAGAGTTTTATGTATTTTCCATAACAGTTTTTTCTCCCTCTACTAATGAAAGAAAATGACGACACAGAGGACTTAAATAAAAATGCCTAATTACTTATTTGCCCAAGAGAGCTGAGCAGTCCTGCCTGCAAAACACTCAGGATTTTATTACCCTCTGTGAAATATTTTAATTTTCCTCTAAAAGGATTTCAAACAATCCGTGGTTGCAAATGGCAGAGCTGCCTCCTCCGTAATTCAGTTTGTTTCCATGAACTTGAGCTCTGAAATTGCCTACGTGCATTACTAAGAATCAGGGACCCTCCCCTTTTCTCTTCTGGCTTTTTGAGATCCTGACAAACCCAGAAGTTTTGCTCCTGCTGTAAAATTTCCACGAGCCTTTTTATCTCCAGGGCTCCAACTCTGTAAGGGAGTTAAGGCATTGGTATTGTTCCTGTTTTGAGGGACGGAGAACAGGCCCTGGGGAGAAAAGGCACTTGCTCCTAGTCAGGGACCTGCAGAGGGTCAGGCCTGGGACTGCCCCAGAGCCCCTGATTCCAGTTCCAGCTTGGTCCAGCACATTTCTTGGCATGGTGTTGGGCCTTTAGGGAATGCTGGGTGCAGCCATGGTCGTACCTTTGAGAGGACAATTCGTGCTCTTGTTTTGGGATGCTGGGAAGTGAATGGAGCTAAGATCAATGAATGATGACTTGAAGAGCTACACGTTACGGATAACATTTGCAAAAATGGGATTAAGAAAAACCATAGCATATATCACCCATTAAGATGGCTACTGTTAAAAAAAAAAGAAACAAAAAATAATGTTGGTGAGGATGTGGAGAAACAGGAACTCCTGTGCACTATTGGTGGGAATCTAAAATGGTACAGCCACTATGGAAAACAGTATGGTAGTTCCTCAAAAAATTAAACATGAAATTACTATATGATCCAGAAAGTCTGATTCTGGGGAATATGCCCCAAATAATTGAAAACAGGTACTCAAAGAAATATTTGTATACTCATGTTCAAAGCAGCATTAATCACAAAGTCTAAGAGTTGGACACAACCAACGTGTCCATCAACAGATGAATGGATAAACAAAATGTCATTTATCCATACAATGGACTATTACTCAACCTTAAAAAGGAGGGAAATTCTGATACATGCTACCACATGAAGGAATCTTGAGGACATTATGCTAAGTGAAATAAACCAGTCACAAAAGGACAGAAACTGTATGACTCAACTTTTATGAGTTACTGGAGCAGTCAGATTTACAGACAGAAAGGAGAATGGTGGGTGCCAGACATGGGAGGAGAGGGGAATGGAAACTTACCATTTAATGGGTACAGAGTTTTAGTTTTGCAACCTGAAAAGAGTTCTGGAGATGAGTTGTACAACAATGTGAATGTACTTAATACTACTATATACTTGAAAATGGTCAAGTTTGTAAATTTTATGGTATATATATTTTATGCAAATTTTTAAAATAAAAAATAACTTAAAAAGCTCCTAAACAGGCCAGGTGTGGTGGCTCACATCTGTAATCCCAGCACTTTGGGAAGCTGAGGTGGGAGGATCACTTGAGGTTGGGAGTTTGAGACCAGTCTGGCCAAGATGTCAAAACCCCGTCTCTACTAAAAATACAAAAATTAGCCAGGAGTGGTGGCAGGCCCCTGTAATCCCAGTTACTCGAGAAGCTGAGGCAGGAGAATCACACAAACCCGGGAGGCGGAGGTTGCAGTGAGCCAAAATTGTGCCACTGCACTCCAGCCTGGGCGTCAGAGCAAGACTCCATCTTGGGGAAAAAAAATAATAATAATAAAAATAAAAAAATAAAAAAGCTCCCAAACGAACCCCATAGCATGGTAAACGGCAGTAACTGCAATGTGATGATTTTTCTAAGAGGCCATTAGAAAACAACTTTATGCTAATTGGCTGTCTCTGGTGACCTAGCCAGTATCCTTTAAGGACAGGCATCAGCAATGACGTCTCCCCTGATGCCTGGAGGCCCAACCTCAACAGCTGTAGCCATGCCCGTTTCCCCAAATGCCTTCTCTGCGCTCACCACTCTGCTGAGTTCTTCACGTGCATCACCTTATCATAGGCTCACAGCTGCCTACAAGGCAGGGGCTGCTCTTTCTCTCATTTTAGAGTCATGCACAACTGAGGCCGGGAGAGGCAAGGCTGCATGGCAAGGAAAGGTCTACTTGGCTAGGAGCCGAAGCAGGGGGTCTGGGCCCTGAGCCCGCAGAGCACCTCTCCCAGAAGCCTGCCTCTCTCCCTGGCAGAGACCACTGGCTCAGAGTCACCAGGGCAGGGCAGTTGGCCTCATTCATGCCCACATCCCCACCCCACCAATGCCATAGGGCCTCCAGTGAACATCTGTCCAGTGAATCAATGAATAATTTTGTGTTTGTGTGTGGGGTGCTGCCAACAGGACCCCAGGTGGCACGAAATTTTGGCAGAACTTGGTTCCCAGAATCATCCTCTAAAGGCCTGGCTTTTGAGGAGAGTGAGGTGGCTGTGCAGGGCCAGTGAGCCCTGGGGTCTTCCCCAGAGTGGGGGAGGGCAGGAGGTGGGTGCGGGTGTCCGGGACGACAGAAGCCCCCTGGAATGCAGAGGCGCTGCACTCCGGGAGAGTAGACCCCAGGAGCCTTCCCCAGCTCACCAGTGCAGAGTGTGTGTGTGTGTGTGTGATGCATGGGGTGTGTGTCTGTGGTGTGTGTATATGTGTAGTGTACTTGGTATGTGTGTGGTGTGTGTGTGTGTATATGATGTGTTTGGTCTGTGTGTCTGTGGTATGTTTGGTGTGTGTGTGGTGCATGGTGTGCGTTTGTGTGGCAGGTGTGTTGTGCGCTGTATGTGTATGGTACGTACTGTGTATAGTGTATGTGTTGTATGTGCTGTGTGTGTGTTGTATGTGCATGATGGGTGGTGTATGTGTGGTGTGTGTGTATGTGTCACTGTGTGCATATCAGGGTGAAAGGACTAACAGCTCTGTTCAAAACTGGAATTCCCCATCTGGAGTGATTTCCTTTAAACTCTTCTTCCAGAGACGGTGTTCGCCAAAAAAACCAAAAGCAAAACCCTTGTTGAATTCGACACCCAGGCCCCTGCTGTTTCACATACCCCAGGGCCCACCTCCGGACCTCAGTGCCCTGCTAAGTCCCTTCCAGTATCTTCCACACCTTCTGACCCTCTTGGCTTGGCAGGAGCCCAGTCTCAGGGTATGGCCTGGCTTAGGGGGACTTTGAGGCTCACTCGAATATTAGATCGAGCCCTGGGTTTGGTCTCAGGAGATCTGAATTCAAGGGCTGTCTCTGCTTCCCCCCTTCCCCTTTCTCCTCGGCCCTCCCTACTATCTGCTAGGTTTTAAGATTTATGGGAAATACAGCACAGCCAACCCTCCTCCCTTCTGGGGTTATTGGCCTCGTGGCCACCTCCATGTAGAATGGGGTGTACTGGGGACCTGGGGCTTCACCAGGCGAAGCTTGGCTTATCTATTCAGGAAAACCATCCTGCAGGGGGAATCCTTCCTTCAGAACCACTTCGGGGGCTCCAGGGAGATTTGTTTTTCTCTCAATAGCTTATGTTTCAGAAATACGCCATAAACTCCCAACAGTTCAGCTCCGCAAGTGCCCATCCTCAGTTTAATAGTTCAAATGTCAACTGCAGTATCAACCTCCTCTAAAAGAGGTCTAGTGAAGTAGAAAATGTAAGTCCGCTCGGGTGGTTCCAGTACACAGAACAGACATGGGCAGAACAGGGGGATGTTTTCCCAAGGAAGCGTGGTGCCTCCAGAGGTCGAGGAAAGAGCTATTTCCATCTGAAAGCTCAGCTGTGGCTCGGAGGAGCAGCAGGACAGCCAGAGCTGCTAGTGGAAGTCTTGACGTACAAAGCACCGCAGACCACAAAGGGAATCTGAGGGTGTGCCAGGGTTTCTGAGGCAGGGAAGCAATTTCTGACTAAAAGATGATTCACACAGCTTCCCTCAGAGGGCAAGTTTAGTTACTGATGATTAGAAATAAGAATGGAAAGAAAAAAGGCTCTGCCATTCTCAGAAAGGATGGGGCACAGGGTGGGGCTGGGCCCCTGAGAGGCCTCCCAGCCTGCAGCCTCAGCCCTCACACCACCCTCCTCCACCCGTGCCTGGGGTGGTTCTTCTGAGCGCTGGGAGGAGAAAGCCCATTAGGGGCTTATTTGCTACCACTGGCTCCCCCCATTTCTCCCAGCCTCACCTCTTGTCATTCTGGCCCTGCAGAAATGCCCAGGCCACAAATCACCATGTTTCCTAAGTGAGCTACACATCTTAAGATCTCTGGGCCTTTGCAGGGTTGTGCCCCCTGCCTGGAATACTCTTGCCCCCTGCCTGCTTGGTGAATTCCTCCAGAATTCTCTGGGCCCAGCTCTGCCACTTGGTGGTGAGCAGCGACCCTGGTAGGTTCCCTTCTGTTTCTGCAGCGCGGTTTTCCTAGCTGCGAGATGGGAATGGTCCTATTTGGCCAGCTGATCTGAAGGGGATGTTGAGGGTCAAGAAAGACAGTGGCTGGCATAGCAAACTACAGAGGGGAAAGCTCAGAAAGAGCAGCAGAGGGAAACAGAGTAATGACTGCCATGGATGAGCACCTGCCTGCTCTGTGTCAAGTACTGTGCAGGGTGCTGTACACACCTCAGTTCGTCTAAGCTTCACAACAGCCCTCGGACAAACAGCCTCATGGCAGAGGTGTGGCTCTGCCCTGAGTGGCAGGGACCTGGGCCTGGGCTTGGGATTGTACAGATCTGGGTTCCAATCCTGGCTTGGCCTCAGATCTGCTCGGGTACTCTCGGCATGTGGCTTAACTGCTCCAACTGCAGGGTCCTTATCTACGCATTGGGGTGTGGTGTCACCCACTCTGTGGGTTGTCATACAAAGCAAGGTAGGGAAAGCACTCAGCATTGAGCCTAGCTAAGTAAATGTTAGCAATAATGATATGCTCACTTTATAGACTGAAAAACAGAGGCTCAGAGAGGTTAAGTAACTGGCTCAGGATCACACAGGTGATGAGTGTTGGGGCTGGGATATGAACCTGGTCTGTCGGACTTTAGAGCCAAACCTCTTAACCATTGCTTCCTGAGCTAGGTATTGGAACACCTGGATTCTAACGTCACTAACCCATGGGGTGACTTGGGACAAATCCCTTCCCATTTCTCAGAGTAAACTGAGGGGGCTGAACTAGGTGGTCTCTACGGTTTGTGAGTCTTGTAGACCTTGCAATCTATCCTTGCAAATACTCTTTTTTTTTTTCAGTAAAAGACATCGGCTAATTGGGAGGTCTATGGATCAATGCTGCCTGGATGGCTGAGGGTAGTTGTGGAAGAGACCAGCTCAACAAGCTGGAGGTAGTGAGAGAGCACTGGTATGGGCCATGGGACTGGATCCAAGGCCAACTTCCTGCCTCTTGCTGCCATACAAGAACAAAAAATTAGAAGGTAGAGACATCAGTCCTGCCTTAAGACTCCTATAAATTCATAGTCACCCATCCACCCATTCACATATTCATCCATCCATTCGTCCATTCATCCATCCATCTATTCATCCACCATTCCATTCCATCAAGCAATCAACACATCTACCCATCCCATCCCATCCATCCACCCATCCACCTACCAGCCAATATATCCATGCATCCACTCATCCATCCGCCAATGAACACATCCATCCATCCATTTACCAACCATCACATCCACCCATCCATCCATCTATTCATCCATCCACCCATCCATCCACCTAACCGCCATCCATCTGTCCATCCACCCATCCACCCATCTATTCATCCACCCACTCATCCATACACCCATCCATGCATTCATCCATCAATCCATCCATCCACTCATTCATCCATCCACCCATCCATCTACCTACCCACCACTCATCCATCCATCCCCCCTTCTCCCTACCTATCCCTCATCTCATTGATTGCTCATCAACACATTTATCCATCAGTCCATTCACTTACATCACCCATCCACCCAGCACTTCCCAAAAGTCTATCCAAGGGGGATGAGAGAAGACTCAGCTGTCTCCTGCTCTTAAAAAGCCCACAGCCTGGCATCAGACAGCAAGAAGACACAGAGGAACTGGCCTCCTTGTGGAGGGGGAAATACAGCATATGGGAGCCCAGCCCTGCCCAGGGTCTTATTTTCCCAGTCTAGGCTCATTTCCCAATTAAAGCTGATGGGTAGTGAAGCTGGTGGACATTGCATGCCCTTCCTGCCCTGTCTCCTCTTGTATGGGTTCAGAA
The DNA here is from genome assembly GCF_000001405.40 of Homo sapiens. Lineage (NCBI taxonomy): Eukaryota > Metazoa > Chordata > Mammalia > Primates > Hominidae > Homo > Homo sapiens. The sequence goes on from NC_000003.12 coordinate 10,369,194, forward strand.
TGTCCTGCAATCTAGATTTCCTGTCCTGGTTTGGAGGGTGGCCGGATGTCTGCCCTGAGCAGAGCAGCTTGGGCCTCTTCTCAGTCTTCATCTGAACCTAGAAAGGGGAGCCCCTGAGAGGCTTTTTGCCCCACATGGCTGGCAGGCCCTGGCTGTGAATCTCACCTTCTGGACCCCAGACCTTTCTTCCCAAGCAGACCGTAGGCTAGAGGTGCTGCAGGGTTGGTATCTATGACCAAAAACCTAGTCTGGACATCAGACTCAGCAGCTAGCTTTAGGGCATCCATGGGTCAGTTTTGCTGCTAATTGGCTGAATGGTTTTGGGCAATAGCCTTTCCCTCTCTAGCCCTGATGTCTCTGCTCTCTTTATTTGTTAACCTCTGCATTGCTACAAATGGAATCCTCTTTCGGTGGGTGATTTTATTGCTGAATAACAACAATACTAGTCATACTGAGTGCTGTGTGCCGAGCACTTTCCATTAACTAACTCACTTTATCCTCACAACAATCCAAGATTCTCCCCCTCCCCTAGGAAACTGAGGCACCAAGAGGTTAAATAATTTGTTTATATTCATACAGCTGGTGAGGGATTTGAACGAAGGCAGTCTGGCTCCAGAGTCCAAGTTTTAACCACTACCCAGTCACACAGAGGCTCTGCTGTCCTTCCCACATCGACGGCTGTCAGCTCCCAGCAAAGAGAATAATGTGGCCAGGGAACTTACAAGAAAGACCCAGAAAGACAGGCGCAGGTATCTATGATGCCAGGGTTCCAGGCACAGAGGGGACTCTGGTGTCTGAGAGGTAAGGGATCTGGCCTGGGTTACAAACCAAGGACCCCAGTTCCCAGGTCCCTGACCTCCTCAGATGGACCGACTGACCCCTGTCCTTTATGCCACCTGAAAAGACTCAATCCACCAACATCTGGAAATGACATTTCAGCTTTGCCTCCGGTGCTAAAAAGCACTGCTTAATTGAGACTCATCACTGTGGAGAGGTTTCCTCAGCCTTCCTGGCAGATCCCAAGAATTCTTTTTGACTATAATTGCATTACACACATCTCAATCCAAGCCCACCCCACAGGGCTGTGCCCACATGGCTGAAGCCCGTTCTGGGAATCGCCCTGTTCCCCTCTCTGCCAGGTCTGCAGGAGGAGATCATTATCAGCATCCCAGTTATTTTAGGAAGTCCTGGGGAGCAGAATAAAGCATCGCTGATCTCCCTTGATTCCCAAATTGGGTGGGGTGGGGGAAGAAGACAAAAACGTCGTCATGTTTGGCATCACCGCCAGGGTTCTCTATCACTGTCTGCATGGGTCCTCTGACCTACTTTCCCCGTTGTCAGTTCTGCCTCCCTTAGCCTGCTGCTCCAGGATGATGCGGGTGGCTGCTCAGCTGCTGTGGAGGGTGCAGGAGCCGCCTCCTCCTCCTTCCCCTACCAGCCCTTGGCTCTTTGCTGCTGACTCACGCTCTCTTCCCCATTTCGATAAAGCTGCTAGCAGCTCCTACAAACCCAGCCTGATCGAGAAGGTTGCAGCTGGCTCAGGGGCAGAAGGAGGAGGAGGTCAGGGCTCAGCACATTGGGAGGGTAAACAAAAAAGCTTAGCTGATCACCCAGATGCTCTCAAGGCAGAAACGTTCTACATCTGGGAGCTGATGGACATCTGGATGGATGAAGTTTGGGTTTCTCTTCATCTAGTGCTGAGGCAACCTGTGCTTCTAAACCAGATAGGGTTTACAGCATGGTGAGTCTAGACAGCTTAGCTGAGACAGTAGGTTGAGAGTTTTTCTTATCAAAATGAATAATATTACTACTATTAGCAACAACAACATCATCAGTGGTAGACTGTGAAAATGGCCACAATTATTCTCCTTTCTGAATCCATGTCCTTACAGCACCTCTCATCAAGAGGTGAAGTTTATTTTACCACTGTGTGAATCTGGGCTGGCCTCCTGACTTACACTGGCCAAGAGAATGCAGCAAAAAGTGATAACGTGGCGGTTCAGGCCTCAAGAGACTTGCACACTTCTGTCCTCTCTCAAAGGCCTGTTGTCGCCATGTGAACAAGCCCAGGCTAGCCTGCTGGAGGAGGTGAGACCACACAGGGCAGGGATGAGCCAGCCCAGCTGAGGCCATGCCAAGTCAGCCTACAGTTCTGCCAAGATCAGAGGAGATGTCCACATGAACCCCCACAGATGCAGGAGGAAGCCTAGCTGAGACCAGAAGAACCATCCAGCTGAACCCAGCTTGAATTGCTGACTCACAGGACTTTGAGTGAAATACACAGGTTTGTTTCAAGCCACTAAGTTTTGGAGTAGTTTGCTATGCAGCAAAAGCACACTAATGAATGTTTGTCTGTGTGTGGGCAGGGGGAGTGGGGGTTCAACGACAGGATTTAAAAAGCATAATTAACAATAAAGGTTTCTTTGTCACACAAACATTGTAGCAATATTAATAGTATATTAACTCAAACAGAAACATGTTGCTTACTATCTGACCATACCAAAATATATTAGCAGGATTTGAGACTATGAATCACATTGCTCAACCTGCCCAGTACCTCTGTACCATCCCATGGATGTTGCTCCAGGTGGTGGATGTGCCTGGTCCACACTTACCAGAATCTTGGTGGTGTAGGCGCTGTTGATGGCGATGGCATTGATCAGCAGCTCCATGGTCTTGGTGTTGATGGAGCTGGGGTCGGGGATCTCTTTATAGTGGACGTCGCCGACATAGGCCTGTACCACTGTCATGCGATTGGTGGTCAGCGTGCCTGTCTTGTCTGAGCAGATGGCTGTGGCATTGCCCATGGTCTCACAGGCATCCAGGTGGCGTACCAGGTTGTTGTCCTTCATCATTTTCTGGGAGAAGGGGCAGGTGAGAGGGCAACAGTGAGGAGAGGGGCTGGGGAGCATGGGGTGCCTGGAGGCACTGGGTAAACATGCAGTAAATAAGGCAGAGCCACCACAGCCTGCCCCTTTGCTTCCGGCACTTGTAAAGGATCTTGGTTGCTGCTGCCTCCTATACCTGGGCTTCTTTTGTCTGCGCGTGGCCCTTTCCTTTCTCTGTTAGTATCTGAACCATTTAAAGGACTCAGTTAATTGAATTTATTAATTTGGATTACAGAAGTAATCTACATTCTTTACGGGAAGAAGGGGGAAAGATAAATAAGGTTGGTTCCCTCTCTGAGTACTTTAAGTATTTTTCTCTTATAGACTAACATAAGTAACTATTCCTTATTTGGTCATGAATTTTCTCAAACCTATTATCTTTCACTGGCGCCTGGCTTTCATTCTCATTTTAATTTTACCAAAAGTAAATAAATTAGGATACAGGAAAATATCTGGAAAAATATCAAAGTATTAATGTCATTATTGCTAAGTGATAGAATTACAGATTTTTGTCTTTTCTATGACTAACATATATCACTTGCATAATAAAAACCACACATTTCTTTAAAAAAATACACAAAAGGGAAAAAGAAAACATATCAACTATTAGCTACCATCCAGAACTAGGTACATCTTGTATATCAACATCCTTTTTTTTTGAAATTTATAACAAAAATGGAATATTCCTATACACAATATTTTCTTCTATCTGCCTTCTTTTCTCTCTGGCCCAACTCCACACTCATACCTTCTTCTAGGCTCTCAAACAAGTAATGCAAATGAAGTAATTCTCAAGGAAATACTGTTCTTCATGCAGGCCCTCCTGACATAGTAGCTGAATCAGATGGAGTTCTAGGCTGTGCCTAGGAATTTGATTTCCTTTATTTTTGCTCCTCATTATAACTCTTTATAACCAGGGTAAAAAAGAATAATAATTTTAATAGAGCTTTATGTTACTAAAAATGAGTATTAGTAGGATTATATTCTCTGGCAGTTTCTCCTACTATAACTTGTGATAATAGTAATAATAAACGCACGTTGAATGATCAACAGCAACTTGAATTTGCAACATGTTACAGTTTGCAAAGCCTTGTTGTGAATTACTTCTTGTCCGATGTTTTAAGAATTCTGTGGCACAGGAAAGGATTCTGGTAATCCATTTTGGCAACTGAAGAAATCTAGGCAAAGTGACCTGACCAGGATCACACACCCGGAGGGGTTTAAAGCTGGGATTTGAACCTACCTCCGTTTAACCTCACAGCCTGGACCTTTCTATTGGGCCTCAGCCCACCTGTACTCTTTGAAGAGGGTTTGTCTGTTGGGCTCAAGAATCTTTAAGTCCTTACTATCCAATACGGTAGTCACATGTATTGTGACTACACCTATAGGGTACTGAGCACTTGAAATGTGGCTATTCTGAAGTGAAATGTGCTGTGAGTGCAAAATATACATCAGATTTAGAGGATATTTTGAAAAAATGTAAAAGTAGTAGTTCATTTATAATTTTTATAGTGATCACACATTGGATTGATAATAAGTTGGATAATAGTGTTGGATTTGACATACTGGGTTAAGTACATTATTAAAATTAACTTCACTGGTTTCTTTTTCCTTTTTTAAAATAATGTAGCTACTAGGAATTTTTTCTTCTTTTTTAAAAAATTATTTTATTTTGTAGAGATGGGGTCTCACTATTTGCCCAAGCTGATCTTGAACTTCCGGGCTCAAGCGATCCTCTTGCCTCGGCCTCTGAAAGTGCTGGGGATTACAGGCATGAGTCACCACGTCTGGCTGCTACTAGGAAACTTAAAATTGCACACGTGGCTCACATTCTGTCTCTTTTTGGGCAGTGCTGATCTAAGTGGTCAGTCATCTCTGTGCTCTTGATGGTGGCTCCCAGGTCCAGGCTCAGAGAGGGCACAGTCTGCCTCTCCTGTGTTGGGGTGCTCTCCTAAGTTTATCAAGTGACTGTAAAAGTACCTAACTTTAACACTACCTAAGATGAGCGAAGGTAGCGGGTGCCAGAGATACGAACTGCAGAAGGCGCAGAGGCCTAAAAGCATCTGTATATGATTCTCCCAAACCAGCTCTGTGCAACTTTCAAGGACATCCCCGGGCTCAGTGAAGTGGCTGTGGAGGCCCCCTACTCGTGGCTCTATAACAGTCACCCTCTGCTGGCCCTGGGTCCCAAAGTAGCCTCTTGTTGTGGCCTGTTTGGGCTTTGGTTTGTGGGGATGGAGTTTCCTCAAGAACCTTAAAACAGGAAGACGATAAGGGCCGTATTTGTTACACAGAACTGCCACTTTCTGGCGTCTGTCTAGAGATCTCTTTTCTGTATGAAATTACATCGGAGAGCCCAGCCCAAATTCCAGCTTGGAAACTGATGCTCACCATGCCCTCTGGAGGCTCTGCCAATTTCTCAGAGTGAATGCCTCGTTTATAAACATGGCCACGCCTCCACCCTTGCAGGGACATTCTGGCATGGGGCACTGGGAAACAGAAGCCCTACGCCCGGCCCTTCGAGGTGGAGAAAACATGGGGCAAAGGGAAGAAAATGAGACCCGGGTGTGAGAACCTGGGGGTGACCCAGTAGGGTCAGACTCGCAGTGACTGGGCACTGCAGACAGTCATGGCCTGGGTGCAGGTGGAGGTGCAGCTCTGCCATCAGGGTAGCGCTTAGAAAGGTCCCAGACCAAGCTTCCCCGGAAAACATTCATGACCCCAGCTCTTCATTTAACTGCTTTAAAATTTCTTATATTTTTAGCCTCTTTCCCAAGGGGAGGAGGCTTCTATGAAATCAGACTTCCTTTTTGTTTTTGGCTTACCCCTCACACTTCAGGGAGCCACCTCTGTGATGAGTTTTACAAGCGCTACAGTTGCCCGCGGGGCCTACGACTGAGACCGCCAGACTTCTACGTAAATTTGGTGGGGTAAGGATGAATTCTGGCTTGCACGGTGATGTCTTTATTATTTTTTTAAAATTTTTGAGTTGATTATCAATGTCTAAAAATCACGAGAGTCTACATTAAGTCCAGATTTCTGGCTTCTCTTGGAAAAAGGTGACAATGTGGCAATGCTGGGCCTGCACCCCTGCAAGGCGGCGTGTGGCTGGGCTGAATAACAGCTGCCTCTTCAGCCAGGGTATGGCTCTCTGGTTTGCTACAGGCCCCTGGACTCTATGAAAGCGTCAGAGTTTTGGGGTCCTGCATACATTCTTCTTCCAAGCTCCTAGGGGGTCTATGGGGCTTCTTCGTTCATCTCCCAACCCCAGCACCAGCCCCAGTGATTCCCCCAGGCCCTCAGCTGCAGCTGCATCAGCCGGCTGGTCCTGCTCTCCTCCCCTCTCACCTTCACCGAATAGGCCAACGAGATGGTGACGGCCAGAGGGAGCCCCTCGGGCACGGCGACCACCAGCACCGTCACGCCAATGATGAAGAACTTGACAAAGTACTGCACGTAGACGGGCGTGCACTCAGGCAGCCACGGCTTCTTGTTGACCACGAAGGTGTCCACAGTGAAGTAGAGCACCAGGATGATCACCGTGATGGCTGACATCACCAAGCCTGCAATGTGAGGGACACATGCTTGGGGGGTTCCAGGAAGTGGAGGCTGGGGGTGGTGTGGACCAAATCTTTGGCTGAAAGAGCTCCGGGTCAGGCTGACCCCAGCTCACCTCCCAGCTCTGCCACTCCTTGCTTTATGACCTGTGGCAAGTTCTTGAGACCTTGATCCTCACCGAGCCTCAGTCTCCTGCTCTGTACAATGGGGATGCATACTTCCTCCCCAAGATTTTGTAAGGCTCAAATGTGGTAATAACGCATGCAAAGTGCCCAGCATAGTGCTCGGCAATAGTATGTGCTCGACACATAGTAGGTGCTCAAGAGATGTGTGCCGAGTGACTGTGTGAATAAAGGAGGAATGGTTTGCATTGAGCTTTCACACAATAATGACGTGAAGTTGGTATCATTTATTTATTCATTTATTCGACAAATACCTTTTGAGCACCTATGACACGCCAGGCACATCTTAGTTCCTAGTTTGGGAACTAGGACACAGCAGTAAAGAAGACAAGAGTTCCTGCCCTTGAGGAGCAGACATTCTAGAGGAGGAGGAAGACAAGAAACAAAAAAACGAATACATGAACAAGACAGTTTCAGATATGGTGACACATTGTGAAGAAAAAGGCCAGGATGATGTGATAGAAAGTGACATGGGGGACAGGGGTAGGGAGTGGTTACTTTAGCTAGGGTGGCCAGGGAAGGCTTCTTGGAGGAGGTGGTATTTGAGCAGACACCAGTCGCATGGTGACCTAGGGAAGAACATTCCATGTAGAGGAAACAGCAGGTGGCTTTTTTTTGGATGAGGAAACTGAGGCTCAGATAGGGGAAGTGACTTGCTTGCAGCCACAGGCAAGAGAAATGCTGTAACGGTAGGAACGCAGCTGGGGACCCATCCTGATCCCCTGGGGCTTCCTCTTCAGTTTAGCATGCCCATCCCCCATCTGCTACAGGTGCTACTGCAGGTGCTGCGGAGACTGCTCACACCCGCAGACTCTGACAGAGGAAGAGCCTGCTCAGGTGACTGGGTCCCCTTGTTGGGAAGTGCCTGGGAATGCACTCCCATCTTAACCTGATGGCCAACATCCAGTGGCTGACGTGTTAGTCCCAAAGCCCAGCCATCTGCTTTGAGGTAGGACAGACCCTAGAGTTCTGGGCAGCCATGGACTTTATCCTGAAGACAGTGGGAGTCACGGAGGAGGTTTGAGCAGAGGAGGGCAGGATGGATTTGGGTTGCTCCAGAGCTCCCATGGGATCGGGAGAGGCTGGGAGTTCTCTGGAAATCTCAGCTGCCCCCGGCTTCTTCCCTAGCGTGGACCTGTGCCCCTTGCAGGTCTCACCTGAGAGCACCCTGTCAATAGATCCCCTGCCTACCCATCTCAGGGAATTCAGCCAAAGAGAGAGGCAGAGATGGGCTGTGAACCCAGGAGTGCTTGACTGTGAACTCCATTCTTGGCAGGGCCGAGGTGCAGGAGGGAGAGGAGTGAGGACTTTGAAGGCCATGGGGTTGTTCTCATCGCTTCGTTCCCGGCCCTGTCAGTGCCATGTTTCCATAGAGTCTTCTGCCTGTGGCGGTGGCGATGGCGGTATAGAGGATAGAGGAAATCCCTGGGCCCATAGCTCTCCACCCCCACCTCCAGCTGCGGAGCCTCAGAGCCGGCTCCATCCCTGTCTGACAGTCGGAGGGGCTGGAAGCCAAGCTCCCAGCTAGCCGGGAGCTGTCACCAGGCCCCCAAGTTTAAATTTAGACAGCCAAGCCTGTAATCTGCTTCCCTTCCCCATGCTGTGGTGTCTATAATTAGAGCTGGGGAGACAGCCACAAAGGATCGAGCAGCCAGGTGGGAAGGCCTTGGCATTTGCTACCTCCTTACCCGGGAGGGGAAGCCTAGGCCGTGCCAGAGGGTCGGGGGCTCACTTTGCAGCTGGGCCAGCGGGGCTGTCACCAGCCATCACCTGCAGTTACCACTTTAGTTGGGATGCCCAGTTTGTTGTGCGGGGGCTCAGACCATGGGTTTCTCCCTGGGCTCTTGGCAATGTCCTTCAACCTCTTCAGTTTTTCCTCTGCACTGTGGCCAGGGTGGTCATGATAAAGCCCAAACCCATTCTTGTCTTCCTCTGCTCAAGTCTCTTCCATGGCTCCCACTGTCCTCAGGATAAAGTCTGTGTTGCTTGGAACTTCAGGCCCTGCACCCTCTCCAGCTGCTGCACCTGCCAAGTGCTAATGCTTTGTATGCAGAGTCTCCTTTAACTCCCACAGCAGTCTGTGAAGTGGGGACAACTATTATCCTCATTTTACAGATGAGGATACAGAGGCTCAGAGCTAGAAGTTACTTTCCCAAGTTCTCACAGCCATTGCCGGACAAGAAGGCAGGCCGTCTGCTACCAGAGCCTTGGATTTGCTCGAGCTTCACTCTTCTGTATCACTGAGTGCTAATGGAGTGCCTTCTGTACACAGGACTCAGACTGGGTGCTGTGGTAGAGAAAGGTGGGCTTCAGGCACTCATTCAAGCCCCCCACTTTGCAGATGAGGTAACTGAGGCCGAGCATGGGGCAGGGCTCTGCCTGGGGTCCCCCTGTGAGCCCTGTCCCCTGCCTCCCACCTGCTGCACTCACCCGCCTTCCCGATCTGCACAGCCAGCTTGGTGAGCTTGCCCTGCAGCACGGACTTCTCCTTCTTGTGCATGCTGGCCTTCTTCCTGTCGTCAGCGTCGCCGCCCTCGGCACTCTTGAGGGGCTGCATCTCCATGGCGGCTGCCCCGTCCTGTTGTTTGGCTGCAGGGGGCAGATCACGCACGTGCATACACACAGACACATAGACACACATGCAGGTCAGCCCACAGGGTGGAGACGCTGGCACCCACCCCTGCCTGCCCAGGGTAGGTGCTGACTGCCTGGACTGAGCCCCGCATGGCTGGTGCAGAAGTCCTGTGATGGGGGCCTGCCTCTTCCAGCCGGAGCTATGGATCCCAGTGGTACTCGCTGCCTCAGACCTGGAATCTGGGACACAGCAGGGACTGATGCTGTTACCCTGGATCCCCCTCTCGGCCTGAACAAGCCTGTGAGTCCTACCCTAGGTGGTCCCTTGTCCTTTCCCACATTCAGACAAGACAGACAGGCTTGGGCTCTACCCAGCTGGTCCTTGGGACCTGTTGTGGGATATTAAGTAGCCACTCGACAGGAGGGACAAAAAAGGAGGCTTAGAACGTAAAAGAGGGCAGCCATGGGAGCCAAGTCACTATCCCAGTTGGCGTGGCCTCTTCATGCAGGATGGACTGGAGGGCCCGTGACCCTTTTGGACAGAGACTGAGCCAAACTCCCTACCCCTCAACCTCTAAGGATCTCAAAGTCTTCAGCTGAATGGGGCGCAGAGTTCAAAGGCTAGGGAGATGCTGGCCCATGGGTATCCCCCTCCTCACCGGTGGACACCTCTTTATTTGGCCTGGCACCATGCAAATCACAGCTACACCCCCAAGGTCGTCAGACACCTGTAGGAGTGGATGTGTCTGCCTCTGGCCCTTGCCAGTCTCTGTCTCTGGTGTGACTGTCAGAGCCGGTGGGGAGGGGCCTCAGGGACGACAAACGCCGGTTAAAACAAAAGGGTTACCTTTGCTCTGGCTGGCGTCCACATTGCCATCCTGCATTTTACCTACACGACAAAGAATTTTAACAGACAACAGAGAACAGACAACACATGGTCGGTCATCACGAAGACGCAACAGGCCACAGACATTAATGTCACAGATGAAGGGCGGGCCGTGCTGACTGCATCCCTCTGTGTGGGGATACGGGTTGGGGAGGGCCCTGAAGCAGGAGCAGGCCTGGCCGCACCTTAGCTGTGGGGCCTGCCAGCCGGGCAACTCTTGATTCTCCAGGGGACTCAGGAGGGAGGTTTCTGCTGGAATACTTTTGGCCTTGAGCGTGTTACAGATCAAAGGGAAGTATCAGAGGGTGCAGGGGATTAGAGTCTGCTGGAGGAGGCAGCAGAGAAGCACTCAGGCCCCCACACCAAGCTTTTTGTGACCGATTTGGTGTTTTCTGGGTTGAGAGAAGGCAAAGGGAAGCTTGTTCAGTTACGTCCTTTTCATTTTCCCACAAAAGAAAACATGCAGTAGAGAGAGGGGAGAGGGGGAGAGAGAGAGAAAGAGAGACAGAGAGAGAGGAGAGAGTGTTTCTAGAATGGAGAGGAGTTTGGACAAGGCACTGAGGTCAATGTGTTCCTTAGTTTTGGCCTTCAAGAGGGATGATCTTTCTCCTTCACACTCTGAAGAGTGTGAAGCCACCCAAGGATGACCCCTTGCCCAATGCCCCTGAGAGTGACCAGAACAAAGAGTGATCAGGGGTCCCCATGGTGGTATACGAGGGACCTCAAGTGTGGCCGGGTTCTTGATGAAGTGCTCTGGTCCCCAATGGGGGTGCTGACCCCTTGGTAGGGGTATGGCTCAGGCTACAGCAGCAGGCTAAGTAGTGTCCGTGGGCATCCCCTTCCATACCAGGGCCTGGTGCTGCATCTGGCTGCCCCCCACCGACTCATCAGAGCTGCCTGGGAGGCCCCCACTCCAGCCTTGGCCAGGAGCTTGTGGGCTGGGTGTGCAATGTGGGCAATGGAGGCCTCTGTCTCTTGCCTAGCACACCTGCCTTCGCCAGCACCCTCCCATCTACTGGGCCTGCACGCTCACCCAGAGCTCTGCCTGCTCTGCCAACAGGCCTCGCCCCCTTGGGAGGGGTCTGAGAAGGTTGGCCACCCTTGGATGATGGCTGCAATGGTGATTCTCACAGCTCACATTCCAGGACAGTCCACCACCATGTGCTGGGCACACACATAAGCTCTGAGATTCCATCTAATCCTCGCCACAGCCTCACCTATGAAGGGTGTGCTTGTATTATACCCATTTATGGATGAGAAACTGAGGCTCAGAGAGGGAGATGAGCTGCTTGGGTCTCAATGGGTAAATGGAGAGCTGGCCCCAAAGTGCGTGCCTACTTCCGTCCTGCCATTGCTTCTCCAGAAGCTGCCGTCAGGGAGACCATGGACACCCCTCAGCCCCTCTGAGCCCAGGGGAGGGAAGTTGAGGTGGCACTGCTGCGACAGGGTTCCTGAAGTCTTCATTTCACCACCAACTAGCTGCTGGCTTTCTATCTCCCAATCTCATCAAGCTTCCACTTTCATAAAACAGGATGAGACATTCACCTCCCAGAGTGTCCCAGTTACCTTCATCATAATCACTTGCACGGTTCAGCCTTTTGCAGTTTCAAAGGGCTTTTGCAAGTGTCATCTCTTGTCAGTCTTCCCAGTATCCCTGCAAGGTGGGGCAGGAGGGATTTTCATCACTCTCATTTTATAGATGGGGAAACTGAGGCCAAGGGAAGTTCAGAGGCAGCCTGAATTTAGGAGCATCCTCGGAATAGCCCCATGGCTGCAGGATTAGTTCATCACTGTCACTGTGCCCACTTTCTGGGTGACTCAGAGGGGAGAAGTGGCTTCCCCGAACCTCGCCCAGCACTGTCTGTTCAAGGGTAAGTGCAGAGCTGTCCCCATGGCCTCCCATGGCAAAGGATCAGTTGCCCATCCTGGGCTTTAAAGTGAAAGACCCCCTGTGTCTCTACTGTAAAATTCTTTCTACTGGATTAAAAAACACAAGAGAAAAAAGCTTTTTAGAGTAAGCAGGAATGAATAACAACAATTATTTTTATTTTCTAAAATAATTTTACTGACTGGGCTCAGGGGCACCAGGGGACTCCACTTCAATAGTTGGTTTTAGAAGGCTCAAAGGGGCCTTTATTTGCATTGCATATTATCAGATGCAATAGCCGGTGTGTGCACTCATTAAGCCCAGCTAGCACTTTCCTCTTTTATTTCCAGAGTGAACACGTGATCAGAAAAATAATCACCAATGCATATGCTGGAGGAAGGGAAGGATGTTCTGGGAGTGCTGAGGCACAGATGGCCTGGTTTCTCAGAAGCGAGGGACTTATTTGGGGCTCTCCTGGCCAAACTGGTGCTCGCCTGGCCCTGAACTATGGTGGAACAGCCAGCTTTGGCCCCATGTGGGATCTGGAGATGGGCTGTATTTCAGGAGAGCTAGGAATGGGGTCCAAGACTGAGCCCTCAGGTGGGGTCTCAGAGGCCCTTCTCTGTATCTGGAGTCAGATGCACCTTTTCCAAATGGGTCTATTCTCTCTGTGCATCACAAAGGGCATGGGTGTGAAGTGCATGGATTGGGAGGATTCCTGGTAAGCTGACCTGATACACAAGCTCTGGGGAGAGAGACCACTACCTGGGAGACTTGGGAAATACCACTTCTCTTCCCTGTGCCTCCATTTTCTCCTCTGTGAAATGGATATCAACTAAGGTGATGTTTATGAAAGGCACTGGAAAATCACTGTGTAAACGTTGGGAGTTAGTAGTAATGTGTTATTATTATTGTTGCCCAGGCTGGAGTGCAGTGGCGTGATCTTGGTTCACTGCAACGTTGAACTCCTGGGCTCAAGCAATCCTCCTACTTCAGCTTCCTGAGTTGCTGGGAATATAGATGTGTGCCACTATACCCAGCTAATTAAATTTTTTTTTTTTTTTTTTTGTAGAGATGTGGTCTCACTATGATGTCTAGGCTGGTCTCAAACTCTTGACCTCAAGTGATTCTCCTGCTTCGGCCTCCCAAAGTGTTGGGATTATAGGCATGAAGCACTGTACCCAGCCCATGATGTATAATTTTTTTTTTCTTTTTTGAGACAGAGTCTCACTCTGTCTCCTAGGCTGGAGTGCAGTGGCATGATCTCAGCTCACTGCAACCTCCACTTCCTGGGTTCAAGCAATTCTCCTGCCTCATCCTCCTAAGTAGCTGGGATTACAGGTGCCCACTACCATGACCGGCTAATTTTTTTTTTTTTTTGTATTTTTAGTAGAGACAGAGTTTCACCATGTTGCCCAGGCTGGTCTCCAACTCCTGACCTCAAGCAATCCACCTGCCTTGGCCTCCCAAAGTGCTGGGATTTCAGGCATGAGTCATTGCGCCCGGCCTCATGATGTATAATTAACTGTGATTATAACCATGATTACAGGTCATGTATTACATAGTGACACACTAGTAATGTAAAAGAAAAATAACTAAATAATAATGGCAATCATAATGCTTCCAAGATGAATGGACCACACCCATTTTTCAGTTGGGGGCTTGGGGGAGCAGGGTCAAAGGGAAAAATTATCACCCTAATTTTTTTTTTCCATATCCAAGTCATTGTGATCTGGCTCAGAGGAAGGAGGGGAAAGAACACTTAATTCTCTCTCAATCGGCAAGGTTCCACCTTGTGCCTCTCCACCTGTAATGTGCTCTCACCTGGAGTCTGGAAAGCCTGTTAAAATGCAGATTCTCCTTCAGTTGGTCTGGGGTGGGGTCTGAGATTCTGCATTTCTTTTTTTTTAATTTTTTAATTTTAATTTTTATTTTATTATTATTATACTTTAAGTTTTAGGGTACGTGTGCACCCTAAAACTTAAAGTATAATAATAATAAAATAAAAAACTGAGATTCTGCATTTCTAAGGAGCTCCCAGGTGATGTGCAGGCTTTGGGTCCTGTGATCACATTTTGAATAGCAATGGCTTAGAGCATTATTTCCCAGAGTATATTATGGGGCAGACCAATTCCACAGGATTCAGCCAGGAAAGGTCTTGCAGTCAAATCAGCCTAGGAAACTCTATGTGACTCTGTAACTCTCCGCTACACACCAGCATATTCAAGGCTCTGAGCAGTCCTGTAACCAGGACTAATTCTGTAACCAGGAAGAGATCAATTCAATCCAGTGGTTCTCAAACATCTTTGACCACAGAATCCTTTTCTTGGGGTAAAGCCCTCTTAACATCCTTGTGAAACTTACAAGACACACTCCACTGGGAAATCCTGGATCAGGAGGAGAAGCACACACTTTAGAGCCAGCCAGGTCTGGGTTCTGGGTTCAAATCCCAGCTCTGCTACTTTCTAGCTCTGTGACCTTAGGCTAGTGTCTTGGTCTCCTTGAGCCTCAGTCTCCTCATCTTTAAAGTGGGGACAATAAAACCTGTATCATGGGGGTGTCATGAGGATTAAATGAGATGGTGAATATGAAATGCTTTCAGCAGTGCCTGGTATACAGTAGGTGGTCAAGAAATGAACGTTTCCTACAGTTTCTCTTGGGATATTTGGGGTTTTCTGCTGCAGTCTGGAAGTAAAGCTGCCCTTTTTTCTGAGACTGGCCAGCCTGGATGGGGTCTGTATGTTCACAAAGCTCAGCAGGCTCACTGCCGGGGTGAAGTGGGTGCCCCCTCTAGGTTCCTTCTCTCTCAGCCATGGGTTTGCCCACATGGGTTCTCCTTGTCACCCTCAGCCACCCCTCCCTGAGGCATGACACCTCCCACTCCCCAAGCTGTCATCCTTCCTCCTCCTGTGCCTGAAATAGAGCCATACCAGAATTAGTCCTTCTTGGCAAGGCACTGCTCGCAGAAGTGCCTTACTCAGCCCCGACACCTACTAGGTGCTTCCATCTTTGGGCACTTTGAATGCAGGTGGCTTGGGGAGAGGTCTAGGGCAGGGGATGGGAGGCTGCGGGGAACAAGTCTCCATATTTTGCAGGAGTGGTGAGAAGTGAATGATATGATATAATGGATGAGAAACCCACAGCCCAGTGCCTGGTATGCAGAGACGGTGGGAAAAAGATTTTCCCCTGCCCTCAGCTCCTCTGGGGCAATGTTTTCATGATGGAGCCCTAATGGCTCTCAACAGTTCAGGAGTAGCCTGGGGGACTATTATGTCACTTTATTTGGGGATAGGGGTGGTATCTGAGTAAACAAAAGCCTTGTCTGTTGCTCTGAAGCCAGAAGGGGATAGAAATCCGAAATCTTCTAAAGGCTTTGGGGGCAAGTGAATGGAACTCCTTCTTGCTTGCGTGTAAGGAGATTAAGATGCAGACACCAGTACACAGTGCCAGCCCCTCTCCCCCACCCTCCACCCCTGTGACCCAGGACAAACGCTCCAGCACAGGCAACAGCAAGAAACACCAGTCCACATCCGAAGGACAGAACCAGGCCCGAGCCCAAGCGAACCCCCTGCCCGTTGGCTCCGTGAAAGAGAAGAGGAAAAACTGTTTACTGCTGGCTCAGCCATGCTACAGGACAGGGCCAAGGAGCTGAATCCCGGCCTGGGTCCCCTTGCCTCGAGGAAATTTTAGAGTCGAGGACTAGAGCCTTTGCTGGGGACCCAGATGCCAGCTTCAGCCCAAGCCCTGATCCCAGGCCTTCTTCCCAAAGCCAGGGCCAGGAATACACTTAGGAGAGGGCCATGCCAGGTGGGACGCTCCTTCTTGGGAGCCAATCTGAAGCCAAAGTCTCGTCTCTTATCTGGGCTCCATGGGGAGTCAAGGGCTCGACAGGAGCCAGCACCTTTTTGGCAGCTGTGAGGCTGACAGGTTGCAGAGCTGACTCCCCCGGCTGTGGCTCCTGTCTTAAGCGCCTGCCCCATGTGAGAAGGTGACTGTCCCAGCGGCCCATGCACATCCGAGATCTGTGCAGTCCAGAACAAGGAAAGAAAGCCCAAAGTTGGGGTGGGGGTGAGAGACGCCCATCCAACCATGACCAGGAGCTCGCCGTGGGAGACATACCATTGACTAGGCTGGCATTCGCACTATCTGCAGCATTTGAAGCTGCCGCACCGTCTGCTGCTGCAGGGGGGTGGGAGGGATGGAAAATGCAGTGTCACAATGGAGAAAAGCAACAACGACAAAGACATGAACCAACTTGTGGGGAGATAACATGACTCTATTCTTAAAAAAAAAAATTATCCTTTGGAAACCAAGAAACTCAAATTTGGGGTGGGGGTGAAATGTTCCATAGAGATGCCGCAGAGGTTGAGGGGAGAAACTCAGACATGGAGGGTCTTTCAAATAAAGCATGGTGGATGACCAGGGTGGTTAGCTGGGATGGTGCTGGTCTGTGCTGAGGTCTGGACCCTGCTGGTCCAACCAGTCAAGAGAGTCCCCTGGAAGAGAGGGCTCCATGAAATGAGGAGATCTGGCTGCCCATTGGGGGCCAGGAGTGGAAAAATATTCACTAGGCAGTGCAGCGTGGGCACGGACCACTCAGAATGAGTATTCTCCATGACCACCATCTCTGTGCATCAGGGTGTTCTGGAAGAACATTTGCTAATGGTGATGACTTTGACTTAACTGGATTCATGCCCTTGATTCAGGCCATTGCCTCCTTCCTTAACTGGCATTCCAGAGACTGCTTTGGGAACTCCCATGTGAGATGCCCCCCAAATTTAAAAGGTGACATCAAGCATGTTGCATTTTGTATATGGGATGGAAAAGGCACTAGTGAATTTTTCTTAATTTAGAAATTAAAAGTGATATGAGATGGCTAAATTCACACCTTTTGCTCTTTCTTGTGGGTAGGGAATAGTGTTCTATGGGCAGGAAGAGGCCCCACTGGGTGAAGCACACTGTTGCGTGAGGGCATGGGCTCCCCAGGGGTGCTGGTGGGGAGAGCAGGGCCTGAGGGGAGGGTCCTATGATGGTGAGCAAGCTTTGCATGCTGGTACGCAGGGCTAAGGGTGGTGTAGAGATGGGGGTGGTACCACTTGGCATTGGCTGGTAGGGTGAGGCACTGTAAGGGCAAGAGGGTGGAGTGGGGTGTTGGCTTGTCCCACAGGGCTGGCATCACAGGAGGGCACAAAGGAGGGTCTGGGGGGTGGAGCCACCCACAGGCATGTGGCCTCCTCCAGCTGTGTGCTGGTGGTCTAGGGGCAGGGCCCAATGACCAAAGCCTGCTGCTATTTCTAAAAGCCCATCTACCCTGAGGGTGTCTTACTGTACCTGGTAGCTGAAGGCCATCCCCCTTCTTCACACCTGTGTGATGATTTTTGAGACATGTTAATGAAGGAGAAGCACACAGCCTCATCTGCCCATGCGCACGCGCACACACACAAACACACATGTGCATACACACATGGCCATACACCTAGGGTCATCCTGAAATGGGGACATGTGGCGGGCTCTAAGCAATGTTCCTAGTGGAGGTGATGGGATGGGAGGGCAGAGGGGGCCCAGCTGAGGCCATGCTGCTCATGGTGGCCTGAGATGCTGGACTGCTCCCCCAGGCTTCCTCTGCCACATCCCTTCCACATTCCCCATCTTCCTTCTACATGAGGCTATTTTTCTGACATCTCCATCTCACAGGAGTGCAGGTGCATGCTCAGCGAAGGACCCTGAACTGTGCTTCTGGGGCAGTTGACACTTGTCTTCCTACTGGCATTTAAAAACCACAGATCTGGCCCTGCTAGCATTTTAAAAACCACAGATCTGGCCCATAGAAGAGTCTGGGGGCGTCTTCCCCTCACTCAAGCCTCAGTGAGGTGAAGACAATGAGTACAGGCTGCTGCATCCTGCCTACCTGCTTAGATCTGCCTAACTGCTATCATTGTGGAATAGGGCTCAGCCATCCTACCACAGATTCAAACCCAGCATGTGCACACTCTCCTTATGTCCTCTGGGACTCTTAGTCACGACTCTTTCCTCAGTTTCAGCCTCAGCACCCCTTTACTCTCTCCAGCCTTCTAATTTCCCAGAACACAGCTCAGCCCCATTGTCCTGCTGGAGGGGCCACCATAATCTTAGGGGACCCCCTAGAAAATGGATTTTGCCTTCAGGAACAAGTAATCTTCAGTCTCGACCTAAGCTCTGTGCCTGATTAGCCTCTGAGAGCTGGAGGGAGCAGGGCTGCCCCTAAAACTCAGTGGGGGAGGCATCTGTCCTCTCATCTCCCTTCTGGGGTTCTAGAAGTTCTGAATGTCACAGATCCTCCCTTTGTGCTTGAGGAAGGAGACAAAAGACTGAAAATGTGAAAGGGGGGCTATCTTTGAGATCAAGTGTGGGGACAGGTAAGGAGTCAGCTGTGCTGGGACCAGAAGCCTGGGCCTTTGGATTTGGGCCTGGCCTGAAGAGACTTGAGCTTTTTGTTTGAGCATCTTTCCCTCTGTTCTGAGAGACAGTTTTAGCCTGGGTGGTCAGCTCGCTGCATTGAGGAGAGCCCAGTGAATAAGGAATCTTATTTTCAAGGAGGAGGAAGAATCAGAACTCAGACAAGATGGTAGGTCTGGGAGCACTGGAGAGTAAACTCATAATGGTTGATTTGGAGCCATGCATCTGGCTACCTTTCCCAGAATCTCCTCTGCCCATGTCTTGGATGAATCTATGCTGGGTGGATTTTCATTTCTGCTCAGTGGAGTTGACAATATTGGAAGGAATATGCTTCCAATGGGTGGGGATTTCTACTCAATACTGGAGTGATGATGGGACCAATTGATGCTGGCTGTTTCCACCACTTGAGGCTGGAGACTCAACAACATGGTCAGCATCCTTGGCCTGGCCCGGAGGGGAAGGAGGGGCCTCCATGACATGATTGGACAAGACAGAGACTGGGACAAGACCTGGAGATGGAACAGACAGAGCCTACCTGGCCCATGCAGGCCTTAAGGATGCAGGAGGTGGCTGTCAGCACAGGGTGCGGACGTAGAAGGCACTCAATAACTATTTTGTTGAGTGAACAAATAAACAAAAAAAAAATGTGGCCTTAAGAGCTCCTCTCCTGGTCTGCAAGGGGATTAGGCTTACCTTTTTTGTCTTTCTTCTCTTCCTCTTCACCACCAGCCCCCAGGAGGGTAAAGATGATGCCAGTCTGAGAGTTCACACCCACAGCAGTCACCAACATCCGTCCTGAGCCCTCCATCACGTGGGTTCCTGGGAAAGGGGACAAAAGCCAAGTTACCATTGCATGGTTGAAGCCGTCTCCCCAAAGGAGTGAAAAAATGTGGTCTCAGTCAGCTCCTGGCTCTTTGCCTGCAGAGGTCATGGGGCATCACCTATGGTTAAGATTCACACTGTGTGTGTGGTGGGCTCTTTCAAGATGCTTTCACCTCAGGACAGTGCTGGGGTGGAAACACTGCTACCTATCAGTTCTCAGGTACCCCAAACATCTCCAGGCCCACCACCTACTACCTGCCCTGGAGGGTCACTTCCTCCTTCTGTCTCCTTCTCCCCACTCCTCTACCACCCTTACAGATGTAGACATCAAACTCCAGGAGTGTTATCAGTGTCCATGATGCCACTACACACATTACAAAAATCACAGATTTTTTCATATCACTTTACAGCTATTGCAGCATTGTTGGTGCTCATCTCTATTTTATAAATAAAGTGGTTATGCAACTGCTTGCTAGATCTTGTTATTCAGTGTTCTAATAAAGTACACTCATTACTATACCACATATTTTTTTTCTACTTTATGCCAATATAATTGGTTTCCTTTGTGACCTCAGTGGGATCTTGTGGGACCTCATGCATTTCATTTTATGCATTTCAAGGCTTTATTTGGAATAGGTGTGGCACATGATGATACCAGACTACTCCAGGGGTCTATGCTGCAAGAAAGGTTAAGAACCACTTTCCTAGAACTTTAGATTTCTCAAACTGGGTTCCAAAGGACCCTGACATTCTTTCCAGGGGCTGGAAGTGTAGCTATGGTGGGTGAAGGAGGCCTTTGGTCAGGATGGCTCTACTTTTATTTGTTTTATCTTTGGGGCTTCAGTGTCAGCTATTGTTTCATGAGAGAGCCTTGTTGCTGCTTGCAGGCAGCCTCTCCACCATGCAGGCTCAGAGAGCAACTTGTCCAACAGCAAGCAAGGGCTTCAGAGGGAGGATAAGCTGAAGAGAGGGGAGAAATATGGTCTATACACTCAATGGAATATTATTCAGCCTTAAAGAGAAAGAAACTTGAACACAGGCTACAACATGGATGAACCTTGAGGATACTGCAGTAAGTAAGTGAGCCAGCCAGCCACAAAAGGACCATAAATACTATATGATTCCACCTGCATGAGGTCCCCTGAGTCATCAGCTTCAGAGATAGAAAGTAGAATGGTGGGTGCCAGGGGCTGGGGAAGGGAAATGAAAGTTAGTGTTTAATGGGTGCAGAGCTTCAGTTTGGGAATATGAAAAGAGTTCTGTGGATGGATGGTGGTGATGGTTGCACAAAAACGTGAAGGTGCTTAATGCCATTGAACTGTACACTTACAAGTGGTTAAAATGGTAAATTCTATGTTATGTGTATTTTACTATTAATATAATTTTAAAAATTGGAAAAAAAAGCCCCCTGAAGCCATGGCCTCACTGGGGAAGCAAAGGTGACCCCAGGAGGACAGCTGGGACCCAGTCTGGGAAGTAGACAGCAGCTATGCCCACCCAGTTCTAGCAGCGAGGGAATGCGGCACTGCTGGTCCTTTGTCCTTTGATTGGTGCTGGAAGAATCTGGATGCTGGAAGGTTGGCTCTCCAGGCACACATTTTTTTTTCCTGTTTTTATTTTTTTGCTACTCTGGGTAGAAAGCTGTATATGATGCAGGACACACTACCTTCTCAGATGGGGGAGTAAGAATTCCACCCTGGCCTGGCTGGACAGTGTCACAGAGGCCTTGACAGCCATGACAGTGACTCTCCGACATGCCATGCCTTGCTTCTGGAACTCACTTCTGCTTTTCAGAGTTCTCTTTTCTGTCCCCTCGAGACTAGGTGCCACTTCTTCCTGTTTTCAGCATAACTTATCTCTCACTGTGTTTTGGTTTGCCTCAGATTTGAAGTCTATGTCAGGAAACTCATTAGAATTGTATCTAAAATAAGGGTTGAGGGGTTCTGGGTCAGACCTAAAGAGCTTGCCTTAAGCAAGGTATCTGTTTTCACTTTTTAAGTGGTATCACCCACCTTGTCCCTTTCCTTGTAGGATCTGAGTGATATCCCGATGTTGTGTGTGTGTGTGCCTGTGTGTGTGTGCGTGCATGCTTTTGTGTGTGTGTGTGTGTGTGTGTGTGCGCTTGCAACAATCTAGCCTCTTGGTCTCTGGGGTCTCAGGATCTCAAAGTGCTTTACAGAGAGACAGACACTCTCCAGTGATTCCTTTCAGGCACGTAAATGCCAGCCTCTCCCTGCACAGATGCAGAAACCAAGTCATGAAGGCTCACAGAGGGGGTGTGCGGAACCCAGATTCTCAGATGGCAAGCTCTTTGGCCATTCCCAGGACAGAAGGACAGTGCTTTTTTTCCCCCTTGGCAGGGCACAGTGGGGACCACAGAATGAGCTCAGACATTGGCTCTAGGCTGAGCAGCCCAGGCCTGGTGGCTTCTCATCACAGGCAGACCCTGGAGCACCCCACCCTGCTCTGTCACCCTGCTGAGGGCCAGTAACAGGGCCTTGTTCATTATAATAACTTGCTGACAAGATGCCTCCGTGGGCACCAGCTCGGCTTGTTAGGGTGCTAGGAGGAGGGGCTGTTACATATCAGCATTAGACAGATAAGAAACTGGGGTCTCATGGCGGGTATCACTGGAGACTCTTCAAAGGAGAGGAAGGAACACTACGCTGCATTCATAGGGCACAGAAAGCAGTAACAGCCACCCAAGCTGACCTCTGTAGAACACCTACTGTGTGCAGGGCACATGCTGCCCTCCACGCTCAATGATCTCATCTAGTCCTCAAACTGGAGGAAACTGAGGCTCAGAGTGGAGGGGTGGACTGCCGAGTCACTCTGCAGGTGAGGGGCAGAGCCTGGACTTGAACTCTCTGCTGTCCCTGAGCCTGTTGTCTTTGTTACCTTCCACTTAGCCTCCAGGGGCAAGGCCCTCACATTCTGGTCTGAGACACATTCTGCTCTGAGTAGAAAGGTTCGCTGGAAATGAAGGCATTGGTTCTCTGGCTTAGGTGGCAACCAAGAGGCTGCTCCCCACCTCCCAACCCAAGACAGGATGGAAAAAGATGCAGGGGGCCAATTTCCACCCACGATAATCAGACTCCCAAATCACCTTCTAATCTAATCACTCCCATCGCAGCAGGGAGCTGGCAGCTCTACACCCACATCCGGAGGCAGGGAGGTGGCAGGAGGACGTCAGGGAGGGGCTTAGGCATAGTGCGCTCCCCGCCCAGACCTGGAGATGCCCCAGGGTGTCCTCCAGAGCTGAGCAATAGCCAGGGCAGGGGAGACGGGGCATCTACAATCCCCAGTCCTCCCTCCCTCTGTCCTCCGGTATCCCCAAGCCTCTGCTCTTACCTGTCTCCCTCCAGTTCCAATCCCTTCTTCGAGGGTTTGGAGGGCTCCCTGAGGTCCAAACCACTCAGTCAGTGTCCCCTGGATGAGACCTCTGCCTTCTTGGCCCTGGACACTGAGTCCTGTCTCGTGGCCTCTGCCTTTGGAGTGTGCACAGTTCACTGGGCCTTGGTGTCTACCTCCCTGGCCTTTGCTCACAGTGATCACCTGAATGCCTTTCCCTCACCTCTTGCTCACAACCTCCTCCACAGGATGAATGCCCTTCTCCTTGGGTAGCCCTCCTGACTCCCACTAGGGGACTTCATCTGTCTCCTCTGAATCACCTGAAGTCTCCTCTGGGGGTGCTTCCAGGCCTGGCTCCTCAACCTGACCATGAGCCCCTTGAAGGCAGTGTCTGAGTGGGAGTGTCCTCTGGGCCTCCCCCGCACAGCCTGGTTTGGAGCTGCAACTCCAGCACAATTTTTTGTACTATTTTGAACTTTCCAGGGTGGGTATGTATTACATTTATAATTGGGAATACCAATGTCCCTAATAAATCATCTTTATGTTTTGCAGAGGGTCACATTCATCCCAGCTGTGCCCCCTCCTGCCACACCTCACTGGGCTGTGCCCTGTCCTCTCCCAGGCCCTCCTGCCAGGGGAAGACTCCAAAGGACTGGGGCATTCCCTAGACCGTTCCCCTTCAGCTCCACGAGTCCCCTGCAGAGGGCAATGCTTAACACCATGGCAGAAGCAATTAATGGCAGAGCAACAGACATCCAAGTCAAAGCGCAGTGGGCTAAACCTCTCAAAGGACGACCACAGGGGCAGAGGTGGGAACCTCTTGGGGATGGAGGCCCTGATAGGGCCTTGTGGGACCTCACTGTCCACAGTCCCTTGGGCAGCACTCTGTAGCCCCCACCTCCTCTAACTGCCCACAGAGCCCTTCAGAATACAAGCACGGGGAGGGGTAGAGAGAGAGCCCTGGACCCAGAAGAGGGCACCTGGGACATGGTGTCTAATTCTGATTGCTATGTGACCTTGGGGCCAGCCCCTCTCCTCTCTGGACCTCAGTTTTGTCATCTGTAGAGTGGGGAGGGAGCTGGCTTAGGCCCCATATCTCAGCAATAGTGTCTTGACACTGTCTAAGGGAGACCAGCCTAGGGCATGTCCTGGGTAGGGTGGACAGCTACATCTCGGGAAGAAGAGGGTGTGGAGAGGCCGGCAGAGGCCCGTGTGGACAGAATGACCAGATGGCGCCCCCCTTCCCCAGCTCCACAGTCCTTCACTTGACGGACAGACATGGTGGGGTGTCAACTCCATGCCAGGCTCTCGGGTCTGAGAGAGGTCCCCCTGTGGTCCCTGCCCTCCAGGAGCTCACAGTCTAGCTGGGGTCAAGGAGAGCAGATAGGCACACAGATCCAGAGCAATGCAAGACAAAACCAAGCCAAGGACATGGCGGGCCGGAAGGGACACAGCCAGGCAAAGGTGGGAGGTGGTCCAGTGTGATGGTAGCGGGCGGGCCGGGCCAAAGCTCAGCGCCCACGAAGGGAGAAGGTGCCTGAGTGGAGGGTGACAGAGTGGAGTCTTTGCTTGGTGTTCAATAGGAAGCCGCTGAGAGTATTTTTGGGTGGAGGGGGAGGAAGGAAGAGAATATCTTTTGAGCATTCATGATGTGCCAAGTTCCATCTGAGCCACTTTTCGCTCAGCTGTCACAGTCTGTGAGGTGGTCAGCCTCACCCCATTTCACAGATAGGGCATCAGCTCAGGGGGTCACCTCTGCATTCAGCCCAGGAAGGCAGAGCTGGGATGGGAGCTGGTCTGTGGCTCCAATCTTGTGCTTTTTCCACCTTGTGGACAAAGTTGGTGGGAGAGCTGTCTGGGGCAGCCCCAAGGAGAGAAAGGGGGGCCAGAGCGTGGTGGGGAGCTGCCAGCTATCCCATGAGTGGGAGGAAATGGGAGCCCAGGCTCAGGGAACACTGTGGTTTCCGTGGATGGTACTGTCTGTCCTGTCCTGCCCAAGCTTCTGTCCTGTCCTGGTCCTGTGGAGGGGATGTTCCTTGGTCTCTGACCTGGCAGCAGAGAGTGGCCAGGACCTTCCCAGCTGCAGGCTCAAAGCCCATCCTGGCCTTGGGCCTGTCCTGAACAGCAGGAGGTGGCTTTCCCTTGCCCTGAGCTGGTCTAGATGGTGGCAGTCTCGGAGTCAAAGCCTTCTGCTGTGGCTTGTGGGGTATGCTGAGCCATAGGTAGCAGAACTGGGAAGCCTCCTTTTACAAAATGGGGTTTCTGAGCCCAGATAAGGCGAATGACTGAAGTTGCAGAGGGTGTAGGACAGTAGGGGCTGGACCTAGGGTTCCTTGATCTCTTGCGTGTGACCTTTTAGGCCTCTCCCTGGATAGGGAGAGGGGAGAGTTCATCTCTTCTAAAAGGGTTCCTTCAGTGGGGAGAGGCTGTGAAGAAGGGATGGAGGCTATTTCTGGGGGCTATTATCTGCCTCCAGGCACAAGCACTAAACAAAGCCAAAACGATTCCCAGCCCAGACACAGTCCTTCCATTATTATTGTTATTAATGCAGTTAATAACACACGCTCACAGAGCACGAGGCAGTAGGCAAAGTGTCCCCCTCACAACAGCCCCCTGAGGTAGGTTTTGGCGCAAGTTCAATCCCCAGCCCCTCCACCCACCACTTTCTGGCTCAGAGAGCTTGAGTGATGGCCCAGGGTCACACAGCTGTGAGTGGTGGAGCCGGGACTTGAACCCGTGCTCTATCCACTACACCCCGCTGCCTCTCATGGAGAAGAGGCAGGGTAGTGTAATGGAGAGAGTGCGGGCCGAGTAGCAGACTGGGCCTTCTGCAGTCACGGTGTCGTCCTAGGCTCCCTGGAGACGGTGGCAGTGGTGGCAGGTCCGGCTCTCCCATGCCTGGCCTTCTGCTTGGTGGGGTGGGCAGCAGGTCCTGGGATGTGGGCAGAGTCCCAAGAGGGTTTACCGATGTCCTGCATGACCTCATGCTGTTAGTGCTCTGGCTGGCAGGGGGAAGGGAGGAGGGTGTGTCGGGGTCTCGCGGGGGTTGAGCCATCGGGCCTGCTGGAGCCAGGCCTTGCTGTTTTTTGAAGACAGCCCCGCCATCCTGGCCCCCTGGCTCCAGCCCCTTCCACTGCCACATTGATGGCATCTAGTCTAGTCCTGCATTTCCCAGTGGAAGTTACTACAAGGAGGCAGGCTCCTGCATGGGGGCTACAGGAAGAGCCCAGAGCTGGGGTCTGGCTTCCGCCCTGCCCCTGCCCTCTGTGGGGCCTTACACTTCTGCTCTGGGTCTCAGTTTCCCCAGCTGCAAATTGGGATAGGACCAGGGTCCTCTAGGGATCATTGAATCCCCTGAAATGTTGCAAGATGAGGAGTCTGGGCATCTGTTCCTTATAAGAGGGGTCACTGCTTTAGTGGAACTCTCACGGAAGTTCATGACCTAGGAGGGTTTAAAAAACACTGGCTTTCCATGAAGACAATGAAAAGATGAGGCGCTGCTCCATGCAGGAGACCAAAGAGGCAGGACATCCAAGTGGCATGCAGGACCCCACATGGATCCTGGCCTGGAGAACGCTGCAGGCACAATTGGCAGAATGTGAATATGGATGGCACAGCAGG
The DNA here is from genome assembly GCF_000001405.40 of Homo sapiens. Taxonomy (NCBI): domain Eukaryota; kingdom Metazoa; phylum Chordata; class Mammalia; order Primates; family Hominidae; genus Homo; species Homo sapiens. The sequence goes on from NC_000003.12 coordinate 10,395,378, forward strand.
TAACAGTACCGAATCAATGTCAAGTTTCCTGAATTGATGGCTGTGTTGTGGTTATGCATGAGAATACCCTTGCTCTTGGGAGACACACCTGCAGTGTCTAGCGGGAGAAGGCCATCACATCTGCATGATGAGGAGGAGAGTGAGATTTGTCAGAGAGCAAAGACGGCAAAAGGTTAGCAACAGCCGAATCAGAGTGAAGGGCATGCCCGTATTCTTTGTGCCATCCTTGCAACTTTTCTGAAAGTTTGAAATTATCTTAAAATACAAAGCTAAAAAATAGGCCTAGGTCAGAGTTTGCACTCTAGGTCCCACCCATATGTGGCTTGACCCATAGGGACCTTAAAATGTGGGAATTTCTTGCCAATACTTAAACATTGAGAGCTGGTACAGGGAAATCTGGATTTCTGGCTCCTCTTGCAAAGTGAGCACTGAGGTCAGATTGGGCTGGCGCTTCTGCAGGCAGCAACAGGAAGCAGCTGTGGTTTGGGTTTGGCACCTGTGCTCTCCCTACCTGGCCCTGCAGACATATGAGTTTGCAATTTCTGAATATTTTTACTCTGTCCCGTTTGAAGATACACCAGACATGGGCTCGTGTCTGCCTGTCCGTCCCTGGAGGGTAGGAAGGTAGGGGAAACCTGCCTGGTTTTGATGATTTCCTTGGTGCCCTGAGTGTTGAGGTCATTTGAGTCTTTCTGAAGGCTGGTCTGCCCTCACTTGTCAGATGGGGAAACTGAGGTTCTGAGGGGCAGAGGCCACAGTGGGAGCTGTTGGAGGGCTGGAACCTGGGCATTCTGCCTCCAGATGCCACATTCCTTCCACACCATACAGCACCTCACAACCGCAGGGTTTGTTTGCAAAGGACAGTCACACGTGTGCATGCCTGTGGTCCCCACAACAGCCCTGTGGGGCAGGCAGTGGAGGCCTCACCAGCTTCCCCATTGCACTGACACAGACACAGAGGCTCAGAGAGGTGAAGGGACCTGTCCAGGGTCACAGGCCAAGCATGGTTGGACCAACTGACCAGAGCGGAGTGTTTCCTGCCCTCTTCTAAGCTGAAACAGTGCATGAGATGACACTAGGGCTTTCTCAACCACCATAACGACACCACAAATGCCCCCAGCCTGGTCTCTCTGTGTTGTTCCTCAAGGATCATCAGACTGGAAGGCCCAGCAAGGCCTCCCCGCTGATGTAAAGGGCCCATGGTGTCTGGTTGTGCATAAAAATGAGCATCCAAATGGCTGTTATGCAGGGAGTTCAGAACACTGGGGAAGAAACTAATCAAGGAACACCCCCTGGGGGAGGCAGGCTGCTGCAGGCTGAAGGTAGGGAGGAGTTGGATGATGAAGAGGAAGGGGGTAGCCCAGAGAGGTGGGAAAGGGGAGACATTTGAGATGAAGGATGAGAGGGCGAAATGGACATTTCTGGAGGTTCCAGATTTCAACACAACCTCATGAGCTGGGGCTATAATCAGAAAGGGGGGGAAGCTTGTTGGGGGTCCCTGGCTAAGGAGTAGAGTTGGGATTGGAACCCAGTCTGTTTCACCCCCAAGTCCAGGCCTCACCCAAGGAATGGGGAAGGGAACCAACTTATGTTGAGCCTCCCTGTGCAGCACTGTGCTAGGGGATCCACTTACATCATATCATGAATGACACTCCTATTGTCCTCCCAGGGAAATGGGCTCAGAGAAGTGAAGCCATGTGCCTGAGGCCACACAGCAAGTTCGCTTGAGAGCTCAGGTCCTGTTCAGCTCAGCCTGACACTCTGCTCAGCTTCTCCCCACTGCCTCTGGAGGACAGAGCCTAAGGTCTGCAGGGCCCAGGGGTGAGCTGGGCACAACCTCCTGAGAGCTTCCAGTTCAGAGCTCCCGGCTGCTCAGACCTGCGTGGGCAAGAGGATTGTTGCAGAAATGACACTACATAGTAGTGTCGTCTATCTGCATGTGGCCAAGGACAGCAGGGCCTATAAAAGTGAGACCAGTGAGATCCGGTTGGGTGGTGGGATGGTCGACAAATTTTGTTCTTCATTTTATTTGAGATGGTTTGTGCAGTGCAAAACTCAAACACCATGACGAGGCTGTGTCTGTTTGGGTCAAGCACAAAGTGGAGTGTCACAGGCTAAAAGTGGGTCCCAGGTGGTCAGGGGGTGACTGCCACAGGGCAGTGGTGGTCAGGGAAGCCTTCATGGAGGAGGTGGGGCTTGAGCAGATGGAAAAAAGTTAAGTGGGCAAAGAGGAAGAAATGAGACTGGGAAGAGAGGACAGCCTCAGCAGAGGCAGATTGAAGGGAGCAAGACAAGGTGGATCAGTAGATGGTGGGGGCAGAGTGGCAGACAGGGCATGGTGAATGTACTCTCAGGGCTGGGAGGGGCGCTGAATGCGGTGCCCATTCAGTAGGTCACCCTCCAACATCCCCACCTGCAGCCTGTCTACATCCTGCTCATAGACAGTCGGTGACGGGGAACTCACTCTCTTACAGGCAGCCTCTTTTGTCTGATAATGGTCCCAACTGTTACAGAATTCTCTTTCCAATTATACTGCTTTCTATGGAGCCAGCTATGCCCCTTTATCACTTTCTCCCTATGAGTTTGAGCTGAGCCACACTCCTTTGCCCTGCTGACTCCCACGCAATTGCATTTCTGATGCCAGGGCTTCAGGCTTGCCAAGGAGCTTCACTTTCTTCCATCTGGTTCATCCTGTGTCCTGTGATCATCTTTCTGGATCCTGACACTTGCTTTCTTTTTGCCACTCCCTTGTGCTTGTGGGCTCTGAGAGACTGATGGGAACACTTTGCACATTGCAACAGGATAGAGCTCCAGGGAAGGCCACTAGAAACCATCCACCAGATTACCAGCGACCCAAGAACCAGCACGAACCCACTGAGATCTCCAGGTTCCCGCATGCCCCTCTCCTTCCTGCCCACAAGGACATCCTGGAGACCTTGGCTGATGTCTCCTGACATCTAGACGCCCCAGGCGTCTTCCATCAACCCAGGCTTCCAGCCAGATGGAGACCAAGGCCGCTGGTTCAGCTTGGGCTCAGAGGGCCTGTAGTGGCTTTTTGCAGTCACCCCTTTCTCATCTCAGTGCTCACAGGCCACCATTCCAAGATGACTGGGAATCCTGCCAAAACCAATGCTGACCCCAGCAGCCCAGGCTTCACGGGACTCACTGGGATCCCTGCTGAGACATGGAATGCCTTCTGTCTGTCCCCAGTCCCCTTGTCCTTCCCCACTAAGGGGTGAGCTCCCTTCTGAGTCTCCAAGGGCCTGCAGGCCTCAGCTCTCCTGGAGGATCTCTTGGTCTCCTGGGACTTCTGGCCTCCCTGGAGACACACCGGCCTCTCCAAGTTTTGAGGCTTCTTGACAGAGAGTTGGCACACACAGCCAGAGAGCTCCCCAAGCTCCCCAAAGCACCTCCTCACTCTCCCCTTATGCTTCTTGTCCTGAAATCTCCTGCTCCCATCCTCTGCCTTCAGCATCGTCTTATTTTTGGCACCTCTGTTCCCTCTGGGCCCTCCTGCCCCTGCTCCGAGACCCGGCCACCCTATGACTCACTCCAGGCTGGCTGGTTGGCTTCCCATCCATCTCTGCCCGTCGTATCTTTTCCAGGGTCTCTCTGCACCTGTGCCCTCCTCCTTGGCTGGTTTGTGATGCTGTCAGGCCAGTGATTCTGAACATTCTCTCTCCAGCTTCCTGCCAGCATCCTCCCCTTTTCCCTCTTCCCCAAACTGTCTGAAGTTTCCATCTTCTTAGGCCCATGCCTGCCCCGGGCTTCCACATATCCAGAGGACATACCTGGCCACTGCCCCCAAGGATGCTCTGTCTGTCAACCACTTCATCCCGGAGGGCAGGACCAGGGCCACAGGGCTGTAACAATTTATTGAAATCTCATGTGGCCCTATGTTCTAAGAGGTCATTTGGGGCATTCCACGGTCTCTCAGTGAGACCCCGGGGGCTTTGCACTTGCTATCTCTCTGCCTGGAATACTTTTTTCTTCTCACTGTTCTGATTTTAGGTCAAATGCAACCTTTTCAGACAGGGCTTCCCTGATGAACTCAGATTCCTGTGCCTTTCCTGCAGGTCTCTATACCTCACTACAATGGTGGAACATCTTCATCTGACTTACCATTATCTGAAGTTACCTTGCATATTTGCTTGCTTATTACTTTATTGGTTCTCTCCTTTACTAAATTCTAAGCTCCAGGACAGCAGGGACCTTGTTTGTTTCCTTAACCAGTGGCACACAGTATGTGCTTAACAATTGTTGGTTGAATAAATGCTGGATAAATAAATGCCCCCACCTCTATTCTCACTCCTACCATCCTGTCCTGCAGACCTGTTTGTATTTCCAGGACATTGCACACTCCTTCAGACCTCTGTGCCTTTGTACATGGTTCCCTCTGCTAGGAGGGCCCGTTCTCTACAATTGGACTTGGAAAGCTCCTATTCATCCTTCAAAACCCAGCTCAACGCCACCTCCTCCAGGGAGCTCTGCTCCTTCCTTGGCTTTCTCACAACACCTTCCTCACACGTCTACTGTGGGATTAGCTGTTGGTAGGCCTGAATCCCCAAGGACATTCAGGCTAGGGGCTCCCATGGGCAGGGGCTGGGCCTGAATCACTGGTGGGTTGGGGGTGGAGATAGTCCCAGCACTTGGCCTGAGCACCCAGAGTAGCTTTGCAGAGGGTGTTTGCTGAGCACTGCTGGACAATAAGGCCTTTTGGGCGTCCCTGTGAAAAGGGGCCTCACCTGGCTAGTGTCTCACCCCTGCAGGGTTTCCCCACCTCTTCTCTGCCCCTGTAGCTGAGTGAGCTTGTAAAAATGTAAACATGATCAGCTCACTGCTTAAAACCGTTTCAGAGAATCCTCATCACACTGGGAGTAATTTCCAAATGCTGACCATGGCCCATGAGGCCTGACCTGTGGCCTCTCCACTCTCTCTATTTCACTGCAGCCTCCAGCCAGTCCTGCTTCTGGGCTTTTGCCCCTGCTGTTTCCTCTGCCTGGTGTGTTCTTCCTCAGATAGTCACAAGGCCAGCTCCTCCTCATCACCCACACTCAGCACACCTTTGCCCTGTTTGTTTTCTTCACACACTTCTCTGCTCAGGAATTTTCACATCGCCTCCCTGCTCCTCACTCCGCCACAAGCTCCTCAGGGCTGGGCCTTCCCTGCCTCACTCACTGCTGCAGCCTTAGTGCCGGGCCCAGTACCTGGCACACAGCTGGTGGCCAGAATGCTTATCACCTGACTGATTCTTTCTCATCTCTGATGAGAGTGGGCTTCGGTGTTCAGCTTTTTAGTAAACCAAGTCACTAGAAGGCCAATGCCATGAGGGCAGGGATGCTTTGTCTATTTTATTCGCCGCAGTCTCCCCAGGGCTGGGGTTGCTGAGTGCACAGTAGGCTCAATGTGTGTTTGTGAGAGAAAAGGAAGGGAGTTCTCACTTGGGGCTGAGCTGGCTGGAGATACCAGAGCCAAGGATCAAAGTCTCTGAGTCCCTTCAGCCTCATGAAGGGGACACACAGGCATCCCCTGTGCATGGCGACGGGAATGGGCCCAACATCAGGCTGAAGCTCACCTGACAGCAGCATGGGGTCCTTGTCCACGGACTTGCGCACCTGGTCAGACTCTCCAGTTAGGGAGCTTTCATCAATCTTGAGGTCATTGCCCTGGATGAAGAGGCCGTCGGCAGGGAGGAGGTCACCTGGCAAGAGGAAGGGCAGGGGAGTCAGCAGGCTCTCAGGTGACTAGAGGGCTGGAACATTCCCTTAAAGGTGCGATTACCAGGGAAGGTTTGCCATCAGGGACAGAATGCCTAGAGCTCCCAGGGTGTAGGAACCAAGATGGTGCCCATAGAAGGCCCATGTACAGCTCAACACTGGAGCTAAGGTACACAGCACAAGGCCTGGAGGGCTGAGGTTGGGGCCCTGCAACCCTCGCTCAAGTGGGCATGTACTTTACAAAGTGTTTCTCTTGACCTCGCCTGAACTTGGAGTGCAGGTCTCCCAACAATTCGTTCTTCTGTAGTCTCAGTTATGGTTTAGGGGAAATATTTTGGAAGGAACCAGTCTCTCTTGGCTAGGTTTAGAAGACCGCAACCAAGTCACATCGTCAAGGGGATGTGTGCCTTTTAGGGCAGAGTGAGGAGGGGCACTCCAATCTCTCCCCTACCTTCTGCCTCACCTTACCTAGGACATATCTGGCTCAAACTCCCTTTGGTGCCAGCCTGCCCGTTTTCTCCATGGCAGTAGCACAGGCCCAGAATATTCACTTATCCACCTACACACTTTCTAACATCTCCTCTAGCCCAACAAGCATCCATTAACAGTCAAATCAGGGATGGGAAATAGGTTTCATCTAATAAACCCATTCTGAGTATTAGTGATTGTTGGAGTGCTGTGCTGAGAAGGCTTCTGCGGCTGTATCCAGGCTCTGAGCTGTGACTGATTAGTAATGTCTGCTATGGGTGGAAGTTTGGAGAGTGGTAGCACATGTGCCATGTACTTGTCATTTCTGATTTAAATGGATTCTGGGATTGTACCCCCTCCAGGAAGTACCCTTCCACCTCCTAAAGGATCTCAGAAGACATCTTGGTTTGGGATCAGCCTTCAGGAATGCATCCCCTTCCTTGAGCCAATCTCTTTGCATCAGCCTGGCCTGTCCCACCTCTGCCGGAATCCAGCTTTAGAACCTGGCTCTGTGGCTGGGACACTTACCATATTTGACCTGGGCTATGTCCCCAACCACGATCTCAGCCACAGGGATCTGGACCACCTGGCCAGCCCGGACCACGGTAAATTTCTGTTCCTGCTCGATGCGGCTCTGCAGGCCCCGGAACTGTTTCTCTTTGCTCCAGTCATTGAAGGCCGTGACCAGGACCACACAGATAACTGAGAGGAGAATGGCGGCCCCCTCGATCCAACCTGCCTCTGCCTCTCCTTCATCCTCTGCCCCACCCTGGGCCGTCGCACATCCTGAAAGACCAGATAGAAGCAGGCAGAGTGAGGTCAACCAGACAGGAGAGGCCTCATGGGCCTGGATTTACAGCTCAGCTCTGCAAAGTAACAAGTGTTAAGAATCAGATGATAATTATCCACTTACTCAGTGTGTCTGGGTACCAAGCCCTGTGGAAAGTGCTTCACGCAGATCATCTCACAGGGTATTCCCGCTGCCCATTTCACAGATGTGGAAGCTGAGGTTTCTCAGAGAGGTCAGGTGACTTGCCCAAGCAATGAAGGGCAAGTAGGAAGCTGGAATGTGAACCCAGGCAGTCTGGCTTCAGAGCCCACCATCTTAGCCCCTTCAGTTTTCTGCCTTGGTTCTAGCTGTGAGATCTTGGGCAAATGACTCCCTTTCTGAAACTCATTTTTTCTCATCTGGGTAAGAATATTCTCTATCTCGGGGACCTATTGTCAGAGTTGAAATTTAATGTGGTAAAGTTCACAGACTCTACAGCACAGACAAGGCACAGAGGAGAGAAAAGAGAATTTTCTCTAATTGATGAGAAAAGACAAGGAATTTTCTCTAATTCATGAGAAAAGAGAGTAAGTGAGGTATTTTTCTTTTTTTCCAGAACAAAGGCAGCCAATATTACACTTGCTTTAGGGTCTGAAAAGGCAGTTTGCCGCTGTCCTCTTCTTCTGTTGGAGTCTCATTACATTGCCCAGGCAGGTTGGGAAGATGAGCTGGTTCTAATCCTGCTGCTGCCTCTGCATGATTTTGGGTAAGTCATTGCCCTTCCCCGGCTTCAGTGGCCTCATCTGCAAAATAGGGATCACTGAGACCACCTTCCAGGACTCAGGGAGAGGAAGGTGGAAGCTCCTGGCCAGAGCTCAGCACACAGGAGGTTCTCTAACTCCGTCCTTGTCAGACGTCAGCTGAGGAGTGAGCCGCCCTCCACAGTGAGGACACTGAGGCTTGAGCTGCAGGCCGCTTGTCTGACTTACAGTGACCCTGCATCCCAACCGTTGCACCACTGAGCCTCCCAGTCTAGGCCCCAAAAACTCTCGAGGTCTGCCAGGCCCACGGGGTGAACAGAAAAGGAAGAACCTAGGCACATCTGATCTGAAGGCATCAGACCCAAAGGCAGATCCTACTCATGCAGTGCTGGGCCTAAGGCCCTTCCACGCCCCTCTCTCATCCCCACAAGGGTCCTGAGAGCAAGAGGTGGAGGCCCAGGAGGTGAGGTGCCACAGCCAGGACGCACCCAGGCCTTCATTTCCTCTGGGACCTGGGGAGCGGCCATTTCCATGGAAAGGAATCTCCAGCAGCATCGGATCATCCTTCCTGCAAAACTCAGAGCAGTTCCCCTCCACGGGGGCCAGGTGGGGCACTGGATACCCTGCAAGGCCTGCTGTGCACCCAGCATCCACTTTAACCCTCAAGCTGGCTGAGAGAAGGGTACCTGTTCAGAGAGAAGCAGAGACTCACCTGGGGTCACATGGCAGATAATGGGGTTTGGATCCAGATCTGGGATCTGACACCAGACCTGGCCTGTTCACTCTCCCTGAGCCTAGCAGCCCCCTCTGCCATGTGTTTGCCAAAGATTCATGGCTGAGCATCTGGAAATCCAGTCTGTCTCAAGGAACAGAGAACAGAAGCTTCAAGAGACCCCAGTGGAAGCTTCTGGAAAGCCAGGGGTCAGAAGCAACATGACAAGAAGTCCAAGTGACACTCAAGGAATGTTTATGGGCATTGGGCTCCTGGAAGGGTGGGGCCCAAGCCTGGGGAGATATGGAATCACTGTGGCCCAGCTGCATGCACCCCTGGAAAATTCCAGGTCTGGAATCACTGTGGCCCAGCTGCATGCACCCCTGGAAAATTCCAGGTCTTGCACTGAACCAGCCGTTCCCTTCGGGCCAGTAAACAATGCCATCATGTGGGGTTCCCAAAGCCACCTTTCTCCCCATCTTGGGAGTTTCAGACTTCCAGTAATTTTAAACTGTTTAGCAGGACCAGCCTTGGAGTAATGGTAATCATAGCTGTCCTAATGGTAACCAAGTTTGAATCCCAGCTGCGCTAACTGCTGTGTGCCCATGAACTTGCTATGTAACCACTGTGCCTGCCTTGTTTTGGTTTTTCTCATCTGCAAAATGGCAGGTGCTCTCTCATAAGGTGGTTGAGAGGATTAAGAGAGAGCCTTCGGGTAAAACACCCACTGCAGTGAGCACACAGTAAATGCTCAGTTAAAGCTGGTGATTCTTACTTTCCAGTGTGTGGGTGAGCATTATTGCATTCAAGTTCCACAGCCTGGCTTTATGAAGCCCTGAGGCCCACATTACAGAAGGAGCTCCTGCTGGATTTGAGTGACATATGATGACGGGAGGAGAGGAAATGGTGAACGGTGCCTCCTGTACCACCATGAATGACACCAATAGAGACTCCAAAGACTGGGAGACACAGGTGAACCTTGCTAAACAGAAACCCAGTATATGGAAACGCATTTTCTTGGGGCTTAGAGGCATGGAGGGGGAAGGAGTGGGATTACAGAGCCCCATGCTGCATTTTACAAGACTTTTGTTATCCCCTGCCCCTTGCTATGTGCTCTGGAAATGGGAAGGCTGTTATTTCCCCTGCTGTGTGCTTCCTCAATGGGGCCCCCATTAGAGCAGTTACTGGAGCATTTGGACACTTAGAGCAATGACAAGCTTTCGGGTTCTGGAATCGGAAAGACCTAGTTCAAGTCCAACCTCTGCTGTGTGACTTTAGGTAAGTGACTTGGCCTCTCTGAGCCTCAGATTAGACAGCTGTGAAGTGGGATAACCCAACGGATTTGTGAGCTAAGGGCCTGGCACATGATAGATACATGGTAAAAGTTAGACCTCTCCCCTTTTCATGAGCTTTTTTCCTTGGACTGGCCTCTGAAAGCCAAGGGCACAGTGACTGAGTGGGATATGCACCCTATTCCAACTCCCAGCCCTACCTGCTGCCCTTGCTGACTCAATACCAAGGAACCCTCTGGGCCTTGGAGGGCACTCACTCTGCCAGCAAAAGCCGATTAGCTATTGTCTCCAGAGAACTGTCTGCTCGTCACGCGGTGCCAAGGGATGACTAGAAAGTGGGAGTGCAGATCGCTGGGGTAGGGATTCGGCCACCTGGAAGCTGTCCGACCCTAGGAACAACTCCTGCTGCCCCTGGAGCAATTAGGGAGAAGAGAATAGGAAGGGGAGGGAAGAGGGGAGTGGGTGGGTCCTGCTGAGGTCTCCTCTGGGGCTCCCTTGGACTGGGGCAGGGACAGGATCTGGAGACAGTGGCCATAGGGTCCAGGGAACTGCAACTGCTCTTCCTGGACCTGCGGCTATAGAGGGTGTGGCCTCTCCCTGTCTGTGTAAGCTTGGGGAATCCGCTTGGCCTCTTCGGGCCTGTCTGCATGTTCACCAGTACAATGGTGAACCTGCCTCCCAGATGGCTACCAGGGCCTGGTATCCAACAAAGATCCTCAAAACTGGTTGAGCCATAAACATTTTCTAAACACCTACTATGTGCCTATCACTCTTTTGGCACTCTGGCACTGGGGGAGCTGTCACCAGCAGGGGGTTAGGGGCACTGAGTGTGCCAATCCTAGCCCTGCCATGAACATGCTGTGTGACCTAGGACAAGTGCCTAGAGGTCTCTGAGCCAGGTAATCCTTCATGTACAAAATGATGTTGGTAGAGGACTAACAGGCTGCAGAGTTCTGCAGCACCCATAGCCCTGCCCCAACTGCTTTCTCAGTGATGAGTATGAGATAAGACCTTCCCAAGGTTACACACCAGGAAGTGATATAGCCAGGACTCAAACGAGGGCTCCTGGCTTTAAGTTTGGGGATGCTTTTATACCCCCTCACTCCTGTTCATCAGGGGGCATCCAGCCCAGGCTGGCCCAGCTTGGCCCAGTGGTTTTAGGGAAAAGAATGAGATGAAGTGTGGGGCAGAGCCCCAGGAGTTAGGCATTAGGTAAAACTAGACACTGTGTACAGATAGCAACAGTGTCACGGCTGGACAAGGTCCCTGTGGTCACTCAGCAAACATAGTCATGAGCCATGCAAGGCCGTTTCTGTCAGTGACAGACTGCATTTACCGCAGTGGTCTCATAATATTATAATACTGCATTTCTACTGTACCTTCTCTATGTTTAGATACACAAATACCATTGTGTTACAGCTACCTACAGGATTCAGTCTGGTCACATGCTGTGTAGGTGTGTAGCCTAGGAGCAACGGGCTGCACCATACAGCTCAGGTATGTAGCGGGCTGTGCCATCTAGGTATGTGTAAGCACACTCTACAATGTTGGTATGATGATGAAATTGCCTTAGAACATGACATGTCCCTGTCGTTAAGCGACACATGACTGTATCTACTAACCATCTACAATGGGCCAGGCACAGTGAGAAACTCATACACTCATTGCGTGTGTGACTCTAATTCCACCCATCAACATTGCCACTGACCAGCCCTGTCTTACAGAGGGAGAAGGTAAGGCCTGGGCAGGGGCAGTCACTTGCTGGGAGTTGCTGAGCCTGGATTTGAACCCACATCCCACTGGGTCCCGAGCCCCTGCTTTGTCATCTGCTAAGAGCAGGCCTCCCTCTCGGGAAGACGTGTCTTCTGGTGGGGGTGGTCAGCCCTGTAGTGCTGCCACCATGTTGTATTTCTTGCCTGCCCCCAGACCTGACCCTGGAAGGAGTCCAGTTGCGGGTCTTTCATCCCTGGCTCTTGAGTTTCTCCCCAGTGCGGGAAGCCTGAGGCCTGACTTGGGGTCCTAGGCCACAACTCTGGGTGAGTCCCCACCCTCCCCTCTTGGAGCTCCAGTTCCCTCACCTGCCAGATGGGGTGGGGGTGGGGATGCTGTGTACCTGGCTAGCATCAGAGCTCAGGGCTGAGGATGTCCATTCCAAGGCACTTAAGAAAATGGCAAGTGATAAATAAAACTGAATGAGTTCAAACACAATGTGAGCACCAGGGATCTGGTGAAGCCGGTGGTGGAAGTCGTCCATCTTTCCTATGGGTGCCAGGTTATAAATAAGTCCCTCCCTGCCTTCCTTCTTCCTTTCCTTTTCCTCCTTCCCTCTGGCCTGCGCTCCCTCCTTCCTTCCTTCTGCTGACAGGGCCGGCGTTGCTCCTTCTGTAGAACTTCCTGAGTCTGTTCTGTGCACAGGGCTGCCCGCCCTCTCAGAAGCAAGGCTCTCTGCCTGGCTCAGGCCTTAACTCCTGGATCTTTAGACCTGGGGCGGAGGCGGGCAGTGGACCTCTGAGGACTCAACATGGCAGGGGCTGGAGGCAAGAGTGACAGGTGCTGGGGCTTTGGAACCTGTGGCTCTAATATGCTCACACTGTCCACCCCTGCGTTGCTGTAGAGGATACTAGAATTGTGGGGTGTTGAACGTGGCCACTTTTCCAGAAACCAGGAGCGATCGGCCACGTGGGGAGTGACACCTGCTTCCTGAGGTTTGCTCAGGGCTCCATGATAAGCGCTTTGCATTATTTCCTTCAATCATCACAAGATCTCCACAGGGCAAGTGCTATCATTCACCCCCTTTTATGGATGAAGACACTGAAGCTGAGCACATGGAGGGCCGGCCTGGGTCCAGGGCCAGACAGGCAGATCCAGGCCCTGTGCCTAGGCTCTGATCACTGGACTCTGGTGCCTTCCAAGATGTGGCAGCTGTTGTCAAAAAGAAATTGGGTGCATTTCATGATTTCAAACAAAACTCACTAGCACCATAGCAATGGCACAATTTCAACACTGGCTGCTCAGGGAGGGCCCTGTTGGGGATCTTTGACCGAAAGTTCCTGGTCTGTGAAATGGGTGTGAGGGTTCACTGAGAACCCGGACATAAAGTGCCACGTGTGCTGGGTGCTCAGTCACAGCTGGGCCCCAGTCTCTGGAAGGCTGTGTGCAGGGAGAAGGGAGCCAAGAAGGCCACATAACTGTCCCTGTCAACTTCCCTGGTGAAACTGATGTCTGTCTCAGGGTTTTTTGTTTGTTTGTTTGTTTGTTTTTGCACTTGGTGGCTGGGGATTGATGGAGCCCCAGCCTGACTTGGGGCACAGGAGCCCTGGAAACATGGAAGGCCCAGAGCTCAGATCTCAGGCCAGGGCGTGGGCTTCCGGAGAAGGAGTTAGGATGGTCACAAAGCCCAAGAACTTTTGATCCCAGTGAAGCTGGACTGTGTGAAGCTGCCTTGGACCAGGGGCGGCCTGAGCTAGTGCCCCAGCCAGAGGCAGGGAAGAGCCTTGGAAAGGGCCAGACAGACTCGGGTTGAAAATCCTGCCCTACAGTCTAACGTAGCTTTGTGACCGCAGGCAAGTCCTTCCCCTCTCTGGGCCTTGGTTTCTGAATCTCTAAGATGGAACATCGCAGCCATCTGTCTAGAGGGTGAGAAGCTCCTCCTGGCACACATGAGGCGCTCGGTCCATGTTACCCCTCCACCCCCTCCACCACCTGCTATCTGAGTTCTAATCTTGTACTGAATTGGGTTGCATGAGGCCATGTATCCGAGCTGATTCAGTCCTGTCCCTCTCTGAGGAAACGCAGCTGAGGGACAGGACCGAGGAGCCAGAATGCTTTGGTCTGAGTCATGGTTTTGCTACTTTCTAGCTGTGTGCCCTTAGCAAGCGATTTGCTGTCTCAGGGCCTTGGTTTCGTGGATAATAATAGCACCTATCTATAGGGTTGTTGTGAGGACTGATAATTAAATGGACTTCTATCATAATAGCTCCCAACTAGTGGTAGCTATAAAAATAGTAAGAAGTATTATCATTATGCATTTGTGTTACACTCTTAGCTTTGTTCAAGGCTTATTCAAGTCGTCATGTACTACCTTCTTTCATATTTGGTATAAAACTTCTTCAAAGAAGGCTGCCTATTGTGCATTTCTTATAATGTCCTATGTGAAAGTTGATCCCAGAATTCTCGTAAAGAGAAATGTCATCTTCCTAAATATTTTTCCTCCTTGTTGATAATTTGAGCTATGCAAATCTACCTTTTAGTTTTTAATTTTATTTTTCATTTTAAAATTTTTGTTTTATTATTATTATTTTTTAAATTCAGTACTCTTTAGTATATTCCAGCAAATCACCCTAATTCCCTTTCTGTCTTGGCTGCCAGGAACCTCAAGTCAGATTTAAATCTCAATCATGGCAGCAATTACAGCTGGTTTCTTTGCTTCCATTCCTTTTCTGGCTGGCTTTCTGTTTGACCGCATCCTGTGAGATGTATCTCTTGTGTCTTTAAACCCTCTATGGGAAGAGGTCATGTAAGAAATCAACTTATTATGTGTAAAATTGAGGTAGTTGGCCTAATAGACTTGGTTATTCAGTTTCTTGGGCAACTTTGGCTTGGGAGGGGGCAGGACAACAGATATTCAAGGGACCTCAGAGACCACCTTCTTATTTAGGGAAAATGAGGCCCATAATGTTATTTCTTATGTGCTATTAACTTTTAATTTGCTTGTCTGAAGGTGTAGTAGGGTTATCTATTTATGCAGCACATTCATTAGGAAATGTTGAATCACAATGAATCACAAAAAAGTATTTACAATATCCTACTGACTGAAAAAGCAGATTATAAAACAGATCAGCCTGCACAGATGTCAGGGTCGCCCTCACCTGTGTGCTTATTAAAATCCAGCCATCCCTGGACTCTGGAGAGAAAGAACCAGGCTCTCTTAGGATGGGGCCTGACAACGATGTTTTCAAAAGGCTCCACAGCAAAATCTGAGGACTCTTTATTAGCTGGTGACCTCGAGCAGATTAACCCCCTTTTCTGTGCCTTGGTTTCCTCATCTTTTTTTTATATTTTTTATTTCCATAGGTTTTTGGGGAACAGGTGGTACTTAGTTACATGAGTAAGTTCTTTAGTGGTGATTTGTGGGAATTTGGTACACCCATCACCCAAGCAGTATATACTGAACCCAGGGTTTCCTCATCTTTAAAATGGGCATTACCATGGCAGCTACCTCAGGGGGTTGTCAGGGCGACATCTCAGCCCAGGGCTTAGCACACTGTAAGTGCTCAAAAATGCTCACTAAAGTGATTACTGTCACCAGTCCAACCCTTGTGCATTTCACACAGGGAAAACGGGGCTGAGGCCTGGCTCGGCCACCCTTTGGCTGTGTTGGCTATGGGTGGGGCCCTGCCCCTTGGACCTCGGTTTCTTCCCCTGGGAGGAGAGGATTATTTGTGTGAGCCGTGAGTGCCCCCCAGCGTGGATGCGGTGGCCAGGTGTGCGGGGCGGTTCGTGGGTCTGAGGCCCATCTT
Organism: Homo sapiens; assembly: GCF_000001405.40. NCBI lineage: Eukaryota > Metazoa > Chordata > Mammalia > Primates > Hominidae > Homo > Homo sapiens. The sequence goes on from NC_000003.12 coordinate 10,410,616, forward strand.
ACCTTCGTTGCCCTCGCCGGGCGGGTGGTAGAAGGACAGCCCCAGGGAGATGATGGCGGCAATCTCCAGGATGATGAGCGTCACGTCCTGCAGCGCCTCCCACACGAGCTGCAGGAAGGTTTTTGGCTTCTTTGGAGGTATAAAGTTTTGCCCAAAAATTTGCTTTCTCTTTTCCAGGTCTGGAGCGGTGCCCGGCAAACCTGTGGACAGAGAACAGAGAGGTTGGCTGGGGGCCTGGGAGAGATGCAGGCATGTTCTGGGAATCTAGGGGCAGAAAAGGAGAAACAGAGCAAGAAACTTGCTGGTGGCTGGCCCAGGAGCCCAACATCTCTTCATGCTTTGGGCCCTAAGTTGGTTCCTGCCAAAAGCCAGAGACACCGTGCAGTGGGTTGAATGGCAGCCTCCAAAATATATATCCACATCATGATCCCCGGAACCTGTGAATGTGACCTCATTTGGGAAAATAGTCCTGTTGTTGTACTTAAGTTAAGGATATCACGATGAGAGCATCCAGGATTATCTGTCTGGGCCCTAAATGCAATGACAGGTGTCCTTACAAGAGACACAGACACAGAAGGATGATGGCCACGCAAAAACAGAGGCAGAGTTTGGAGTGATGCAGCCATAAGCCAGGAAATGTCTGGGGGCACCAGACGCTGGAAGAGGCAAGGAAGGATTGTTCCCTGGTCTTCAGAGGGAGGTGGCCCTGCTGACACCTGATTTCTGACCTCTGGCCTCGAGTCATGAGAGAATAAAATTCCCTTGTTTTAAGCCACAATCAGTCTGTGGTCATTTGCTGTGGCAGCCATGGGAAGCGAATCCACACTCCTACAGCCGCCTTGCGCTGGTACCCTCCTTCCGCTCTCCCTCCTGTCGAATGCCGCGCAGTGGTTAGAGAAGAATCAGAAGCCACTGCCTGGATTAAAATCCCAGCGTGATGGCCCTCGCTCTCTGAGCCTCAGTACCCTCTACTGTAATGCGGATGGTGATTGTACTTAACCCATGGGTGGTTGTGAATATCACATGAGGTGATTCATGTGGTCCATGAGCATTTATTGAGCACCTACCAAGTGCCTGGCACTGTTGCAGACACTGGAACAGAGCAGCTCACCAGACAGAAGAGTGCCCACTTAGGAGTGGCCCTCACCGTGGATGCCTTGCAACGTGCTCGGAGCGTGCCTGGTGGACATGCAGCTGACACTGGTACTTTCTCCTCTTCTGGACAAGGGAGTGAGGTGTAGCCAGGTGCACCCCTCATCATGTGGGGACCGGACAGAGTGGTAAGGGCCCACTTCCACCCACCATCTGCATTTCCAGATAATTCTTCCAGACTTGCAAGTCCACTCTCACGCACCTGCTCAAAGGCCTTGGGAGGCTGCTCACTGTCTTTGGAATAAAGCCCGTGTTTCCCAGCCTGGCACCCTGGCCCTCTCTTCTGACCCGCAACCTGTGTCTGCAGCCTTGGCTTTTGCCATGTGGCTTCCACCCAGCAGAGCCAGGCCAGCACTTTGCCTTCCTCCTGCCACACTGTGCCCATGCTGTGCCCTTCCCTGCTCTGGCACTGGCCACTGTTTGCCTGTCTATACATCCCCTCCTAAACTCCCTGGTACTGGGGTATGGATGACCCACAGTTGACAAACCCCAGGTGTATTTGTACCTTGGAAGAGGGGCCTGGAAGGGTGAACCTCTCATGGAGGAAATTCAGGCGTGTGACCAGGAGGTGCGTGGCTCTGGTGGGGAAGACTCCCTCTGTCCACTGTCTGCTGTGCCCCTCAGAGGCCGGTGCTTCTCCTTGCTTCAGCCTTCCTTTCAAGCTGCCCCATGTCGCCCCAAGTAGCTGGTGTGCCACTTTATTTTTCCATGACAAGTGTCCTGTCACACCCCCAGGCCTTTGCTCCTGCTGTTCAGCAAACCGGGAACAGCCTTTCCTCCACTCAGCACTGTGAGCCCCTCTCAAGGGCTGAGCAGCCTCCCCTCCACCCCAGGAGGACAGTGGCCCTCTGCCTTTACTTGCCACAGTCTTCCCCGCAGCAGGCTTACCACTTCCCCAGACCCCTGTCCTACTTGGGCCGTGGACCTTGGGGACAAAGACCAGTCTGATTCCTGTCCCTCAGGGCCTGGCACCTGAAGCCTTACAATTGTCCCACCCACTAAATGCAGGTCCGAGTGTTACGAGCCTGGCCCGAGGTGTGCAGCCTGGCCCAAACAGTACAGCAAAAATGGGCCCCGCAGCGGGGCAACGACAGTCCTGTCATTGACCCAGCAAACCCTAGCTCTTCTTGTGTCTTAGTGAGGACAGATGGGGGTGGACAGGGAGGGGCACACACCCCTCATCAAACCTATGGCCTTCAGTCTACTCCTGTGAACAGCACTAGCAGCACACTGGGGTTGCAGGACTGGACCATGTGGCTGATGGGACCTCATGGTCTAATATATGGTTTTAGGGTTCTAACAGTCTGTTGTTCATTGCCTCTTCACCCATTCATTCATTCAGTTTGCATTCCTGGAGCCCCCACTGTGGGCCTAGCCTGGTGCCAGGTTCTGGGGAGTGTGATGTGCATGCAACAGACCTGGCTGCCCGTGGATGTCAGAGCTCAGTGGTTCCGGGAGTCCAGCAGCCTGTGGTTTGGGAGTCTGTCTTGGGTTCTAGATGCGGAGTCTCCTCAGATGCTGACCATGAGATCTCCATCAGGAGCCTCCAAGGGCCAGGCTGGCTGAGACACTCCCACTGGGGGAGCCCAGGGATGGCTCCCTCCCTAGGAGACCTCACGCCAGCCTGCTTGTTGGTGCAGGCAAGCTCTTGGGATCCCATGTCCTGCATGCAGTGAGAACGAATGAACCCAGAGCCAGGTTAGGCTCATTTCACAGATGGGGAGACAGGCTGCCCTGAGACCAAGCTGCTGCTGTGGGGCAGCTCCTAGGCCCTGAGAGCCCAGGGTAGCCTTGATCTAAGTGCGTGGGAACACTTCCTCCACTGTTCTGTGCTGGGCTGGCCATCTGGGAGATCCATGTACAGAGCGTGCAGGCACGGCACACTGTAGCACGATTCCAGGAACCGCAGGAAGCTTCCCTGTCTTCCTCCTTTTGTCCAATTCTACCCATAGCCAACACCTGGAATTCCTCTACTTGACCTTTATTCCTTTAATTAAAAGCTCCAATTCCTTTAGACTTTCTGGGAGGGGAAGCCATCATCAGTTCTGGATGCCATGGTGTGAATGAGTTTCATTCAGGCTTTTTCCTGGGAATGAGTTTTGACAAGGGAGAAGGGAGAGTTCAAGAGGGCCGTGGGCCTCTGAGGGAGGGGCTATGACCAGCCAACACTGGCCTGTTATGGCAGTTTGCTGTGGCTTTGGCCAGCCAATTCCCTTCTCTGAGCTACAGTTTCCCCATTTCAACAATGGGAGTGTTCAATAAGATGGGTAGGTCCTGAGAATCCCAGGGGATCTGAGGTCTGCAGGCCCTGAAATGGTTTTCCTGGGGTCTGTTTTCACATTTTGGAGCTCCTCATAAGATTTGGTGCAAATTAAGGTTTTTGCCAAGAAAAAGTAGGTGAGGCCAGCCAAACTTCTGGGCCCTGCCTGATTGATTCCAAGAGAGGGGGAGTCTCTGAACCTTCTGAGTTCTGCGATTCAGAAGTTCCGGAGTCCACAGTGTAAATAGTTGATAATGTGGGTGTTCCATTTTGGAAGTCAGGCCATATCATGCTGGGGCTCTGTCATGCTGGGAATCCACAGGCCAGGCATTGAGATCCTGAGTCCCAGGACAGCAGACAGAGCAGGGGCTGCAAATTTGAATAGGTGTGGGGGTTGGGTGGGTTTTGTGAATGAGTGAAGTAGGTGAGTGGGAGACATTAGGGAGTGGTAGAAACTGGAGCAAACTGAAGAACCTTGGCCCTTCTGAAGAGGACAGCTGCTTCTCAGCTCCTGTGGGGGAATGTGGGCCCAGTGTGGCAGATCTTCCAATCTTCTAAGAGAAGCTGGACATCTGGAATTTGATGTAAAATCTCCCCATTAAAAACATGCCAGGGCCAAGAACAACATATCTGTGGGCTGGATTCAGCCCCTAAGTTGCTAGTTTGAGACCCCCAAGGCTATGGATTGGGACAGGGCGATGTGGCTGGAAGGGTGAGGGGTCGGCACAGAGCAGCTTCTCTGTCCCTCCCTCCCTCTTCCAGGCAGCTCCTTCCCCAGCCCCCGCCCTTGCCCACTCCCCACAGACTTCCGAGAGGCCCTCTGTTCTTCAGAAATAACAACTCAGGGCATAAACACATTTGTGTGCTCTGCTAGGACTGTTCCCATGGCAGTTTCCACTACGAGCATCCCAGAATCAAAGTCCAAGGTGGGAACCCTGGGCACTGAGGCTCACATGGGGCCTCTGAGAAGGTGGAGGTGGTCATGACGTCTCGCTCACTCCCCTCTTCTCAGTGGAAGAACAGCCAAGCCGGAGCTGAGGAAACCAAGCCCCAAGAACACAGGTGGGGTTTGAACTTGGATGGCCTGCGTTCAAATCCCAGCTCTGGGTGACCTTGGTTAAGTGCTTCACCTCTCACTGCCTTCATTTCTCCTTTTGCAGGCAACAGCAGTGTCTATTTTACAGGGTTAGGGTGAGGCTTCAACACGATGTCTCACGTAAGGAGTGTAGTGCTGTGCCTGGCACCGGGTAGATGTACTGTGTCATTATTACCGCCCAGTTTTTAGGCCAGGTGGGAGATTAAGCCAGACGTTCTGGAGAGGAAGACTTTGAACTGGCAGGATTTTGACAAGATAGGAAGGGGTCAGTCAAGGTGAGGAGAGGCACAGTGGAAGGGCCTTGTGACTGCAGACAAGCCACTTCTCTTCTCTGGGCCTCAGTTTCCCCACATGTGACATGAAGGATTGGTCTGGTGGAAGGCTAGGGCTGGTGGCTCTGGTACTTGGTATCCAAAGACAGGGGTTTTGAGGACCTGCAGGTGGAACAGCTTGCCTGGTCCAGCCTACCTGTCATGCCCTTCCCAGGAGCTGAATCTTGTGGTCTCCTTTCCTTTCTGCTGAAAATTAACACACATATTTTTGGGAGCAGAAACAACAGAGGCTGGTGTGAGAGATGAATGGCGTTCGAGATTCAATTTAGATTAGAGAGCATCTCACCATTTCGCATATTAAAAATTAATACAGTGTGTCAAAGATTACCGGACAAAGGCAGCGAGGCCCTGAAAATTCAGAAACACAAATGTCCAGACAGATGCTATGTGGGGTTGTAGGCTTTCAAATGTCAATTTTCTTTCTGTGTAATTATAAGCAGAGGTCAGAGCACTAGAGGAGGAGCCAGGTTTTGGTCTTTGTTCTACCACTGACTTGTGAGTGAGCTTGGGCCAGTTTCACCCCTCGGAGACTCAGTTTTCTCATTCATAAAATGGGAACAAAATAACCTCTAGGCTGGGGAAACCCAAGCACAGAAGAATGTGTGTGAAGCTCTCTAAACTGTAAAGGCATGCACTTTTACTGTGAAGGTAAAAAAACACTCCAACACTCTCCCAGATTTTTCAACTGTGGGCAGAATCTGTGTGTCCTACCATGTATGTAAAAGAAGACAGCCACGGCGCAAAGTGAGGGACTGGCTGTATAGGAACTCCCTGCTGTCACGGCTGCTTGCTGTCAGTGGGTATTTGAGGAGCCTTGGCCTCAAAGTGCATCTGTATCCAGCTGTCCTGGATACAAACTGGGCTCTTCCCCAGCCTCTAAACCTCTGCCCTGGCCATTCCCATTCCTTTGCTTGGGGTACCTTCCTCTCTCTTTTTAGCCAATTCTGGCTCCTGCAAACTGCAGTCTCAGGCCATTAAAGAGGTTTCATTTGGTCTGCCCGGTGTTTTTAAAAAAATGGAAATTTGTTACAAACATTAAAAAGTCAATTCCCATATAGAAATCTTGACATCTAGCTCACCAAGGGCATGTGCCCAGACCTATTAGAGTTGGAACTCATGTTTGAGAGCCGTCTGACAAACTCCAGCCCCACCTCAGCTCTGTTAAGCAAAGCTCGAGGGACAGTGGTTCTCTTGGGGGCAAAGGGAGCCTGTGCTTTGGCCCCAGAGCACAGAGCTGGCGACCTGGAGGAAGAGGTACAAGGAGGGGCCTCTGGCTTTATGAGAGGGAAGGACTTTCTTTTTCTTTTTCTTTTTTTTTTTTTTAATTAGAAAGTAAACTTTAATGTCGAAAATGCAAACGGGGAGGGCAGAAAGATCACACAAAAGGCTGTGATTTCACACTTGGAGAGTTGCACAGCGGCCAGGCAGAGGCGCTCCTCACTTCCCAGATGGGGCGGCAGCCGGGCAGAGGCACTTCTCACTTCCCAGATGGTGGGTGGCGGGGCAGAGCGGCTCCTCACTTCCCAGATGGTGAGTGGCCAGGCAGAGGGGCTCCTCACTTCCCAGATAGGGCGGCAGCCAGGCAGAGGTGCTCCTCACTTCCCAGACGGCGGCGGGGGGGGGCGGGCAGAGGGGCTCCTCATTTCCCAGAAGGTGGGTGGCCGGGCAGAGGGACCCCTCACTTCCCAGATGGGGCGGTGGCCAGGCAGAGGGACTCCTCACTTCCCAGAGGGGGCAAAAGCTGGGCAGAGGCGCTTCTAATTTCCCAGACAGTGGGGCGGCCGGGCAGAGGGACTCCTCACTTCCCAGAGAGTGTGGGGGCCGAGCAGAGGTGCTCCTCACTTCCCAGACAGTGGCAGGGGCTGGGCAGAGGGGCTCCTCATATCCCAGATGGTGCAGCAGCCGGGCAGAGGCGCTCCTCACTATGAGAGGGAAGGACTTTCTAATGGGTGAGCTGAGGATGGATGGATTATTCTGGGAAGGAGGGAGGGAGCATGTTTACACAGAAGCTGGACGGCCCACAATGGGTGTCCTGCACCAGATGCCAGGCCCCACTCAAGACTCAAGATCCTCCTATCTTAAGGAGGTCTGAGTTCCCCCACCCTTCTCAGGCCCTCTGAAGCTAGAAAAGGTACCTAGGGTCATACTAAATAGTGCACATCCAGTCATTCATTTACTCATTCAATCAATCACCGAATTTTGATTGAGCACCTACTATAAGCCAGACTTTGTTCTATATGTTGGGGACACTACTGTAAGGAAGACAGGAGTGTCAGGAAGGATCGCCTGGCAGAAGTGTAGTTGTAATTGGGTGAGCTTGGAAGGAGTGAGGGTTGATCAGATGAAGGGATATGGGTGGGGAGAAGGGCTGTGAAAAGGCAAGAGAAACTCCAAAGGTCTTGGGAAAGGCTAGAGTGGCTGAAGCATTCCTGGTTTGCTCCTCAGAAGAGGGGTCAGATGGTCCTCAAGGAAGAGGACACATCTATTGTACCCTTTGTCCCCAGTGGCCAGGAAAGGCTGGGAATAGAAACTGAATTTATAGCATGCCACATGGGGTCAGGCTTACACAGGCCTTTGGGGTGAGAGTGAGAGTGTTCTCTAATGGAGACTCTGGCTCTTGTAACTCATCTTTTTGCCATCTTCCCCTTGCCTGCTTGGTAGCTCAGTACTGAATACGCAGTTCACCTCTGTGAGCTACACCAGAGGACTCAGCAGCATGCATCGAGCTGTCAAATCTCCATCCTATTTCTCCTCTCCTCTCTTTGTCTGGATTTCCTAACTTAGGGCATTTAAAGTCATTTTGTATGAGACAACTTTTATAAGCTACTTATAAAGTGGAACATGGTTAATTAATCAGAATAAAGAAAAGGCTATTGAGGTAGGTAAAGGAGCAGGGGCTGGGTTAGAGGTCAGAATGAAGGGGCGAGATGAAGGAATGCAGACATTTAACATATGGCTTACTTTCTGCTCTAGTGCTGTACTTGAGGGCAGGGCAGGGTTCTGCTCTTCCCATGTGTGGGGCACCTCACACTGAGAGGCTGGGCTGTATCAAAAGTAGAGCCCAACTGGGAGGGACTCAAGGTGAGTTTTCCAGGCCATCCAGGTGACCACTGACCTCTTCTCCCCTGTTCTGAGGCCCCATGGGGCTGCACGTCTTTATTTCCAGCAAAGTGACCCCAGAGATTGTTTTCGCCCCTGGTGAGAGCAGGAATACACTAACTGCCCTCTGAGGCTGGCTGATATTCAGGGGCACTGTCTGGCTGAGCGGACCTGCCTGCAGCCTCAGCAAATGATTTCAAGAAAAAAACCCAACAATAATCACGTCCCCCAAACTCTCCATCCACTGCTCAGAGCTAGTGTGAAAACAGATTGCTCCCCCAGAGTCACCCAGGCCACCGGGGTAGCAGTGAGGGGGTGGAATTCAGTCGAGGGCAGAACTGTTTCCAGGAGTGGGGGGCTGGGAGCTGGGCGCCTTGTCTGCAGGGCCGGGGGCCATCAGCTGGGATGAGCTGCATGGTGTGTGACAGCAGCAGGCTAATGGGTAACCTCAGCCCTGGGTTCAAATCCCAGCAGCTCTTTGGTTCAGTGCTGGTGACTTGGGCAAATCATTTCCCTTCTCAGAGCCACAGTGTTCACCTCTGTGAAATGGGAATAAATGTGCACCAGCACACAGCAGTCCCTCAAGAAACCTCCCTCCCCTCCTGCCTTTCTGGGGACCAGAGATGGGGATGTGTGTGCTGAGGTTGTCCAGAAGCCCCTCCCACCACGGGTGGCCACGTGCCCCCTGTAAGAGCCACTTAATGGACTTGGGACAGACAGACAATGCCTCTGTGGGAAAAAAGCCCTGTCTCTGGCATCCCCTGCAGTCTGGGGTTGACAGAGGATTGGGAATATGATGTGTGGAAATAGTGCTTGGCATATACTGGCCTTCACAAAGGATAGATGCAGCTGTCACTACCACCACCGTACACCACTAATGTTACTCTGGGCCTGGAATATGCATTGCAGGAATTTCTGTCTGTGTTGCCGCTGTCTTAGCTTGTGTCACAGAACACCACCACAGCCATAACATGCCCCTACCTAGATCGGGAGACCTGGTTGGCATCTACCTTTCCTTCCTATGTGACCTTGAGTGGATCACTCAGCCTCTCCGAGGGGCCTTGGGCTGTCTCACTTGAGGATCACACAGAACCAAGGCTCTGACAGTGCTTTGTAGATGGTAAAGTTGCTCTATGTTGAGCACCCATTATGCAGATGCACACACTGAGGCACAGGGTTCTTCTGCTGGGAAGGCAGCCGAGCCAGGCCTCTTGCCACAGAGCTCAGCGGCCACCCTGCCCTGTTCCAGCCTGATCTAGTTGGGGGTAGGCTGTGTCTTTCTGCAAATGCCCCACAGTGACCCTATCTGGTGAAGCCAATGTGAATGCTGATTCACTCCAGCTTGATCCCTGCGACAATGGGGTGCTCAGGAAATTTCAGATAAAACGAATGGTGAGTGCTTTCTGGGGAAAAACCACAAGGGTGACCTCGTGGCCCTGCTTCGTATATTTAAAATGTAGCCTGAGAGGCACCCAGAAGGCAGGCATGGGCCTTAGTGCCTGTGAGAGGCTGTCAGTGCATGCATGCGTGCCCGAGGATGTGGCTGAGTCAGTGTGCAGACGCGGGCACACAAAGGTGTGTGGCACAGGCTGAGTGGGGGAGGGCACCACGTGCTTCATATCCTGTCAGAGGTCAGACAGAGTGGGTAGCTTGCACAGGCATCACTGCTGGGACTGTGGGAAGCCATACCGCTTCAAGACAAAGCAATGAAATGGGACAGCGGATCTAGGTCTGGGCCTCACTAGAGACTCCTTCCAGCTCTGTGACCTTGGGCGGGTAACTTCCCCTCTCTGTGTCTTGGTTTCACTTTTTTTTTTTTTTTTTGAGACGAAGTCTCGCTCTTGTCCTCCAGGCTGGAGTGCGATGGTGTGATCTTGGCTCACTGCAACCTCCGCCTCCCGGCTTCAAGTGATTCTCCTGCCTCGGCCCCCCGAGTAGCTGGGGTTACAGGTGCCTGCCACCATGCCTGGCTAATTTTTGTATTTTTAGTTGAGATGGGGTTTCACCATGTTGGCCATGCTGGTCTAGAACTCCTGACCTCAGGTGATCCACCCGCCTTGGCCTCCCAAAGTGCTGGGATTACAGGTATGAGCCACCACGCCCGGCCTGGGCCTTGGTTTTTTCACGTGCAGCCTGAGAATAATGATAGTGCCTGCCATACAGAGTTAAACGAGGTCGCATCTGGGCACCTGGCACATGGGAAGGCCTTGACTAATATTAGCTGCTATTGTTGTTGCTATCACTGAGCTTTCTCCAAGGCACTAGTTCCTAACTTGGTTGTACACTGGAGGCACCAGGGAGCTTTAAAAAATATGAATGCCTAAGCCCCAAACTAGAGATTCTAGTTGAATTGGGCTGGGGCATGGCCCGGACCTTGGGAGTTAGAAGAGCTCCCCAGGGATTGCAATGTGCAGCAGGGGATGAAAACTTAGTGGTCCCTGGAGCGGCGGCTTCAGCATCACCTGGGGACTTGTTAGAAATGCACATTCTCAGGGCCCACCCAGACCTACTGAGTCACACACTCTTGGATGGGGCAGGGCCAGCTGCATTGTCCTTGGCAATGGGGATACAGGCTCAGGTTGAAGAGCCACCAGCCTGAGGGAGGAGGGTGAGGAGGAAGCCTAATACTTGCCAGGTGCTTTCGGCACAGCATCACCTTTGAGCCTCGCCAACAACCCTGAGACATGGGGCTTATTGCTGAGGCCTGTCCAGGTCACACAGTGGGGTGGTGACAGAGCCTGCACTCAGCCTGGGTCGACTGTTCCTTTTCTTCTGTAGGGGCTGCCAGCTCCCACAGGGCCCTTCTCCTTCCCTGAAAGCTGCCAACAGTCAGGCTCACAACCTCTCTTCCTGCAGCAGAGGAGGTCATGAGTGCTGTGGCTGACAGACCCAGACTTGAGTCCCCAGGTACACAGAACACTCTGACCCTTTGTCTCCTACTGGTGGCTGCAGAAGGCTGGAGAAGGAGAAACTAGAAGCTGAGTGGCGAGAAAAAGGAGACTGGAAGAGGAGATGAGGCAGTGTGGGGCCAGGAGCTGGTCTTCAAGTTCGGCTGTCACAGCATCCCTGCCCTGATCCGCAACCTTCCATGGCTCCCCATGTCCTCACAATCATCCAGTTCCTGGGCTCACAGTGGCCTCTCTGTGAGGTTGTCCCAAAGGACTCCTCCTGCCTCACCTCTAGCCATGCCACATTTATCCCACTCTCCTACCAAGCCACGGGTCTGCATGTGCCGGGCATTTGCCTCTGACTTGGCACATCTGGCTTCGAACCCAGGATGCCCAACCCTCTGTCGACTTATTTAGTTAGTCTTGAGAGACCCAGAAGAACATTTACTATCACTTCCTGAAAGGCTTCCTTGATTTATTCAGCAAGAACAATCTGTCCTCATCCTCCCCTGACAGCATTTGTCACCTGGCTCATTTATTCACTAACACACATTTACTGTGCATCTCTCCTGTGCTGGGTTTTGGCCCTGGGGGTCAAACACCAACTGAGACCCACCCTTTGCCACTACTGTCTTCTGGTTTCTGATTCCACCATCCCCTAGAGGGAGGCTGCTTCCACCAGCACACAGCAGGTCCTTAGGAAACCTCCCCTGGCTCCTGCCTCTCTGGGGACTAGAGATGGGGATGTAAGTGCTGAGGTTGCCCAGATGCTCCTGCACACATGGGTGGCCACGTGCCCCCTGTAAGAGCCACTTAACAGACTTGGGGCAGAGAGACAACGCCTCTGTGGGAAAACAGCTTGTGTTGCGGGCATCTGCTGTGATATCGGTCTGTATGGGCTGTCAAGGTAAGTTCAGAACCAGTCTGATGGTCTGCTATCGTCTGGTGTGCATTGCAGGCATGTATGCAATGCCTAGAGTTTATGATCACATCACGGTGTTGACGGTTCCTGATGGGCAAGGTGCAGGGTAAGGGGTGTCTCTCTGATACCTAGTGGTCCTAGGTGGGGTTTCCTATGAATCCAGTCTCTGTCATGTGGAGGGGGCAGCATTTACCTGATCCTCCCTGATAGCATTTGTCACCCAGCTCATTCACAGTTATGTGCTCATAGCAGACCTGACATCTAGACGTGCACATGCACACACAGATGTGGCACACAACTGTGGATGTGGCACTAGATTGTGGATTTGAATGTGCATAGTGCAGCGCTGGGTGGTTTCTTTGCAAGCATGTGGACGCAATGTCCATTCGCTTATGTGCACCCATGTGGACATGGCACAGAACGGGCACACAGAGGCTGTGTTCCTGTAATTCAACACACGTGTGGACACAAGTTTCCACTGATTTAAACCTATCACCTGCCTTTTCTCCAAGTCAGGCTGAGTTCCCACTCTTCTCTCCACTGTGGGAATTCTTTACTAAACTTCTCCACTCAGGGCTCCAGACTTCCCACATGGGCAGGGAAGTGGGTGTGGGGGCTGGGGATCTGAGTGGAAGGTGGTGACCAGGACTCATCTAGAAGCTGTGAAAACATCAATGATCTGTACCAAAGAATGGGGGGATCTAGTGAAGCTGGGGCCCCTGAGAAAGGTTTACTGGATAAAATATAGGATACCCAGAGAAATCTGAATTTTAGATAAACAGCAAATCATTTACTACTAATTAAAAAATTAACAAACTTATTGTTTATTTGCAATTCCAATGTCCCTGGATGCCCTGTATTTTTCTTTGTTAATCTGGCCACCCATCCCTAAGGCTCCCTGTCCCCTCTCCTCCACATCCGGTGGCCAGCCTCTCTTACCCTCCCATTTGACGGTTGGGAAAATGGAGGCCCAGAGACGCGGAAGCGACTTGATCCAGGTCCAGGGAGGTTCAGCTCCCTGGGGCTGGACCCTGACCCCTGGCCCAGGCCCTCTCAGCACCCCACAGACACGAGGGAAGGGAACAACGGCTCGGCTTGCTTGAATGGAGCCTTACTACACACACAAATGACGGCCATTTCATATTCCCTCTGTATCAACCTCACTGAAGAGATCTGGTTCAGCATGCCCAGAGGTGATCTCTGAGAGGTCTTTGTCTCAGCCCTTTGGGAAAATGGAGGCCAGAAAAGCCCCTTATTCCTCCTTCTGGGGAGGGGCCTCCATGGTTGAGCGCAGACAAGAAGCACTTCCCTGTCCCTCCAGGTGGGGACGCTTTGCAGAGCTGCTACCTGTAGCCTCCCAGGACGCCTTTCAGAGGCAGTGGATGCAGAGTTCCAGTCTCCACCCTGACACTTAGTGAGAGCTTCTGCACGTGGTGCCCCTTCCCTGAGCCTCAGTTTCTTTATCCACAAACTGGGGGAGAGGGACAACCTAGCTTCGCCTGCTGAGGTAGATGAAAGAAAGTGCAAAGGGCAGTGGTGGTGGGCACACAGCTGGCGCCCAGAGCCTGGGTGGAATATCCCTCTCCCAATCCCTTTGAGCTCAAATGTTACCCCCCGCAGTGCATCGACAGCAGTGGTGGCATGCTGGTGTCTTCTCACTGTTCTGTGATCTCAAGTGGCTCCTTCAATGATGCAGGACCAATGCCCCTCTCATAGGCCCCACTCGGCTGGGGCTGCAGACAGGCCGGCAAGAAATGAGCACATGTGCTCCTACATGATCATCACTTTATACACGGGCCTTGCATTTCCATTCTCCTGGCCATTCTGTAAGATAGGGATTTTAAACTTCATTTTACGGACAGACGGACTGAGGCACAGAGAGATAAAGAGGCCTGCTCAGGGTCATACGGCTAAAGCTAGGATTTGAACTCAGGTCCCTGAGGCTCCGAACTGTACTGTCTTCACACCCTATCATGTTGTCTGCTTCAGGATGCAGCACTGAAATCAAAGCTGACAACTCTGCCATTTTCCTTGTTACTCTTGAGACAGCCTTTTGCTATAAACAGAGACTTGGCAATAGACAAGAGCTAGTTCCTAGGGATGCCAAGCACCTGAAGGAAATTGGGAAAACTTAGTCACCAGACTGGGTGTTGCTAAATATTTGTGTTGTCACTGTGGTGTGGGTTCCTCCATTAGCATAAATAAAAATCTTATATTTCAAAAGCAAAAAATCCACAAGTCCTTCAAAAGCTACATCATTTATAGAAAAATGCATTTCTGTCTTTGGAAAGCGAGTGGGCTAAATAAACGGTGGTACATCTATTCCAAAGAATACTACACAACAGATTTAAAAAATGAGATCCATTTATATGTACTAACATAGAAGACTCTCCAAGATAAACTGCTGAGTGAAGAAAGCAAGTTGCAGAACAATGTGTATAGTTTTATTCCACTTATGTAAAACAGAAAACTCTACAAAACAATAGTCTATTTTTTATGACTATATATATGTAAATGTGTAGCAAGAGGTCTGTAAGGATCAGCTCAAACTCATGAAGGTGGTATCTCTGGGGAAGGGAAAGGGCACTATGATTAGTTGCAGTGGTTTAGGGGACTCTAGCTGTGACTGAAATATTTTAATTTTGGCTGGGCACGGTGGCTCACACCTGTAATCCCAGCACTTTGGGAGGCTGAGGCAGGTGGATCATCTGGGGCCAGGAGTTTGAGACCAGCCTAGCCAACATGATGAAACTCCGTCTCTACTAAAATATATATATATACGTATATATATATAAATTAGCTGGGCGTGGTTGTGCACGCCTATAGTCCCAGCTACTCAGGAGGCTGAGGAAGGAGAATCACTTGAACCCAGGAGGTGGAGGTTGCAGTGAGTCGAGATCGTGCCACTGTACTCCAGCATGGGTGACAGAGCGAGATGCTGTCTCAAAAAAAAAATTAATTTTAACCAAGAGAATGTTATTTAAATAATTCAGACTTTAAAGGGGAAGTCAATATGAACTATAAGAAAATAAAGGTCTGTTTCCATATAACCTTTGGATGAAGTGGATTTGGGGACAAACATTCCTGGGTTAAAATCTCAGCTGCCTCACTTACTACCTGTGTATCCCTGAGGGAGTCACTTCACCTCCTCTGTACCATAAGCTGTGGTTCCTAACCCACGGCCTGGCTGTGAAGATTAAAATAAGGTAACGAGTGTGACGCGCCGGGCACACGGTAGGTGTTCAATGTGTACCCCCATCATCTCTTCTTTTCCTCCATGTACTGTCTCTGTCTTCCATCAGAGTCCACTCCTGCCTCCTGTACCTGTTACACCATCCAGCAAAATTCAAGAAAAACATCTCAGATATGACCACATCCCTCTGCCATCTGCACACTGGTCCAGGCCACCATCCTTGCTCACCTGGATGGCCTCAGCAGCCACCTTGCCTGTCTCCCTGTTCCCACCACCCTCAATTCGTACTCTACCCTGCAGCCAGAGGGACATTTCAAATGTGTAAAGTGCAGTGTGCTCATGTCAAGCCCTTGCTCAGAATGCTCGAGTGGCTCCCACTGCAGGCAGAGAAAATCCATTAGAGAAGATCCAGAAGGCCCTGCACAGAGGGCCCCTGCTCTCCTCTGCAGTCTCATTCCCCCTTCCCATCATTGTGCTCCAGTGACACCAGCCTCTTTTCTGAGGCTTCAACACAAGTGCTTTCCTGCCTTAGGGCCTTTGCTGTGCTGTTCCCTCTGCTTGGAATGCTCTTCCCCCTGCCTCTGTACCTAATTCAGCACTTCTTTTGGCTGAACCCCCCTCCTAGATAGGTTACACCCCCTTCGGAATGCTCTCATAGCTCCCTGAAAATCCCTTTCCTTTTAATCATTATTTTAATAATTATTAATGAAATTGGTTTTTCTTAATGCTTCATTCCCTTGCTGACTCTAAGCTCCATGAGAACACTCAATAAACATGTGGCCTCTCCTAGACACACCTGCACAGGAAGAAGGAAGGTGAGGAGTGGTCAGTGCTTAACTCCAAAGCAACGTCTGCTCTAAGACAGGCATTTTCAGGCTGAAGACTGGGGAGCTGGAGAGATACTCAGGGTCTCCTGGAGTCACTCCCTTCTGTGCCAGAGACCACATAGCAAGCGCCTCAGTGGACTCCCGTGTCCTTGCTGTCGACAGGAGGGATGGAGGCGCCTCCAGCCAGACCCCCAAGGCCATGAAGGCCACAGAAGGACTTGGGGAAATGCAATCTCCAGCCTGGGCCTCAGCCTGGGATGTCACTTGAACTTTCCATTTAGGTGCGCGAAGTTACTACTGGGCGAAAAAGCTGTTGGTGAAATCCAGTATCAGAAATAAACGCCAGGAAAGCGGAAGCCTTCATTTCTGTGACAGTGGCTCCTCCCTGCTCTTAAAAAAGAGAGCTTATTTGAGGATCAGGAGCCGTTTCCTAGAAATAGATTCCTCCTCAGGGAGAAAGAATT
This sequence comes from Homo sapiens, assembly GCF_000001405.40. NCBI lineage: Eukaryota > Metazoa > Chordata > Mammalia > Primates > Hominidae > Homo > Homo sapiens. The sequence continues at coordinate 10,426,849 of NC_000003.12, forward strand.
TTGCGGGGGATAGGAGGGTGGGGTGGGGGTGGGGGGAAGATGGTGATGAGATGGTGATGAAGCAAATCAGAAAACCCACAGAGACCCCATGAGAGAAGGTCCCTCGTGAAAGTTGATTTAGAAACCGCATTCACATCTGTGATTGCATCTGAGTCTCAAGACTGCAGGGCCTGCATTAAGAGGTTCAAATTGCAGATGAGGAAACTGTGGTTTAGGGAGGTTAGGGAACCAACCCAAGGCCGCACATCTAAACTTCAAAACAGATGTGGGTTAAGGAAATAGGGATAAGCAGTGTCTCTCATCCCATCTTCTCTCTCTTTCAATCCCTGGTCCAGGATTTCATGGGATCCACAAGGTAAGCTCCACTTGATTATCTACGTCTCCAACTCAGCAAGTCTAAGACCAAACTAATTGTTTCCTTCAAATCTATTCCTCTTTCAGATTATATTGATCAGCCTCCCCGGGGTTTCTTGGATTTGACCTTTCTTTACTTTTGGGGTCATCACACGAATTCGGACTCTCGGCATCTCCCATCTGGCTATTCCTACAACGGCTCCTTAGTGGGTCTCCCTCTTCTGAGGCTCACTGCCTTCTGACCCACAATATACGCTGTTCTAATCACTCTGAAATGCTTTACTAATAATGTCTAACACCCATTGTGTGACAGTTAAGCCTAACCTTGGTCATTCATTCATTCCCCTTCCTTTTCTTTTTCATTTAATCTTTATTAAACAGGCATTTTGAGATTGCTGCATCCAAAATATCAGGTATGTGGTGTCTCCTCAGGACACAAAGACACAGTCTGGGATGGTGAAGGTGGAGGGAGACACCTAAACAATTAATTCCAATCGATGGCCACAAATTTGTCCATGTTTTCCACCTGAAATACCTCTCCCTCCACCTTCAGTTCTTTTTCCAGGCCTGGTCTGTCACCTCCTCTTGGAATCTGCCTCAATCCATCCTCTCCTAACCATGTTTCCTTCTCTCTCGTGGTGCCTACCACATTGCTAACTGTTATGAAGGCCTGTTTGGGTCTGCCTACCTTCCTGTAACCCCTTTCTGCCAGCTTGAGCGTTCTGCCTCATTTCTATATAAGGTCAGTGGTCCAGCACATGGTAGACCTCCAATAAGAGTAGAATGGATTCAACTCCAGTTTTAAAGTAAATCCTTCATGTGTTCTATTTCTCCTCACTGACACCCAATCCGATTTCCTAGACCTGCCATCCATCCATTTGCCTTGATGCTGGGCTCAGGGCTAGGCTGCCTGGCCTTGCTGCGTATGGCCTGGGCATGTTAACCTCCAGGTGCCTCAGTATTCCCATCTGAAAAAAGGGGATTATACTCGAACCCTAGAACCCATCTCGCTGAGTTATAGTGAGGATGAGATGAGTCAGTAATGCCTGTTAATGTGCTTAGAACAGTGTTTGGCATGTGGTAGAAGGGTGAGCCACAACTATGGTCATAAAAGGCTTTTCCAGTGTTTTTGGAAATAGGCACTTTTTTTCTATTTTTCCTTTAGGGCTGAATTCATTCAGTGTTGGTTTGGAACTATTACCCTCTCCTGCCTTGTATTTCATCCCCGTCCTGTGAGTTCCGGGGATCCTCTTGCCTCCCCAGGTGGCGTTGTGCTATGAGGGGACGAGGGGAGGCAAGGGTGGCTGGACCAACCACTTCTGTCCGGGAAGAATCACCAACCCCTCCCCTCACTGGGCCAACACCTGGTTGCCTAGCAACATCTCCGCAGCCACTTGAAATTTTATGGGGAGACACAATGTTCCCATTGAGCCCTCAAATCACAGTCCATTGAGTTCTGTGTAGCCTGAGGCTCAGTGAAAAAAGCAAGATGAACAGAAGAAAGCACCAAGCTGTTCAGAGGACAGAGCACTGTGTGAGGAGACTGTGCTGGGGTTCCAGCCACGCCTACCCTGGCAGGCTGAGCAACCCAGGGCAGTGTGAGGTGTCACAGAGGCCTTCGCCCAGGTCTGAGTTCCTAAAGCGGACTTGTCACAGCCTCACCGGGCCAGCTGTTTCTCCTCCCAGATCCCTGGCCTCTTCTCAGCTGTGAGAGTGAGGATTTAGCACCTGCTTGGCAGGGCTTTAGCAAAAATGAAACGAGATGATGCATCATGTCTCTCCCTGACTCCCTCACTGTAGAGGAAAAACCCACACAACCCATGGTGCTCCTGCAGCCTCCTGTTGTCCAGCCCCATTCAGTCCCCTGGCTTCGTCTCCCACCCAATCTCCACTCAGGCCCCACCTCCCAGCCTTTGCCCACCTTCTCCACTTTGCATCCTCCGGGTCTCCTCTGTCTCCGGATCCCAGGCTCTGAGAGGCTCCGCTCTGTTATTTCCTACCCAGCCCTTGTCTTATTTCCTCCAGAGTCCTTAAGACAGTGGAAAATCTCCATTATTTTCCCATTTACAGGCACACCTACTTTATTGTGCTTCACAGATAGTGCATTTTTTCACAAATTGAAGGTTTGCGGCAACCCTGCATTGAGCAAGTCTATAGGTGCCATTTTTCCAATAGCACATGCTCACCTCATTTCTCTAAATCACATTTTGTTAATTCTTGCAGTATTTCAAACTTTTTCATGATGATTAAATCTGTTGTGGTGATTTGTGATCTTTCATGTCACTATTGTAACCGTTTTGGGGCACCACAAACCATGCCCATATCAGATGGTGAACTTAATCAGTCAATGTTGCATGCATTCTGACTGCTCCACTAACCGGCTGTTCCCTGTCTCTCCATCTCCTTGGGCCTCCCTATTCCCTGAGACACAACAATACTGAAGTTTGACCAATTAATAACTCTACCATGGCCTCCAAATCACTTTAAATCAAAAGCTAGAAATGATTAAGCTTAGTGAGGAAGGCATGTCTCACTAAGATAGGCTGAAAGCTAGGCCTCTTATGCCAAATGGTTAGCCAAGTTGTGAATGCAAAGGAAAAGTTCTAGAAGGAAATTAAAAGTGCTACTCCCGTGAACACCTGAATGATAAGAAAGTGAAAATGTATTGCTGAAATGGAGAAAGTTTGAGTGGTTTGGATAGAAGATCAAACCAGCCACAACATTCCCTTAAGCCAAAGCCTAATCCAGAAGCCCTAACTCTCTTCAATTCCATGAAGGCTGAGAGAAGTGAGGAAGATGCAGAAGAAAAGTTGGAAGCTAGCAGAGGTTGGTTCATGCGGCTTAAGAAAATAAGCCATTTCTGTAGCATGAAAGTGCCACAGAAGTGATTCCTTTTGAAATATTACTACTCATTGACAATGCACCTGGTCACCCAAGTGCTCTCATGGAGATGTGCAAGGAGATAAGTGCTGTTTTCACACCTGCTAACACAATATCTATTCTGCAGCCCATGAGTCAAGGAGTCATTTAAACTTTCAAGTCTTATTTAAAAAATACACTCATAAGGCGATAGCTGCCATCCATAGTGATTCCTCTGATGGATCTGGGCAGAGTAAACTGAAAGCCTTCTGGAAAGGATTCACCACTCCAGATGCCATTAAGAACATTGGTGGTTCACAAGAGGAGGTGAAAATATCAACATGAAAAGGAGTTTAAAGGAAGTTGATTCCAACCCTCATGGATAACTTTGAGGGGTTCAAGACTTCAGTGGAGGAGGTCACTGCAGATGTGGTGAAAATAGCAAGAGAATGAGAATTCTTAACTTGTTCATTCATAAGAAGCAACTCCTCCTCCATTCAAGTTTGATCATGAGATTGCAGCAATTCACTCACTTCTTCATGCTCCACTTATCTTTGGGTATCCTAACATTCCCAGTCCCATCCCCCTTCTCCCACCTCTTCCTCACTAGGATGCATTTGGAGAAATCACAGTATCAGAAATAGCACCCCCTACTTGGTTAGAACTTGGAGCTGTCAGCTGAGCGAGAGCCAAGTCCCAAGAGGCCACTGAGTGTCCAGTAAAGAAAGGGTTTTAATAAGGCTTTTCTGACATGCCTATTTTCCCTGGGGTTGGCCACAGTTCTGTGACCCCTTTTCTTTACTGGACACTTGGTGGCCTCTTGGGGCTTGGCTCTCACTCAGCTGACAGCTCCAGGTTCTAACAGAGTAGGGGGTGCTATTTCTGATACTGAGATCTCTCCAAATGCATCCCAGTGAGGAAAGAGGTGGGAGAAGGGATATAGGACTGGGAATGTTAGGATACCCAAAGATAAGTGGAGCGTGAAGATATGAGTGAATTGCTGCAATCTTGTGATCAAACTTGAATGGATGAGGAGTTGCTTCTTATGAATGAGCAAAGTGATTTCTTGAGCTGGAATCTATTTTGGGTAAAGATGCTGTGAACATTGTTGAAATGACAACAAAGGACTTAGAATATTCCATACCTTAGTTGATTGAGCAGCGGCAGTGTTTGAGAGGACTGACTCCAATTTTGAAAGTGGTCTACTGTGGGTAAAATGCTATCAAACAGCATCGCATGCTAGAGTAACCTTTCATGAAAAGAGAGTCAATCTACACAGCAAACTTCATGGTTGCCTTATTTTCAGAAATTGCCATTGCCACCCCACCTTTAGCAACTGCCACCCTGATCAGTCAGCAGCCATCAACATCGAGGCAAGACCCTTAACTGGCAAAAAAATGACGACTTGCTGTGGGCTCAGACAATTGGTAGCATTGTGAGTGTGTGACTCACTTTATTGTGATATTTGCCTTATCGCAGTGGTCTGGAACCCCCGTTATCTCCTAGGTGGATGCCTATACTTGCTTTTTTGCTTGTCACACGCACACACAAAGCCAAAATATGCAAGCCCCATGAGGGCAGAGACATTGTTTTGTTGTTTTTGATCACTACCCTTTTATCTCCAGGGCCTAGAACTGTGTCTAGCACATAGTAGGTGCTCAAGAAACATCTACTGAATGAATAACTTAAAAAAAAAAAAAGGATTTCCCAGTGTCTGGCGCTTGGTAGGTATTCAGAGGCCTTAGCTCTCTTGTTTCATTTTAGGTTTTGCTTTTCCAAAAAGGGGGTGGGCTGGCACCCTGAAACCCCACAATGCTTGATCCGGCATCTACTGGAGGCAATTCTTTTAAAGCTATTTATAGCAAAAGATAAAAATAGCTCTTAATGAAAGCATGGTAGAAGAAAATCATCACTCCCGGCACTTTTCAGGGACAAAATTTCAGGACAGAGCTGGAATGACAGGTCCTAGAGGCTCTGAAATTTAAATACATGAAATAGGGAGAGGAAAAAATATCTACAAGCTGAAAGCATCTGGAACACATTCAAAGAGCAGGGGCTTGAGCCAGGCAGGCGCTGGTTTGGATCTCACCTCTGTCACCTGTCAGTGCATGGCCTCGGGCACACTGTGCCTCAGTTTCCTCATCTGTAGGACAGTGATAATACCGGAAGGAGATGCCATAATAAAGGGCATGTCCTTCCTCCTCTAGTGCTCAGAATTAAACCCCAGGGCTGGGACCTGCCCCTGACTCAGGCGAGATCTCCATCAGCCTCCCACATTGAGGCTGCACAGGCCTGAAGCCTGGCAGGCTCCCAGAGATGGTACTTGTTAGACAATTTAGGAAAGCCCTGGGGCAGGTATGGGAGTGGGGGTGACAGAAAAGCTGGCAGTTCTAGATCAAACAGTCAGCAGTTCCAGGAGCCAGAACATGAGAGGGAGAGTTTTGCGGCCTGGCCTCGCATTAACTGCAGCGGTTGAAAAACTGATTATTCTAAACCCCAGCGCTCACTTGCTCAACACTTTCCCCTCGCCTAGGTAATTAGATCTCCCAGGACTTCAAGAGGATGCTGGCGGCTTCACGCCAGAAGCGAATCTCACTCACGTGTCCTTGAGGCTGGCAAGGAGGTGGCAGGGGCATGTCTTCACTAGCTTAGATCATAGCCCCTCTGGGCTTAGGGCTGTCTCCCTGGGACCTGTCTCTTGACAGGGGACAAAGGGACGCGGCTTTCTACATTAGGGACAGAGGGAACGACAGGGAAGCCTGGCCAGGGCGTGTATAAGGAGGCGGTGGAGAGGTTGCTGTTGGCTTTGGCCAGGGTTAGATTCTCTGATGTCTCTGTGGCCCCCAAGTTGAGCTGGACTGGGGGCTCTGGCTGGGGTAGGGGATGGGCTGGGGGAGCTCTCAGTATGCAGACAGGCACCTCCACACACATGCATCTGCTCCTGTTTTCATTTACTTAGAATCCCTGCTAGGGCTGGGGTTTCAGAGGCCAGTGAAGCTGTCTTGGTTCAGGAATCCAAAAGCCCAGGCTGGTGCCTGTCTCCCCACCAGATGTGCTCCAGCTGCCTCTCTCAAGTGGACGGGAAACCCTTTAGCCACTTATGGGCTGAGGCGAAGTGTGGGAATAGAAAAGCTACCCTCTGCATTCTACAGTTTGCCTCTGTAGGAATTTTTTTTTTCTGCAATGGGGCTCACCCAGGGATTTTCCCACATGCCTATTTTCTCAGGGATTGGCCATAGTTATGTGACCCCTTTTCTTTACTGGACACTCAGTGGCCTCTTGGGACTTGGCTTTCGCCCAGCTGACAGCTCTAGGCTCTAACAGAGTAGGGGGTGCTATTTCTGATACTGTGATTTCTCCAAATACATCCCAGTGAGGAAAGAGGTGGGAGAAGGGGGATAGGATTGGGAATGTTAGGATACCCAAAGATAAGTCCTGACTCTGTCACCCCCTCGCTGTGTGACCCTGGACAAGTCACTCTCTCAGCCTCAGTTTCTTTACTATAAATGGGAGGTAAAAAGTGTGTGTCCCCCTGAGCAGCTATGTTACAAGACGAAACCATGAAGGTTATAGGGTCTTGTAGAGTGCCTGGGAGAACCCAAGGAATGGACATAGGGGATTTGAAAATACTGAAGAGCAGAAGCCCCACTGTTACCCACCTTCAGCAATCCATGGAAGGTAGTTCCTAGGCACCCAGCACGTCAGCTGATGCTCAGGATAAATGTCACCTCCACAAGGAAGCCTGTCTTGATTGCCCACCTAAAGCTGCCCCTCCCTCAGTCACTCTCAAAGCACTTATCCACTCGATATTTTGTTATTCATTAATTTATTCTGTATTTTTTTTTCTGGACCCCTGGAAGCTTTGTGAAGAAGAATATCTTTGTTGGTTTTGCTCACTGCTATATACCTAGCTCCTAGGACAGCATCTAGCACCAAGTAGTTACCCAATAAATTGTTCTTTAAAGTGTAAAAAAAAAAATGCAGCAGCTTATTTGAATTAGTAAATGAATGCAGTGATTCTCAGCTAGGGGGTGGGGCATACCCCACTAGGGGATGTGCCAAAATTTCTCAGAGAATAGTAAGAAGCAGAACATCTATACTCTCAGGGCACAACTTAAACATGATCATCATTTATTTTCAGTTACAATCTTTAACTTATTATGGAATCTCAAATGACATTAGCAGACGGGGGAAAGATCTGTAGTTTCAAAGGAAGCTCTGGGTTTCTACAGATTGGGGACTTTGATCTCCTGTGGCCCTGGCAGCCTGTCCCTGAGGCCCTCCTGCAACAGGGTATGGCTGGATCATACCAGGCCTGCAGGCCACAGTGAGGAGTTTTGATTTCATTCTGAGAGCAGTGGGAGCCACAGGGTTTTCAGCAGGTGGTGGCACAACCTGACTTGTATTTAAGTTTACTCTGGCCATAAATGGGAGAGGAAGAAAAAAGGGAGGGGCTTGTAATACATTATTCTCATTTAATTTTCCTAACAACCTTGTAGGTAGGCATATCTGGACCCCTTTTTCAGATGAAGAAACTGAGGCTCAGAGAGGGAAAATGATTCACCTGAGGCCACACAGTGAGTGAGCAGAGGAGCCAATGCTGGACTCCCAGTCTCATGGTGCCCCATGGCCAGGCCCTGTCAAGTAGCTCCAGGGCTGACAGCCTCCAACCCCTGGGTCTGGGACTTTTGATTTATCTACTTATAGCCCATGAGGCCCAGGCCGAGGTGCCCTTGAGGATGTCACTGGCCAGAAGGAGGCAGATGAGTGAGGCCTGGAAATTGGGGTCAAATTCTCAGTTGCCCCATTGGCAGATCAGGTATCTTCCTGGCCCCTCCCCTGGCCCCTCTTCCTCATATTTGGGCCTGAGCCCCAGTGTGGTTTGGAGCAACTGAAAACTTTCAGGCTTCTGAGCCAGCATCCTGTGCCCTCTATGGGGGAAGAGAGTTCTAGGAATGACCCTTCATTCCCTTTGACAAATGGTTAAGAGCACAAGGTCTGGTCTCATCCAGGCCTGCCTTTCACAGCTGTGCGACGTGGGCGAGTCCGTCAACCCCTCTGTGCCTCGGTTTCCTCACATGCAAAATGGGGGTAGGAGTGGCATCTCCCACGTCAGGGCCTGAGCTGTTGACACAAGGTGGTCACCCCCCAACCGGACCATTACCGGAGCATGGGGCAGCACTTTCCCTCCGGCTCCCATCCTAAATCAGATCCCCTGGTCTTCTGCTGGCCACCAGGTGGTCCCAAATAAGGAGGAAGCAGGGGGGTCTGAGGTTCTCATTGAGGGGGTGGTATGGTTCTTCACCCTGGCCACCTGAGCTCCTACATCTTCCTGGAGGGTCCACAGGCCTCGCAGTCAATCATGAATTCACTAGGCTTAGGATGACCACCCTGTCCCCATTTTGAGGTGAGGCCTAAGCCTTCAAGAGCACTTCTCCAGTATCTGGGCCACTCCAGACCTCTGAGGCTCCCATTCACCCTCATCTGCCTTACGGGTATTTGTGAAGACTCTGCCCTAAGATACTTCTCAACTTGGGCTGCCTATGTTCTTTTGGGGGACTTGTAAAGGTGGACTTTCAGGCAGGGTGACAGGTGGGCAGGAGGTTTAGCTCATTTACTTACACTCTGGAGAAGGTGGGAGGGGTTGGGAAGTGAGGAGGTAGAGGTGGGTATGGCTGCTCTGAGCCTCCGTACCTCTCCTGGCTGGGTCCTTCAGTTCACTGTTCTCAGAATTGAGCCCTGGAGCCTTTTTAAAAGACTCTGGGACTTCAAGCACTATGAATTTAAAAAAGAAATAAAAAAGATATTATAAAAGAAAAAACTACAGCTTAAAGAAATTATCAAGAAGAGAAGCAAAGGCCTGTGTTGAGTTTTGGCTGTCCAGTGGCATTCTGCTTTCCTTTAGGGGATTTGGTCTCCCCAACTGGGAAGAGTCTTGGTGACGATCAGTCAAAGTGTCCCCACCTTCCTGGCCTAAGCGTGGGCATGTGATCAAGCTAGGCCAATCACCTCCCAGGGATGCTGTCTCCTGGGACGTAGAATCAGTGATTTGCTGGTGCCAGCTCACACTTGCTTGTGAGAGCTGATGGCTAAAATTTCAGGTATTTTGTGAGCTGGTTGTTAATTATAGCCATCATTAGAAATCAATTATATAAACCTACAATTATATAAATTATATTTTAAAAGGCAACAAATACCCCAAACTTATCACCTCCTAATTATTTTACTACATTTCACTATTATCTATTCTCTCTAGTAGACAGTCTATTGTATCTGCATGGTAGAAATACCGTATAATGGTGTGCGGCTGCGCCTCTCGTCCCAACTCTGTGTTTAATGATGTCACGTGGGTAACGTGGTGGTATTTACACCAAGGAAATCAGCACCCACTGCAAAAGAGGATTCCCTCGCAACTAGAGAGCTGGGGTTAACATTCACCAGCACAGGCTGCTTTGGAATCCTGAGCTATACAAGGACCAAAAGAAGCTTTTGTAGTGGATTTTTCCCAACCTGCAGTTCCCCAAAGGGACATTTACTTAGTGAGTCGTGCCACTGATCCCTGCATGTCCCCGTTTCCTTCTGGAAAATTGAGCTGGGTTTTCCAGCCTTTGCTCCAACTTGGAGAGCCCACTCCTAAGCTGCCCTCTTGCCTCCACTATGCTGCCCAGTCAGCTTCTGTTGTTTACGACCGACGTGCCTTAGTGGAGCGACATCGGCACACAGGCAGAAACAGGCTGAGGAAAGAACCATCACCCCAGTCTCACCCTTCAGCCACAACATGGGGTACATTCTAGATGTTTCCTGCCAGCCCCTTTCCCCTTGCATCTGTCTTCGTGGAGGTGTTGCCATTGTCAGGACATACGATGCTAAACCCACTTTTTCAACATCACATTATTTCTTGAGCCTCATCCACGTGGCTTTGCATTCTCTGTAACAATCTTTTTCCATAATGTCCCAAAGGCACGTGGAGAAGCTAAAAGGTACTTAGTTACTTTCCTAATGTGGGGCACTTAGGAATTACTTGTCTTCTTTTCCCCTTTAGTGTCACATAGAGACGTGGTTGAAAAATCTGGGACTGTGGATTGGGAGACCTGAGTTCTCATTTAGTTTTGTGCCAGATGGCTGTGTGAGGCTGCGCAAGATGCCTCCCTCTCTGGGCCTCAGCTTCTTAACCTATATAATGATGATGATGATAATGATAATAGTAATAGTAATAATAATAATGATGATGGTCTCCACTTCCAGGGGTTTCCTGGGCAGTGCTAAGTGTGTTGACTCACATCAGCTCATTTATTACTTCTCACAGCCCAGGAATAAGAATGATTTCACAGACTGAGTAAACAGATTCTGAGAGGTGATGTCATTTCCTCAGCACAACATAGCTAGTGGGTGGCAAAGCTGGGGTTCAGACCCAGGATGTCTGCCTCTTAACTCTCTCACCACACTGCCACTTCCTAACGCCCACTTCTTAACGCCCACTGAGCATCGGGCTTGGGGGACAGACACATCAGTACAGCAGTGAGCGTGTCCCTCATTACAGTCCGCTTGCTGTCCTGTTCATGTCCCCACTTTACAGAAGCGAAAGCTTCAGTTCTGAGGACTGAAGTGGTTTTCCCATGTCAGAGTGTTCTGGGCTGAATCATGCTCCCCCAAATCCATATGTTGAAGTCCTAACCCTCAGTACCTTAAAATTGTGGTGGTATTTGGAGATAGAGTCATTGTAGAGATAGGGACACTGCAGATACTAAATTAAGATGAGGCCATTAGGGTGGGCCTAATCCATGCTATGATTGACACCCGTATACAAAGAGGAAATTTGGGCAGAGAGACAGATATGCATAGTGGGAAGATAATGTGAACAGACACTGGGAGAAGATGGCCATCTACAAGCCTCCAGAACTGTGAGAGAATGAATTTCTGTCATTTAAGCCACTCAGTCTGTGGTCTTTGGATGGCGTGGCTGAGCTGAGGCTCTGCAGGGAGCCAGGAGGTTGCAGGGGAGAGCAGGGAGGGGGGTGGCGGGTGTCTCTGCCCCCTGGCCCATACCCACTGTGTGCTGGGCAAGTCCCTTCTCTCCTGGGTCTCAGTCTCCCCATGTGCACCCTGGGATTACTGAATCAGATGGTCCTTGAAGGCCCTTCCAGACCTGTTGTCTCATGGGTCCATGAGTCTCTCAGGCTCCTATTCCAGCTGCTCTGACCCCACTGAGCTGGGGTGTGCTGAAGGGGGAGGCCCCAGGGAACACTCCATTCTGCTGTTCTTTCCAGCAGAGCTTTCCCAAGGGCTCACCCAACAGCCTGCCCTCCTCAGTGTGGGCCGTTTCTCCTTCGTCCTACTTCCTGGCGACTGCTCTGTCCAACTGCCTGCCAATCCAGTGTCAGATACTCTCATCACACTGTACCTGCATGTGACACTCTCCTCCGACCTCTGACATCTTCTTTGCCTGCTGCCTGCTCTCTCCCTTTGGGGTGGAGGCTAGGGCAGGTGGGTCCTAGGGAGCCATCGGCTGAGGCACTAATTTCCACTGACTATAAATAACTCTGGGTCTGAAACCACAGCAGGGGCCTGGATTGCACCAGGAGGAGTAAGATAATCGTTGTGGGGTGAGGAGGGCCTGTATAAATAACTTACCCGCCCTGTCTGGGCCTCTCGGATGACAGGCAGGCCTGGAGGCAGAGGATCTCTCCAGCTGAACTCGAGGCGTTTGTGGGACCCAGGCTGGGTGGATGACTCAGGTCCTACTAGCATTCGAGACGGCCCGCCTGCAGTTATACAGCAACATTTCTCACCCCTTAGGCCCGTGTGACAGATGAGGAAACTGAGACCCAGGGAGGAGAAGTAATTGGAAACTGGGGTCTAGGCCCCTGGGCTTCTGGGAGCTAGAGAACTGTTGCCAGGGATGCCCAAATTCTGGTCCCCCGCTAAACCCGACCTTTGGGAGCCAGCGTGGGAGGGCCCTGAAGCTGCTTGGTAGAAAAGGACTGCTGGGCCAAGGCCTGGGGCAAAGGGCCAAGGGCCAAGGGCACTGCCCTGGCCTGGGCACTGATGGGCCAAGGTTTTGAGGTCACGAATTTTCAAGTGAAGAGAGGCCTGGAGTCTGGCTGTGAGTCAGCCACCCTTTGACCCATCTGATGTCTACAGAATGGGGGCATCAAGGCAGACAGTTTCACAGTAGTAGAATGTCTGAGCCTGGACAAGCCTCAGAGACTACTAGACCAACCTTCTTTATTTTCCAGATGGGGAGGCTGAGGCATGGAACAGGGTGGAGGGAGCTTGGAGAGGGTCTCAGTCGATAAGGGCCAAAGTCAGGCTGGTCTCCGCCCCTGCCCAGCATGGGTGGACTGAGCACCCTTTTCCTGCACAGTCACATGCATCCCCTTGGGGCCCCCGCAAAGACCAACTTCGCCTAAGACCCCTGGGCCAGGCACATTGTGTGTTCTCTCATTTAATCCACAGTCAGTGTGGCCCCTGGAAGCCAGACAGTGTCTGCTCCATTTCACAGATTTAACAAATGATGCATTAAGAACTTATGTGATCTGTGCCCCAACCCAGGCTTTTGGATACTCTAGTTTAGCATTTTTCTCCAGTATCAGAGGTTTTCAATTTTTTTTTCTTTTTTTCAACACTTTGTTAAAAAACCAAAGTCTTCAAAGCATTTAAAAAGGAGTATCAGGCCGGGCACAGTGGCTCATGCCTGTAATCCCAGCACTTTGGAAGGCTGAGGCAGGAGGTTCGCTTAAGGCCAGGAGTTCAAGACCAGCTTGGTTCACTGCAATCTTTGCCTCCCGGGTTCAAGTGATTCTTGTGCCTAGCCTCCTGAATAGCTGGGATTACAAGCGTGTACCACCACACCCGGCTAATTTTTGAAACCCTGTTTCTACAAAAAAAAAAATTACCTGGGCATGGTGGCACATGCCTGTAGTCCCAGCTACTTGGGAAGCTGAGGTGGGAGGATCACTGAGCCCAGGAGGTCGAGGCTGCAGTGACCTGTGATCGTGCCACCGCACTCCAGCCTGGGCAACAGAGTGAGACTCTATCTAAAAAAAAAAAAAAAAAAAAAAAAAAAAAAGGAGTGTCTCTGTCTCTGGTTCATGGTGGTGGGTGAGAAGCCCCAGAGTCCCATCCATTCAGCATCCCCTTGTCCTGTAGGGCACTTCTGTGGAACCTCAAGGCACTGGGGAACCCAGTGTGAGAACCATTTCCCCAACCTTCGGTTTCCCTGCATTCAGTGAATTCACTGGCTCTCCATGCACCTGGAGAAGGCTGTACTCAGGGCCTCATCTTATGGAGCTGGAGGCCCATTTCACACTCACAGGGACATAAACACTATTATCCAACCTGACAGTCTACATACACAGCATGAACAAACAGACTAAAAACCAGAGTCTACAAAAATGAATCTGTAGTTCATGGGCTGGAGTCCTCTGTGCTTTGCGATCTGTTCTAGGCTCCAGGCACAGCGAATTCCTCACTGTTCCCTGTACACATCCTGGTTGTCATCACAGGGCCTTTGCTCACGCCCCATTAACTGCGTGTGCTTCCCTCCCCATCTTTGCACACTCAATTCTGCCCTGTCCTTTCAGGCCTCACTCAGAGGAAGCTACTCCTGATTTTGTCCCCAATCAGGTGGGGATCACTCCTCCTTCATCAACCTTTAGAACATTTCCTCTTGCAGTAGTTATTTTTGTCAATAGAAAGCAGCAGACCGAGGAGGTCATGTGTGCACATTTGGGAGCCAGACAGTGTAGGCACCAATCCTGGCCAGGTCACTTGTTAGACGTGGTGCTCTGAGCCTCAATTTCCTCATCTGTAAGCTGGGATGATGACAGTTCCTGTTTCACAGGGGTGATGTGAAGATTATAGGAGAAAATGCCGTGAAGCCTCAGCAGGGAGCCTGGCTGCTGTTAGTGTTCAATGCATGTTAATTATTCTCTAGTATCACAGCTATAACTAGCATCGTGGCTAGTAACTAGTAGCACAGCTAGACTGGGACAGTCTTAAGGCGGGAGCAGTTTACAATCCACCTTTGCACCTCCCTTTCCTGGGAATCTATAGGGAGCTTTGGAGAGTAAGGGGATCTGGAAGGGGTTCCTCCTTCCTCCCCCTGGCTACACTGAGGCCTTGGCTTCCTGCCCTTGGCTGCCATCTTTCCTATTGATTCCTGCCTGCCTCTGTGCCCCTGGAGTTGTTTCCTGTCTTTTTGTTTTTTTTGAGACAGAGTCTCACTCTGTCACCCAGGCTGATCTCGGCTCACTGCAACCTCTGCCTCCCGGGTTCAAGTGATTCTTGTGTCTCAGCCTCCCAAGTAGCTGGGATTACAGGCGTGCGCCATCACACCCAGCTCATTTTTGTATTTTTAGTAGAGATGGGGTTCCACCATGTTGGCCAGGCTGGTCTCGAACTCCTGACCTCAAGTGATCCACCTACCTTGGCCTCCCAAAGTGCTGGGATTACTGGTGCGAGCCACTGCACCCGACATTTCCTGTCTGACATCCTCTGCCCCCTTGAACCAAGAAGGGATATCCTTGAAGGCCGGCCCTGTCCCCATCTGCCCACCTGTCCTGTGTGTAGCCACATCACACAGACACTGCCCCTGAGAAAGCATATGGGAGAGATCTGGGTCTCTTCCCAGAAGAGTACATGTGGCCCAAGCCTGCACATACTAGGTGCATAACATATATTTGTCCAATAAATAAATGTGTGTCCACCTCCATCACTGCTTGGCATATTAGAAGCAGGGGGAAGCAATGGAGATGTTCCATCAGTTCTAGGAGGTGGGTGTTATTATCATATCATTTACAGGTGGGGAAACAGGTTCAGAGTGAGGGGATGACTTAAGGACTTAGAAGGTGAAGCTGGGACTCAAAGTCAATGGTCTCCATATTCCTTCCCTTTTCTGGGCACATAGTAGGCACTTAGTGATTAGTGCATATTGATTCTGCAAAATGATAATGCCTTCATAGTAAGAATCAGGGCCCCCTTCCTCTCCAAGCCTTTGTGTCCTACTCAAGGGGCTGCTGTGAGGATCCCAGGGAACAATGTGTTGGGAAGGCCTGGCTCTTAGTTCGCTCACAGTAAATGAGAGCCAGGGTAGTTTTGGGACTCAGGCCTCTGCATGGTGGGTCTGCCTAATGCTCTGCCTAAAGTGAGGCCCCGTGGAAATGCTGCCCTTACAACCCATCTCTTCTACCACCTCTCTGGGTGCCTGATTACGGGAAGCACCTAGTGAGCCAAGCAGCATCGCTCACGGGACATGAAGACTCCCTAGTCTTGCTGGAATCACCGGGAAGCCCTTCAGTCAGCTGCCGGGCAGGATCTTTATCTATCTGTCCCGTGCTCTCCCTGCCACCCCGTGGCCTGCAGAATTATTTGCCCAGCAGACTCTACCACCCCAGCCTATGACCATCGATAGCATGCATTGATTAACATGTAGGTTTATTTTATTGATGATTCAGAAGGATATGCAGGCAGCATTCTGGAAAGCATCCACACATGATTCATTGGAACTTCACATTAAACTGTGCTTTTGAAGGATTTTTTTTACCCCATGGTAGTGGTGATGGGGGGAGGTGTATAATAAGCATTGCAAATCAAATATGGGGCTGACATTTTTTTTAACCAAGACTCACATGCATTGCTCAAGCCCATTGATCTACCAAACAAGCTGCCTTTCTCTTCTTCACTAATTAAAACCCAACGTCTCCCTTGAAGCCACACAGAGAGTTCCCAGCAGAGAATAATAACAGTAATGCTGAAATAACACCTACCATGTGCCAGGCACTAAGTGCTTTGCACATATTACTTTAATGCTTACAGCGACCCTATGAAAGAGGCACTGTTATGACCTCATGTTACAGATGAAGAAACTGAGGCACAGTTAGATAACTGGTCCAACGTCCCACAGCTGGATAAGAAGTGGTGCCAGGATTTGCACCATGATACCAAGTTGGCCTCTTCCCCACTGTGACACTAGTCATAGACCCAGTCAGCCTGGACGGTCCCAGCTCATGCCTAGCACCCTGGTGTAATTACTAACGGTGCCGTGGTTTGGCTGGTAGAATCTTTAGCCATGTTATATTTCAGGTGGTTCTGAATCCTACCTTCTCTCCTCAGCTGTCTCCTCAATTCTGTTTTCTCCCAATCCAGGCCATGCTCTCCTCAAGAGCAGGGAACCTTTCTGATCTTCCTCCCCAGCACACAGTACAGACCTTCCATTCTGCAGCAGGTCCACAGCCTCTCCTCCATTTTCCTTCCCTCTTCCAATCTCCTTGGGGTCTTGGTGGACTGACCCGTGCCCTCTGGTTGAGCATGTGACCAGGTCTGATCTATCAGCCCACTCCATCTTTAAGCTGCAGGGATTGGCTCAGGAATGGCCATGTGACTATAAGTGGCCCAGTGAGAGCGTAGTCTGGGATTTTTAATGGGGCGGGGCTTATGAGGAAAGGCCTGGCTGCCGCATTGACCGGGATGGGAGGATGTTAACCCGAAGCTGCCGGAGCCCCCATGTGCTAAAACCCGCCTGAAAATGAAGCCAACACAGAGGACAGCGGAAGTGAAAGTAGGAGAGGGAAGGACAGAGTCCTCTTGACAGCATTTGAGGTCCTGGAGCCAGCCGTGCCGGAGGCCAGACCTATCCCTGGAGTTTTCAGTTGCACAAACCAGAAAACTCCTTTTGTGCATAAGCCAGTTCGAGATGGGTTTCTGTCAGATGGAGCCCTCATGGATAAAAATGCTCAGCAAATACTGGGCCTAGATTCTTCTGTAAAAGCACTTTCAACTCACGGTCTACAAAAGGCAGAGAGTGGAAGTAGTACAGTTCTCATTTCACAGATGAGAAAACTGAGGTTGTCGGAGACTAAGTATCTTGCCTGAGGTCTCCCACATACTTAGTGACACAGCTGAGGCTGGGACACCTCACCAGTCATCATGTCTTCCCCTCCACCCCTGCATTTATTTGAGAAGGCAGCTGTGTTTCCTCAGCCTCTTGCATACTCAGGAGTTTTTCTCCTCTCGGCCTCATACCTGACAGAGTCCTGGGCCTTAGAATGGAGCATGGGCCGCTTCACATGAAGGCGCTGGAGTGGGGCAGCAAGGCTTTCCCACTCATCTCTGGCCAGGCAGTGAATTCCCCATGCCGACTCCGTGTCTGGGGAGCCCCCACGCATGACCCTGCCCAGGCTTCCGCCGAGTCTGTGGCTCCCCTGGCTTCCCTGTTGACCTCTCAGGGTCTCAGTGATCCTTGGGTTGACAGAACACAGAGGGAACTAGAATGTGGCAACAACACACGGAAGACCCCTGCCCCTGCCTCCACATCCTCCTGCTGCCCAGCTAGTGGCAGCCCCATGGACGTTCTCGTTCAATATCATATTCACGTGCAGCACAAAGTACCCGCCATCTCCCATGATCTGCTCTCTCGTCCTCCCTCAGCCCCGCTCTCTCCTCCACTTGGGCAGGCTGTGGGATTCATACAAAATTAACCGGAGGTTCCGTTTCACAGCACTCTGCAGTATCCAGTTCCCACTCCACCCTGCTGCCGCCCCATCTTTGTCCCCCTTATCAACCCCGCCAGGAAACATGCTACGTGGCAAACACCCAACAGCAAGCTATCATCGTCACCCTTTCTGACAACCCGAGGTGGGTGCAGGTGTCAGGAAGTGAGCAATGAGGGCTGTGTGTGCAATGGCTCAGGGCAGCGCAACGCTGGGCTCAGGGAACTGGAGCCATCTGCTCCATGGGTGACACAGGGTGTCCTGTGTCTGTCCCCAAGCCTGCAGCCTTCTGTCTCATGAAAGGAGGGGCACTGGGACATCCCCTGCCTCTTCTTTCTTCTTCCTTTTCTTCTTTCCGTGAATATTTCTTGAGCTCCCAGGCAATGCATCAGGTGTTGGAGACATGGTGGAGAATAACACAGAGCTCCTGCCTCTAGGCCTCCCGGACCACCTGGCACTAGTCGCCCATCTTTCCATGTCCTCTGATGGCATGTTAACTCTGCATTGGGCACCGCCAGTGTCTTGTCTGACTGCCTAATTCTTTCAAGGGGATGGGGCCCATGCATGTTTTTAAAAGAAACACTAGAGTATAATAACAATGATAATAAACACCACTCTGTAGGTGTCTAGGGTCTGCCTTGCACAGTGGCTTATCTAATTTAATCCTCACACCATTTGCATGAGGTGGGTACTGTTACTATCCTCACTTCACAGATAAGTTCATTGAGGTTCAGAGAGGTTAAATTGAACTCTCGCAGTGTCCCTTGAAGAGAAAGACACTCAGGAATGGAACTCAGGTTTCTGGGATTTTAATGTCCTTGGCTGAAACAGTGTGGAAGGAAAGGGAACAGTAGAGGTAAGAAGATAAAGGCGTTAATTAGAATGGAACAGAACCAACAGTGGAAGAGGAAAGGAGTGGAGCTTAGATGGGGGTAGAGGCTGCCCTTGGCCTCACAGCCTCACAGGGGGGCAGGTTTACCCAACAGGTGTCAGGAAAGTAGGGTCTCCAGGTGGGACATCCAGTACTGCTGGGCTGTGGGAGCCACACCCTGAGCTGGCTGCCAGCCGTGCCCTGGGTGAGCGCTGATTCCCTGTGGCCTCAAACCCCATTTGTCACTTTCAGAGATCTTTTTGCCTAAAATTAGCTGAACTTGAATGGGAAGGCTAATTTATGCGTGGCCTGGAGCATTTCCTGCAGTGTGACTCAGAGGCCAGCTCCCTACTCGTCAGCAGATTAGGGGTAGGGGGTGTCGGGAATGGTCAAACTGAGTCCCTGTGTCTGGAGCTGGCACAGCCCAGACCACGGAGCTTTTAAACTGGGGCTGGGGCTGTGCCAAGGATTTCTCTAAATCAGAAGATGGCCAAGCAGGGTGGGACAAATGCTCCATATGAGACAGAGTAAAGGAAGTGTCCCTTGGCCCCACCCTATTCAGGCCTTGTCCTACAGTGGATGCCAGAGGATTCTTCCCAGGTGGCCGTGCTTGGCTCAGGTCTGAGCATGGGGCTGAGTTCAAAGCCTGCTCTGACCTGAACTGTGGCAGTGACCTCGAGCCCTCATATCCCCCTCCATAAAATGGGGTAACAGCACCCGTTTCCAGGAACATGTGTCATAGAGATGCATAACAGCCTTGTACAAAGTGTTTCTCATGTGTGGACACTGGCCACCATTCCAACCTTTCCGGAGAACGTGCCCACTTTTTCCCGAGTGATGATACTCATCATGAAAACAATGACAAGAGCTGACATTTATTGAGCACTTCGATGCTGGGCACTTGACCTGATTTTATTCAATATTCACAGCCTATTTTATTGATGGGGAAATGGAGGTGTTTAGTTGCTGGGGCTGAATCCTACCACACAGAACTACCCGTGTGTCAGGGACTGTTCTAAGCTACTTCATTTTGTCCTCCCCCAGCCCTGTGAGGTAGTCACTATTACTATCCATGATTTACAGATGAAGAAACGGGGGCACAAAGAGTTTGAGTAACTTGCCCAGAGTCCCACAGCAGGCAAGTGGCAAAGCTGGGATTTGAACCTGGGATGCCCAAGTTTGGGTCTGTGGCATTATGCTCTTCTGCCTCTCCCCAAATCTCTTCCAGCCTGTACCTCCCAGCCCCCTGGGAGATGCTTCTAGGGACCAATGTGGCAGGAGCTGCAGGAAATCCTATGATGGGCTTCCCTTCTCCTCAGAGATCTTGGCCATCAGAGATCTCATTAGGTTCTCATGAATGACCAGGAGACCAAGGCTCAGAGAGGTCAGACGAAAAGGCCCAAAGGCACACGGCTGGCAGGTGGCAGAGCAATAGAGATGTCATTATTGTTTCCATTTTACAGATGAGAAAACAGAGTTCTTTACTTTTCACCTGAAGCCTCACTTCTTGCAGCATACCAGTTATTCTGTGGGATCCCCTCTAAGAAATGCTGCTGTAGGCCATACTACATGCTTTCCCTTCTCTTTCCTCCATAGCCAAGTCCAAACACCTTCCCTTCCATGAAGCCTTCCCTGACCTTCACTGCCCACCAGCCTCACTAGTGCTGAGTCCTGGGGTCCTTGCTGCACTTGGTCTTGATTATCTGCAGCTTGGGCTACTCAGCTGTCTGAGAGCTCCCCCACCTTAGGCTGGGACTTAGTAGCTGTGTCTCAGGGTTTTACCGGGTCCTCATCTGTGCCAGGCATGAGGTTGGGCATGGGATGTACAGAGAGAGCAGATAGGGTTCCTGTCTCAGCTAGGCAATACTCCCTCTAGCAGTACAGAGCGGGCTCCCAGGAACCAGCCGGAAATGGCCCTGCAAGGTTGCTGGAACTTGGCCGTGAGCTGCTCAACTTCCCAGCTCTGGGGAGCCTTTCTGGTGGGAGTGGTAGGTGGTTTTCTTAACTAGGGTCCACAACCCTGCTTTGAGGGGGTCTAGAAACCCACAAATAGTGTGAGCCACACCTGTTGCGTGTGGTTGGCTGATTTTCTGAGAGAGGGGCCACAGTGCCCATCAGCTTCTCCCCAGGGACTGGGGCTGAGAGACATTTAAGAATTCCTGATTTGAGGCAATCTCCCAGTCCCCAATCAACAGGCAAAGGCCACTTGAACAACCCTGCCTGCCAGCGTCCTCATGTGCCAACCTGATGGTGGAGGGGAGCACGGACCATTCTGCCAGGGATAAGTGAGCACAAGAAGCTGGGACCCAGAAGTCTCCAAGCAAAGCCGATGCCCATTTTACGGCCACAAGCAGCTGTTTTTAAGCCTCGTGCCAGAATCACACTATGAGGAAAGGTTACTTTCTCTATTCCCACCCTCCCTGCCAAAACAAAAAAATAGCACCCAGTGAGAAAAGGTGTTTCTAAACTTCTGCCTGGGCTCAGGCGATGGGCAAAATGTCAGTGAGAACAGTCAATGTGGGAAGAAGAACCAGTTTTAGCTTTTCTTTCTGAACCAGGAGAGCAGACAAAGAGGGACACAGACAGCTGGGAGCTGCTGGGTGTAGTGGAGTGTAGGCACATGTGACCAGTGGACTGCCAGGCAAGCCCTGCAGGAAATGCTGCCAGGGCTAGAGTCCAGCAGGGCCCAGGGCTCAGAGGACTGGACAGAGGAGACAGGCTCCTTTTCTGTCATGAAGGATAACAGTTCAGATGCTGCCTGCCTCCCAGGTGGTGGTAGATATCTGGGGAAGGACTTGACATCCACTTCTCCTTAGAATAATCATGGCTGCCACTTTGAGCACCTACTGTATGCCCAGCCACGCACTAGGCATTGTCAGGTAGGCATTGGCCCATTTTCCAGGAGAAGAAAACTGAGGCTCGGTGCAGCTTTGCACAAATGTTCAGGATTGGGAGTGTCACTGCAGAGCCTCACACACATGCCTGTAGGGTTAACGTAGGGAATGCTTCCTTTCCATGGTGAGCTGAAGGTAACTTGTGGCAGGTAACCCAAACCATGAGGTCTGGTACCCAAGCTGGGCTGACTTCCCTTGTCTCTGTTTTGAGGCAGAGGACCCAGCTTTGGTCCCTTCCAGAAAAGCCCCCAGGAGCTGAAACACACTGTAGAGATTCCAGGCCTGCTCAATTTTGGCAGTTGCAAGAAAGCCCCACTCCACCCTCAAGGCAGGACATACAAGGACATCTGTCACCCTTCCTATCACATCCATCTTCCTACTGCTTTGTCTGCCCAGCAACCCTAGAGCTGTGATGCCCCAGAGCCCCAGCGATCCCCAACCAGAGTCTGGATTTGAGAGACAGACTTGATTCCAGCCCAGTGGCAGGGAATTGGCTGCACATTAGTCATGCTATGGTTCCACACTCAAGCCCACACTAGGGAATTCCTGGGGCCTGGGGAAGGAAGGACCGGGCCTGCATGGTTGGAACCCCCAAATCCATCCACTGTGGGCTAAGCGGGGAAAGCAAAAGCCCCTCCTGGGCCTGGGTGCAGGTTCCATGTTTGTTCTACCCAGTGGCCCTTCTGCCTCTGCCTCAGAAACTAGTGCCTCCCATAGTAACAGAATGTTGAACTCGCCACTCTGCGGCTGTGGGGCTCCTTGTCTCCAGAACACAGTCTTGACCCAGCTTTCTTCCTGCCATTCTCTCTGCAGGTGGCTTGGGTCATGCCCAACCCCTGATGAAGCCCTGCTCCCCAGCCTATCCAGAGGGGCTGATACTCAGCTAGAATGCACTACAATGGCCATTCTGGCATTTCAGCCTTTCTCTGACACATCCCTGCTGTTACATATTATGAATATGGTCCCTGTGGCCAATTCAGATGGTGGCCACCTAGGCTGCAGCCCTGGGTTCAAGTCTTGAACACTTACCTTCAACAGGTGAGGTTTTGAGGCGCCGGCAGATGGCTTCGGTGTCCCCATAAGTCTCCTTGATCTTGACCACAGCCTCAGTGCCCCGCAGCTCCATGAGGGAGCGGAGCTCCTCCATTGTGCACCCGAACTCGCCCCCATGGCTCGACTCATTTCTTTGGTTTTTGGAGTAAAAGTCGCTGTTGGTCATGTCACCCATGTTTGCTGCGGTCCTTGCTCGGGCTGGGCCCAAGGGTCAGCGCTGGACAAGAGGCTGCCGGGTGATGGCTGCTTGTGGCTGTCCTCAGCACACCCTCACTGGTCAGCTGTGGCACCAGGCGGCCGACTCCGGGTCCCGGGGGGTGGGGGTGGCCGAGGCGGGCTGGTGACAGTGGTGGTGAGCTCCAAGAGGTGTCCTCCGGTGTGGGACGAGGTCCAGGGGCCGGAGGGGCTCAGGGCTGTAGACCCAGGAGTCTCCATTCAGTGGGGCCCATGCTGCTCCCTGGAACTGGCATCTACATGGTCAGGGGTGGTGGCTCCTGTGGGACAAGCACAGAGTGAGTGACAAAGGCCAGGCACTGGAGGCCACATGGGACAGGTGCTCAGGAAGGCCCCAGGCACACGCACAGCAACCTAAACAACACTGACTACACCCATGCCCCCTAACACACCAGCTCACACTGTAAATCCAATGCTACTAGCGCCAACCCAGGCACTCCACGATATGCCACCCTCAAGGCATAGCCCCATAACACACTCTAACTCCCTATTTGTGTGTTGTGCTGTGGAACACACTGGCTTCACAACACACACACTGTGTGTACACACATCCCCCGACATATACCTTCTGGCATGTCCTTGTGTCCTGTGCCACTGCCACACACACGTCAACACCCAGGCCCCATGCACCAGCTTTGAGCCATACAACTTAACCTCCCCACCCCTTTCCCTCAAGAATTGCTGTGCTCACAGGCCCTCTGAGCACACCCAGACTCCATTTCCCTCTTTCTCTCACTACCCTTAACATGTTTACACACGCCCCATGCCCAAATAATCTGGGACACTCTCCCCCAAATACACGGTTCCCAGGTTCCCCGCCCCTACAAATCCTCCCTCCACCCATGCCACCTGTGTCCACCAATACACTCTTCTCCCACATCCCTCCCCACTCAGGTCTCATAGGCATGGGGATGGGAGAAAGCCCCCACCTGCACCCACAGGCCCCCACCATATTAATCGAGGCCCTTGGCCTGGCCAAAGAAGCCAGGTCATACATAGTCACAAGAATGTCATTGAGCCCAGAGCTTGGTCCCAGTATGAGTTCAGGTCCATGGAGCCCTCACCTGGCAGGGGGAGGGGGGTCCCTATGGACCAGCACCAGGGACAGCGGCTTCCCGTCCCTCTCTGGAGCCCAGGAGGAGGTGGGAGCTCTGGCTTCTCCCTGCCCGCCCGGCCACCCTTACAGGAGTGCGGCATCTGTGGGGCTGCCAGGAGAGAATCCAATCCACCCCGACACCCAACACCAGAGGCCGAGGCCCCAGCAAGCGTTGGGTGACAAAGGGCCCCAGCTGAGCTCGGTTGGGTCTGGCACAGGGAGTGGCCCTGCCCCGCAGTCATGGACAGCTGGCCATCCTGGGCCCAGGACGGTGAGGGGAAGGGCTGAGAGAAGGAAGGCAGGACTGACCCCCTCCTCAGCTCCAACTCCTCCCCTGCCTTATCACCTTCATAACCTTTTCGTCTTTCACACATTTTAGAGCTGGAGGCATTCTAGGGCTAAGTCACTTTCCCAGCCGGGAACTTGAAGCTCAGAGAGGGAAAAAGCACTCTTCCAGAGCCGCACGGAGTGAGAGTGCTGAGGAGTGCAGAAGGAGATGGTCTCCTGGCTCATAGCCCTGGGCTCCTCCCCTTCCCCTAGGGGGTGCTCCCGCGTTTGTCTCCGAAGAGCCCTGGTGGGTGGGTGGACTGTGCCAGGCAGCCGCTAAGAACACAGTATCTGGCATTGGAGCGATTTGCGTTCAAATCCTGGCTGTGGGACCCTGGGCAAGTTCCTTCAGTTTTTGGAGCCCTGGTTCACTCATCTGCAAATTGGGGGCAAAACAGTCTCTCTTCCTTACCCCTACCCCTGACTACTTCCCAGTTTACTGAGAACTAATTATAAACTGTATTCAAATCCAGTGTGTTTCTGGATTTGGGGCTTCCCAGTCTTGGGTCACTGGGTGCTGGAGCCACAGGAGAAACCTTAAATGTCTTACACAAGGGACGCTTTTACTCAGGGATGCAGTAGGAAGATTATTTTTACACTGGGACTAACAGATCTCTTATGGAATAGAACATAAAATGGATGTGATACCTCAAGAAGAGGCACAGAGACATGAGACACCAAAGAAACTGCACGCTTGGTGCTCCCACCTACAATACTCAAAAGAGGCCATGTTCCTTGGCCATGGATGGAACACACACCATCCACAGAATCCATGAGTTTTGACCCCAACAATGTATTCCTCGGAGAAGCAGGTGAGGCAGGGACCAAGAATGTGAATAAAAACAAACAACAATACTCCCCTGCCATTTCTTAAGCATCTACTATGTACCAGGCACTGTGGGATGAGTTCTGTATCATCCATCCAAGGTAAATTCTATAAGGGTTGACCAGAAAAGCACTTGGCTCCTTGTAGCTACCTAGTAAACAATTGTTAAATGAATAAGTGAATGAATGAAAAGCAAACAGACACTGTCTCATTCTGTGCAACACTGTGAAGTGGATACTAGAATTACCTCCATTTTATAGACCAAGCGAATGAGGTTCAGAGGGGTGAAGTCACTTGCCCAAGGTCACACAGTGGGGAGATGCCACGGAGTGGAAGATCTTTTCAACCTTAGACTTTGGACTCTTGTCCACTACCCTGTAAGAAGGGCCTGGCAGGGGCCTGGTCTAGGATGCTGAACCTCTCTGGGGAGAGTGTTGGCATTTGGGTTTGGGCCGAATGCTCTCCTCCCCCTGCTACAAGCTAGTGCAGAGCCTCAATACGGCTCCCTCCCCAGTCTAGGGCCAGCCACAGGAGGCAAGGAGAGACCTCTGAGAACATGTGGGCCCTTGTTCAGGGTTGGATGAGGCACTAGGTCCGTGCAGGGATGGGGCGGGAGCTTTTACATTAAGCAGTGCTCTTCCTGCTGCCTGCTCAGTGTAAATGTGTTTGGTGTATGTTCAGGAAGCTGGGTAGAGAAAATCCAAATGGCAGGAGTAAGACAAGGATAGAGTGAGGCAAATGGGCTACAATTGGGGCAGAAGGAAGGAAATGAGGTCAGGGGTCCTTCAGGCCAATGCAGTGGCTGGGGCTTGTAGGAGAGATGGGTCTCAGATGCTGGGGGAAGGCTGAACCCCGCTGGAGGGGTGAGCGCTGGGGAGGTGATTTGACTAAGAACTTTCCAGAACAGGCTTTGCTTACTCAGGGAAAAGAATTGAGATGAGGAGATGCAGACCTTCTGTCCAGAAGGAACTTGGGACTGACCTGGAGCCCCAGGAGGCCTCAGTCCTTGACGCTTAAGCAACAAGTCTGGATTGGGTGAAGGCAAAGCTGGTGAACATTTACCACCCACACCTGCACTAAACTTACTGGCAGTAGAAATCACCTGTGATTCTGAGCTAGTCACCTGGATTCTCTGTCTTAGCTTCAGCATCTATAATTTGGGGCTACTGATATATAACATTGCCTGACTGGCACATGATAAGCATTTATTGAGTGCTTATTAGGTGCCAAGCACTCTGAGTGTTTTACAGAAATATCTATCTCAGAGACGCTGCAAGGCGTTATGCATAGGGCTCTGGAAACCACTCATTCTGAGTTCAAATTCTGGCTCCTTCATCTCCCAGCTGAATGGGAAGGAAATTAACTTTGATTTCATTATCTTACAAAAAGCAGAGGGGAATAGGAGTATCTACCTCATAGATGTTATGAGGCTTAAATGAGTTATTTCGTTTAAAATACTTAGAACCAAGCCCAGAACATAGTCAGCACTCAAATTATTGTGATTATTATTGTCAATCCATAAAAGCGCTTTATGAGACCTATTATCCCTAGAACATATGAAGAAACTGAGGCCAAGAGAGATGAAGTAAATTGCTCAAGATCACAAGATTAGTGAGTGGTGGATCTGGGATTTGAACCTAGGCAGTCTGGGTCCAGAGACACATTCCTAATCAGGATGCTTTTCTGCTTCCCCTGGTGAATCTCCCTCATGAGGTTCTTATGACACTTAAATGAAGTGCCATATGTGAATGAAAGTGCTTTGCAATCCACAAGGGACTTTCTAAACCCGAGCTGCTGTTTTCTATCTGTGCCTGTGCTACCTGCGGAGTGGCTTACAGGCACTGATAATTACGTCTCTGACAGTACAAGCAAGCTATGAGAATCGTTAGCAGCAATTATATCTGTGATCACAACAGTAGGCATGAGTTAGTGGGCTACTGTTGATTTTAATGACTACTGTGATAAGATGAAAAATGATCTTCAACCATCTATCCACCCACCCACCCATCAATCCACACACCCACCCATCCACCTGCCCACTCACCCACCCTTCCATTCATTCATCCATCCATCCACCCATCTACCCACCCATCCACTCATCCATCCATCCATCCATGCACTCGCTCACTCACTGACCCTTCCATCCATTCATCCACCCACCCACCACCCACCGACCCATCTACCCATCCACTCATCCATCCATCCATCCACTTACCCATCCAACCATCCATTCAATGATTGTGTTTTGGGTACTACACAGTGCCAGGCACTGAACAATCCAGAGAGGAACTCTGCCCTCTACGAGCCCACAGTGAAGAAGAGAGACAACTAAATTAGTGATTTCTATGACTTGAAGAGTTTGCCATCATGGGGACCCCCAGGTGCTGTGGACACACAAAGCAGGAAGACCTGAACTGGCCCGGGGTAACCAGGAATGCCTTTCCTCTCAGCTCCAAGTAGGGATTTTTTTTTCTTCAGGTAAAGAAGGACTTAATAAAAAGATGAATCATGAAGAAACTGAAATACACAACTGTCTGCTAGTAAAAGGTGCAGAAGGAAAACAGTGTGAGCCAGTATAGAGGGACAGAACTCTGGGATAACAAAATCAATTAAAAATCAGAACTCCACCCTGAAGGCGACTGATCTCATACTTCCTTCTCTACCTCTTCTGATGTGGCTTGTTCCCTAACCCTGCTTCATCTCATGGGTGCAAACATGAGGTCACCCCTTTTCTGGGCATTTTGTTTTTTCATTCCAAGCTGTAGAGCCCACTTTGGTGCTTGCTCTGACAGCAAGATTTGCTGGAAAAATGTGAAGTCCACCAGCACAAAAGCTACTTGTATGATATTATACAAATGATCTTTTCACAGATTGACAGAACTGAGGACCCCATAGTTTGCCTAGAATACCTCAGATGCCTGACTCCTGCAGATGTGCCATGTGTCTGTTCAGAACACTCTTCACTACCTGGGCCTTTGCCTCCCTAACAGCTGCTGTCCTGTTCAGCCTCAGTTTCCCTTCCTTGGAAGCCTTTCCTGACCACCTAGACTGCATAAATGCTCCTGACTCCCAGGTGCCTCCCAGATTGTAGTACACTTCACACTGTATTGCTTGAGCCTGCTTAACTGTTTTCTTTCCCCAGGATTCTGAGAGCATCATGTGGGCAGTTGCTATGTCTCTTCTGTACCTAGTGCAGTGTCTGGCATCCAGAAGGCACTCAATAAATATTTGGTGTTGGGTCTACTGCCTGTGGAAGCTGTGACTTTAGATAGGTCCTCAGACCTCAGTTTGCTCATCTGTAAGATGGGCTAGTGATTCCTACCCTGCCTACCTTAAGAGTTTTCTGGGGGGTCAGGAAAGATAACAAAATCAGCAGTCATAGTTTTTCTTTGAGATGCATGCACTGCCCTCCACTGCCCAGTTTCCCCTCTTTGTAATGAGGCATCAGAGTGAGGGTGAAGCTGGGACGACTTCCCTCAGCCACAACCCCAGAAGATTCTCAGGCTCTTGCTGCCTCATCCAAATATCATGTGACCTACCACTCTATGGCTGAGAGACTAAATGAACTATGTGACCTTGGAGAAGTCATCTAACTTTGCTGGGCTTCCTCTGTAAAGTGGGGATGACCCTGTTTGTCTTACAGGCTGCTGCAAGGACTCAATGAGAGCCAGCTCCTGGCCCAGAGCAGAAAATGAAACACTGGCTTCCTTGAGTCCCCCCTGCTCCCCTCCTCCTAGTTATTAGCAAATGTTCCTCCCTCATGGTTGCAATGAGGTTCACTTGCAGTCAGCTCTCAACACTGCACAGGTGAGCACCCCTGCCCTAAGCAATGGGCACACAGGCCTGGACAGGGCATATAGCCAGACCTGGCCTAAAGAGGTTGAGCAACACACTAGGGGTCACACAGCCAACTGAGACAAAGCCCAGTGAGAATCTCCTCCTTGTTTTCCCAGCTCCAGTGGTGTGACCCTGAGCAAGCCCCTTTCTTCTCTGGGCCTCAGTTTCCCCATGTGGGAAGTGAAGGGATTGGATTAGTGCTCTCTGGAGTCCCTTCAGGCTCTGATGTGCCAGGCCCTTCAGAATCCAGGAGAACATTCTGACAATATTGGATTTATGCATTTCAGTTTCATCTTATTAGCATTTAAATTACTCTGTATTGTTACATTTCAATGACTCAAGAATAGGTTAGGGGTGCCTTAATAAAAAGTCTTTGCCAGAAGGGAGGTTGGGAGAGGAAGGAGCAATATTTTTTTGTTTGTGGAGTTAATTTAACAAAGAAGGAATCTATCTTTCGAAGGAAGAATAAAAAAATAAACAAAACAAATCCCCAAACCAACAGCTTTTCAAATCCTAACTGAAGGATGGTAGCTGGGACAGTCGTACATGAATTATGTGCTAAAAATAACTTCTGGATGCCAAATTCTTCTGTTTTAAGACATGCTGAATTTAAGTGCCACCTTAATATGTATTTTTAAGGTCACTTTTCCATTGAATCATCAATGACTGAGGTGGGGCACAAGTCTGGTCTGAAGATCCCCAGTGATGGAAGCCTAGCTCTGCCAGTCACTAGTTATGTGACTTGGGCAGGGCTCTTAATCCTCTGTGCCTTGGTTGACCCTCCCCAACATGGAGACAACCCTACAGCCTACCTCACAGGGTTTTGTAAGGATTGAGATAGAGCTAGCACAGTTTCTGGCAACGAGGAAACACTTGTTAAATGGTGACTCTCCTATGAAAATTTAACTTACTCCCTGCCTCCAATCGCTCCCAGACCAGCATGTACCCCATAGTGCCATATTTCAAAGGGAACTCAGCTCTGACTTTCCCATGCCCACCAGGCTCCTTGTCACCTCTCAGGTGGCTGGGGAGGCCTCCAGCTTGTTGGCACAGCAAACAAGGCTAGTTTCCCTTCTGTTCTGGTCTTGATGAACTACTTATAGTTCCCATGAGGTAGGATGTTTGCTTTCCTCTCCTGGTTGCAAATTCTGGCCTTTCTGTAGGGGGCCCACTGCCCCAGTGATGGGGAACCCTCTTCCTCCATGCTGAACCCAAGGAAACAGGTGAACTCAGCCTGCAGTTGGGGGTGGAGGGCCAACAGCTCCTCCCTTGTCCTCACCCAGAGAGCCTCAGCCATTCTCTTAGATATCCTCTCTGGGGGAGGCAATTTCCTCTGCACGTGTGTGTAAGGAGGGAGAGCCTGATGGTGAGTGTGGATGTAAGCAGGCATGCCAATGTGAGTGTGCTAGATCAGTGTGTCTGTAGGGTGAGTGTGTGAGTGTAGGGTAAATGTGGGTGTGCAGGGTGGGTGTGGGTGTGTTAGACCAGTGTGAGTGTGCATGGCTAGTGTGACTGTGCAGGTTAAGTGTGGGTGTGTAGGGTGTATGGGCGTACAAGGCATATGTGGGTGCAGGGTTAGTGTGAGTATGCAGGGCTAGTATAGATATGCAAGATGAGTGTGGGTGTGCAGGGTCAGTGGGAGTGCATTATGGTGGTTTTCTTAGTATGAGTGGGACAGGGTCTGGGGGCACACCTGTGTCAGAAGAAGTGTGCAAATGCTGGTCTTAGAGTACGCCTGTAAGTGACCGTGCTTTGTGTGTGGGAAAGAGGGTCTCTATGATGTATCAGTGGACATGTGGTTGGTGTGAGTGACCCCAAAGGACAAGGTGTGCCACACAGGTCTACTGGAGCATGTCAGCATGAGTGTGCGTGTGTGTGTGTGAGAGAGAGAGAGAGCAAGCCCAAGATATCTGTGCCACACCTGTCTCTGGGTGTGCAAGCCCCATGATGTGTGAGTGTCTGTGTATGTGCTCAAAGCTGAAGAAGACAATCTCACAAACTCTCACAGTTGAGAAGAGAGAACAGGGAAAGAGGAAGGGAACTGAAAATGAATACCTCAGAAGCAAATTTAGTGCTATTTTTAGACAACTCCTATTCTGTTAACCAGAAAAGGAAAATCTAAAAAAAAATCCCAAAGAAACCGCCTTGCATCAGCCTTGAAGGCACAGGTGGCAGACGTAGGTCTAAGGGGCAGGCAGTGAGAGGGATCCAGGGCTTCCTGTGGAGCTTCTCACCCTCACGCCTGGCCTGAGGAAGGGGAGGTCCAGCCCTTACCTTCCTACCAGGGTCAACTCACTCCACTGTCCTCTGTTCTCAGAGGAGTTGCCAATGTTAGATGGCAGGAAAAACCTTCCATTTCTGCTCATCCATCCATCCAACCATCCATCCGTCTATCCATCCGTTCGTCCATCCTTCCATCTGTCTGCTTGACCATTAGCTGTCTGTCCATCTGTCAATCCATCAATCTCTCCATCCATCTGTTCATCCACCTACCCAATAAAACTAATGAGCTGCATCACAGGCCCTGCCCCGGGCACTGGGACTATGAGGAGAGCAAGAGAGACACTCAGATCCTTTTTCCTGCTGTTTAACATCTGCTCACTCTGCCACACAGAGCCCCCCAGTAACCTCAACCCCATGGTCAGGATGTGCAGGCTGGGTCAAGTGATTTCTGCACAACTTTTGGTTCGGGTTTTCCCTGGGAATCAGATCCACTCAGTTTTGATCTTGGTGTGATGACTATGATGAACAGCAGGAATCAGATCCACTCAGTTTTGATCTTGGTGTGATGACTATGATGAACAGCAGGAATCAGATCCACTCAGTTTTGATCTTGGTGTGATGACTATGATGAACAGCAGGAATCAGATCCACTCAGTTTTGATCTTGGTGTGATGACTATGATGAACAGCAGGAATCAGATCCACTCAGTTTTGATCTTGGTGTGATGACTATGATGAACAGCAGGAATCAGATCCACTCAGTTTTGATCTTGGTGTGATGACTATGATGAACAGCAATTGCTTAGCAAGTGCCTTCCATGGGCTGTGTGGTGTTGCTGTCCCCACTTTATAGGCAAGGAAGCTGGGGCTCAGAGAGGCCACAATCGCCACGGCCATATGGGTAGGACTTGGCATAGTTTCAGTATGTCTTCTCTGTCCAAAGCCTCTGCCTTTCCTTTGCATCCCCTTGTCCTTCAACAACTTGCACTATGGCCCTTCCTGCCTCAGTTTCCTCTTCTGTAAAATAAGGGTGCAATCTGGACAGAAGCTCAGTGTTGAAGGGTTATTTTAGCCCCACCCTCAAGGATCCTTGCTTCTTGGGTCATGCACAGTTCCCAGGGCTTCCCTGCTGCTGCCTTGTGTCTAGCAGAAATGGACATCCCAGTTGCAGGTCAAGTCGTGCTTGGCTGGAGGCCGAAGGAAGGAGAAATGCCCTAGAATCAGGAAGGCATGACCTGACCGGAATTCACCTTCTATCTGTGACATCCACTGCCCACCCTTGGGCTTCTGACTGCGGTGCCTGCCTTCCAAAATTTGTACCTTTTATGTGTTCCATGTTTAGAAATAATTTCCTTAAAAAATATTTGTGGAGTTTCTAATGAGGCTAAAACAGTAAAGTCACTAGCAGATCCAGACAAGATAGCCTGTTTGAGGCAGAAAAGTGTTGGGGAAGCTTCACTTTGGGCTGCAAGAGAGGGAACATGCCGTGGGAATGCTGGGGATGGTGGCCCTGCCTGGGATGGGCCAGCGGCTCTGGACATTGTACTCTGGTTTCAGCCAAATGCCTCAGCCACATCCCACCATCCTCTCTTGCACTGCCCAACTCTTTCCCTACTGCTGCACTGAA
Source organism: Homo sapiens (assembly GCF_000001405.40). NCBI lineage: Eukaryota > Metazoa > Chordata > Mammalia > Primates > Hominidae > Homo > Homo sapiens. Next base: position 10,459,538 of record NC_000003.12, read on the forward strand.
ATTCTTGAGGTCTTCTTTGCAGCACTGGCTGCCTCCAGCCTCCAGGTCCTAACTGGCCTAACTGGCCAACATGACACTGTCCTCTTCTGCCCTCATCCCCCTCATTCTCTCCCACTGTCTGCTCCGTCCCTGTGGATTACAAGAAGAGGCTTGGAAGAAGAACAAAAAATGATAACAGCAACACCAACATCATTCCTGCTAGGTGCTCAGCACTGCTTTATGCACTTAGCTTGTTTAATCCTTCACAACGATGCTTTGCACTGGTACTCCAGCCCCGCCATTTATACAGGAGAAGACAGACTGAGTGTGCAGTGATTGGTGTAAGGTCTTATGGTTAAGGGGTGGCAGGGCCAGCCCTCTCTCATACACAGGCACTCTTAACAGCAACCTAGGCTCACACCCTTCTGTCCAGCAGACCAACTTCTTTGCCGTTTTTCCTTTCTGGTTTCTACAGTGAGGCACAGGGTTCTTCTGCGGTCAGTATTCTGACCACACACAACAGGTCACTGGCTGGTTGGTGAGGCCTCAGGCTTCACCTCTGACCATGGAGGGCTGGGGCCTAGGGAGCTGTCTCTGGGAATGAAGTGCTGATGGATGGACGGAGGTCAGTGCTGGGGAGGGATTGGATAGCTGAGGTCAGGGAACCTGATAACTACAGGCCCCCTCTCTCCCCAGCAGGTTGACTAACCTAGGCTGGGAGTGAGAACTGCCCACGTGGTCCTGGTGCTGAAAGACAGTACCCCTGGGGAGGACAAAGCTGGCAGTGGGGAACTGGCTTCCCTGGGAGCTGTCCTCAAGGGCACAGTGCTGATTAGGGAGGTGGAGGTGGGTGTTAAGGACAACATGTGAAGGAGCTGTCCACACACTGAGGTGCTGACACAGAGCAGGATGTTATTAAGTGCCCCTAGGAACTCTCCAGGACAGCAATGCTGACCAATGAAGAGTGGGGTTGGGAAAGCCAAGAGAAAGGTGCAACCCCCTTCCAACACCTAGGGTGCTGGGTGTAGGCGCTGGGGAAGGCACTGGGCCTTTTCCATGAGTTCTGTGAGCAAGCATGGGGAGCTGACCCCATATTTTAGTGCTGATGCTCAAAGCCTGTTTTTTAGGCTTTTAGGGGGCAGGACTGAGCTAACAAAATGATACTGTATAAAAGGTGACTCAGGGTCACTGAAGTGCATGCACTGTGGACCCACTTCAGTCCATCAGTGCCATCTGCCACTGATGCCAGAAATTCCACCATTAGTGATTCATTCTTTTGTACTGTGCGTGGTCCTTTCCTTCTGATTTCTGCCAGAACTGGGAGCATATTTAAGTGGTAGCATCTCAGTCTGACTGAGCTTAGTAAATTATTTCCTCCATGGGGTGAGGGAGGAAAAACTCACCCACAGAGGTGCCAGGGGATGTGTCTAAGTTGGGATATTACTTTTGGATAGTTGAGTGAGTCCTTTGGGGTCCAGATCAGAGAAACAGGAAGCTAAGGCTTGGAGGAAAGTCTTTCTATGTGTTCCAAGAATGCGGATGCTAGGAAATCTAGCTATATTGAGAAAGAGGCATTAAAACAGCAGAAAGTAGGACTCTTGGATTCAAAGGAGTGAGGAAATGAGAATGATGCAGGTACCAGCAGGGATTTGCGTATGTGCATGGGTGGAAGTGTCTTTTAGCTTCTATTTCTCACTACTGTGGCCAGACACTGTTCTACTTCTTCTAGACTAAAGCAGAGGTGCCCCTGGTTTGGTGACTGTGCACTCATCTTCCACACTTGAGCCCTGGTTATCTCCACCCAGAGTCTCCTTGGCAGAAAGCCAGAGATCTCTGTGAGGCTACTGACTTGGCCTCAGATCTGAAGGAGGAAAATCAAAAGGCCAGGAAGCCAGAGGAGCAGCTGAGAGCACGTGGGGATAAGCAGAGGTTTGCACTTGGGTCTGCACCCTCCCTCATGGTAAAGGTGTTCTCTCCTTCCTCTCCTGATAAAGTCTTCTCTGGGTGCGGCTCAAGGACCCCAGAACAGGGCTTCTCAAAGTGGTTCCCTGAGGGCTACCTATGTTGGCATCACTTGAGGGCTGGTTAAAACACAGGTCTGCAGCCCCCACCCTGCAGAGATGAATGAGCGGATGGTGGGGGCTGTGAATTTTAAATGAGCAGAACTCCTGTCCTCGTGCTTTGGGGCTCCTGTTCCTCCATCTCTAGGCTTCCTTCCTCTTGTAGCCCACACTTTCCTGGTTTTGGGTTCTAAAGTCCTGCCTTGCTTTTGTGACTCAGTCTGTGGCTCAAAATAATCTCCAACTCCCTGGCCCTAACCATCCAAATGCCACCTCCTGGTAGGCTAGGCCCTTGGGTGGCTTCTGGTGAGGACCCCCACTGGCAAACTCCAGGGCCCTTTTCAGTCTTCACGTCCCTGCCCACGGCTGATGGCACCTCCCTTCCTTCTTCCCACTCTCCTGTGCTTCTCTGACCATGTCTGCCCAGGCCTCCATGGCTTCTCTGTTTTGGGGTAACTGTAGGTTTCCCCATGGTCCTGCCCTCTTAATGCCTTGCCTCTCCCTGGGCAATGACACCCATCTGGCATCAACTTTCACCCTAACATGGGTGGTTCCCAGACCGACCTTTCCACCACGGCCTTTCTCCCAAGCTCCAGAACCGACCTTCTTGTGGTTGCCAAATGTCCCCTCCAAAGGTCCTCCAGGCCCTCAGGCTCTCCTAAGTCTCCTCATTCTTTTGTGACCCTTGTGTTACTAAGGGCATCCACAGCACTATCTGGGCCACTCTTGACTCTAATCCTTCCCTCATGTCCAGTCCGGTGACCAGACCCAGGAAGCATCAGCATAAAGGCTCAGCCTAACTCCTCTTCCTCCCCTCCCCAGGCTCCCAACTCTGGTTTAGGTTCATCCACAGCCCCTCAGCCCCCTGGCTCTCTAGCCTTACATCCTCCTTCAGTGACCACAGAGTGAAGCTGACAGTGACTGCCATTTAGAGTGGCTTCTGCATGTCAGAGGCTGTGTGAGGCTCTGCTCATACCTTATCCCTCAACAACCCCATGAGGTAGGTATTATTATGCATATTTTACAGATGAGGAGACTGAGGCTCAGAGAGGTAAAATAACATTACGCTCAAGCTCACACAGCTAATGAGGAGTGGCAGATCTGGGAGTAGAACTGGGCTTTTCTGACTCTGAAGCTGCCACATTATGCTGCCTTTTGGATTTGAGCATGGCTGTCTCTGGATTAAAAATTTTCACTGGCTACCAGTGCCTATTTAAGAAAACATATTCGTGACTACAGCTTCCCACATCCCACCTGATTGGCTCTGAGCTGGCCTCTCTGGGGTCTGAGCTGGCCTCCTTGGGGTCCGAGTTGGCCTCTCTGGGGTCTTGTCTAAGTTAACACCCAGTGTTGGGTCCCACTGAGGGACCTTATGGTCCTTGCCATTTTCTGAACAACTAATGCAAGTTCCTGCCTTCCAACTTTTGCATATATGTTCCTTGGATCCAGAATGGTCTACCACCTGCTTTTCCATTAATCCAAACCTCACTCTCCAAGATCTAGTCCTCATGCCAACTTCTCTGTGAAGTTCTCTCCAATTCCTCTGCTCCAAATTCCAACTCTCTTCCCTCTGCCAGCCCGTCGCGTGTGGCTCACTCCTTAAATCCATACTTTGACCCTCCACCCACTGCCTTGGGGTGGGTTTTGCCAGCTTGCCTCCCCAACTAGGCCCTGAGCTCCCCAGGAACAGGGCCTCTCCAGTCCCCAGCACAGAACAGGCCTCCACCAGGTCTGGTTCCATGACCGAGAAAGCAGTTGGACTATGGAATGACATGGGAAGCGAGGAATATTAGGGTGACACCTGCCTTTCAAAGCAGAAACTGGCCAACCAGATGGTAGGAATAACTTATGCCAAATGCATTCTTGCTGAGGGCCGGACACGTGCCACACTTTATAGGCATCAAACCAGCAAATCCACATATGAACCCCAGGAAGGAGCTTCTATTGGTATCCCCTTTCACAGATGAGCAAATGGAGGCTTTGCAAGGTTAAAGAGATTGCGCGGGGTCACGTAATTGTTGGATTGGAGCCCAGGCAGGCTGCTTTCAGAGCCCCTGCTCTGGATCACAGTGTTACACAGTGGCCCCTCAGGCAGTGGAACACACTGCAGCATGTGGGTCAGGAGTGGGGAGATGTCCTAGTCCTCTGGGCTACTCTGGCCAGGCCGGTGTCTTCTGCCACACCCAGTGCTGGGTCCCACTGAGGATCCTTATGGTCCAGCCTTTGTACTTTTCTCCTTTGCCTATTCTCCATTCGTCCCTGAAACCTGGAGGTCAGGGCCAGGACACTCTGATCTGCCAGGAGGCAGCCCTTGGGCCCAGTCCCAGGGACCAGGTGGGGTGTGGGGGGGCACATGCCGCTGCCTACCTCAAACTCATCCTCTGCGTCCGCTCTCCTGGCCCCAGAGCTGCCCCACTGGCAGCCCCAAGCCCCAGACCCCAGACCCCAGACCCTGGAACCCCATGCCCTGTGCGCATGCTGATTAGTGACCATCCTGGCTGAAGTGTGACCATGGGGGGGCCTGACTAGCTCTGTAGCTCTTCCCCTGACTTGGCATGTCTGTCCCTGGCCACTGCGGAGACGAACAGAATCCACCCGGCACCTTGAACAGATGGTGCCACTTCTAAAAATAATGCCGCACCACACTCCCCAGCGCAGCCGAGTCCTCGCGACAGAAGGGGGTGCGGGTGGGGGTGGGGGCTGCTAGCTGTGCTCACCAGCCATCTGCGCGGGGACAGATGCGAATGCAGCCTCCCAGGGGACACAGGCCCAGGGGACCCTAGCCTTGATGAAGCTGCACAGAGCCAAGGGTTTGATGCTGAGGCTCCAAGCCCCCCAAATAAAAGCAAGCCAGGACACGGCAGGGTATAGCTTGGCTCCCTCCATTCCCACAGTCTATGGCCCCCACAGCAGCCCTAGCTCCACACCATAGCATGACCAAGATTGCTATCTGGAATGCCCTCTCCTCTCTTCTCTGCCTGTTACCACCTTATCCATCTCAGGGTCCCTAGATCTGCAACCCCCAGTGCAGTCTCCTCCTGGGAACTTCCTCCATCCCCAGAAGCCTCTACCTTCCATGGAAACCACTTAAGTCGTTCTCTGGCCTTAGTTGTCACTTCTCTGAAATGGAGACAATCACAGCCCCTCCCTCCCAGGGTTGTTGGGAGGAAAATGTGAGTTAATGCAGGGCACAGGGCTCAGCCCAGAGCCTAGCCAGCGAGAGAAACTAGAAACTGGGATGACAGTGATTTCTAGATGGGGAAATGGAGGCCCTCAGGTGGAAGGCTCTGGTGCAAGGCCATGGAGCAGGTGCTGGCAGAGCTGGGCTCAGGCCCAAGGCCAGTCAGAGGACTCACCTTCCTAAGCCTGCCACCCACCTCTACCCCAGGGATGGATGCTCCAGGAATGTGTCCCACCTTCATCCTTGGGCCAAATTTTCCCTGAGTGCCAGGCCCTTCTCCAATCTTGGGCTGCTCTGGGGAGGCCTAAGGGATACCTTGAAGATACCCTGTCCTCATGACTTGCCAAGAACCAGCCCCAAGCCTCCTCTCCCCTGAGCCCTGGTGTGACTCCTTCAGCTTCTCAAGTAGGTTCAAGTCCTGCCCAGATCCCTCAGCCAGAACGTTTAAGAGTTCAAGTGCCAAAGTGCTTTCAAGGCTCCAGGAGACCCCAAACCTCAGACTCTGGAGGTATTCATGTCCAGCAGCCTCTCCTTGTCCCCAGCAATCAGCAATGGCCCTGCCAAGCTCTGCTCCCTTCTGCTTTCTCAGCCTTGCAGTTGCCTTCTTTCTCTGAAGCCCTGGGTCTGATGACAGGCAACTTGGCAGAGAAAGAGTGGGAGGTGCTGTTTGCTTCCCTCTTTCCCAGTGGGGCACAGCCCCAGCTCCTCCAGTACCATCCTTCTGCATTTCAAAATTCTCCTGAATCCCAGGCCTCATGTCATGCTGCCTCTAGGATCTGTCCTCTGTGAGACATGATCTAGGAGAGTTTAGGTTTTGGGTTTAAGATGTGGTTGGAACCTAGGTTCAAATCTTCAAGTCAAAGGATCTTTCTCCAGCCCACCATACTTACTCCCTGCCCCTGTAGATATTTTTGTCCTGAGACCTCCTGCTTTGTAACATTCAAATCAGGTCTTCACTACTTCTGACTCCTTGTTATAAGGGACTGACAAGGCCGGAGCTGCCACCTCTGTTTCTTTCTCCAGGTTTGGGCCTGCTACGAAATGGGTGCTAGGTTGGGGGGCGTGTGCAGGTGTGTGCATCTCTAGTGGCTGACCCAGATCCTGATGGCACCAGGCCTGCACTGAGTTGGTCCCTAACCACCAGGTCCTTTACTGTGATGGTACCGCAGGAAGAAGAGACACTTCTAGAACAGAGGCCACCAAAAGGGAACAGTGTTTACAAAGCTCAGAAGAGGCCCTGACTCCCCAAACCTGCTTGAATCCAGAGATCAGGAGGGACCTCAAAGGTCAACATCCCTGTGATGCCTAAGCCCTTTACAGCATCTCTGTTAAGCCCTGCTTGTGTTTGCATGCCCCCCTTGACAGGGAGTTCACTCTCTTTGTCCAGGATAGTCTGTGTCAATGCTGGTGGTCACAAAGCTTTTTAGGTTGAGCTGAGATTTTCTTCATGCTAACAATTTTTGTTGTTGTATATTTACTGAGTGTTTTATGACCTACTATCAGTGCAGCACAGAATAGTCCTGCTCCCTCTTGTCCACTGAAGTTCATGTCTACGTGTGCATGCATAGATGCGTGTCTGTGCAGGCCAGGATGTGTGTGGTTGTGTATAAGCTAGCCTGCACACGTCTGAGTGGGCTGGGTGTTGAGGTGTGCAGAAAGCATGTGCATTTCGGAAATAAGACTCTGTCTAGACTATGTGTGTGTGGTGGGGTGTGAGGAAGCAATTAGGCCGAACAGTTTTACTACCTGGAGTGGGGGTCTTAGTGTCTCAGTTTGGAAGGTGGATGGGTAGCAAAAAAGGGGGCACCCATGAAGACTCCAGAAGAGAATAAAAGGCTAACCTATAGCAGAAACTTCATCACTGCCTCTGGAGCTGTCTGCAGGGTGGCCCCTGAACCCCCAAACCATGCCAACAGATGACTTTAGCTTGCAGGAAAATCTGCCATTCAGGTTTACCCTGAACCCAATGACAGAACAACAAAATGGAATTATATGAGTGTTCATTAGATGCTTTTCAGTTTTAAGCTCAAAAGGATCCGTTGACCATTTCCATTTCACAAGTAAGAAAACTAAGGCTAGAGATATCAGGGGCCTGCATTGCATCCCAGAGATAGCGACATCTCCAGGGGTGACCGTGCAGCTCACAATCATGAGCAGAGCATGCGGCCCCACAGCTGGTCACACCCACCATGGGTGGGTAGGCATTGGGCAAGCCTGGTAATGAAGTCTGCCATTAGCTGCTCCTGCTCCACCTTCTTCTCTTTTTGGCCTCAGTTTCCCCACCTGAAAACTAAAGAGGTTGGGCTAGATGGCTTCTAAGAGACTTCTACATGCTGACTTGTGATAAGTCTTTGACACTGGATTGGAGCCCAGGGGAGGGGCCTCTCTGGTCATGACACCCTCAACCTCTACTTTGATGGGGTTGTCTGTGTCCTTGGATCAGACAGAGTAATATTCTGGCCACTGAAACATCTACATGGGGAAATTTTCTTGTTTTAATAATAAAAAACCAACTCAGAGCTGCCTTGTGGACCACTGGTTATGCCTTAGCACAGGCTATTCCCTGCCTTCTGCTTCTCTGCTTGGTGGACTCCTATTCACCCTTGAGAGCCCCGCTCCAGGGGCCCCTTCCTGAGTAAATCCTATGCTAACCCCACTCTCCGGGCAGTCAGCTGATCCCTCCATGGGGCTTGACCGCTCATGCCCTTTAGGGTCCAACCATTTTTGAGTTCCCAGCACACCTGGCAGACACAGTTGGCACATGGCAAAAGCTAGCTGAGTGGGCACGTGGAAAAGTGGCCACGGAAACTTGTGGCTGGACCCCAGAAACTGGGAAAGAACAAGATTTCCTGGGTCAGGACTCATCCCCTCCTTCCACGCTTATGTTTGAATAAAAAGGCAGAGGACATGCACTGGGCACCTGCTGTGTACCGAGCCCCAGCCTACAGGTAGGATACCGTTACTGAACCGGAGGAAACGAGGTAACATTTTTGGCGGGGAGATGGCCAATGTTGTAATGGCATTGGAGGAGCAGCGGCAGTCACAGAGATGAGCGTGAGAGCAGCAAAGTTTTATAACCACCCCCTGCTGCTCCTTGTCTCCACCTTTTCCCCAGGCAGTATCTCAATAATCCCGCTCTCCCCTGATCCCAGGAAGGTACCCTTATTTAAGCCGAGGTGCAGGGAGGTGGGATGACTGGCCAAGGTCACAGAGCCAGGGAATGGCCCGACCAGGATTTGCATTAGGCCCTGAGTCCCAAGGCTGTGCACATGACCTCGACACTCAATAGGCTCCTGGATCTGGAAGGAGCACTAATGGGGCTGCCCCTTGGTGGAGATGCCAGGGAAGTGGGAGGCGGGGTTCTGGGGGAGATGGAAAGACAGGGCCACCCTGCTCCCCTCCTCTCTGCCCAGTGTCCATGTGGGCTGTGGGACAGACAGGAGGATGCTTTCAGGGTACCCCCAGCTTCAGCATCCACTAAGGGAACTCCTGGTGGGGCTGACAGGTGCGAGGCCAGGGCCCTTAGTGGGGCACAGTACAGGGGCCATGGCTGGCCCAGCGGGCTGGGTGTGAGGGGTGGGAAGCAGATGGCAGCCCCTTCCTGTTTGGAAGAAGTCAAGGATGAAATTTTGGCACCATCAGCCTGGCCGCATCACCTGCTGTTAGGAACGGCCCTGGGCCAGAGGGCTGGCGGCTACCCAATGTTGATTTGCTGACGCATGGCAGGCCCCAGGGAGGAGCGGCCACCAGCCCAGCCCTCTCCTACAGCACTGTTATCTTGCTATAAATAATTACTGTTATTTGAGGGAGTTCATCATAGTGCAGCCTCCTTTGTCTCACCTGTAACCCTGGAAAGTGGGAGCAAGGTGCCCATTTTACAGATGAGGGGTCTGTGGCTCCAAGGGGACAAGTGACCTGCTTGATACAGGTCACTCAGACGGTGCTGGGACCAGGGTGAGGCCAGTGAGGCGCTGAAGGAGTGAAATGAAAGGCAGGTCTCGTCTTGGGTTCCTATCAGTGCCAAGTCCTGCTTCCTCTGCCATCTGTCTGCCTTGCCATTTAAGTCAGCCTGACGTACTCATGGGCCCACTTGCTCCACCCCACCCCAATCAAAGGGCAGAGACTGAAAACTGACAAAGAGATTTCAAACACACTTCGGTAGTTTTGTGGATGATGAAGCCGTTAAGAGAGCCTGAGGAATACCTGGAGCTATAAAAGGTGTTCAAAGCTAACGTCTCCACACGAGCTGAGTAATGAATTTCAGGGCAAATTGTTCATTTCTTATTTCCACTCATCTCGCAAACTTTTGCTGTGGATCGACTTCGATGTGTAATGCAGTGTGGATGGAGAGGAACCAGATACAGCCCTTGTCCTCAGAAAGCCTGGTACTGCTCCCTCCTAACTTGGCATGGGGCCTGCACATGATAACAACTGAATAAAATTAATGATAATAAGCTAACATTTATGGAGCATTCTCTATGTGCCAAGCCCTGCAAGAGGCACTTTTTACACGTCATCTCATCCGATCCACATCACATCCCTATGAGGCAGGTATTCTTATTATCTCTATTTTATAGAAAAGAAAACTAAGGCAAGTAACTTGCCCAAGGTCACTCAGAACACAGCGGAGCTGGGATGGATACTCAATACAGCATTTGTTAGGTGAAGGAATGAAAATACAAGAGGTCATGCAGGGAGGCTAGGTAAATATAAGGGTGATATGATTTGTTAAGCGTGGCTCAGGGCCCGTGCAAAGAGCCCTGGAAGCTCCAGAAGCCAGCGTCAGGCCCCCTGAGGGGGTCAGGGAATTCTCCATGCTTTTGGGCACACTTAGGCTGCAGACTTCCAGGAAGAGGGTGATGGTGACAGCAGCTGTATCAGATAGCAGTGCAAGGAGACTCCAGTTTCTCTCTCTGAGCCTGACCACGTGCTCCATCTACAAAAATATCCCAGGCCAGCAGCCCCTTTCACCCTGAGAAAGTGGGTTCCAAGAGAGGGTGGACTTGAGCAGGTATGAGAGGAGGGGCAGTCCTTCCTGGGCTAGCCAGGCAAAGATCTGCCCTAAGCCCTCTTGCTCCCTCCAGCCTTTGGGGAGAGGGCTGCTGATGGACACCCTGACACCCAAGCCTCCCAGCTCGCGCCTTGGTTGCCTGGCAACCATGCAGGATGTCACTCACACCAAGCTCAGATTTCAGGAGCCCAGACCCAGGTGAGGGTGTCAGTATATAATAATAGAACAGCGCAGCCCCCGTGGGGGCTGCTTAAGATAGGCAGATCTCAGCGCTGGGCAGGGCCTGAGTGGTCCTGTGGTCATTTTGCAGATGGGAAAACAGACCTGGGAGGGAAAAGGAATCACTTGAAGTGACCCAGGGAGTTATCAAGGAAGGCAGGGCTGTCTCTGACGAGGAGGTTGAAATAGAAATAGCAGTTCGGAAAGTGACAACAATGACAAGTATAGCTGCTACCTTCAGGACCCGGGGCTATGCACCTTCTGCCACTGTTGCCCATCTCACCCTCAAACAACACAGGTGTAGGTGTTGTTTTCATGCCCATTATATAGATGGGGAAACTGAGGCTCAGAGAGATTGAGCAACCTGCTTAAGATCACCTAGCTGGTGAATGGCAGAGGTCAGATCTGAACCCAGGCCAGTGTGATTCCAAAGTCTGTGAGCTTCACCCTGAGCCACACTGTCCCCAGGGACTAATGAGTTAAGTACAGGACTGAGGGACCTGCCTCCCAGCTGGTTGACTTTGATCTCCTCAGTAACACTGGGGCAGGGGGTGAGGGGTATGCTGGGCTCAAGAGGGTTAAATGGTGGTCCCAGGATGAGCTAAGCAATAGGTGAGGATGAAGGATTTCCTGTGTCTCTCTGACTTCAAGGTCTGGGCCTGACCCACTGTGCCAAGTTCACTGGCAGAGTCCTGGGGTTGTGCCCCTCTGCCAGGCCTCGGGGCATCTCTGCCTCAGCTTCCTCCAGCGTGGTGAGATTTCCAGGGGACAGGACCCCACTTCCCAGCCCCCAAGAGAGTCAGCAAGCCCCAGCACAGAGCAGTGACCTTTGATTCCAGGCCACTGGACCTGTCCCTCAGTTCCCCCACCCCCATGTCTCGTAACCTGAGACAGGGACATGCAGGTTGCTATGGCGACAGCACATCGGATACTGACCTGGGACCCACTGACAGCACGGGGGACAACAGGCCTTGCCTCAGAGCGATGGCTGGAGGGGTGGAGAACGGGGGGCCTGGGGGGCCCTGCGGCAGCCCTGGTTGTTCTCTGGGCCAGGCCAGGCACAAGCTGCTATTTATAATTCTGCTGAATGGGCCCAATAACCCGATCCGCAGTCCGACCTGCCCAGTCCAACTTGCCCGGGAAGCACAGCAGCCACACGCAGCAGGGAACCCGCTCAGAAGCCTCCTCCCTGCCCCCAGCACAGTGTCTCCAGCGCGCGGCTGTGAGGGTGCGGGTGAAGGCCAGGGTGCAGGAGACCCCCTCCCTGCCATTAGCCTCAGCACACACCCCTTCGGGCCAATCCCACCCTCTTCCCTGTGTTCCAGGCCACGGGAGTCTACAGCTTGGACTTTGGTTTTAAAAGGGGTTCAGGAAACCTGTGTGTGTGTGTGTGTGTGTGTGTGTGTGTGTGTTTGTGTGCGTGCACGTGTGCGTGCGTGTGCATGTGCAGATGTGTGTGTGTGTGTTCTAGGAAGCCTCTTACTGGAGGGAGTTGAGCAGAGGGAGGGTACGGGAGGAGGGGAAAGAGAAAGGAAAGACACAGTCAGGCAGAGAGGAACTTGAGAGGCTAGGAGTGGGAGGAGAGGGAGGGAGGAAAGGAGGCGGAAGAGGGAGAGGGGAGAGAAACAGAGACTGACTTCAAAAGAGAAATCGATATTACCATAAAAAATGATAGGCAAGGAAGGTGACGAATATGTTAATTAGTGTGATTTGATCATGCCACATTGTGTGTGTCTGTATACATCAAAGCATCATATTGTCCCCCATAAATGTATACAATTATGATTCATTAATTTAAAAAAATTAATAATAATTTTCTTTTAAAAAAATAGATACTAATCCCAGCACTTTGGGAGGCCGAGGCGGGCGGATAACGAGGTCAGGAGATCGAGACCATCCTGGCGAACACGGTGAAACCCCGTCTCTACTAAAAATACAAAAAAATTAGCCGGGTGTGGTGGCGGGCGCCTGTAGTCCCAGCTACTCGGGAGGCTGAGGCAGGAGAATGGCGTGAACCCGGGAGGCGGAACTTGGAGTGAGCCGAGATTGCGCCACTGCACTCCCGCCTGGGCCACAGAGCGAGACTCCGTCTCAAAAAAAAAAAAAAAAAAAAAGAGATACATCAAGACCTAAGAAGGGAGGGAGAGGGAGGGACGCAGAGACAGAGGAAGACACAGAGGAACTGAAGCCAAGACACAGAGACCGAAGCAGGAAGATGGGAGCCGGGAGGCCCGGAGGAAAGAGTGAGGGCAGTGGCCAAGCTCTGAGCCTGCCCTCTTGCCACCTGCTGGTCTTTGGTCAAGGCACTGGTTCAGAAGCCCAAATGCAAAGATGAGTTGGGTCTCAGGAGAGCCCAGTGACCCATGTGCCAGGGGAGAGAGGGCCTGTCTCTGTGGTGCCTGCACTGACTGCCCAGACCTCTTGCTGGGGGGACGCTGCGGGGCAGGGCAAGGACTGTTCCAAGGTCGCAGGAACCTGGCCTGAAATGGCATAGCTCCTGAGGCTTGCGGGGCTGTCCGCCCTCGGATTCGGGTTATTTTGAGAGCTGAGCAGCCAAAACACACCGCTCTTCTCTTGTTCACGGGCCAGTGGCTGCTGACTCAAAATATTCTCTCAAGGAAACTGTCTCCCCGAAATCCAATGTCACTTCTGGGAGGCCTCCCCTGATTCTCCCAGAATTAATTCTCTGCCTGGTTTCTACCTTCTGTACAGTGGATCCTGGGGAACTACAGACAGGTAAACATCTCCCACCAGACTGTGAGCAGGGGTTGGTTCAGGTTCCCCGGGTATCCCCAGCACCAAGTGCAATGTCAGACACACATAAGTTGCTTAAGTGACAACCCTACAGTAGCAGTGTCGGCTAATGTTTATTTCACAAGAACTTGATGTGCACTGCCTCATTTATCATCTCAGTAGCCCCAGTTGTAGGATCTTCAGCAGGTCCCATTTTACAAAGGAGGAAACTGAGGACCCATGTTGGTAAGTTGTTGAACCAAGATCTGATCTAAGCCTGTCTGATTTCAGAGCCCATTTACATGACCACCAGGCATACAGCCTTCCCTGTACTAATGATCATCTCCATGTCTGTGTCTCTGCTCAGGAACCTTCTGTGGCTCCCCAGTGCCCCTAAGATTAAATCCAGACATCTGGCCTGATGCTGGTTCCTTTCCTCTATTTGCATTGTCCTTTCAGGTCTCACTCTCTCTTGCCCAATCTCCTACTTCTAGGTCCCCTTCTCTTATTCTCTGATTTGTTCACTCCACAGTCATTTAATGAGCACCTACTGTATGCCAAGCATACTGTACTTGCCTCTGCACTTGCTTCTGTTAGGGAAGACAGACTGAAAAGTGCTATGAAGAGCAGGCCAGGTGTGGCGGCTCATGCCTGTAATCCCAGCACTTTGGGAGGCGGAGGCAGGTGGATCACTTGAGGCCAGGAGTTTGAGACCAGCCTGGCCAACATGGTGAAACCCTGTCTCTATTAAAAATACAAAAATCAGCTGTGTGCGGCGGTGTACACCTGTAATCCCAGCTACTCAGGAGGCTGAGGCACGAGAATCACTTGAACCCAGGAGGCAAGTTGGCAGTGAGCCAAGATTGCACCACTGCACTCCAGCCTGGGTGACAGAATGAGGCTCTGTCACACAAAAAAAGTGCTATGAAGAGAATAAGGCATTATGACTGAGACTGTCCAGGCATCTGTTTTGCCAGGGGGATGTGCAAAGAGCTGGGGCAGTATGTTCCAGGCAGAGTGAACGGCATAGGCAAAGACCCTGGAGGTGGGAAGGGGCAAGACATGCTTTTAGTAACTCAAAGAAGGCCACGTGGCTGGGGCTTGTGATGAGAGAGAATCAGGCAAAGTGAGTTCAGAGAAGCATAAGGGCCAGATCACACCAGGCTTTGAAGCCGCTGGGAACTTGGATTTTATTCCAGGTAGTGAGAGATGCCTCTAAAGAATTTTAGGTGATAGATTAACGTACTTTTCCCTTTTTCACGGATCTGTCATGCATTGGAGAATGGACTGGCAGGGTGAGATTGAGAGCAGGGAGGAAGTGAGGTGGCTACTGTGTCATCCAGGTGGGTAGGGACAGGTCTTGCCTGCAGGGGCAGCAGTGGTGTTGGAGAGGTGTGGGTGGGTGGGTTAGGAAGTGGAACCAGTAGGCTGATAACCTGAGCTATGCCATTAGGAAGAGGGCGAGTGGATGGTGGCACCATTTACTGCAGTGGGTCGGGGAAGGGAGCAGGCTTTTGGGGGTGGGTGGAGAAGGTTGGGTAGGCATGATGAAGAATCCTGTTTTGGACTTGTTAACTTTGAGATGCTTGTGAGACGTCCAAGTAGAGATGCCAAGTGGGCAGTTGGATGCATGAGTTGGGAGCTCAGAAGAGAGGCCCTGACTACAGATATAAATATGGAAATCAGCAGCTTAAAGATGGTATTTAAAGCCATGGGATGGGATGAGATCATCGAGGGACATAGCTCAGCCAGAGAAGGGAAAAGACTCAGAGCCCAGCCCCAGCCATTAGAGGTCAGGTAGAGGAGGAGACCGGAGCCACGCAGCCACCCTGGCAGACCTGACTAGGTGCCTTGCTTGGCTCCCACTGCCCTCAGAACAAGGTTCAAAATCCTTAGCCTGACACACACGCCTGCCTGCTTCTTCAGGCTCATATCCTTCCACCCGTTCCTTGTAACCTTCCCTCCTGCCATAATAAGCACCTTGTAAGGTTCCACACTTCCAGGCTTTTGCCCAGGCAGTTCCCCTGCCATAAATGCCCTCCCATGGGCAAAGGCAAATGCTTTTCTAAAGTGCTGGCCAGTGAAGCTTTCTCTAACCTCCTGGGCAGACTTTCCATGGCCTTCTGGACACACTACACTATCACTGTCTTTCTGGGAGCCCCTTGTGGGGAGCGGGCTGACCTGTCTCTGTGTCCCTGGCCCAGCATGTCCATGGCTCATGGTGAACCCTCATGCATTCAGTGTCCCCATGTCACCACCCCACGTCTGAAACGTATCATCACAGCTTGGGCTGAGAATGTCCGAATTAACCACTTCCAGTTTCAGCCTGGGCTTCTGCACTGAACAGACTCAGAGGAAGGACGGTTAAGAGAGGGAGGAGGTGAGCGGGCGTCAGCACGAGGGGTGGCCACACTGAACATTTGCTGAGCCTCCCACCTGCCACTGCAGTAGGAGGAGGAAAAAATGAAGAGACAAAAGCAAGAAAAAGAGCAATCAAGTTCATCTTTCTTCACTACTGCTCTGCGCTCATGACAAGAGACTTTATTGTGTAGGAAATCAAGTAGCACATGGGGGAGGTGGGGGACTTGTCCTGCAGGGGTCATGTCAGAGCTCCCCCACCCTCTGGGCTACTATTGCTCTGTCTTGTTTAATGTTACCACCTGCAGGCTCCTGCAGAATGCCTCTCTGGCTGGGGAACAGGTAAGGGGAGAGGGACAACTGGATGATTTATTGAGCACCTACTATGTGTTGGGCACCACACATTTGGTCATGGGCACGGATTGGGGTTAGGCAGATCTGTGCTCTGATTCCAGCTCTACTACTTGCCACATGGCCTTAGACAGGTCACTGCCTTGCTCTGGGACTCAGTTTCTTCATCTTTGTGATGAGGGATCACTACACATGCCTGCCTAGGCTTTTATAGGCCTAACCCTGTTAGAGGAGTTCTGCAGTTCCCATTTTATAGACAGGGAAACTGAGACTCAGAAAGAAAGGCTCAGAGGACAGAGCCAGGGTGGACAGAGCTGATGTCTAAGTGCGTTTCTGCTGCCAAAGCCAAAGCCCCCTTCCCCGTCTGCAATGCCTCATGCTGTCTCCTACTTGGCCCTGCAGTCGGTTGATTCTGAGCCTTGAGTTGGATGCTGGGGACTTGAAGGTGATTCAGACAAAAGCTCTGTCCTCCAGGGGCTGCTTCTCTGGTTAGGGGGTCAGGGTCTTCGACCACTACTTTATAACCCCATCCTCCCACTCAGATCAGCCAGGTGTAGGGAGATGGGGATTCCAGACTGCACAGGAGGAGAAGGTGAGTTTGAGAATTCCTGGTTTATAGGTCCAGTTACTCCTTTAGGGACCAGGCAGGAAGCATGAGTTACCCCGCTAAGCAAGTTTCTCTGTCTGCAAAATTCGCATAATCATATCACCCCCAAAAGATAACCAGCTGGTGAAACTGGGAAGCATTTGCAGGGCCTTGGCATTATGACAGGTTGCCCCAGATCAGGCCATCTTTAGCTGAAGCCGTGGAGAGCTTCAGAAGGGGCCATGAACCTACCAACATTCTTTGTAAGAGGTTGTGTTTTTCTGGGGAGGAAGCCTTTGGCTCTCACTAGCTTCTCAAAGGAATCCCTGAAGCCCTCACCCCACAAGGACTCAAAATCAAGGCCTAGTAGGACCAAGTCAACTCTCTGCTTTTCAATAAAGGCCGTGTAGAAATAGCACCAAGATGGCAGACCCAGAAAGCATGGGAACAACGGGTGCGTGGGGATGGTTAGAGAGAGCAAGGGTCAAGGCTGGGGCCCCATGCTTGGAGACCCCCAGTAAGGTAAAGCACTAGAGAATCACCCCTCACTGTGAGTCTCCACAGCTTTTCTGTGGCTGCATGGCACAGGATCCTGTAGTCAGTAACTCCCCTCCATGCCAGCTTGGCGGGAGGGAGAAAGGATGTGGATGGTGCTCTTTCCCAAGCAAACGCAAAGCTAATTATTCCAGACACCAAGTTCCTTTAACCATAATTGATCAGCCTCTAGTTTAGAGGAAATTAAATTTTTTCTGCCTCCTTCATTAGCCCTGAGGAAGGGGGTGAAGGTATGACAGAGCTGGGCAGAGAGCAGCTAATGCAGATGAGCCCTAAGCCTCGCCAGTGAGGAAGCAGATGGAGGGTCTATGCCACACCCTGGGGGTGCTGGGTCTTAGCAGAACAGGCACCTAGGGAAGTACTCAGAGGCTCATCTGCTTGGGCATCTGCAGCTAGAGCATTCTAGAAGCCACTCAAAGTCACTTAGTCTAGTCTGGTAGGTCATAAGAAGGTGACCTGAGGTAGGCTCCAAATGCAGATTTTGGCTTGAAATGTTAGCTGAAATAAGGAGCCTAATGTGTGGCTTCCTCCAGGCCAGGCCTCACCATGCAGCAGACACCAGTGTCCTGCCTGGCCTCTCCTGCTAGTTGTCCCCACACTTCAGCTTCAACAGATCTCAAGCCCAGTGTTTCAGCTTTCCCTCTTAAGATTGGTGCTTTTGTGTGTGTGTGTTTTCTCTGAAAAATCATTCCCTACTTCTAGATGGGGAAGATGCTCTTCTGCGTTCGCTCTGGAAGTTTCATAGCTGTAGCTTTTACAAGTAGGTCTATGAGCATTCTCAATTTAATTTTTTCATCTACGTTTCTCTTTTTTGTGGTTAAGTCTACATAACATGGGATTTACCATTCTAGCCATTTTTAAGTGCACAGTTCAGTGACATTAAGTGCATCCTCATTGTTGCACAACCATCTCCACAACCCATCTCAGAACGTTTTCCTCTTCCCAAACTGAAGTTCTGTCCCCATCCAACACCAACTCCCTTTTCCTTTCCCATCCACTGGCACATGCACCATTCCATTTTCTGTTTCTATGAGTTTGACTACTGTAGCGACCTCATATAAGTGGAATCATAACAGTATTTGTCCCTTTATGGCTGGCTTATTTCACTTAGCATCTCAAGTTTCATCCATGTTGTAGCATGGCTCAGAGCTTCCTTCCTTTTTATGGCTGAGTAATATTGCATTGTATGAACAGACTACATTTGATTTATCAGTTGATCCATTCATGGACACTTCGATTGTTCCCTCATTTTAGTTATTCCAAAGAATGCTGTTATGAGCATGGGTGAACAAATATCTGAGTCCTTGCTTTCAATTTTTTGGGTATCTACCCAGTAGTGGAATTGCTGGATCGTGGAATAATTCTGTTTGATTTTTTTGAGGGACCACTATATGCTTTTCCACAGCAGCCGCACCATTTTACAGTCCTACTAGAATGCAAGAGTGTTCTAATTTCCCCACGTTCTGGCCAATACCTATTTTCTGTTTTTTGGTGATAGCCATCCTAATTGGTGTGAACTGGCATTTCCCTGTGATTTACATTTCTCTAATAACTAGTGGTGCTGAGCATTTTTCGCATGCTTATTGGCCATTTGTGTATCTTCTTTTCAGAAATGTCAAGTCAAGTCCTTTGCCCATCTTTGAACTGGGTTGTCTTTTTGTTGTTGAGTTGTAGGAGTTCTCGACATATTCTGGATATTAATCTTTATCATATATGTAATTTGAAGATATTTCTTCTCATTCCATGGGTTGTCTTTGTACTCTGTTGATAGTATCTTTTGATGCATTAAAGTTTTTAACTTTGATGAAGTCCAATTTATCTACTTTTTCTTTTGTTGTCTGTGCTTTTGGTGTCATAGCCAATAAATCATTGCTATATTCAGTGTCATGAAGCTTTCCCCTATGTCTTCTGTCTCCATTAAATTTTGTGTGTGGTGTGAGGTAGGGATTTAGACTCAACGTATCTGAAATTCAACCTCTAAGCTTTCCCATCCAACCTCCTGCTCCCCTGGGATTTGCTGTTGCCACCAAAGGCCTCATCTTCTCTCCAGGTGGTCAGCATAGAATCCAGCAGCCACCCCTGCCTCTTTCTTCTCCATCATCAAAGTCCTATTCATTTTCCTCCTTCCTACATTTCTTGAAACCCATAATTTCCCTGCACAGCCCATGTCCTTGTCCTAGTTCTTCTCATCTCTTGCCTAGGTGACTGCTGTGGCCTCTAACTGGCTGATGTGGTTTGGCTCTGTGTCCCCATCCAAATCTCATCTTGAATTGTAATTCCCATGTGTAACCTGGTGGGAGGTGACTGGATCATGGGGGTGGTTTTCTCCATGCTATTCTCATGATAGTGAGTGAGTTCTCACAAGATCTCATGGTTTAAAAGTGGCACTTCCCCCTTTGGGCGCTCTCTCTCTTCTGCCACCATGTAAGATGTGCCTTGCTTCCCCTTTGCCTTCCACCCTGATTGTAAGTTTCCTGAGGCCTCCCCAGCCAAGAGGAACTGTGAGTCAATTAAACCTCTTTTTAAAAATAAAATTACCCAGTTGCAGATAGTTCTTTATATCAGTGTGGAAACAGACTAATACACTGGCCTCTCTGCTGCCACTTGGAAAAGCAGTGCTGATCACATCACAGCATCCTCCTGCCCACTTTGCTTTTGGGATAAAGAAAACACTCCCACATGTGATCTTCAAAGCACTGGGTGGCCTGGCCTTGCTCCTTCAGCCCCCAAGAACCCCATTCTCTCATTTCCTCTGCTTGTCCCCCACCACATGGCCTTTGTCTGTTCTGTTCCTTCTGCCTAGAATGCTGTTCCCTCCCTATCATCACCTAGTAAACTCCTACTCTTCCTCCTGTTCTCAGCTTAATCCCAACTTCTCTGGGAGGCCTTCTCTGATTTACTTACGAAATCACACTCATCCTGGTTGTATTTTAAACATGTTTGTGTGACTGTTGGATTGTTTGATTTTAGATCACTGACTAGATAAGAACCCTTATCACCACCTCCTAGGCCCAGACTCTGCAATAATTTAAAAAATAACAGTTATAGCTATTATGCATATTATATATATACTTACTGTCTGTCTCCTTTCACTAAGGCCTGTGTCTACGTTTTCATCACTACTGTATTCCTAGGGCCTAGCAGTGTCTAGCACATAATAGATTATCTGCAAGTAGTTCAAGGAGGAAAGGAAGAGAGAGAGGGAGGAAAGGCTAATTTGCATTGAATAAAAAGCCTAATTCTGGCTGGGCTTGGTGGCTCATGCCTGTAATCTCAGCACTTTAGGAGGCCAAGGTGATTGCTTGAGCCCAGGAATTTGAGACCAGCCTGGGCAACATGACAAAATCTTGTCTCTCAATACAAAAATTACAAAAATTAGCCAGGCGTGGTGGTGCATGCCTGTAGTCCCAGCTACTCGGGAGGCTGAGATGGGAGGATTGCTTGAGCCCAAGGAGTTTCAGGCTATAGTGAGCCATGATTGTGCCATTGCACTCCAGAGCCTGGGTGACAGAGTGAGACCCTGCCTCACTAATTTGCTTCCCAAGGTGAAGGTTCTCAGATCCCTTGGAACTATAACGTTCTCCAGGGGGAAGGGTGTATTCACTTTCTATAAATTTTGGGTTTTCTGAGAACTTATTATGTAACAAATGCCCAGGCAGGCCCTCTCTCAGAATCAGTTTCCTCATCAGTAAAATGAGGCTAACAACACCGACCGACAGCGTTGCTGGATTAGAAAAGATGATGCATATGAAAGTGTCGAGCACCAAATAGGCGCTCCATAAATGACCTTGACCTTGATCCCAGCCACACTCCCAAATACAGCCAAACCCTCCTGGGGTATCTGGGCCTCAGTCTTCTCTCCATAAGCTGCCAGATCTGGGCAGGGACACATCCCCAGAATGGTACAGGGAGACCTGAGTGTCTCTTCTGAAGCACACAGGCTTTGAGAACTGCCCCGCGCCTATGTGGGACTAGTTCCTGCCTTGTTCCTGGACAGAACTCCCTGTCATATGCCAGTTCCTTCAGGCCCAAGACCCTGTCAAGCTTTTGTCAGCACCCGCAGCCCCAGCCTAGACCCCTAGCTTGGTCCAGACTTTCTCCTAGGTTCCTCCCAAGTCCATCTTGTTCTCGCCATTTCCCCTTCTGCCATCAGTGCCCGCAAGGCCTACTGCATTAGCCTCCTCGCCAAGCCCTTGAGGACCCCTCCCCACTACAACCCCTTCTGCACATGGCAACCAGAATGATCTTCCTAAAACATAAATTGGATCACATCATTGTCCTGCTTAAAACCTCCCAGTGGCTTCCAGTACATGCAGAGCTAAAGTCCTCAGTGGGGTCTGCAAGGCCAGGGCCAGAGGGCCCCGTCACCCCTCCCTCTCTTTATCTCACACCACTATCTGCTCCACCCGCACCAGATCTCAGTTCATCCCGCCTGCCACCTAGTCTCAGAGCAGACCCTCTCTTTTTGTTCAGTTACACACTGGTAGGAAGTCTGCCTGGGGCTACCAGGACATTCCTGAGAATGAAGATAACACAGAGGCAAGCAGAGCTGGGAAATGGAAAGACTTCATTTGAGCACTAGGATCCAGCCATACCTGAAGCCAACAATCCCAATTTTTTTCTGTTAGGTGAGCCAATGCATCTTTTTTGCTATAAGCTAACTTGAGTTGGTATTTATATCACTTGCTTCTAAAGGTAGTCCCAATGAATCCAACTGGCTGATCCTCCCTCACCCCACCCCCTCTCTTTTTCTGTTTCTGCGGCACACCAGCATACTCCACCTCAGGGCTTCTGCCTGCCCTGTTTCCTCTGCATGGAGTGCTCTTCCCCCAGATGTCTGCACGTTTCAGTCCCCCACCTCAGGCAGTGCCCGCTCAAATGGCACCTCCTCAGAGAGCCCTGCCCTGAACACCCCATCAAAAATAAGATGCCTTGTCATCACGCTCTTCCCGCTGACTCTGCTATATTCTATTTTATTTTATTATTTTATTTTATTTTTTTGAGACACAGTCTCGCTCCGTTACCTAGGCTAGAGTGCAATGGCACAATCTCTGCCCACTGCAACCTCCACCTCCTGGGTTCAAGTGATTCTCCTGCCTCAGCCTCCTGAGTAGCTGGGATTACAGGCGCCCGCCACCACGCCCAGCTAATTTTTGTATTTTCAGTAGAGATGGGGTTTCACCATGTTGGCCAGGCTAGTCTCAAACTCCTGACCTCAGGTGATCCTCCCGCCTTGGCCTCCCAAAGTGCTGGGATTACAGGTGTGAGCCACCATGTCCCACCTCTGCTATATTCTAAAAAATAACACTTACACCCACTATGATGTTATATATTTACTTATTGTCTATGTCCCTCCACTAAACTGTAAATCCATGAGGGCAGAGATTGTGTTAGGATGACCAACTGTCCTGGTTTGCCTCGGACTGAGGGGTGTCCTGGGATGTGGGACTTTCAGTGTTAAAATCAGGAATGTCCCAGACAAACCTGGACACGTTAGTCCCCCTAGACTGCTTTCATTTGCTGTAAAATCCCACTGCCCAGCTCAGTGTTGGTGCGCGGTAGGTGCTTAATGTCTAGTTGAGTGGATGAGTGAGCGCAGGCCCTGGGCTGCATTTACGTGCTCTGTCTCATGGCATCCTCATAGCCAGCCTGGGGGTGGGCTTTACTGTTGCCCCCATTTTACTGATAAGAAGCCTGAAGCTTCAGCTGCTTGCCAGGCCACATGGTGAGGGCAGCAGAGCACCAGCACTGGCACCCAGCTCTACCACACTCCAGAGGCCACACCCTAACTGCTCTCCACAGCACACCTCTGTCACTGTCTGCTCTACTCAGCCAACTGATCCTGGGCCCCTGCTGCCTCAATTGCCACCTTTGGGCCATCCCTCCATGCCTCACCTGGGTGTGTGAGCAATGGCCTAAGGCAGCCCTTTCCTGGCCAGGCTGATGGTGAGGAGAAGGGGAGAGAGGGCAGTGCCATGGCTAGGGTCAAGCTGCCCCAAGGCTGGAACCCTAGAGCATGGTGGCCAGCACAGGTGGTCTCCCTGACCTGTGTGTCCCTGGGGCACCTCTGGCTCAGGCCCCACCAGTGCCAGGTCTCCCCCCTGAGGCCTCGCCAGTCACAGCTGCCTTCTCAGCTGGGCCCCACCTGAGCCTTCTGACTGAGAGTGAGGAAGTCTGAATTCTGCTCACCCACAGGAGCCTAAACTGAAGAAGGATATATCCCTCTGCAGTGAAGGAAAGGCCTCCGTCTGCCATCCCAGGCCTGCCACCGCTCCCAGCCCTGTTGAACATGCCTGTGCATGAGGGCCCTGCCCATCCAGGTCAGAACAAGGGGATTTGCACTCGGGGAAGCAATGCTTCCTCCCACTGGACCCTGACAACCAACCCGTGCAGCAGGCACTGTATTTTCTACCCATTTCATGGATGAGGAAACTGAGGCCCAGAGAGGTGAAGTCGCTTACCCAACGTGACACAGCTCATAGGGGCAGGGTTAGGATTCCCAGAGGTGGATTCAGGTCCATCTCCCTCACTCACGTGTCATCTATCCTACCTTCTCTCCCTGGTGAGGGTAATGTCGGGGCCGACAAAACTGCTGCCATTTCTGGAGTCAGACCCTGCACACACATTGCTTCTTATTTCAGGCCAACTGGTAGGATAGGTGTGACAGTCCCCATTTTACAGATGACGAGGCTGTACAGCAGAGGAGTTAATGACTGGCGTAGGTCCCAGGGCAGGGAGGACTCCTAAGGGAACCTGTCTTATTTCGCCTTCCCTCCAATCCTTCCTTCCTGTCAACCTACCTGTGTCCCTACCTATCTAACAACTAATCCACATTTTTTGAATGGCAACAATGGGCAAGGCCCTGGCCTGGTCTGTGCCGACACCACCCCGAGCACTGAGAGCAGAAGGCAATCCTGGCTCCTGGCCCTGAGTGGCTGGAATCCCTTCCTGAGGGGCAGCCTGGATTTCCAAACCAGAATATCCTGAGTCTGATGAGCGATCTACCTGGAAGCCTCTTACTGGGGAATTCTCTGCGGGCTTAATTCTAGGATCTCAGCTGCTCTGTCCCCTGCCTGGCCACCAAGGAGATGTTTTTCAAAACAAAGTGAGGTGGGAGAAGGGCCACGGGAGGTTTTAATAATTCTATGGTAGGAAATTTCCATGGTGATGGAAAAGACCCACTGGCTGGCCTCCAAACGCCTTCCGGAAAAAACTTCCAAAAAGAAACTGTGGGACTGGCCCTCTCCAGTCCAGACAGATGCTGGAGCCACCCACGGAAGGACTTGGGGGCCGGTGCATTGGCGTCAGCCCCCGGCACAGGGCCGGGCACCCAGAGGCCCAGGGATCAAGGCGGTCCAGGGATAAAGGGGTCTCCCCTCGAGGGATTCATGGAAGAACAAAGAAAGATGCCCCCTGGGGAGTGAGTCACAAGCCCAGGCTCCATTTCTCTGCCACCTGCTTGCTTTGTGACCTTGAGCAACGACTAGGCCTCTCTGAGTCCATCTCTGCTGTGACAGGCAGCATTGGCGGGGTGCTGTCTAAGGTCTGAAGCATCGTGATGGTGCTGGCCCTGGCTTTGGGTTTCCCAAGGTCCCTGGGGATGAGTCCAGGAGGGGTGCAGAAAAACTGAGTTCCTGGAAACTCTGGAGGCATCTCCAGGGACCAGAGACTTCCAGGGCAGGAGAGAGTGACCTGAACACCTTGGGGGCAGATCCTAAAGAGCTCACTGAGGGGTGAACACACAGCCCCCTCCCTGCTGGCCACTGTCTGCCTCTCCCGTGGGCACAGGCTCCTCGGGTGAGATTCTAGAAGGGACAGGCTGAGGGGTCTGCATGCAGGTGAGGATCCTGGGGATGCCCTCAGTGTCTCCCCGTACCCCCACAGCCACCTCACTGCTGGCCGCGGGGGTCTCTGTGGCATTTTGAGCTCTCCATGACCCACCTGCTGCTGCCACCACCCCTCTGCCTGTATGAGTTCCTCACGGCCTGTCCCCAGGCTTCCCATGCTGCGTTTTCACTCCACTTGCCAGTGGGCTGGTCTCTGCACGTCCCAGCCCTGTCCCTGCCCTGCCTCACATCCTGCAGGGCCCCCATGGCCCTGGGGGTTGAGCCGTAACTCTGAGGCTGTAGCTGAATTGCGCAGTGCACCAGTACATTGCCTCCAGATGCAGAAAGAAATCTTACACACCAGAGGCCCATGATATAATACAACCTCAACCATCAGCCAGGGAAGAATCCCCTGAAGGAGAAGCAATGAGTCTGTGTCCTACTTAGTTCTGCATCTGGGTACCAGCTCACGTCTGCGCAGATTCCTTCACAGTGCTGAGCCTCAGTTTCCTCAGCTGTGAAATGGGCTGAAGCTGTTTCCTTTGCACTGGAAAAGTGAGAATAAGAAGGCCCTGGGCACAGTGCCTGGCACTGACAGGCCTTAAGCTGACCTGACGCAGACCCCCTCTGTGAAAGGGGCTGGTTGAGGGCTCAGTCTGGGTCTTGTGTGCCTTCAGGAAGGGGTGTGAGAGGAGGGAGACAGAGGCAAGGGGCAGGGGACAAGAGGTGAGGGGGTCTTCAGGAGGCCAGTAGCCAAAGTCATCACCACCACCAGAAGAGTGGCACCTGCTTTTTAAAATCAGCACTTACTATGTGCTAGGCACCAAGGGTGCCTTCCTTCTGTGGTTTTCTCATTGAAGTCCTGTCGGGAAGGTTTATTATCCCTATTTTACAGCTGTGGAAACTGAGGCTCAGAGAGGTGAGGTTGCCGAGCTGGTGGGTGACAGGGCTGGGAGCTTTGCCCCTGAGCTCTGTGCTGGGCGAGGGCACAGGAAGGAACAAAGGGTGAGCAGAGGGATTGGAAAAGGAGGTGGGGGATTGCGGGAGCTCAGGGCAAGCCAGGGCACACCCAGGCACAGCCTCCTCTCGCCTTGGCAGTCCCGCAGCAGGCTCCTCTCCTGCGCCCGCTCCCTCCGCTTCTCCCTGCCTCCGTATGGAGCTTTCTAAAGCAGGCCCCTGTGAATCAGAGCAAAGACACCAAATTTACTCTGCTCACTGCCAGATTTTCTCCAGAGAAGGGGGTGGTGACGCGGGAGTGGAGTGGGGAGAGAGCCTGTCCATCTGCCTACTCACCTCTGCAGAGAATCGCAAAGCCTGGGGTCTGAGGTCTGGATGTTTTGTGCGGTGGGGGCTTCCTGGCTCTGGCTCAGGCCTGCCTTCCCGGCTCAGGTTGGGGCTTCCTGGCTCTGGCTCAGGGCTGTCCCTGAGTAAAGACTGTGCTCTTGGGAGTCAGGAAGGGTTGCTCTGGGAGGGTGCTGTGTGCCAGAACCCTGTGAGATCCATGCTCTGAGCACCCACCCCACAATGGCCCTGAGCGGATGTGGGGGCCAGGGCATCATGAAACTCAGCCAGCGCCATTGCGACATGGGGCCGAGGGGTGGTAAGTGAGGACAGGAGGCCACAAGTGGGCATGGAGGCACCCAAGTCAGGTGCCGGGACTCAGGCATCTCCCCTCAGCCAGTGGCCAGGTCAGCATGCTTCCATCGCACTCATACAACATCATTCTGCTGCCCAGGAGGCTTTGTGGGTGCCCGCTCATCGAGCATAAGATTTGGTCAAACTAACCTTGCTTTGCCACCCACTAGCTGAGCGACTCAGTTTCTCTGTCTGTAGAATGGGGATTTCACCATCAAGTGCCTAGAACTGTTGCAGGGATTTAATGAGATGACAATCTGTTTTTCAAACAGCAGCCAGGTGTGTGTGCGTGCGTGTGTGTGTGTGTGTGTGTGTGTGTGTGTGTGTGTCTCAGCCCTGCATAAGATGCTCCTATGTCAGGATCAGCCCCAAATTCCACAGGGTGATCTACAAAGCACCAAAAGATCAGGCCCCTCTCTACTTCTTCCACATCATCTACCTCTCTCCCCTTCACACATTTTGCTGCAGTCACAACAGCTGGAGTCTTTAAACGTGCCCAGTATGTTCTCACCTCAGGATCTTCGCACTGGCTGACTCCTTTGCTGGGACTGCTCTTCCCCAGATGGTGGCATCTTGAACATCACCTACTAGCAAGGTCCTCCCTGACCACGCTAGTGGCAGGGAGCCCCTTCGATTCTCACTAATTTTCTTTATAATAATCACCCCAGCTGGAATTATTGTTATGATGATGATGGTGATGATGATGATGATAGAGTCTCACTCTGTCGCCCAGGCTGGAGTGCAGTGGCATGATCTTGGCTCACTGTGACCTCCACCTCCTGGGTTCAAGCAATTCTCCTGCCTCAGCCTCCTGAGTAGCTGGGACTACAGGTGCGAGCCACCACACCCAGCTAATTTTTGTATTTTTAGTAGAGATGGGGTTTCATCTCTACTAAATGTAGGCCAGGCTGGTCTCGAACTCCTGACCTCAAGTGATCTGCCTGCCTTGGCCTCCCAAAGTGCTGGGATTACAGGCGTGAGCCATTGCGCCCAGCCCCAGCCAGAATTATTAATCTTAGTTATTAATGAGAACTCCTCTGTCTTGTTTACCACTATGTACCCACTGCCTCAAATGTACCCAGCATGTAGCAAGCATTCAAGAAATGTTTGCTACAGGAACAAATAATATGTACTGAGCCTGAAACATGCTGGTCCCTTCCTTTCCTTTACACATTCCTAGCACAGCCTCTCCCCACAAGCATGTGTGTGCGCACACACACACAGACATGCACATACAGAGAGACACACACACACAGACAAACACAGATATACACCCCAAAACAAATCCCCAGATGAGACCAAAGAACAAAAACCCCAAACAAGAAAGCCCTGTGCTAGAAGGAGGATGCTAGGGGTTACCAGGGTCATGAGTCCAGTTGTCAGGTCCTGCCTGGCTTACCTTAGGATCTCCACTGAGGCTGTGGGAAGTCAAGGTCACTGGCAAGGGCAGAGAGCAACTCATCAATTCTCAGCATGAAGCCAGTGGGCCACAAAGGCCTGTGAGTCTTTAGTTCCACAGCCCTGATGGGGGTTGAAGAATGTGTCCTACAGGCAGGGACTGTGTCTGGTTTATTCACATCATGTCCCCAGTGCCCTCAGCTCAGAGTAAGTACTCAATGAAAACTTGCGAATGAATAAATGAATGAGGATGAGGGGTTAGACAGCGGGAAAGGAAACAGAGAGAATTGGCCGTTAATGTTCATGGGAATCACGAGCTTGGGCCATGGTGCCAGGCACCACTGAAAGCCACTATCTGAAAGTGCCTCCAACAGTACTCGCATCCTGTCATGTCCCTGTACAATAACCTGCAATGGCTCCCACTGCCTCTGAGTAAAATTTTCTACTTATTCTGGCAATCGAAGTCCACTTGTTTTCTTCTCTCTCTGCCTCACTATCTTTTTGCTTCTACCCATTCATCCATTCACCCATATACATATCTTCCTGCCCATCCATCCACTTATTCTTCTGTCCCTCCATCCTTTTGTCCACCCATCTACTCACTCATTCATCCATCTCTCTCTCCACTCCTCCACCAAACCATCCACCTATCCATCTATCCATCCATCCAGCCATCCATCCATCCATCCACCCATCCATCCATCCATCCTCCCACCCACCCACCTATCCATGCATCCATCCATCTACCCACCCATCTATCCATCCACCCATCTATCCATCCATCCATCCATCCACTCATCCACCTATCCATCCATCCATCCATCCATCCATCCATCCATCCATCCATGCATGCATCCATCCACCCACCCACCTATCTATTCATTCACTCACAAATCCATCCATCCATCCATCCATCCATTCACTCACCCACAAATCGATCCATCCATCCACCCATCCATCCATCCATGTGCCCATCCACCCACCCATTCATCTCTTCACCCACCTATCCATCCATCCATCCACCACCCTACAAATTCCTTCCTTCCTTCCTTCCTTCCTTCCTTCCTTCCTTCCTTCGTTCCTTCCTTCCTTCCTTCCTTCTTTCCTTCCTTCCTTCCTTTCCTTCCTTCCTTCCGTGGTTCAATATTTACTGTGTGCTTACCAGGTTCTACCAGGTTCTAGACAATGCGCTAGGTTCTGGGGTCAACCCAACTCTTCAATTCTAAAATAAAAATTATCTCATTAAATACCTCCTTGCAAATCCTGTCTGCTCTACCTCTGAAGCTATCCTGAATGTGACCCTCTTTCTCCACCTCCAGTCTCCACCCTGGTCCCAGCCACCATCCTCTCTCACCACACTCATTGCAGTAGCCTCCTTCCTGCTCTCCTTCCTCTCACCTCACCCCCCACAGTCTGTTTTCCACACACAGTCAGACAAAAATCAAGTCCCTCTTCTGCTCACAAGGCTCCTGTTGCTCCTGTCATTCTTCGAGGAAAAGCCAGGGTCCCTGTGATGGCCCACGAGACCCTGCGTGATCCTGGCCCCCAACTTGTCAGCTCTCTGAATTCATCTCCTACCCCTGCCTCCTCACTTTCCTCCACCCCACTTCTCCCTTGCTGTTTCTCCAACTCACTGAGCATGTCCCCATGTCAGGGCCTTTGCACTGGCCATTCCTTAGTCTGAAACCCTCGCCCCAAACAGCCATGAGGCTCCCTCAGGTCTCTGCTGAAAGGCCACCTTCTTAGGAAAGTCTTCCCTGACCTGATTCAAAACAACCCTCTTCATCTCCCTTCATCTGCTTTATTTTTCTCCTTGACGATCCACTCATTTATGTCTTTGTTTATGGTCTCTCTCCACCTGCTCGAATGCAAGCTCCACAGGGCAGTGAACAGATCTGTTGTGTTCAGTGTGGTATCCCCACTGCCTGGCACACAGTAGGCCCCCAGACAGCGTTTGCTAAATGAGTGAAAGCTCCCCGCCCCTTTAGGTAAGGCTGGTTGCTTTCATTCTATGGAGGACTTGCATATGCCTTTTGCCAGTGGTTCCCAAATGTGTCTGTTCATAACCCTCCTGGCCTCTCATTAAATGGATTTGCAGGCCCTTTCCCAGGATGGGATTCATGGTTTTTTCTGACTACTTCCCTTCTCACCATCTCTGTCCCTTTCTGAATGCCACCAGCTGGGACTCACTGCCTGCTGTGACTCACCATGCCTCCCCTCTCCCTGCCTCCTATCAGTCCCAAAGCCCTGTCAGCCCATCCCATGCCCTGCTCTCCTGGGAACCTGCCTTCAACTCAGCCTCTGCCCTACCCCAGCTGCACCGTGAGCCTCCAGCCTCTAGCCTCCAGCCTCATCCCTCCAACCCATTATCCTCACTAGGATCACTGTCCTTGCAGGATGCTCTTAAAGGGCCAATCTGGCCACATCACTCCTCAACTTACAACCATTTAGCCTGCAGCCCTGGGCTTAGCCGGGCCACCTCTCCTGCCAAGCGCTGGCCACCCCGGCCTGGTGCCTTCTGCCCTGCACTACTGGTGGTGGCCTCAGTGCCTGCTCAAGTGGTGCCTTTGCCTAGAGCACCCCTCCCTGGTCCCCTGTTTTTCCAGCTGGCTGGCTGTTAGCTAGCCTTCCACTTGCCCTCGTGGGGCCCTCTTGAGGTTGCCCCCTGACAGCCCCGACAACAGGCCAGGGCTTCCCCTGGGCTCCTGCATCCCCCTGGCTTCCTCCAGCCTGGCTGTTATTACACTGACTTACAATTACTGGTTTCTCTGCTAGACCCCATGGTCTGAGTCCTAGTGCCCTTGACCTCACGGTCAAACCAGCTGGCTCAGTGCCCATGGACAGGTCACTGTGTATCAATGACCCTCAATTTCCTCATCTGTAAAATGGGAATAATAACTGCTAGAGGGATATTGTAATCAAATAAGTCAAGCAAAACACTTGGAACAATACATGTCAGTCCACGGCATTCTTTTTTTTTTTTTTTTTCTCTGAGATGGAGTCTCTCTCTGTCGCACAGGCTGGAGAGCAGTGATGAAATCTCGGCTCACTGCAACCTCCTCCTGTGTTTAAGCAATTCCTGTATCTCAGCCTCCTGAGTAGCTGGGACTACAGGTGCACGCCACCATGCCTGGCTAATTTTTGTGTTTTTAGTAGAGTTGGCCAGGTTGATCAGGCCTGGCTGGTCTCGAGCTCCTGGCCTCAAGTGATCTGCCCACCTCAGCATCCCAAAGTGCTGGGATTACAGGTGTGAGCCACCGCGCCCAGCAATCCACAGCATTCTTATCCAGAAAATCCTACAGACTGGGAGCTCAGGAGCTGCACCCAGTAGGTGCATGTAGCTGACCTGGGCCTCCTGCAACTGGCAGGGGTGGAGCCAGGGGGACTGGAAGATCACTTTGGCCTCTCTGTGACTTTCTCCTTAGTAAGAAGCCTCTATCTGCTCCTGTTGATATTTAAAAATATCTGTTATTTGATTTGGGGGTGAAGGAAGCAGCTTTTCAGCTTTGTGTTGTTTGCTATGCTGTTTTCTCTTCTAACCTTTGAGCCTGTTTTCTGACTTTGCCTTCTGCTCTTGTTTTTGTGTGGCTGTTTTTAGCTGACCTTTTGCATCTGACCTTTTAATCTGAGCTCAGAGTCCCTGCCCTTGCTCTGGGTCTCAGGGGTGCTTGGTTGGGGAGGGGGCAACAATGCATCCTACTGTGGCACACCTTCCACAGGGAAGCTCTGACTCCGGGCATTCACCTGGAGCCCGCCTGTGTTGGGCACTGCACATGTGCTGGCTCCTTCATTCCATTTTTTTTTTTTTTTTTTGAGACGGTGTTTCACTCTTGTCACCCAGGCTGGAGTGTAGTGGCACCATCTTGGCCCACTGCAACCTCTGCCTCCCAGGTTCAAGCAGTTCTCCTGCCTCAGCCTCCCGAGTAGCTTGGATTACAGGTGCATACCACCATGCCCGGCTAATTTTTGCATTTTTAGTAGAGACGGGGTTTCACCATATTGGCCAGGCTGGTATGGAATTCCTGACCCCAAGTGATCTGCCCACCTTGGCCTCCCAATGTGCTGGGATTACAGGCTTGAGCCAATGCGCCTGGCCTGGCTCTTTCACTCCTTAATGGGGCCCATAGCGGGTATCCTACAGCTGGCAAACAGTAGGGCTGGCAGCAACAAGGTCCTTGTCATCTACACGGGCTTCTGCCACTTCTCATTCCATGACTGCTGAGCCACCAGGATGGCCATGGTACATTGCTAAGTGACAAAATAAAGCTGTGGGCTACACATAAAATGATACCATTAAAAAAAGAAATGAACCCCCTCCAAACTTGTATCTGCCAGTATATGAAAGAACAAACAAGAGAAAGAAACAAGTTACCAGATTTCCTCAGATTTAAGTCCAATGGTAAGTCGAGCCATGATTTTATGTACCATGAAGAAAGAAAAAAGGACTTCCAATAAAACTATGACGTGCTGTCAACTGCAAGACATATCCTGACTTCAGAGATGTTAAAATGCGGGGAAAAAAGTGCATCCCAGAATTGACAAAATAGGGTATCGACAGTGTGGTTACATCAGGTAAATGTGGGATGTGAGGAGAGGAAAATTATTCATTTTGCCATAGATCCTTCTGTATCATTCCATTTGTTGCGACAAGCATGCATTATTTTTGTAATTCAAATGACTGTAGTTTAAAAAAGGAAAATAGGGTTTTCCAAGCTGTTGCTGCCTGGTTTCTTTTCTGGCCACCCTGTGGGTTGGGGACACAGTAATTGCTGGCTTCTCCGGGGTGCTCTGCTGGGGGAGAAGCTGGGGGCTTTTCGGGGGGTGGGGCAGGTAAGCACCAGGCAAGAAGCACCAGTCTCTTTCCAGAGCTTGGCCTGCATGGGTCTAATCAGCAGAAATTTCCCTTTATTAAGGCCTGGCCCCCAAACCCCTCATTAAGGGCTCTTTAAGCTG
The DNA here is from genome assembly GCF_000001405.40 of Homo sapiens. Taxonomy (NCBI): domain Eukaryota; kingdom Metazoa; phylum Chordata; class Mammalia; order Primates; family Hominidae; genus Homo; species Homo sapiens. Next base: position 10,492,383 of record NC_000003.12, read on the forward strand.
GAAAGTACACAGTGGAGCCACAAACAATGCGACAAAGCCGAAATTTCCAAAGAACGGGACAGCTGAGTGCTCTTCCTCCCTTGGAGACTCTTTCTCTGAGCCCCACCTCCAATCTAGAGCCTTGCCCTCTTTCTCTGGCCTCCCTCCATGGCTGCTACCTGATGTCAGACTTGTTCCAGATGAGCTTCTGTCTGCACTGGCCCTCTCCCCAGCTAGAATGGATGCCACGGGAGACTGTGAATTGCAGCTGCCTCATTTGCGACTGCACCCCCTTTGCCCATGCTCTCCCTCTCACCCCGCTTCCTTCTCCCTCTGGGGTGTCCAGAGAGACTCAGGAAAGGCAGGTGGATCAAGGCGGGGGTTTCTAGGCAACCTCTCCACTGTCATTTCTCTCCTGTCTTGCAGATACCGGGTCAAGTGTGATGGTGAGGGAGGATACTGGTGTCCCTTTCACAGCTGCGCAAAAGAGAGCAGATGGAACTTGAACTTGGCCGAGGCTGCCACCCAGGATGGCTTTCAAAGGACATTTTCTAGGATGGCGCCTCCTCCTCTGCTCCCACTACCTCCCTCGAGAGAAGGGCTGTTCTGGGTTTATTCTTGCCTCCCCTGTACCACCTCTCCATATCTGGCCAATTCATTTGTTCATTCATTCATTCATTCATTCATTCCACACAAATCTGCTGAGCACCTCCCCTGTCCTAGGCCCTTGAATACAGAAGTGAATGAGACAGATATGCTTCCTGCCCTCAAGCTACTGATTGTCTAGGGAAGACAGACAGACAACAAACAAGGGAATAAATACAGAAAATAATGTCAAGGGTGGTACATGCTATTCGAAAACAAGTGCCATGACAGGGAATATAGGTGAGGGGGTGGGGGAGCTCTTTTAAATAGATCAGGGATGGCCTTAATGAGGAATTACCACTCAGCTTGATGAGAAGGAATCTATGAAATAAACCGAAGGGGAAAGTGTAGTCTAGATGGGGAAATAGCATGTGCAAAGGCCCTGAGACAGGAAAGAGGCTGATGAGTTTGAGGTACAGAAAGAAGGGCAGTAAACGAGAGGAAAGCCAGGAGAGGGGTGGGGAATGAGGGTCAGACCCAGAAGGGCTTACAGGCTGCAGAAAGGAGTCTCGACTTGTTCCTGTACATCAAGGGGAGGACTGTGGAGTTTCAAGCAGGAACACTACTATCTGATATATATTCTTAAAAAAGATTCCTCTGGCCACGCAGGAAGAACAGACGATTGAAAGGGCAAGAGAGGATCTGGGGGACCAGTAGGGAAGGCCCCTCCCTTCATCTATTCTACATGCATGCACTCAACAGTGTTCTAATGAAATCACTGAAAACAAACACAAACACAAAAACAAACAAAACACACTGGCTGGAGATCATGACTCCAGAGGCCCAGAGTGTGTTGCCCAGGAGCTTACAACAAAGAGAGGGGCAGGAAGGCCCTCAGAAGGGGGAGACCCTTAGGTGGGGGTTGAAAGTCAGGCAAAGTCTCAGAGGTGGGGAAAAGGGTCAGTGTGAACAGGGCCTGTGCTCCAGTTCATATCACATGGCCACATTTCTAACTGACCTGACAAAGGAAAAGCGGCATGAAGGTGAAGTGTGGGGCTGGGAAGGTAGGGTGGGGACAGGCACTCCATCACAAATGCACTGGACACAGACCGAGGAGTCTAGGCTTTATCCACTTGGCAACGGGGAGCACTGAAGACTTTGACCAGAGTGACAGGCCTGGTGGACATTCTGAGAAGTTTCTCCTGGTGGCCATGGGGGGTCTATGGGGAAGGCTAGGGTGAGATTAAGGGAGAGATGGTGAAAGGTGCTCCCTCCCTACTCTGATCCCACGACTGCTGCTACCACTGATAGCTGATTTTTTCATAGAGATTCCCTTGCATCAGGCATGGTTCTAGGCTCCTTACATGTAACTCATTTAATCTGCACTAGAATCCCATGAGGTTGGTACTAGTATTTTTGCCCATTTTACAGACGAGGAGACTGAGGCACAGGAAGTTAAGTCATTTGCTCAAGGTCACATAGCTCGGAAGTGTTGGGGAATCATGCCCAGGCCCTCAAGCTCCAGGGGCTGCTCTTAACCACTGCCCTGTGCCTTCTCCTCCAGTTAAGATGCCACAATTCTGCATCCTGGGATTTAATCTCCTTGGCAGAAGAAAACTCTCTTTGGGAAGTGCCCTTGGCTGCCCTCTGAGGCCTCAAGAACACCACAACACACTGCTCAAAGGACACTAACTGACCAGCACCCAATCATGTTCTATTGCTAACCTGCTGTGTGACTGGAGACAAGTCCCTGGACCTCTCTGAGAATCTGTGCAGTGTAATAAGAATGTCTCCTTTACAGAGTGGCCTTCAGCCCCACATGCTGCTACCTGGGGTGATAATCACCACCCTCGGCATTGGGTGGGGGCTACGTACATATCTCGAATCATCTCCACAATGGCTATGGTCATTTCCCCCCAAGACAGAGGTCAAAACCCTGAGGCTCAGAAAGGAACAGTAACTCACTGAGGGGGATACAGCTTGTCAGTGGCAAAGTTGGAATTTGAACCACAGTTTCCTCAATAGCAGCTGGCAGGTGCTTAAGACATGTAAACCACCTCTTCCCCAAATGTGGAGCCAGTGTGGCTCCAAACCTTCAAGAGTCACCTGCTGTCTTGTAGGGAGGCAGGATAAAGACCAAGGACATGGTCAATTCCTGGGGGCCAGGCCTGTTGCTGCTGAAGAGTCAGTCTCAAGGACACCCTGAACTTGTCCCCGTGGGCAGTTGCATTGGGACATGGGCCAGGTATGAATCACCCTATTCCCAGTTTGACGTCTGGCCCAAGCCACGCCTTTTTCCTGGAGGGTTGGGGGAGGGGCTAATACCATGGACAGGGTGCTGGGCTTTGGACTCTACTCTGCAACCTTGGTCAATTCCTCTCCGGCCTCAGTCTCCTCTTAGGTCCAATGCAAAGGGGCAGGAGCAGAGGGGCTATTCAAGAGGCCTTGGACAAGCCATCCCACATCTCTGAGACCATGTTGCTCATCTGTAAATGGATCCAGTCGCAGTGGTGAGAGTAAAGGAAACTTTTGCACACGGAGCCCCTAGCATCGAAATTGCTCGCTAAACGAGAGCTGTCTTGGTTATGACAGGTTACCCGGGGGCTGTAGTGAAGCCCACTGTAGACGTTCCCAGGGCCAGGGAAGCTGATGTCTCCACTCAGCTCAGAATTTCCTTCCCCTGAGGTCATGGGGCAGACTCAGGCCTCTGAGAGGGCAGAGAAGTGCCTAGAAACAGCCCTGGGTCCCAGTGCCAGGTCTCGCTTAATTTTATTGCTACTCCCTGAGTGCAGGAGTGGCCCAGGCCACATACTCTTCACCACACTGACCCCATTTTGTAGATAAGGAAACTGAGGCTCTGGAAGCTCTAAATACTGTGGTGGTGAGGCTGAGTCTTGGTCCTGGAAGTTATTCATGGCCTAGCCCCCAGGCAGGGCACCCGCAGTCGTATACCACCTTCTACCTGGGGCTGCCTCCGCCTCCCAGCAGGAGTTGTTTCTGGAGCTGATTCATCTCTGAGCTCAGCAAGGAGCCCGACAAACAGCCTGGTCCACACCAAATACTTAGCTAATACTGGTTTTATTGATTTGCATTCTATGCCCTCTTCAGGATGCTCTGAGCTCAGAAATCTGAAATTGGCTGGGGGTGGGATGGGGAGAAGGGCTTCATTTTAATCTGAAGTGAGTCATGTAAGTTGATAAATTTAGAAGTGGCCTAAAGAGCTCTTAATCTGCTGCCTTCAGATAGTTGCTAGGAAGAGACTGGCACCCAGCAACCTTTGCATCCCAAATCCACATAACAGAGTGGACACTGTTGGTGCCCACCCTAGTCCTCCTTACCGGTCTGCAGCTTCCACACCCCAGCTGCTGGGAGCTAGAGCTCCCGGCTGCCCCTTCTTTGCAGGCTTGCCCTGGGAAGAACAGGAGCTCCTGCCCGGGCAATTGCACACAGCATCCCACTCAGAAGGCAGCCGTGGCCAATAACTATCTGATATGGGGTATGAAAGGCCAGCTTTTTTGCTTCAAGGCAGAGCCAAACCTGGGGCGCAGTTCATGCCCCACATCCCCCAAGGGATCAGCTGAGGCCACACGCTTGTTTATCTCTTTCTCTCCCTACCTTGTTTCCTTTCAGCCCCTTTCTCCTGAGCGCTGTCTCATGCTTGCTCCTAGTGAGTCCAACCCAAGATCCACACACATTGCACTCCACACGCAGACACTAGCTCCACCCCTCCAACCCCGCCCCTTCCCCCGTGACCTGGACATCAGCAATGTCCAGGCAGCTTCGAATTTTAGACATTTAAAGTCTCAGGGGGCCCATCTGGCTCCAAAAGGCTTGTTTCAAAGATGGGAAACTGATGCTCAGAAAGAGACTGTGACTTGTCCAAGGTCACTTGAAGTGCTTGTCATGGCTGGCTGCACCCAGGTCTTTGTCCTCCCCCCAACTCCAATCCACTTTGTGGCCCTAGCCTGTCTGGTGGCTGGACCAACGGGCCAGCCACGGCTTTTGCTGTCTCCAGGAGGGAATTTTGCTGTGTCAACTCTGCAGAAGCCACTTGGAGGCCAGGAGAGTGCTGGCTGGTGGGCTTGCAGGATGGTTGGCAGGCTCTGCTGACCTTGGGCAGCTGTGGGCAGGGTGGGCATCCCAGTTAGGCCCCTTCCACTGTTTGTGGTGGTCAGGCAGAAAATTGAGGGAAGACAGAAACGACTTCTAATGAGGGCCCTAATTACCCTGTGGATCCCTGAAGCACTGGTGATGTATCTGCTGGTGGCTTCTTCTAGAAACCCTCCTCTCCATGGCAAGAACTGCTTTCTCCATAAGAGAAAGAGTCCTGAACCAACATGGGCAAAGAGGCAGCATTGGGCTGGTGCCTGGACATTGGGCTGTGGTTCCAGTCTGCTGGGAGCTGGCTGTGTGATCCTGGGCAAACCAGCATGCCTCTTGGCCCTTGGTTTTCTCAGCTATAAAGCAAGTGCAGCCTCAACTGCTATTATTTTATTGAGCCTAGTGTTTATTTTAGTATCATTTATTGAACTAGAAGAGACTCATTAAAGTTCATCAAATAATAATTGCTTACACTTCTGCCAAGGGCTGTCCTAAGCACTTTAATTTTACTTAATCCTCACAACAATCCTATGAATTGGACACTTTTGTTATCCCCATTTTACAGATGGTGGGACTAAGGCACAGAGAAATTAAGAAACTTGTGCTGGGTCACACAGCATGGAAATGGTGGAGCAGGAATTAGAATCCCAGAGTCTATGCTTTAAATTCCTCCTTGTACTACGGTCTTTGCTGTTTGTTTTGCACGGCCATTTATTAAGCACCTACTGCATATGGGGACTCTGCTGGTCACGTAATACACACAAAAGTTTGCCGACTTCTCACAGCTGCTCCGGCAAGCAGGTGTTCTTTTGCTGATTGTTTCAGAGTGGACACAAAGGACCCAGTGAGGGACTCACCGCAACTGAGCTGGGGAGGCAGGTGGCAATCCTGGCTTCTTCCCACCAGCCTGGTGGCTCTGTTCTGAGCCCCTTATAAAACTGATCTTATTTATCATATTTTCTTGACTCTAACCTGTATCACTACTTTACGTATATTTAAGAAATAAAAGGCATGGCTGGTTCCACTGTGGTGTAACACCAGTTGTCAGGCACAACCTGGCTTCAGAAATGTCAAAATGTATATCTTGGAATCCGCACAGTTCAGTCTCCGACACAACGGCCTGATGAGGCAGGCAGTGTTGTCATCTCCATTTGACAGTGGAGGGAACGGAGGCTTGGAGATTAAGGACATGCAGCTGGTCAGCGGCCAGGCATTGGATGTGACCCCAAGCAGCCTGGGCCCAGATGTTGTCCTCAACTACTGCGCTACATCAACGCTAAGTCAGGCCCACGTAGGATGGCGTGCCCTGCCCATGGGCACAGATCAAAAAACTTCAGAAGGATCAGTGAGCTGGAGGCCAGCACCCTCTGCTCCGGATGAGCCTGGGGGCCTCACTCAGCGTGGATGCCTCAGGCATGCAGGAGGCACCCCAAATGGCTGCCACAGCATTCCCCGCCCACTGCCTCCACAGCTCCCTTGGGCCTGCAAGGCAGGTGTTTGACAGAGCTGGGCTAGAATGAGTTCATCCAGATGACGCCCCCATGGCTCCCACAAAATGGTCCCGGGGCAGCCAGACATGGCCCGGTAGAGTAGCCCAGCCGGCACAGGAAAGGCACCACTTTATAGGAAACTGCCTTCAGAGGCAGCACAGAAGCTTGCAGAGACCTGCTTTCTTCCTTCAAAGCTACATGGTGCTTGGACCCCAAACGGTGTCATCCATTCACTGCTTCTCCCATAGGCTCCACCAATCCCATATGCTCCACTATGGCACGACTGCTCCCAATTTTCCCAAATCAAATCCACCCTCCTTGGACTAGGATGTGCCCCTTCTGGGGACATCTTTAAGATGCCCACAAGCAGGGCAGAAGCTCAACATATTTCGAATGCCTGGCATGATGAGGGTTCCATTTGAGACATTACCTACCCATCATCTCGTGGCACAATCTTGTGAGGCAGGTTTTTCCCACTCCACTTTGCATATCAGGATGTCAAGCTCAGAGAAGCAAAGCTACCTGCCCAAGGTCACACAGTAGTAAACACTGGCATTAGGATTTATACTCAAATCTTTCTGATGCCACAAAGGAGGCCACTTTCCATCAATTTCTGGCGAGGCCCTGAGCCAAGTGCTTCCTTTGCATTACTTCACCAAATCCTCATACAACAAATAATAGCATCATCATAATACTACCACTATCCCATCTTACAGGCAAGAAAACATCCGCTGAGCCTCTACCTGGACCACACCCGGGCCAAGCCCTGTACTTGGATCCTGTTTGCCTCACGTGACAACCGGGAAGATGGGTGCTCAGCTAACCCTTGGTTTACGGAGGAGCAAACTGAGGCGAAGTCACTGGTTCAACCACACACAACCGAACGCACATGACTGAATAAGCAATTCCCCTCCCACGCATTACATGGGAAAACAAAAAGCATTTGTAAAGTGCTTGCGGACACATTTTAGCGATTAGTACTATTATGATGAACATTTCGGTACTTGGCAATTACCCCATAAAGTCAGTGCTGCTGCCCCTATTCTCCGGAAGAGCACAATGACGTTCACAGAGTCAGTGGCAGAGACAAGGAACTGTGGCTCTCAATCCTCTGCCACATGTTGGTCTCCTGGGACCACGGCTGGGCCCCTTCACACCTTGAAGCTCCCCTGCCTGTCTCCAGCCTCTCTCTGGTGCCCAGGAGCCCCTGCAGACCTGGGGTCTTCATAGGGCTGGCTGGAATTCCTGCCCCATGGATTCCTAGCTGTGGGCCCTAAGGGGTCTCTGGGCATCCCCCAGCCAGCTACAAAAAGGTGGAAAGGTGAAGGAGCACCAGGGACCTGGGTTCAAATCCCAGCTCTGCCCCTCACTTGCTGTGTGACTTGGGCACATTCTTTTTTTTTTTTTTTTTTTTTTGAGATAGAGTCTCACTCTGTCACCCAGGCTAGAGTGCAATGGTTCCATCTTGGCTCACTGCAACCTCCACCTCCCAGGATCAAATGATTCTCCTGTCTCAGCCTCCTGAGTAGCTGGATTACAGGCATGCACCACCAGGCCCGGCTAACTTTTTTTGTATTTTTAGTAGAAACGGGGTTTTGCCATGTTGGCCAGGCTGGTCTCGAACTCCTGACCTCAGGTGATCCACCTGTCTTGGCGTCCCAAAGTGCTTGGATTACAGGTATGAGCCACTGCGCCTGGCCTGACTTGGGCACATTCTTAATGTCTCTGGGCCCTGGTTTCTGTAATCCGGAAAATGGGTGATGGTGAAGAAGAGATAAGACTGTGTGCAGGTCTTATGAGCAATAAACACCTCATAAATCTTAGTGACTGCAGTGGGTTGAACGGTGTCCTATCCAAAGTTCATGCCCACCTGGAACCTCAGAATGTGACCTTGTTTGGAAATAGGATCTTTGCAGATGGAATTAGCTAAGGATTTTGAGATGAAATCATCTTGGGTCTAGGTTGGGCCCTAAATCCAATGACCAATGTCTTTAGAAGCAGAGGAGAGGACACCGAGAGACACACAGGAAGGAGTGAGGTGAAGATGAAAGCAGAGATGGGTGTGACGCAGCCACAAGGTGAGGAAGAGCAAGGGTTGCTGGCCACTGCCCGTAGCTAGGGAGACAAGGGACAGGCTCTTCCTCAGCCTCTCCAGGAAAAGCCAACCCTGCTGGCTCCTGACTCTAGACTTCTGGCTTCCAGAAGTGGGAGACAATACACGTCTGTTGTTTGAAGCCACCTAGCCTGTGGTCATTTGTTATGGCAGCCACAGAAAACAAACACAACGGGCTGTCCCTGCAGTTGCTCTCCTTGCTACTTCCTGAGACTTGCAGTGTTTCTGACCCTTCACCCCAAGGGGCAGTGGGCAGGAGAAGCTGCCCTCACCAAGGACACTGGGGGGCAGGATCACTGACCCCTCTCACAAGGGGAGAGCTTGGGACCAGAGGGCTTACACAGCTTTTCCAAGGTCACTCGCCAGTGATGAGCCGGCCTGGGACCCAGCTCTCCTGACCCTCAGACCAACACACTCTCCCCCATACCCAGGGACCTCTGTTTCTTTAGGAACCTGAGCTGTGGCCCCTGCTCGGGCCTGGTCACTTGCCCTCCTGGTCCTGCCAGCCGTGGTCTCTGGCCACATATCTGGAACTCTCTGACCCTGCAGAGATTTCCTAGACTGTGAATGACACTTCTAAGGCTTTTACCGTCACTCCCGCTTCCCCCTGCCTCCCGCCGCCTCCATCCAGACTGTCAAGTGAAGACCGGGGTGAAGCCGAAGCCACACTGCCCAGCAGGAGGTCCCAGGAGTTTTCCATAGCATAACCCATTTTTTAAACGGTTTTTTTTTTTTTTTGAGACAGGGTCTCGCTCTGTCATCCAGGCTGGAGTGCAGTGGCACAATCACGGCTCACTGCAGCCTTGACCTCCCGGACTCAAGCGATCCTCCCACCTCAGCCTCCTGCATAGCTGGGACGACAGGAGTATGCCACCACACCCTGCTAATTTTTAAATTTTTTGTAGAGATGGGGTCTTGGAGAGTGCCCTTGGAGCATGGCTCCCAGCTGTCTGCTGAGAAGATGGCCTTGTTTTGGATTTGAGGGTTCATCGGTCCTCAGGAGGGCCTGATTTAGCTGTGCAGGGTGAAGCCAGGGGCTAGGGGTTGGTAGGGGACTGGTGGGGAGAGGAAATGAGTTTCAGTCTCATTCAGTCACCCACTAGGCTGGAGACCTCAGTTTCCCCACGTGTGACAGGTACAGGCAGAACAGCATGGTGTCTAGGCCACCCCCAGCTCTGAGCGCCTATGTGCTCCACCAAGCCCACTCTTAAGCACCTCAGCTCCCCAGGGTGCGGAGTGAAATGGGTGAAAACCCAGGGGTACCTGTGGAAATGTAGCCCCTGGGACCTCCTGATTCATCAAGGTAGGGCCCAGAAATCTGCCCCCATCAGGTGATCTTTAGGTTAATTAATGCATTAATGGGTTTCCTGACCCATACCTGTGGCTGGGCAGGGGGAAGGCAGAGGAGGGCAGTGGGACAGCAGGCGGATGGGCCAGTGTTTCAGGCTCTGCACATAGCATAAGCCACAGGCAGCTTTTCTGACCTCCGATCTGCAAACTAGAGATTTCTTTCCTTTTTTCCCTTTCTGATCTCAGAGTTGGCCAGTTGCAGCAGCAAGGTGCTCACCTGCTCCGGCTCCTGATCCTGATGCCAATCACACCTTCGTGCACAGCCCTCTACAGTGTCCAGGGCTCTCTGGCAGCTGTGGCATAAAACAGGGCAGAGATAGGCCTGCCTGGCCACAGATGAGAAGATTGAGGGCAGAGAGAGGAAGTGACTTGGCCAAGATCACACAGCTGGTCAGGAGCAGGGCTGGGCCCAGGGCTCTCATACTTTCCACCCACAGTCAAACACCTGGGGAAAACCAGGGGCCAACACAGGCCTCTGCTGCTTCTTGTCTGGGGCCTGAGAGCACTTGCAAGAAGCCCAGGTCTCTACAGAACACGGTGTGACCTTGGACAAGTCCCTGTGCCTGGCTGGGCCACAGTTTCCTTTTTATAAACGGTCCCAGCTAGGTGGCCTCAGAAGGCATCTGTCTGCTTTGGCTTTCTAGGCATCAGCAACTCCATAGGGTAAAGGGACGACACAGCGGTCCGGCTGCCTAGGTCAGGGCCACGCCCGCCTGGGGAAGGCTCCTCCGCCTTCACCCATAGGAGATCCTCTTCACTCTTTCTCGGAATCTTGCCACAAAATTCTAAGTTCTTGAGCTATAGGTTCCCAAAATTTTGGTACCCCAATTTGAACTGGCCTCATGCCGAAGGGTCAAAGAGGGTAGTTGGGCACCTGGTGGCCTGCCTTCTACCTCCCCTCTGCCACATGCCAGCTGTGTGACCTTGGGTGACACAGCTTCACCTCTCTAGATACAGCGTCCTCATCTGGGACGTGGGGATAACAGGGCTATGGGCGTCCTCACTGAGATGATACGTGCAAAGCAGTTAGCTGGGTGAATGCTAGCTGGATTACTATTATTTACTTGGGTCCCCTGACCCATACCTGCGCCTGAGCTGGGGGAACGCAGAGGAGGGCAGCGGGACAGCACAGGAGGGTGCCAGCATTTCAGGCTCTGCATACAACGTAAGCCACAGCAGCTTCTCTGACCTTCAGTCTGGAGGGGACTTTGGAGTCTGCTGAAGGTGTTCCAGGCCCCAGCTCTCAGAGACCCCATAGCAGCGGGCTGGTTTCCTGATGCCAGGGAGAGGGCTGGTGGGGCCAGTCTGGGCTCCTGGCGGTCTGGGCCACGGGCAGCAGCTGCGTCCCTGGCCGCCTCTGTCTCCTTTCCAACTTTGGGCAGCCTTCTCTGAAGAACATCAATAACCCAAGATGGCCTTGCTGAGTCTAATCACAGCTCCCTGGGAATACGGGCTGGCCCTCCCCCAACGCCTGTGTGAGGCTGTGGCGGGCACTTAGGATCCAGTATCCCTCTGTCCTCATCGGAAGTCCCTTAAGGGGCAAGCTCTCCCTAGCACCCACAGAGCCACCTTGCCTCCTGGAAGCTGAGGGGGCGGGTGTGTGCACGCAGCATCCGCAGAGGTGCTGCATCTGTGTGCCTGTGGCCGTCTTCTTATGTGTGCAACTGACATTCACCTGTGGGCACATTCCAGCATGCCATGTGCCTGCCAATGCACGGGCAGGCACGCAGATGGCATTCAGAGCCCCACATGTGTGTGCCTGTTGTTTTCACACCTGAGCCAGCCCTCAGGTGGGTACACACATTTCTGGCTGTTGCAGGGCACTGTGTGCAGCCTACTGCTTTCCCGTGTTAGTGCTACATGCATGTGTGGGCAAGCTGCATGCACAGGTGTGTATGTGTGTACTGCATTCGTGTGTGTGCTGTGTTTTGCACGTGAGCATGTGGTGTTCAGGAACGTGGGTTGTATTTACAGGTGCTGGGGTGTGGGCATGGGCATTCCATATGTGTATATATGATTTGGACATATATGACGCACTACTTATGGGTACTATATTTGTATCTGTGCATATGTGTGAATTTGTGGGCATGCATATGCCCTGATGTGAATGGGACTAGGGTGTGAAGGTGGCTAAATAATGGTGGCCATCAGCATCTTTCCTGGACCCCCAACCCCCCACAGGACTCCCCAGAGCTGCAGCCCCTTCTTTGCCACTGCTCCTTCAACGAAGTTAACAGGCGGAGGCCCCCAAGGCCTGCGCTCCAAGCCCCCTCCTACTGCACACGTCAAAGGAGAATTTCTCCGGATGGCGCCCGCTGATCCTGGAAATACCCCAAACGTCAGCTCTGCCTCCTCCCAGCGATTCGGAGAGCAATGCAGGAGAGGAGGGAGCCCCTTCCACGCTGGGCTCAGGGCATGCAGCGTCGCACTAAGACCCTCTGCCGGCTGGTCGGGCTTGCCTGCTCACTTACCCTTCTGAAGGTCGAGCCAGGCTGGGCCTCTGCATGGAGGGCCCGAGACCCCCAGGGCCCTTGCCTGATTGGGGCAGGCCAGTCCAGAGCACCCCCCCAACCCCCAACCCCCAACCTGGGTGAGCAGAGGACAGCCGTGGTGTGGAATAGCTACTTGGCTAGAAAGGGGTTGCTGCTGTCCGCAACCCACCCTCAGGGAGTCCTGAGGCCCCCTGCTGCATTTTCCCATCCTGACCCTGCAGGGGGCAGGGAGGAGCCTCAGGTGCCCTATCCCTCAGCTGGAGACCACTGAGGCTGGCCTAGGAAGTGGGCTTCTGGGCAGAGGGTGCCGACTCCACCACCCAGCATGACTGCTGCAAAATGGCCTGGCCACCCGTTCCTGCCACCCTCCTGGCCATGGAGGGGACCCAGGAACACGTCCCTGCCACCACATGACCCGGCTGGCCTGACCCAATGAGTCCCAGCACACAGCTGCCCACCCCACCAAAGGGACGCTTCACAGGGGCCTCCTCCTGCCTCTTTCCTGGGACTCTGACCAGGGTGGGCAACGGGCACCCTCCAGTCCTCTTGGTCTCCCTGGGACCGGCTCAGAGAGAAGAGAACCTTGTCCCCTGCCACCAGCTTGCTGGCCCTTGCATAACATCCTTAGGGGGCATTTGCAGTCCAGAGGCTGCCGGAATCTACCTGAGACCCTGGGCATCCGCTTGTCCGAGGCCCCCCTGTCCTAGTCCCCAGCATCCAGCCGTCCCCCACAACACGCGGACCCTCACACTAGTGTCTCCCTCAGCGGCGGCTCCCAGTGCAGCCTCGGCTGCTGCCAGATAAACAAGCCCTGCTCCCACCCCCCCTCCACGCTGCCACCGCCACCACCATCAGCACTGAGAAAAATCAAATGAAATGAAACAAAATAAAATGGGTGAGGGAGGAAGGGGAGAGTGGAGTGGGGCGCTTTTTATTTTTTATTTTCTCATGCTGGGGGATGCCGGTACTTACTTGGCTATGAAAATCACCACCAATCCTGCACGGTTTCCCGGCGGGCAGCCCCGTAATCGCGGTGCGGCAGCTGGTGCCGCGGCTGAGCCCAGCCAGCGTGCCCGGGCCCCTCTGCAGACTGTACCATCCTGCCCGAGCGGGTGGGGGGCGGGGGGCGGAGGCGCCGGCGCCGGTTCTAGGAGAGCATCTCGCCGGCAAAATGCAATCTCGGGGGAGGCAGAGGCCGCCCCTGCCGCTGCCGGAGGCTGGGGGATGGGGGCGGGAGGAGGGAGGGAGGGAGGGACACAGGGAGGGCCGGTTCTGGAGGGGGCACGGGGGAGGAGAGTGGGGGGCGGGGGGGGTGTGTGGACCGAACCACCACGCTGTTGTTTGCGGTTTTAATTCCTCCCGTGGGATCATGAGGAACCGAAGCTGGCAGAGTCCCAGGAATATGCCCGCTCCCCAGAAGCAGGAGGGAATGTCAAGGGCACGGAGAGGGTAGGGCTGGGCTGTGCTGGAGGGAAGGGGGTCCTGAGAGTGGTGGTGGGGAGAACGGGAGCAGAGAGGGGAGGATTTTGCTCAAATGGCCCCAAGTCGTCCCTTGCTTTCTGGGGGACTTATTTGGTCAGGGGCTCTGGCCCCCCTCTTTGCAGTCAAGGCACCCCCAGACCTGGGGGGCAAAGGGGCAAAGGTCGCAAATGGGGAGAAGTCGACTCAACACATTTTAAACACATCTGTGTTTCCAGGGCCAGTGGAGCTGAGCCCGCAGCAGCTCTCTGCTGCCCTGAAGCGCTACCCCTGCGACCCGCCCTGCCTGTGTGCGACCCCACCTGCCCTCGGGGGGGTGTGGTGGTGGGGGCTGGCTTGGCAGAAGGGCCTGCCTCAAGAAGGTGCCCACCAGCAGGGGTGTCTGCATGTCTGTACACCCACCTAATCTTCAGGACATCTATGATGAGTTGCAGGCCGACTGTGGGCTGACTGACACTTCCACGGGAACCCAGGGACCCCGGGTGAGGAGTCGGTAGGGTTGGAAGCCCCTAGCCAGCTGCTCACCTCTTCCTGCCTAATCTCTGCCAGACTTGCTGCTCTTTCAACTCCAGATGGGTGGGAGGAGAGCCCTAAGAGCAAGGTTAGGAGGTCACCGGGGGCGAGGGGCTTCTCTAGAATTCTGAAGCCTTGGCCTCCACTGCCCTGCCCCCTCCAGGAGGGGTACCCTGCTTGGAGGGAGGGCACTGAAGGTGGAAGGACCTTCAGGACCAGTGTCTCAGGGCACCTGTCAGGGTGGAGGGGTGCATGGGGGACAGGGGCAGGGCTGGAGGCGGCCCCGGGAGGCAGTTCCAGGCAGAAGCTGCCTCTTTCCCCTGCCCCCACCTCCTGCCCACCTCTGAGCTGCCCGCCCGAGCGTCCCGAGCTGCCGCTCCATCCCTGGGCTGGCACAGAATACCAATTTGTCTCGTTAAGCTGAAAGTCTGCACTGCACCAAAATCAGAACCCGGCCGTGCAGAGGGGCCACGGGAGGGAGACAGTTGGGAGCGCCTGAGGTGGGTCTCCCACCAGTAGGCCATGCTGAGACCTCCTTGCTCCTCAGCCCCCAGCCCCATGGAAGGGTGCCCACCTGCCCCTTAGCCCGCAGGGTGGCCTCAACGCAGGGAGGATGCTGCGAAGCTACGATGTCAAGGGCCGGGTGGTCATTCAAGGCCTTGGCCTCCACTGGGGCAAGGGTGTGAGTCAGAGGCCAGGCAAGGCTCCCTGCTGGGGTTCTGACAGAGCAGCCCAGGACACCCCTCAGGGAGGCTCTCGACCCCACACCAATAGCCCAAGACTGGGGGCTTCCAAAGCAGCCTCATCTCTGCTTCATCTTGCGGGTGCAGATGGGAACTCTACCCCTCTTAGGGGTGTAGTTGGGGGGATTCCACTGGCCACCCCTCTAGGTGGTCTTCTAAGTCAGCAGTCCCTAGTCAGCTCCACCCCAGGGACCAGGGCCAAGCATCTGCCCTTCCCCAAGGCCCACAGGCTCTCCGTTCCCCAAAACAGGCCCGTGTAAAGCTGTTCCGAGATGTTGGAGCGAGGGTGGGCAAAGACGGGCAGAGGCGGAAAGGCCCATTGCACCTCCCATCTGTTGCCAGCCTACATGTCTGTGCCAGGAATCCCACCATTATTACTTCAACATCTTTGGCGGTAAACTGCTTTCCCTGCTTACAAAATAGCCCGAGAAGCAGCCTGTTATGAGCCACACATTTCAACAATCACACTGCCTTCTGTGTCCGGCACACTTTACAGTTTGTAAAGGCCACCTACAAAACAGTAAATCATTTGATCCTCCCAACTACCTCTGGGGTGGCTGCCGTGAGCACCCAAGGTACAGATGGGGAAGCTCTGTGTAGTTCAGGGGGATGTGGTGGCCAGGGCAAGGTGGCACAACCAGTAAAGAGTAGACCAAACTTGTGACGGAGGCCTCTGGACTCCAAGCCCAGGGCTGCCTGCATGCGCAGGCCATCATGAGTGTGGGCTCACTGGGAGCCCTGACACTCGTCCGCTCCCAAGTCTTGAGTCTTACCTTCCCGGTGGTCCCTGTCTGAGACGGGCTGGGCTCTCACCAACGCACACTAGCAGCCAAACTCTCAGGCAGTTGTGGATTTTGGTTTTCAGACCCTAAGACTAGAACTGCCACCTGGCCGAGTTCCCATCTCCTTGACATTCCAGATCCCATGTCTTTCAGCGCCTGCATCCACCCCGCAGTGACTGGATGCCCCTATCTCCTGAGGCAGTGCAAATATTGAACAGCAAAGTTTGAAGGTTTTTCCTTGTGGGTATACCCCAGTTCTAGGCCCACCCTACTCATTCTTCGAAGTCCAACTCAAATTCTGCTTCCCCAGACAGTCCTTCCTGATTCCACCAACTGAGTTGGTTCATGCCTCTGTTCTACCTCTGACCACACTGTATTGTGATGGTCTACACGTCTGTCTCCCTCACTGGGCTGTGACCACATCAGACATGTCTCCAGCATTCCAGGTCTCAGGTCCCAGCATGTGTTAGATGGTGCAGTAAAGGCTTGAATGAGTCTGCTGGACCCTTGAGAACTCCTATCCAATTCTCCCATTTTACAGTTCAGCAAACCGAAGCCTCAAGAAAAAGATCAGGGCTTGCCTAAGGTCATTCTTGAGGGTGGAATCTGGCTGCAGACATCTGTCCCTTGCCCCGTCCCCTTTGCCTTCTCTTCCTGCAGCAGATACACCTGGGTCATCTGGCCTGGCCTTCCAGGATGTGTTGGGGGGCAGGGGGTATTGGACAGGCAGAGGTGTTGTGAAATTAGACAAACAATGGCACTAGTGTTGCAACTCCAGGAAGGTTGGAAATGACAGGTCAGGGTCAGCCACAGGGAAGAGGGGGAAAGAGGCAAGAGGCCAGCTGGGAGGATTACTGATAGCTTCTGCCTCCAGCATGATTTGGCTTATGGTGGACACCGATTGAGAGTCAGGGTTAGGGAAAGGTATGAGACATAGGGGAGGGGGACGGAAGGAGGAGCCAGCCAATCTGATTTTTACTCTGTGTTTAGTTGGCCAGACCATGTTTTTCTCCCTTGGGGAGGGGTCCTGGAGCTGAGACACAGGGTGAGTGAATAGGGTCAGTCTGTCTAGGAATGGGGACACAGAACTTGGCCCAGGCTGCTGGAGGCTCTCTGCACAAGGGCAATAGAGGAGGCTCTCTGCACGAAGGCAATAGAGGAGGTAGGTCCAGGCAGGTCTGAGGGGAGAGGACTGAATGTAATTAGAGGCCAGCTGTGTCTTCGGTATGAGACGTGGGCTCTCTGTTTTTGCTCTTCTTTCTGGGAAGCATGGATGAGGGCTACCCCTGCCCTTGCCTTGCCTGGCTCGGGGTCTGTAGACACCTGGGTAGGAGTTCTGGGGCAGCTCTCAGGTCACTGCTGCCCCAAAGAGCTGTCAGCTGGGTTCCCCGGGGGATAAGAAGGTATTTCCAAAGGTCTCTCACATTCCTGTCTCCTCTGACCCCCACAGATCACCCTCAAAGAGCCCAGGCTTCTTCCCATTTTACAGAAAAGAAAATTGAGACCTGGAGACCACAGGGCCTTACGTGAAAGTTACAGAGCCAGTGAGGACCAAAGCAAGATTGAGGGTCCCACTCAAACCCTAGGCCCCTCTCTCTGCGCCTGCCTAAAGTTACCCAAGTTTGAAGCACACAACTCAGGATCTCTAGCCCCAGACCTTGACGGGCCGTGGACTGTGGATCCAGGGGACCACACGGGCTGGCTTGCCCGAAATCTCCTCTCCAGTCACATGGAAGCCTCGCATCCACTCCCCACTCCCACCAAGGCCTGAAACTCCCTCAGCCAACCAGATCTCGAGTGGAGGCTTTGTGGCCACACAGACCTGGGTCCAACTCCCAGCTCTCTCACTTACAGGATGTGTGACCTTGGGCAAGTGACTCGACCTCCCTGAGTCCCAGGTTTTTTTCATCTGCAAAATGGGTATGATAATACCTATTTGGCGGGGTTGCAAGTTAAAGGAGAATGGCAACTGTTATTAGTGGAAGAAACAGAAGGTGAGAGTCTCCAGCAGGCCCCAGGGAAAATGCTGGCGGAGAGTAGGTGGCTTCCAACTCCTCTGGCTGGTAGATAAGGGTTCCCAGATAGCATCTGCAGGGCTGAGGCTGGTCTGGTCTCTAGTCTATTGAGATTTGAACGCAGGTCACCAATTCTCCCCTCCTCCTACTGGTCCTTGCTCCCTCAGGGAGGAGGTTGTAGGCCTGGCTTCTGGCGAATTCTGGCCAGCCACCATTCACACTGACATCCTACTATGTGCCAGGCATTCTGTGCACACACCTCGTGTGTTCCTCACAAAACCCTGGGAGGTGGATCCTATTTTTATTCCCATTTTACCGATGAGGAAACTGAGGTACAGGTAAAACATTGTAGCGCAAGGTCACAGAGTGAGTAGGGGAATTGGAGCTTGAAATAGGAACTGCAGGAGGCCCTGTGGCGAGCCCAGAAACGCTGTGGGAGGTGGGGTGAATCTGGGTCCTGGAACTGCTTGGGACCTAGGTTTCCCAAAGCAGTGGGCATATCTTCCCGGCCACACAGCTTAGAAAACCTTAGCCCCGTGAGGGTCCACCCTAGGCTCCCACCTGTGTGGGGCAGGTGAGTGGTGATGGCTGACCCTGCCTCCCTTCTGCAAGGCCAGAGGCCAAGGTCAGAGCCATGAGCTCACAGTGTTACTGTGGAAACAATGAGGGATCTGGTGCCTTTCCTCCTGGAAGAACGCAGAGCTTGGGGAAGCAGGAGCTACTCTCAGAGGACTCTCTGGGGCAGACTGCCTTTCCCAGGCACAAGGCCATGGTCTCATCTGCGCTGCCCCTCAGAGCTAATACCTCCTTGGTAATGCGGAGTCATACATGCTGCCCACTCCCGCCCATCAATCCTGACTCCTAACTGTCCTCCCCCCTCCTCCCCTGCCATCCCCTGGCCATTTCCTAACTCCCTGCAGCCTTGGGGAGCTGCCTACATTCCTCCAAACCCTTCTTTGGCTCCTTTGTGCTCTCAGCATCAAATCCAAACTCCTCACTGTGGCTCATGAGGCCCAAATAACCACTCCAGACTGCTCCCATTACCCTCAGACCCCACAGTGGGTCTTTGTTGCTCCCAAAGACACTCTTGCATTTCCGTGCCTCTGCGTCTTTGCATGTGCCACCCCCTCTGCCAGGGATGCCTTCCCTTTCCACTTCTCTGCCTGGAGAACTCCTACTGATCCTTCAAGACTCAGCTCCAGCAGCCCCTCCTCCATGAAGCCTTCCTTGATTTTCCCTCCGTCCCCCTTTTCCCCATGCCCCAAGAAGAGTTTTTTGCAATTAACCTTTTTATATGCATCTGTGTTGTCCATCTGGCTGGGGTACTCCCCAGGGACAGGAAACTGGGTCTCATTTGCCTGAGTTATCCCTAGCACTGGGAAAAGATCCTCAATAAATATTGATTGAACTGATAAATGCAGGTTTGTTGAATGAAAAAGCAATTCTGCTAGTAGTTTTGGATGGTGTTTGCATCTCTTTAGGCTCTGGAAATATTCTTTGGACGCATTTAGGGGTCCTGGCTTAGGAGTTGCTATTTCCTGAGCTGTCAATGAATGGGGCTCCCTCCCCATGCCCAGCTTGGGAAGGGTAAAAGGAGACCCCAACTCCACTCAGATCCCACTGCCCAGAGATGTCCCAACTGGGACCAGCGTGCTTGAGCCCAGGGCTGGACTCAAGGTGAGTTGAACACCCAGGAAGGAGAGCCCCTATTCCTAAATGGCCCCTCCAAGCTACCTACAACCTGACACTCCGCCATTCGTAATTCATTTCTTTGGATCATTCAGGCAACAGATATTTATTCACCTCTCACTGAATGTGAGGTCCTGTACTGGGGTCCCTAGCTAACATTGACGTGTGTGTGTTTTCACTCTTGCTGAAAGGCTGCCTCCCTGAAGAAAGAAGAGGTGAAGAAAGGAGGAAAGGGAGCGGGTGGGGATGATGAATCCAGGAATGTCAGAAGAGGAAAGGGAACTTGACATTTGCTGAGCACCTACTGTGTGCCAGGCTCTTAACTACTACCCCAGGAGAATTTGATGTTATCAGTCTTCAACGTAGAGGTGAGGAAACGAGCCCAGAGAGGGTGTGTGGCTTGTTCAAGGGTGCATAGCTCTGTGGCACAGGATTGAGGATCCAGATATGCATTGTCTTCCCTGAAGCCTGTGATCTCTCTGTCGTCTTCCTGCTGAAGAGGGTTGGGGACCCAGCAGGGAAAGAGGATTCCTAGAGCAGAGGGGTGACGACTGAGAATGCTGTGAGCTGGCAGGCCTAACTGCTGACTCACTGGGTGGCCAACACTGCTGGGAATATGACCAGTAAGAAGTTAGGGAATAAAATGTGGTCATCCCAGGGGCCTGCATGTCCAGCCTGAATGGCTCAGAGGCCACAGGGGCCACATCAGCTACCTCTGCTGAGCATATTCCTGGGTGCTAAAGTGTGTGCGCACACACACACACACACACACACACACACACACACACACACACACACACACACTGTCTGCCCCCAACAGTCTTGCTATGTGGAGAGTATCACCCCCACTTTATTGATGAAGAAACTGAGACTTAGAGAGTGGAGCTAACAAACCCAGTATGACACACCTGGAGTTAGAATGAGAGCTTAGATCTTTCCTGGAAGGCTTGCAGAGGAGCAGAGGGGCTGCGGGCTCACTCCCTGTGAGGTTTGCAGGCAGCCAGGGTCTCAGAACAACCACAGCCCTTCCCTGTCACTCCAGCCCCACCCTCTGGGACTCTGCCTCAGTCCTCCATTGCACCCACAGGCGGCAATTCCGAAGTGGTGCAAAGAGTTTGGGAGCTGGAGTCTGGTGGCCCTTGCTCAAATCCCTGCTTTACCGTGATGGGCTGTGTGACTTTGGGCAAGTCTCTCAACCTCTCTGGCCTCAGGCTCCTCATTTGTAAAATGCGCACGATGCCATGTGCTTCCTGCTTCTCCATCGACTTATTTATTTCACAAATACCCATTGAGCATCTCCTTCCCAGGTTCTGTGCTAGGTGCTGAGAATACAGTGGTAAGCAGAAACACCCATGGTGTCTGCTCTCAAGAGGGTTTAGAGACAGCCATGAAATGAAATGATCACACAAACCAAAGTGTATTTACAGAGGGGTGAGAGCATGCTCAGCAGGAGGCCCCGGTGTCTCTGGCAAGAGCAGGAAGCCTCACAGAGGGTTTCCTCGAGGGGGTGATGACTGAGCTGGGGTCTGCAGGCTGGAGTGGGAGTTCAGTAGGTAAGAGGAGAGGCAGTGTTGCCGACAAAGGGTGTGGCTTGTGCAAAGGCCCTGAGACTGGAAAAGCTTAGCAGTTCTCAATGAATTAAAAGGAGGCCCGGATGGCTGGGGGAAAGTGTGGGCAAGGGACAGGAGAGGCAGTGGGGGCCCCTGTGGACCACTGTACAGATTTCTGTCCTTACCCTGGGAAGGGGGGCAGCTGGGAAGGGTTTTCAGGATGGAACCCGAAGATGAACACGAAGCCCTCGGTGAGGGCCCTGCGTGTAACAGCATCTGCAATGCGGCAGTGCAGCACAGTCATGTCTTGCCTTCCGCAGGTCCTATGATCCACTCAATGTGCTGTGATCTGGGGTGGACTCCGAGCCCAGGACACATCAGCAAGGAGGAAAGGGGCCCTGCTTGCACAGGGCCACAGTTGGGAGGAGAAGAACAGCCAGTAGACATTCACAGAGTCGCGAATGTGCAGGGGGCTGAGGGGGCACCCTGGCATAAGGGGAGACTGAGGCCAGGGTCATGGGCAATTGAATGAAAGCTGTAGGCTCAGGACTCTCAATCCAGTGCTCCCTCCAGGGGCTGGGAAGTTCCCTTGACTGACCTTAATGGTAGCCCTGCTTGATAGAACCTGGTTTTTTCCCAACCCCCCAGGGCAGCTGGGTAGGAGGGATGCAGAGACGGAAGAGGGGACACGCCCGCAAATGATAAATGGCCCTGAGACGGGGACATGATATTACATGCCAGGTTCTGTTTGTTCTTAGAACTTTTCATGTGTTGACTCATTCAGTTCTTCCCAAAGACCTTTTAAGGTGGCTTTGATGATCACCCTAATTTTACAGGTGGTGAAATGGAGGCACAGAGATGTCAGGCAACTTGGCCAAAGTTGTCCAGCTGGTAAGTGCAGTTGGGATTTGGACTCAGGCAGCTGGCTCCTTAGTCCCTGCCTGTTCTTCCCTACCCTGTGATAGGTCTGGGGAACACTTGGGTTCTGCCAGGGTGTCCAGTGAGTGGTTGAGGGGAGCAGGGAAGAGGTGGGATGGAGGGCCAGAGCCAAGCCTGAAGGAGGAGGACAGACAGGAACTGGCCGCCCTTGGGAGATGGTGATGCTGATGGAGTCTTGATGGGTTCCTTAGACCCACAAGGGTGTCATATCTCCCACATACTCCCCAGAGGATGCTGGGCCCAGAAAACTTCTGGGAATTCCCTTTGGGATCTGCCTTTGGGGCTGGTTTATGTGGACTTGCGGCGCATCAGGGCTGGAGGTGCCGCTGCATTCCTGTGTCCAGCCCTAGCTTTCCATTTTACAGATAGGGATCCTGAGGCCCACAGAGTGGTCACCACCGGCCTTGAGCACACTGCAGCCAGGCCAGGGCTTGGAGGCAAGTGCTCACTCCAGGGCCGCCTGTTAGCCCCATAAGGAACCCCCCTTATGTGGGGCTACCTTGCTCAGGGCTCATCTTCATCAGACACAGCTCCAAAGAGCATAGGCTCTCCAAGGAGGCCTGCCACCAGCAGCGGGGAAAGCCCCAGTCTAGTGGCCACTCTGCAGGCCCTCTATGGATGAGACTTCCTGAAAGGCTGGGCCACCTCTCTCACTGCACATCCCCCTGCAGGTGGCCCCAGGGGGTTGGAAGAGCACTAGATCAGGGGTTATTGGGCAAGACAGCCGCAGTGGGCCGGGAGAGTGCTGACCTTGTCCCCCCAGCCTTCCTGACCTCCCCAGGGGCTGGTTAGCAGTAACCAAATAAAAGAAGGGTATGGAAGGATCTCTGTAAACTGTAAGTAGATTCTCAGATACAAGGTGCTGTTTCTTTCTGGGGGACACAGAGCATAGAGCAGGGGCTTGGGCATCAAAGAGATGTGGGATTGAAGCCCAGCTCTGCCACTTACCACTGGGTGGCCTTGTGCTAGTCACTTGGCCAATGTGAACCTCAGTTTCTATTAATACATCTGTAAAGTGGGGCTAACAATACCTGCAATTATGGGAGTGTTGGGAGGCATAAATGAGTAATACATATGTACATGGCACATAGTGGGTGTTCAGGGATGTCTAGCTTGCTTTTTCATCTCTATTCTGCAAAGGTGACAACACTTTTAATTCATAGACAATCTGATCTAAACAAAATGAGAGGGAATCTGAAGATATCGTTCGTTCATTTCTTCAGCATTAAGAGGGTCATTTCCTGCTCTGCTCTCTCCCCATGGGAGTGTCTCAATCTTCTCAGGACCTCCCCCAAGGGTGGTAACCATTTCCCCTGTGACTTGGTGGGAGCTCTCAGCTGCCAGCCCTGCAGAGGAACCCACCCATCAGCCTCTGCCTGAAAACCCAGCCCCAACTGAGGTCCCAGAACTACCCGGGCTAGAGGCCAGGTGGTATATGTCTGGGGCACAGGCTCTGAGTTCACACAGGCCTGAGCTTAAGTCTGAGCTCCACCACTCACTGAGCTCTGTGATCTTGGGCAAGTCAGTTCCCCCTTCTGAGCCTGGTTTCTTCATCAGTAACATGGTGATGATATCTACTTTGGAGTTGTGTCCTGAGAATTAACTGAGATACTGCCTGTAAAATACTTTGCCTATCATGTGTTACATGCACAATTAATGGTAGCTTAAAAACTACCTGTAAGCCCCTTCTCTTTTCCCTTGAAACAAGCAGGACGTAAGTATCTCCATCTTGTGTGGCATGGTGTGGCAGCAGTCTTGTTCTGGAGTTGCTTATACTGACTTGTGAGAGCCGATTGTGTTGTCAGTGATCTCATATTGGCAGCTTACAATCTGCCAAGGTGGGAGCATTGACACCACAGAAATTGGCAAGCACTGGAAAGCAGGACATCCACCTCCCTGAGAGCTGGTTGTGAAACACTTACCAGCACACCACAGAACCCTGGGCAGGCCCGCAACATGGTTACCTGGAGTTCATTACCTTTCAAGTTTCAGGACCCCTTTCTGATTTAGTTGCCTTTGACCTGTTCCTCCCTGCTGCAGGCTGCCCTGGCCCCAGCCCCTGGGCCTCTGTCGGCTCTCATCCCAGTGCTGATAACCTGCTCTTAGCCCTCCCACCATGGAGCCTACTGACATTTCCCACTCTGCCCAAAGGAGGGCAGTGCCGGACGAGGTGACCCTGGCATGGCATTGTCCTAAAAAACTGTTGGCCAGCGATCTTCTATCTTCTTCTCCTCCTTTTTCCTCTCTTGTTGCTGACCCCAAAGGCACTTCCCAAACAGCCACTCCCTCTTAGCTGCCAGCACCTCAGATACCATCCTGTCGTTCCAGTTCTCATCCCATTGTCCCCATAACATCCATTGCCACTCCTCTGACCTTTCCAGGTCTAACTCTTCTTCCTTCAGCCCCAGCCAGGGGACTCATGGACTTGGAGAAAGGTGGCCCTGGCATCTGTCCTGCTTCTCTTCCTTCTCCTGGCGTGGCACTGGACAAGTTACTCAACTTTTCGGAGATTCAGTGATAAGGAAAGTGATATTTACAGGGCTCTCGCCACGTGCCAGGTGCCGTGCCCACAGCCTTCCTGGCTGACTTCATTCCTTGTTTCCTCATCTGCAAAATGGAGATGATGGAAGTGTCCACCCTGTGGAATTGTACGGTGAGCTGAAGTGACAGCTTAAATGGGCTTGCTGATTGTAAAGTGTCATGCTAATGCTGTTATTCTACTTTGAAGGGCAATGCTTGTTTAGATCTACAATTTTCAGATGTGTGTGTGTGTGTGTGTGTGTTTCTTAAAAAAAGCCACAGGCATGCTATTTATAGCCAGCTCCTGTACAGGTTTTTATCATTCCTTGCCTGCTCTGCTAAAAATAACAAAACGACAAAGGTCAAGTCTGCTTCTACCTATCTGAGGAGTCTACAAAGAATGAGCCTTTTGATTCACTGCCTCGGTGAAGTGAGGACTCTCCTGCCAGCTCGGTGCAGGCCACAGCCCTGGAACTCCTAACCAGGTCGACTGGGTCTACACCGAGGAGCTGAGGAAGGCTGGGGGCGGGGAACCTGCAAGTGTCACACTGGGCAGATGCATCTCGCCTCGGCCACCCCTTCCCCTTCCCCCAGCCTGGGGAGGGAGGTGGTGGTGGAGCACCATAGACTGAAGGACAAATATTCTGGGTCCTGGTCCCAGGGATGCAGTGTGGGCCATGGTTTCCCCATATTCAAAATGAGAGGGGTTGGGAAAATAGCCACTGAGAATTTTCTCTCCAGCCTAAATGCATACATGCTCCATTCTTTTTTCTCTCCCCTTCAGCCTATAACACTATGGACTCATTTAATGAATATCCACTGGCCCTTAATAATGACAATAGCATTGATGATACTGCTACTCAGCCACTACTTGTGGAGTGTCCAGAACATACCAGGCACCGGGCTAAGAAAGCCTTGAGGTGGAGTAAACTCACTGAATCCGTGCAACCCCACTGGAGAAGGAAGCTTGTCATCCCCATCTGATACATGGGGAGGTGACTGAGCCCAGAGCCTTGCACATGCACAGTCTCGCACCAGGCAGTGACAGCTCCAGGATGTGAACTGGGTGTCACGTCCTGGGCCTGTGCTTGGCTCTAGGCACTGTGCCGGGCACAGCAGGTAGGAAGACAGACACAGAGCTTGCTTTCCCTGTCGTTGAGGGAGCGATGGCTGCAGATAGGATGACCTCACACAGTGTGGGAAATGGCAGTAGACAGACGGGGGATTGGGCAGCCTGTGCAGGTTGCAGGGAGGAGCACATTTCACCTTTGCCAGTGAGGCATTCCAGGTAGCAGGCACAGCAAGAATGAAGGTAGGGTGGGGTTGGGGTGGGGAGGGCTTGAAACCTCACAGCAAAAAGATTTGCATTTAGTCTGTGGACCAGAAACCCTCAAACTCCAGTAATGATGTTTGCCAGTCTGCAAGTTCTAGCATATACTTTGCATCTGTCCTGAAATCACCTCCCTTTTAGAAACATATGTATCTCTCTACTTAGTGTTATCTTAAGCATTCATAGTCACAATATCATGGATTTGCCTTGCCAGTTGTATTTTTCCCCTAACACATCAAAGTAAGTGCACAGGTATTAAACTAGAGAGGATGTGCTTGCCCCCCTCCAAAATGCGGACTCGCGTCTGCCTTTGGAAACCAGGACCGTGGGTTTAGGCAGCTTGGAGGCTTGATCCGATCTGGACTACAGAAGGATTTCTCGGAGGTTAGAAGGGATAGGGGAGGCATTCCTGGGAATCTGCCCTTGTCCCATGACAAAGGTCTGGGGGTGCCAGCATGCCCCCAAGCTGAGAGTGCCACTCTTGCCCCAGCAAAACCCCTCCTTGGCCTCAGCTCTCTGGCTTCACCTGAGCCCACTCCTGATCCGCTTTCTCCCAGCCAAGCGCCGCTGCGGCCGTGCTGACCTCAATGACTAACACACATTCCTGGCCTAGTTACAGAGCCCCTCGCCTCGCGTATTTATAGCCACCTCCCAACTCCACTCATGCCTCTGAGGGAGGCCTGGCCCTTCTTTGAAAGCTCCTTTCACTACCCCTGCCCTGCCCCGGGCCCCGCTTTCACCGGCAGGTGCTGTCAGTCTCCCCTCTGTCGGGGACAGGTGTGGGGCAGGGATTTTGTTCTGTGTGGCCATGGGAAAGTGGCTTCCCCTCCCTGGACCTCATCTGTAAAGTAAGAGCCATCATACTCTCCGGCCAGGCTGGGCTGTGGTGAAGATAAACTGAGATATTCATTCTGAGATCATGAGTAATAACTAATGTTCATGGAACACCAACTGTGCACTAGGCCCTGTCTAAACACTTGGCACATTATGAACTCATTTAATTCTTACAACAACCCCACAAGGGACATACTGGTATCATCATGCCAATTTTGTAGAGGAGGAAACTGAGGAACAGAAAAGTTAGGCAGCTTGCCCAAGGTCAAACACCTAGCTGGGATTCAAACCAGACTCCAGAATCTGTACTCCGGGCACTGTGCTGAACTTGACACACAGAGTGGTCCTCAGCCATACTGTGGATTTGCCCTGTTTGTTTCCTGCCTTTGGGGTCCCCTGAATTAGCTAAGCACATCACTCACCGTCTGCAATAAAGTGGCCGAGGCGGGAGTGAATAATGAAGGTGCAATGTGCAATGTCCGGGCCTTTCAAGGGGCTATTGAGGACTTGGCTAATGAGGGAACAGAGCAAGAAAGAGAGAAGAGTCACAGCTGGGACTCCTGTCAAGGTGCCCAGCTTTACAGAGAGGTATGCTGACGCATGGCAGCATGGCAGGGCAGGCTGGCATCTGATGGTACGTGAGAGGCGTTGGAGTTCTAGGAGTGGAGAACTCAGTTCCTGTGTCCCCTGCCCCTACCCCACCTCTGACATCTCTCACCCTTGATCTCAAAGGAGGAAAGCTTCCAATGAATGTTTTGATAGAAAGGTTTTAGGAACTTAAGCCACCTCGTCCCATGAATGTTATAGTTCCAAAAGAAGATTCCAAGAGGGACAAGAGAACAAATATTGTTTGGGTGTTTACTGTATGTGTGGCACTGAGCCAGGCACTCAGCAGTCACTTGTTCATTCAACAAACATTGGCTCAGAACTCACTCCACTCTCTGTGCCAGCACTGATGCTGCCTGCCTTGCATGTGGAGACTTCTGGACCAGGATACCTGCCTAGCAAGTGGCAGGACTGGGATCGAATGCAGGGGTTTTTCTCACATCATACAACTGCTATTGGTGGGTGCAGGGACATCTGACTTCACCTCCTCATACCCTTTACCATATACATTTGGCTGCAGCCCAGTTTTTCAGGTCCCCACCCTGATCCCTCATGGTCACTGGGACATGCTGCTCTTCCTAAAATCAGCCCTAACAGATAAAACTCTATTCCCAACCTCAAAGGAAGCTCCAAGCCATGGTTTCTGGATTCTGGAATTGAAGAGAGGTGTCGGCTGCCTGTCCTTAGCCAGAAAATTAATGGCCAACCCTGATTTAATTAGCTTTTCCTTACAATGATTTAGGGAAGCCTGTAATTAGCTCAGGGGCCTGGAGGGAGAGGCCCAGGTGTTGGAGCCAGTGCTGGAGCAAGCAGCAGGGGAGGGGGGTGCCGGTTTTAAGATCAGACTCCTGCCCTTGCGAGGTAATAGTGGAGGCTGGGAGAACCCCTCACCTCCTCACTGTGGGAGGCGGGTGGAGAGAAATCCTAAATGAATGCAGAAGAAGAGAGGGTGGACTTAGAGATTATAAAAATATTCTTTTACTTTTTTTTTGTTTTGAGACAGAGTCTCATTCTGTCACCCAGGCTGGAGTGCAGGGCACAATCTCGGCTCACTGCAACCTCCACCTCCTGGGTTCAAGTGATTCTTGTGCCTCAGCCTCCCGAGTAGCTGGGATTACAGGCGGGCACCACCACACCCAGCTAATTTCTGTATTTTTAGCTGGGGTTTCGCCAGGTTGGTCTTGAACTCCTAATCTCAAGTGATCTGCCTGCCTGGGCCTCCCAAAGTGCTAGGATTACAGGCGTGAGCCACCACACCTGGCCTCTTTTTTTTTTTTTCTTTTTTTTCTTTGCCTACCCAAATAAAAAAGAGTGCCTTTCTATTTTGATTTGTATTGGAACAAACTATATGGCATACGTGGCTTCGGCAGGCCACACATCACTGCAGGTTCAGAGTGGCAACTAGACTATGTCACTGCAGATAAACTCTCCAAGCCCCTTGCATGTGGCTGTGGCAATCCTCCCACAGTGTCAGGTGTTAAAGCCAGACTTTTCCAGCTAATAACAGGGCAGACTCTGTTTGCAGTTCTGAGGAGGGGGCTCCCAGAACAGGGTCTGCATTTCGTGCAAGGTAAATGGATATTAGCCAGACATTGGACAAGGTTTTGCCTGAGACCCTTGCCAGCTTCAGACTTCCGGGGCACACATCCCAAGGAGTAGATTGTCCCTCTGTGGCACCCCAGCCCCTGTGTGACCCACCTTAGTGGGTTTCCTGCCAAGCCCTGCACCTGCCCCCACACAAATCCTCACAGGGAAGCAGAGCCAATCCTACCACTCAAGAATTTAGCCTTGATCTGGAGGCATCAGAGAAGCCCCCATAAACAATCAGTCAAGTAACAGTGAAGAGTTTGCAGGCTATCTTTGAGGATAAGATGGTATCCAGGACCAGAAAATCCTTCATTCATGAACTTTCAGTCTGGGAACTTTCATGGGCATGAATAAACCCATAGCCAGTGGATAATGTCGGTGATTATGGACAGGTGTTTAATCTCTGGGCCATTTGTTCTTGATCCAGAATGATTTGTCTGTTGATGCTCCTTTTTAAGGTGTTTTAAGGACATTGTTAATCCCTCCAAGTCCAACCAATATAGAAGCAGCGAGAGTGTGGAAACTGTGTAAAGTGATTGTGGGAACGGAGGTGAAATGTCACTCTTTAGAGATATATACACCCAAGGTGCTTGTATTGTGATATCTGAGATGTAGAGACAAGTTGATTGTGAACTCCTTAGGGAGTTAGTCTGAGTGTGAGTGGAGAGCCAGAGGTGGCCATGGGCTACATTTGGAAGGAACAACAGCATTTCTGCTGCCACTTTCAGAATGCCTACTCTGTGTCAGAGGCCACGCCAGCCACATACATCATCTCTAACTCTTACAGCAACCCTGCTAGGGAGGCAATATTAGCCCATTTACAGAAGAGGAGACTGAGAGTCAGCGAGGGGAGGTAACTTATCCAAGACTATCCAGCCAGGCAGGGCAGTGTTTGGACTTCAACCCACGTTTGTCAGGTAACAGTCTGTGTTCTTTCACAGTTCACAGAGGTGGGACAGTGGGGTTGGGGATTGAAAGACAAGGGGGATTATGTGGGTGGGCACAAGGCAGAAAGGAAAATGAATGTAAATTTTTATTTTTAAAAATGTATGCTGTGTACCTACTGTGAGCCAGGTTGCCAAGATGAAAAGTGCAGTGTCCACCCTCCAGCTCCTCGTGGTCCCGTGTATGTGTACTGCTGTGCCCTATTTGAGGAGGCTTCCTTTTCAGTACGTGTGTATTGCCTTTTCTCAGCTGCTGTGCTTATCCCCCTCATCATAATAACCCCCTGTGTGAGGCTCAGAGAAGTTAGCTAGTTGTCTCAAGATCAGACAGCTAGTAAGTGGAGGAGCTGGGATTTGATCCCATATCTGTTTGACTGCACAGCCTGAGACCTTCCCTGGGATCCTCTCTTCCCTGTGACCATCATGCCTATCTCCCTTCTACCTCCTGGTCATTCCACTGGAAGTAACTTTCTGTGTGCATAGCTTCTGCTGAAGCCAGTGTTGGACTTGTTAGCTGGAGAAAGGAGATGTGTTTGGAAACCACCCAAGAAAAAGACACTTGAAATAACTTTTCTCAGTAGCCCTTACTGCTAAAATGTGCTGAATCCCGAACAGGAGTAGGCCTCTGAAGGACTCACATCCACACCATCCGTTTGTCTGGGATCTACAGCTGATGGTGCACTTTTGAAGTCATTACCTCATAGAGCCTCACAGCAGCCTGGGGCAGGTGTCCTGAACCTCCTTTTACAGATGAAGAAGCTGGAGGCTCAGAGAGGTAATGGGGCTTGCTCAAGGTCACACTGACACCTGGGGGTGACCTTGGATGCCTCATGTTTTCTCCCAGAGCCTGAGGTTCTTCAGCTGCAGAGATGGTGACGATGATGTCGGCACCCAGGGTTGCTCTGAGGACTACAGGAGAGGACACAGGTGGAAGAATTAGCACAGGACCTGGCACACAATAGGTGCTCCACAGCTGATAGATGCACTGGACTCTTCAAAGTGAAGGTCACAGATGTGGATAGTGAGGGTAAAGAGAGGCCAAGAGTGAAAGGCTCTTGAGCCACTGCTTGTGCAAACAGGTGGGCTGGCAGCTGCTGACAGTGACAATGGCTGGTTTTTATTGTTTAATCCTCCACAAGTGTCATATTCCATCCTCATCACAAGCTGTACAAAGTGAGTTATGATTTTGTCTCCATTTTGTAGATGGGAAGGTGGAGGTGCAGGCAGGTTGAGTAGGTGGGAACCAGACAGCAGTTTTCAATAGAAAAGAATAAAACAATCCAAGTTCAGAGTATGACAAGCTTTTAACTTTCTATTAAAAAAATCACTCTTAAACGTTTCTCCTGAACATGTCCCCCAACTTTTGTTAGCCTCTCTAGCATTTACTTTGTGACTTCCTTCACCATAGAACTTACTCCTCTCTGGCAGGCCACCCTAGCCCTCATTGCTCATGGAAGGCGGAATCCTGGTGCCCAGCCTGCTGGGCCAGGGCTAGAAGTGAAGTTGGGTTCCATAAATTGCGAATCTTTGCTACAGCTTTGGAAGTGGTGAAGGCTCCTGCTTTATATGCAGCAGCACCTCTGACACATGGTGCAAATGGTGTCTGGCTAACCTAAATCATATTTCAAATATGCCATCGGAAAAACCGTGGTTCACAGGAAAAATGCCCCCTTGATGCTTCCTCCCCCGCTTGATTATTCGGGGATCCTGGATGTGGCTGGTAGCAGGGGAGAGGAGAACTTGGCTCCACTAAGTGGTCAAATATATCAGAGCCCAGGCATTTATCTCTAGGCCCCCGTTTCCTCTTCTCTAAAATGCAGAAAAAAAAAAAAATAAAAGAAAGTGAACTGGCAGGACTAGACTGGAGGGAATCTACAAACCAGCTACTTGTGAGAGCAGCCCACTGAAAATACATTTGTTTGTTTTGCTCAGAGCTTAAAATAAAATTGCATTAAATGCCAATGTTTAAAAATGGGGGGATTGTGCATAAGAATCCAGATTTCTGTCTTCTCTTAAAATATCGTGAGCATTGCCCATCCAGAGTTGGCTGGAGGCGGATGAGGCCACAGAGATGAACATGTGGCCACTAGGTCATCCCCTCTCCAGCTGACTTCATTAAGGGCACTTTCTGCCCTGGACCCAGGAGGTAAGTGAGTCTGTGACGCCTGGACCTGCATCCTGAACGTGGGAGCCTCTTCAAGGGAGGGGGTGGGCTTCTGGCACAAAACCTTTCCTATTTATTTAAAACGCACTCATGATATGCCAGGGTTGTAGTAAACGTATCAGGTACAATTCTAAGCACTATACCCACACCAGGCAACTATTTAGTTCTCATAGCCACGTCCTGAGGCGAGTGCCATTGCTATCACACCCATTTTGTAGATGAGCATGCCGAGGCACAGAGAGGTTAACTCACTTGGCCAAAGTCACATGACCGGTAAGTGACGGCATTGAGATTTGATCCCTGGCAGCTCTGCCTCCAGATCTGTGCTCTAACCATTGTACAGTGCTGCTCCTCTTCCTCTTTTCTGGGAGAATGGCCAGTCTTATGGCTTTGTCCAAGTTTCCATCTCTCAATATGACAACTAATTCATCATCTCCCCAGCTCTCCTTCCCTCTTCTATTTATTACTTCCCTCCCTCATGTCAATCAACTCCTTTAACCTGAACAGCCCTCTAAGGACAGGTATACTATTTTCCCCATGTTGGGGCAAGGACATTGAGACACAGAGAGGTTAAGTAACCTCTCCTGGCTAGAGGTGGGAGAGTCAGGGTTTGACCCTGGCCATCTGTTTGCAGAGTCCATGCTCTTGGCAGTCTCTAACACCCTGGAATCCCCTCAACCACCCAGCTTGCCATTCATTTCTTCCATCCTTCATTTTTTCACTTACCTATCCATCCAACACTCAACCAACACCTTGTGCTCATGCCACCCCTGTGCTGGGCATGGGAGGCTCAGAGATACCTGCATCGAGACTGGCAGGAGTGGAACGGTGACATCCTGCTCTCAGAACAGGAGCTACCTATGAACACTCCCTCTGGGGCCAAGGCCAGTGGGAGAACTGGTTTTCAACAAACAGCCCTGGACAGTTCAGGAGGAGGCAGCAGAGGGGAAGCTGTGTAGCCAGCTTCCTGCAGAGGTGAGTCTGCTGTAAGGCACTTACAGATTCAAGAAGACCTCAGCACCCCTGACACCCTCATCCCCTAACTCCACCCTTGGCAGCTAAAGCACCGACCAGCCTTTTGGTTGTAGTTAGTCCACTGCTGCTGTGGGGCCCTGAGTAAGAGGCTTTGCTCTTCTGGGCCTCAGTTTCCTTATCTGTACAATATCTTGAAATAACCTTTTTGTTTTAGAAGAGTTTTAGATTTACAAAAAAATTCCTAAAGACAATACAGAGAGTTCTTGTCTGTCCTGCATTCAGTTTCCCCTATTATTCACATCTTCTATTAGAATGATACCTTTCTCATAATCAATGAATCAATATTGATATGTTGATACTAACTAACACCCGCACTTTATTCACATTTCCTCTGTTTTTGCCTAACACCCTTTTCCTCTTCCAGGTCCCCATCTAGGGTGCTGCATTGTATTTAGTCACCATGTCTCCTTAGGTTCCTCTCGGCTGGGACAGTTTTGCAGAATATTATTTGGAAAAAATAAATTCGAATACCTCAGAAGGGGTATTTTGGGCTACAAGAAATATTTTAATCTGGGCGGTGGTTACACCAGTGTAAACCCGTGTAAAAAGTGGTACATTTAAAATTAGTGCACTTTATCTACTATGTGTATCATGCCTCAATTAAAAAAAAAAAGGTTCTCCAATTTGCCACAGTCCCCAGGACTCCCTGTTATATTTCACTCATTCTCTGTCATTGTTTTGTATCATCTGCTTCGCAACTGTATTCATTACACAGTAGATGAATAAGACCCTTCCAGTTTACTCATCTTCAAAGTGGGTATAATAATTTTCTACTTGATAAGGCTGTAGTGAAGATGAACTGGGACAGTATATATCAAGTCCTTAACACAGTGCCTGGTGCACAGTAAGTGTTCAATAAATAGGAATGATGAGGATTATTGTGTGTGTAATATTTGTATTATTAAAACAGGTGTGTGAGCCTTCCTTCTCCTTACAGCAAACCCCATCCTCTCCTTCTCCTCTCTCCTCTGCCTCCTCTTTTGTCTCTGTTCATCTCTGCCTGGGAGGGCCAGGAGGTGGGAGAGACAGAGCAAAGCCTGCAAAGACGGTGTGTACCGGCCAACAGAAGCAGAAGACCCTTGAGCATGACCCCCAGACTGTCCTCAAAGCCCAGGGAAGCTTTGGTGGAAGCTGGGGTTCCAATCATTCCCTATTTAAGGAGTTCCTTGGGGTGCAAGGAGCTTGAGGAGCTCTGCAGTTCCCTGACAGCTTCCTCCAAAGCTATATCCCGCCCCCTCAGAGATTTCCCTGGCCAGTGATCCCTGGACACAGGGATTGGGAGGGCTTTTAGAGGGGTGCTGTGGGTCACGGGGACAAGGTAGCCTCCAACCTGGGCTGTCTGCTGGCTCAACCTCTTGGGGGGATGCCAGATTCCCCTGTGTGGCACCCCCAGACCCATGCCCAGAACCAATGAAGTCAGCGGGAGCTGTCTGTGATGAGTGTGCGGATGGCCAAGAAGGACCCATTAGGGCCAGTGAGGGGGTGTGGGGAGTGGAAAGAATAGGGACTGAGGGGTAGGAGGACAGGACTGGGTCCTGCCTTGCCCTCTGACTTGCTACATGACTGCTGGCGAGTCCCTTCCCCTCTCTGAGTCTCTATTTCCTAATAATAATAACAATAATAGTAACCATGATGATAGTGATGATGGTGGTGGTGGTGGTGACACTAGCTCCCAATTTAAGTATAAGGCATGGGATAAGCCCGTTATGTGTACAGCGTAATTTCATCCTTATACATAACCCACAAGCTAGGTCCTATTATTATCCCCATTTCATGGGTTTTTAAAATGGGGTCAAAGGGTCGAGAGCGTGTGTAAGCCTTCCCAGCTAAACCGTTTGCAAACACAGGATTCAAACTCCAATCTGTCTGACTCAGAAACTGACACCATGACCTAGGTCATCTCCTCTGTATTTGCACCTCTGAGCTGGGCAGGTAGTTTTCCTTCCAGCATCAACCTTGCTGCCTCTGAGGGCGGCTCCCATGTTCAGGGAGGGAAAGGGGGCAGCTCAGAGCTAGCACCTACTGGACACTTGCCTGTGTTGAAGGGCTCCCTCGCTTATCTCATTTGATCTTCACACAGCCTTATGAAATAGGAACTGTTACCACCACCCCCATTTTACAGGGTAGGAAACTGAGGCACAGAGAGATGGAGGTAAATGTCCAAATGGACACCTGGGTGTCAGGATTTGAACCTGGGTCTTCTGGCTACAGAGCCCACGCTCTTGTACTCTTTCACCGCCCTCTGGAGGGAGCACTCCTATGGAGCTGGGTGAGGCCAGAGACAGTCCCTCCTGGGGCTCCTCATCAATACCTACAGAGCTTGCCTGGGCCAGGGCTTGCCCTCCACTCTCCCTCTGAGACAAGGACTCAAAGCCTCACAGGTTCCTCTCCTTATACTCTTTCCATCTCAGGAACCCCCTACCTCCCCACCACTGCCCTGCCCTGAACTGGAGACCCAGGCTTCTGAGGAGACCAACCAGTCCAGGGCTGTGGGGAGTGCCTCGCGAACCCAGCCTCCCATACCTGGCCAGAGATGGCGGTGAATCACCCGGTGTCCCCGCTGGGTTTCAGGCCACGGACACAAGTACCCTCTCTGACTGCTCGGCTCCAGCACCTACAGTCACTGCAGAAGTCTGCAGCGTATGGCCACACCCTGCAAGGTGGCCACGGCACCGAGGCCTGGCTGCCAGCAGGGCTGCCTCCCTTTCTGGCCTGAGGATCGGTGAGGAGGGAGGTGGGGTGGGGAGGGGCAGGGGAGCAGGGCTGGCCACTAAGGTCTGTGGGCTGGCCTTCACAGTGCGGTAATCGGCAAAACAGTGGTCTC
Organism: Homo sapiens; assembly: GCF_000001405.40. Lineage (NCBI taxonomy): Eukaryota > Metazoa > Chordata > Mammalia > Primates > Hominidae > Homo > Homo sapiens. The sequence goes on from NC_000003.12 coordinate 10,528,047, forward strand.
TGTCAAAAGCAACATGGGTGGCGGGCATAACTCTGTACCCCTGGCTTCTTCTTGGGCTTTTGTTCTCACGAGCATGAGGCTCCTGATCCTATCAGCAATACCCTGGCTTCAGCCCTGGCTACCTGGAAGTTCTTTTGTTCTGAGGACTCTCTGTACAACTGGCTGGCATGGAGCAGCCCTGGGAACGTGGGGAAAGGGTGGCTACGACGCGTGCATCTGGCCCAACCCAAGGAAGCTTCCACTGAAACAAGTCACGTGGGGAAATGCCAGGCCAGGAGAGCCTGGGCCAAACAGCACAGAATCTTGCTTCCTCCAGGAAGCCTCTCTGGACTAAGGGGAAAAAAGGGTAACAGAGTCCCCCACCCACCTTGCCTCTGGGCCCCATGACACTCCTTGCTTGTGCCCTATAATGTGCCTGATCACTTTCTCTTCATAGAGAAACAGGAAGAAAACATTTATTGTTTCCTGCTGAGCAACTTGTCCTTCCTCCAGCATCCTTGGAGAAGGGGCACTTTCCACATGAGCAAGTTTCCTAGCCACTGTAATCTTCCTCCTTCGTGTGCCAACGTGTGTTTTATCTTAAATATTTCTGGTGTAAGGAACACACCCCTGAATATATTTTTCACTTTTATGTGAATTGATATTTTGCTAATCACAGCAACTCCTGTTTGACAAATAGCAGAACATCTATGCTGCAAACATATTATTTAGTCAACCTAGCGACTTCCTTCGCTTCCCAGCCTTTTGCTTTTAAAAATACGGTTTAAGCAGGTGCGTTGGCTCATGCCCGTGATCCCGGCTACTTGCTTGGTGCTGGTGTCAGTGTGTGAATATGGATTGTAGGCTCTCAGTTCAAGCAATGTGGGAACTGCTCATATTTGGGATGGGGAAGCTTAGTTAACTTTCCCAGATCCATGAGATGACTTGGGAGGAAAAAAATGGAGAGCTGGCAATAAAGGGGGTCCAGCACTGACCCCCCACCTCTCTGGGCATCCCAGCCAAGCGGGGGTGATGGGCTCATGTCTCTGTGCTACTTCCCACCTTCCCGGGGGAAGACTCAAGAGCAGGTGTTATCTCAGAATGAAAGTCAAGTGACTGATGAGAGGGAGTAGGGGCTCCCCAGAGGTTCTCAGACCACCCAGGAAGGACATTACTTCTCTAGGGAAACAAAGACAGGAGGTGACCCAGGAAGAAAACCTCTTTCTCTCACGCTTTGAAGATTATTTTGGGAACGATCTTCCTGGTACTCCCCTATCCAACAACAGCCAGTTGCGTACTTACCTGTTTTGTGGCCTTCCTGCCTGTAACCACCTTGAAAGCTAAGTCCCTGGCTTCCCGTGTCTCCAGAGTCTAGCATATAGTTGTGCTGAGAAAGAGCTCAGCTTCAAACTTACAGGCTCTTTATGTAAGACAATGACCCCACAGTCTCAGATTGGAGTTTAAGATGCCAATGGGCATCTCCTGGAAGCTAAGATATCAGTGATTTTTAGAAGGATGTCAGACTTCTAGAGAATGATGTAAAATATTCTTCGAGTCTATTTGGGAACTTAAATATCATGAAAGAACTGGTGGTCTGTCCAGAATCAGCTTCAAATCATTATGATAGGGATAAGGGTTGAACTATGTCCTCCCAAAAAGATAGGTTGAAGTCCTAACCCCTCATACCCCAGAATGTGAGGTACAGATGGGCGTTGACAGAGGGTGTTTACAGAGGTGATCAAGTTAAAATGAGGCCACTAGAATGGGCCCTAATCTGGAATGATTTGGTGTCCTTACAAAAAGGGGATCTTTGGACACAGAGGCACTCACTGGGGGAAGACGATGTGAAGGCAGGGGACTAGAGTGCTACTTCTCTACTCCAAGGAGCTCCAAAGATGGCCGGCGAACCACTGGAAGCCAGGAGAGAGGCCGGGAAAGAGTCAGCCTCCCCATCCTCGGAAGGAACCAAGCCCTCTGACACCTTGATCTTGGACTCCTAGTCTCCAGAACGTGAGACAACACATTTCTGTTAGTTTGTGGTCATGTGTCACGGCAGCCCTCACAAACTAATACAGATGACAGACTCTCTTTTCGCAGTGCTCAGGTGGCTGAGAGCGACCGACACAGTCCCAGCAAAGGCGCCTGAGGTCCTCACCATTTGAGGCGATTGTTCCCACCGGGGACCACCAAAAGAACAAAACTCACTGAGCAGTTGTCAATATTCCAGGCCCTAAGCTGGGCATATCCTATTTTCTCTTCCATCGAATCCTTCCGACATCCTCAAAAAGGAGGACTCCCATTTTAAAGAATATAAAACTGAGGTGAGAAGCACTTAAGTGAAACTTGTCCAGGACTGCACAGCCGGGACCTGCACCTGGCAGAGGGGAGACGACCTGCGGCCGGAGTGTCCCACCGCACCACGCTTCCTCCCCAAGTGAGGCCTAGTGCGACAGCTCCCTGGCTCTGACGAGTGGTTACCAGAGGTTTGGGGTGTGTGTTGATGCAACCTCTTTGTTCCCTTCCCTGAGTTTTAGACTGGGGCAGTCTGGCCACAGACAGGGCTCACGTTTTTTTCCTTCGTTCTCTCGTTGAAGAGAGCAGGATTGCAGGGAAAAGTTCAAACTCCCCAAAAGGATAAGCTGTTTAAGAATCCTCAAGTCCTTTTAAAGCCCTACTTTGTGCCAATTTCCACCTTTTACAAAGGGCTCCCATCCCCCAGCAAGGCCCCTCAGATGGGAATTATTGCCCACATTTTAAGGAGGGATGAGTCAGTTGCTTTGTAAACTGGTGTTGATTACAACTGCCTAATACGTTGCTGACGTGGAAATTCTGCCGATTGAACTTATTTATAAGGAAAGATGCCTGTCATTTTTAGTTAGAAAGGGTTTCTGCTGGGGAGGATTTAGTTGTCGTTCTGGCACAGTCTTGGGGTAAAACATTTTCCATAAACGTTTTCTGACTCCACAACTTCCCTCAGTTGGTTTTCCTCTCTGGATGTTCCTGCTGGCAAAGAGAGTGACAAGATTCCCTGATTCCCTTATTGAGGCAGTGACTCGAGCTGCTTTGTGGTTGGAACATCTTGGCAGTTGCAGGAGGGGCAGCCTCTGGGAGGACCTTTCACTCTGGCTCCAGAGAGAACAGGTCAGCCCTCAGGGTTGAGGGTCTGCTGGCACACACTCCCTCCCCTCGGGCTCAGCCCAGGCCTGCCCCAAAAGTAGTGCTGCTGAATGTCCCATCGACAGTGAGCCAGTGGCTTTGACCCCAGACTTGGAAACGCAGACAGTGCCGGGTCAGAGTGCTGGTTCCCAGCAGATGCTACTTCTTCCACCTGCACTTCATTTTACTGAAAATCTGAACTCCAGAGCCATACTACCTGGGTTCAAATCCCAACTCGGGTGGGATTAACACTGAACACTCTGCTTCAGTTTCTTCCTTTGTACAATGGGGATAAGAATGGTCATGCCTGTCTTATGGGGCTGTTGTGAGGACTAAATGATTAAAAATTTTAAAGCATTTAGAACAGGCCCTGGCACAAGGCGAGCCCTGCATTAAGTGATTGCTATGGTGATTTTTGTGACTATGAATTCATTCAACCAACATGGGTTGTATGTGTGGAGAGAGATGCTACTTCCTGGCAATCCAGGCGTTGGACTTAACCACTCTGGGCCTTGCTTTCCTCTTCTGTGAAATGAGGATAACAAAATTGTACATGCCACAGGCTGGTAGTGAGGACAAGGGGCTCATCGCAATGCCTGGCACGCAGTGGGTACTTAGGGACTCCTAGGCACTGAGATGATTATTAACATTGGTGTGACTGTGATTCCTACTGGCCATCAGGTCAGGTCCTCCATCGCTGCCCTTGGAGAAACTTAGAATCACCTTGGACAGACCCACTTCTGAGGCTACAAGTTCATCACTTAGGGTCTGGGTGGCCCTCATGTCCTCCTTGGATTCTCCCCGCCCCACCACCCTGGCACCCCCAACCTAGAACTGTGATCTGGCCCTTTCTGATGTGCCCCTCACCCCCCCATCCTCTCCTGGCTTTGGAAGGATGTTTCTCAAACATTGATCGGACCACTGGAAACCCCCAATAACTTCACCACTGCACATAGATTGTAATTCAAACTCCTCACAGGGGCCCTCTGCTCACATTACCACTTTATCTTGGGCCCTGTTCATCCCTCCCCAGTCCCACTGAGGCCAGGGGTCTCTTTGTCCCATTCATAAAGGCACATGAGAGGTGAATAAAAGTATAACAATGACCGCACATAGAGAGTGCTCAATAAACACTTGTAACCAAATAAACAGGTAGCTAAGCCCTGGCTTCGAGCATCCTTTAGAGAGAAGATGATGCATCTTTGTTATTATATAACAAAACAGGTTGAATTCCATGGTGAAAATTCCACTACCTGGTTTCCACTGATGGGCATGGGAAGCCTTTGTCAACCCATTTCAGGAGGAGGAGAGGAGCGACGTCACCGCCTCTCCCTGAGGATGGCTTGTGGATGGCTCTCCTCAACCTCCTTCCCCACCTATGCCTGTCAAAAGCTGCTGGGTTTAGATGCTCAAGTTTCTGTTCTGTATTATGGGTCATTTAATATTCAAGAGATGGCATTAAATAAATATGTGAGCAATTATGTAATGTGTTTGGAAACAATCTGGTTCGTCCCAAAGTGCTTGGGCAAGAAACCAAACTTTAGCGAAGCAAGAGGTCTGGGTGGTGTCTGAAGGCTGAACAGGGAGGCATGTGGCCCATCTGCTTGTTTGCTCCCTCCCTGAGTTGAGTCTGTGGTTACTCATCTTCAGGCAGGCACAAAGGCAGTAGGAAGCCAGTGATGCTTGCTTGCACAGTTAGAAGCTCAGGGTTGCATGCTGGCTGCAAAGTTTCTTCTCTCTGGGCATCAGTTTTCTCATTTGTGAAAAGGGCTAATGGCGGCTACTGGGAAGGTCAGATGAGATGGCAACTCTAAGCTCTGGCTCCGAGGACAAGCTTGTGCAACGTAAGTTGTGTCTGATGCTGAAAGATGAGCAGTGAGAGCTCTGATCTCTTACATGTTGGGTCCATGGGGCATGCACTCCAAGATTTGTATATCACCCTAATGTAAGGTTGGCCAAGCAAGGCAAATAGCAGAGGCCCCAAGAAAGGGCTTCAGGAGCACAGAGGAAGACATGGTTGATTTCAGCAAGGAGCCACAGAAATCTCACAGAGCTGCTGTATATGCTGGCTCTGGAAGGTTGAGTGGTGTTCTGGCCTCAGAGAGATGGCTGCCCCATTTAACTAACATGCATCATGCACCTAGAAGGTCTATTCATTTGGTAAGTATTTAATGAGCACCTACTATGTTCCAGCTACTCTGCTAAGCACTTTACATGAATCATCTGCAAAATGCCGTTTTACAGATGAGGGATCTGAGACTCAGAGGGGCTGTCCCAGTTGCAGAGCTAGTATTTGAACCTGGGACTGAGTCCAGCTGCCAAGCTCTCAATAACCAATAAACATACTACTGCCACTCCTGTCCTCTCTGTCAGCACTTAGCACATGTCCCAGTAAGCCCACCTGACTACCCCAGCTCCAACGCTTCATGTGCAGGCTGGGGCATGGCCCAGAGGGTAGAAGAATGAAGCAGGACCAGGTGAGGTGGCTGGCTTTTCATTCAGGCACCGGTCTATCCTCCCAGGGCAGAGGCAGTGTCAGATCCGCCTGGGCTCCCCAGTGCCAGTGCTGGGACAGACCCTGGATTGACAACCATCCACCATGTGACATGATGGGGCCTTCCTCCTCCACAGTCTACACCATGCTCCTAATTCAAATGCCATAGGGCTTCCAGGGAATTTCCCCAAACCAGCCCAATGTTGCATAAATAATACACATGTCCCCAATAGGATGACAGAGAGGACAGCTGCTTTTAAACACTGGGTTCCTGCTCAGTTGACCCTCCATTGGCAACCCCCACCCCCAGCAGCTCTCTTCCCAGGCTGATACCCCCCAGTCAAGCCCCCGTCTCCAACTCACCCCTCCACGTCTTCTGGTTAAATGAGAGGTGTCAGGGTCTGGAAACTGGGGCCCATGTCTTGCTGGCTCTAGGGACTGGGTGACGAAGTTCAGCTCTGGAAAAGGGGAAAGATGGCATTAGTTAGGGGTGGGTGACATGACAGGGACCCAGGTCAGAAAGGAGAAGGGAAGGTAACCGTGGTGTGGAGTGTCCCCGATGTGCTGGCTCTAGGCTAGGGATGGGTTTGACAAGGACCTGGCCCTTGCCTTCTGCATTCAGACCAGCCTGGGTGGGCTTTGCCCCTCCTGGGTCCAGAGACCATCTCAGGAGTGCAAGTCCACCTGCTGGCAGGGGTCTCTCTGTCTGATACTGGGAAGGTTGAGTGGCAGGCCCCAGAGAGAGGGCTGCCCCTTTCACTAACATGCATCGGGCATCTAGCCATTCTATTCATTTGATAACTATTTCATGAGCACCTACTACATTCCAGCTACTCTGGTAAACACTTTACATAAATTATCTTTGCTGGATCTTCATAAGATGCCACCGTTGTCCCCATTTTACAGATGGCCTGTGTGTGGCCTGTGAGGGCAGAGGGGGTGTGAAAGAGTGGTCACAGGTGTGTGCCCTGGAGAGACAGAGATACTTTCTTGGGCAAGTGACTTAAATTTCCTGAGCCTCCTTTTCCTCATCTGGAGGATAAAGATCATAATACCTATTTTTCAGGATTTTTGTGAGGGGTAACTAAAATATAATATGCATAAGTGCCGTGGGTCTTAGAAACGCCCGACAAACAGCAGCAGCAGAGGGCACTGGATGCTATAGGGCTCCCTATCAGCTTCCTTCTCTCTCTCTCTCTCAATCCATTTATTCATTTATTTGGTTTTTTTTTTTTTTTTTTTTTTTGAGATGGAGTCTCACTCTGTCATCCAGGCTGGAGTGCAATGGCATGATCTCAGCTCACTGAGATCTCTGCCTCCCGGGTTCAAGCGATTTTCCTGCCTCAGCCTCCCAAGGGGCCAGGATTACAGGCACATGCTGCCATGCCTGACTAACTTTTTTGTATTTTAGTAGAGATGGGGTTTCACCGTGTTGCCAGGCTGGTCTCCAACTCCTGAGTTTAGGTGATCCACCTTCCTAGGCCTCCCAAAGTGCTAGGATTACAGGCATGAGCCACCGCCCCCAGCCCTATTTGTAACTTTTTATTTTAAATAGTTATCGATTCAAAAGAAATTGCAAAGAAATGTACAGAGAGATCCCATGCACCTCCCTCCAGACTTCCCCAAGTTTAACTTGCACTACTGCAGCATGCCATAAAAACCAGTCTTGTGACATCATACAATCTACAGCGCTTGCATGCAGCAGTTTGATGTGTGTGTGTGTGTGTGTGTGTGTGTGTGTGTAGCTCTATGAAATGTTATCTGTAGTTTTGTGTCACCACCACCACTACAATCAAGATGTAGAACTGTTCCATCCCTACAAGGCTTCCTTGGGCTACCCTGTTATAGTCATGCCCCTCATCCCTAACCCCTGGCAACCTCTAGCCTGTTCTCCATCTCTCTAATATTGTTCTTTCAATGATGTTATATAAATGGAGTCATGTGGTATATAACCTTTTGGGACTGGCTTTTTTCATTCTGCAGAATTCCCTGGAGATTCCTCTAGGTGGTTGTGTGTAACAAGAGTTCGCTCCTTTTTATTGTTGGGTAGTATTCCCTACGTGGATGCATTACAGGTTGTTTAACTATCAATCAGTGAAAGGACATCTGTGTTACTCCTAGTTGTGGGGTATTATAAACATTTATGTAAGGTTTTTTGTGTGAACAAATTGTTTTCATTTGTTTGGAATAAATGCCCAAGAGTGCAATTGTTGGGTTGTATGGCAGTTGATTTTTCTTTTTTCTTTTTTTTTTAAGAAACTGTCAAACTGTTTTCCAGTATGGTAAATGACTGTAGCATTTTACATTCCCACCAGCAATGTACAAGTGGATCCAATTTCTCTGCATCTTCATCGACATTTGGTGTTGTCACTATTTTCTATTTTAGCCATTCTGATAGGTGTGTAATAATATCTAATTGAGGGTTTATTTTGCATTTCCCTAATGACTAATGATGTTGCACATCTTTTCACGTGCTTATTTGTCATCTATATATACTCTTTGTTGAGATGTCTTTTGCCCATTTTTAAATTGGATTTTTAAATTGCTGAGTTTTGAGACTTTTTTGTATATGTTAGATACCAGTACCTCATCGGTTTTGTGGTTTGCAAATATTTTCTTCTAGTCCATAGCTTAGCTTTTTATCCTTGTCACAGGATTTTTTTTTTTTTTGTCTTTTTATCCTTGTCACAGGATTTTTTTGCCTGTTTTATGGATTTGCTTTCCTCTTCTTCTTCTTCTGCTTCTCTTCTTCTTCTTCTTCCTCTTCCTGTCTTTCTTCCTCTCCTTCCTCCTTCCTCCTCCTCCTCCTCTTTCTCCTTCTCCTTCTTTTCCTCCTCCTCCTCCTTTCTTCTTTCTTCTTCTTCTTTTTGAGAAAGGGTCTCACTCTGTCACCCAGGCTGGAGTGCAGTGGCATGATCATAGCTCACTGCAGCCTTGAACTCCCAGGCTCAAGCAAACCTCCTGCCTCAGCCTCCTGAATAGCTGGGACTACAAGTGTGCACCACTATGCCCAGCTAATTTTATTTATTTTTAGTAGTGACAAGGTCTCACTAAGTTGCCCAGGCTGGTCCTGAACTCCTGGGCTGAAGCAATCCTCACACTTTGGCCTCCCAAAGTGTTGGGATTACAGGCCTGAGCCACCACACCCAGCCTCTTACTTTTTGTCTACAAGCTTTAGAGTTTTACATGTTATATTGAAGTCCATGGTCCATTATGAGTTAATTTTTACATGTGGTGTGAGACTTAGGTTGAAGTTATTATCATTTTCATTATTTTTTCCTACGGATGTCCAATTGCTCTAGCACCATTTGTTGAAAAGGTTATCATCTTTACTCCATTGAATTGCTTTTGTACCTTTGTTAAAAATAGGTTGGGCATATTTGTGTGGGTTTCTTTCTGGGTCATCTACTCAGTCCATTGATCTATGTGTCATATCTCTGTCAATACTACTGTCATGATTTCTATATAATAAATCTTGAAATCAGATAAACTGATTCTTCATTCTTTTTCAAAATTGTTTTAGATATTCTAAATTCTTTGCTTTTCCTTATAAATTTTATAATCTTTTCTACATCTATACTGATTTTTCTGAGATTTTGATAGAAATTGCACAGAACAGACATCTTTGCTATGTTAAGTCTTCCAATCCATGAACACAAGTCTCTTCATTTATTTAGGCTTTTAAAACTTCTTTCATCTGTGTTTAATAATTTTCATCATACAAATCCTATAGATTGGTTAAATTTATACCTATTTCATTTTTTTGAGTGATTGTAAATGGCATTGTATTTAAAATTTTGGTGTCCACGTATCCATTGCTAGTGTATGAAAATACATTTTTTTTTTGTATGCTTAGCTTGTATCCTGTAACTTTCCTGAACTCACTTATTACTTCTAGGAGGTTTGTGTTTTTAGATTCCTTGGGATTTTTATGTAGACAATCAAGTCATCTGCAAACAGGGAGAGTTTTATTTCTTCCTTTGAATTTGTATATGTTTTCTTGTCTTTTGCACTAGCTATAGCTTTTAGCACTATGTTGAATATAATGATGAGAGCTGGCATCCTTGTCTTGTTCCCAATCTCAGGGGAAAGCATTCAGTAAGTATAACATAGTTTTTAAAAATGCTCTTTATCAAGGTGAGGAAGTTTCTCTCTATTCCTACTTTTTCTGTGTTTTATGACGAATGGGTGTTGAATTTGCTTTTCCTACATTGATGGATACCATCATGTGATTTTCTTCTTTAGCCCGTTAATATGGTGGATTATATTAACTGGTATTTAAATGTTAAGCCAACCCTGCATCCCTTGAATAAACCCCACTTGGTCATGATGCATAATTCTTTTTACACAGTGTTGAATTCTGTTTGTTAATGTTTTGTTAAAGATTTTCACATGTATACACATGACGGATGTTAAGTCTGCAGTTTTGTTTGTATTGTCTTTGTCTGGTTTTGATATTATGATAATAGTAGCTCCTTAAAATATATTGGAATTGTTTCTTCCTCTTCTATTTACTGGAAGACATTGTATAGAATTGGTGTTAATTTTTTAAACACTTGGTAAAATTCTGCAGTGAAACTACCTGGTCCTGACAGATTCACAGCCGAATTCTACCAGAGGTACAAAGAGGAGCTGGTACCATTCCTTCTGAAAATATTCCCATCAATAGAAAAAGAGGGAATCCTCCCTAATTCATTTTATGAGGCCAGCATCATCCTGATACCAAAGCCTGGTAGAGACACAACAAAAAAAGAGAATTTTAGACCAATATCCCTGATGAACATCGATGCAAAAACCCTCAATAAAATACTGGCAAACTGAATCCAGCAGCACATCAAAAAGCTTATCCGCCACGATCAAGTTGGCTTCATTCCTGGGATGCAAGGTTGGTTCAACATACGCAAATCAATAAATGTAATCCAGCATATTAACAGAACCAAAGACAAAAACCACTTGACTGTCTCAATAGATGCAGAAAAGGCCTTCGACAAAATTCAACAGTGCTTCATGTTAAAACTCTCAATAAATTAGGTATTGATGGGACGTATCTCAACATAATAAGAGCTATTTATGACCAACCCACAGCCAATATCATACTGAATGGGCAAAAACTGGAAGCATTCCCTTTGAAAACTGGCACAAGACAGGGATGCTCTCTCTCACCACTCCTATTCAACATACTGTTTGAAGTTCTGGCCAGGGCAATCAGGCAGGAGAAAGAAATAAAGGGTATTCAATTAGGAAAAGAGGAAGTCAAATTGTCCCTGTTTGCAGATGACATGGCTGTATATTTAGAAAACCCCATCATCTCAGCCCAAAATCTTCTTAAGCTAATAAGCAACTTCAGCAAAGTCTCAGGATACAAAATCAATGTGCAAAAATCACAAGCATTCCTATACACCAATAATAGACAGAGAGCCAAATCATGAGTGAACTCCCATTCACAATTGCTTCAAAGAGAATAAAATACCTAGAAATCCAACACACAAGGGATGTGAAGGACCTCTTCAAGGAGAACTACAAACCACTGCTCAATGAAATAAAAGAGGACACCAACAAATGGAAGAACATTCCATGCTCATGGATAGGAAGAATCAATGTCGTGAAAATGGCCATACTGCCCAAGGTAATTTATAGATTCAATACTAACCTCATCAAGCTACCAATGACTTTCTTCACAGAATTGGAAAAAACTGCTTTAAAGTTCATATGGAACCAAAAAAGAGCCCACATTTCTAAGACAATCCTAAGCAAAAAGAACAAAGCTGGAGACATCACGCTACCTGACTTCAAACTATACTACAAGGCTATAGTAACCAAAACAGCATGGTACCAAAACAGAGATACAGACCAATGGAACCAAACAGAGCCCTCGGAAATAATACCACAAATCTACAACCATCTGATCTTTGACAAACCTGACAACAACAAGAAATGGGGAAAGGATCCCCTATTTAATAAATAGTGCTGGGAAAACTGGCTAGCCAAATGTAGAAAGCTGAAACTGGATCCCTTCCTTACACCTTATACAAAAATTAATTCAAGTTGGATTAAATACTTAAATGTTAGACCTAAAAACCATAAAAACCCTAGAAGAAAACCTAGGCAATACCATTCAGGACACAGGCATGGGCAAGGACTTCATGACTAAAACACCAAAAGCAATAGCAACGAAAGCCAAAATAGACAAATGGGATCTAATTAAACTAAAGAGCTTCTGCACAGCAAAAGAAACTACCATCAGAGTGAACAGGCAACCTACAGAATGGGAGAAAATTTTTGCAATCTACCCATCCGAAAAAGGGCTAATATCCAGAATCTACAAAGAACTTAAACAAATTTACAAGAAAATATCAAACAACCCCATCAAAAAGTGGGTGAAGGATATGAACAGACATTTCTCAAAAGAAGACATTTATGCAGCCAACAGACACATGAAAAAATGCTCATCATCACTGGCCATCAGAGAAATGCAAATCAAAACCACAATGAGATACCATCTCACACCAGTTAGAATGGTGATCATTAAAAAGTCAGGAAACAACAGGTGCTGGAGAGGATGTAGAGAAATAGGAACACTTTTACACTGTTGGTGGGACTGTAAACTAGTTCAACCATTGTGGAAGACTGTGTGGTGATTCCTCAAGAATCTAGAACTAGAAATACCATTTGATTCCGTGATCCCATTACTGGGTATATACCCAAAGGATTATAAATCACGCTACTATAAAGACATGTGCACACGTATGTTTACTGCAGCAGTATTCACAATATCAAAGACTTGGAACCAACCCAAATGTCCATCAATGATAGACTGGATTAAGAAAATGTGGCAGATATACACCATGGAATACTATGTAGCCATAAAAAAGGATGAGTTAATGTCCTTTGTAGGGACATGGACGAAGCTGGAAACCATCATTCTGAGCAAACTGTTGCAAGGACAGAAAACCAAACATTGCGTGTTCTCACTCATAGGTGGGAATTGAACAATGAGAACACTTGGGCACAGGGTGGAGAACATCACACACTGGGGCCTGTCGTGGGGTGGGGGGAGGGGGGAGGGATAGCATTGGGAGAAATATCTAATGTTAATGATGAGTTAATGGGTGCAGCACAGCAACATGGTACATGTATACATATGTAACAAACCTTCACGTTGTGCACATGTACCCTAGAACTTAAAATATAATTAAAAAAAAAAACTACCTGGTCCTGGGGATTTTTTTTTTAGGAAATTTAAAAATTACAAATTCAATTTCCTTAGTAATTATAGGGATATTAAATTATCTGTTTCATATTGGGTGAATTGTGGTAGTTCGTGTTTTTTGAGGAATTGGTCCATTTCTACTAGGTTGTTAAATTTATATGTGCAGAGTTGTTCATAGTATTCCTTATTGTATTGATGTCTGTGGGGTCTGTAGCGTTATTCTTTGTTTCATTCTCAATTTTGGTCATGTGTGTCTTCTCTTTCTGTCTTGTTCTCTTTTTGGTTAGTTTTGCTAGAATTTTTTGATGTTATTGATCTTTTCAAAGAAATATCTCTGTGTTTCATTGGTTTTCTCTGTCATTTTTTGGTTTTCAACTTTATCGATTTCTACTCTTAACTTTATTATTTCCTTTCTTCTGTTTGGTTTGGGTTTATTTTGCTCTTCCTTTTCTGGCTTCTCAAAGTAGGGGCTTAGATTGTTGATTTCAGAATTCTTTATTTGCTAGTTATGCATGATGCTATAAATTTCCCTCACAGCAATGCTTTAGCTGGTTCCACAAATCTTGATAGGTTCTATTTTAACTGTCATTCAATTTGATATATTTTTAAAATTTACATTTAGACTTTCTCTTTGGCCACAGATTATTTAGATATGCATTATTTAGTTTCTAAGTGATTGGATATTTTCCAAATATCTTTCTGTTATTGACTTCTGGTTTGATTCCACCGTGGCCAGAGAAAATACTCTCCATGATTTCAATTCTTCTAATTTTGCTAATGTTTGTTTTATGATCCAGGATATGGTCTACCTTAGCATATGTTCTGTGGGCGCTTGAAAACAGCATGTATTCTGTTGCTGTTACGGGGAGCATTCTATATGTGTTGATTAGATTTTATTGGCTCATGGTGTTGTTAAGTTCTTCCGTATTCCTGCTGATATCCTGCCTAGTTGCTGTATCAATTATTGGGAGATGAGTGTTGAAGTCTCCAATTGTAATTGTGGTCACTCCTATCAGTTTTTGCCTTACATATTTTACAGGTCTATTGTTTGGTGTACACATATTTAGGATTGCTATGTCTTCCTGATTGACCCTTTTATCATTATATTATAATAATATCCTTCTCTATCTCCAGTAATTTACTTTGCTCTGAAGTTGACTTTATCTGATATTTATATAGCCACTCCCACTTTCTTTTGATTAATGTTTGCATGTGATTTTTTCTATCCTTTTACTTTTAGCTTGCTTATATTATTACATTTGAAGTGAGTCTCTTGTAGCTAGCATGTAGTCAGTCATGTTTTTCAATCCACTCTGCCAATCTTTGTCTTTGAATTGGTGTATTTGGGCCATTGATATTTAATGTAATAATTGATATATTAAGGTTTAAGTCTGTCATTTTATATTTTGTTTTCTGTTTGTTCTTTCTGTATATATTTAGAACCACATCAGACTGTGTTACAATTTTTGCTTCAGTTGTCAAACATAATTTAGAAAACTCAAGAAGAGAAGGAAAGTTTATTGCATTTACCCATATTTTTGCTTATCATGTTCTTCCTTCCTTCCTGATGTCCCAAGAATTCTTTTTAAAAAATTGTCTCCTTTCTGTTTGGAGAACTACAGCCATTCTTTTAGGATAGGTCTTCTGGCAAAAAATTATCTTAGCTTTCCTTCATCTGAGAATGTCTTGATTTCTCCTTCATTTTTGAAAAATATTTTTGCTGGATATGGGACTCTGGGTTGATAGTTCTATTCTTTCAGCATTTGAGAAAGGTGCCACTTCCTCCTGACTGTAATGGTTTCTGAAGAGAAATCTGCTGTCATTCAAAATTTTTACGCCCATAGGTGAGATGTTCTTTCTCACTGCCTTCAAGATTTTTGTTTTGTTTTTAGTTTTTAGAAATGTATTTTTTGTCTTGATGTGGATTTCCTTGGGTTTAACCTCTTTGGAATTTGCTCAGCTTCCTGAATCTGTAGGGTTGGTTTGTGTGTTTTTACCAAATTTGGGATTTTTTGGCCGTTATTTCTTCAGGTACTTTTTCAGCCCCATCCTCTTTTTCTCACCTCCTTCCAGTAGTCCAATGACACGAGTGTTAAATCTTTTGTTAAATCAAGGCTCTGTTCATTTTGTTTTCCAGCCTGCTTTCTCTTTGCTATTTTGATTAGGTAGGTAGTTTCTATTGTTCTATATTTCAGTTCAATCATTCCTTCCTCTGTCCCTTCTGGTCTGCTACTGATTCCTGGCAGGCCCCTGGCTTAAGTCAGAACATAAAATTTAAAAAACTTGATGAATGTGCTTAATAGCAGACTGCTTTTGAACCTGAACTTGGACTTCCAACCTCCAGAATTGTGAGAAAATAAATTACTGTTGTTTAAGCCACCCAGTCTGTGGTATTTTGTTATGGCAGTCTGAGCTTGAATACACTGAGCTTGTTGAGTTTGGGAGTGTAGTGTCAAAGAAAAGTATCTACAATTATCTGAAAAGGCTATTAAAATACTCCTCCTTTTTCCAAAAACATGTCTATGTAAGGCTGAATTTTCTTCATATACATCAATTAAAACATCAATCATATCATAATAGATTGAATGCAGATGTGAATAGGAATCCAACTACCTTCAAGTAAATTGTTAAAGAGACTTGTAAAAATATGAAATAACTTTAATCTTCTAATTGTTTTTGTTTTGGAAAATATAGTTATTTTTCATAAACTATGTTACTTCTGTACCACAATAGATTTGTTATTGTTGTTTTTAAATGAATTAAGAAACAGTATTAAAATCAGTTTTAATTTCTAGTATTGTAAATTTGGAGAGATATAACCTACACAATCAACACTCTTTGAGTGTTCTTCATAATTTTTTTTTTTTTTTTGAGACAGAGTCTCACTCTGTCACCCAGGCTGGAGTGCAATGGCATGATCTCAGCTCACTGCAACCTCCACCTCCTGGGTTCGAGAAATTCTCCTGCCTCAGCCTCCTGGGTACCTGGGACTACAGGCACATGTCATCATGCCCGTCTAATTTTTGTATTTTTAGTAGAGATGGGGTTTCACCACGTTGGCCAGGCTGGTCTCCAACTTCTGACCTCAGGTGATCCGCTTGCCTCGGCCTCCCAAAGTGCTAGGATTATAGGCGTAAGCCACCACACCTGGCCCTGTTCTTCATAATTTTTAAGAACATAATGAGTCTTCAGAAAAGAAGTTTGAGAATTGCTGATTTAGGTCAGCATTTCTCAAACCTCAGTCAATCAAATATGACTGCCATCATGGTCACTATCTCTTCTATCATTGAGCTCATGAGTGTTTTCCCTAATCTGCTTGATTTAAGTTTAAACAATTTTCTTAAAGGGAAAATTTCATCATTACCATCGGTGCAAAACCAGTGCCACTCACCACAAATAGGAGATGAGCACAACAACGAATTACAAAGAAAACAACAGAACATCCTTATGTCTGACAGATCCTATCACCTGCCTAGGGGCCTAGGCCAAAAGTCTGGTCTCTCATCAAACAGAGTTTAACAAATATTTGTGGGGAAGGTCATTAAAAATAGACTACTTCCAGCAGAACCTTTTGCCTTGATGGACCTGGAAGACTGAAAGAGAACTGGAAATGGACTAGTTTTCCCATCAGGTGATGAGCTCTTTTTAATAACACCTAGTATCCTCTTAGATACCCTGGAAGTAGACACTCCACACTTTGGGAGGCTCAGATTTTAATGGCACCAAGATGAAGAGGTGTGTGGATCAGGCTCCCTTCACAAACGATGCTTCTGCCTCTTTGAAGGGGTGCACAGAAGAGGGCTCCACCTGTGCTCAAGAGCCCCAGATCACTGACCTTGGCAGCTAAGCCTGAGTTAAGTGCTCTGCAGCTCAGCCAAGCCCACAGATGATGCTCCTGACAGTCTTCCTCCAAAATCAAATCAGCTCATGTCCTGCAGACACTTCACTTCAAGCTATATTTGCTCAACTCTTGTTTCCACCCGCCCCTTCCAGAATTTGTTTTTCCTCCTGTGTTCCTTTACTAGGAAAATGGCACCATGGCTGAGAATGTCTCCAGCAGTATTGTTTGAAAGAGCCAAACCCTGGAAACAACCATATGCCCAACAGCCAGAGAATGAACCAATAAACTGTAATATCGTCATGGCAGGGAATATTGCACAGCTACGAAAATGCATAAACCACACCTGCAGGAACCACAGGGAGGAGTCTGAGAAACAATGTTTCCCAGTAGAAGAAAGTCGGAAAGAAGCGAGTCTCAGAAGATTACATACTGTATGATGCCATTTTAAAGGACTAAGACAAAAGTGAAACTAAATAATATGCGTTGTAAGCATACACACACATGAAAGAAAACCATTTTTAGGCCGGGTGCAGTGGCTCATGCCTGTAATCCCAGCACTTTGGGAGGCCAAGGCAGGTGGATCACCTGAGGTCAGGAGTTCGAGACCAGCCTGGCCAACATGGGGAAACTCCGTCTCTACAAAAATACAAAAATTAGCCGGGCATGATGGTGGGTGCCTGTAATCCCAGTTACTTGGGAGGCTGCAGCGAGAGAATCGCTTGAACTCAGGAGGTGGAAGTTACAGTGAGCCAAGATCGTGCCTTTGCACTCCAGCCTTGCTGACAGAGCAAGAATCCATCTCAAAAAAAAAAAAATTAAATAAATAAAAAATAAAAACAAAACAAAATTTAAAAACCCAACCATTTTAAGAAAAGCAAAGAAATGGTCTGTTTCCTCTGGGATTGGACAGAAATTTGCAAAATTGGAATATGCAGTAATTGGGAATGCAGACATCATTTGATCATAAAGATGTTCATCATGGTGTTCTCTTATTGTTAGCGGTGGTTTTTTTAAATCATGGCAACAATTTGGACACAATCTAAATGTCAAGTCCTAGGGGATTAGTTAAGTACATTACTGAGGAGTCATAGGATAGAATATTAGGCATCTATCAAAAAACATGTTTTCAAGTAATTTTTATGACCTAGGAAAATATCTTAATAACCTCAAATAAAAAATGCAGAGTAGAGAACTGAAATGATATAGGGTCTCAATTCACACGATTCCAACAAGAAAATTACTATGGTTATGGTATGCAAAACAAGATATAAGGGGAAAGATACAGTATTCCCCAAATGTCAATGTTGGTGGGGTTAGGATGTTTGATTCTTAAACAAAATGTCTTCATTTTCCTCATTTTCTATAGTAAACGTGCATGGAAGAAACCATGTTAGTACGCACACAGGCACATGCATGCCGGAGGCCAGTTGTGCATGCAGCAGGCTCTCTGTGTGCCAGTCTCTCTTCCACACCCATCTCTCAGCCTCCCCAACTGCCCCCTGGAGCTGGGATTCTGCGCAATAAGACCCCATCTGCCTGACTCCAGCAGGAGGCAAGACAGGGAGGTAGCACGCTGAGAACCCTCTCCCCATATCCACTTCTTTACCACCTTCAGCCTCCCCTACAAATGATGCCTGTGTGTCCCCCTCACCCACCTTAGCCGGACACCTCCTTCCCTTGGGCCCACCCTGCCCAGCCCCTCTGTCCAGGGTTACCTACTCAGAACAAAGAAAGGGGCCTGTTCCCAGGACTTTGCCTGGTCCCGCCCCAGCTGCCAACCTCTCCACCCCGCTGGGGCCACTCAGCCCCTACATGGGGTGTGAAGGGGCTGCACCTTGGACAGCTCCATTCCAGACCCTGACTTGGGCCTGCAGGAACTCCTCCCTTCTGAGGTCCCTACCTTCCTATGGCCTCTTCTTCTCAGAGCTATAAATTAGCCCCCAAAGTCCCACCACCATATATTCATCTTCCTCTGAGAGGCCACTAGCCTGTCAAATTGATGAGGTACAACCTATTGATCTTGCAGCCTCCACTTTACAATGGGGAGACTGAGGCTCTTAGAGGAAGACCTCGTATCTGAGAGCACACAGCTAACGGTGATGAAGCCAGGATTTGAGCCCAGGCGGTGGGTCTTCCAAAGCCAATAGATTAATGCTGTCCCATCCTCCAGACCCTCCGCTGCCATCAGTGAGCACTGAGCATCTGCGCAATGTCCTCTCTGAGTCAAAAATAGACCCCAAGGCTCAGTTCTGCTGTGCCATCTGCCACACACCAACTCAGAGGCAAAAATGTTGACTTGCTGCAGAGACGAACACTCCAGCAGCCGGGAACTGAGCAGCGAGAGGCCCCTGTGCCCTCCGAGACTTTACTGGCTGGGGCAGGTCAATTGTATCGGTCTGGGGAGAGGAGAGCAGCTCGGGTCAAGGGCGGGGGCAAAGAGGCAGGCGGGTACAGCTCACAGTAGATGTAGGAAATAGCAGTGGGCTGGGACTCAGCGGCTCTGGTTGGGGCCCAGAACCGACTGCCACTGAGGCTGTGTGGCCTCAGGCAAGTCCTCTCTCCTCTTTAGGTCTCAGTTTCCCTGCTACAAGGGGTTGGAACATGAGTCCTTTCGGGCCTGGTAAAGTCATATTCTATGGTAGTAAGACACAGGGGGCTGTCTTCACATTCCTGGCCCTTGAGGATTTGACCACACGCAACAGGGAGAAAGGATTCTTAGAGAGAGGAAGTCGCTGGCCCACGGTCACACCTTTCCTAACAACAGCAACAACAGTAACGACAATGGTCGTATCTCCCGCTCCATAAGACACAGTTGGCTTACATTTCCCAAAGCACTCTTATGCCCATTATTCCACTCACTGTACCCATTTCACAGATGAGAAAACAGGCCCAGAGAGGGAGAGAGAGTTGCCTAAAGCCACACAGCTGGTCCGTGTCAGGGAAGACAGATCCTTGTTCTCATGCATCTGTTCCATGAAAGTTCTGAATATTAGTCCTCAGGGAGGCTGCAGGCATGGACTTTCCAAGTCCCTGTCTAGGGAAACTGAAGTCCCTTGTAAGGCAAAATCATCTTATGCCAAAGTGGAAGGGAATCTCCCCAGGAAATTTCTCAGTTTAGACATTTGCTGAACATGTTTCCTATGCTACAAAAATACTCACTGGGCATCCCAGCTGGACCATTTTCCCAACACCCTCCACATGTGTGACACCCCTTTCCATGGCATTTGGGAGGAGCACTGGGCAAGGAGTCTGGGCACTGCCTCTGTCATTTCTTATTCATCTTCTGTCCACCTGGTGGGGTCACAAACATTGGAGGGCTGGTCAAGCTCATGGCTGTGTCCCAGCACCTGACACTCAGCAGGACCACATCACCGTTTGTAGACTGGTGATGAGGTTCTAAGGAGTAGAGCCCAAAGGCATCTGTTTGTATCACACAGAGAGTGCTAGGAAAAGCCCCTGAAGGCTGCCACTCATAAGGGGCTTAATCTGTGCCAAAGACCATTCTCCAAGCTATATAGAAACGAACCCACTTAATCGTCATAGCAACACTAAGAGCTGGTGCAGAGATGCTGTTATTTCCTTGTCCACAATCCCACAGATCTAACCACCATGGGGCAAGCTGGTTTGATACCACACACAGCATCTGCCTGAGCATGTTCTTTGGTGAGCACATGCAACTCACCAACCCCAGCAGCTCTCAGCCAATGATTGACGGGTGTTGGGAGTTGGTGTATA
The DNA here is from genome assembly GCF_000001405.40 of Homo sapiens. Lineage (NCBI taxonomy): Eukaryota > Metazoa > Chordata > Mammalia > Primates > Hominidae > Homo > Homo sapiens. Next base: position 10,548,462 of record NC_000003.12, read on the forward strand.
GATAGTGTATAGATATCCCAGCTCTGTTCCCTCTCAGCTAATGATTGATGGGTGTTGGCAGTTGGTGTATAGATAGTGTATAGCTATCCCAGCTCCCTTCCCTCTCAGCTGGGAAAACCATGAGCTGTGGGTTTTACACTAGCTCCCAGATCCAGGTGCCCACAGTGATAATTAACTTGCTTGATAACACCTTGTTCCCTTTCCTGTCTCACTTCCCTACTCCCCTACCAGCATTCCCACGCCTCACAAATAAACTACTTGCACTTGAATCGTCATCTTATGATCTGCTTCTGGAAGAACCCAGTCTAAGGGAGGAAGGCACCAATATTATTCCCATTTTAGTGGGAAGAAAGCCAATGCTTAGAGTAGAGAAAATGACTTTCCCAGCGTAACATGGAAAGCTCATATTTGAACCCAGGCTTGTTTAGCCTCAGAGGTTTTGTTTTAATCATTACATATGCCAGGAAGATGGAACTAAGAGTGAGACTGAGCATCTAATGAGATAAATGACCAGGTCCATTCATTTATTCAAAGACTTTTTATTGAAATCAATTGCCTGTCAAGCCCCAAACTAAGTGCTGAGGGTACACTGATTAAATGCACTGGCTCTGGGATTGTGGGGATCAGGTTAAAACCATGTGCCAGCTGTGTGACATGGGTGAGTGACTCAACTTCTCCTATGAATCATGATTTGTTGTCTGTCAAATGGAGGTGCCTGAGCCATGTGGCTTCCTCCCCTGAGTTCTAGCATCACTAGGTAAGGTCAGATGCCCCTCCTCAGTGGCCCCCTTCCCTGTGCTGGCCTTTGTTCACCACCCTGTGCTGTACTGTTCACTTTTCTATCTTCCCTGGACTCTGAGAGCTCCCTGCAGGCAGAGTCTTTGTCACATCTGTCTCAGCACAGGGCTTGGCAGGGAGCACAGGGCAGGGGTTTGAGATGGTTGAGAAAAAGAAAGAAAATGTGCCTACCACACAGGTTCCTGGGAGAGCAAACAAGCTCATGCATATAAATAAGTGCTCAATGTGTGTTATCTGTAAGATGATGGCGACACTGGTGCTGAACATTGGAAAGTGAGAGGCAGCAGCAATACTAGCATGTCCTATCACTTAGGCCAGCCAGTGGTGAAATAAATCCGAATTGCAAAGAAGTTTAAAGTTTGCATTTTCCATACTTTTTATTCCTTTCTCTCTCCTTCCCTACCTCCCTCTCTCCTTTTCACTTCCTTTTCTGTTTTCTTTCTTTTTCTCAACCATCTCAAACCCCTGCCCTGTGCTCCCTGCCAGGCCCTGTGCTGGGACAGAAATGACAAAGACTCTGCCTGCAGGGAGCTCTCGGAGTCCAGGGAAGATAGAAAAGTGAAGAGTACAGCACAGGGTGGTGAACAATGGCCAGCACAGGGGAGGGGCCCACTGAGGGGCCCACTGAGGAGGGGCGTCTGACCTTACCTAGTGATGCTAGAACTCAGGGGAGCCACATGGCTCAGAGAGGTTAAGTCACCTGCTTAAGGCCACATAGCAAGAAAATGGCCTGACTCCAAATCCTATATATTTCTCATATCTTGCTATGGGATCACATTCTGTCAACAGCCCAAAGAAGCAATAATGACAATGACTTGTATCACATGACAGGTCTTGGGAACTTAGCCCAAGGGAGTCTCTTGTGGCTGGCTAGCTACAGAGAATAGAGCCTCTGAAATTTCAACAGAAAAAGCAAGTGAAGATCTGAGACCAATATGAAAGCAATAAGTGTTTACTACAGAGGCTGATAAGACATATTAATTTTTTTTCTGAAACCTAGAACGGAAGTAAATAGCAATAATGCAACAGAACAATTTCCTGAAGATCAGGACCATATTGGAATGTAGACAGAGTGTTTTACCTGGCCATGGAATAGTATTGGTTTCTTTTTCTTCAGTCTCCTCAAGATGAACTTAACTATATAATAAATTTTGATTTTTCCCTTTTTTATTTAGCATAGAAATAAACTTGATCCTAATATTATAGACCAGTTTTTTTTACACCCCAGAAAGCACATTTTTTGTCTATGTGATAGTTTTTTAAAAAGGTCTAGTGCCCTCTGAAGTACAGCTGCATCAAACATTTCTCCCTTCCAGCAGGACACATTCTCAATGCTCCAATGAAAGTCAACAGGAGTACAGGTTCTGATGCACAGAAATCCATTTCACGGGAACCCTGTCAAGTCTTAATGTATCCCTCCAGGATCCCAGGCTGCCTGGGCACCAGCTTCACACACTCCTCTGATTATAGCAAGGATCAATGTCACCCCGGTCTATGGAACGAGTTGCAGAAGAGTTTTAAATAGTAGGAAATCCATGCCGGGTGAGGTCATGGTGAAGGCGAAGGGGAAACATTCACAGTTGTTCTGGGAGAGACAGAAGCTGTTATGCACGGTCGCCAAGGCCTGGCTGCAAAGTAAACCCTCCAATCAGGCAGGTTGCTGGCAGGATACGGCCCGGCCTGCTGTTCCTGTGGCTGAATGGTACAGTCTGGTTTTACCCAACTTGGATCAGGCAAGTTTGAGGCTCAGACAGCACTGAGGCAGGTGGGAATGTGTGTGGAGACCTTCTGCTCCCTCTACTCTCATTTAGGTCTCTTTCTGGCCTGGGCGAATGTTTTACGAAGGGGACTCCAGCCAGAGACAGCAGGGCATACCAAGTCGCTCAAATAACTACACGTATTTTCTACTGCCCCCTTCTCCCAACACATAGCCTCCTGGAGCTCAGCTCCTATTCTTAAGGAGCTCATGGGACAGTTAGAGTACCTGATGGAGGAGTGATCAGTGAATTCAGTGGGGGAAAGATGAGAGACGCAGCCTGCAGTGAAGCAGGTAGTATGGCTTTAGGACCTGGCAAGGCAGTGGTGAATGGACGTGCCGATTATCAAGCCCACCATGGGCACAGATGGGGCCAAAGCGGCCAAGCTCAACGTCTCAGATGCGGATCTGTGATCACTGTCAGTGCTACTTGCAAGATACAATCCCTGATGCAGTTCCTTCCTCTGTAACACCCCACTAACACGCATGCATATTCCACAGCCCTGCTTTGGCAATGCAAAGTTTTGTATAAAGAAATATTTTGCTGTAAACATATTTCTATTCTAGGCTAACTCAGATTTAGAGATAGATTTTTCTTTCCTTTTAAGAAATCAAGAGTTCAAACCTTCAGCCCGGCAACTGTACACAATTGCTCACAATTATGTTTCATTCAAACAAGAACACAATGTATCAATCATATTTACCTGTTTTGGTCTGTCTCCAATTCCAAAAGCTACCTTGGTCTGCCAGTAAAGGGGAGTCACATCTGGGAATGTCCTGGCCATGTGACCCCAAGCATGTCTCACTTTCCCCATCTGTTGAAAAGGGGACTCTAGCTTCTTCCTGGGCTGTGGGAAGCAGGACATGAAGTCTAGGCTGGGCCAGCTCCCTAGGGCCCTCAGCAAATGGAAGTTGCGAACATTAACGCTGCTTTTGAACAATGCCAAGGTTGCATAAGAAATGTAGCCATGCCTATCATGGGGCTGGGTTTGGGCTTTCTGTAACACTGATTCCGAACAATGTCAAAAGTTGCATAAGGAACCTCACTGTGCCTATCCTGGGGCCCAGTTTTGGCTTTCTAGAGCTCGCCTGTGGCAGCATTTCTGCAGCCGGAGAGGGAACACCCTTCCCACGGCCGCCGCCTCGGTGCCGGTTGGTGACTCATAGCACTGGCGAGGGGCGTGGGCGGGAAACCACATAGGCATCACCATGGCATCTGACAGATTTGCCCCTGTGGAGCTACTCTGTAAAGAAAAGGGGAAGAGGGGGCCCTTCTCCTCCTGCAAGGTGAGTGGGGCACAGAGGGAACAGCTTTCGTCAGCCGAACCCCCTTGCTGCAACGTGGCTGGAAGCCAACCTTAGAGAAGGTGGCAGCGTCCTGCCTTCCGCCCAAAGTGAGTGCTGGCCTGGCTCCTGGGGTGAGGGAAAAATCCCATCTTGTGGGTGCTGCCCTCCATAGCTCCCTCTCACACAAACACGTTCAAAGTCTTCTCACATACTTAACATCAGAAAGGCAATCCAGAACCTCCCATTTGTGAGCAACAGCTATGTGCTGGGTTGGCTCCCCTCAGCACTGCTTTTATGTTATTTGCTTCCTTCCATCCTCAGGATGACTTGTTCTTATCTCCTCTTACAAATGAAGAAACTGAGGCTAGAAGTTGCCCGAGGCCACAGTGCTGCCCTGAGGCAGAGCTGGGGTTCCAACCAAGATGTGTTCCCTGTGCTCAAAAATGGGTCAGGAAATTTACAAATGGGTGTCTGTGGGCATGTGAGAAGCAGGTGAACTGGAGAACATCCAGGAAGTGCAACTGCTGAGGCCACAGACAGCTCAGGGCAGAAACACTCATTTTAGGCAGCTGTCACTTTCCAAAGGACTTTCTATGTGCTGTCTCATTTACTTTCCATAACAGTTCTATGAAGTGGGAGCTAACATCTCCATTTCGAAGGCAAGGAGGCAGAGATTGAATTGCTCCTCAAGGGCATCCAACTGCTCTGTCCTCTATGGCCTCCAGCCTCCAGTTCCCCATCTGTGCAATGGGAATATATTAAAATCACACCTTCAGATGATGTCAGGGTTAAATGAGGGAACATAACAGAAATGCTTTAGAAACTGCAAAATGCCACCGGAATTCTATGGAGTATTATTATTTACTAAAATAGCTTAGTGAAGACAACACAAATAAGTCTGAGAATTGCAAGGTTCTAGATTCAGACCTAGATTTCTGCAGAGTGTTTAAGCGGTGTTCTTTCCCGGACTGGAAGCTCCTGAAAGCAGGGACCACGTCTGGTTTGCCTCAGTTTCCTCAGCGCCCTGTTCCATGCCTGACACAGAGAGGGACCTTGAAAAAGCTAGGTGAAACTATTCAGGATTAATTCAGACTGGGAAAGAGGGTGGAGGGGAAGAACAATGGGATTGAGGGCTGGAAGTGGCCTTTTAGAGGTGGGTGACCAGAAGGTTGATGTTCCAACTCTTGAGAATGAAAACGCCTCTTTTAATAGTCTTGATAAAATGGAACTGTTCTGGGCCAGCAGGGACATACAGTCATACTACTTAAATATTTAGTACTTATTTAGTCTGATCCCCATGTTGTGGGGGAAACTGAGGCCCTCAGAGGATTGCAGAGCTGGGGGGGAAACCCAGGACTCCCTGCCCCTCCATAGGCCTGCTCTTGGAAGAGCCAGAGCAGCAGCTCGGAGTGGGTGGAGCTTGCTTTTAGTGCCTGCAGCTCTCTGGAAGGAACTGGGTGTTATCGAGATAATCCAAAGTTTCTGTTGGGTAAATATCAACACTTCTGGGCCCGTTACTAAGGGCCTGGGTGGTTGCTAAGCGGCCCTATGACCTCATGAGGGGGCCATTGTTTAGCACTCAATAGGCATCCTTGAGTGACATCCCCCAGCTCCCAAATCCCAGGGGCCCCTGGGGTTTTGTGAAAAGAAGCAAGAGATTATAATGAGCAGGAGCGGTACACAGACCCACGTTTGTTTTCTGGGGGTCTAGTGGGGCGGGGGTGGGGGCTGCAGCTTTTCAGAACAAGGCATAGGAAGGCATGAGGGCCCGGTGAGAGGCTGCCAGCTGCCATTGCTGGCAATAGAAATACCCCAGGAATAAAGAATTAACCCCATGTATGGCGCTTGACCCTTTGTAACCCACCTGAACACTCATCCTCTCACTTTGTTTTCAAAGCAGCCACACCATTTCACAGAAGAGAAAAAACTGGGTCCAAAAAGGGGAGACAGCTTGCCCAAGGCCTCTCAGAAATGTCTCAGTTTCCAGGTGTGGAAGGCAGAATAATGGCTGCACAAAGACACCCACATCCAAACCCCCAGAGCCTGTGAATATGTCAGCTTATGGCAAAGGGAAATGAGGGTGCAGATGGAGTGAAGGTGTCTCACCGCTGACTTTAAGACAGGGGAGATCACCCTGGATGATCTGGGTGGGCCAATGGAATACAAGGACCTTTAAAAGTGGAAAAGGGAGGCAGAAGATTCAGTGTCTGTGAATCAAGGAAATAGGCAGCCTCTAGAAGATGGAAAAGGCCCAGAGACAGATTCTTCTCCCCCGCAGCCTCCAGAAGGAATGTGGCTCTGCCTCGATTTCAGCCCGGTAGAGCTGTGTCAGACTTCTGACTACAGAACTGTCAGCTGATCAATTTTAAATCCCCTGGTCTATGGTTTTTTGTTACAGCAGCAATAGTAAGCTAATACACCACACTTAGAAATCTGCAATGCCTAAGCCAGAAGCAGGGCCTTGAAGATCACATTTAGCTTTTTGGAGTTCAGAAAACAGAAGGCCCAGGGGAATAAAATGATTTACTCAAGGTCCCAAAGCAAGTAACACAAACAGTGACAGGCACCTCTGGGTGTGGGTCAGACCTTGTTGAGGCTACTGAGGCCACCTGCCAGGGAGTTGGAACTTCTAGGCCCCTTCCCTGCCATTCTCTGCCAGCTGGCCTGATCAGGACCCCAGACCCCAAACCTATCCCCTCTGAACCTTTCTTGGGCACAGGCAGGTCAGAGGCCCATTATGTGACAGGCAGGAGGGTACTCTCCTCCTTTTCGCCCCTGCCAAGCACAGGCAGCCCAAAGCCTATGGCCTCAGTGCCTTTCTTTGAAAATGGGAATAGCACCTTCCACATCAAACGGCAAGGATAAAATGTGAGCACACAGTAGGTGCTCAATGCCTGCTCTTAGATTTCTCTCAGCCAGGCCCAGGCCCTGCTCTGTGTTTCACAGCAACTGGCTGTTTCCTCTCAGCCTTCTTTGGAATCTGAGGGCTTCATTCCCAGAAGGGCATTATCTCTGCCCAGCACACAGGAGTACAATGATTGCCTGTTGAATGGACCACAGGATTAACACCTATTATGCTTCTGTCTCCTCCCCTTCACCTAGAAAACTCCTATGTATCTGTCAAGGTCCAGAGCAAATGCTGCCTCCTCCGGGAAGCCTTCCCTGACCTCCCTGTGCAAGGTCACATTCATCTCTTTGTGCTGGGCTTCTGGCTTCCTTGTGGCACCTTGATGTTGGTGCTAAGGGCTCCAGCCATGGTGGCCAACACATCTGGGCTCCAATGCTCCAACACATCTCTGGCCCTGACAGAGTGATTCTTGACTAGTTATGCCTCTTCTCTGAGCTTTGTCTCTTCCCCTGTTGAATGGGAGGAATAGCAGCACCTCCATTGTGGGGCTGGTGGGGAGAAGCCCATAAGATGCTGTGTGGGAAGGGTTCCTTACAGGGTCCAGAGTGAGCATGCAGCAAAAGGCAGTGGCTGTTTTCACTAGAATGGCTGCTATCATCCCAGATGCCTGCATAGCTGGCCTGATTAGGACCCCAGAGCCCAGATCCCACCTTCTCTGTGGCTTTCTTTGTGAGAGACAGGTCAGAAGCCCTCTTATTTTATTTTGGAGATGGAGTCTTGCTCTGTCACCCAGGCTGGAGTGCAGTGGCACAATCTTGGCTCACTGCAACCTCTGCCTCCCGGGTTCAAGCAATTCTCTTGCCTCAGCCTCCTGAGTAGCTGGGATTACAGGCACCCACCACCACGCTTGGCTAACTTTTGTATTTTTAGTAGAGACGAGGGTTTCACCATGTTGACCAGGCTGGTCTCAAACTCCGGACCTGAAGTGATCTGCCCTCCTTGGCCTCCCAAAGTGCTGGGATTATAGGCGTGAGCCACTGTGCTTGGCCAGAAGCCCATTTTATGACAGGCAGTGCTCACGGAAAACCCAGGTTCTCCAGGCCAGGGATATGTCTGATTTGTCTATGTGACTGCTCTCAAATTTTTACTGAGCACCTAGTAGGTATTAGGCTCTCCACTAGCACTGGGGGGACAAGGGTGAACAAGGTCTCTGCTCCCTCGAGCTGTCTTTCTAGTGGTGGGGGAGACAAATGCTGAACAAACTAAACATTAAATAAAAATTGACTGTGTCAGGAGAGGATTGCCGTTGTGAAGCACAAGGCAGGGCGAGTGGCAAGTGACAGGAAGGGCTTCTGTCTTATAGAAGGGGGCAGGGAAAGCCTCTCTGAGGACGCGGCCTTAAGCACAGACTAGAGTGAGCAGCACAGATGTTTGGAGAAGAAGGCTCCTAAGGGAGGAGAAGAGCAAGGGCGAAACCCCTGAAGGTGGGGTGTGCCTGGCGTGTTTGAGAAACTGCAAGGACACCACATAGTGTGTGCTCAGAGAACAGATGCAGAACTGAAATGTTATTCTGTCATTTATATTGTTTTATTAAACTTTAATTACTCCTATTTATGTATTCTTTCTTATTTTATTAATAACAAACTCATATTCATTGAGCCTCTTTCACATATCTTGTCACTGAATTCTTACAGCAACCCTCTGGGGTGGGTACAATTGTCCCTATTTTGCAAGTGTGCAAAAGTGAGGCTCAGAGAGGTGAAGTGCTTTGCCCAAGGTCACATAGCTGGTAGGCAGCTAAGTCAGGATTTGAATCTCAGACTAGGCTATATTTCAGTTCATGCTTTTTTTCTTTCTCTCCAGACACCAGGCTGTGATGGTGGTGAAGCCCCCAGACTGTCCTGCCATGAGTCACTCTGAGTCCCGAGAAGTGGTTCCCTTCTCCCTCTCCTGGCTAGGTGTTTCTAATTGGCATCTCTGGCCTCCCAGCCTTGGTCTCTGCTCTGAGATGCAGAGGTAAATATGCAGCTTGGGCCCTGGGTGGCCACTGCGTTCTGGAAGGCACAGTTCCAGGGGCCCAGAAATGTCACCCACTGAGGAGATAAATGAAGATGCCAGAGAGTAGGCAGACGCTTGGGAAGTGTGAACTTTTGAGGACTTATAAAAAGTTCATCAGAAAAGTCAAGCTGCCGATGCTTTGCCAGATGGGCTTGGGTCTCTCACCGCCTTTGCGGCATCTGGGCTGCCTGGACGAAGCTAGATTCCCAGGGAGTTTGTGCCCCTGCTGCAGCATGATGGAAGGAGGCAGGAGAGCCTTCTGGTAGGAAAGCCGATGCAGGAAAGGTGGACAGAGCTCCTGGAGAGGTCTGGCTGGAGTGAGACCCAGGAGCTGGGGTTCCTAGAGGAGCAGGCACTGGAGCTGGCCTCTTGGGAACAGAGGAGAAACGGACTGGGCATTTAGGCAGGGACTGCAGGGCACAGTCACTGAGGGCTGAGTTCAGGGAAGGAAGAATGGTCTGAAGTGACTGGAGTGGGGCCTGTGTACCAGAGGGTACATTCTACACCATTATTCTGTTTTTATCTTTCACCCACTGTCATTTATCTCAGTACCTGGCAGGCATGGGTTTGAACTCCAGTCCGTGTGAGCCTGCAGTCCATGCTGTTGCTATACCATCCTGCTAAGAACAGGAAGGTGAGTCATCATGGTGGCAAGGACCAAGCTTATAGGGGAGGAGGGCAAACTCGAAGATCAAGTGGTGTGGCCAGGCATGCCTCCAGTGTGGGGATGCATCTTGGTCAGAGATGGTAGCATGAAGGCCCCTGGCCAGGCAGTGATACAGGGACATAATGTAGAAATAAGGCAAGACAAGGAAGGAGACGACAGGTCATCAGTAAGCTCCCAAGCAGACTGAAGTGTGCTTCTGGCATGTCCTCAGAACTTATTCTCCATATAGATGCCAGTGGGGCCTCTGCTGGCATTTACCTCCTTCTTTGGGTCAGAGCAGCTAGAACTGCCTTTGGGGAAATGCTCAACCCCCCAGCACCCGCACTCTCAGACTGTGAGGCTCTGATGGGGCTGACCCTGTTGGTGCTCCCAGGATGGGTATGATTCATCCCAGCCTTGACCAAACCAAGCTGTGTAGCCTCCAGCTAGTGACTGGTTCATGGAAGTGCACGTGGTCTGTGAGCCACTGAGAGGCAGCCCTAAGATCATTGCTAGGACTGCAGGGAATTAAGTGCTCCCTTCTCTTTTTCTGCTCGGTTGGCTAAGCTAGGAAGTCACCTAAAGCTTCTGAGAAGGTGGGAGGAGGGGGGCACTTTTACCACCACGCAAGGAGAGGATGTCTGAGGGTGAAGCCAGCATAAGGGAGTCAGGACTGAGAGATGGAGAGGAAGGGGTGAATACATTCTGGACATCTTCCCAGTCCCTGGATCCAGCTGTGCCTGAAGCCTGACCTCCTATGACTGTTCAGTTACTCAAGCCAATAAGTGGAATAATGGAAACCCCCAGTTTAACCCTTAAACCCCTTTGTGCTTAACCCAGTTTGAGATGCATTTGAGAGAAAGACTCCTAATGTCTACAGCTCATAGCCTTTTTGGAACAAGAAAGAAAGAACGGAACTCAGAAGCAAAATATGGAGAAAGATGGATGAGGGGAGAGCACGGAATAACAGCAGGAGAAGGAAAGGAAGACAGGAGAGGGGAGGGGAGGAAAGAGGAGAGGAGAGAACGAGTGAGGAGAGTAACAGAAGGTGGCCCTGCACCCTCCAGGAGTGAGGCCAGCTGCTCCTGTCACCTCCTCTGCTATTTATATACCTTGTGGCTCTCAACATAACCTCACACCTGTTATCCCTGCCCTTCAAACACTAATTTGTTTTCCAACATTTCAGAAATGCTTTTCTTCCCTAAGAAACACTCTCTGCTGATCCAGGCTCCTCAGTTTTGAAATGCAAGTCCCCCCAGGAGGGGTAGTAAGATGAACGATATTAACTGCTGATGGGTGTGATGCTTTCATTTACAAAGCATTTTCACACTTTATTTAAGCTTGGAGTGAGCTCGTGGAAGTAGAGAGTAAAACTGTGGCTATTAGAGGCTGGGAAATGTAGTGGGCGGGGAGGATGGGGAGAGGTTAGTTAATGGATAGGAGGAATAAGTTGTAGTGCTTTATAGCACTATCGGGTGAACATAGTTAACAATAACTTATTGCACATGTTCAAAAATCTGGAAGAGAGGATTTTGAATGTTCCCAACACAGAGAAATGATAAACGTTTGGGGCGATGGATATGCTAATTACCCTGATCTGCTCACTACACACGTATGGAAATACCACTCTGTACTCCATAAATATGTACAATTATTGTGTGTCCACTAAAAAGAAAAGGAAAAAAAAAACTAGTGAATTAGACAGGGAAGTCTTTAGGCCTATTTTACAGATGTAGATCCAGGGTACAGAGAGATGTGCTCAAGGTCACCCAGCCCAGGGTGCTGGAGTTTGCCTCCAAGCCCCCCGACTTCCAATCCCAGCTCTCTGAGAAGCTCTGGGAGTATGGAGATAATCTGCACAACTCATTGGCTCCTCAAGATTTATCTTGGGCTTGAGGTTTAAAGAACATCCAAGGAGACACAAGTTCCACCAGTGGTAACTCTGCACGTGTTCCTTCCGCGGGGAGCTCAGAATGAGTCCCGGGTATTCCATTTCCAGAGAGAAAACGATTTAAAGATGCAGAAGGCAGTTCAAATGCTAGGGCTAGCTGAACACTCTTTCAAGTTTCTACACTGAGTGATATGGTTTCTGTTTTGGGAGGAGTAAAGTTGCTCCGATTTTAAGGAGCTGCCAACACGAAAGATGCTGGCCTCTTGCAGCCTTTGATCACAGTGCATTTCACTCTGACTTCTCAAACCTTAACAGTTGGCCCAGACCCTTTCAAATCTAGCAGGCAATTAAATTTTCACAAAAAGAAGTAGAAACTCTGGGGATAATGAGATGGGAGCAACTCAAAGGCAGTCGCTGGGCTTCTGAACAAACCAGCGAAAGGCATCGTGTAGTAGCTGTCTTTTATAATGGCGTGTCGCAGGCAGGCCAGGGCGGGAAACCTCATGTGCTAGAGCTCCACAGTAGGAATGTTCCAAGCTTCTGATGACGGCTGGAGTCAGCCCAGGGCCTGTCCTCCCAGGACGGATGGAGCTCAGCAGATGTTCCTGGGAGGTGCGGCCAACCTGGGGTACCTCACTGAGGCTCTCACTCTGATGTAATCAGAACACCAAAGGAACATCCCCTCAGCTGGGCCGTCTTCTGAGAGCTGAAAAGCACTTCAAATGCCCCATAGCCCCAGCTGAGCCCCATCTTTCTCTCTAGTATGCTTCTCCCTCAGTCTTCCCCATCTTGGAATATGGCCCCACAGCTGGTCAGCCTGCTGCCTGGCTCCCATCAGCCCCTTGCCCCATTACCAAATCCTGTAGATTCTATATCTAGCACCTTGCACATCCTTCCCTCTGCTACCACCTCCTTTGCCAGCTCGCCATCCGCCTGAAGGAATGCAATACCCTCCACCTGGGTCTCCAGGACTGCCCCCTGTGATACACTCCCCAACAGAAGGGGCTTCTGGGGGCTGGATTCGAGCACATTGTAGCTTACATCCATTGACGGCCCTCCTGCAGTTAGATGAAATCCAAACCCCACACCTCTCCCCAGCCCCTCACAGCACCATCTCTTGTTCTCTAGGCTCCAGAGCATCTGTCCTTTTTCAGTGGCCCCAGTGCACAAGACTCGTTCCCACCCCAGGACCTATGTATGTACTACTCCTTCTGCCTGGAACACTCGTGCCCTGCTTTCTTCCAAGAAAATCCTTCCGATCATCCAGGTCACTGCTGAAGAATGACCTTCCATCACCCTCTAATCAAAAGCCACTCCCATTGTGCTCACATAGGGTTCTGTACAAGTCTCCCCTTGCACTTAGCCTGGAGTGGTCATTGTGTAGTTATCTGTGTGATGATGTAATTTCTGTCTTCTCCACCAGGCTGAGAGCTCCTGTGAGTAGAGAACATTTTTACTGTATACGATTACACCCTCAGAACCTAACACTGCACCTGGTATACAGACAGTGCTCAACTGATTGAATGAGTAATGGGAACAAGTCAGTGGATGTATGGACATATAGCCAGAGTGGGACGAGGTGGGGCACAGCTGCCTTTCATGAGACATGTGCTATGTTGCATGGCATCATACTGGTTAACCCCCCAGCGGTCCCCTGGCATTTAAATAAGTGAATCCCTGCAATGCCTGGCACAGGGGAGTGGATCAGAATGTGTCAGCTAGTATTATCATTATCCTCATTTTACAGATGAAGAAGTTGAGGCTCAGAGAGGTGAAGTGATTTGCCCAAGGTCACTGATAACGGTTTGGTTGTGTCCCCACCCAAATCTCATCTTGAATTGTAGCTCCCATAATTCCCATGTGTTGTGGGAGGGACCTAGTGGGAGATAACTGAATCATGGGGGCAGTTTCCCCCATACTGTTCTCACGGTAGTGAATAAGTCTCACAAGATCTGATGGTTTTATAAAGTGTTTCCCCTTTTGCTTGGCTTTCATTTTCTCTTGCCTGTCACCATGTGAGACGTGCCTTTTGCCTTCCGCCATGATTGTGAGGCTTCCCAGTCATGTGGAACTGTAAGTCCATTAAAACTCTTTCCTTTATAAATTACCCAGTCTCAGGTATGTCTTTATTAGCAGCATGAGAATAGGCTAGTACAGTCACAGAGCTAGCAAATCACAGTCAGGATTTGAACCCAGTCTGACTCTGCACTTAATATCTTGCCTCTCCAAGGGGCTGAAGAAGACCACCCAGCATCTCATGCAAAAGCTGTATCCCTTGTTCATTTTAGAACATGCCTCTGTGAGGAACTCGACAAGACAACGTTCCTGCTCTTAGAGGACTCAGAATGTGGATGAGGTCTGCTAGTATATGAACAGTTGTGACACTGCATCTGGGAGGTGCAGTGATTCTCTTGAGTGCCATGGGTGGGGAGAAAAGCCCTTATGGTAGAGAGATCAGATGAGCTGCACCTTCAGGTGCTTACCAGGGGCTAGAGGCAGTGAGGAGGGCTCCTCAGGCTGGCAGGACATCAAGAGGAGTCCCATGGCAGTCTGACTGGTACGAGGAGGAACAGTGAGTAGCTTGGTGTGGCTGAAGAGTTGGGCATGAGCTTGTGCGTGGGTGGGGGAGTTACTATTCTTAGTCTCCTAAGTGGTATGTTCTCAGAATGAGCTGCCCTCCAGGGGTGGGGCTTCTGCCTCATTTTCCCTCACTAGTCTATGGGTCTTCTCTTGCTGGGTCTTGGGGAAGGAGGGAAGACTCAGTGGGCAACAGCAGCTGGATATCTGATTCCCTGAATCACCCCTTTCCCTGACCCCTCACCTCCAGCGCCTTTCAATCTCTAGTCCTCCATCTCTTTTTAGGACCTCCACCCTGCCCAAACAGTCTTTTTCCTTCAGGAGGACTAGGAATTTTTGGACCTCAAGTTGATCATTGAATTGGTAGCAGTGTTATGTAAATATTCAAGAATTGGGCAAACATATGAGTACTAGAATATTCACTGCAACGTTGCTTATTAGAAAAATTGTAAACAACCTAAATGCCCATCAATGGGGATTCGTTAAATAAATTATGGAATACCCATCCTTATAATCTATGAGGAATATGATTTTCTTTGCATAAGGTGTGTTGCAATTATGTATGTATGTATAATCAATTTGGTTTTCCTCTTTGCTTTGGCTGCTAGGAAACTCAAAACCAAATTTAAAGCATACATGCTTTGAATGAACCTTCTTATGGTTCCATCCTATTTTCTACCATTATGTTCTGATTCCCTAGTTAATTTCTTTTCAACTTTGTCATATTGTATAAATAGGCTGACACAAGTCCTTTCTGTTTTTCCTTTTTTAAAAATTGATAGAGCAGTAATGATATAGGTAACTTATATTGAGGGTTGGCTGTATGCCAGGCACTGAGCCGGAACTTTGCATGTATTATTTCACCTGATTCTCACATTAAGCAATGAAGGAGACGCTATCAACACTGCTTTACAGATGAGGAAACTGAAGCCCAGAGGGGTTAAGTGACTTTTGCATGGTCACACTGCTGAGCAGTGGCTGGATCAGGAATAAAGCCCAGTTTCACCTGACCCTAGGAGCTAGCATCCTAACAACTCTTCCGCACTAACTCCTGGCAAATCAATAATCCAATTAGGCCACAACAAAACTGCTCTGACCCTCATTGGATGGGTAAACAGGATGTTATGTGGCTTTCCCCCTTCCACTCTCACAGGTGAGATGGTCAGGCATTGTTGGTTTGGGGTTGACGTGTAAGGTCTGAGAATCAGGGCTTCCTTGCACCTGGAGGGTGGGGAAGCCCAGAGGCTGGGTATCCAGCTCCCGCTACTTGCATCCTTTCTTTGCATCAGCTGCACAGTCTGACTACAGACAGGGCAAGACTGGGGCTGATGCTGTGGCTGCTGCCTCTGAGCACCCAGTACTGTGCAGCCCAGGCTTCTGAAAGAGGACAGGAAGTAAACTAGGCCAGTGTTCCAGCCACCTGACTATGAATATTTCATTTACTCTCTGAAAACAACTCTCAGAGGACAGTATTAGCATCCCCATTTTGCAGAAGAGGAAACTGAAGCCCAGAGAGGCTAAGCAACTTGTCAAAAACCACACAACTTTTGGTCCAAGAACACACAGCAACTTGTCCAAGAACACACAGTGGAGCCAGGTTTAGAACCAAGTCTGTTTATGCCTTAACTTCCCCACCTGTGGAACTCAGTTCCACCTTGTAACTACAGCAAACTAGCTCACACTTCTGACCATGTGTTTTCATGGGGCTGCCACTCCAGGAACTTACCCCAAGCCCTGGTGAGAAAGAAACTTCAGGGTACAACCAGATCCATTCTAGGTCTAGCCTTGGCTCTGAGGCTTAGAATCTCGATCTTGTCAGCTGAGTCTAGAGGACCTGTCTGTCAGAAAAAGACTCATATAACCAATCCCTTGGGGGCTGATCAATAATACCCATAGGCTGGCAGCAACCTTCTTCTGTTGCTGCTCACCTGGGCTGTCCTATTTGGCTTCAGCTCTTTTGTTCCCGGTGCAACCAATTCCCTGCATTAAATTTCTTCTGTTTGAAATACCTGGAGTGGATTCTATTTTCCTGATTGGCTCCCTGCCCCTCCATCCCTATTCTCCAGCTAAGTCTGCTCCACCGGTGGCTATTAAGCCAGCAGCTCCTCCCATCCTCCTCCCCAACAGTGGGGGCATGCTCCTTGCCAGAATTGTCTGCCTTTAGCTCAACCCTGGCTCCAGGCTGATCTTGTCTCCCCCTGTCTAAAACGTTCCCTTCCCCTCCCCTCTCCCCTACAGATTCTAGTGTGTATGACTTTTCATTTTGGAACTGTCCCAGGATGTCCCTGATCTCTTCCACTGTGAATTGATTTTGTGGCCAGAGCCTCCTAATTCTTAGAGGCCTTGCTACTCCTTTATGTGCCACTTACACACCCTTTAGGAATGATGGCAATGACACCTACCATTACTGGGCTTCTACCTTCTGCCAGCTGTGTGCTGCCAGGTGCTACAAGGACATGATCTCATTTTTTTCTGATGATAACTCTGCATCCCAACAATTCCCAGATAGGACAGATTTCCTATTGTTCTCTCAAATGCACTCTCCTACTCTCCCAGAGTAATTGAGAGTTGTCTGGGTACACGGCTGCTTAGATAGACCACATTTTCCAGCCTTCTCTGCAGCTAGGTGTAGCCATGTGACTAAATCCTCATCTGAATGGAAGATGAGTAGAAATAATATGTGTCACTTCTAGGACTTGACTTAAAACACTGGGGGGTGTGTGTCTTCCACCTGGTCCCTGGAACTGTGAATGCAATGTGCCTGGGACACAGATCCCACCATGTAAATGAGGACAATATCCTAAGGGGTGGCAGAGCAACAGAATGCAAGGAACCTGGGTCAATGCATGACCTCGTGGAGTAGAGCACTCTTGGCAGGCTAGAGCAGCCAATTTAGACCCTAGAAAAAGTTTTCTACCCTGCTATTTGGAGGTCTCTTTGTTGCAGCAACCTAGCCTTTATTATCCTAACTAATACATTCTATGAAGGAAGCACAGCTTGGGAAGGTAAATGACTGTGTCCGGGTTTCCCTAGACCTCTGTGATTTCTGCTGTTCCCCATCTCTCGCGTGGGCTTAGTCACCAGGTCCTGACAACTCTAATTCTGAAAGCCTCTGGAATCTGTTTTGCTTCTCTGCCTCCTTGGCCATATCTCTGGCTCGAGTCCTCATTGTCTGTTGCCTAGACTACTGCAACAGCCTCTTGATCACTGGGGTCCCCTCCAGCCCAGACATTACATTGTTGGGCAAATTATTTTTCTAAACTCAGAACTGATGGTGTGACTGCCAGATTTAAACCCCAGCTGCCTGAGGTCTGGGGTCCTGTGGCATTCATAGTTGGTCTTCAATGTGGAGCCTCCAGTCTTCAGGCCAGAGGGGTAGTAGAGAATCAGACAAACCTGGATTCAAATCTTGGCTTCACCTATTGCTAGCTGGTGACTTGGCTAAGTTACTTCAACAAACGTAATACAGTGATTAAGAGAATGAACTCTGGAGTTAGAGTGGCTGAGTCCCAGTCCTTCTTACTAGCTGTGTGGCCTTGGGCAAGCGAATAAAACTCTCTGTGCCTCATCATTTGCTTTCCCTCACTTCATCCATCCATCCTTCCACCTACCGACCCCCTCAGCTGTCTATCCACCTATCTACCTTCCCATCTGTCCACCCACTCATCCACCCACCCATGTATCTGTCTGTCTGCCTACTATGTCTATTCATCCATGAGTCCAGATGTTCACCAGCTATCTGCCCATGCACCCACCCCTCCTTCCACTGATTTCTCCACCCACCCTCCAACTCTCTTATTCATCCATCCACCTATCAGTCCATCCATCCAGCTTATCCATCTGTCCCTCGATTCCATTATCTGTTGATACCCACTGTTCACCCACTAGTTAGTGGGGAAACCAAGTTCAATAAATGACTTCAGAGACCCGGGGTAAGAGCTGATGTTCATGCTCATATGCAAGGTCCTAGCTAATTAGGAGGCAGGGCAGGATTCAGTACAGGGCCTTTGTTTCTATCCACTGTGCTGGTGGCTCTTGGTCCCATTGGATCCAACATCATTTTACTTTTTTTCTTTATCTTCCAAGAAAATTCACACATCATATAACCTACCAATACACATAATTTCAAAAAGGCATATGATGCCCCAACTGTAATAAAGAAGAGAAATAAAATGAAAGTCATTTATAACAACAAGATGTGCTTTTCCAGTGTGACTATAATGAGACAGTCAGATAATGGATCCTACTTGGGATGAATTAGTTTAGATTGAAGAGAAGGCAACGTTCAACGGAATATTGTCGCCTCTTTTCTTTATAGTTGACATTTTGATGTGAGGGCTAAATAAATACATTCATAGATATACATCAAATCACTGGAAATGTGACAGTTACTAACACAGACAGGGTGGCTGTAACAGCAGTGGGACCTGAGTGACATGCTGGTTCTGAGTTTTTAACATGGGGCCAGTTCTTGGTGAAGTTCTGAACAAAATGAAGGACAGTTTTCCATCAATTTCCTTGATTGTCTAATTCCTGGAAATTTCAGGATATATTAGTGGGTTAAGATTTAACACAAAGTCAGGTTCTGGGTTCAGATACGTACAAACAGGATTTCCACTGATATAAACATCCAATAAGACATCCGACACTGTGCCAGTTGTATGATAGGTCTTCAATGTGTGGGGCCCATGCTTGGTTCTTGTGCCCTGCCACTGTGACAGCTTAGAACTCTCCCATTCCCTCTCCTCACCATAACTGGGGAGACCCATTGATATCTAGACCAGCCCCTCCTTCTAGAGGTGTCTCTCCTGGTGTCAATCTTCCTCCCAACCACAATCTAACTGGGGCCAGAGGCTTCATTTTAGCCATAGCTAATCAAAGCCTACCCAGGGACAGAATGCCCTTTTGGAATTTAGGGGGCCACATGTTGCAGTGAAAGTGGGTTTGCAACCACAAGTCCTGAAACAAAAGTCTCAGCTCTATGACCTCAGGGAATTCTGCAGGCCTCTCTGAGCTTCTGTTTCTGGGATCACCAAATGGACATGATAATGTCTCCTGTGTTAGGAGACAGGCAAATCTAACCTGCATTTGCTCAGTCTAATTTTGTTGATGCTGATAGGAATGCCATATAGGGGGGTGTGGGCTCAGGAGCCTGCCAGCCTGGCTGTGCAATCTGACAGCCTCCCTTATCAGCTGGGTGGTCTTGGGCATGACTTCTGTGAGTCTCAGTTTCCTCTTCTGAAAAATAGAGATGATGACAGGGGCTGCTTCACAAGATCATTGTGAAAATTTCATGAGAAAATTCATGCAAAGTGTTTTCCACAGGTGCTTCGTTTAGAGCAAGCCCTCAATAAGTATTAGTTATTCAAGTTATTATTTCTATTGATAATTAATCATGGAACATGGGGAATGTGTGCTTGGCTTGAGGAATAGGATGTGGTGATGGAAAACAATACCAGCCTGGGAGCTTCTTGAGGGCTGAGACTGCGTTTCATCCACTTTGGCCCTCTCAGTGGGTGCTCAGGGAACAAATGAATGGTTATTGGTTTCATGGTGAGGATTGATGAATGGTCAAACTGTACCGATAGGGACCATGAAGAGTGAGTAAATTGTGTGAAGGTGGCAGCATTGACTGTCTTCTGAGAAGGGCTAAGACAGTATATCCTGTTTGGCCAACTCCAAAAATGACACCTGTACCCAGGTGAGGGGAAGGCAAAGGTGAAGAGGCCCTTTGTGGCTGGAGCAGGCTCTGTCCCTCAGCAGAGTTAAGAACAAAGAGGGCGAGCCTGGTCCTGCCCAGAGTGGGCTCAGGCTGTGCCCCTGACACTGTAGGTCCTGCAGCCTTAGGTGCAGGGCTGCTGCCACACCAAGGACAGCTCGCTTACCTCTGCCGGCCACAAAGGAAGAATGGGGAGGCCCATGGGGTGCTTTCCTGGACCCCGGTACTGTGAACCAAGCCAGCTTGCTCATCCAGTGCCATATTCTCCACCCTCCACAACCATACACCAAAGCCATGAGTGTCCAGGAGGTTTTCAAAGCAGCTTTTAGGCACCTGGTAGGATCAGGGCTCATGGGTGTCCCATGGTGTGAAAACCCACACACTTGATGTTCAGAGAAAGAAAAATCTCCTGAACATGAGGCCCAGCAGAGAAAGCCTAGATTCTCTAAGCTTGAAACAGACAGGTTCAGGAGGCTGAAACTCAGGGGGAAGCTTGCTTCCTGCACTTCAGTTCTGGCTGTTGAACAATTAGTCTACTACCAGCTATTTATGGTTTTCACTGCTTCAGAAATGTCCCTTTGGACTCAAGGCCTCAGGAAACCACGGCCTCCTGTTCAGTTTGGGAATCGTGTGTGACTTCCTTATAAGCTCAGGCAACATCCCTGAATAACCACTCAGATGCTTTTCCCAATGTGTTCCCAGGCTCAGCCATTGGCTCCAGACCTATAGCCGTGTCTTTCTGTTTGCCTGGTTTCCACTGCTCAGAATGCAGACAAGCAGCTGTGGCTGTCACATAGCCTCGGTCTTCCATTTTCCCTGCCTGGCTTTTGTTTGAACAACAGACAGGCAAAATAAAACCCTACCAGCCGACAGTGTCAGGGACAAAAAGAAAGAATATAGAGTTGCCATCAGCTAGAAACAACAACTTGCCGAATATAACTTCTGCAGCTGCTGCTATATGCAGACTCTTCCCCATCTCGATGGATCCTCCTCTTAACCCTGGGACGTGGTATCGCTGTTCACTTTTTCCAGATGAGGAAACTGAGGAGGGGTGACATGAATGATCTGAGCTCACACTCCAGGGAGTATCAGAGCCAAGCGTCAAGTCCTTATGTGGCCCCAAAGCCCTTGCTCCACCCAAGAGAAATAGGGAAAAATGTGACAATTATAAAAACAATCGCTCCTCTTTATTGAGCACCTACTGTATTCAAGACACTATCCTGGCTACGCAGGTGATATATTTTAACGGGAGCCACCCCTCACTCACATCCCTAGTGGGAAGAATTAACCCTATTTTGCAGGTGAGGAAACAGAAGCAGCAGCTTGGGAAGGTGAAGTGACTTGCCCTCGGTCCCACGGTGAGGAAGTGCTAGAAATAGGATTGGGGGCCAACTCTTTTCACTCCTTTCCTCTCCCAAGGAGTGATACAGATGCTTCTAGATGGCACCCTGACCAGTATTTTTTTTCTTATTTTAGTAGTTATAGATTATTTTTATGAACCAGAAAAAAAATGTGCAACTAGCATGTAATCCCTGACCTCATGGATATTAATCCTTAGGATGAAGCTAAGATGGACAGTGAGGACAGGGAGTCAGTTCAAGGAAGAATATTAAGGTGTACCGTTCAGAGCTTTTTGGAGTGTGTGAGCTTGAAGGGGCTCAGGTGTAACACTCTGGGGTGAAAGTGAAGGAGGTGAGGCAAGTCCCGAAGTGAAGGGACTTGCTGAGGGTCAACAACCGGAGGCTGAACCCTAACACCCACTAAAGCTAGGTTCACAGCATAGACTGCTCTTTTTGGTCCCAGGCTTGCCTCCACCTACTGGCTCTATTTGCCTAACACAGACTGGGATACCTATTTGGCCAGAAGTCTTTAGAGAAGTTCCAGGAGTTGAAAGACAGAAAACAAAATTGGGAAGCTAAACTGGTAGCCTAGCCTGGGGCCATTTTGATGGAAGAATATTTAAAATCCAGCCCGGCCCACCAGATTGCCCCTAGGACACTGGTCATTTACTTTGGATGCCTGATGTCTGAACCCCTTCCTCTGTTTGGGGAGCTGCCCATCTTGTGACTCAGAACCCACCTTCCCATTGAAGAAGCTGCAGATGCCTCTAGCGTCCTTCACTGTGCAGGGTCAGACTCGAGTTCCAGCTCTGCCACTAATTCACTCTAAAATAAAGGGCCCGTTCAGGTATCTTCCAAGAGCACTCTGAGCTGGGAAATTGAACTAGACAGGTTCCAAGGCTAATTACAAGCTGACATTTTATGATTTGATGACTAAAGTGCTCATTGTGGAATTGCAGGCGGCAGCAGTTTGGTGAGTGGGAGGGATTTGCAGCAGAGGGAGCTGCCTGGCACCCCTCGACTCACATCACTAAGGCGACCACCCACTCTGCTTAGCTGTGAGGTCAGCTTGGTCCATTGTTAGTGATTTTAAGAAACCAGTGTCTCCCCAGTAGGCCGGGCTGGAGCCATCATGGGCTCTACTTGTTGCACCTGAAACAATGAAATATTTATCAAAATATCTCAGTTGATTTTTCCCTCGTAATTAAGGCAGGGTTAAGAAGGTGGATTCCTCACTTTCTCCAGCCAAAGTTATCTGAACACAAAGGCTGGCCTCTTGGTGGAGAGAGTTACATGGAAACCCCTCTGGCGTGTTGAGCAATGACCTGGCACAAGTCAGTCCCTGCTGGAACCCAGCCCAAAACTCCATTGGCGAGAGGCAAAGGCTCCCTGCCCCCTGCAATGAGACCTACTCTCCCCAGGACTTCGCAGCACCTCAACGCCCTGCTGTACTGACCAAGGCCTGAAAGGCCCTCCTCACTGCCATGCCCCGAGAGGCCCACTTTGCCCATCTGAGGCCCCTACTCTCCAATCCTTAATGAAGATAAATTCTCACTGCCATTACTGAAGCACACAAGGAAAGCTAGGTTTAAATATAAAATTCTGGGTCAGTGAGTTGGCCTGCTTCATTCTTTTCACATATCCCAGGCCACAAACGAAAAGAGACAAATTTCTCTGCATCTCCGTTGCTCTAAGAATTTACATTGAACTGGTGGTGGGGGAAAGGTGGAAGTTTGGGGAGGAAGAAGGTGTTCTGGAAGTTTCTTCATGCTGTGGTTACATGAAGTGAAGAAGGCAGAATATTCCCCAAACCAACTTGGTGTCCACAGGGCCAATGCCATTGCCGTGGGGTTCTCTAGCTCCCCCAAGATGGGCAGAAGCTGGGGAAGGTCCTTGTATGAGGCCAGGAGGACTGCCTGGTGGTGCCAGGAACAGAGCCTTCAGCAGGGATGCCAGAGGGCCAGGTAGGTGACTCGTGGCCTCACGCCCCATGGGCTGTGAGAACCCACTGTACCACACAAGGCCAGGGGAGCCAGCATGCTGCCTGGAGTCCCTAGAGGTAGGTTGCCTGGAGGAGGGGCCGCTGAACTGGCTGCAGAAGCCTGGGCCGTTTCCATAAGAAAGAGTCCACGTGAGCAAGGCATGGACATGGGCATGGGACCATCAGTCTGGCAAGAGTTGGGGGCCTAGAAGGAGAGGAAAGCCAGATAAGCTCAGCCAGGCTACTCAGCTCAGCTCCTAGTAGCACTGAACGCCAAGCTCAAAGCTTTGGATGGGCTTGGAAGGGGTTGAAGAAAGTCACAATCACTGTGGTGGGGAGGTCGGGTGCTCCCTTGTTTAAATGCACCCTGGATGACTCCTTAACTGAAGGAAATGAGCATCGTTGGGTTCCCACTCAGCACCCAGCAGTGTCCTGTGTCGCTTCTGGCACCTTGGCCAATCCTTTAAACAGTCTGGTGAGATAGCAATTCCTTATCTCTAAAACGGAGCTCTGGAAGATTGTGCAATTGGCTCCCATTCCTGAGCCTCCCCAAAATTCATGTCTTTTGCTAAGTGACTTTGCAGTTTCTCCCATTAAGGGGGTCAACTTCCCCACCCCTTGGCTTTCTGCTTGGCCATGTGACTTGCTCTGTCCAACAGAACAAGGTGTGCCAAGTTGGAATCTAGACTCTAAGAGGTACTGTGGGTTTCCACCTGCCCCCATGCCTCTGCCATCGCCATAAGAAGAGCATCCCTATTTTAAACTTGTTGGTTGCAGGCGGAGGCTCAGAGACAAATGAAGCCAGCCTGGATCAGCTGCCCGCTGGCCCATCTGCAGACTTGGGAGCTAAGCTAAGAAGTGTTTACTGTTGTGTTACTGTATCTGGCTGAAGAACTATGGTTGTTTGTTACACAGCATCAGTATGGCCACAGCTAACTAATACACAGGCCGAAAAACAGACCCTACCTCCTAGAGTTCTAGGGAGGATTCAATAAAAACAATCCACATAAAATCCTTAGACAAGAGTTTCAGTTGGGGAAGATGAAAAATTTGTGGAAATGGGTGGTGGTGATGGTTGCACAATAATGTGAATATATTTAATGCTGCTGAACCACACACTTATAAATGGCTAAAATGGTAAATTTTATGTTATGTGTATTTTAGCACAATTAAAAAATACCACATAGTGCCTGGCACATACGAAGCACTTAGTAGATATTAGCAATTATTAGGAGCAGGAGGGGGTGTGTGGTGAAACTACATACTCCAACTACACTACATGGAATGATAGATGAACAGTTCTGGAATGATGGTGCCTGCCCCCACTGCTCACTTCCTCCAGGAAGGGGCAAACGCTCATTCATATTAATGGGTTGAAGGGGCATCTGCAGGGGCCACATGAGAAAATGTCAGAACTGGAAGACTTCTTGGCAGTGTCTAACTTCAGTCTCTTCATTGGGGGAAACTGAGGCTCACAGAGGTAACCCAAGGTTTCTCAGTAACTTAGGGGCAGCTCTAAAATTGGAAGCTGCATCTCTCAGCTCCAAGTCCAGTGCTCTTTCTATTCTACCAGAGACAGGAACACAATAAGGCTTCATCTAATCACTAATGATGGAATTTCAGGCATCTGCAGACGGGACGTGCAGATTCCTGGTGCATCTCAAATCATGTGAACAAGACAATCAACACACAAAGCAATTTCTGCCCGCAGGTTCCTTTGACACAATGATAATGAGATAAAATGGTTTTTATTTTCCTCTTCTTTCTTTTTAAAATCAAGCCAAATACATTTTTTTTTTTTTGCATGGAATATACTCTAGTTTTGGACAGGGTTAATTAAAAGAAAAAAATACATATTAAAAGGCCAATTTGATTACTGCTACACATTAGTAATGCAATGAATAATTGATTGAATGTCTATGTTAATTGCTTCCTGAATCAGTGATTTTGCTGCTGAATTTCGAAGAGCTGTTGCTATTTTGAAGTTAGTGATAAGTTCACTGCACCAGGATGGCAGAACTTGGCACAGAGAGTAAGCTCCTGCATGGCACCCCACCTCTACTTCCTGTTCACCCCCTGCCTCCCTGACTGCATGCTCAGTCTCTTCCCTAGAACTTTGATCACTACCTGTTCCTGAAACAAGAGGGTCTCAAATTTTGGTCAATTTCAGATTTCTGGGGGAGCTTGTTGAAATGCATATTCCTGTGTCCCCATCCAGGTTTTGATCCCAGGCCTGGGACTCTGTATTGTTAACAAGTGTCTCAGAGGCTTGGTTGGGTACCATCCTTCAGCAAGAACTGGCTGGGGTAGAAATAGCCTATGCTGAGCCAGGCTCCAGACTCTGAGAGCAACGCCATCTTACTCTCTGGGTTCCTATCTACTGCTTCTTTGCTGGTAGAGTGCCCCATTCTATACAAACTGTTCCACTGGGACGTCCTGGAGACTCCCTGACTAAACTCATCTAAAAAGAAGCCTTCTTCAATTTGCTTTTCCTCTGGGAGCTGTCAGCCCAGCAAATACGGCGTCTGCCTGGTCCTGCTTGCTCAAACCCAGATCCTTTCTGGTCTCTCACTGGTCCTTCCCCAAACATTCACTCAGCAGCCAGACTCTGCCTGTCTCCCCCCATTATAAATCCTATTGACACGTTCAATTCTGCTATTTCAAAAAAATTTGTTTCCAGAGATTCTTCTTGTTCTCCCAGGGGTCCTTTTATTGCTTCTCCCTCTTGTCTTATCTCCCAGCAATGTTAATTAATTGCAGTGGGTTTTGGAAGTTATCTTCTGCTTTCTGCTTTGCCTCTATTTTCTCCCAGTTTCTTTCTTCTGGGTTTTGGTTCCTGCCTCCCTCCGATGCCCGCTGAGCCTAGGAGTCTATTCCACATAAGGGGGAAACATGAAACTGCTGATTGTGAGCTCTGTGGGGTAAGGTGGTCGCTGAATGGTGGGCTTCACCGAGGTGGCTGAGCTGTGCCCCGGGAGGCCCCCACACAGCAGTGGTGATGGCTGTTTCTTTTGGTGCTGGTGACTTTCCCTAGAGCAGAATCATCTGGTCCTCTGCCTGGAGGATCTGCCTGGGCCATCTGTCTGCCTGGCGTTCTCAGAGCATACTAGGCAAGGGGCATTCTCCATATCAACCTTTTCTTCTATTGATTTTCAGTCCATCTCATCCTTTTAACAAGGTCTAGATGATGCTTATCTCCCTGGTGGGCATTTTGGGTAATTATTAGTTTCTTTTTTCCTTATCTCTAATTTATAATTATTATTTACATTTCTCTATACACAAAGTCACTTGTAAAACATGGAGCACACATATTTAAAAGTAGTAATATCTACTTGGAATGATCTTTTTAAGATTAAATTAGATCATGAGTGTAAGGAACCCTGCAAAGCTTACAATATTAATTTAAAAAGTAAACAGGTCTCAGCTGTGTGGGGGAAGGAGGAGTGGACTACTTCGGGGTGGGAGACTGCACGGTAGGGGAAGGATGTGTGGGTATGGAAGACCCGGTGAGGAGGGGGATATGAGGGTGGGATTCTTGGGTTTGTCTGTCCCTTGCAGGGAGTGTGGTGGGAACAGCCATTCACAAAGGGCTGGCTGACTTGACACCTGGGCCTGTGTCTCAGGGCCTGCCGGGCTGGGACACACCCAGACCCCACATGTCAACAAGGGCCTGAGTAAACCCTGGTATTTCTGAATCCTTGGTGAAGTCCCCGCTGCCGACTGCTCAGTGCCTGGGGTCACAATACAGCCTTTCCGCCCGGGGGAGAAAGCTGAAAGAAAGAGCTGGAAGTGGGGATAGGTTCCCCAACCCCTCCTCCCACCACTTAGGCTCCAGCACCAGAAAAAGCCATCTGGATCACAATTCAGAATTGCTGGGCAGAGGGTGTACCTGAGGGGAGGTGCAAGAAGGCTGAGCCTGAGGGCCCTATATGTCTGTAAAGCTCAGAGGGTTATTATGCCCCATTTTGCAGATGAGAAAACTAAGGCCAATGGGGCTCAGACAAAATAATAATTATAGAGAAGAGGTCATTGGGAAAATGACCTCCTAGAGTTCTAGGGAGGATTCAACGAAAACAATCCATATAAAGTCTTTAGATAAGAGTTTCAGTTGGGGAAGATGAAGAATTTGTGGAGATGGATAGTGGTGATGGTTGCACAATGATGTGAATATATTTAATGCTGCTGAACTACACACTTATGGGAGCTATGGAAGGCTCTTGAGCAGGGGCAGTGATAGGTGGACACTGACTTGAGAAGACTTAGCTGGCAGCTCATGCATGCTAGGTTATGTCTGGGGTAGAGAGGATGAGAAATGTGCATAAAAACACCAATACCTGGAGAGGAGAATTTCCCCTGGGCTGCTGGCTGGCAGCCCTCTGTTGTCTCTGGTGTCTGAGGGAAGTTGTGCTGGCAGGGAGGCTCTATGTAGGGTTGCATTTGGGAGTTTTGCCCAAATCTATGGGCTTCTAGGATAACCTAGAGAAGCGCTAGTTATTTGAGGGAGAATCTGACTTCTGGAAACTGTCCAAAATCTGGGCCTTAGAGACCCCATGTGTTCAGTTCTGAGCAAGATAGGAAACCTTAAAATTGTCCCTCATGTCCAGGGATGCGTGGCCCTTAACAAGCACTTGGCATGGATGGCCTCACTCCCCTGCACAATGACCCTGTACCGCAAATGCTGCTAACGTGTTCATTTCACACATGGCGAAGCTGGGGCTTTGCCTAGGCCCTACAGCTAGTTGCTGGCAGAGCAAAGTTACAAAGCCAGGTTTGCTGACTGGAGGTGTCCAGGCCTCCAGATGCCTTAGCCCCTGTGCTGACTGCCCCCGTGGATGGACCTGGCACCAGAAAAAGGGCAGGGCCGAGGATGTCCTGCGCACACTCGGCAGAACGTCCTTGCAGGCATGAGCATGCTTCTCCTGCGGCCTCACTCCACACTCCGAGGCTTCCCTTCTCACTCAGGCTGCTTAGGCCGAGTGTACGGTGAACACTGAGCTCAATCAGAATGATTGTTCTTATTATTATTGTTATTTTTTGAGACATCATCTTGCTCTGTTGCCCAGGCTGGAGTGCAGTGGTATCATCATGGCTCACTGCAGCATCAACCTCCTGGGCTCAATCAATCCTCCCACCTGTCTTCTTAGTAGCTGAAACTACAGGTGTGGTGCCACCTTTCCCGGCTAATTTTTAAATTGTTTGTAGAGATGGGGTCTCACTATATTCCCCAGGCTGGTCTTCAACTCCTGGCCTCAAGTAATCCTCCTGCCTCGGCCTCCCAAATTGCTGGGATTACAGCCATGAGCCACCACACCTGGCTCAGAATGATTATTTAAAGGTCCAGAGTCCTTTTGAAGAGCTGGAGGGAATGACGAGCTTGGCATAACGTGGGAGGCTGTCTTCAGGACAATATAAGAAGCTGGGGCCGGGCGCGGTGGCTCACGTCTGTAATCCCAGCACTTTGGGAGGCCAAGGTGGGCGGATCACAAGGTCAGGAATTCGAGACCAGCCTGGTCAATATGGTGAAACCCCGTCTCTACTAAAATTAGCCTGGTATGGTGGCGGGTGCCTGTAGTCCCAGCTACTCGGGAGGCTGAGGCAGGAGAATTGCTTGAACCTGGGAGGCGGAGGTTGCAGTGAGCCAAGATCACCACTGCACTCCAGCCTGGGTGACAGAGTGAGACTCTGTGTCAAAAAAAAAAAAAAAAAAAAAAGAAGCTGCCTGGGTATGGTCCTTGGGCCAGCAGCCTCATTGTCACCTAGGAACTTGATGGAAGTCCAGGCACTGAGATCCCATTCCAGATCTACTGAGCTGGAATCTGCAGTTAGCAGGATTCCTGGAGAATCACATTCACCTTAGGACTTGAGAATCACTAGGCTGGGAGGCCAACAGGTGTGGCAAAACCGCCAAGTTGCCATAGGGAATCTTGGGAGGCTCTGGGGTTCCAGACACTGGCTGAGATTCCTGGCTTCTCATCTAGTCTTTCCATTTATGGAAAGTGGCAAGAGTTCAGAGATAGGAGGTAACTTTCCCAGTGTCACCCGGCAAGACAGGAGCAGAGCTGGTATAGGATCTCAGACTTTTGGTGTCCTCTTCCTCAGCTTTAATCCCCAAGGCCATCAGGGGATCCCAGGGCTGCAGAAACCATCGGCTGGGCCAGGGCCAAGCAGGAGTCTCCTGAAGCTCCATCATCCTCATTAATCTCCCAACCTCAGAACGGGTTGTTTTCCTGAGAGGAACAATCAGTGCCTTTGGGGACAGAAAACCCCTGGGAGGGGGACTCAGAGAAGGCCCTGGGCTGCACAATGTAGATGGTGTCCTGCCAGCTCCCAAAAGAACAATCTTTCTTGGCAAGCTCATGGGGATGCATTCCCGGCAGCGTGACTCGGAATGGCAGGGTTACCGGGGAACCTGGGATCTCCCTGGGGATGCCAGAGGGAACCCGAGGCACTGTGCCAGAGGAGGATGAGCACTGAGCTGAGAGTCCACAGACCAGCAGCCTGGTCCAACACTGCTGCTGATGGTTTTCAACCATCCACTTCCTGTGCAGAAAACACTAATAACTATTGCTTATATTCTGATTCTGTCCATGAGCTCCATGACTCTAACTGTGGCTGTGACACAGTCCCGAAATCCAGAATCCCAGAGTCCAAGTCTCTACTCTGTCTTCAGTAACCCTGTGATCTAGGCCCTAGATTCCAGGGCAAGGGGCTCAGCATCTCTGAGGCTCAGTTTCTGCTTCTATGTAATGGGTATGATCACACACCTACCATAGTGGCGAAACCTATAATGACTGACTGTATCAAGTGTTGCTGGAAACATGGAGCAACAGAGGCTCTCATACGTTGCTGGTGGGAGTGTGAAATGGAACAGCCATTTTGGAAAAAGTTTTGGTAGTTTCAAGTAAAGCAAAACCTACACCTACCCTATGGCCCAGCAATCCCACTCCACATAAGAGAAATAAAAATATATAGGAGATCGAGATCATCCTGGCTAACATGGTGAAATCCCGTTTCTACTAAAAAAAATACAAAAAATTAACCAGGTGTGGTGGCACGTGCCTGTAGTCCCACCTACTCGGGAGGTTGAGGCAGGAGAATTGCTTGAACCCAGGAGGTGGAGGTTGCAGTTAGCCGAGATCTCGCCACTGCACTCCAGCCTGGGTGACAGAGAGAGAGTCCATCTCAAAAAAAAAAAACAAAAAGAAAAACATATATATGTATATGACCACCAAAGACTTATACACAGATATTCATAGAGACTTAATTCACTATAGCTTAAGACTGGAAACAACCCAAATGCCCACCCACAAGAGAACAGATGAACAACTTGTGATGTAGTCTGACAATGAAATACTACACGGCTCTGAAAATGAATGGACCATTGATACCTGGAGCACATGGGTGATGGATGAATCTCACAATGTTGAGTGAAATAAGCCAGGCAGGAAGAGAACACACCATGCGATTCCATTTATATGAGGTTCCAGAGTAGGTGAAACTAATCTACCGTGGTAATGGTCAGAGCAGTGGTCTCCTCTGGAGGGCAAGGAGGGATCCACTGGGAAGGGGCGGTGGCCTCCTGGGGAGGTGGCAACGTGCTACAGCTGGATCTGGGTATTGGTCATGCATGTAGAAACAGAGGTAAAAATTCACCCAGGAGTGCACTTGAGATTTGCTCATTGTACTGTGCAGTTTTACTCAATGAGAGAAAGAAAGATTAAGCCATGTGGGAGGGATGGGGAGGACCAGGCCTACCTCCCAGGGAAGTTCTGAGAATGGTACTAAAGAAGACCATGAGTCCTGCTCATAGTGGATGCTCAACCAACGATTGCTAAAGATAAGTTGAAGTTTTGTAGGGGAGGCACCTCTCATTCTCTTGGGCCTCAGCTTCTTGCTCTGTAAAATGGGAATAATGAGCTTGCAGCTCGTGGAGATGATGCTGCAAATGTGCCCAGAACAGGGCTCGCCTCCTGAGTGGCCAAGGTGGGGTCTGTGCAGCTGCCCTTCACTTAGAAACAGACTGAGAAGGGCCCAGTGCGGTGGCTCACGCCTGTAATCCCAGCACTTTGGGAGGCCAAGGCAGGCAGATCCCCTGAGGTCAGGAGTTCAAGAGCAGCCTGGCTAACATGGTGAAACCCCCATCTCTACTAAAAATACAATAATTAGCTGGGCATGGTGGTGCACACCTGTAACTCCAGCACTTTGGGAGGTCGAGGCGGGCAGAGCACCTGAGGTCAGGAGTTCGAGACCAGCCTGGCCAAAATGGCAAAACCCTGTCTCTACTAAAAAATACAAAAATTAGCCAGGCATGGTAGTGAATGCCTGTAATCCCAGTTACTTGGGAGGCTGAGGTAGGAGAATCACTTGAACCTGGCAGGCAGAGGTTGCAGTGAGCTGAGATCATGCCACTGCACTCCAGCCTGGGCAACAGAGCGAGACTCCGTCTTGAAAACAAAACAAAACAAAACAAAACAAAACAAAACAAAGAAACAGACCCAGAAGGTGGGCCTCAAAGTGCCGCCCCACAGTTTCCCCTTCCATGAATGTAGCACAAGTGACTCCATTTGGCTCAAAAAAGTTTCTAACGCCTCCTGGCAGGTGGAAGTTCTGAGCACCCTGGTCACAGAGAGGCCCAAGGGATTCAGAATGCAGTGATCCAGGGGCTCTAATGGCAGGGATAGGCTGAGGTCCCACCCACTGACAGCCACTCTTCCGGTCATCCTACATCAACAGGGGGAGTGTGGATTACGGGCCATGTATAGGCAGAGGAACTGAGGCTCAGAACAGGTGACAGGGCTGGATGGCAGGGGAACGAGACTCAAGTCCTGGTCAGTGTGACCCCAAATCCTGTGCTCATCTTAATATATCAATAGGAAACGCGGAATACTCTAAAAACCAAAGAACACTTGTGTACCAGCTACATGACTCTGGGGGAGTCATTAGCCTCTCTGGGTCTCAGTTTCCCTGCTCCACTGGAACCGAAGCTCTTATGAGGGCAGGGGTTTCTGTGTGTCTTGCTCTTCTTGTGGCCTCAGCACACAGAACAGTGTGTGGCATAGAGCAGGTGCTCAGCAAATACTTGTTACATAAAGGAAGCAGTGATTCTGTGGATGAGGGTGGCGTGTAAGGTCAGCTTGGCCTGGTCCCAACCGACACCTCCGGCCCTTCCCACGATACCCCTGCAAAATGCTCAGTGCGGCTCCTCCCCTACCACCCTCCTCTGCTTCCTCATCTTTGGGCCTTATCCCTGTCCGCAGCCCCTCCTCCCTGCCTCCCCCTCCCTGTCTCCCTGCTCCCACGCCTTGTTCTTCTTCACAGAAACTTTCATGCCTGGGAGTGGGGCGAGAACTCTCTCTTCTCTGATCTTTTATAGCATTTCAGAGATCACATAGGTTTCTCCATAGACCAGGTGCTGGCCCAACCACAGCCTGTGGCCACATCAGGCTTCAATTGCTTCTTGTAAGTAAAGTTTTATTTGAATACAGTCATATTCATTTGTGTGTATCCATGGCCGTTTTCACATATTATATAGCAAAGTTGAATCATTGCGACAGAAGTCATCTAACTTGCAAGGCCTGAAATATGTAATCTGGCCTCTTACAGAAATTTGCTGACCCCCGTCATAG
Source organism: Homo sapiens (assembly GCF_000001405.40). Classification (NCBI taxonomy): domain Eukaryota; kingdom Metazoa; phylum Chordata; class Mammalia; order Primates; family Hominidae; genus Homo; species Homo sapiens. The sequence continues at coordinate 10,580,989 of NC_000003.12, forward strand.
ATTAAGTACAGGCTATGAGACTTTACATGTATTATTTTGTCACATTTTCACAACAACCCTACAGGAGCTTGGGGACTACTGTTCTGCCCATTTTATGGATGTGGAAATTGAAGCCCAAAGATGATGGCACTTGCCCAAGGTCATGCAACCAGTAGGCAGCAGGGCCAGGATTTGAATCCACCATGCCATGTCCCCACATTCTGCAACAGATTCTATTGCAAACACAACAGGACTAGCTTGCACAATGCAAGTAGATTCCACAAGTGCAAGAGAAGAGAAGTTCTGAAGATGAGGGTAAATGGGGCCAGAGGAGCCCCACAAGGCTCTGGGAAGAGGCAGAATCTGAGCTGAGTCATTCAGGGAGAGGAGATTTAGCTGGATGGTGGGGATGGTAAGATGAGAGATCTGGAAGAGCCCACAAAGGAAATCCAGAAGGGTTGGCCAGAGAACTGGGGCAAGGCAGGGGCACGAGCCAGCCGGGGAGCGCTGGCCCACAGCCACAGTGATGAGGAACTGCAGAAAGACTCCAAAAATGATGTTTGTGGGCGATTCATCCACAGGGTCCCAAGAGGCTGCCAAGTCCACAGGCAGGAGGAGAAGGGAAATGCTGCAGAAAATTCCTCACTAGGCATCGCAAGGAATTCTGAATTCCCTAAAAAGGACATAAGTGAAAGTGCATAGCTTTTTGTAGGGCTGGTTAGAAACAAGGTCTTCCCTATAGCCAAAATGTTGGAAAAAACTCCTCCAAGGGCACAATCCATCTGACCCTGGTCAAGTGATTTAACTTTCTGAGCCTCAATTTCCTCATCTGTAAAACGGGGAGCATCATGGGCTTGTGTGAGGGTTGAAGGCATTGATATTTGCAAAGCAGATCGAACAGTGCCTGGCACAGAGTAAGTGCTAGAGAAGGATTTGTTAGGTAAACACAGAGCACAAATAAGATCCAAGTTCAGCAAATATCAGCTCCCAACTTTTTCGCCCCAAATGATTCCCACACTGGTCGGAATTTGCTGGGCGCACAATGTGGTTAATTTTAACACTGAGGCAGAGAGGTGAGCCTGAACCGCATTTCAATGAACACAAATCTTATTTTTAACGAGACATACTTTGGCGCTTGCAAGAACATTTAAAAATACCTTCCCTGTTCCAAAGCAGCATTGTGTGGCAGCCAGGTCCAGGGAGAAATCCTTAGTTTTGGGGTCGTTGTTTCTTGGGGGGACCGGGGATCTGGGCGTGTTGGCCAGAATTGCTGCAGGGGCTGCTGAGGGTATCCGTGGCTGAGAGTTGGAGACAGACCTTGCAAGTTGTTGATTCAACCCCCAAGTTGACGGCCATTGTTCTGTCTGGTTCTCTCTGGACTGAGGGTCCTCAAGGAGACATTCTACATCTTTCTTTCAACAACACACAGGGACACCTGATACCTGCCTGCACTGTGCCCATCCAGGGATGGACTCTCGGACTGACGTTCCAGTGGGGAGACAGATGATGAACACAGAGATGAATAAACTATCGAGATCATTGCAGAATTATATGTGCTTTGGAGAAAATTAAATAAGTGGGGTAGAGAGAATCCTGCACGTGTGGTTGGGGCAGAAGGTCTGCAGTTGGGCAGTGAGGGCCTCTCCTCAGAGAAGGTGATGTTTGAGCTGAGAATGGAATGAGAGGGAGGAGCCAGTAAGATCTGGGAAGTGTGCTGGAGGCAGAGGGAACGGTAAGTGTAGAGTCCCAGAGGGGGCTGAGCCTGGTGATCTAAGAGAAGGGCAGGGCCCTGGATTGTGATGGGCTACCAGAGGACTGTCTGGGAGTCAGAGGGAGAAAGAGGCAGGTCAGACCACACAAGACACCAAGGGCAGCCACACCACATGGCTCCAGCTGGTACCATGCATTCTGCATCTACCAGCAGCATAGATTGCTTACCCTGGCAGTTCTGTCCTGGCACCGTGCTCAGCACAGAGTAGGTACTTAGTAAATGTTTAATGACTAGTCATAAAACCCAGCTGAACTTCCATGTCAGCAGCAGGCCCTCAATCTCTAATTAAAGTTTGCTTGTTTTTAAATCAGGCACCTGCTTCCTGCATTTGCTTTCTTTCAGAAGATTCTTGTGCATTTGTCATCACGACCTCGGTTTGCTCAACTGTTGGGCAAAAGGAGTACATGATATGATTTAGACTGTGCAGCATCTTGAAGCCCTTGCAAAGAGGCTGTGATATCTTGGCTCTGACACCTAGAAGTCCCGTGGCTTGGAAGGATTGCATTCTGTGTGATGCTTGCAGTTGCAGTGAAATGTTGATGTCCAAGTGTTTAGGGAACAACAAAAACAAGAGAGCCTGCCCATGAACACATTATTTCTTTCAGTACTTCCCCAACTCCCAATAAAGTGCCTGTGGAGTATTCCACCTAGCTTGCACTATATCCAAACAGTGCCTTATAAAGGAAAAGCTGGTTCCTTGACCCTAAGCCCTGTTTGTCCTAGCCTGAGCAGGTATAGATCCTTTACCTGGGACCTCTCTCACTCACCCAGTGGGAGAGTGCTGGGATCTTAGGATCCGTGCCCTGATTGCATATTTCATTCAGGAATCTCTCATTTGAGGTGGCTGACTGCAAAAGATGCAAGTTGTTTTAAATATACTTCATGAACGTAGGACAACTTTGCAAGTGTGATCCATTTAATCCCTGCTGTGAGGGAATTAATGACTCCCAATTTACAGATGAGGAAAGTGAGGCCTTAGGATGTCATGGGATGAACAGGATGTCTCTGGTGGGTTCGGACTGACCTGGGTCTTCTGACTGCCGGTTGCACCCTGTTTCCCACTGCAAGGGGCCAATACAAATGCAAAAGCTCAGTGTCTTGTCATGGGGCTGGGAGAGAGTTACATGGGACACTGATCTCCCGCCATCAGAAACAACTCAGCAAATACTGGAAAGCAAACAAAGCAGCTGTGCCCAGGACCCTGACAGCAGCTCCTTGGCAAATTCAAGGCAGTAATCGCTGGCCAGGTGCCTGCTGCTTGCTGGGCCCTAGGAACATCGTGGCAAGCAAGGCAGACACAGCCGCTGCCCTCCTGCAAGGGACAGTCTGAAGGGATGGTGGTTATTAAGCCAAAGAAACTTGCGAGGAAGAGAGCTTTCCGCTTGGACTTGAGGCAGAGCAGGAGCTGCCCAGGTGGAGATGGGGTGGGAGGGGGCAGAGGCAGGGGCTGCGGGAAAGCTCAGGGAAGGCAAGAACACAGAGGAGGGAGGCAGAGGCCAGCTTGGCAGGAATGGGGACCAGGAGAACAGGCAGGGGATGAGGCTATGGAGGCATTTCCTGCAAGGCAGCGGGAACACCTGGAGTCCAGCTAATCCCCTGGGACATGAAGTTTGAGTTCAGAGAGGGCTTTACCTTGGGAACTTTCTTGTTCCCTTCCTGGTGGCCTGACCCAGCCCACAAGTGTCCCCACACAACCATGGAGGCTCTACAGGTGCCACCCTGGATCTCTGTAGGTGCATCCTCACACCCATGGGCGCTTCTGTACCTGGTGGTGAACTGCATGTACTGGAGAAGCACAGGTCACAGTCCCGAATGTCCACAGAGCTGAGCTGCCCGCTCTTTCCAGAGGGAAAGGGACATTTTGCTCGTGACTGATATTCACGTAATATCCTCCCAGCCACTGCTTGCAGAAGCTGCATTCCCTGAACTTCCTGCCTTAACTCCTTAATTATTTTCCACTTCTGAGCAATGCTAAGGACCTAACTTCCCACTCCACCACTTCCCAGCACTCATTCCTGATTCCACACACAAATACCCACCTGCTTACTCGTGTCACTGTGGGATATCTAACAGGCATCCCAAGCATAACACAATTTCACCTGGTTTAGCCTTTTCTTCCTCTGGGTTTCCCACTTTAGCAAATGGCCACTATCTTCCCAGTTGTTGAGACAAAATCCAGGAAGCTCTCTTAGACCCCTCTGTTTCTGCATGCCTTGCACCCATCCACAAGTCTTGCTGGTGCTGTCTCCAAATAGATCCTGAATTGGATCTCTTCCTCCTCCTCCCCTGCCACACCCAGGTCCAAGCTGCCATCACCTCTGGTCTGGATGCCGGCAACTCTCTCTGGCTCACACACCTGCCCTGCTGTAGCCTGGATCCCACAGAGCAGCCAGATGGATCATTCCAAAGCACAGGTCACGCCACACCTCTGATCAAACTTCTCCAATGGTTTGCACTGTAATTAAGATCCAGTGAGAGGCCGGGCAGGGTGGCTCACACCTATAATCCCAGCTTTGGGAGGCCGAGGCTGGAGGATCACGAGGTCAGGAGATCGAGACCATCCTGGCTAACCAGGTGAAACCCCATCTCTACTAAAAATACAAAAAGTTAGCTGGGTGTGATGGTGGGCGCCTGTAGTCCCAGCTACTCAGAGGCTGAGGCAGGAGAATGGCGTGAACCCGGGAGGCGGAACTTGCAGTGAGCCAAGATCATGCCACTGCACTCCAGCCTGGGCGACAGAGCGAGACTCCGTCTGAAAAAAAAAAAAAAAAAAAAAAAAGATCCAGTGAGAGCTCCATTCGCTGACCTGCAAGACCCGACTCTACCCATCTCTGCAGCTTCTCCTGTGCCTCACCTTCCCTAGTCACTCTCTCTACTGGCCTTCTTTCTGTCTCACCAACATGCAAGTTTGTTCCTGCTTGGGGCCTCTGCACTCACCATTCCCTCTACCTGAAACATGTTCCCTGAGATGTGTGTCTACCTCCCTCTGTGATTCAGAGCTCAGCTCCAGGGCTCCTCTGCCAAAGGCTTTCCCTTACCTCCCTCCCTAATGCTTTTCCCCTCGTCATTTTCCATCACATCACACTGTTTGGTAGTGCCCTCAAAACTAACTTCTCTATTTGCTTTCGTGTTCCCTCTGTTCTGTCACTAGAATATAAGCTACATGAGAACCTAGACTCTCCAAACTCTCTGTTTAACCATGGGCTATCTCCTATCTCCAATCTAGAACCTTGCCTGGCAAATAGTAGGTTTTCAATAACAGTTTCTGACATACTGACTTTCTCCCTGCCTTTGCCCAGCCTGTGTGTTCCATCCTATAGTGCTGTCCCCTTAGTGGTCATTTTTATTAGTCAAAGATATTTTTAGAGGAGATAAATAGTGGTATTTGTTTACTTCTGACCGAAGCCATGATGTCATCATTTTTACCCAGTTATGTCCTTGCTCTGTCATGATTGAAAAAAGTGGCATTGGAGACTCCATTGTCCCACATCTGTAACCTGGGGCCCTTAGCTCAAGTCATCAGCAAGGATGAGAGAAGGATGCTGGGAGCAGAGGAGAGGAGAAAGGAAGGGGACCCTGCCAGCACCTGAGGTGCCAGGCTCCAGGCCAGGAGCTTTCCTTGGGTCATCTCATCTGAGTCTCCATCATCCCAAGAGGCAGATCTTACTTTTGCCGTTTTGCAGATGAGCAAACTGAGGCTCAGAAGTTTAAACAACCTTCCCAAAGTCACACAGCTTGGAAGTGGTAGAGACAGAAAGAAGGCCAGTAGAGAGAGTGACTAGGGATGTGAGGCAGAGGAGAAGTGATGGGATTTGGCACTAGTCTGTCTCCCCAGGGGGAGAACCTCTGAGGTTCCTCGAGAGAATCTTTGCTTTTACCCCTGAGGATCTCATCTTTAAATGGATGTGCATCCTTCTGGCCCCTTCTCAGAAGGAGGCACAGCTTAGAAACATGCCACCAGCCTCTCCTCAGAGGGGTGAGAGGGAGCATCTGGATGGATTGCATTTCCAAAGCAAGAACTCCTGCCATTCCTCAAAGCTTGATGGAGACCTTCCAGAGAAGGTGGTGCACATTTTGCTTAAACACATGTGGCATCCAGACTGAGTCCCTTTGTCACACCCCACTGCCCAGCTCTGCTCCGGTCCCTGCTCACATGGCACCTCCTCAGTGGGCTCTCCCCTGGCCAGCTACACAGTCCTCCCCATCTCTGCCTCACATCTCGCCCTGACCTTGAGTGAGTTTACCTCACACACTTAGCACCACCAGATAATCTATTGTGTTATAAATATCATAGCCTGTAATCCCAGTACTTTGGGATGCCAAGGCAGGTAGGTTGCTTGAGTCCAGGAGTTAGAGATCAACCTGGGCAACACGGCAAAACCCCATAGCTACAAAAAAACAAAAACAAAACAAAAAATTAGCTGTGTGTGGTGGCACATATCTGTAGTCCCAGCTACTAAGGAGCCTGAGGTGGGAGAACCAGCTGAGCCCAGGAGGTCCAGAGTGCAGTGAGCCGTGATCATACCCCTGCACTCCAGCCTGGGTGACAAAATGAGACCCTGTCTCAATATATATGTATATATGTCTCAATATATATGTATATATATAAAGAGACAGGGTTGTTTAGTTGTTTTATTTAATTAATTTATTTTTATTTATTTATTTTTTGAAACAGAATCTCACACTGTCACCCAGGCTGGAGTGCAGTGGTTCGATCTTGAACCTTTGCCTCCCTGGTTCAAGTGAATCTCCTGCCTCAGCCTCCTGAGTAGCTGGGATTACAGGTGCATGCCACCACACCCAGCTAATTTTTGTATTTTTAGTAGAGAGAGGGTCTCACCATGTTGGCCAGGCTGATCTCGAACACTTGACCTCAAGTGATCTACCTGCCTTGGCCTTCCAAAGTGCAGGGATTACAGGCATGAGCCACCGCGCTGGGCCTAGTTTAATTCTTCATTGTCTTCTTTTGCTAGAACATAAGCTCCAAGAAAGCAAGTGTTTCTGGTTTTTTTGTTTGTTTGTTTGTTTGTTTGTTTGTTTCTCACTGTCATGCTCTTAGTGCGTAGAAACAAGGCTGGCAAATAGCCAGAGATCAATAATATTGGTTAAGTGAATGAATTTGGTTGCTGTATATACTCAGTTCACATTTTATGTCTTCCTAATGTTATTCTGAGTTTTCCTCCTTTAAATAAAAGTTTTATTATATAAGCAATACAAATCCATAGTGAGAATTTTTAAAAAAGAGGAAAATAAGAACCTTCAGCAATTTCCCCGTGCCACTAGTACACTGAGGAGTATTCTCTCGTGGATTTTACTTATTCATGGATAGAATGTATTTTTGCAAATTCATTCATTCAAATATTAGTTATCACATGTTCACCGTATTTCAGGTGCTGTGCTCAGCACTGGGATCTTACTGTGCAGTTGACATTTAGGGCTAGAAAATTCTTGATATGGGGCTGCCCTGTGCGTTGGCCTTTACTCGCTGGATGCCAGCAGCACCTCTCTAGTCATGATGGTCAAATGTCTCTAGACATTGCCAAATGTCCCTAGGGGTAAGGGTGGGCAAAAGTCACCTTATTGAGACTTGCTGGTCTAGAGGAGGAGAGGGAATATTTGTAAAGGATCAGTCATACTGTATGCTGTCTTGAGTGCCCAGCAGTGGGCACTCACCAATATTTGTGAACCCCTTCCACATCCCTAGATGCCTTCTGATGGCAACCTGGTCCACAATTCACAGCAGCAGTTCCACGGCCGGGCACTGAGGCCATACACCTGACTCTGCTTCAAAGGCAAAAACAAGAGCACATCACCTCCTCTGCCTATCTCTGGGCCGGCATCATCCAGCCTGACTCCACCAGTATCCACCAGAATGGAGGGAAGCATGGATCTCTGGAGGAAAGGATCTCAACCCACGTATCTCTCACCCAGCACCCACTCAGCACTTCCTCTGGGGCTCCCTTGCTGAGTGATTGACGGGCACTATTTCACGGAGTCTCTACCACAATCTTAAGAGGTAGAGATGCTTTTTATGCCCATTTTTACAGACGAAGAAAGTGTGGCTCAGAGAGGTTAAGTGACTGGAAATTCAAGAAGAAAAGAACTAGAAATAGATCCAACTGGAAATAGCCTCCCTTTTATATTTAAGTCCATCTGGATTCAAAGAGAGTTGTCTGCGGCTGGCAGTGCTGCGTGAGCCTGTGTGTTAGATATTAGGAGGAATCTGGGGCTGGTATCAAGGTTCCCAGATCCCGACATCTTTTAAGGGCATAAACTGGGCGGGCGGCAAGAAGGGGACAAAGTTCACACACCTGGGTAGGGATGCATCTGACTCTGGGACTCCAGTCACTGGGAGGACCTGGACCTGTAGGTGGGGATGGGTCAGGGTGGGCCTCCTTTGAGATCTTGCTGGCAGAGCAACACATGGCCTGGTCCTCCTGAACTCCAGCCACTCCCATTTGCCCATCCCCACTCTAGGGGATAAATGGAGTGGCCCAGAGAGGCTGTCAGAGTCCTAGAAGGCTAGAGACCCACTATAGGATTTGGTCTCTCTACAGGCTTGCTCATTAGTAAGTTCATTAGTAAACTTTTGTTGAGTGTTTCCCAGGCCTGGAGATATAGAGATGACTAAGGTACAGCCCCAAAGAGGGCTTACAGACCACCAGAGGAGACAGGGTAGAAATGGTTGTGCTGAGAAGCGTGTTAGAACACTGGAAGAGATGAGCCTGTTGCCAAACGCAGTTCCGCTGCGATGCAAGTATATGTTAATGCTGTCCCTGAAGAATGGCGCTGTGGGACAGGGTCTGCTTTGGATCAGGCAATCAAGTTTCCAAACACAGGACCAGCCCTTGTCCCACAGGATCTCAGAAACTCTTGTGGGCCTCAGTTTTCCAAATGGGATCATAGACCCAGCCCTTGATGAAATCATGTGCAAAGAGCACTTAGTTCAGTGCCCAGCACTTGTGAGGTACTTAGTAAAGTTCCTAACACCTGTCAGAATGGCTAAAGTAATAATGAGAACGAATAAACACTGCCAACAATCCCAAGTGTGGGTGAGGATGTGGAACCACTGGAGCTCTCATCTGCTGCTGGTGGGAAAGTAAAATCGCAATGCCTACTCTGAAAAAGAGTTTGTGCAGTTTCTTATAAGGTGTGACATAAACCTACCACATAATTCAGCAACCCCACCCCTAGGCATTTACCCAAAAGAAACAAAAACTTATTTCAAACAAAAAAATAAAGTGTCTCTATTCATCATTTCCCCAAACTGAAAACAATCCTAATGTCTCTCAATGGACGATGAGATGAATGGATAAACTACCTCTGGTGCATCCCTCCCATGGACGCTACTCAGCAAGAAAAAGCAAGGGACTATGATACATGCAATTGGATCTCCAGCCACTGTGTTGACAGAAGGAAGGCCCAAAGCTTACATTGATATGATATGATTTTTGATATGATTCAATTTTTCAATGGTATTATGGAAAAGGCAAATCTGTAAATCAGTGGTTGCCAGGGATTTGGAGGAGGGAAAAGGGTTGACCACAAAGTGACGAGGGGTAAATTTGGGGGGTAATGGAACTGCTCTGTGCCTTGATTAGGGTGGTAGTTATACAACTGTATGCATTTGTCAGAATTCACAGACCTGTACGCTAAAAGTATGTTTTACTGTATGAAAATTATTTCTTAATTTTAAAAAATAGAACAAAAGCCTTCTAGAGTGTCCTTCAGCCTCGCTGAAGGCTCCAGGGCCACCTCCTGGGCCATTTCTTCCTCCTGTGGGTTGCCTAGGGCTGGCAGGTGCCTGCCTCCCCTGCATGACAGCCCAGCCTTTCCCCTCCAATGTGAAGAAAGAGGCACAGCTGCTCTTGGATTCACTCTGCGTCGTTCTTAGTGGAAGACTGCTCTCAGTGGCCACCCAGGGCCATGGGAGCAATGGATTTCTGTGGGTTCTCCTGCCCCAAGGCACTCTCCCTGCCTAATAAAACCCTTGAAGAGGAAGGAGGCCAGTTGTGCTCACAACATCAGCGTGGAGGAAGAGCCTGAAGCATGTGCACCCGTGCATGTGCCTTCAAGACTTGGGAACTGAGGACCAAGTTTCAAAGGCCAGCTGTTCATGTCCACTGACACAAGGCTCAGCTCCTGGGCTCCCTGACCTCCTAGTCCCCACACTTTACAAGCTGGGGAGTGGTGACACCAGGTGAGGACTTCCTACTGAAGGCTCCAAAGCACCTTCTTGTCCCCGTGCCCTGTCCCTGTAGGTATGTGAGCTTATAACTCCTGGTCTACATGCGCTTTATCTCAGCAATCCCCTGCTTGCCTACAACTGGAATAACTACAGTGCTGGTGACCCCTAAGTCAACTCACCCTTCTGAGAGGAAGATGTCTTGGATTTTCCACCATGAATGGCCCTCCCCAGTAGACGTCCCTGAGGCACTGTAAACAGGTCTTCTGTGAATGTGTAATTGACTCATTAGTCCATGCAGGCACTGGGGATTCAGTGCAGTGCACACACAGCCCCCTTCACTTGCATGTTCCACAACGCACTCTGTGGGCCTCCTCAAGTGGACTTGCCCTCATCAATCTGTCCTCCATACAGCAGGCACCAACCCCATGCTCAAAACTCTCCAATGGTCCTGCTGATTTAATGATCAGGTTCAAACACACTAGCTGACCCCCATGGCCTCTGAGGCCAGAGGTCACTGAGAGCAAAGCCTTGCACAGAGCTCACCACTGTGGCGCCCTGCTCTCTCCCCCTCAAATCACCCCTCATGCTCCTCTCCACTGGATCACTCAGTGGATCCATGGATCCACCACTTCCAAGCATGGCATGTGCTCACCTGTCTTAAAAACACGCCTTTCCTTGATCTCAGCTTCTCTTATTGCTCAATTTCTGTTTTCCTCAATGGCTGTAATCCTCTCCTATAATGCTTGCTTCAAAAGGGATGAATAACTATAATGCCAAGAATTCTAACAGCCTCGATGGTTCAAGTTTGGAAAGCACTTTATAACACCAAATTGGTCCGATCCCAGACGAGGGAGCTTAGGCTTGCACTGCTGAAGGCCATTTAAGTAGTGCCATAGAAATCCATGTTTCCTGACCTTCAATTCCTGACCTTCAATTCCAGGGCATCTTCATCAGCCAGGGATCAGGGCAGACCACAGGGACTGAGACAAGATACCCAAAGGTAAGGGGCATCTAGAATTAATAGGGGTCAAGTTCTAGAAGGTGGGTGTGCATGCAGAGGCCAAATTTGAGCAGGAAGCAGATCAGAGGACCTCAAGGTGGAGAAGGAGATCTGAGGCCTGCACTGGTCCAGGGCTCAACCATGTGGAAGGTTGGGAAGAAGAAGGAACTCACAGATATGGAGAACAGCCATGGTAAGGACTTGATCCTTCTCTTCCTGCATCTTCCTAGTGCTTTCAGTATCTCTATCATCCCTGATTTTCAGCTTAGGAGGCCAGGACTAAGAGAGGTGAATACTTAATAGTATTGAGTGAATACTCAATAGAGGCAAATAATACAAAAAGAAGGGAAGTGGATGGCAGAGAGATTTGACAAGATTTTTTCAATATGTTTGAAATTATGTATAATTATAAGTCAAACATAAATAAAGTCACTCACCTATGTGGTGGAGCAGGGATCAGAGGCCAAGCCTGGGGGACTCCCACACCCATGGCCCTTCCTCTCTGCCCCACAGAGACTCTGCCCATCCCAGGTTTGTGCTTTTCTGTTGGAAAAGTTCCAGGCATGCAAAGGCCCAGAATGTCCTTCTTATTTCCCCTTGAAAATGGAAACTTGAGTAATAAACCTTGCAGACATTTTTTTTCCTCCCATATCTCCAGGGCCTTGTCCCTTCTAAGAATGGATCTTTGTCTTGTAATCATGAACATGAAACACCCACGGCCACACCACTTCCACCTCTCCTGAGAGTGATGGTGCTCCCACAGTGGCCCTGTCTGCTCAACCCAAACACAAGTTAGTTTTCATTTCATTTCCCACTGCCACCCTGGAATATGACTGTTTGCTTCCATTTACTGTCCCCTCTCCCAACTTTTTTTGGGACAGGATCTAGCTCTGTTGCCCAGGCTGGAGTGCAGTGGCACAATCATGGCTCACTGCAGCCTCGACCTCCTGGGCTCAATCAATCCTCCCACCTCAGCCTCCTGAGTAGCTGGGACTACAGGTATGCACCACCACCACGCCTGGCTAATTTTTGTAATTTTTGTAGAGATGAGGTTTTTCCATGTTGCCCAGACTTGTCCCAAACTTCTGGGCTCAAGCAATCCACCTGCCTTGACCTCCCAAAGTGCTGGGAATACAGGCGTGAACCACCACGCCCAGCCCATTTGCTATCTCTTCTAATGGGTCTCAGGGAAGCATCATAAACCTGCTATCAGGTTAGAGATGGATTTCAAATTCAATTCTATTTTTAAAAGAAAATGAAAGGGAAGGTCACCTGAAAAATAAATCAAAATCCATAAGTCTCCATTGGGCACTTACTAAATTCTAGTTCTTAAACCCTACTAAGTCTGCAGTATTAGCCCAATTTCACAGATGAAAAACTGAGTCTTAGGGTGGTTAAGTCATTCACAGCCATGAGAAAACAGAGCTGGAATTTGAACTAGGTTTGAGGGACTCCAGAGTCCATGCTCTCATTACCAATACCCCGGCCTAGAACAGGCTGTCTCTGAGAGTTGACTGTCTGTGCAGAAACATGTCTATTTGATTCCCTACTTAACAAATGGTGCTGGGAAAACTGGCTAGCCATATGTAGAAAGCTGAAACTGGATCCCTTCCTTACACCTTATACAAAAATTAATTCAAGATGGATTAAAGACTTAAATGTTAGACCTAAAACCATAAAAACCCTAGAAGAAAACCTAGGCAATACCATTCAGGACATAGGCATGGGCAAGGACTTCATGTCTAAAACTCCAAAAGCAATGGCAACAAAAGCCAAAATTGACAAATGGGATCTAATTAAACTAAAGAACTTCTGCACAGCAAAAGAAACTACCGTCAGAGTGAACAGGCAACCTACAGAATGGGAGAAAATTTTTGCAATCTACTCATCTGACAAAGGGCTAATACCCAGAATCTACAAAGAACTCAAACAAATTTACAAGAAAAAAAACCAAACAACTCCATCAACAAGTGGGCGGAGGATATGAACAGACACTTCTCAAAAGAAGACATTTATGCAGCCAACAGACACATGAAAAAATGCTCATCATCACTGGCCATCAGAGAAATGCAAATCAAAACCACAATGAGATACCATCTCACACCAGTTAGAATGGCGTTCATTAAAAAGTCAGGAAACAACAGATGCTGGAGAGGATGTGGAGAAATAGGAACACTTTTACACTGTTGGTGGGAGTGTAAACTGGTTCAACCATTGTGGAAGACAGTGTGGTGATTCCTCAGGGATCTAGAACTAGAAATACCATTTGACCCAGCCATCCCATTACTGGGTATATACCCAAAAGATTATAAATCATGCTGCTCTAAAGACACATGCACACTTACATTTATTGTGGCACTATTCACAATAGCAAAGACTTGGAACCAACCCAAATGCCCAAAAATGATAGGCTGGATTAAGAAAACGTGGCACATATACACCATGGAATACTATGCAGCCATAAAAAATGATGAGTTCATGTCCTTTGTAGGGACATGGATGAAGCTGGAAACCATCATTCCCAGCAAACTATCGCAAGGACAAAAAACCAAACATTGCATGTTCTCACTCACAGGTGGGAATTGAACAATGAGAACACTTGGACACAGGAAGGGGGACATCACACACCGGGGCCTGTTGTGGGGTGGGGGGAGGGGGGAGGGATAGCATTAGGCGATATACCTAATGTAAATGACGAGTTAATGGGTGCAGCACACCAACATGGCACATGTATACATATGTAACAAACCTGCACGTTGTGCACATGTACCCTAGAACTTAAAGTATAATAATAATAATAATAATAATAATAATAAAAGAAACACGTCTATTTAATTAGCATCTATATTTGTCTGGCATTTTATTAGATTACTTCAATTTTTTAGCTCATTAATCCACACAGGCAAAAAGAAAGAGGTATCATCACCCCCATTTTATAGATGAGGAAATGGAGGCGTAAGCGGTTAAGGTCACCAGCTGGTTAGAGGTTTTAACTTAGGTCTGCCTGATATCAAATGCAGTTATTTTCCCAGATACTCACACTCAGTCCAGATGCAGCAACCACCATCAATTCGAAGACCAATGCAATCGGAGACAGACCAATTCAAAGTTAACTGCAATATTTCGGGAGCCCCCAGCTGATCAGGACCTTGGATAGCTCCAGGTGCCTCTGAGTTGATTGGCTCCAGGATGCTGACCGCAGTGCATTCCTAGATTCTCATAGGCCCACACTGGACAGATCCCTCCCACTCCAACCCGGAAGCCGTTGAAGGGCTAGCATCTGCTGCTGTAAGTGGGCCTTTAGTTACAGGACACTGTCAGATGTCTGGGGGCCTTTTGGGGAAGGAGGCGTGCTGGAGGTTCTCAGGTCATGAAGCGGGGTGTTAGTCTTCTTAGATATTCCAGTGGGCATCTCCTCTTCTAGGTGCAATCTAAGGTCCTAATTAGTAAGGTGTACCTTAGTGAAGAGTTCTCAGTGGAATAATACACGTTTCCAGCTCCATCCCACCAGTTTATAAAATAATTATTTGTGGCATTATCATTTTCCATCTTCACAACAGCCCTGTAAATAAACTATTACCCTCACGGTGCAGATAAGGAAACAGAGGCTCAAAAATAGTAGATGACCTGTCCAAAGTCACACAGCTAAGAAATCTCAGAGCTGAAACTTAAACCCTGGTGATCATTATACCAAGTTGCCACATCTCATATAAACAGACCACATTGCGCTTCCATTAAGCATATTACATTTATCTTAATTATGTTTACTTGATGCTTGGAAATTTTGTTTTGAGAGCCACCTGTAAATATGACCATACTCCATCACATTTTCAGGATTCAAACATCATTTGTTAATCGACACAAATGAAGATTGCTTAATGGAATAAAATCCAAACTCCTTTCCATAGCCTACAAGGCTCTATGTGAACTGACCCCTGCCCAGCAATCTGACCTCGTCTCTTATTGCTGTCCCCTTTGAGCACCATACTCTAGCCACATCAAGCTCCCTGCTGCTCCTCGAACCCACCACGTTCATTCCCAACTTGGCACTTTTCACTGACTGGGTCCTCTGCCTGGAATTCTCTCCTCTCAGATCTTTGTAAGCTGCCCGCTTGTCACTCAGCTCTCAGCTCAAAGGTCCCCTCTGCAGAGAGGCCCTCCCTGACTACCCAAGCTAAGTAGCCTCTGTTCACTAAACCACATCAACCTTGCTCTTTATCCTTCCCAGCACAGACGCCTGCCAGCACCTTAAAGACCCATTTAAAGCAGAAGACCCCAGCCCTTCAATGGCTTCCAGGTCGAGGTGGGAGGGATCTGTTCATGGCAAACTGAAACAACTGAGTTGATTTAGTAGTGCATTTTCTTTCTCTCCTATTTAGAACCAAAGTTCTATGAGGGCAGGGACTCTGTGGGTATGAACATCACTGTCTTTCCAGCATCATGTGCAGTGTAGACACTTAATAAATGTTTGCTGAAGGAATGAACTTCGTAACCGGTCTCATGCAGTGACCACAAATTTAATTTTGCATGTCTTCAATGTGTCTCTGATTTCTTCAAGGGAGATGCCAAGGCTTTGAAATCAAAGTTCTTAGAACATTTTTAGTAGCATGCCCCATATAACAGATGCAGAGGGAGAAGCTGTCACTGTAGAACGGTTAAGCATCACTTTAGTAGCAATCAAAAAAGCTCATATTTCTTCAAAGAGGAAAACAGAAAGTCCCAGACAGGATTGTGAATTCCTTGGCGTTTGCTCCTCCCTGGCTTAGTTTCAAAAGAGAACCAGGGTTTCCTGAAGAGGGGCTCAAATTATTCTGAAGGGCCACTTCTCTCTGTCCTTTAAGATGAAAACTCTACAGCCAGCTGCCAGCAGCAGCTCAGGGATGGGAGAAACACACAGTCAAGAAAATCTTTCCCAAACGAAGGAGGCTGCAGGGAGCCAGAGAGAGCTCTGATGTGTGTGGCTTCCCCCAGGCACACTCTCTATGAGGAATTCTTAGCAAACCAGGGCACGTGGCACACCACAGGCGAGTACGCGTGCACACACACAGGCACACGCACACGCAGGTGCACACGCACACAGGCACACACGCACACAGGCACACACCCAGACACACACAGGTGCGCACACACACAGGGCCACACACACACACACACACACAGGCACACAGGCACAGTCACACATACACGCACACACACATGCACAGGCAAACAGGTACACACAGGCACATACACACAGGCACGCACACAGGCACAGGCACACAGACATACACACACAGGCACAGGAACCTAGGCACACACACACAGAGGCACATACCCACAGGCACACACACAGACACAGGCACAGGCACACACACAGGTACACACACACAGGCACAGACACACAGACACATAGGCACACACACAGGCACACACACAGGCACAGGCACCTAGGCACACACACACAGAGGCACATACACACAGGCACAGAGGCACACACACAGGCACAGTGTCTCAGGACTTCCATCGGCCCCTTCTACAGGGAGTTGCAGGCATGGCAGGGAAGTTAGGAGGAGCCCCTAGGTTAAGAAGGAAAGAAGGAGGAAACCACGAGCAGAGCTAAAGGAGGGACGAGTAACTGGCCATCAAGCCATCCCCAAATATTTGCCAAGTGCCCCCTCACCCCTATAGCCAGCTGTGTGGCAGCTGAGTGAAATGGTTCAGAATGTCAGGTCTGGAGCCAGACTTAGTGGGTTTGAATCTCGGTTCTACCTCTTGCTAGCTGTGACCTCTGATAACTTATGGCAAAGCTCTGTGCCTCAGTTTCCACATTTGCTGAAAGAAAACAACAATAATAGTATCTATTGCATATAAGTAAACTCTACATACATTTCAGCTGCTGCAGTTTGTTTTTTATTGTTGCCATCGTCCTGAAGCCTTTGAGCCTTGGTCACCTCCTCTGTTAAATGGCCCTCAAGCTACCACCCCTCAAAAGGACATGACAAGGATTAAATTGGAAGATGACATCATCTATTGGGTAAACATCACATTTCGGGAGCCGATTTGAACAGGATGCTGGATTAAACTCCAAGTTGGGCTACTGGGGGGCAGGAACATGGACAACACAGTTTCTGCTCAAAGGCAGATATCAGGGGAAGGTAAGTGATGAGACAAACGGGAAAAGACCCCTCAGAACACAAAAGTCTCATGGGAATTCAGGGAAGGGACAGGATTCTCTGAGAGGTATTCCAGAAAGGCCTCACAAAGAAGTGAACTGAGCATAATTTGAGGTAAATGAAGCTTGCTGCAGGGGTATGTGAAGAACGTGGTAACTCCGTAGTGATTAAAAACAGGATGTAAGGGCCAGAGTCCCTGGGTTCAAATTCCAGTTTCTCTGCTTCCAAACTGTGTGCCCTTGAGCAAATGGCTTAACGTCAACTGTGCCTCAGTTTACTCACCTGTGAAGTGGAGGTAATTACAGTACTTTCATTGGTTGTTACCAAGATTAAGAAGGATGACACAAGTTATACATGTAGCCTAATGTCACAAGCTTTGTGTTCTTAAGTGACAAAATTTGGAGGGAATACAAAGAAGTGTGGCTTCTACGCCTCCCAACCATGCACGCTCCTGAGAAAAAGAGAATGCCACCCTGAGGCTACAGGGATTTAAAATGAATGACCCTCAACTTCCTCCACAACTTACTCTAGACGGCTTCTTACCTTTGAGCTTTCATCCCTGCACTCCCCACACCTACTTAAGCTCTAGGAGTATCTCTGGTTGAGTAGATCAAAGTAAACAAGGAAGCGAGCAAACACATGGAAACCTGAGTCTGCACGGAATAAATGTTTGCTGATTGACTGCATAAATGCATTTAACCAAGAGGAGGGCATTTCCAAGGTAGCTTCTCAATCCTAGAAACAACTGAGCAGGGTTGATGACCTGCATGCAGTCCCCGGCCTGGAGCACACACCAAGAGGACACAGATGTGGCACCTGTTCTCTCAGCCATGGATCTAATAAGACGTTTATTTTATCCCCTTCAGGGAAAAGCATATCTGATAACAGGTAAGTGATCCCACCTGCCCTGTGTTACTGCCCCGGCCCTCTGCCCAGGCCTGCAGTAACAATTGGCTTCAGAGAGGGACCCAGTGCCCAGGATCATATTCCATTTTCCCAGGGGGAGCGGAAGCAAGCCCTGAATCCCTGGGGCCTTAGTCCACACTCTGTGAGGCTAGCAGAGGAGACTCAAACATGTAGCTCAGGCAGCTCCCTGCCCCTGCTGAATAACCTTCAGTAGCTACCCACGGCCTTCAGAACAAAATCTGGAGGCTGGGTGTGGGTTTGACAGGTCTCCGCCTACCCCACACCCCTGGGCTTCACCTGTTTCCACTGCTTCTCGCCATTGGTTCCCAGAATTGGCCTCGCCCTCCTGAGCACTCCACCTTTGGCTCTTCTGTCCCAGGTAGACTCCTGCTCATGCTCCCGGACCCTCCTCTTCACTAGGAAGCTTTCCCCTCCCTGCAGGGGCTCCCTCCAGCCCCCACATCACCTTGTTCTCCCAGTGCACTCTAATTTAATGTCTTTCACCTGGATTGAGAGCCCCTGGAGGGCAGGCATGGCGCCAGCTTCATTTCTGTACCCTCAGCACTGTCCAGCATGGGCCCGCCACCGAATCTGACAGGGGCTCAGGGAACCTCTCCCAACTGGACAAGCTCCAGCAACGTGGAGTTCACAGTGGACTTTGACACCATGAAATTAGGTCACATTTTTAGGTGGAGTCTTTGCCCCCACGTATTACCTAAGTGTATTCATTCAACCGTGACTGAGTACGTGATCTGTGCCAGAACTGCATGAGAAAAATAAAGCCCTGTGCTCATGGAATGGAGCTCGTGTTCTATAAGGGGGTGGGGGGTGGGGCGGCAGGCAAGAATTCAAATGGATAAACAAGATCATTTTTGATGGAGGAGGAACGTAGTACGTGGGGTGGAAGGCGATTACCTGGATTCTGGAGGGCTTCTTTGAGAAGAAGACATTTGAGATAACACAGAACCAAGGGGAAGGTGGGAGAGGTAGCTTGTGCTAGGCTTTCCCACAGGCCTTTCAATTCAGAGTTTCATCTGTACCGCCTTGCTGAACAGTGCACCATTTCTGTGCAAGAAACCACCAGGTGGTAGGAGCACAGTATTGGAGAGCAGAGGGGCTGGGGCTGGTGGGGGGCCATGGGGGCCACACCCCTGCACTGCCCTCTACTAGCTCTGCCCTGAGCCCCTGCTGGGCCTGTGTAAAATCAGAAAATATCTTTCTCTTGGCCTAGGGGTTTCATTTCCCAAGTGTGTCCCCAGAAGTGCCGTTAACTGGATGCCCAAGGAGAGCTGGCACCTTACAGAGTGGATTCCTCCACACTGAGTAGTAACCCATTGCTGACTGGCAGCCAGTCACCTGCCCCCAGGCTCTGTGCCCGCCCCTTGCTCACCATTTTCTGGCTGGACAGAGTCCAGACATCGGACTTCCATCTACCCTATGTCATCTCCCCCTACCAGCCTGGAGCTGAGGGTGAGGGCAGCTTGCTCAGCCCTAGCAGCTGCATATTTAATTAAAATGGAATCACAGTTCACCCAGGAACCATGGGGTAAAACAAAAGGCCCTTTCACGGCGAGAACTGGCTCTGCTTACAGGCATTGGCCGTGGATTTACTCACAAGCCTCTGGTTTCAAACTCCAGACGGGGCTGGTGCTCTGGTTCCTAATCAGTGGGATCTGCCGCCCCCTCCCTGCCCCTGGCCCGGCAGTGCTGACTCTGGCTTGCACAGGGGCCCTCTGCCCAGTTGAGAGCCTGCCTGCAACTGTCCTGAGGGCACCTGGGGATCACTCACCTTGCTTCCCAGAAAACCAACCTTTTCCCTCCCTGCAGAGGGCTGAGTGAGGGCATGGGGAGGGAGATGAGCTGGAATGAGGGGGTTGACCATAGAAAACACATGGCGGTCAGGCAAAAGCCCAGATGAAGTGTTTGGGGCAGGGCAAGACTAAGAAGTCCCTGGGAAAGAGGTCGGGTGTATGGTTGTGACTCACCACCCAGCAACACCCCAGCTTCCAATACCTGGACATTCTCGGAGCCTACAAAACCAGGAAGCACAGGGTGCCAGCCAGGAGACCCCTGTGGGTCTGTGAGCCTACTGTGCACCAGGTCCGGCCTTGCGGGCTTGCCCTGCTGAGATCTCTCAAGAATCTCTGAGGACAGAGGGGATAGTGTGCCAAGTGTGGTAAAGGGCAGGAGAGTGGCCACTCTCTAGGCAAAAAAGAAGAAGGAGTCCCCAGAGGCCATGATTGGTGCCCAGCGTGAGCCAGGACACTCCAGGAACACTCAGAATTGGCACAGAGGAGTCCAGTTCGGTCATACCCTGAGTCCTGGGCCCATAATAAGGGGGGCAGCCACTGGCTGGTCCCTGGGACAGGCTCCAATTGTGGCTTATTCAGCCTCAACCCCCTGAGTGGAGGAATAACACGGGGAGGGAGGCCTTGCCTGAGTCAGAGGCCTTGGATCTGGCCTGGCTGTGCCCCAGGCTGGCTGTGAGAGTCTCCCCTTGCTGGGCCTCGGTTACCTCATTTATAAATGGAGGTCATAATTTGAACCCCTGATTGTGGAGGAACAGTGAGTCAGAAGGTCTCTAAGACCTGTTCAACCTAGCATTCTCTGTCTGTCTCAGTCATTTAGTACATATCTGGCTCCCAGTCTTCCCCCAGGCACCTCCTCATTAAGACTGGTGGCTCACCAGAGCCTGGCAGGGAAGGACCCCGGGGAGGGGAACGCCCAGGAGCCTGCATGTACACACAGCAGCTCACACCTGACATCAGCAAGAGCTATGGGGGAGACCCACACCTTAGAACTTGGGCAGGGCCCAAATGGAGGCCCCTGGAGTTCAGGGCTGAGGGGAGCCCCACTAGGAGCCATCCCCCAAGTCCCTTCCAGCCATGGCCCTCCTCCCTACCCTCTTTCTTATTTGTCTTCATTTCCCCCCAGCTAAGCCTGCTCTTGGGCACATAATTCATTAATATGGGATTAAAGGGATCCAGGCTGCCTAACCCTGAACGTGACCCTGGACAACCTGAGGCCCAGTGGTGAAGAAGGCCCAGGATGTCCTCCCCGCGCCTGCAGAGGAAGAGCTGAGGCTCCAGCGGCTCTCCTGGCAGCCAGAGGCAGTGCTGGGTTGAAGCCCCCTCGGAGCCCCCTCCCCACTTCCTGCCCTGGCCTCTGCCCCCTCCCTGCCCTCATCAAAATGGAGAAAGCACTGAAAAATTCTCACTCCTTTGGTCACAGAATGTGGGGGTCTGTTCTGGAATCCCACCCACTCTTCACCCCCTTTTTTCTCCTTGTCAGGCTGCTCACATCCCGGGACTTTCCCAGACTCTGCCGTTGTGGAAGTTTCTAAGATGACGGCTGGCCCTCGCTTTCCACAGAGTGTGTCCTTAGACCATGATGCTCAGAGAAGGGATTTCAGGCCACACAGTCAGGACATGGTGCCTGCATCCTTTCATTCTTGGGAGGTTGTCTCAGGGAGAAAAGAACTGGCTCAGGGTTAATGTGCCTTGAACACCTCTGACCTTCTCCCTCCTAACAGAGAGACACAGAGCAGAACTCAGGCAGCGGCAGCGAGGTGGAATTTAATCATAGGATGATTTTTATTTCTTTGTATTTATTTTAATGCTTAGCTCCTGTTGATGACAAGCGATATTATAAACCACTTAATTGCATTAAAAAGTTTCTTTTAAAGAGAACATAATCAGGTAAAATGGTGAACTGATGAAAACAAGACTAAATGGGTAATCGCGTGGGTTGTTTACAGATAAAAACAAATGACTGAAGTTGGAGGGAAACTGACATGGAGGCCAAACTCCACCCTTCACAGGTGGATAAAGCATTTGCCCAAGGTGAGCTCCTGGCAAACTGGGCTTTGAACTGGGCCACACCTGGTACCACACCTCAGAGCCTCCCTCCTCCTCCACTTTTGGGGCTGTTTCATTTCTCTTCTCTCTGAACTGAGCCTCCTTCTTTTCTTAACTTCTCAGCACCCTCTCTTTCACTTTCTCCCACATCCCCTCTGTTCTCTCAAGGCTGTGAAGCCCTATTTAAGGCCATCCTTCCACTGGCCAAGAGGCAGAAACCTGAACTGGTGAGAAACGATGATGAGGTGTGTCAGGAAGAACTCAGACCCCGCATCCAGCCCTGGTGACCCCGGCCCTCTTGAGCTGAGCAAGCCTACAGCAGCAGTTCACCTTCTCTGGGCCTGGCTTCATTTCCTTGGTAAGAAAATAATGACTTCATCCCCCTGGGGTAGAGGCCTAAATGAGCCGATGCCTCTAAAATGCCTAGCACGGTGCCCGGTGTGTTTGGCAGATGCTCGATACACGTCAGTTCTCTAATAGAATCGTTTCTTTTCAAAAGGATCACAGCATTGCTGTGAGTGTCCTTGGTATGTTCAGTGACATTCTTGACAGCAGATGAGGAGTCTTAAAATCGCTTTAAAAATAGAGAAGTAGTCATTTATAATTTGCACACTCATTGTTGGAATGCAAATGCTGCTGCTAAAAGCCTGCTCTCCTAAGTGGGCTTGTGACACCGTCAATCTGCTTAGCAAAGCCTTTGCTTCTGTCAAGTGCAGGTAAGAGCCCTCTTGCAAGCGTTCATGATAACAGAGTTCAGACTTAGCTCCTGGAAATGAGATTTTACTGATGTGGTTACTGTGGGGCCCCGGTAACCCAGCTGTTCTCTACCCTCTGTTCCTCCTCCCCCAGCTGCCCAGATCACGGGGGTAGGGCTAAGAAAAATGAATCAGAGCTGAGGTGTTCACAGATCTTCGTTCTGGCATTACATATCAATCCACCTTCTCCTTCAGTCTTTCCAGGAAAAAAAAACAAATCTAAGCCCAATAAATAGACTTAACTCTCAGACGACAGAGCAACCACAAAGGAAATGAAGGTCTTTTGGGTCCCTGGAGGAGGGTAAGACCCAGTCAGGGTGGAGGTATCATTCTGTCTTCAGCCCTCCCTCCCCTGAGAGATATATGTTTGACTGGGTGGCAGGTCTTCCCTTGGGAGTCCCACAGGCATCTAAACTTAACATGGTCCAAGCTAGAGTTATCACCCCTCCTCCCTCTGCCTCCATACTTTTCTCCTCCCAGATGCCCCAACTTGGTGAGAAACACCACTGAGTTACCCAGGTGGGTCAGGGAGCTGGCAGGCACCTTGGCCTCACCTCCCTCACACTCTCCAAGTCAATCTCTGCATAAATTTGACCCTTCTAGGATCTCTCCTCCCCTCTCACCCCGTAGCCATGGCCCAGGTCACCATCACCTTCTGCCTGGAGCCCTGTTAAGACATCCACCCACCTCCCTAGCTGCCATCTCTTCTCTCCAAGCCAGCCTCCACATGGCAGGTGGGCTAAAGTCATACAACACACTTCCCATTGTTTCACTTCTCTGCCCCAAACCTCACAGTCTCCCCTAACCTTCCGGATGAAGTCCAAACTCCCTAACTCCTCTGCAGACCAAGTATTGATTGGGTGCTTCTTGTGGGCCAGGTCTTGGCCCCCAGCTATCAGACACAAGCCTGTCTGCACAGAGTCTGGAATCCATAGCTTCTCATATCACCTACCACCACATGCCCCACTGTTGGGTCTAAACTAGGACTGCAAACTGGCAGCCCCCTTCTATTCTGTTTGGTTTTCCCAGTGTTGGCTCAGTGTTTTGAAGTCAAGAGATTCCACATAAAAACCTGGGTCCCTGACATCTCTGGAAAACTTGGAAGACCAGGTAACACTAGGCCAGCTTCTCTTCATATTAATAATTGCATGGAGCAGAGTCCTACTTCCCTTTAGAGCCATCAAGCCCTTTCCAATTGGCCACAGTCTCCACCACTCCATATTGTCTTCTACCCAGCCTACTTTTTTCACAGCTCGTGGGTGTGGGGCCTGTGGATATTAAAACCTGCTCCCCCTCCTCCATGTACAGCTTTCCCAGTGCATTCAACTGTTCTTGTTCTGAGCTTTAGCCCCTGCTGATCCCTCCTCCTGGAATGCCCTTTTTACCCTGTCTATTAAAAGTGCTCCTGCTGCTTTTAATAGAATATGCCACAGCCTTCTGTGTCCCCACTGTACAGACATCCTTCCAAGCATCTATTGCACCAAAGCATCCTCGTTTATTAATACTTCCATCTCTGCCACTAGAGTATGAGCCCACTCCACATCTCTAGGGAATAACACACTAACTACTTCACAAAATGGGTCTTCAGGAAATTGTTCATGGGTGATGGGCAGATGCTGACAGTAACAAGAAAATAGCGACAACAATACTAGCCTATGTGCTGGGCTCCAGGCTAAGCATTTCCATACGTCCTCTCATTTAATGCTCAACAGAGGTCAATGTGGGATGCTAGTATCATCTCTATTCTACATATGGAAAGACTGAGGCTGGAGCCCAGGGTCTGATTCCAAAGCTGGCCTGTTCACCATCCCTGGGCAATAGCCTCCTTGCCTCTGTTAGGCTCAAAGTCTTTCTTTTTCCCTGCCTGACAAGTCATGGACCAGAGAGGGCAGGCTGGGGGGAAACTGGGGAACAGTTCTGGGAACCAGAGCTGGGGCTCCTTAGCTTGTCAGGAAATAAAGACCTAAGAACAGTTTGTGAGGCTGGAGCTGGAGGATTGCTTGAGGCCAGCATTTCGAGACTAGCCTGGCCAACACACTGGGACCCTATCTTTACAGTTTTTTTTTTTTTGAGACAGAGTCTCACTCTGCCACCCAGGTGGGAGTGCAGTGGTGCAATATCGGCTCACTGCAACCTCCGCCTCCCGGGTTCAAGTGATTCTCCTGCCTCAGCCTCCTGAGTAGCTGGGACTACAGGCATGCATCACCATGCCTAGCTAATTTTTGTATTTTTAGTAGAGATGAGGTTTCGCCATGTTGGCCAGGCTGGTCTTGAACTCCTGACCTCAAGTGATCTGCCTGCCTCAGCCTCCCAAAGTGCTGTGATTACAGGCGTGAGCCACCATGCCCAGCCCTCTACATTTTTTTTTAAAATCAGTTGGCTGTGGTGGTATGCACCTGTGGTCTCAGCTACTCTGGAGGCTGAGATGGGAGGTTTGCTTGAGTCCAGAAGTTCAAGGCTGCAGCGAGCTACGATTGTACCACCGCACTCCAGCCTGGGTGCAGAGCAAGACTTTAATCTCTAAAAACAAAAACAAAAACAAAAAAACAACCTAAGGACTCGGGTTGCTGTTTCCAGTGGAGGAGTTCAGTGTTCAATCTGGGCTCTGCCGCTTGTGATCTGCATGAGACCCCCGGTGAGATAACGCAGCTCTCTGAGCCTCAGTTTTCTCATCTATAAAATGAGGGTAGTACTGTACCCATATACTCCACGGCCAGAGTGTATGTGAGAGGAGGCAATGCATGTCAAGAGCCTGGCTTGTGTTTAATAGATGGTGGCAATGACTCTTAGCAGAGTCCTTGGGCAAAGCTGTAGTCCGCACCATCTAACCCCAAGATCTCAGCCCCTGACCAGGGGGGTGGAGTTAAAAGCCAGGATTAAGGTCCTTTGCTAGTCTTTGGTGAAGTAGGGAGTGCAAGACTTCCAATCCTCCTGGCTTGTATATTGGGTTGGAGGTCCAGTTCCCTTACTTAGTTAACTCTGGAAGTCAGTCTGAATCCTGTGGGTGGACGTGTGTGCAGCGGAGGTACACATGTGCATGCAGGGGAGTTTTGGAGATGTGTATCTGTGTGTCTGTGCCAGGTAAATGTGTCTACTTTTACAACGGTTTGGAGCACTAATGTGTGTGTCTGTGTGTATGTGTGTTTTACACACCTGCTTATGTATAAGACCTTTCCCCATACTCCTATCCATTCCTCCCTAAGTCTCCCTCAGTCACTGCTGTATCCCCAGGGCCTGGCACATAGTAGGTGCACAGTAAACGTAAGTGTAATGACGGAGTCTAAACACACACACACACACACACACACACACACACAGAGAGAGAGAGAGAGAGAGAGAGAGGGAGAGGGAGAGGGGGAGGGGGGGAGAGAGAGAGAGAGAGAAAGAAAGAGAGAGAGAGAGACAGAGAGAGAGAGAGAGAGACTGTTCCCATCAACCTTTGTCTTAAAAACATTTAATTTGGCAACTCAGGTATGAATCTCATACTTTTTAAAAATGTTCTATCTTTTCCAACTTCACACAGAGACAAGATGTGGCACTGGCTTGGCGGTCGGCAGGAAGCTGGTTGACCACGTACTGGCTGTGTGACACTGGCCAGTTGCTTCTCCTCTCTGATCCACTTGTGTGAGGGTTGAATAAGCCCAGGCAGTGGAAAGCCCAGAACAGAGCCTGAAACAGTGGAGGAAGCTGCAAAGGAAGTTGTTTAGTTGCAGTACTTCCAACCAGGAATCCCCCACAAAGCTGGGCACTCCCAGACCTCCAGCCCTGGACCTTAGAAACCATTGCTCCCTGACATTTCCATTTCTCCTAAGCCAAGGTCTTTTCCAAAGCCAGGCAGAGTCCCTGGACTCCCTGGAGAGGGGTCAGTGGTGAGCCAAGGCAGTGCCCCATTAGCCATCCCCCAGGTATCCCTGACCCCTGCACACCTGGCACCCTGGCCAGGACACAGAACCTTTCTAAATGATCCATTTCTAGGGTAGGCTCTGCACAACCAACCTGCTCAGTGGCATTGCCATTCAATACCTGAAAAATCTATCCACACTAGGGACATGGCATCCACTTTCCACACTTGCACTTAGATGGAAAGGGGGTGCAACCCCAAGCAGCGAGGGCCAAGCTAAGCCTGCTGTAGGTGCAGGGTGAGATCTTTCTGTTTGAGTGTGGCAGCTATCACAAGTTCAGTGACCACATGTAGATTTGGAGGGTGTGTGGATGATAAATCTGGCATTGACTCAGCATCACCAGGGTTTACCATGAAGCTTGCTAGGGCAGGGGTCTAGGGGGGTGATACTATATCGAAGTCAGGTCCCAGTGTGACCAGATTTGACCTTATGACCTCCCTCCCTCTCTCTTCCACCTGCTCCTTCTCCCCTTGTCCCCTCTCTCATCAAGAGGCAGCATCACCCACCCAGGCCTCACTGTCCACTTTGAAATCATCCCTGACACTTCCTTTTCCTTCACGATTGACCCTTGTCACTCAAACTCGGAAAAGAGCAGAGCTGTCCCCTGCTGTCTACCTCCTGACTCCACTGCCTTGGTCTAAGCACTGGCCTCTAGGATTTTTAAGTCATAGCTTTCTTCTCTGGAAGGTCCCTGTCTCCCTCCTCACTCCATCCACACTGTAGTTTTCTAAGATGCAAAGCTGACCACATCAAGCCCCCATTATAAAGTCTGCAGTGCCACTGGGCATGGTGGCTTGTGCCTGTAGTCCCAGCTACTGGGGAGGCTGAGGTGGGAGGATCACTTGAGCCCAGGAGTTTGAAGCTGCAGTGAGCAATGATTGTGCCACTGCACTCCAGCCTGGGCCACATAGTGAGACCTTACCTCTTAACAAAAAAATTAAAATCTTCAGTGTCTCTCACCTGTCTGTAAGACCAAGTCCTGACTCCCTCAACTGGCCTTGGAGGCCTTTGGTGATGAGGCCCTGTCAGTTTCCTCTGCTGGCTCTCTGCAGCCTCTGCTCAGACCTGCCGAGCCCGTCACCACATACGATCACATTTTGTATGTTCAAATCTCTTTGCAGTCACTCATAAGATTTTGGCTGCCCTTTGTTCCCTGAAGAACTCTTACTCATCTGCCAAGACCTGGTTGAAATGGCCCTTCATCTGTAAAATCTTCTCCAGCACCCTGAGGCCCCACTGGCCTCTTCCTCCCCTGGCCAGACCCTCTCTTATCACACCTCACATGGTACTACAGTTATCTAAGAAACCATTCTCTTGGCAAGACTAGGGGCGCTGCTGGGGAGAGGCCTATTTCAGTCCTACTAAATCCCCTGGTGCCTAGCAGGGAGCTGGCGTGCACAAGGCCCTCAATAAACATCTGGTAAAAAATGAGGGAAAGAGCTCAGGTCCTTTGGGGAAGTCCTATAACCCCCTTGCCTTGACTGCAAGCCAACAGCAACCTTCCTTCCCCGGAATTCCGGGCCACCTTGAGTTTTGGCAGAGCCAAGTCCTGCCGCTGCTTCATGGAATGAGCAGGAACGGACTCTGAGCTGTTTCCTCCTCCAATCGAAACAGCCATAGCCCTGGCACCAACAGCTCTATCAGCTCTGTCTCAGGACCCCGTGGCTCTACTGCACCCACGTCCCTCACTTACCCTCCTGGGTGTGTACCAGGCAAGCTGTAACCCAGGAGCAGGCCTCTCCTGTGCCCTGGGCTCTGGGACTCTGGGCTGAGGGTCTGGAGGGCAGGGAGCTGTCTGGAACTCTGGCTGCCAGCAGCAGGGCAGAGACACAGAGAGCCGCTGCTGCAGAGCCCACAGCCGCCCCCACCCATGACTACGGCTCTGGCAGCCGCAAGGAGCCTCCCGGCATCGATCAGCCCTGCTACTCCAAGCCTCCTCGGCGCGCCTGGCTGAAGCCGGGAGCTTTCCAAGTGTGTGTAAAAAGAAAGAAAATGAAAGAAAGTCAGCCAACAGAGGCCATCGGTGGGGGTTGGATGGTAAAGCACTTGCCAGTATAGAAATGCCACTGGTTGGGCAGCGGGAGATCCTCTGACAGGTGTGTGCAAGGGGAGGCCTACCTGGAGGTCCAGGTAACTGAGGGTTAACCCTTTAAGAGCCAGCTCCTCTGCCAACTAGGTTTTGGGTCTTGTTTTGTTTTAATGGGAATGCATACAAAATCACAAGGTGCAGCAGCCCTCACTGGTACTCTCAGCATCTTTAGATGGCTCAGGGCTGATGAGGTGGACATCACTGTCATCCTAAGGGGCTGGGGCACTGCAGTGTCTCTGATCAATTCACGGGGGAGTGGGCTGTTTGGCCTGGCACTGAGTGACCCTTCAAGGACTGCAGCTCCCTCTCTCCCATCCTCGGCCACAATGGGGCTTCTGATGTCACCTCACCATCTCCATTTCCGCCAATGGGCTCATCGCAGCCCTGGAAAAATCCTGACTCAGTCTGACCATTCCTGGTTCCTTTGCTCCTTCCTGTTTCTCTTTTTGTCTTCTTGTGCTTCTCATACACATATACATATACACACATACACACACACACACACACACACACACATATATACACATATATGCATAAATATATATATACATGTATATATATATATATATGACAGGAAAAAATATATATCGTGTGTGTGTGTGTAAAATTTTTTTTTATCTGGCCCACTATTCCAAGCTCTGGCACTGGAGGTCTGATGATCACATTCCTTGAAGCCGAAGGGCATGAGCCTTTCTTCCAACCCTAAATGGGTTGGAAGAAAGTGCAGCTCACTCACGGCTGGCCTCTAGATCACAGATACTATCCATCCCAGTTCCCCACCCCCAATTTTTGAGCCCCTTTCAAATACACGTGTGCCCAGGCACAGCAGGATGTCATGCCTTCGAGGCGGCATCACTAAGCATTTTTCTGCTTCTAGCTGCTTCTCCTCCCCAGCCCACTCACCCCAAGAATCTGCAACTAAACCCCTAAACGTATTCACTGCATGAGGTGAATGGAGTAGTGGGGTTATGGACTTCCGGGTAAAGTGATGGAATGATAGGTTCCAAATTAAGAATGTTCTTGGCCCTGTTCAATCTTCAAGTTTCCTTCTCGCAAGCAAAAGTGAGCCTCCATCCTCCCAAATCCACATATCTTCCTGGGTCTCATCCCTCTCCCCATCTCTTTTCCTTTTCCCCTCCCTTCATATCTCTCTCCTCTGCTTTCATGCTATAAAGATTTGGGAAGGAAATATCAACACATGCTGGAGGGAACCTTAGGCTGGTCTCTCTGGGTCTCGGTCTACCCCTCTGAGAACTGGGAGGCATGGAAGACCCCTGCAGCCCTGGCATGCCAAGAGACTGTGTCAAGCCCAGCAGAGGCTGGAGAGCTTCACTTGGTGACCACACGAGGTTATAACAGTGCATCCTGCCCGGCTGGGCTCGCTGACAGTCCCTCTCAGCAGGCAACCTGCAGCCTGACTCAACCAGGATGCACCCTTTTCACAGATGAGAAACCAGAACCTGAGGGCTCGCAGGGGTGTCTCCATAGATCAGAGACATTTCCAAATCAAACAGCTCCAAATCCACCCTCAGGAGGCACCGTCTGCCTGTTAGAACGGGTGGTTCCCACCACTCCTGAATGAGGGTGTGACTCCTGGTTTTGGGGGGACATTTCTTCGTAATGCTGTCTCCCCACATGTTGTTTTAGGTCATAATTACGCTCCCTGGCAGGGGTGGGCAAGGCCCTCTGACCCTGTTTAAAGACAAGGAACTGTGAGGGCTATGAGCAGGGGCACCTCCCTGGCCTGGGCATGTTTGGCGTTGGGGTGTGGCTGCGGAGAGCTTGGGCAGAGGGGTGTGGGAAAGTATTGGCAAAGGTCAGGGATACATCGGTGTCGTCCAGCCTCCACTCCTCTCCCCTTGAGCTCTCTCTTGCTTCAGTCCTGTCCACCGACATCTGCACTCTCCCCTGGCCAGAGGAAGGCAGCCCAAGGGGTCAAGGAGCTCCCTGAGCCTACACCATCAGTGACATGTGCTTGGGGGGCACTGGGTCCCTCTTTTGAGCGACTCACATGGGACTCACGTGTTCCACTTCTTCTCTGACTGGGTCCTCACCCAGGATCTCCCAAACTCACATAGGCTTCTCTTGTGTTTGAGTCCTCATTTCTGCCCGTCTCCTCGCCCTACCGAACTTTGCCTATAGACATCCTTTCCCATCGTCATTCACTTCTAACTCTGGCAATTCCTAAGAGTGTAACGTTGGACCAGTGACTCCATCTCTCTAAGCCTTAGTTTTCTCACCTGTAAAATGGAGACACCACCAGTGTCATAAGTGTTAGATAGGAGAATGCATTTCAGGGGCCCAGCATATTCCCAGGTACACAGAAGATGCTCAACAGAAATAGCTATGGTTGTTACGCCTATCCTGATTACCCCAGTTAGAAATGGTTTCTCCTGTCTACATTTCTGCCAGCCAGCATCGCATTTTACACTCTCTGTTCTAGAGTATGGATGGTGACTCCCATCTCTCCTCTCCAACCACACTCTGAGCTTCCAGAAGACACCTACAACTCCTGGCTCAGCACTGGGCACACGGCAGGTGCTGCATATGCTCTCTGGCCACCAGGTGTGCTATGACACCTGTGCTATGAAAGCTCCCACTTTAACCCCTCCCCAGGTCCCCAGCCCCTCTGGGCTCTTCACTCCCTATCTCTGCTTCCTCACTAACCGTTCCCACCTTGGTCCTCTTCAATTAGCTTTTGTCACCTCTCCTTTCCAGAAGCAACTCAGCTCAAGATTACTGTGGCCCTCATCTTGCCGAGTCCAGAGGCCATTTCTTGGTCCTCCCCTTCCTTGGCCTGTAGAAGCATTTGACACTGCTGCTCACCCTTCCTTGCAAAGCACTTGCCTGGGGACCCCTGCGTACTCCCTTGGTTCTCCTCCTACCTCTCTGGCCCCTCCTCCTCTATTTGCTTTGCTGGCCCTTCCTCTCCCCACTACTAAGTGTGGGACACTTCAAGGCATAGCTGTGAGCTCTTTTTTTTCTCCCTAAAGACACTGGCTTCCTCAGTTATCCAGCCCCATGGCTTTAAATACGATCTATATACTGATATCTCCCTGAGCTGCAGAGTCATAACTCCAACTGCCTGTGCCACATTTCCACTTTGATATCTAATGAACATTTTAAAGTTAACACATCCACACCATTACCCTCTGTTTTCCTGTACCAAACCTATTGCCCCCTCTCTGGTCTTCTGCTGGTCTTAGTAAATAGCACCAGCCTCCAACTGGTTATATGGTTGTATAATAAAACTTTGACAGGCTTTCATCCCTGGTTCCTGGAAGGCAAACTCTAACTCCTTGGAAATTCCCACATGGTAGGAGTATCTTTGTTATTCATGAACCCCTTAGAGTTTATGCTAAGAGATGAGATGAGTCAGGATGGGGGCTGGGCACCAGAAGGAACAACCATGCCATTACAGAGTTGGGGCTTTGAGCCAGCCTGGCCTCCACCGAGGGGAGGGGGCTGAAGATTGAGTTCAGTCTCATGGCTGATGATTCAGTCAATCATGTCTATGTGATGAGGCTCTAATAAAAACTCTGGACACCAAAGC
Source organism: Homo sapiens (assembly GCF_000001405.40). Lineage (NCBI taxonomy): Eukaryota > Metazoa > Chordata > Mammalia > Primates > Hominidae > Homo > Homo sapiens. Next base: position 10,613,141 of record NC_000003.12, read on the forward strand.
TCAGTGGAGTTTCCAGTTGGTGAACACAATGATGTTCCTGGGAGGTGATGTGCCTTGATTTCATGCCCTGAAAAATGTGTGGGAGCTCTGTGTTCAGGGCCCTTCCAGACCTCACCCTGTGTGTGGCTGGTCCTGATTTGTATCCTTCACAGCAAAGTGGTAATCATAAAAGCGGCACTTCTCTGAGTTTGGTGAGTCATTCTAGTGAATTATCAAACCAGAGGGGGTTGTGGGAACCCCTGAGTTTGTTGCCAGCTGGTCAGAACTGCGGGCAGCTTGGGGACCCTCCTGGTAGTTGGCATCTAAGTGGGGGCAGTCTTATTGCAGACTGTGCCCTTTAACTTGTGGGGTCTGCATTAGCTCTGGGTGATTAGTGCCCTTGATGACTTATAAAACACCATTGGTGTCAAAACACACCCCATCACCTTTGATTCTTCTTTTTCCTTCTAATCTCACCCCCAGTGTGAGACTAGGTCAGGTCAGCTCAACTGTCACAGCTGTTTGGAACACAGCTACTTCTCTCCTCCACTGCCACTGTCCTGGCCCGGCTGCCATCATCTCTTACCCGGATAATGGTAACATTCTCCCTGCTTCCGCCCTTGCCCCCTGCAGCAGACTCTCCAAACAGCAGCTTGGGGAGCCTGTATCCCCCACCCAGCCCACTCAAGACCCTCGAGTTCCCCACCTCCCCTGGAATTAAGGCACAGCCCCTCACCTAGCTCTCTGACCTCACCTCTCACTTCTCCCTCCCCTGTGCTGTCCTTTGTCTTCCTGGCTTCCTTGATGTTCCCCAAACATCCCAAGCTTCAGCCTGCCTCAGGCTTTTGCTTGTCCCTTTCCCTGGAATGTTGTTCTTGGTTTTCATTCCCTCATTCCAGCCTGAAAGGTCACCTCCTCCAAGAAGCCTTCCCTGAGCACCTTATATAAAGTAGCCCCTCCCCCTCTCTCCTCTCACCCAGCTGTATTCTCCTTGACAGCCTTTACGGCATATTACATATGCATTTGTTTATTTGATTATTGTCCATCTCCCTTAGGAGAATGTCAGCTCCCTGAAGGCAGGAACCACGTCTACTTTGTTCACTGCCGTATTCCTAGTGTTTGGCTCCGTATGTATTTGCTGAATGAATGAATAAATTACGTGCCACCAAGAAAACTGGCCAGCTGGAAGAGGTATCATATAAATGATCTGGTACCTCCTGGAACGTTTTGCTTTCCAGCTGGTTGTTATAAGGATTTATTTACACAGATGTGGCAGGAATCGCTGTAGGGCTGTACAGTTTCAACAGCTTGAGCTCAAGAGAAAAAGTGCTTTGTTAGTAGGTAACAAACAGATGCTCTGAAAGCACAATGCGCCAGGTCATTTCCTTCAAAAATCACAAGATTAAACATAGAAACACAAATGAGAAAAATACATTGAATTGCAGTCTCGTGACTTGGGTTTTAATCTTTTCTCCCGCATCGTAGTTGGGTGAGCTTTGGCAAGTGGCCTCCCCTCCCTGTGCCTCAGTTTTGTTGTCTGTAGAGTGGGGATAATGGTAATACCACTGACCTATGTCCCAGAGTGGCTGTGAGGGTTCTATGAGAGGCAGGATGGAAGCAGGCCCACAGGACTTTATTTGGTTGACTCCCTTGCTAACATCTACCACAGCACGGAGTCCCAAGACATTTAGGCAAGAAATAAAGAGTCAGTACCAAGTAGACCTCTAGGAATAGTGACCAATTTTCAGTCTCCCAGAAAAGCTGCTGAGAGAAGAGACTTTGCTATAAGAGAATAAGAGAAAAATGCTGAAACCAAGTTGTCATATGTCATGGGGCTGTTTTCTCAATCAAGTGTCCCCTCAATTCCAGGATCTCATGCACGGTCCTGGATTCTACCCTGTGAGTAGAGTGAGAAGCATTGGAGACATGGAAGCTGAGCATCACTTGGACACAGAGAACAGGGGGCTGGTGGGATCAGAGGCCAGAGGTGAAGGCAGGAAGCACCCTAAACCACTATTGTCAGGAGAGCTTGGATTTTAGCCTCAGGACATCAGGAAGCTGCTGGAGGGTTACAGTCAGGGAGTGATGCGAGCAGATCTGTGTTTTCAAAGGACCTGTCTGGCTGCTGCCATGGGGTGGGTGATCAGGGACAGGTGTAGGAGCGGGAGCAACCAGGAGGCTGACCCAGTGGTCTAGGCAAGACATGGTGGTGACCTGGATTTTGTGATGTCCCCAGGAGTAGATAGAAGACAATGACAGTCAAGACATGAGCAGAAACGAAGGGAGGGTCAAGGATGACTCCAAGTTTTGGATTTAGGCAAAGACAGGAAGCAAGACATTTGCAGAGATATTTGAGGGTATCTTTGCCACACTCTCACCTTACACTGAGCTCCAACAGTCCAACGGCCAGCCCCTCAGAGTGGTTTTGACCCACAGTGATCTAAGAAGGTCAGCTGACAAGGGACAGAAGGACCTTGAAGCCAGTGTCAAGGTCCACAGAGGTGAAGCTTTGTTTCTGCTAAACTCAGCAACCATCACCATCCACATCCAACTTGCTCATCCTAGTCCTTCTCTCCACCACTGATTTTATAAATCAAAATCACTTTGGAGTTGATGCTAAGAAAAATTATTTTTTATATTCAGATTTTAATGTCCAGAAGCCCATTTCAACTATCAAATTGTTTATCTCTAACTCACTTCTTCTCACTTCATGAGAGTTTCTTAGTAAAATTAATGTTTTCAGGATGAACTATTTTGCTATGGCCTTGAGCAGCCACTCTGTGATAGATGGGCTCAGCTGGGATGGTTGTACTGTTGCTTCTGGGTCTCGCTGGGAAGGTAAGGTGGTAACCAAGTGCACCACCTACTTAGGTGTCTGCATCACACCTCTCCAGAGATTTATTAAGGATGGAGACATGAGTTTTCCTTCCACACTTACCTCCCTCCCCCGATCCCACTACAGTTCCAAGTTCAGTGCTCTGCAAAATAAATGGTCTCAGTTGCCAGGAACAAGCTGTCCCTGTTACAGCCTGAATTGTGTCCCCCAAATTCATATGGTGAAATCCTAACACCTGCCACTTCAGAATGGGACTATATTTGGATATAGGGTTTTTAAAGATGTGATTAAGTTAAAATGAAGTCGTTAGGGTGGGCCCTTATTCAATCTGACTGGTGTCTTTATAAGAAAAAATTTGAGCACAGACATATTCAGAAGGTGAGGATATAGGAGAAGTCAGCTGTCTAGGAGCCAAAGAGAGAGGACTTAGAGGAAACCAGCCCTGCCAACACCTTGGTCTTAAACTTCTATCCTCTAGAACTGTGAGAAATGAATCTGTCGTTTAAGCCCTCCAGTCTGTGGCACTTTGTTATGGCAGCCCTAACATGAATACATGAATACAGGCTCAAAGCCAGCTCCCTCAGAACTGCAGCTCCAGGGACAGAAGGAAGACTATGTGACATTGACCTTGGCTTTGAATAAAAAAATTTGTTTTTGAGAAAAAGAGCACTTTAGAATGAAAAGTGCCAACATAACCATTTTTCTTATACAGCTGACTAGCAAAATGCACACACACACACACACTCATTGGTGGGGGCAGAGGATTTTTTCTTAACTCTAACTCCTCTTTGTGATTATATAAACAGTGAACATTCCACTAGGGGAAATTTAGAAAGTGCAGAAAAGCACAAAGAAAAAAACAAGTCACCTGTTATCCTCCCACACTTTTGTATCTGTTTCTTCTATCTTCTCTTTCTCTCTCTCCCCACTTCTTTCTCTCTTGCTTACTTCTGTTTTTGTCTACCTATTTAAAAAAATACAGTTTAATTTTGGCAAATTGCCTTTTCACTTAATACTGAAATGTGAACATTTTCTCCTCCATTATTAAAAATTCATCTCAAACAGTTTCGATGGCTGCCCAGAATCTTCCTTCTGTGATCTATATTGCCACAACTGACTCCCAGTTCCCTGCTGCTGGCCATTGGCATTGTTTCCTATTGTTAACTAATATAAATACTGCTGTGATACACATCGTTGTAGATCAATCTTTGTATACATTTTGGGTTATTTCCTCAGGGCAAATGTCCTAGAAGTGAAATTACTAGTTCCTTATATTTTGAAAGAGGAAACTTTTTAAAAGCCTTTAAAACTTTCTAGTAGGTTATGCCACTCTCAGGGGTATAACAATGTCTCATCACACATATTAAAAGATTCCCAGGGTTTCTGTTATAATTTTAGATAAAATAAAAAGAAACAAACAAAATAAAACCCAATCTACCCGCCTATAGTCAATACAAGAAAGTGACAGCCATCCCCGGCTAAAATGAAGTTGCCCTTCAGGTGAGAGCCTGGTTACTTAGGAAGGGAACGAAAGGAGGTGGCCTCGCTGTTTGCTCAGCATTCTGTGGAGTGGACACCCATCTTACAGGTGAAGAAACGAAGGCACAAAGGGGTGGAGTCACCCACATGCCCAAGGCCATGCATAGCTTGAGAAGGAAGCAGTCAGGATTAAAATTCAGTTTTGCCTGTCTCCAAAGACCAAGGGCTTAGCCGTTATTCCAGAGGGTCTGAGAGTGCTGGTCTTCACACAGGGACGAGCTGCTGAGCAGGGCAGCAGCAGGACGGCTCCCAGATCCAGCCCTGGTGTCCTGTTCTGCCTTCCCATCTTGCCAGCAACATGAGTGTGCAGGACCAGGAAGACGCAAAGCTGGTGTGTGCCCCAAGGGAGCACGAGCTGGTGTGGCCCACCTGGCCCCCACCAGGTGATGGCCAACATGCCCACCTGGCCATTTGCTCATCTGGGACACAAACCCTTATCGCTGTGTTGACCCCACTAGAATAGCCACAGCTGTGTAACAGCCCAGACAAGGATGCACTAATGAGACTGTGTCTAAGAAAATACATATATAGATAAAAGCAGGAAGGAGAGCAAAAATACCCCAAACATGCCGTGGCAGGGAAGTGAAACTATGAATACATTGTTTTATCCATTGTCCAGTCTTTTACAAACGTAATGTTATTTCTGCAGGGATATGGTGGCAAAACAAGGTATTTGAAGTCAGATGGACTGGGTTCCAGTCCTGCATCTTAATGGTCAAGTGACTTTGGGCAAGTCACTTCACTTCTCTGAGCCTCAGTCTCCTCGCCTGCAGAACGGGGATAATCATTGCGTCTTGTTCTCAGGATGAACCTATGTAAGAGGTGAACCTTAGTACTGTGCCTGGCACATGGTAGGGCACGGCAAATACCAGTTCCCACGCAAATTAGCACCTCACTGAGCCCCAGGCATGAACAAGGAGACAAGGCCCTGCCTTGGGAGGAGCTGAGTGTGGAGAGGAAGAGACAAGGCTATCGAGGTGATGAGCAGTGGAACAGAAGTGACAGATCAAGTCCACATTATTTTCAGAAAATTATCATGCTTTGGGTCTTTAGCTCACGGCAGCAGCAAAATCGGAGGAGGAAGCATGCTTCGCCCCTGCCAGCTCTTTAGTCTCTCCCCAGCATCACCTTTTGCTTTTCCACCAAAAGGTACCCACGCCCCAGCTCCCAGAGGCCTGCTGTCTTCTGGGGCCAATCTGGTCAGATCACTACTACAACACACTTGTATGCCCATGGGTTTCTAGACCTCCCCAGAGAGCACTTGGGAAGAAACCATGAAAGAAACATGTGCTTATTACATAAAACTTAGAAAACACAGAAAACCCAAATTGCCCATAATCTCTAAACTTAGAAGTAACCACAGCTAACCTATAGATGATATTTTGATGGAAGCTTTCAAGGTTTCTTCCCCATCCTCTTCCAAGGAGTGACAAGCATGGTGGTGATTTGGGCACTGTGACAGGTTTGCAGGGAGGGGGTGTTGGGTGGGGCAGGCTCTCTCTTGTCAAACCTTGGAGCAGTGGCTAATTCAGCCTAGGAAGGAAGCCAGTTGCACACACACCCACCCCCAAGGCTGTCAGGGAAGTGCCACCCAGGAGCCACTGGCAGGGGATCCTCTGTGGCCCATTCCAGAGAACTGCCAGATAGTCCCCCAGGGTAAAGTGGCTGTGTCTCCTAAGACTTGTTTGTAAACAGATGGCTCAGAGCCTCAAGCTTGTTTTCTCGGGGACACCATGATGGTGAGGGTTTCAGGCTAGCCCACAGTGGCTCCATCAACCCAAGACAGGGGCCAAAGACTGTGGTCCCAGAGCCAGCTCAATTCAAAAGGCCACTGAGCTCCAAGGACCTCTGCAGGCTCCCAGGCCCCATCCAGGCTTCCCCTTCTCAAGGCTTCAAACCGAAAATGCCCCTCAGTGGACTGACCTCAGGGAGATAGTAATTGAAAAACCATCTGATGGCGTTAAAAGATACTGACGTGTAAATAACAGATATGACAGCCACAGAGCCCACACAGGAATATTGCTCTTTATCCCAAAAGGACATTTAGTAAGCCAAGTGCACTTCTCTTTTGGTGGAATATCACACCAAGGTAAAGTGGCAATGCGTAGGCTCTGCGAGGACAGGGGAGGCGGTCACCGGCTGGAAATAAGCCCGAACTGCAGCTTTCAGACCTGCTTCTGCCTTTACTCCTCCTCTACTAATAGAAGGAGTTTTTGAAAGCCACTGCTGAGGGCTTCAGTTTTGGGAAGTGGGCTAGGGAGGCTGAGTGTTGGGTAGTTGGGGTGGATGATTTCACAGAGAGGCGGTTTGCAAACTGGGCGTTTCTAAATCAAGGCTGCCAGAAGCTCTGGGTGCACACAGATGCTAGTGGGCTTCTATGGGTGCCCCCAGGTGAACCAGGGCTCATGGCTCTCACACTCACCGTCTGCTTGGGGGTTCACAGTCCACGCTCTAAGTACAGGGAAACCTAAGAGAAAACGAGAGCAGAAAAGCACGTTAAGGGGGCTTGTATTTTCCAAGTCACAAACTGGGGGCCAGGGATTCAGATCTGACTGAAACAGTTTTAAACGTACTGTTTGAGCCAATCCCAGTATAGAAACCAGAGGATTTCATGCAAAGTCAGGCTTTCTGGCTCCGCTGGGGAGGGCTGCATCTCTGGGCCAGGTGCCAGCAGGATGGGCTCCCCTCTGCTCTGGTGTCTGATGCTGTGACCTGCACAGCTCAGTTGCGCCTCCTTCCTGGAGACAAATCTCCCAGGCTTGGCTGGGCATCCTCCCCTCTTTGCTGGATCCAGACATACAAACTGGGAACTCTGGAGGAAGACGGCTGGGCTTGTCCCTTAGAGAAATCAAGGGTGAGAAGGTAAAGTCAGGCTCTGGACAAAGTCTGGGGTTGGGGCCCTTTGCAATATTCCTGGCCTGTGGCTCTGGGGACTGAATCAGTCAGGGACTTGGGGGTATCCCTGTCATTTGAGGAGGGTTTAAGGGAGGAACTCTACAAAGGTGTGGCAGGAGTAGGGAAACCTGGAAGGACGGTGCAGCTCCCGGGAGAAGTGAAAGCAGGGGGGATTCCTTTCCCGCACCCCTAGTCCCGAAGGAGATGGGAGGACGGGGTGGCTTCCAGAGAGGGCTGTGCAGAGCAGATGCTTGATGGGAGCTGTCACCTGTGATCAAAGCATCCAGCCAGCCCAAGGTACCCTGACCCTGAGGGAGGGAGCTGGGAGGCTACACATACTCTAACTTCTCTCCCGGTCACTCTATATCTCACCAGAGCTTCTCATTGGCCAAACCTAACATGAAGCCAGAGGGAGAGGGAGCCCATTGGTGCAGCCCCTACCAGCCACCTCCCTGGACACACAGCAGGCAGGATACCAGTGCTGAGCAGATCCTGAGGGGCAAATGGCAGGTATCCGGCACAGTAGCCCTGCCTCCCTGTGTCCTCCTCACTCACAGGGTTCACACCCTCAGCCCCCAATCCAGGGCTAACCAGGTCCTGAGAAGTGTCTGAAGGCTCCATTCTACCTCACTGACCATGAGATGACACCGGGCACTTGGTGCTGAGCTCTCCTGAGCCCTGCTGTGCTGCTCAGCTGGCCTGAGCCTGAGCTTTTGCTCTGTCCTCTGGCACCCCACCCTTGCTACCCTCACCTTAGCACCTGGAGCTTGCTGGGCCCTGATCCTCCCTTCCCCCTCCCTCCATCCTGTTCTCTTCTACTGCACACCCTTCAAATTCCTCCCACTGTTGAGCCAGCCTGTCCCCTTCCCAGAAAAACAGCCCATCCCAGAGTTCACAGAGATCCAGGAGCAGAGTTGCAGGGAACCCACAGCCACGAGGCCAACACAGAGCAGTCACGGGGCCAGCTTGGGAGCCCCAGAGCTCCCCGCCCCAAATCTTTTCTGGGAAAAACACGAGCCCGACAAGAGGCAGCCAAATGCAGGGTTTCTTGGAACCTGGAGCTAGAAGTGATCGTCAGCTCCAGCAACTGCTTTGTATAGATGGGGAAACTGAGGTCAGGAGAAGGGTGGAGCTTGCAGCGGCCACACAGCCAGGGAGTGGCAGTGCCAGTGTTTTGTTTGCTTACCAGGCTGTCCCTTCCTTCTGGCCTGGGATCCATGAGGCTGCGGCCATGTCAGGAGACGGGGAGTTAGCTCCCTTTGACAATAGCAATCTTACTAATAAGGCCAACCTGGAGGGGTTCCTTTGAGCAGGCACAAAGCTAAAATCTGAAACACCTGAGCATTTACTCCTCATTCCAACTCCATGAGGCGGGCACTGCTATTACTCCCACATTACAGATGAGGAAGTTGAGTCCCAGAGAAGTTACATGGCACTCACAGCACAGAAGTAACCACGTCAACATGACGATAAGAACAACTAGCATCGCTGACCAGGCTGTGCTCCCGGGCTGGCCCTGTGCAGAAGCCCACACACGCAGCGCCCCATTAAGCTTTATCTGGAGCAGCACTAGCTGCACGGTCATTGAGACACCCTCTGACTGTTTTGCTCCACACATTTGTCTGCTGACCCTCTGTGGGCCTCTTCCTGATGTCTCCCTGATGCCCATATGAGGCAGAAAGCTGAAAACTGGCCACCTGTCACGCCCAGCACCTTCCAGCCGTGCTCCAGGGGCCCCCCTAGGCTCCCCTGGGCCCACCTGCTCCCTACCCAAGGCCCTGAACTCCTGTAGACTGTAGTGTCATCCTAGAGCTGTGGGCGGCCAGGCCTGTCTTTATCAGCCGTGCCCCCATCTTCTCCACGGGGACTTTTGGGATGAAAGATTGATGAGCAATCTGTCCTCACTAGTGAATTTTTAATTATGGAAGAAAGGAGACCCCAGCCCCTGGCCTAAACCAGGACTGTGAGGAGGATGGTTCTTGGATGTCACCACTGTTAAAATTTCATCTGCATTGACAGCAGCCATGAACTCTGCATCCAGGTTTTTCTGTCCATAAATAAAGGTGAAGGCCTGGGATGGAAAGTAATTGGTGAAATTGGAAAAATCCCCTGACTTCTAACATAGATGGTTCTGGAATGATATGTGAGTAACTGAGCTTGGGACCCCAGAAGGCCAGGGGCAAGTCCAAGCAGAGCAGGCAGTGGATGCGGGAGGCTGAAGCCATCCCAGCTGTTGGAATCTATGATTCTTGCCCTTCTAAATTGCAGGTGACCGCACTTCTCACCCTGGATCCTCTTACAGTCAACCAGCTGAGATGGGGCTGAGCTCAGAGCATGGCCTGGGGGCCTTGCAGAGGCTTTAATCAGGATCAGGGCTCAGGTGAGCCACTGCCCCAGAAGAGCAGGATGCCCGTGGGATTATCCATGACTCAGGTGGGCCTAATTTCACAGGTCGGTCAGCAAAGGGAAACCATTGCCTGGGCTTGAATCTCGGCTCCATAGCTTCCTGGCCCATGTTCTTGAGCAAGTCACTTCAGCCTCCTGAGGTTCAGTTTTATCTTCCATAAAATGGGGGTAGAAACAACCCCTGCAGAGGGCTGTGGTGAAGGTAAAAGGAAAGGATGTATGGAAAACACTGAGCACTCTGCCTGGCCTTGGTCAGCTCTTTTTTTTTTTTTTTTTTTTTTCCCTGAGGAAGGGGCTCTCTCTGTTGCCCTGGCTGGAGTGCAGTGGTGCAACCATAGCTCACTGTAACCTCAAATTCCTGGCCTCAAGTGATCCTCCTGCCTCAGCCTCCTGAGTAGCTGGGAGTACAGGCACATACCACCACACCCAGCTAATTTTTTAAAAATGTTTTTTGTGGAAATGGGATCTTGCTATGCTGGTCTCAAACTCCTGGCTCAAGCAATACTCCCACCTTGGCCTCCTGAAGTGCTGGGAATATAGGCCTGAGCCACCGTGCCTAATTGGTGACTGAGTTCTTGATCAACAACCAAACAAGGAAGAATAAACCACCCATTCTACTTTCAAATGGTTTATAAACTAGTGAGGATCTCACACAGCCCAAAAACAAAACTTGAAAGGAAGAATGGAAGGGAAGAAATCAGGGGTGGAGGTAAGGGATCATTTTAACTTGGGGTGGCAATCAGGGAGGCTTCATTGAAGATGAAAATACACCTCCAAGCACTTTTATCCTTCGAAAGTTCAGGGACTAATCTCCTTGGGCGGAAGGCCTGCCTGCATCCTGAAGGTCTCTCTAGGAAAACTGGGTGACAATGAGGTTCCAGTATGTACCTGGTTCTCTGTGATACCACTGTTCAGTCAATAAAGTCATGAGTCATTGGCTCCAGGAGCCCCAGGATTTCCACAAGTTCTGCCTCCTCCAGGAAGCCTCCCAGGATTGCTTCAGCCCACGTGAACCTCATTCTTCTCATGTGCCAGTAGCACCCAAGGCCCAAACAACATGCCCTAAACAGCCTGCTTCCAAGGGAGAAGCCTTGGGTTCTAATTCCAACTCCACCCTCTACTCCCTGTGAGATGTTAGGCAAATGCCAGCTGCTCTTGGGGCCCGAGTTTCCTTGTCTGTGGAAAAAGGGTTGGACTAGCTTAGGGTCACTCAGAGTGATCTCTGGGGAGCACTAGTCTTTCAAGAAGCTTCCTGTAGCTCCCATCCCCCTTGTAGATTTCACAAGGCAATGACTAAGGCTCTGATAAGTCCTGCATCATAGAAACCAGCTTAGTTTGGTTTGACCCAGTATTTCCCATATTAACTTGACCTTGAAAACTTTTTTTGGAATAAACTAGCATTCCTTAGAATATACTTTGGGGAATGGTGGCCTCAAAGATCTCTCAGGTACCTTCCTGCTCTGTCATTCAGAGATTTAGTAAGTCTAACGTGTGGAATTTCACCCCCTCAGTAACTTTTCCAAAATGTCTTTCCTTTATTTCTGGCCGAGATATGAGGCCCCTCTGCCTCTTCCAGCTCTCAGGACAGGTGCTATGTCTGGGTCTCCATCACAAGAATCCCTGTGTTGCATTGGTGGGTGTGTCTCTGCCTGTGGTGGCCATACGCTCTTGAAGGAGGGATTGTGCCTGGACACTGGTGTGTCCCAGGGGTTGACAATCTCAGCGCCTGAAATGTCACTGTGTGCTCAATCAATGTTTTTGAACACAGGGGTGAGGTTTTAAGTATTTAGCAAGCAGCACGGCTTTGTCATGTGCCAAGGGGGACACTAGCTATAAATAACCAACAGGGCTTTCCTGACCCTGCTTGTCAGTCAAACATCAGCCCTGGTGGAATGAATGAATGCATGAATGAATGAGTACGAATGCATGAATGAATGCATGAATGAATGAGTTGTAAGACCCATATAAGAGGTTGTAACTATTAACTAAAGAGGAAAAGCACTTTCTGAGGAAAAGCACTTTCTAAGGCAAAGCCCAATGTTGTGTTTTTTAAATGTTTTCCTTTTTCTGGACTTTTCTGGCTTGGCTGTTCAGATGTGGGGGTGGGGGCTTGGTGGTGCAAAGATACCCGACCCCCACCATGGCACCAGGCTGGAGCCAAGGCCAGATGGGAAAGCGGGCCTTTCTGTGTCCTTAACAGAGCTGGCGGCAGCTTTGGTATTTCAAATGTCCTTCTGAAATCTGAATCCAAAATGGAACAATTTTTCGAGTAAATAATACCATTGATGTCAGTGTTGCTGCAGGAGGTTCAGCAGGCCCCAGAAACTCAGAGGTGAGGACGTGGTATTCTGGCTACACAAGGTCTCTGGCTGCACGAGGCCACCTGCCTTGCAGGGGAATGAACGGTCTGTGGGTACTTAAGGCATTGGCCTAGCTAAGAGACACATTTTCTTTTTCCTGATTATACTTGATAGTGCCCCAGGGACATTCAAAAATGCCATACCTTGGGACCCTATGCTGTCATGGGCTTCGGGGGCCTGGGTCAAGAGTGAGAAGGTGAGGGGTGGTGGAGCCAGGGGGAGGAGTCTTGCAGCTGCAGGGGAGATAAGAACGGGTCAGGGCCTTCTCTGAGTGATGGGCTGCCCCTGGCTCCCGCTGAACTACTGAATGGGATGGCTTCAGATTCCCATATTGGTTTCCTACTCCGCCAGGATTTGACGCAGATACTCCCCGGTTTGAGTTACAGAATCCGGATCATGGCTTCCTGACCCTTGGCTTCTTGGGCGGTTTGTGGAGGAGGGGGAGGTGTTGAGTTTTCAAGAGGGGCCGGGCCCAGAGTGTATTCAGAAGGCTTGGAGGAGAGTGGCCAGGATGCAGCCAGGGCTACCCCTCTGTGGTGGGAGTGGTGCCCCCACACTCAGGGACCCTTCAGCAGGGACCCCCTCCCATTGCCACCCAAGGATGGGAGGCACACTCTGGGACACCTCTCCAAGGAGAAAGTCTGAGTTTAGTGCGCGTATTGTATGTTTAACACCTCCCTGACGCTTGCTAAATTCTCTCTTAAACAAGGAGAGCAGACCTCCACTGGTAGGATGCAGTATCCACCCAGGATTTAATAGCATCAGCAGTCTGCCTTCTTTTTCTAAAGTTTTTTAAAATTGTTACTTTCTATTTATGACAGCTGTTACCATTTTTTTCCCATTTATGGTAGCAATAAAGTTTCACTCTAAAATAAGTTTATTTTGGTTGAAAAAAAGTGAGCTCATTTGAATAAAGATTTTCAGTACTTTTTAGTACAGGTGTTCTGATCTCCAGGTGTGGAGGGAGGGAAAGAAACAACTGGAGTTTGGGAAACTCTCATCTAGTCCAACCTCCCCACAGCAGAGATGGGTACACTGAGTCCCAGAAGAGAGAGGCATTGCCCAAGCACACACACCTCGTTATAAAAGACTGAGACAGGGTAAAGGGCTCAGGGTTGGGGACTCCGGCCTTTTTCCACTTTGCCATCTCTTCTTTGTGAGGCCAGGATGTGAATGTCTCTCTTGGTGTGATCCTCACAAGCAGGGGGAAATGTGGGCTCATAGATCTGCTGCTGCCAGGGTCCTGGGGGATCTGCAGGGGCTGGAACTGAGTGAGCCTTTTCATCTCTACCCCACAGAGCCAGTCACAGAATTGATGCTTAGTGAGAACCTGGTGAAAGGATAGATGGATGAATGGATGGCTAGAAAGAAAAGTGGATATATGGAGATACAGATGGAGAGAGAAGGGGATGGATGGATGGATGGATGGATGGATGGATGGATGGATGGATGGGTGGATGGATGGATGGACTGGTGGATGAATTGGTAGTTAGAGAGGCTGATAAATGAATAGATGGAGAAAAGGATGAGTGAATAAATGGATGAATGGAGATGTCAATGAATAAATAATTTGGCTGATGACTTAGGATTCTCCCTGTCCCATTACCTACCCAAGGTTATTTTCATTCCTTTAGAGAGCTAGCAGAAAGTTCTCTATGAGAAAAAGAATTAATGGTGATATTTCAGTTACCTTGATAGACTGGTAGTGAGACACACACACACACACACACACACACACACACACACACACACACACACACACTTTTCATTTACCAATGAGACACTGAGGCAAACATAAATGACACTGCCCAGGAGTCCAGGGCCTGGGCTTCTCATTTTGCTTTTGAAACTCACTCCCCAGACTCGGATGAGTTGTCTCCCTTCTCTGGGCCTCCATTTCCCCATGTGTAAAACAAGAGTGGGTGAGTCAACTAATTCTCACCCTCCCAGCATCCTGTGGCTCCTTTAAGGCCTGCCAGATGCCAAAGCTTCCCCATGCCCCACAGTGTGGATGGCAGGTTCTGAATCTGTCAGATTGACTGGGCTTCTCTAAGAGGCGGGTGCTTTCCTGCAAGGAGATGTGCCAGAGCCAGCCAGACAAGCAAGTGGTCCCCGGGGGCAGCATCAGCATGGGCTCCATCTCGCTCTGCCTTTGGGACCAGCTTATGGAAAGGAGAGAATATTGGAAAGACTGGTGACATGAGGTCAAGGCCTCAGTACCCTAAGGGATGCCTCCCTTCATATATAAAACTGTAATATGGAGGCCTGGACAAACAAAGATGGGAGGACAGGGCAGGGGCAGGAGGGAGAGGCTCCTGGGTTAGCCAGTCCTGGGTTCAGATCCTGCTCCTGCCACTTCTTAGCTATGTGACCCTGGGCCAGTTCTCCCAGCCTCTCTGAGCCTCATCATCCTCCAAAATGTGAGAAAAATGACCTCTCCCCCTCGCTGGATCCTTGTGCAAGGTCGGGTGTAATAGATGCTAGCTTACTGTCCTTCCAGTCGGTGAACCGCAAGGGAAGAGCCTGGATCTTCTTCATTACGAATTTCTCCACTTACTAAATGTTTATTGAGCACCTACCATGTGCCAGGCCCTCTCCCCTGCTCTGGGAATGTGGTGGTGAGCTAAGGTAGACCCAGTGTCTGACCTCGTGGCCTTCACAGTCTGATGGCCGTTTATCAAATGGTCACTTATATAAGTAGGAAATGTCACCTGAGATAGGTTCTGTAAAAAAGGTGGGGTGGAGGAGGGGCTACATCATGGGGCCCACTTTGTGTGATGATCCTGGGCCAGGGTCATCAGGGAGGCGACTCAAGCTGAGACCTGAAGCTATGCAGGTGGGGAGCAGGTACAGGTGTTGGGGGCAAGGGAGAGGCTGGGCAATGCAAAGGCCTATTGCGGGATGGGCGTGGCACATTCCGGGACCAGCAGGGAAGCCAGTGTGGCTGGAGCAGGGGGCGGGGACCTGCATGGCCTCACAGGAAGCTAGAGACATGGCAGAGGCCCGACAACCCAGGGCCTCAGGGCCCATGGCCAGGGCTTTGGACTTTCTCCTGAGAAAAATGGGGAGTCATTAACAGATGTACAGTGGAAGGGTGAGAAGTCTGGCCGCTGTGGGTAGAGAGTGGATGCAGGACTCCCAGAGGGAGGCTGAGAGCAGTGAGGTGGCCATGCCACCATCCAGGCAAGAGGCAATGGTGGCCAGACTGGGTGGTGGACACAGAGTGAACAGCAGCCAGGAGCAGCCCTCCTCCAAGCTCTGGCGAATGATTAACGTGCAGGGAAGAGATGCCTGTGGAGTCCTCTAGGACATCCTCTGCCTCCTTTCGCAGCTCTCTCCTAATGCCCTAAAGCTCAACAACAGCCCTACACCCGGAGGCAGGCCTCAACGCAGGACATGTAGTAGGGCGTCCATGCAATAGTGAAAGTGATGGCATTCACAATTCCGACCCATGGACTTCACTGTTTACAATCTCCTTTCACAGCCTTTACCATAGTTGCTCCTCATAGCAACTGCCACGGTGGGAGACCCCAAAACCAACCTCTTTCCTGCATCCCTTTGGAAGCAGAAAGGCAGTCACCACGGTAGGGACTGTGGTTATACAGTTGATGCTGGTTATTTCTGGTAGTTCTGCTCTATAAAGTCACTGTGGGTGCTGAATTGTCAAGTACTGAACCTTTGCTCCTAGGAAATACAGGGTCAGGTTCCTGGGAACTTCTGGTCACAACATTTTCACCAACTGATCAGTATATAACCTTGTTTTAAGTATTGTTTGTTTGTTTTTGTTTGTTTAAAGATACCTTATTTAATATCTATCGTTGGCTCATTAACGTTGGGCTCCCGGCCAACGGCACCATAACTCACGCCTGGATGAAGCTGCCTAACACACGGTTTTCTCCGTAGGGCACAGCCGGGCCTTCTGGGCTGAGGAACACAAAACAGCACGGCAGCACCACGCTTCGGGGCCATTTCAAACAGCAAAACCACCAACAGAAAGCACACAGATGGGGAAATATGCGGTACTGCACAGACTGCAGAAGGCACCCCTGCTTATGGGACGAGCTTGAAGCAGGAAGGCAGAGCGTCACCTGGCTCGACCTCCGCTGGGAACGCGCTGCGGGCAACTGCCATTTTCCACCTCTGCACACGTCTACAAATCACCGCAAAAGCACCATGAGTATTGATCTGGGTATATACATTATCTGGGTACATACATTATCTGGGTAAATACATTTTAAGGAGGAGGCAAACTCGCACATATGGACTCCACAAAGAAGGAGGATGTGTTGATCATTCATTTGTTGATAGGGCACATTTCCCGCCGAGGGCCTTCCGTGTGCCACATGCCTCTCCGGTGCTTGGGAGACCACAGGCGTCGTCTCAGCCGATCCTCACCTGCCCTGTGGGTAGAGGCTGTTGTTTTTCAGAGGCAGAGGCATAGAGGTTTGGTTGCAGGTGGAGGGTCCCACAGCTGGGAAGTGGCCGAGTGGGGATGAAACCCAGGGATCCTTCCTCCAGAGTCCAGCTCCACTGCCCAAGCTTCACCTGCATGCGCTCATTCTAAAAGCTGTTTTCACACCAAATCTCCGCAAGCCCTCTTTATTTCCCACTTCCTGCCAAGTAAGCAGTTCAGCTCACAAACTATATTAATCTCTGGCATAAATTCATTTAAACAAAATATTGCCAAGCAACGCAAAAGCAGAAATCCTCTTACAACCCACATGGGTATCGATGCTGTGCGTGTGGAAGGGCTGAGCCTCTTAGTGTCTGATTGTAAACACACCCAAATCTGTGACAAAGACTGGGCAAAGCCAGTGGAGAAGCCATCAGGACAAACCCCTTATCCTCGGGGACAGACTGACCTCTCACTGTCCGTCCAAGGCTGGGAGTGTGGGGCGTTGCTCTTCGCCTGCTGATTTGGCTGAGTCTCCCCAATCCTCACAGACAGCAGCAGGCAACAGTTAAACACGGCCACCTTTGAGTGGTAACACAATTTCATTTTAAAATTTTTTATTTTTAACTTTTAAGTTCAGGAGTACATGTGCATGTTTGTTACATAGGTAGACT
This sequence comes from Homo sapiens, assembly GCF_000001405.40. NCBI lineage: Eukaryota > Metazoa > Chordata > Mammalia > Primates > Hominidae > Homo > Homo sapiens. The sequence goes on from NC_000003.12 coordinate 10,630,223, forward strand.
TGTGCCATGGGGGTTTGTTGTACAGATTATTTCATCACTTAAGTATTAAGCCCAGTACCCATTAGTTACTTTTCCTGATGCTCTCCCTCTTCCCACCTTCCACCCACCAAGAGGTCCCAGTGTCTGTTGTTCCCCTCTACAGGTCCATGTGTTCTCATCATTTGGCTCCCATTTATAAGTGAGAACATGTACATGCGGTATTTGATTTTCTATTCCTGCATTAGTTTGCTGAGTATAATGGCTTCCAGCTCCATCCATGTCCCTGCAAAGGACATGATCTTGTTCTTTTTTATGGCTTCATAGTATTCCATGGTGTATATGTACCACATTTTCTTTATCCAGTCTACCATTGATGGGCATTTAGGTTGATTCCATGTCTTTGCTATTGGGTAACACAGCTTTATGATCCTGCATATTTAATTTTCCAGAGCCCCAGTTTCCTCATCTGTAAAATGGCTCAGGTGAAGTTATTGTTATTAATACTCTGCATTTATACTGCACTTAAAACTTTATAAAGCACTTTCACACCCAGTGGTTGACTCCTTGTTTCTCCAAACTGAGAGGTAGGTAGTGCTATTAGCCCAATTTGGCAATGAGGAAAGCAAGGCTAAGTTTGTGGCGGGGGGGTGGGGGGCGGTGAGCACACAGCCAGTGGGAGGCAGGGCTGTGATTTGAACCCATGTCTTTGGTTTCTCGATGGCACAGTCTTTCAACTACTTCCTCGGGTAGAGAAAGAATTATTTCTTCTTTTGGTGGATCAATTCCAAATTGGAAAATGTGTTTCAGAATAGAAGGGAGTAGTTATGAGCACAGACCCCGAGCCACACAACTTGGTTTGCAGCCCAGCTGCGTGTCCTGGAGCAAGTTACTTACTCTGTGTGTTTCAATTTCTTTATCTGTAAATCTGTAAAGTATCATCTACCTGGGAGGGTGGTAACAAGGTTTAAACGAGTCAGTATTTGTAAAGTGTTTTGTACAGGATCTGGCACTTAGTAAAATGCTACTTAAATACCTAGGCATAAATCAGAAGAAAAAACATTTGCAGAATTTGTTGTTGCTCAACACTTTTTATATCCGAATGTGGCTGAACTACATGTTGGTTTGTTGCAATTAACATTACTGTTAATAGCCAAGTGATAGGTCCATCTTTCCTTTAGGATAAACATTATTAGCCCATTTTACAGATGAGGAATCCTGAGGCTCAAAGAGGTGACATGACTTGCTCAAGGTCACACAGTTGGCAAGTGGCAGAGCAAGGCCTCCAATTGAGCTCATTCAGCCTGTGCTATTAATCAAGCTGCCACCCCTCTAATCAGTGGCATTCAAGCTACTTGAGGTCCAGGCTTTGGGAAGGGAGATCTTTGCAAGGGGGCTACTGTGGACATGGTGGGACAGACCATATAAAGTGGCCCTCACTCCCAATCCCAGGCTGGCCCTGCACAAGTCCTGGCAGCCTGGAAGACAGACTTGGGTTCCATACAATGGGCTCCTCCTCCCTTAGAAAGGAGGCCAGCGTCCCCTACATGCTAAGAAAGAAAGATCAGAAATGCTTCCATATCAAATACAGCATCAGGATTAAAATCAGAGCAACATTTGGAAAGTGCCAGAAGATTTAACATAGCTTGCTGCTAATTTCCCAGTTTTATTTCTTATAAAAGAGGTTTCAGGAGGGCTATCTTTACCCAAAGTGAGTTGCTACCAAAGATGAACTATTGTTGCACATCCAGAAGAGAGAATGGGCTTTGAACTTAATGTGAAGCAGGTCCCGAGGTCCTCAGCCTGGACTGGGACCCTCAGGTTCTAGGCTTGGCTTGACTGCTATCTCTGTGTGACTTTAGAAAAAATTTTCCCTTCTCTGTGCCTGAGGAGCAGTGGGGCAGGAGCCATGGGCTGAATCCAGCCTGCAGATGGTTTTTTGTGGTGGGCTTGGAGAGAGTTTTAAATGCTAGGAAAATGACATATAAAAGTGTAGATTTCTGTACTTTCTTAAAAAATGGGAATACCAGGTTCCTGGATCTCACACTCCCTATAAGATTAACAACTCTGGTGCTGGGTGTGACTACTCCCATAGAGAGGCCGCAGTCTCCACCACTCCCAGCTGCTCGTCTCCCCGTTTTCACGCAGCATGACATCAGCATGGCCCTGGAGACATTTGAGTTTGCCACCCCGGGGCAGGCCAGTATCCTCTATGGGGCCTTTACGTGTTACAGTTACTGTTTTCAGGAATGTCCCTACACTGTATGTGTTTGTTCTAAGGCTCAGTGAAGTCAGGGATCTTACACAGGGATCCTGGCACACAGTAGGTGCGTCACAAATTTCTGGTGAAACGCTCTGAGACAAAGTTAATGACTGTGGCAAGCTGGAGTAAACATTGGAGGAGGAGTTGGCAGGGCTTAGCATCGAGCTCTGGCCTTGCCACAAAGGGACACTGGGCATGGGTGGGTCCTTTCCCCTACCCTGGGTCTTTCTCTTAGCATCTAAAGAGGATGAGCCAGCTCTGCCAGGTCCTCTGCAGGTGGCTCTGGGGACACAGCCCTGCACAGGGTCGGCCACTGAGCAAGTCCTGGCTGTGTCCCCGCAATGTTACTGGGCCTCTTTGTGGTGACAGCCCCGGAATAGTGAGGCCCAGTGGAACTGCTGCTTATCCCTGTTCCCCTGGTGGCTGTCCTGCTCTCCTCCTCTCACCCTGACTGGCTGGAGGGCACAGCCCTGCCATAAGGGCATCTGAGGACACTCAAATGGAGGGGGGCACATCTCTGTGTGACTTCTGACCAGGCCCTCAGACAGCCTTGCTGAGCCAGGGCTCCCTCAACATGAAGCTGATAAAAAGTAAGGAGATGCAGGGGCTGGCTGGGAACAGGGGCCCTGAGCCATGTGGGCCTGGGAGTGGAATCCTTGCTCTTCCACCTCCCAGCTGTGTGACCTTGGATGAGTGACTTGACCTCTCTGAGTTTCTCTCCCTTCATCAAGAAAATGAGAATTCTAATGGCTGTCTTATAGAATCGCTGTGGGGGTTAAATGAGTTAACACATATGAGTGCTTCCATGAATGCTATTTCTCCCACCCTGCCTCCGCTTCCAAAAGGTTTCCACACCAGGGTTGCCATCCACTGATGCAATAACAGCAGACAGGATGCCCTCCATCCTGGATTTGCCGCTCCTTCCCAGAAACAATCTGTTTCTCTTAGAAGTCTCACCCCACTGGAGAACTGTTAATAATGTTTCATTTTTTTTAAGTTAACAAGTCTTCATGTATTAATCAACAGGGACCAAGAAGGGCATCTATTAGTCACTAACACTTTAGTATGAATTTCTTCACATCAAATGCCTTCTTCTCTGATGGTAATACATGGGGATAGAAATTTTAATGAAGGAAGGCCATGATATTGAAGCACTAGGCCCTTCACAAGGGAGAACAGTATGCAAGAAAAACTGAAAACCTGCCAGGGGAGGTAGACTAACTTAACTTTTAATATACCAGCACTTTCTGAAATAATAGCTCTGAGCAACAAAGCTTAGGTAAGCCTGCACCCTTGGGCACAAGATCCTCAGTCCAGTTTCCATTCTATAGTTGAGGCAGGGCAGCCTGTATTGGCTGTCCCCCCAACAGTTATTCTCCTCCCCATTCTCCATGCTGCCAAGACATAACAGAGACAAGAAATGCCTGATACTCACTTTCCTAGATTCCTTCCCAGCTAAGGGTGGCCATCTGACCCATTTTAGCCATTAAGACTTCCGCTCAAAGGATCCCAGGTAAGAATGCCCCACCGCCCAACCCGATCAAGAGAGAGAGAGATGCACAAGGAGAACCCTTCTTCCTTGCCGCCTTTCTGCCTAACTTTGGACGCTTCCCTGTGAGGAGGTGGGGCTTGAACCCATGGCAGCCATTTTGCAACCATGAGGCTGACACAATGAGATGGCGACTGAGTTCCTTTCTGAATCAACCCAGGAACCTCCCACTACCAGGTGCTTATTACTTTATTACTTTCAATCACATGTTCTGTTATTTACAGGCAAAGTGCTCCTAAGTGATGCACAAGGCATCTGAGGCTACGTGACTTGTTTACGGCAATCTCACTGTCAGTTGGTGGCAGCTGCATGGTGAGACCCTGGTTTCCATGGTTCCAATATCTGCCATAGCACCATATCCCAAGGTGACCCCACTGGGGGCCGTGTCCAATTCAGCCTTGGAGACATCCCCAGGGGTGGCCCAAACAACTTCTCCACTAGGAAAACACAGCTTCCATGGCCTCTCACAGATGCCCCAAGCCAGTCCCTGACTCCAGCCAACTGAACAATCTCCCTGATTCCAAAAATAGCCCCAGGATCTTCTCTGTGGCCTTGAGAAAACACAATTTTGGGGTCGCTGTGACATACAGAAAATATAAACCACATCTTTGGGAGCCTCCAGTCATAGGCTTTGAGGGCTGAGCCCAGTACAAGTCATTTGAGTCAGTCCCCTGCCTCCAGCAGGGTGACCTGTCTTCTCCACAGAAGAGTGCATGAATGCCTTCTGAACCTTGACCCCATGACAAGTCACCAGGAAGGACCTTTACTCCCCTAAAGGAGCTCCCCTGTGAGCCTCCTGGCAGCCAGAACTCCACCATTAGCATGCGTGTCCTCTGCCAAAATACAAATCTCCTCTATTCCTAACTATGAGCTTCAGAGAACTTTCTTGAGGGGCAGGTTTGGTGGGGAAGTCCTGTTATGTGGAACCAGGGCTTTTGCTCAAAGGATCAGAGGGTTGGGGTGGGTGTGTCAGGGAGACACAACAGCGTATGGGATTGGTTGTTCCTACGTGATAGAAGAAAGAGCCTTCCAACACTCGCAGGACCCCGAGATAAATGTCCCTGGGAATTGGAATGGTATCACTGGCCTCTCTGTGGGAGACAATACGGAGCAGGAGGTACTGTGAGGATATGGAAAGTGTCACTACTCAGCTCAAGGTTGCCTGAGCTTCCAATTTTCAAGAGAAGTTGGAAATCCAGGTACTTCCATGGCATCTCTCAATTTGGGGATGTTGGCAACTAATTCCAGTTTAAAACCCATAACATTCAACATAGTCACGGGATTTGCCTGAAGCCCCGGGTTTGGAGTCTCTGGTTGAGAGTTCCAGTGGTTAGGAATGTTGCACCCCAAGTAATCAGAAAACAGCTCTAAAAGCCTCCTGCATTTCCCTTCCCTCCTCCAGTGACAGACTGAGGACACCAGGCAACATGACTTTCCAGCTCTTAGGTGCCTACAGCGGTGAAATTTCTCCATCCTGCTTACGTGCCAGAGACTCTAAAGCCCATCCTGTTCCCCTCTCCCTCTCCAGTGTTCTGAGCCCTCCAGATGGCAGGGGGAGACAAGAATCAGAAGCAGCTGCCTAGAATGATCTGCCACAATTTGGCCCTAGTGGAAAATTCCACTAGCACCTCCCAGGTAGCATTTTGCACGCGACAAGGACGCAGCATCCTCAGGCCTCCTTCCATACAGCCCTGTGCCTGCCTGACCAGGATTGTGCCCTCTCAGTCATTCTCATCAATCCCTGCCAGCTTTGCACTGACCAGGCTGGGCTGGAGTCAGCAAATGATCCCCTGGTGGGTATTTCATAAAGCACTCCCTGGCCTTAGCTCAAAGAGATTCCTGCTGGCAAGGGAGGCTGCAGTGGCGGCTGCAAGTGTCACTCCCAGGCCTTCCTGCTGAGCCTCTCAGGGATGAGCCTCCAGGCAGAGGGCCCCCTGGACCTACCCAAATGGATGCCCAGGGCCCTAAATTCTGCACAAGTGCTCAGGGATGCAAACTCTGCCATTTGGCAGCCTGGAGACCTCTTACACTTAAACTTCTAAGAGGCGGATGAAAGCCTCTGCCTGCCGACCCCACAGGGGTCAAGATGTGGATAAGACTGGCACGTGATGTGCTATTCCAATGTAAAGGCCAGTCTCTTCCTGCAGCCCATGAGCATTCTCCCAGCATCAACTCCCCTGCTTTTGCCAATAATGACATGCCGCTTCACTCACCCAAGCACTCCTGCCTCAGAGTGCTAGGGACCTGCAGACAGAAATGCAAGGTGACAGTAGGGCAGGCTGTGTCATTTCCCAGGAGATGCACAGCCTCTCCTCTTGGGACTTGTCTTGAAAGGCTGGCTTCATACTCAAACCTCCTTCCTGGGCTGCAGGAGGCTAGGAGATTGGGCTCACTCAGGCCAAGGGGGCTGGATGTCTAAGACCCCAGGGAGATTAGGAAGAACTTCTAGAAAGAGGAATTGTTCTAACGATCAAACTGTTTCATTGTTTCCCTGATTTAAACTGCTTGGGAAACTTCTGTTTCCAGCCAAGAAGGAGCGACAGAGACCAGATTTGCCCTCTCACCTGCAAAAAATGAAAAAAATGAGCAAAATATACAAAACAACAGTTTGTTTGCACGATGCTGGACATCAGACAACAATGGTCAATGATAACTAGAGATGAAAAACAAAATAGGTAAGTCAGTGATTGCCCCAAACACTGCCTTGAGAGGGTTTCAAGGCCATGGTTCAAACTGGGGGGTACCCAGGTGGAGCCCGGTGGACTCTGAGTTGAGGAGATGGAGCTAAGAGTCCAGGACAGAGCATCAGAGGGGAAAGAGCTGCAAAGAGCTACAGAGAGAACTCTGGAGACCTGCAGAGGGTCACTCTTGAGTATTCAGCTAAGTGCTAATCAGGGCCTGTGTGTGAGAAACTTACCCAAGTCCAGGGAAGGAACCACTGGAAATAATTAGTGGGAGCAAGGCCTGGCAGTCAGACAGGGCTGGAAATAGTGCCTATTGCCATTAGCCAGACTGGGACACCTCAAGATTCATGGACGTTGAGTTGAGTATTCAGAAGGGTCTTGCCTCAGCAGTGGGGAACAATTAACACTAGACTTAGCACTGCTCTATCCCTATCTAACAAGTATTAAAAACAAGACCCAATAGGATCAAACTGTCTCCAAGTATCTTAACTATGTCCCAGATGTAGCTCAAGAATATCGATAAGATTACAAAAATATCTAGTACCCAATAAGGTAAAATTCACAGTGTCTGATATCCAATAAAAACTTACCAGGTATGCAAAGAATCAGGAAATTACAATCAAAGTGAAAAGATAAATGAATCAATAAAAACTGACTCAGAACTGAATCAGATGTTAGAATTAGCAGACCAGGGCATTGTAACAGTTATTATAACTATATTCCACATGTTCAAAAAGTTAAGACATAGAAGATATAACAAAACCACAAACCAACCTTCTAGAGATGAAAACTATGATGTCTGAAATGAAAAAGACACTGGATGGGCTCAATAGCAGATTAGACACTGCAGAAGGAAAGATTAGTGAACTTGAAGATAGCAATAGAAACTACCCAAAATGAAATACAGAGAGAAGAGAGAATAAGAAACTGAAAAGAGTATCAGTGAGCTGTGGGGCAGCTTTAAGTGGCCAACCACATATGCAACTGGAGTCCTCAGAGGAGAAGAGAAAGGAGAGGCAGTGCAGAAACAAACATTTGAGAAATAATGGCTGAAAATTTTCCAAATTTGATAAGAACTATAAACACACAGGCCTAAGAAGCTCAAAGAACCCCAAGCACAAGAAACATGAAGAAAGCAACACCAAGGCACATCAAAATCAAATTGTGGAAAACAAGTGGGAAGGAGAAAATCTTAGAAGCAGCCAGAAAAAAAAAAGCATTGTAACAGAAGAACAAAGATAATGATGACAGATTTTTTCACTAGAAGCAATGCAAGTGAGAAGACAGTGGGGCAACATCTTTAGATGAAAAGAAAAAAGAAGAAACACACTGTATACGTACCAGTGAAAATATCTCTCAAAATCAAGGTAAAATAAAAACATTTTTAGACATAAAAAGCTGAAAGAATTCATCACCAACAGAACTGTACTATAAGAAACGTTAAAGCAAGTCTTTCAGACAAAAGGAAAATAACAGATGGAAATACAGCTCCTCATAAGAAAGGAAGAGTATTTAGCAACTATGTAGGCAAATATATAGGATTTAAAAAACATTTAAAATGTTAAAAAAGATAATGCTGCCTACACAAAAATGACAACAAAGAAGTATGGTGTTTAAAATACATGCAAAAGTCAAATGTATGACAATAACAGCATAAAGGTTGAGGAGGAAAAATTGAAGTATACTTTTGTAAGGCATACTGCATGTGAAGTGGTATAATATTACTTGAAGGTAGACTGTGATAAGTTAAAAAAAACCACTAAAATAACAAAATACAGAATTAGAGATAATAAGCTAACAAAGGAAATAAAATAATATAAAGATATCCAATTAATCCCAAAGACAACAGGAAATAGGGAAAAAGTGCACAAAAACACAGGAGACAAATAGCAAGATGATAGATTTAAAGCTAACCATATCTATGATCCCAATAAATGTAAGTAGTCTAAACTTCCCAATTAAAAGGCAGAGATTGTCAGATTGGATTAAAAAGCAAAGTACAACTCTATGTTGTCTATAAGAAATGTGCTTCAAATATAAAGACACAAATAAGTTGAAAGTAAAATGATGGAAAAAGATATGCTATGCTAACATAATCAAAAGCTGGAGTGGCTACATTTATATCAAAGTAGATTTCAGAGCAAAGAATATTAGCAGGGATAAAGAAGGTAATTTCAAAATGCTAAGGAAGTCCATTCATAAAGTGGAGATAGCAATCCTAAATGATTAAGCATCTAATAAGGCAGCTTAAAATGCATGACGCAAATATTGATGGAAAACAAGAGAACTAGAGAAATTCACAATCATCGTTGGAGATTTCAATACTTCTCCCTCAATAATTGATAGAACAAGGGACAGAACTATTGGGGTAAACGTTTGCAACTTTAGGCAAAGTTGGGCAAATATTCGTTATGTACATCACCAAAAGCACCATCCATAAAAGAACAAATAGATAAATTGGGCTTCATCAAAATTTAAAACTTCTGCTCTCGGAAAGACACTATTAAGAAAATGAAAAGTCACCAAAAGCCCAGCAGAATTCACTCCAGATGGCTCCAATGAGGGACTTTAATGCAGGCATGGGGTTATGGGAAGAATATTGTTCATTCTGGCTACTATAACAAAATACAATTAAGTGGGTAGCTTATAGGCAATAGAAATGTATTTCTCACAGTTCTTAAGGCTGAGAAGTCCAAGGTCAAGGTGCCAGCAGATTTGGAGTCTGGAGAGGGCCTCAGACACTGCCTTCTCACTGTATCCTCAAATGGTGGGAGAGACTGGCTGGTTCTCTGGAGTCTCTTTTATAGAATCACTAATCCCTATCATGAGGGCTTCTCCCTCAAGACCTAATCACCTCCCCAAGGCCCCACCTCCTAATACCAGAACCTTGATGGATGGGACTTCAACATGGGAATTTTGAGGGGTCACAAACATTCAGACCCTAGCAGATATCAAGGCACCCAGAGACTAGTGACTGGGTGCGGAGTTGTTGCCACACCTAGGCCTGAAGGGACAAGGAGGAGAAAGAGTGTCAGTGGAGGCCGGTGACTGCTGGAACCATGGCAGAGGCCTCAAATCAGAAAGGGGGTGAGGAAGAAATGCCTGACCTTTCTCTCTCCTGCCACCTTCTAGTCTCCTGCTGATGTCTCCCATTGCTTAAACTCGAGCTAAGGCTGGAGGGCAGAAGTGCTCAGGGGTGCAGTCCCTAGAGATCAGCATCCCTGGGCACAGAGCAAGGTGAAGAGGGGAGAATGGCTCTGAGTACTGACAGAGGGGGCCGTACATCCAGGCTTTCTTGGGTACTATTGGTGTTTTTGCACTGAAAGTCTAGACTTTTCCCAGGAGACCTTTTAGGCTCAGGCAAATTAGGATGGTTGGCCACCCCAGTGTGGTAGTGAATGGGAATCAGCCAGCACTGGGTGATGTTGTTATTCCCCTTGTACTGACGAGGAGATTGAGGTCTGAGAGGCTGAGCTACTCATCCACAGGACAAGGAAGCAGGATTTGAACCGATGTCTATCTAAGGTGCTCTTTCACCCTACTGGACTTGCTCTGAAGGTAGGGAATGATTGGGGAACTACGTCAGAGGTCAGGACAGAAAGGACAGGGGTTTCCAGGGGACAGACAGACACAAGTGGTCCAAAGGAAGGTGAAGACAGCACAGCACCTCTCTAAATCGGCCTCTTCCTTCTCTGTCAAGGAGAATCATTTTCAGGCTGCAAATACTGCAGAGGGGGCACTGGAGGCAACAAGGGCAAGGCACTGGCTTGGGAACTCTTGGTTTCTCTAGGGGGCTTGTTGTTTTGTGGCCACTGAGATGAATGACATCCTGGAGAAGTGCAGGCATTGTGATGTGATCTCAGGGATCTGAGACCTGGGCGAGGCCAGAAGGCAGGAGAAGGCAGTTACTTTTACTGGGATTCCCAGAAAGCTTCTGGAGGAGGAGGGCCCTTGTAATAAGGAAAGAGTGTGGGGAAGGCTGTGATGTCCTCACCCCAGCCCCCATTCCCCACCCCATTCCCCATTGCTGCCTCCTGCCTGCTTTCCTAGGGCTCTCCAGGCAGACAAGAGTAACACGGAGGCATGGTGTTTGAACATTCAAGGTCTCTCCTGATGTTTTGGAGGAAATGTTGTGGAAAGGAAGGCCAGATCATAGTACAGAGGGATTCAGAGTGGTTGGATGATCAAATGAATTGGAAGTGTTATCCCAGAGGGGCGTCTCTGATAGCATGCCACGTGGCTCTGTCCTCAGAGCCCCTTCAACATGGCCATCAGTGATGTGGAGGACAATGTGAATGGATTCCTGACCAACAGTGGGGGTGTGTGACCCCAGGCAGGAGGGATTGGGGTACACCCAGGATGACTAGCAATTGAACTCAGGGAAACTAACAACCTTGGGACAACAATTGAATTGGAAGGAAACACACAGAGGACCAGAAATGGAACAGGATACACTACAGCAGGGGTGCAGGTAGAAGATGGGGCAGCATAGCTTTTGTAGACAACTATTTGCTCAGAAGAGCCTAAGGTAGGATGCTGTAGCCAAGAAAACTAATCCCACCTGGAACCAGCTGACTAGAGGAGTAGTGTCTAGACTGGGGATTGCAAACTCAGGCTATCCAGGAGACAAGTTGATGACAAGTGAGAGGGCTGAGTGGGGACTGCTGCAAATGGAGAGTCTCAAGTCTCATCTCACATGGACAGCTGACCCTCAGCCCTAGCCAAGGGTGGCCCCGTATATGAGGGCCCAAGTCCCTAAATTTTCCAATTTTTAAAAAAGAAGCTGGAAATCAAAATTCAACTCTCTGATTTTTAAATACTAAATATTTTTTCTAGTTGTTACTGTTGTTTTCATCTGCTTTTGGTCAAAGAGAAAACATCCAGGGGCCAGATCTCGCCTTTAAGATGCCAGTTGGCAATGTCTGGTCTAGAACAAGAATGGAGATTATTCTCTTTCTGGTTGCTCAGCTCTAACTTGGATGCAGCTGAGGGTTCATCTCTGGGAGGGAGATGTGCTGTGAAAGGAAGGAGTTCTGAGGGACCGGGAAAGGAGGGCATGGAGATGTTCCCGGGGAGAAGCGAAGTCTAAAAGTGTAGGAGAGAAACAGATGAGCCACTGTGTCTGGTTGACTCATCTACCCATCTATTCATCCAACCATCCACCTACCCACTCATTTACCTACCCACCCATCCATCCATTCACCCATCCATCCATCATCCACCCATCCATCCATTCATACATAATAAAACCATTCACTCACTCACCCATCCACTCATCCACCCACACACTCATCCACCCATCCACCCATCCACCCATCCACCCATTCATCCATCATTCACCCCTCCACCCATTCATCCTTCCATCCCTCATCCACCCCTCCACCCATCCCTTACTATACTGTTGTAGTTAAGAGCATGGACTCTGGAGCAAGACTGCTTAGGAGTGAATCTGGCTTTGTCACTTCCAGGTTGTATAAACTTGGGCAAAGTAGTCAACTTCCCTGAGCCTCAATTTCCTCATCTATAAAATAGGGAGGATGAAAGTAGGGTTTCGAGGATTAGAACAGTCTATTCATGTACAGCACTTTGAACAGTACCTGGCGTGTTGCAAGTGCATCATATAGGGGAGCTATACTTGGCCATTAGTGTTGACCCAAGAGTCATTTACAGAGTCCCAGCCAGGGGCTAGGCACTGTATTGGGTGCTGGGTCATGGATAAAGCAGGCACAGTCACTGGCCTCAGGAGCCTATAGTCTCTTGGAAGAAACAGAGCAGCAACCAGATAACTTTACAATCTCACCCTGTAGAACAAAAAAGTCACTGTGTACATGTACACCCACACACGTACACACAATGTCTGGCCTGTGTAAAACCCATCAGAGCTCTGTGCTCACATATCATCAAAATCATCCATTTCTATGTTTAAAAAACACATGATTTTTCATGACCCATTCACCTGGAAATAATCACAGGTATGCATAGAGATTTAGCTAAAAAAAAAAAAAAGGTACGGCATGAAACAATGCCCGTGGATAATCTGCTTTGGGTCCCTGCCATGGTGGGCTGGATGTTTCATATGTGTGACCACAGAGGATTCCTAAGCCCCACAATAGGGTAGGGAAGTAGCTCTGGCCCCCCAGCCCTGAGCTCAGCACCCCCTGCTTCCTCCCCATACACTGAGGGAGTCTACCAAAGGGGTGTGCTCGCCTGGTGCCCAGGTCTTGGTCTCTAATTAATCATTTTCCTCTAACAGGAATCAGAGATCCTGGGAGAAATGGTTGACAGCAGGACTGGGGCAGGCCAGGTTCAGGATGAGCCAGGAACATCTTGTTATGCCGGAAAGTCAAGGAGATGCTTAAATACGCACTCACACAACAACAACAACAACAACAACAGCAAGGCAAAGATGAGGCATGTCACAAGGACGCAAACGCCAGCTTGTAAGGACTCCCAGTGGCCAAATCTGGGATGATGTGAGCACCAAAATAATTAATACGGTAATTAACTATAAGTCTCTGGGGAACAAAACCCTGAATTCATGAGTTCACATAGAAGAGTGGATGCATCTGTGGATCCATGGGAGAGAACGGAGAGCTCTTGCTTGAAGGAGCATGCAGAGGCCTGTTTGATAAACGTGGAATGCTGGAGTTGCAAAATCAGCAATCATAGTAAAGATGGATCAAGCAAGAATAATCAATGAAGGCCAAGCCTAGGGGAAACTTTGTGGAGAAGCAGCATTATTTACCTAGTCTTCAAGCATCTCCCCACAGATTGGGGAGAAAATAATAATGATGCAGTGGAGAAATTAAATGACACCTTGTCCGGATGGTCAAAATTCCCATCTCCATTGTGGGGCACATGGCATCACATGCCTGGGAAAGACAGCACCACCAAGGTGGCATTCCAGCTAAGAACACGTAACTGGAAGTTAATCAAGAGGAAACAGACAAACCCCAAATAAGGAACATTCTATTAAAAAGCACAGGGATTATATTCTTCAAAAAATTTCAGTGTCATAAAAGGCAAAGAAAGGCTGGGCAGATGTTCCAAATTAAAGGAGGCTTAAGAGATATGACAACCAAATGCAGTATCTGATCCTAGACTGGATCCTGTGCTGGAGGAAAAAAAAATGGGTCAATTGACAAAGTTGACAAAATAAGGGCATCAGATTAGATCAAAGTATACATCAGACACCCAAAGCAAAAGCAACAAAAAGGAAATAGATAAATTGGACTTCATTAAAATAAAGCACTTTCATTCATGAAAGGACATTGTCAAGAAAGTGAAAAGACAACCTACAGAATGGGAGAACAGGCTTGCAGATCATTGATCTGATAAGAGTCTAGTATCCAGAATACAGAAAAAACTAATACAACTCAACAATAAAAAGGCAAACAACCCAATTTAAAAATGGGCAAAGGGCTTGAACAGACATTTCCCCGAAGAATATATACAAATAACCAGCAAACACATGAAAATATACTCAACAACTTCACCATCAGGAACATGCAAATCAAAACCACAATGAGATCACACCCACTAGAGTGGCTGTAATAAGTTAAGGAGAAAAGTTTTGGCAAGGGTGTGGAGAAATTGGAACCCTTGTACGTTGTTGGTGGGAATAGAAAATGGTAGCTGCTAAGGAAAACAGTTTGGCAGTTCCTTAAAAAGTTAAACATGGAATCATTATCTGACTCAGCAATTCCACTGCTAGGTATATGCCAGAAAGAATTGAAAACAGGGACTCAAACAAATATAGATACACATATGTTCACAACAGCGCTGTTCACAAAAGTCAAAAGGTGGAAGCAACCCGAATGTTCATCAAATGATGAATGGATAAACAAAATGTGATGTGTACATGCAATGGAATATTATTCGACCATGAAAAGGAATGAAGTACTAATACATGCTCCACCTAAATGCTAAATGAAAAAGGGCCAGACACAAAAGGCTGCATATTCCATGATTCTATTTATATGCAATGTCTAGAATCAATAAGTCCGCAGAGACAGAATGAGGATTGGTGGTTGCCAGGAGCTGGAGGGAGAAGACATGGGGATAAACTGGTTAATGCAGGTGGGTTTTCTTTTGGGGTGATGGAAATGTTTTGGAACTAGATAGAAGTGGTGGCTGCACAACAATGTGAAAGTACTAATTGCCACTGAATTATTTCCTTTAAAATGGTTAATTTTATGTTATGTGAATTTCCTCTCAACAAAAAAGTATCATATCATATCAAAATGTTAATTTTATAGAATGTATAAATTGCACTACAGTTATATAAGAGAATTCTCTCTTCTTAGGTAATATACCATGAAGGATTTATGGGTTAAGGCGTATGTTGAATGCAAGTTATTCTCAAATGGTTTAGGAAAAAAATACTACGTATGTCGGGGTGGGTGGGGGAGAAAAGAGAGAGAGAGAGAGAATGTGTGACTATGGTAAAGCAAGTGGGGTAAAATGTCAACCATAGGTGAAGCTGGGTAAAATACATGGTTGTTCTCTGTAGTATTCTGTGAGTTTGAAATTATTGCTAAGTAAAAAGTTAAAAATAAAAATGGAGGGGGGTTGTACTCAAAATAAGCTAGTGGGAGAAAGCTTTGAAGGACTTCACTGGGGCTGTTGATGATATGTGAGTATGAACAGTGGATTAAGCAATAGCAGTGGAATAATGTTAAATTTGCAAATTTTGATCATTTCACAGGGCTTATCAGAGAGTGTCTTTGTTCTTAGGAAGTGTATACTAAAGCATTTAGAGGTGAGGTGTAAGGAGGTTTGCAACTTATTCAAAAGATGCATCTCTACATGTGTGGACGCACACAGATAAAGCACACGAGGAAAGTAGAAACAATGGTGCTTCTGGTTAAAGGACACAGGAGTTCTTTGTATTGTTCTTGCAATTTGAGATTTCACCCAAAAAAAGTCACAAAAGTGAAAAAGGAGTCAAAGTGGAGGCAGGCCTGAGGGATGAGGTCTGTGAATTGAGTCTGCATCTGTCTCCACTAATCATCCTGTATGATGCCTGGAAAATTCGTAAGCATGTCCCCTAAGGTCCCAATTTCTTCATCTTTGGTTAGTTCCAGCTGGGGTGATAATTGGGTTCCCTTTCATTCTCAAATGTTTCAAAGCCTCTTATGTGACCAGGAAAGCATCAAAGGGTGAGCTGGGAGGCTCCACACTTCTCCTGTGTGTGACAGAAGACCTGTGGCATTGTGGCATTCACAGGATCTTTGATGTGTTCCCCTCGAACCTGGGAGGACCCACTTGATCCTGGGTGGGACCCCCGTTGCAAAGACATTGACACATGCAGCCTGGCTAGTTGGCAGCTGCTGTCTATCACAGGCGACCTGAGAGCCCCAGTGAAGACCCCGCCCAGAAACTTCATCCAAAGCCCACTCCTTCTGCCTATCTGGAGAGAGTTCTGGCCGATATCAATGTTTGTGAGAGCCTGTACAAATTGTCTATTTGGGCATGTCGATGGCCTTCCCTAAATCGCTAAAGACTCCTAGGTTTCTGCAAATCAGAGTGGTTTCTGTCCTTCTCACGTTGTCCTGGGGATACTTGAGAGGTCACAAATGCTGAAATGATGATGCTGGCACCTGCATTGCTTCACTCCCCAAATTCTCCTTGCCTGGAATCCTTTCCTCTCTTCCTGTCCCATCCCAAACCGTCTCATCCTGGAGACCCAGCTCAAGTCCTTCCACCTCCCCAAGTCAGCCTGGATGCTTGGGAGACCATTAAGACACCCCCGATCCTCTGGCTTCCTGTGACGTTTGCGATTCCTCTTTCATGGCTTAATTCCATATATGTCTTTTGCTTGTCATCACTTCCTGAGTGTGTTAGGCTCTGTGAGCTCTTAAGAATGGGGGCCTCTATCAGCTGTTTCTTCATTCACCTCCTCTTTACCCCCAAAGCCCCTCCCTGGCGCCACCCACCCAGCGGACATTCAATGACACTTGCTGACTACAGCGAGGAAGCAGAGTGCGTTACATAATGGGAATGATCCTTGAGAAAAATTTTTCTGACAGCAGAATAAAGGATGGGCTAGAGAAAAACCAACAACAAGCCCATCAATCATTGTGTGTTTATTGAGCATCTCCTGTTTGAGGCGCTCCACTAAGAGATTCAGAGGATTCAAAGACAGATAAGGCACCCCTGCCTACTCCCACAACTCCCATCGGAACAGAATTCAGGTTGAGGAGACAACATGTGGGGCGTTACATAATCATACAAGGCAAGAAGCGCCCTGCAAGTGCACAGCATCAGAGGTTGGCACAGCAGGATGTGATTAATTGCCAGGTGAATGATGGACTACAAAGGGAAATTATGTGACACTGTGATTCAGCAAAGCAGTGGGGTTCCAGGGCTTGGTGGGAGCAATGGGGGTAGGGGGAATGGGGGCAGCCCCTTCTGCAGTACAACGATTTGGGAAAGGAAAAGATTGTGGAGAACAAGGAATCTGAGCTGTGTCCAGCCCATGGGGAGGGTTTCCATAGGTGAAGACAAGAAGGCATGACTGGCAGGGAAATGGGCCCACTAGAACAATAAGGAAGGAGAGGAGATGGGCTCAGAGGACTTGGGCAAACAGGAAGTCAAGTGGTGGATGTGAGGCAGGGAAGGCAGAGTGGGGTGGATGGGAAAGGGTGCTGACATCTCACCGTGAGATCAAACAGGCCCTAGCTCTCTGCTTTATTTTGTTCGGTTTTTCTTCTCTCGCTTCCCCTAAGCATCTAGGTTCAAAACTTGCCATTGAAGAAGCCAAGGCACAGATTTTCATGAATAAGAGGATGGCTGGGACTGGTCCCCATCCCATGTGTTGCATCAACTGCTGTGGGGAAGTGGGGAGGATGAACATGAGGAGGGTCCCCTGTATCTGTCCCCAGCAAGGAGATGGCCCTGGTAAGGTTTCGGAGAATGAGGCAGGGGGCGAGCAGCCGATGGAGAGCTCTCACTTGGAAACTCAGACTGGGGAAGCCAAGGAGAGGACAGTAGATGTTCCTAGGACAGTGAAGGCATCAAAGGAAGGAATAGTTTTTCCTCAATAGAGGAAGTCTGAAGAGGTTTGAGAAGAGAGAAAAAGAAGTTGATGGTGATGAATAAAAGAGCAGGCAGGTGAAGAGATAAAACTCCATGGGCAAAGTCCAGAGAGGTGCACAAAAGAACTCTTCTCTCACAGGGGAAAGGGAGGCAGACATCCAGAAAAGGTGAAGGGAAGAGGATGAATTCCACACACAATGGTCTTCATCTTCTGATTCCAGGCTGCCCTCTGCTTTCCCACGTAATGCACCTGAAAAGATGTCAGCAAGAGAAAGTGGAGGACTGGCAATAGAACAGGGAGTGCAATTGGCTGTGGAGATGGGAGCACTTGGGCATATAAGTTGGGAGGAGAAGGTGATTATTGTCAGCAAATCAGCAAGGAGATCAGCCTGAGGGTTGCCGGCTGTCCCCAGCTGGTTGCCCTTGAACTAGGTCACCACTGACTTCTGCACCCACACATCCGATGGCAGTGGTTCTGTTCTTAGCTGGATTGACCTCTCACCTGCTCTCAACCTATTCCCCACCCCTCCACCTGGAGACAATCTCTTCCCTTGGCTGCCCTGACTAACACCTTCCCGGCTTTCCTGACTAACAGTTTCCTGGATTTCTTCCAACATCTCTGGCCATGCTTTCTCTGTCCCCTTTGTGGAAACACCTTTCTCCTCCCAGCATCAATGTGGGAGGCCCCTGAGGCTTGGGCCTAGGCTTCCCGCTGTTCCCTGACTCTGCCATCAAGGCCCATGGCTTTGACTTCTACATATTCACAAATCCAACTTTCTATCTCCAACCCATACTTCTCGCCAGAGCCCCAGTTTCTTAATTGATATTTCCACCTGGACAACTCAAAAGCCACTTATGCTCACTGTGACCCAAGCCGACCTCAGGACTCCCAAACTCCCCCAAACCTGGTCCTGGGTTCCTTCCCTATCTCAATGAAAGTACCACTTTCCATCCCACTATGTCATCCAGAGACATAACCTGGGAGAAACTCCAAGAGCTTTGCTTCCAAATCACCAACACTTCTCCCAGCACCAAATCCTACCAGTTTTCCATCTCTGGTCTTTCCCAAATCTCTTCACTTCTCCCTACCTCCATTTCTGCCCCTGGTCCTAGGCCATACTGCCAGTCTTCTTCTCTGGGCCACAGCAGAAGCTTCCTCATTGAGTCTTCTTGCATCCTCTCATCATCTTTCCAATTCATTTTCCACAGAGCAGCCAGAGATGACCATGACCATGTTGATTCACCTGTTGCATAAACCCTTCATTTGGCCTCCAGCCATTTTCAGAGTATAGACCTGCACCTCCAGTGCAGCAGCCACTAGCCACATGTGGCCATTTAAATTTTTTTATTATTATTATTTATAGAGACGGGGTCTTCCTTTGTTAGCTGGTCTGAAACTCCTGATTTTAAGTGATCTTCCCACCTTGGCCTCCCAAAGTGCTGAGATCACAGGTGTGAGCTACCACATCTGGCATAAATTTCAATTAATTAAAGTGAGACATCAAAAGTTCTGTCCTTCAGTCATACTCACCACATTTCAAGTGCTCATGTTGGTCAGTGGCTATTATACTGGACAGCACAGTCACAGAATATTTCATCATCACAGAAAATTATATTGGATACCACTGGTATAGACAGAACTCCCTAAAGGGTCCCATAAGCCCACAGAGTCTGCCCTCTGCTCACCCCCGCCAGCCTCATCTTATGTCATCCTTCTGCCAATTTCTCTGATCCAGCTCTACTGGGTGACAAACTCTCTTCCAGCACAGGCCTTTTGCATATGCTGTTCCCTCAGATGGAGCATTCCTCTCTCTTATTAGACTAGTTAACTCCCATTCTCTCTGACCTCAGCTCAGGAAGGGAGGGGATGAGATGGATGGGTGAATGGACAGATGGGTGGATGGATAGGATAAATGGATGGATGGATGGTGATATGGTTTGGCTGTGTTCCCACCCATATCTCATCTTGAATTCCCACATGTTGTGGGAGGGACCTGGTGGGAGGTAATTGAATCATGGGGGCGGGTGTTTTCCATGCTGTTCTGTTCTCATGATAGTGAATAAGTCTCACAAGATCTGATGGTTTTAAAAAGGGGAGGTTCCCTGCACAAGCTCTCTTCTCCTGTGTACCACCATGTGAGACATGCCTTTCACCTTCCACAATGTTTGTGAGGTCTCCCCAGCCACGTGGAAGTGTAAGTCCAATGGACGTCTTTCTTCTGTGAATTTCCCAGTCTCGGGTATGCCAATAAAGATCGGCAGCGTGAAAACAGACTAACACAGTAAATTGGTACCAGGCTTGGGGTGCTACTGAAGATACCCGAAACTGTGGAAGCGACTTTGGAATTGGGTAACAGGCAGAAGTGGGAACAGTTTGGAGGGCTCAGAAGAAGACAAGAAAATGTGGGAAAGTTTGGAACTTCCTAGAGACTTGTTGAATGGCTTTGACAAAAATGCTCATAGTGATATAAACAATAACGTCCAGACTGAGGTGGTCTCAGATGGAGTTGAGGAACTTGTTGGGAACTGGAGAAAGGTGACTCTTGTTATGTTTTAGCAAAGAGACTGGTGGCATTTTGCCCCTGCCCTAGAGATTTGTGGAACTTTGAACTTTGAACTTGAGAGAGACGATTTAAGGTATATGGCAGAAGAAATTTCTAAGCAGCAAAGCATTCAAGAGGTGACTTGGGTGCTGTTAAGGGCATTCAGTTTTAAAAGGGAAACAGAGGACAAAAGTTTGGAAAATTTTCAGCCTGACAATGTGATAGAAATGAAAATCCCATTTTCTGAGGAGAAATTCAAGCCAGCGGCAGAAATTTGCATAAGTAACAAGGAACTGAATGTTAATCTCCAAGAAATGGGGAAAATATCTCCAGGACATGTTGGAGGTCTTCACAGCAGCCCCTCCTATCACAGGCTTGGAGGCCTAGGAGGAAAAGATGGTTTTGTGGGCTTGCCCCCCTGCTCTGTGCAGCTGTCAGAAGAGGGCTACCATCCTCCAGACCCCATAATGGTAGGTACATTGACAGCTTGCACCGTGCACCTGGAAAAGCCACAGACACTCAATGCCAGCCCCTGAAAGCAACCAGGAGGGGAGCTATGCCCTGCAAAGCCACAGGGTTGAGCTTCCCAAGGCCACGGGAGCCCACCTCTTGCATCCATGTGACCTGGATGTGAGACATAGAGTCAAAGGAGTTCATTTTTAAGCTTTAAGGCTTGACTGCCCTGCTGGATTTTGGACTTGAGTGGGGCCTGCAGCCCCTTTGTTTTGGCCAATTTCTCCCATTTGGAATGGCTGTAGTTACCCAATGCCTGTACCCCCATTGTATCTAGGAAGTAACTAGCTTGCTTTTGATTTTACATGCTCATAGGCAGAAGGGACTTGCCTTGTCTTGGATGAGACTTTGGACTGTGGACTTTTGAGTTAATGCTGAAATAAATTAAGACTTTGGGGGACTGTTGAGAAGGCATGATTGGTTTTGAAATGTGAGGACATGAGATTAGGGAGGGGCCAGATGTGGAATGATAGGGTTTGGCTGTGTCCCCACCCAAATTTCATATCAAATTTCCATGTGTTGTGGGAGGGACCCAGTGAGAGGTAATTGAATCATGGGGGCAGGTCTTTCCCATGCTGTTCTGTTCTCATGATAGTGAATAAGTCTCACAAGATCTGATGGTTTTAAAAAGGGGAGGTTCCCTGCATAAGCTCTCTTCTCTTGTCTGCTGCCACGTGAGATGTGCCTTTCACCTTCCACCATGATTGTGAGGCCTCCCCAGCCACATGGAACTGTAAGTCCAATAAATCTCCTCCTTTTGTAAATTGCCCAGTCTTGGATATGTCTTTCTCAGCCACATGAAAATGGAGTAACACAGATGGGTTCATGGGTGGATGGATGGGGGGATATGGATGTATAGGTGGATGGAAGGGTGGGTGAATGGCTGGGTGGTAGATGGGTGGATGGAAGGGTGAATGGATGGATGGATGGATGGATGGGTGAATGCATGTATGAATGGATGGATGGATGGATGGATGGATGGATAGATGGATGGATGAATGGATGAAGGTGGTAGTAGATTTAGCTAGTGTCAAGGATTATAACCTTCTGGAAAGCCTTTGTCCATTGTGAGATGCAGTTCTTTAGCTTAATGCCAGTCATGCTCCATCTGTCTTACTCCCCTGTTTCAATTTGGTGCTGTCTTCTGATGCCCATTAACCTTGTGAACTAGAAGAGAATGGACTATACCAGGTTCAGGTTTCTGTTTGGGGTGATGATGGGTCCCTGGCAAATCAGTACAATAGTCTCCTCTTCTGATTTGGATATGTATGGAGCCTGAGGCTTCAAGGGGAGACTATTCTATTCCAGATAATGGGGCTATTTTTTGTGGCAAACAAATAAATAGGCCTTCTTCTGCCCACCTCAGCCCCAGATGTGGCCTGGCTGGTATAAATCAGCTTCTCTGGGCTGATGACCCCACCACGTGGCCCAGAGGGAGTCCCTGAGCCCCAGATCAGAGGGGCAGACACCTGGGCCATCCTCAAGCAGAAAGGTTTTCACCATTTTCAAGTGAAGTCCACCACCCTTCCCTAGCTACATCAGAGAAAATAAAATGATGGGCAGTCCTCTGCAGGAGTCAGAAATGAGGTGAGGCTATAAGGCAAGATCTTTAAAACACACAAAGAAAACTAGACTTTAGCTATGGCTTAGTCACTTAAGTGTCATTATAACACCATGCATTGATGTTACAGGGCGCCCTGAATCCAGGGAGGTCTTGGTGCATAAGTACTGTATGTAGAGAGACAGAACCAGCATGACGATTCCTTGAAAACTTAAACTTAGAATCACCACGTGATACAGCAATCCCATTCCTGAGTATATACCAAAAAGAATTGAAAGCAGGGACACAAACAGATATTTGCACACCCATGTTTGTGGCAGCATTATTCACAATAGCCAAAATATGGGAACAACGCAAGTGTCCATCAGTGGATGAATGCAGAAACAAAATGCAGTATACACACACAGTTGAATATTGTTCGGCCTCAAAAAGAAAGGAAATCCAAAGGATGAATGTTGAGGATGTTATGCTGAGTGAAATAAGCCGGTCGCAAGAGGACAAATACTGTGTGGTTCCACTCATGAGGTATGTACAGCAGTCAAAGTCATAGGGACAGAAAGTGAGTGGTGGTTCCTGGGGGCTTGGGGAGAACAGGGATTTAGTGTTTAATGGGTACAGCGTTTCAGTTAAGGAAGGTGAAAAAGTTCTGGAGATGGATGGTGGTGATAGTTTCACAGCTATATGAATACACTTGAGACCACTGAACTGTACACCTAAAAACTGCTAAGATGGTACATTTTATGTTATGTGTATCCCACCTCAATAAAAAAGTCAAAGTGAAAAAATAAATTTAAAGGGAAGAGTTCTCAGATAGGTATTTCTAAGGCAAGCCCCAGAGCAGCAGGCCTGCACGGCTCCTCCATGAGGTGTGGCATGCTCACCAGGCCAGCCACCAATGACCCCCCTTTGCTTATGTGAAAGCCACGCAGCCACTCTTATCTGCTGCAGCCCATCACCTCATCCTGGAAACATTGTTTCCAAGACTTCAAAGTGCCCAGTCTTCATTGGCTGTGGGTGAATTTGCTTTCTGAAGAGTCCAAAGGACTCAACCACACCTGATGGAGACAGGGCAGGATGGGGAGGGAAGGTGCCTGAGTTGAGGGACCCACTTGGGGGGCGTCAGAAACCAGGCAGGGCCTCAAGGGGGAATTGATCCACTTACCCACAAGGGAACTCCCAATGCAGTTTCCAGAATGCTCCGCCAAAGGCAGAATCCCTGGATGTAAATATGTGCACCTTAGTCACTCACCAACGAGTATTTCTTAGCCTCAATAACAGCAGCCCCAGCTAACCCTTACTGAGTGTAGCATACTGAGCTCCCATGATTACTTGATCTAATCTTCACTCTATCTCCATAAGGCATGTGCCATTATTGCCCTCCCTTTTCAGAGGGGGAAACCTAGGCTTAGTGAGAGTCTCCAGCCTACGTCTTACTATAGCCTACGATATCCTCCACCCTCCAGCTTTGCTGAGCAGACCCTACAGCACTTTTTCTCGTGTTCTATACTGTTCCTGCTTCCTGGATTGCCCTTCCTCTCCTTTCTCTACTCAACACATTTTTTCTCATCCTGTCCCTCCACTTCCAATACCCCCTTCTTCTGTGAGGCCTTCTTGATAATTTTAGGCAGATTGAGGAGTCATTCCTTCCTACACAGCATCAACCTCATTATTGCTGAACTCTTACTTGGCTCCTGGAAATGAGTTAGGCATTCTGTACTCATTCTCTTACTTGTCCCTCCCACAAACCCTCTGAGGCAGGCTTTGTTGTTCTCCCTTTTTTAAAGATGAGAAAAGTGGAACATAGAGAGGATAAGATACTTGCCCAAGGTAACAGATATTGAGGGTGGACTCGGAACTTAAACCCTGGCAGCCTGACTCCAGAGTCCTTACTAGGGTATTTTTATTACTGTATCCGTGCCTCTGTCTGTCCCCCACACTAGACTGTGAGCTTCTCTAGGGCAGTATCGGTTCATCTTGTAACCCAGGGCCTACTTAGAACCGGACACATAAAAGGTCTTGATAAATATTTGCTCAATTAGTGGCTGGCTGACTCAAGGAGGAGACAACAGAGTTTCCAGGCTGTACAGGCTGAGCATCCGAGTGGATGAGGCGGGAAATGAACATAGACGAGCGAAGTGGAGGAGACATAGGTATGGGTTGAGAGGCTGCCTGGAGGGTGCAGGTCCTGAAAGAAAGGGTGGGGACCTCCCAGGAAGATGTGGAAGAGGGGATTCCAAAAAGCTAAGAAAGGAGAACCTATGGATCCGCCTCCCTCCAGCATAGATTTATCCTGTGCAATCTAGTGCAGAAGGTCCCAGGAGGAAAGTGGTAACAGGAGTGCTTGGAACTGTGTGGTGTGCAGGGTTTTGGGAGGCTGTCTCCATAGGGGAGTGGTCCTCAGTGTATTGAAATCTCTTGGGAAGCTGGTAAAAAAAAAAAAAAACGCAGACTCTGGGGCTCCCTGGAGAGTCACAAGGCCTTGGGCCAAGGAAACTGCATTTTCACAACGCCCAAGAGATTCTGCTGAAGCTGTCCACAAACCACATTTAGAGAAATACTATCGCAGTGACTGGTGTGTGGCCTCCTCATCTCCACATCACTATTGTAGGGGCTGTCAGCGGGGGCCTCTCAGCCTGGAAGGTGCTTGGAAGACCTGCACAGTTTAAAAATGCCAGAAGAGCACAGGATGCTTCCACGTGAGCTTTCCTACAAGCAGGAACTAGTCAATAAAAGCACATATGCCTGGCAAAACATGAATAACCAGCTTGCGCAGAGGTCAAGACATAATATGAAATACTGCTGGTCAAATGGAAATGACAAGCTATGTGCTGTCTCTCATTCACTCTCAACTACACCAATCCCTCTGTCGCTTAACTCTGCTCTTCCCTTTCTCAACCCCCTCCACTCTCCTCCCTCTCCTATTGGGATTTGAAACCTGTTAAGACAGCTGTGCCTCTGAGTTTGTCAACGCCCCTGCACCAAGAACAGCAGCTTGGAAGCTTGTTAGAAATGCAAATTCTTGGGCCTCCCTCCAGACCTGCTCAATCAGAATCCCCCAGGTTGGGACCAAGTAAATTCTATTTTGTAAATTCCCTGGGTGCTTCAGAAGAACCTAACCTGGTTGCAAGCCACTGTACTCCAGTCATCCAGACCCTTGCTACTCAAAGTATGGTCCCTGGAACAGCAGCATCATCATTGCCTGGCAATTAGTAGAAATGCCAGGTCCCAGAGCCCATCAAATCCACAGTACAAGAGCCCAGGTGATGGCTACACACATCAGTCGAAGAAGAACAGGCCCCATGTCCCTGGACTTACGTGGAGTCACCTGCCTACACTAATTCCACCTTCCCACTTAACCATTTCAGAAGTGATTCTTTCTCTCTATTTCTTCCTACTAAGAGAAGTTCCTTCCTTCCTTTGAAGCAGGCTGACTCAAAATTTGCTTTCAGGAGTAACAAGAGAAAACCTCCCTCATAATAAACTGTGGAAACCTGATTTTAAAAATCTACCCAATTCAACGTGCCTCCTCCTTCTTCATCGATGCTTTATTTACCATTCCTTGGTATATTTAATAACACTTTACAATCCAATGCCTTGAGAGGACAAAACGTTTCTTCTCTTGGAGAACATAGCTGAGAGAGCGGGGAAAACAATCCCTGGATTGATGAGTCCAAACAGAATAAGTCTTCAGCGTCCACAGGGGTGGGGAAAGGTCTGTCCTGGAGAAACTTGAATAGGTGTCTGACTTATTTCAGAGGCAGTGGGGATGGCTGGGAGTTTGGAGGAGGGAAGGTAGGGGGTGAAAAAGGTGGTGAGGAAGTTGCTGGGGACTAAAGAGATGAAGGCCTTGATGTGTGGGAAGGTGTGAAGGACCCAAGGGTGTCAACCAGGGGTCCAGCCCCACTTCATCGCATCATTTCTCTTTTGTACCCCTTAAGACAGGATGGGGTCAGGGACTGAGCATGGGGAGAAGTGAGCAGCCCATTTCAGGATTGACAGCCAACCTGTCTAGCTCTCAACATCCCAGAGCACTCTGCAGATGTTGTATCTTTCCTTCCTTTCCCCTCAGGAACTGGCTGAGAATATGACCTCCACTGGGAGCTCCTTCTTACTCAGAGGACGATGTCCAAATGCTGTACCTAGACATTCAAGGCCTTTCACCACCTCACCCTGGCTCCTGCCCAACCTCTGGGCCTTCCGCACACACCAGTCAAATGCAGTAATTTTTCAGGAGCACCTACTTTGTGTCAGGCACTGCTAAAGGCACTTGGGATGAGGAGGTGAGAGAGATAAGGTCCCTGACCTCACACAGCTCAAATTCTAGTGGAGAGATGCAAAATGGACAAGAAAACAATGGCACCAGTCTGATGACTAGAGATGTTACAAGTGTTTTGAAGGAACCAACAGGGCAATGTGCTGAGGTGTGACTTCTCTAAGACATGGCATAAACTGAGACCTCAAGGACAAGAAGAAGCCAGCCCTGGGAAGTTCCGGAGGAAGGGAGTTTCTTCCCCTAGAAGAGGGCACAGCAAATGCTAAGGCCCTGGGGCAGGAGCAAGCTTTCAGAGGACAGAGTCAGCCAGGGGCTGGAGTGAGTGAAGGGGAGCAGGGAAAGAGATGAGGCCAGCGGCTGGCTGGACATGGAAAGGGGTTTGGGTTTTTTTTTCCAAATGGGAGAGGAAGCCACTGAAAGGTTTTATTGCTTGTTTGTTTTTGTTTTTGGAGAAGATGCTCAGTGAGACATGATCATATTTACATTCTTAAAAGACATCTTTGGCTGCTTCTGTTTGGAGAATAAGTTGGAGAGACTCAGGTGGAAGCAGGGAAGCAGTCAGGAGAAATATGATGAGGCTGGAAGACGGGGTCACAGAAGTTCCACCAACAAGCAGTGCCTTTTACACCCCTGTGCCTTTGCACATGCCGTTCCCTCTTCCTACAATGCCATTCCCACCTTCTCCATCTGAAAATTCCCACTTGAGCTTCCCTGAGCTACACAGGGTCACCACCCACCCTCATGTCTAAACATTACAATTTGTTGCCCCTTCCTTTGCCCTTTTTTGGAAATTGATGTCTCCCTCTGCCTTTGGAGGCAAATCATGACAGGTCCAAGGCATGCCTCAGCTACCACCAGTGGTGGGGCATTCAAGAAAGTGGCTGAAGTCAGAGATCAAACTGCCAGGCGGCAGCGAGGCTTGGGGAGGGGGGCCTGCCATTGCTGTGGCTTGAGTAGGTAAACAAAGCGGCCTGGAAGCTTGAACTGGGTGGAGCCCACCGCAGCTCAAGGAGGCCTGCCTGCCTCTGTAGACTCCACCTCTGGGGGCAGAGCATAGCCGAACAAAAGGCAGCAGAAACCTCTGCAGACTTAAATGTCCCTGTCTGACAGCTTTGAAGAGAGTAGTGGTTCTCCCAGCACAGAGTTTGAGATCTGAGAATGGACAGACTGCCTCCTCAAGTGGGTCCCTGACCCCCAAGGAGCCTAACTGGGAGGCACCTGCTAGTAGGGGCAGACTGACACCTCACACAGCTGGGTACCCCTCTGAGATGAAACTTCCAGAGGAACTGTCAGGCAGCAACATATGCTGTTCAGCAATATTCGCTGTTCTGCAGCCTCTGCTGGTGATACCCAGGCAAACAGGGTCTGGAGTGGACCTCCAGCAAACTCCAACAGACCTGCAGCTGAGGGTCCTGAATGTTAGAAGGAAAACTAACAAACAGAAAGGACATTCACACCAAAACCCCATCTGTACGTCACCATCATCAAAGACAAAAGGTAGATAAAACCACAAAGATGGGGAAAAAACAGCAGAAAAGCTGAAACTTCTAAAAATCAGAGCACCTCTTCTCCTCCAAAGGAACGCAGCTCCGCACCAGCAATGCAACATAGCTGGACGGAGAATGACTTTGACGAGTTGAGAGAAGAAGGCTTCAGATGATCAAACTTCTCTGAGCTAAAGGAGAAGTTCGAACCCATCACAAAGAAGCTAAAAACCTTGAGAAAAGATTAGACGAATGGCTAACTAGAATAACCAGTGTAGAGAAGTCCTTAAATGACCTGATGGAGCTGAAAACCATGGCATGAGAACTATGTGACAAATGCACAAGCTTCAGTAGCCGATTTGATCAACTGGAAGAAAGGGTATCCATGATTGAAGATCAAATGAATGAAATGAAGCAAGAAGAGAAGTTTAGAGAAAAAAGAGTAAAAAGAAAAGAACAAAGCCTCCAAGAAATATGGGACTATGTGAAAAGACCAAATCTACATCTGATTGGTGTACCTGAAAGTGAGGGGGAGAATGGAACCAAGTTGGAAAACACTCTTCAGGATATTATCCAGGAGAACTTCCCCAACCTAGCAAGGCAGGCCAACATTCAAATTCAGGAAATACAGAGAATGCCACAAAGATACTCCTCGAGAAGAGCAACTCCAAGACACATAATTGTCAGATTCACCGAAGTTGAAATGAAGGAAAAAATGTTAAGGGCAGCCAGAGAGAAAGGTCGCGTTACCCACAAAGGGAAGCCCATCAGACTAACAGCGGATCTCTCGGCAGAAACTCTACAAGCCAGAAGAGAGTGGGGGCCAATATTCAACATTCTTAAAGAAAAGAATTTTCAACCCAGAATTTCATATCTAGTCAAACTAAGCTTCATAAGTGAAGGAGGAATAAAATCCTTTACAGACAAGCAAATGCTGAGAGATTTTGTCACCACCAGGCCTGCCCTAAAAGAGCTCCTGAAGGAAGGACTAAACATGGAAAGGAACAACTGGTTCCAGCCACTGCAAAAACATGCCAAATTGTAAAGACCATCGATGCTAGGAAGAAACTGCATCAACTAATGAGCAAAATAACCAGCTAACATCATAATGACAGGATCAAATTCACACATAACAATATTAACCTTAAATGTAAATGGGATAAATCCTCCAATTAAAAGACACAGACTGGCAAATTGGATAAAGAGTCAAGACCCATCAGTGTGCTGTATTCAGGAAACCCATCTCATGTGCAGAGACACACATAGGCTCAAAATAAAGGGATGGAGGAACATCTATCAAGCAAATGGAAAACAAAAAAAGGCAGGGGTTGCAATCCTAGTCTCTGATAAAACAGACTTTAAACAAACTAAGATCAAAAGAGACAAAGAAGGCCATTACATAATGGTAAAGGGATCAATTCAACAAGAAGAGCTAACTATCCTAAATATATATGCACCCAATACAGGAGCACCCAGATTCATAAAGCAAGTCCTTAGAGACCTACAAAGAGACTTAGACTCCCACACAATAATAATGGGAGACTTTAATACCCCACTGTCAACATTAGACAGATCAACAAAACAGAAAGTTAACAAGGATATCCAGGAATTGAATTCAGCTCTGCACCAAGTGGACCTAATAGACATCTACAGAACTCTCCACCCCAAATCAACAGAATATACATTCTTCTCAGCACCACATCGCACTTATTCCAAAATTGATCACATAGTTGGAAGTAAAGCACTCCTCAGCAAATGTAAAATAACAGAAATTATATAACAAACTGTCTCTCAGACCACAGTGCAATCAAACTAGAACTCAGAATTAAGAAACTCACTCAAAACTGCTCAACTACATGGAAACTGAACAACCTGCTCCTGAATGACTACTGGATACATAACGAAATGAAGGCAGAAATACAGATGTTCTTTGAAACCAATGAGAATGAAGACACAACATACCAGAATCTCTGGGACACATTTAAAGCAGTGTGTAGAGGGAAATTTATAGCACTAAATGCCCATAAGAGAAATCGGGAAAGATCTAAAATCAACACCCTAACATCACAATTAAAAGAACTAGAGAAGCAAGAGCAAACACATTCAAAAGCTAGCAGAAGGCAAGAAATAACTAAGATCAGAGCAGAACTGAAGGAGATAGAGACACAAAAAACCCTTCAAAAAATCA
Source organism: Homo sapiens (assembly GCF_000001405.40). Taxonomy (NCBI): domain Eukaryota; kingdom Metazoa; phylum Chordata; class Mammalia; order Primates; family Hominidae; genus Homo; species Homo sapiens. Next base: position 10,660,297 of record NC_000003.12, read on the forward strand.
ATGAATCCAGGAGCTGTTTTTTTGAAAAGATCAACAAAATTGATAGACTTCTAGCAAGACTAATAAAGAAGAAAAGAGAGAAGAATCAAATAGATGCAATAAAAAATGATAAAGGGGATATCACCAGCGATCCCACAGAAATACAAAATACCATCAGAGAATACAAGAAACACCTCTACACAAATAAACTAGAAAATCTAGAAGAAATGGATAAATTCCTGGATACATACACCCTCCCAAGACTAAACCAGGAAGAAGTTGATTCTCTGAATAGACCAATAACAGGCTCTGAAATTGAGGCAATAATTAATGGCTTACCAACCAAAAAAAGTCCAGGACCAGACGGATTCACAGCCGAATTCTACCAGAGGTACAAGGAGGAGCTGGTACTATTCCTTCTGAAACTATTCCAATCAATAGAAAAAGAGGGAATCCTCCCTAACTAATTTTATGAGGCCAGCATCATCCTGATACCAAGCCTGGCAGAGACACAACAGAAAAAGAGAATTTTAGACCAATATCCCTGATGAACATTGATGCAAAAATCCTCAATAAAATACTGGGAAACCAAATCCAGCAGCACATCAAAAAGCTTATCTACCATGATCAAGTGGGCTTCATTCCTGGGATGCAAGGCTGGTTCAACATACACAAATCAATAAACGTAACCCAGCATATAAACAGAACCAAAGACAAAAACCACATGATTATCTCAATAGGTGCAGAAAAGGCCTTTGACACAATTCAACAGCCCTTCATGCTGAAAACTCTCAATAAAGTAGGTATTGATGGGACTTATCTTAAAATAATAAGAGCTGTTTAGGACAAACCCTCAGCCAATATCATACTGAATGGGCAAAAACTGGAAGCATTCCCTCTGAAAACTGGCACAAGACAAGGATGCCCTCTCTCACCACTCCTATTCAACATAGTGTTGGAAGTTCTGGCGAGGGCAATCAGGCAGGAGAAAGAAATAAAGGGTATTCAATTAGGAAAAGAGGAAGTCAAATTGTCTCTGTTTGCAGATGACATGACTGTATATCTAGAAAACCCCATCATCTCAGCCCAAAATCTCCTTAAGCTGAATAAGCAACTTCAGCAAAGTCTCAGGATACAAAATCAATGCGCAAAAATCACAAGCATTCTTATACACCAATAACAGACAAACAGAGAGCCAAATCATGAGTGAACTCCCATTCACAGTTGCTTCAAAGAGAATGAAATACCTAGGAATCCAACTTACAAGGGAAGTGAAGGACCTCTTCAAGGAGAACTACAAACCACTGCTCAATGAAATAAAAGAGGACACAAACAAATGGAAGAACATTCCATGCTCATGGATAGGAAGAATCAATATCGTGAAAATGGCCATACTGCCGAAGGTAATTTATAGATTCCATGCCATTCCTATCAAGCTACCAATGACTTTCTTCACAGAATTGGAAAAAACTACTTTAAAGTTCATGTGGAACCAAAAAAGAACCTGCTTTGCCAAGTCAATCCTAAGCCAAAAGAACAAAGCTGGAGGCATCACACTACCTGACTTCAAACTATACTACAAGGCTACAGTAACCAAAACAGCATAGTACTGGTACCAAAAGAGAGATATAGACCAATGGAACAGAATAGAGCTCTCAGAAATAATACCACACATCTACAACCATCTGATCTTTGACAAACCTGACAAAAACAAGAAATGGGAAAAGGATTCCCTATTTAATAAATGGTGCCGGGAAAACTGGCTAGCCATATGTAGAAAGCTGAAACTGGATCCCTTCCTTACACCTTATACAAAAATTAAATCAAGATGGAATAAAGACTTAAATGTTAGACCTAAAACCATAAAAACCCTAGAAGAAAACCTAGGCAGTACCATTCAGGACATAGGCATAGGCATGTCTAAAATACCAAAAGCAATGGCAACAAAAGCCAAAATTGACAAATGGTATCTAATTAAACTAAAGAGCTTCTGCACAGCAAAAGAAACTACCATCAGAGTGAACAGGGAACCTACAGAATGGGAAAAAATTTTTGCAACCTACTCATCTGACAAAGGGCTAATATCCAGAATCTACAAAGAACTCAAACAAATTTACAAGAAAAAAACAAACAACCCCATCAAAAAGTGGGCGAAGGACATGAACAGACACTTCTCAAAAGAAGACATTTATGCAGCCAAAAAACACATGAAAAAATGCTCATCATCCCTGGCCATCAGAGAAATGCAAATCAAAACCACAATGAGATGCCATCTCACACCAGTTAGAATGGAAATCATTAAAAAGTCAGGAAACAACAGGTGCTGGAGAGGATGTAGAGAAATAGGACCACTTTTACACTGTTGGTGGGAGTGTAAACTAGTTCATCTATTGTGGAAGACTGTGTGGCGGTTCTTCAAGGATCTAGAACCAGAAATACCATTTGACCCAGCCATCCCATTACTGGGTATATACCTAAAGGACTATAAATCATGCTGCTATAAAGACATATGCACACGTATGTTTATTGCGGCACTATTCACAATAGCAAAGACTTGGATCCAACCCAAATGTCCATCAATGATAGACTGGATTAAGAAAGTGTGGCACATATATACCATGGAATACCATGTAGCCATAAAAAATGATGAGTTCATGTCCTTTGTAGGGACATGGATGAAGCTGGAAACCATCATTCTCAGCAAAGTATCACAAGGACGAAAAACCAAACATTGCATGTTCTCACTCATAGGTGGGAATTGAACAATGAGAACACTTGGACACAGGAAGGGGAACATCACACACCGGGGCCTGTTTTGGGGTGGGGGGAGGGGGGAGGGATAGCATTAGGAGATATACCTAATGTAAATGACGAGTTAACGGGTGCAGCACACCAACATGGCACATGTATAAATATGTAACAAACCTGTACATTGTGCACCCTAGAATTTAAAGTATAATAATAATAATAATAATAAAAGAAAGTGGCTGAAACTTCCCAATCCTCAGTTCCCTCATCTGGAAATGGGAACACAGTTACACTTCCTGCTGACCCTAAGATGGGGGAATTTACAATGGGAGCACTCCCAGGGGACACCAGCCAGGGACAGGGGAAAAACAGGCCCTGGGAGAAGAATGAAGCAAAAAAGGTATGGCCTCAAGCATGACTCTAGTAGGGCAGCTGCAAGCCTGATGCTGAGGGGGAGCTCTGGGGTAGGTCACATTTCAGCAGTGGTCCAGCCCAGGGACCCATACCCACCAGTCACTTCCTAAGGGGCCCCGCACCAGAGTGACCACACGCTCCCAGGTGGTTTTGGTTCTCTGCAGGTACTGCCAAGGCGACTCCAGTAACCCTCTGGGGGCCTGCTAGAGAAGAGTTTCTGGCAGCATGGGCACTAGAAACAAAAGCAGAGCTGCAGGAGGGGAGTGCAGACAGCGGCATAGAGGGGGTCCAAGCTGAGCCCACTGAGCCACACACCTTGTTTTCAGGATATGGCAAGGACCACCTCCCAGACACCTTCCTGGCATGGGGCTTCCCCTGGGGAGGCAGGGACTACTAAGACACACCCATCTCTTTCAGAAGACTTTGGACTCTTCGAAGACAGGGTCAGGTCTCCTCTATCTTTGTATGTTTCCTGCTCTGTCCTTAGGAGTGAAAGAATGCCTTGGGGTCACTGATATTGTTTAACAATGATGCCAACTAACCCCAAAGCCTGCGACCCCACAGGACAGCAAGCATCTTACAAGTGGCCTCGTTGACTGCTCATGTCCACCCCAGAATCTCAGTAGTGCCATTACCCCCATCTGACAGGTGCGGAAATAGAGGCTCAGGGAGGCTGAGCAGAGTCTAAGAGCCAGGGAGTGTTTTTGTGGGGATGGCAACCCAGAATCACTGAGCTCCAGAGCCGGCACCCTGCTCCCTTTTCCTTTTATCACCTGCAGCTGTCACCCCCGCAGCATGTTTCTAATGAGAAGATCATTAGAAACCACTTCCTGGAAGCCCCCTGGGGTCTCACACTAAAGTGGTCAGCGGCTGAGAGGATTTGGTTTATCCTTAACAACAGAGTAGCTTCTGGGGTCCCCAAGGAGACCTGCACCACATACCCCCTCTCCCACAAATCAAAGCCCCTCTCGCCTGGCCCCCAACTCCAGGGCAATTAAACTACTCACAAAGGCTGGAGTTCCTTTTCTGAAAGATTTGTCTGCAGCAACAACAGTGTGTCACTCGAAGGCACCTCTGGAAGGCTCCTTGGTCATGGGATTCGGCTTTTCCGCAGGTTACACAGCTCCCCTCCTCCTGGCATGGCCCCACAAGGTTTGTTGGGACTTAGGAACTAATCCTATTCACCAAAACACTTTTGTGAGCCTGGGATCTGGGTCTGTTGGGCGCATTTTTAATATGCGTGTTCTCAGAGGTAAGAGAGATGATAAAAGATTGTTGGAAACACAAGAGCAAGGTATTTGATCTAGCGGGTGCCTTGAAAAGGGAAGGCAATAGAGAAAGCCACCTTTGCCTGATTTGGGAAAGAAGGAAACATTGATCTTTTTTTCTACCAATTCTGGTCTTCCTCCAGTCCCTCCCATCTCAGGAAAAGGCACAAGCAACTGCCCCCATGCCTATCCAGAAACCTGGGAGCTATTTGGACACCTCCCCCAACCCACTCCATCACCAATGTCAAAGGTGCTCTCAGACCCAGCTGCTCCTCTTTGTTCCTGCCACTGCTGTCTCCTCCTCTGAGCCACTAGCATCTCCAGCCTAGGCAACCATGGTGGCTCCCTGTTGGGCTTCCTGTCCACCCCATCCCTTTACCATCTGATCTTTGAGGAATGAAAATTGATCCATGTCACTGCATATACCTGCTACCCTGCTCTGAGCCCCCTGAAGCTTCCCTTTGCATTGAGGATGAAGAATAAAATCCATACAGCTCCTGCCTGGCACCCACGCACCTCAGCCTGCACCATGCCCTTCTTGCTTATGGAGCTCTGGCCACAGGCCCTTTGCACAGGCTGAGCTCTCTGTCTCTGTAGTCTTCCCTCAGCCTAGCTAACTCCTCTTCATCCTTCAGACCTCCATTCAGTGTCACTTCTTGGGGAAGCCTTTCCTGAGCATGCTGGCTGGGCTGTCCCTGCTGTCCCTTACTAACCTCCCACAGCTCTGTGCACGGCATGCACCTATCTCTCAGCAAGCACAACTTGACACGTAACTGTGGGGTTCCTGGAATAGGGGCTGCCTCCTGGCTGGGCTGGGAGAGACCCTTATCTGGTTTTGCCCGTTGTACCCCCAGCACATTCACAGTGCCTGGCACCTACTAGGACTCTATAACTACTGCCTGAATCAATGAACAAAAGCAAAGATGTGTGGGAATTTACAGCTGAAACTGCATTTGAGGTTGCTTGGAGGGCATGCCAAATCTCAATTTCTTCCTAAAATTTAGGCTCAGCTCCCCTCCTGGCATCTAAGCTCCTGAAGGAGTCACAGGCATGGTGTCACCTCTCATTCTGGGAGTCTTGCCCGCCTCCAGCAGGGGATAAGCTGGTATCAGAGCTGGCAGCAGAGGGAGATCAATCACAGAAGGAAAAAGAGACCAGGGCTGCTCCACTAGACCAGAGAAGGGCTCTGCTTCTGTCCTCATCAGAAAAACCTAGAGAGGGATTCTTTAGGGTGGAAGAGTCTTCTTAGGGATATCCTGAATGCCCCTCACTATGCATTTCATAGGGAAAGAAAGCAAGAGTCAGATACACTTAAGAACTTGCTTTTGGTTTTAAAAAGTCTGTGGCGCCACAGGGACAGAATCGAGTTCACCTGCTTAGAGCTTTCCTGCAGCATGCAGCACCCCTGGCTGCCCTACCTGAGTCCCCTGGGCACGGAGTCCCCAAATACACTAACTCAGAAGTGCTATCGGTTTTGGTGGGTCAGACATTCCCTCTCCCCTGGCCCTACAGCTCCCTGCTACTACGCTGCTTTTAAAAGCAGAGACTTGGCCACAACGGAGAGAGATGACCAGAGTGGGCACGGGCAGCAACTGTTTCCTTCGGGGGTAAAAGCATAACCACCCCTGGCCTTGAGCCAGATGCCAGACCTGGAACCTTGCTCCTCTGAGCCCAGAGTTCCTTTCTGTCTCTCTCTACAACACTGTTTTCCTTCTCCCTGATACCCCAGGTACTGATTGGCACTGAGTTGCTTCAGTAAGTCATTGTACTCTCCACACCCCACCAATGCCCAACCAATCCCTCTTCTTCCAGGACGCCTGCCCAGAGGCTGGTGGTGCCCAGCTCTCACAGGTGCAAGTCCTGCGGCCTCTTGTTCAGTAAGGGATTTCTATGCATACACCAGATAAGGAAACTTTGAGCAGATTCCATCTTCTCTGTCAGCTGAGCACATAGTAAGATGGGTGGAAGCCCAGAGAACAGGCCAATGGATGAATGAAGGAGGCTCAGTCCCTCCAGCTCCGGAGGCCCCTACATGTGTTTCCTCTTGCTCCACTGGAGGAGTGCCCGGAAGTGGCAGAGAGGCACGAAGCCCCGCCCTGAGACCTGCTTTTCTGCAGAGCCTGGGTAGTGACGGCTGGCCAGGGGAGGCTCTCTAGCCCTTTCAGGAACACAGTGTTCTGCCCCCACGACTCTCTGAGTTTTAAAATTCCACCACCTGATGTTTTCCAGGCTTCCCACTTTAGTGGAGTTACCAGGCAACCAGGACTATTTCTTCCACTCCTTTAGATTCCTGTAAGGGTCCAGGCAGAGTTCCCATCCTCACTGGGGCTCAGAGCCTTGGATACCCAGGAGATCCTGCTTGGCCTCTGGCTGACTGTGTTTCCTCTCTTGGGCCTCAGTTTCTCTGTCTGGAGAATGAAGGGACTGGGCAGGACCACCTCCGAGGTGGTCTCCACCAACACCTACTCCTTGTTGGACATTGTCCAGCAGTCCTCACAATGGTCAGAGGAGTTAGGCATTCTCCCTATTTTATAGATGAGGAAACTGAGGCAGAGAGGTAATGCCACTGGCTCAAAGTCATCCAGCTGGTGAGCAGTGGTGGGGAATTTCAGCCTGGGCCTCTCAGACACCACAATATTATGTCTTTGGGTGATTCAGAGACATCTCTGGAGGCTGAGGGGGCTGGGTGCGTCCCTGAGACTGCCCTTTCTTCATAAAAATCCCCCAGAAGCCAGGTAGCAGGGAAAGGCTGGGTGAGAACGCATCCTTCTGGGGTTTCCCGCACTCGGCGTGTCAGCCTGGGCTGCAGTCTGCATCAGGAAGTCCCACTGAAGTGCCACGCCATCAGAATGCTCTGCCCATGAGCTACTGACTGGAGACTTTCACAGGGACCATTTCTGGTCTTTATAAAAAGCCCGAGGGCTCAGCAGGACAAGTGAAGGTAACTATTCTACAGAGGTCGAGGGAAAGGGGCTCCTTGCCTAAGTTAACGTGTCCCCCAGTGGCAGCCCAGACCCCTTCAACCCCAGATCCAGCAGCGTGCTCTGAGTAGGAGAGCTGCCGTTAGAAGGAACAAGATGGGGAGACAGGCAGACACGAACTGGTGGCCAAAAACCTCCAGCAGTCCAGGACTCTCTCCAGTCTTCTGGGTAAATTTCAAGCTCCTTTCTTACTATGCAAAATAAACAACTGAGACAACCTCATTGGAGGTAAAGAACTCTGATCTATTTTCAAAATCAAGGGCTGTTGTTTCCTTTCTAAAAAGAAATCACTGAACGAGGACAGATAGTGCAGGGGTGGGCAGGGGTGGGGGCGCTCAGTGGCCACAGGGTGGCTGCTGGGGCCCCATCCTGGCTTCCGACCTCCTGGTGCCGCGTGACCTTAGGCACATGGCCTGTGGCATTGGGGTGTGGCCTCCCAGCCTGTAAGATAGGAGGGCAACGCGGGCAGCTCACAGAGGCTCACCAATGTCCTGCACGTTAGAGTCAGCTCCATGCTTCTGTGCATTTGATCCCCACAATAAACTTGAACTATAGGTCTCATTGTTGTCACCATCGGGTAAAGGTTCAGAGAGGTTAAGCGACTTGGTCATGGTCACACAGCTTGAGAATTAGAGTTGGGATTCAAACCCAGATCGATCTAACTCCCGAATCATGCCCTAACTGCCCCGTGCTTGAGAAGTGAAATCCTGTGACTCTACCAGGAATGACAACACCGGTAAAGAGAGCCCATCATGAGAATTTTGAGCAGCTTCTCTGCACATTATCCACCAGGTCACTTTAAACTGACTCTTGCCCCCAGGCGTGCCCCTGCCTCAGGGCCTTTGCAGTAGCTGTTCCCATCCCACAAGATTCTTTCCCAGATATCCTAAGGGCTGCCTCCTTCACCTCCTTCAAGTCTTTGCTCAGTTGTCACCTTCCTTGACCTCCTTTTTAAAATTGTACCCCCCCACCCCTTCTGCACTTCAAACTCCCAATCCCTCGGTCCTATTTTATTTATTTTTCTCCATGGCACATCCCACCATCTAACAACCTCCTGCATTCCGCTTGCTGTCTGTCACTATGAGAATTTACCCAGCTCAGGGCAGGCTCCTCGCCTGCTTGCTTTCTGCTGTATCCCCAGCCCCTAGCATGGAGCACAGCACAATGGGCAGCATACAGTAGGCAGCACACAGTAGGCGCTCAGTGGATCATGCACAATCGTGACTGCTCACACAACCCGAGGAGAGCCGCACTGTTCTGTCCCCTCCTTACAGATGGAGAGGTTAGAGGATCTGTCCTGAGTCACGTGGCTTGCAAATGGTAGAACAACTGCTCTACATTCAGCCTCAGGAAGCAAACATCCAACAACAAAATGCTCAGAATGTAAGAGGGGAGGGGAATCCTTCTCAGAACTGGGGGCTGGGACCCTCTGGGAAGCCACAGTCCTTGAGAAACCAGGGTTTGGGGATATTTGCCAAATGCTTTTCTCTTCCTGTCCCAAAGAGGACTTGTTGGGACCCCAGGCAGGACATGAATGGCGTCTTGAACCCAGGGCCACATCTTTGGGGTTACAGCAAGGAAAGGCTGCAAGATTTCCCTGAGCAGGGCATGACTGGGAGGTACAGCCTCGGCCAGACCTCCGCCCAACACAGTCTCCTGGGAGCCTCTTCCTGGCCCCAGATCTCCCCAGCCCATACCCCATTCCTATTCTGCAGGTCCAGAGGGCCCCGCTCCACCCTCCTTTCTCCTCACCTCCCAGCTCCTCCCTGAACGCTGTGTTTGGGGCTCACCTCTCAACCTCATCTCTTTCACCCCTTTAAACTGTGGCTTGTGTCAGAATCACCTGGGGAGTTACAAATACAGGAGCTGGGCCCCTCCCGTAGACTCTGGGTCAGTGAGCTGAGTGGGCCCAGGCACCCATAAATATTTTTGACAAGTTCCCAGGCAATTTCAATGCGGGCTATCCACAGCCTCCCTAGACGAGGGCTCCCTCAGGGACTGTGCCCAGAGACCCTGGCCATGGTTTGCATCGCCTCTGAGCCCTGGAGGTGAGTCCTCATTTTATAACCAAATTGTCACCCCCACCCCCCAGAGACAGGAACACATGCCACACTTATGTACTCTGACCCTGAACACCTGCATAGCTGCTCTGTAAATTTGTGTGGGTTACCCGAGGTCAGTCCAGTTGGGAGAGATGATTCATTCACAAGGTAAAAGCCAAAGTTAATCCCAACAGGCGGAAGCACTGGGCTGGCCATAGAGAAAATGGTATTCAAGGATAGATAAAAGTCAGGCATCTGGACTCAAAAGAAAATTAAGTACAGATCAGCTGGGAATTTGCCTGGTGGTAGTTTATGCAAGAAAGATTTGAGAATTTGAGAGGCACGTTTGACAGGGTTAATATGAGTTAAGAGTGTGATGCAGTTGCTTAAAATAAAAAAAGCCAAATTAAAATTAGGTTGCGTTAAGAGAGGTCGAGTATGTATTCCAGCACGGTAATGATGCCCTCTTTGCTGGGCTGAACTAGCCTTCGCTGGAGGATGCTGCTTGACTTCCTTTAAAAGGGTCATCGCCAGGCGGCTCTCTCTCTGAAGATAATGACCAAGATGGTAGTTTGAGGTTGCTGCTAGGAGTGACATCTAAATATCATTTTTACCCAAAGAACAACATTTTTTTTAACGGGAAAGATTGGCTTAGAGAAGGTAAGTCTTGGTCCTGATATTGGGTTTTTTGTTGTTGTTGTTGTTTTAGACAGAATTTCGCTCTTGTTGCCCAGGCTGGAATGCAGTGGTGTGATCTTGGCTCATTGCAGCCTCTGCCTCCCGGGTTCAAGCAATTCTCCTGCCTCTGCCTCAGGAGTAGCTGGGATTACAGGCGCCCGCCACCACACCTGGCTAATTTTTTTGTATTTTTAGTACAGATGGGGTTTCCACTATGTTGGTCAGGCTGGTCTCGAACTCCTGACCTCAGGTGATCCGCCTGCCTTGGCCTCCCAAAGTGCTGGGATTATAGGTGTGAGCCACGGGGCCCGGCCCTGATATTAGTTTTTAAATATCTAAAGGATGTTCGTGTGGAAGAAGGCCTGGACTTTCTAAACTACTCCAGAGAGCAGAATCCGGATTGGTACATAGGAGGTGCAGCCAGAACAGAAATAAATCTAATATTGGAAAAGAATACAAGAACAATTAGTGTTTTACAACAACAGAGCTGCTGCCATATGAGGTGGTGACTTCCCCATCACTACAGACATCCAAAGGAGAGCTGGCTTTGGTGCATGGAGGCTGTAAAAGAGTTTTCTGCATTGAGTGGGAGGGTGTATCAGATGACTTCGAAGGTCCTTTGATTTCAAGATCCTAGAACATTTTAGCTCCAAATGTGGTCATGTCTCATCTAAATAGAGTTCTCTTCTGGGGCAGCAGGCATGATCAGCAGGCTGGCCTGAATCACACTATCCTGGAGATACCCTAAGATATTAGGATCCCTCTTGAATCTCCCGAATCAGGATTTTTCCCTGAAGAAAGCAGAGTTGGAATGCAACGGGAGGTGGTGGTAAAAGGGGTGGAGTGGCAGGCAGAAAACCAGGAGTCCGGAGAACTGGTTCCAGTTCAGCTATCGACTGCTCTGTGGTTTGGGGCCCTCTCTGTGCCTCGGTTTCCAAATATACCTTCAGGCAGTATGGGCTAGGCCATTACTTCTCAAAATTCCACATGCACACAGATCATGTGCGGCCCTTGTCGAAGTATAGATTCCAGCTCAGTAGGTCTAGTCCTCGGCCCAGTTTCAGCCCCGAAATCCCACATCCCAGGAAGTCTCTTAGTCCTGGACAAACCAGGATGGTTGGTCACCCTAGGGAGGAGTCTGAGAGTCTTTATTTATGGAATTTATGGAAAGTCCCCAGGTGATGCCAATACTGCAGGTCAGAGGCCTGCACTTTGAGCAGAAATGATCTAGCAGTCTCAAGGTCTCTTCTTGTTTGGAGTCTGTGATCCTAGAATCCCAGTTTGATTCTAGTGCTTGGGGTGGATGCCCTGGTGACTTACTAAATGCCCCTTCTTCAAACTAGGAAACTGGTGGTGAAGCTCAAAAGCCACCTAGTGTGGGGTGAGGTGATGAACATTTTTGTCTGCTTAGTCAAGGAGAGACCCAAAGACACTGGTGGCCTCGGAAGGAGTCTGTACCCCGTAGGAAAGCACATCTCCTTAAAATCACCATGATGCCATATTTCCATGAATTCTGAATAATCAATAAAGCCAAAGTGACTGAGGCCCCTGCAGTTTGCACTGTGGGCAGAGGGTCCTGAGTTACATAGTAATATTTATGCAAATGTATGTATTTGACTGCTAGAGAGCCTCGGGGCAAAAGCAATATGATTTTATGCAGTGTGACAGCCATGCAAACAATTGATAAGGTGTTTTGGGTCTGCAAACTCTTGGCGATCATTGGAGATAATACGCCTCCACTGGTTAAAATCACAGCCTCAGATTTCTGCTGGGAGAGAACCACAAACAAACAAGATGCCCAAAACACAAGTCAGTACAGCTTTCCAACCTCCTGGCGCTCCAGCTTCCAAGCCCATAAGCAAAGTGTGAATACACCTGTGGGTTCAGAAGAGGCCTTTGGATTTTGTCCTTAACAGCTGGGTACGGGGCACCCTTTATTTCTGTCATCCTGTTCTAATGACATGGAGGGACAGAAATGCGCAAAAGGAAAAGATCAGGCAGATGCAGCTAAGTTTGGTTAACAGCTGGTTTAATGGGCTCTCTGGAAAGCCCTGTTGTCTTCTAGTTCCTGCTCTTTCTAGGATCCCCAGCCCAGTGGCCTCTGTCAAAAACACAGCTTTGCATTCCGCACAAGGCAGTTTGGACTAATTATTACGCATGCCATTCCCATCACTTGGAGCAGGACCTCTGGCGTGGGCCCAGGATGCTGTCACTACATTTTAAAGGTTTGCAGATTACTGGCCACCGAGCAGTAATCCAACCAGGGTGTGCTGAACAAGATTATTAGGGTCATAAATTTTTATTAAAGGTCACTAACAGATTTATAGAAAGTGCTGTAAAATGACACTTGTTTTTATTAGCACGAATCCTACCACTTGACTTGACAATGTTCCTGGGCTGAAGGGAAGCCAAAGGGCTTTCTCTAACAACAGAGGAATCTTTGATTCACATTCTTATAATCCAGAGGGGATCCACGCTGACATCCCTAGGGGTCTCAGCCAGTCGGGGGAAAGGATGCTCCCAGAACTATTCAGAGAACACCCGCTGTGACACCCAGAAACTGCACTGGGTGTGGCTCAGCTCCTGCCTCTGCCAGAGGTTGGCTGGGTGACCTGGGTGCATTTTCTCCTTGCAGAGCCTCAGTTTCCCCCTCTGGAAAATGGGGGTAGTAATGTCCATGCTTAGGAATGTTGTGAGGCTTAAGATGTGAGTGCTGATATGAGAGTATCTGGAACCCAAGGGCCTTCCCATCAGTTCCGTCACCATTGCTTTTGTTTCCCACAAATGCATCGGCTGCCTGAATAGACTCAGTTTACCAAGTGGTAAAGGCAGAGCTGGAACCTGACATCCAAAAGGATTAATGCCAAATTCAGGCCAGCTCCCAGGACATCGCTGCAACAGCTGACCCTAGGTGCTCCCTAATGGAGTGTGTCCAGGTAGTTCTTCAAGGGTCCTCACATCTAATTTCAATATGTAAAGAAAAAGGAAGAGACAGAGAGAGAGAGAGAGAGAGGAAGAAAGAGACAAAGAAAGAAACAAAGAAAGAGAGAGAGAAGGGAAAAAAACAGAGAGACAGGAAGAGAGAGAAAGACAGAGAGAGAGAGAGAGAGAGGCCAGGCATGGTGGTGCACACCTGTAATCCCAGCACTTTGGGAGGCTGAGGCAAGAGGATTGCTTGAGCCCAGGAGTTTGAGACAAGCCTGGGCAACATAGCAAGACCTCGTCTCTACCAAAAATAGAAACAAATTAGCCAGGTGTGGTGGCATGTACCTGTAGCCCCAGCTACTTGGGAGGCTGAGGTGGGTTGGGAGTATCGCTTGAGCCTGGGAGGGTTAGGCTGCAGTTAGCCGTGATGGCACCACCGCACTCTAGCGTGGGTGACAGGGTGAGACCCTGTTTCAAAAAAAAAAAAAAAAAAAAAAGAAGGAAAGAAAGAAAGGAAGGAAGGAAGGAAGAGAAAGCAAGCCTTTGGATGTGAAAAAAACATATGAAAGAGAACATACAAAAATGATGGTATCAGGGTGGAGGTCAGAAGCATTTTTCCTGCTATTTTCTCACACTTTCCATAATAAGAAAAGTGGTTTTATAAAAAAAAAAAAGAAGCCAATATTAAGCTTTGGGGCAGGCAGATCCAGGTTTCAAATCCCTGCTGTCCTTCCCTTGTGAAACTTTGGAAGAATCACATAAGCTCTCTGAGTTCCTGAAATACACAAGGAGTACAACCATCTGCCTTGTGGATTACATGCCTGTGTGGGAACCATTTGGGGGTGGCCTTCCTAGCATCCTTTCCCCTCTCCCTTTGGGAAATTTACTCTCTACCTGGTTGGTCCTCTCAGCCACCTACTGACCTGGAAGAGAGCGTGTGTCTAAAAATGAAACCAAACCAGAAGAGGCAGAGCTGAGAAACAGAGGGAGAGAAAATGGGTCACGTATTTTAGGTCCTGGATTAAGCTTGACCTGAAACCTATTGCTCCTGGATTGTTCAAATATGTGAGCCAATAAATGCTGCAGTTATTTGATTGGATTCTTACTACTTGTAAAGACCTAGGTGACTCATGAGAGTATACACAATGCATAGCAAGTGCCTCACAAAGCAAGGGACACACAGCTGCAAAGTGATGAGTGATAGGGGTTTTACTTTTATCTAAAATAGGAAGTAACATATTTTTCTTTCTTTTATTTTGCAAATTTTTATTTTTTAACATTTTAGTTCTACAGATTTGCAAGAGCAGTGCAGTAAATACTCACATATCCTTCACTTACATTCACCAGTTGTTAATGTTTCCTCTCATTTGTGCCCTCTGTCTCTCTGTACCCTTTGTTCTTGAGCCATTTGAAATGCCAGTTCATTTCAATTCTGAGTGCTTGAGCATAAGAACAAAGACATTGTCCCACACAACCACAACTCACCCATCCCAGCCAGGAAAGTCAACAGGGACGCACTGTATTATCTAGTCTACAGCCCATATTCAAATTCCCCCAGTTGTGCTGATATCTTTAAAGCTACTTTTGTCTCTCCAGGATCATGTCGTGTGTTTAGCTACCGTATCTCTTTATTTAGTCTCCTTCAATTTAGAACGGTCCAGGCTTTTTCTTTCTTGCAATATTGATATTTTGGGGAATTCCGTTACTTTGGATTTGTCAAGTTGTTTCCCAATGATTCAATTCCTATTAAACATTTTAGGCAAGAACTCTACATAGGCGATGTGGGAAGTGGGATTTGCTTGTAGTAAACATTTTATTGAACTAGCCCAGACATTCAGAAAAGTGACTAGATACTGCAGTTTTTCGAACTGAGCACACCTATGTGTCCAAACACAGAAATGACTAGCATTCCAGAACGCCCACTTTGTGCCTCTGCTGGGTCCCCTGTGATTTCAGTCATCTCAGATTAGTTTTGCCTGCTCTTGAACTTCATGTGAATGGAATCGTTGACCACGTTCCCTTGTGGGTTTGCCTTCTTTCATTCACCATGACTTTTGTGAGCTTCAACCACGTAGCTATGTATATCTGTGGTTCATACAATTTCTGATTATTGGTATATTATTTTCACAGGAATAAAGAGTGAATCAGGCCACATATGTTTTCAGCCATAAAAACAAATTTGAGGCTCTGGTGCAGTCCTGGCGCCCCCATCAACAGACCCCTCTTTGCTCACAAGTGGAGCAGCAACCACCACCAGGAGTTCCGGTGTAGCCCAGGGTGCCTGTGACTTGTCCCTGGCTTACTCTCATCCATGCCAACATTGCCCTGCTCACATCTTGGCCTTGACCCTGAGCTGGGCCACCCACCAGTCTCTGCATTTGCTGTTCAGAACTGCAAGTCCCTGGTGATCGGCCTGTCTTCCTCCTCCCTGGGCAGGGGACACTCCAGCCACATGCAAGGCCACAGCCTCAGGGTCTTTGCACATGTTGTACTGTCTGCCTGCAATGCCCTTTCCCCACCCTTTTCTTCACAATCTCCTATTCATCTTCCAGGCCTCAGCACAAGTGCCAATTCCTCAGAGAGGTCTTCCCTGATGACCAAGCTGAGGGTTCATTCCCCACTGCTCTCTCCCATAGCAGTGCAAAGCTTTCCCTTTGTGATTGGATTACAATTTGTGATGCTGTACTTGTGAATGTATGTATTTAATATCTGTCTCTTCCACTGCTTCCATAAAGGCAGAGATTGGATGTGTATTGTCTTTATGGTGCATTGAACACTTAGCACAGGATCTGGCAGTTTCTAAGATCAATGAAGAAGGAAGAAAGGAAGGAGAGAGGTAAAGAAGGAGAGAGAAAAGGGAGGAAGGAGAGCAGGATAAAAGCAGGACCCCAGTCTCTGGAACTTGGTTTGGACCTCAGATCCAAGGTTTTTGCCTTGGACCTCAGCTGGATCCCCTTTGTGGGTTCCAGCCATTTCTCCTGACAGGGATGGGGTGCCACTGAGCCTTGAGGAACTCTGTGGCCACCCACAGTGGTCTAGCCTCAGACCTTCTATGAGCAAGACATTGGCAGCTGGGTGATGCAAGGAGCTGTCACAACCACAGAACTACCATCATCCTGGCTCATCTGTTGGGCAGGTAAGTTTAAACACTCATCCCCTAGGGATGGGGATGGGGAGGGAGGAGGGACAGAACCACACACACACACACACACACCCTTGATGAGCAGTAAACCAGTAGCAAAGGCTTTCTGGGAGACAATTTGACTTCATATTCCTGGCACCCAGTAGGAACACTGCAAATATTTCTCCAATAAACAGAATGGCTCTTTGGTCCATCAATCCTAGTTCTAGAAAGTCCTCCCTAAGGGGGAGAAAATTAACGATTAAGGATATGCACAAAAACCTACTTATGAGGCAGTTCCCTATGCTGTTGTTTATAATAGTTAAAGAATGAAACTACACCTGAATCCAAAATAAAGGATTGCTTAAATAAATTATGCGGAAGGTGATTCAGCCATTTAAAACTATGTCATGGTACAAACCTAGTAGAATGGCCAAAATCCAGAACACTGACAGTACCAAATGCTGGTGAGGAGGTAGAGCAACAGGAACTCTCATTCACTGCTTGTGGGGATGCAAAATGATGCAGCCACTTTGAAAGACAGTTGGGCAGTTTCTTACAAAACTAAACACACTCTTACCATGTGGTCCAGCAATCACACTCCCTGGTATTTACCCAAAGCAGTTGAGAACTTATGTCCACACAAAGTTCTGCACACAGATGTTTATAGCAGCTCTATTAATAATTGCCAAAACTTGGAAGCAACCAAGATGTCCTCCAGTAGGTGAATGGATAAACCGTGGTACACCCAGACAATGGAATATTATTCAGTGCTAAAAAGAAACATGCTATGAAGCCATACAAAGACATGGAGGAATCTCAAATGCATATTGCTAAGTGAAAGAAGCCAACCTGAAAAGGCTGCATACTATAAGGTTCCAAGTCTATGACACTCTGGAAAAGGCAAAACTATGGAGACAGGAAAATGATCAGTGGTCAACAGGGGTTGGGGGAAGGGAGGGATGGATAGGTGGAGCGGGGATGTTTGGGGCAGTGAACCTACTCTGTATGATACTATAATAGTGAATATGTTGTTATACATTTGTCCAGACCCACAGCAAGTACAACACTTGCTATGAACCCTAATGCAATAATGGGCATGATGTGTCAATGTAGGCCCATCCATTGTAATACATATATCACTCTGGTGGGGGATATTGGCAGTGGGGATGTTGTTTGATGGGGAGGGAGTCTATGGGACCTCTCTCCTATGCCTTCCTTTCAATTTTGCTGTGAACCTAAGATTACTCTAAAACAATAGTGGCTAAAAATTTATTTTGTAGATGAATATTTGTTGGCAAAGAATAATATGTGACATGAAGAAACATTACAAGGTAATATATGAAATAGGATCCTGTTTTTTATCAAAGCAACATTCATGACTAAGTTGTATGGCATGAGTAAGCTTTCGAGCCATAAAGCTCTCTGTATGCCAGGCCCTGCTCTAAGTACTTCTCTTGTGTTATCCTGTTTGCTTCTCCCACAGCCCTAGGAAGCAGGTATTGTGGACATGCCCATTTACAGATGAGAAAACTAAGGCACAGAGAGGATAAAATACTGTCCAAGGTCACACAGCTGGCAACAGAGAAGCCATAATTAAACCCCAGGAAGTGTGGCTCCAATGTCCATGCTCCCAGTTGCTACACTGCCTGCAGGTAGACACCAATGTGCAAACCGTGGTTCTCACATACTGGGATCGTAAAAAATGTTTTAAATTTATTTTGCTCACTGGTATTCTCTATTCCAAAATGAATATGTATTGCTTTTATAATAAGGAAAAGATAATAAAATGTTTAATAAAGGCTGGATGGGCATCCCCAGGTTTACTGAAACATCGTGCCTTCATCGAACTGTTTGTGAAATGAGATTCTGTAGCATGAAGCTGGTATTCCCTGGACTCCTTTCTTGGCGTGAGAGATGTGCCCGGCACTTCCCAGGGGTGGCCAGCTCAGAGGGAGGAAAGGAAAAGACAGGCAAGCTGCCCACAGCAAGCAAGCATCTGCTGAGCACTTATTGTGTGTTTGTTTGTGGGGGACCAAGATGCTGGCCCTGGCTTCTGGGGGCCCAGGTCTAACCAAGAAAATGGCCCTTCTCCTAGAAGGGGCCTGGGAGCATGGAAGGCTTGTCTGTTTATGAAGCCTGGGGGCCTCTCAGAAAAGTGTTAAGAGCTCCTGGAAGCAGGGAGAGAGCTTGTACTCCCAACTCAGACTTGAATTGGGATCCCGGCCCCACCTACCTGCTTGCTGTGTAACTTGGGTTAACCCATTAACTTCACTGAGTTAAAGTGGGGATAATAATAGTACCAATCTGTGGTAGGTAGAATTCTAAATCATCCCCCAGATTCCCAGCCTATGGTGTACATACCCTAAAAATCTCCTCCTGGGTGTGGAGAGGGTCTATGAATATGATGGGATATCATCCCGTGGTCATGTGAGGTTATATAGCAAAGGTAAATAGATTTTGCAGATGTAATTAAAGTTTCCAATCAGTTGACTTTAAGCCAAATGTAGATTGTTGTAGGTGGGCCTGACTTAATCAGGTGATCCTTTAGTATGGGATCTGGAAGTCAGAGACTTCTATCTCTCTCCTGCTGGCCTTAGAGAGAATCAATGCACCATGAGGTCTACAGCTGCAAGGAAATGAATTTTGCCACCAACCATGTGAGCTTGGTTAAGGACCCTGAGCTGGTAGATGAGACACCAGCCACATCCTGGATTGCAGCTTCGTGAGACCCCAAGCAGAGGATACTTGCCTGCACTATGGTGTATGGAAACTGTGAGATAATGCATGTATGTTGTTTTAAGCCACTAAGTTTGTGGTAAGTTGTTATGCAGCAATAGACAACCAATACCTTACATCACAGGAATGTTTATGAGAAAATGCATGTGCTGTCTCACATATACACATCCACCCTGTGCTCAACTATTTGATCCTCTTTCCCTTACAAATGGCAGGGACCCAGACCATCTCTAGGGAGGTCTGTTCAGTACGAATGTTCTGATATTACCACACCCTCCCATCACACCCACCATCCCAGTCTGGGATCCCTGAATAGGCTTGAAGGAGCTTCCAGATCTTGTCCAGTTTGGGGGATAGTCAGGAGGGGCCAACACTGAAGTTAAAGTTGGAGCAGGAGGGAAACTCTTGCCCATTTGCACAGGGAGATGTGCCCAGGAATGTTCACTGTGGCTTTATCTCCAGCAGGAGAATGGGTGAACACATTGTTGTATAGTCACACCAGGTAATTCTATACAGCAGCACAAGATGAAGCAGATTCATGTGAATATGCACTCAAACAATAATGAGCTGCAGAAAGATATGTGCAATCTGGTGCCATTTATGGAAAGCTTAAAAACATACATCTGGTGCCTGTGAATGGTAAACCCAATGCAGGATTGTGGTATCTCCAGGGTGAGAGAAGAGGGGAAGAAATAAGAGAGCAGGAGGGTTCAATGATATTGATATTTATAATGTTTTCTTTCTTAAGCTGGTGGTCGGTATATGGTTCGAGGATGTTAATAACCTGTCGGTTCCACGAGGGATCTTTGTCTGTTTTGGTCATTGCTGGAGCCCCAGCACCTAGAAAAGGATCTGGCACATAGTAGGTGCTCAGTAAACATTTGTTGAATGAATGAATGAATGGTGTTGGTTACATTGTTCTCTGTCAGATCCTGACATGCATCTTAAAAATAATATCTTGAAGATCCCTGGCACCAGAGACATCCTGTGTCCACCCACCAGTTTGCTCTATGGCCCTAGGGGAGATCACTGGTCTTCTCAGGGTCTCCACTTTGCCATTTGTAAAGTGGGAGGCTGCATGGGCTGGTCTCAGTTTCCTCCTGCTGCAAGAGCCTGTGGTTTCTGAGGGTTCTGGAGGCCCAGGTGAGTGGTAGGTTGGCCTATGGAGGTTGTCACAGACCAGTGCAGCCAATGTCTGTCTCTGTGGGAGCGACCTCTTTATCGAGCTCTTAAAATTCCCCTCATTCCTTACAGGGATCGGGCCAGACTTTGCTGGGATGTGTGGTGGTGCATGTCAGCTCTGGTCCTCACCAGTGGAGTGACCTTGGGCAGGCCATCGTGTCCTGATGCCTTGGCATCTTCATCCAGAGGATGAACAGTGAATCCATACTCAGCACACAAGTCAGAGGCTAGGACCCGGGGGACATTAGGTCTCCTTTGGTGTCCCCCAAATGTAAGGGCCAGGGTGGTGGTTACTGATCCTCTCATTGATTAATAGAAACCTTTTACACATTCGTCCTGAGCATAGCTCCCTGGGATGTATGGCTTTCCTGGGAAAACAGAGGCACCCTTAGGACATGTCTGAGGTGGGCCTCCTGAAGGCTGGATGTCCCAGTCAGCAGATTCCTACACCCCTCCTGATAGAGTCTGGATGTTGTCTGCACCGAATCTCATGTTGAAATGGGATTCTCCATGTGGAGGTGGGGCCTGGTGTTTGGTGACTGAATGGTGGCGGCAGATTTCTTATGAATGGTTTAGCACCATCTACCTGGTGCTGTCCTCTTATAGTGAGTGTGCTCTCGCGAGATCTGGTGGTTTAAAAGCATGCGGCACCTCCTTCCTCTCCCCTGCTTTCACCATGTGATATGCCTGCTCCCCTTTCACTTTCCGCCATGATCGTCAGCTTCCTGAAGCCTCCCCAGAAGCTGAGCAGACATTAGCATCATGGTTCCTGTATTCTCAGTCTGCAGAACTATGAGGGAATTAAACCTCTTTTCTTTATAAAGTAACCCATCTCAGTTATTCCTTTATAGCAATGCTAGAATGGCCTAACACATTCCCCAACCTTCCCTGTGTGGCCACGTCCCCCAGCAGCTCCACGCTTGGGGGTGGTGGAGGCCTGGCCCCAGGCCCTTGTCACCAGAGGCAAAATGATTGCAATCTCTCTGCTGTGTGCTGGGAACCTCCTCGTTTCCAAAGTGCTGTCATGTCCCGTGCACCCCCATTGATCCTCACAAGCTGGAAGGCAGACAAATGTCTCCCCATTTCAAATATGAGGGGCTTCACAGTCAAAGGGGTGAAGTGCCCAATGCACTCACTCACTCGCTCACTCACCTGTTCATGCAAACATTCACTGAACGCCCACTGGGTGCAGGCACTGTGGTTGGTCCTCAAGATACAAGTATGAAAAACAGACTTCACAACAGGTAACATTGACTAAGCACTTACTACTTGGTAACAATGATTGGTTATCTACTACATTCAGACTATAATTTTCACACCACACTATAAGATGCAGGTCCTATTATTATTAGGCCCATTTAACAGAGGGGGAAACTGAGACTTATCAATGTTAAGGAACTTGCTCTAAGTCGTGCAGCTAGTAAATGGAGAAACCAGTATTCAAACCTACAGGCTCCAAAGCCTGCAAACTGAACTACTCTGCTGACCCAGTCCCTGTCTTTGAGAATTTGCAATTTGGTATAGAGAATTCATGATGTTCAGGCACACAGTAGATGCTCAGAATGTACTTGTTATATGAATGGATGATTGGCAATGTAGGGCGATCAGAGATACCTGAGGCAGTCAGGGAAGGCTGCCCTAAGGAGGAGGCATTAGAGCTGGGTCATGAGGGATGAGTAGGAGTTCACCAGGCAAACCAGCAAGGATCTGAGCCAGGACTCCATATTCAAATCCCTTGTTCTTTCAATATTGATTCCATAACACGAGACTGATGGAAAGAAACCTCGAAGGCATAGTGTTTCCATCCATGCCTCATAAATTTTGCCATGGACTTTCCATCTGCCTCCACCACAAAGTCTGAAATCCTCTTTGCCCTGATAGCAAGTTTGGGCCACTGACTCCCATTTAAATGAATGTGTTACCACCAGAGGTAGGGAGGACTCCCAGATTAAAACCTGAGAAAGGAAGCACAAATCACAGCACTGTGGTCTCAGATATTGGCTGAGACTATGGGCTTAGCTTGCACCCCCAGCTCCTTCATGCACCTGGAGTTTGAATGGCTTAACTTCTCTGTGCCTCAGTTTCTTTGCTGTAAAAGAAATGTGACAGTGACAATGCTTCTCTTGTAGGGCCATTGTGATGGTTAAATAAGTAAGTAGATGTCAAATCTTTACAAAGTGCATGGGAAATGCTTAGTGAGTGTAACCTATTAAGAGGACAGACCTGGGAGATGGGTGGCATTTAGGGGTACGTTTCCTGTGGACTCTGAGTGCAAGAACTTCCCACTAGGGCAGAAGCAAGTCCAGTGAGGGTCTAGGTGAATGGATCCAAGGCTAACACAAGAAACCCCCAAATCCTCCATATCTAGTCTGTCCCTACCCAGAGCAGATGCTTGGTGACCATTGGTTAAACAAAGAGCTGAAAGTGGAAGGCCTTACTGGGTCAGGTCATGATCCCACCGGCTTCTGATGGGACAACCACAGGCACATGGCAGGGGGCCACAGAAGCAGCTTTGTAACCAAAGAACAAAGGTCAGAAGAGGAGGCAAACCCATTCATCGTGTGCACACACTCCTGCAAACGGTAATGTGCTGTGCCCATGTTAGCCCTCTGTATGCAATTGGGTAAAAGACAGGGACATAAAACGAATGTGGATACTAATAATAATCATGCAAATGGCCACTGAGTCTTTGTATGTGTACTTCACCTCCATTATCTCATCTGACCTTTACAACCCCTCTGCCAGGGTTTTTTTTTTCTTTTACTTTTTTATTTTTTAATTAAAAAAAAATTTTTTTTTTTATTTTACTGATGAGGAAACTTGGGCTCATAGAAGTCAAATCACAAGGGAGAGTTCTGGAATCAGAACCCAGGTTCATGTGGCCACAGGGCCTGCATTTGTAACCACACTCTCCAATCCTTTGGATGAGTCACAGAAAGAGGCACAGAGGGAGGAATGTGAGGGAAGATACCGCTAATTAATTGTGATATTGGAAAACTTCCTCATGGGTTGGGAAGGCAGGAATAGGGTCAGTGTTGCTTGGGTTTTGCTGAATTCATGGTACTACTCATTCTTCATGTGGAACTGGGGAAAGGGGAATATGGTAATTGAATAATATAAACTCCAACCTTAAGATCCTCTGCCAGACAAAGCAGTCCCCAAGAGAGGCACCAGATCAGTTATTTCTAGGTTGCTAGCAATGAAACTATCACTGCCAGCACCACTTTTAAGATAAGTGGTAAATCATTCAATAACTTGTTATTTTATTTATCTCATTTTTTTACCCAAAGCCTTATAGCTAGAAATATATATATACACATATGTATATGTATATATGTATATACATGTGTGTGTGTATATATATGTGTATATATATGTGTGTGTGTGTATATATATATATATATATATATATATATATATATATATATATATGTAAAGAGACAGGGTCTCGCTCTGTTACCTGGGCTGGAGTGCAGTGGCATGATCATAGCTCACTCACGGCATCCTCGAACTCCTGGCCTCAAGCAACCTTCCTGCCTCAGCCTCCCAAGTAAGTATCTGGGACTTAAATTATAATCTTTATTAGACTACCCTTCTGACACTGTGCTCTTTCCAGAAACCTCATCTACCCTTGTAGTGAGCAGCTCCATTGGAGAATTGTCCCTTTCCCATCCAATGGGGCTTGAGTAAAACTGTCAATCACATGCTTCCCTGCCTTCAAATCTCATGGGTGGGCAAGTGACCCAGGTCTGGCCAATCATGGTAGCTCATCCTGTGGTACTCAATGATTGGTCTAAAGGGATGGCACATGACCTAAGCAGGGCCAATGCCAGCCCCTTTATGGGATCTGTTTATGGATAAAGGAAGGAGAAGACTAATCTTTGTTTAAGTTTGTGAACTGGATATAAGAGCCACATCAGCCCTAGAACAACTGGTGACCACCTGGAATGCTGAAAAGCAGAGCTGAGAGAAGGAGAGGAAAACTGAGCCCTAGTAATATGATTTCAGCCTCTGGATTCAGCTGTGCCTGACACCCTCATCCTTGTACTTTGCAGTTATGTGAACCAATCCCTTTCTTGCTTAAACTAGTTTGTGCTGCGATCTGGTCACCAGCAACTGAAAGAGTCTTATTAAACATCACCCTCAAAGGTTTCACAAATTAATAGGTTCATTCAACAATTATCTATTTAGTAGCCACTCCAGGCCTGCCACTGATATGCTATCTGTCTCAATGAAAATCAGGATGAAGATTTATCATCGTTAGAGTATCTGGGGCAATGGGACCTAAGCTCTGAAAGCAATTTCTAAAAAGAAGCATCCAATATGTCCGGATCAAGGTCCAGCTCTTAGGAGCAGGTTTGTAGCAAATGATGACCATGGCAATGGCCACAAAGGGGTCACACTAGCAACAAAGTCTAATTAAGTCTATGGCAACAAGTTCCAAGGGTGATCTTTGCCAATTGGATGGCTATTTTACTCGAGACAATGATAAAATCAAGACAGTGCTTAAGTCTCTGCTGTCGTTAAGTTCATTATGGAAGATAGTTGGTCAGGATGGAGGTTCAGGTCAGAGGGGACAGGGACAAACTAAGCCTGGGAGAAGATGAATGTTCACAGTTTTGAGGGAATTTAGCAAAAGCCAAACTGAGATCACTCAAGACCAGGCGATGGTAGACAGACTCTCTAAATCCAGGCCACCGATGATGTTCTCCTTCTCTGAGGTTCTTCTCAGAGAACATTTCCTCATCTGTAAAACGGGTGTGCTAAGTCCCCACTGTTTAATCCCTGGGGTTGCTGTGAGGATCAAATGAGGCACTCTGTAAACGGCAAAGGCCTGAGGCTTGTTTTCCAGCAAAAGCAGGTATCTAACGGCAGGAATAAAACTGTATTCTGAAGTCAAGCCAATAAGTGTGCTCGCTGGGACCAGACGGGTCCTGAAGAGGTACAGAACAGAACAGATGATCTTCAAGCAGGCAGCTGAGCAAGCAGCGTGAAGCTGTGGGTTTTGTGGAAGTGACTCTTGGAAGGCAAGTACTGCTGGGTGTTCCGTGGGGACTCCAGCTGAGGTGTCTCCAGTTCACTGTGAGATTACCAGACCTTGGCTAAAGGTCTCCTCACTTGCCTGAGAGAGAGAGAGAGAGAGTGTGTGTATGTGTGTGTGTGTGTGTGCACGTATACCCCTGTGCAGGACCACACACTCCTGGGCAGAGAAGAAGAGGGGGCTTCTATCCAGCCCACTGTCCACTGGCCAAGCAATGTGCCATGTGGCTGCTTCCACCCAGAGGGGGCTGCCTTTTCCTAATGTGCCCCAAAGCACCCTATGGTCTAGTGGTGGGCATGTGTGCACATGCAGGAACACACATGATCCCATACATGTGTGACAGCAGGGACTTATGCCTGAACGTTTATGATGGACACATCTTTGACAACCAGAATTCTAGTTCCATTCCTCACTGATTTCTTCTTTAAGCCCTATATGAGAAGGCTTCCCATTTCTAAAACTAAATTTCTTTTTACGTGACATCTGTGACCACCTTCAATCAAATGAATCCATTTGCAGCAGGGGTGACTGTTTTAATGTGTCTCTCATTCTCCTCTTGGGGCTAAGCTGCAAAATGCTTATTCCAGCTCGTCTTTCTTCCTGGTTCCCTGTCTTTCTTTCCTCCTTTCTTTTTTTTTTTTTTTTTTTTTTTGAGACGGTCCTCCTTTCTTGATTCCCACTGGCCTAATGCCTTGTGGTTGCCCTCATCTGAAGCATATAGGGTGGAAATTTTAATTTCTCTAAACACAGACAGGTCAATGCCTCTCTGATAAAAGACAGCCTGGGTCACACTGTTCCCCACAGAAAAGCACCAAGAGATCACTCAAACTCTAGACAGTTTCCTCAAACTGATGTTAGTCTTGTGGAGGACAGAGATTATGTCTTGGGACACCCATGAGTATCTGTGACAAGTGTCTCAATAGAATAGTATCACGTCTGTTTTTAAAAGCACACAATTGGCTGGGCGTGGTGGCTCAGGCCTGTAATCCCAGCACTTTGGGAGGCCGAGGCGGGCGGATTGCAAGGTCAGGAGATCGAGACCATCCTGGCTAACACGGTGAAACCCCATCTCTACTAAAAATACAAAAAATTAGCCATGCGTGGTGGTGGGTGCCTGTAGTCCCAGCTACTCGGGAGGCTGAGGCAGGAGAATGGCACGAACCCAGGAGGCAGAGCTTGCAGTGAGCCAAGATCATGCCACTGCACTCCAGCCTAGGCGACAGTGCGAGACTCCATCTCAAAAAAAAAAAAGCACGCAATCATTCAGCACTTTTTGTGTTCCAGGCACTGTGCTAGGTGCTTGTTGCCTTCCCACTAAATCCTCAGAATCACCCTATTTCACAGATGAGTAAATTGAGAACAGTTTCTCACCAGTAAGCCCTATACCTTTTAAGAAATAAAACCAAGAGCAGATGAAGTGAGCCTTGATTCCTGAAAGCCACTAAGCCACTAGTTCTGAATCACTGGGGTGGGAGTGGCATGTAGTACAGATGCCACCTAATATGTCCATTTTACAAATGAAGAGACTGAAGCCCAAAGAGGAGTCTGGGATATTAGAGAGGCACAGTTGAGGGGCTAGAGCCCTGCCTTCTGAAAGCCCACAGGCTACTGAGAATACACAGCTGCAGCTGATAGGGACCACGATATGGGTCATGCAAGGCCCAAATAAGCAGTACAGAAAAGTTGCAACTACATGGAAGGCCTTGTAATACCCATACACCTTAGGGATTAAAGAGCAGGAGTTTGGGGATCACTTCTGCCTTTTACTTGCTGCCTTGGGTAGCCACTTAACCCTTCTGCACCCCAGTTTCCTTATACTTAACATGGGAACAACACAAGTACCTTTCCCCAAAGTGTTGCTGTGAGGATTAAGCAACATAATCCTCATAAAATGCTCAGTACAGTGCCTGGTGCAGACGGAGTGCCCAGGCATTGTTAACTTATATTATCTTGGTGGGCTAAGGAATGTTTTTGATGCTTGATTTTCAAAATGAATCAAATGTAAGCTGCCTTTCCAGTAGTATTTCAGGTCAATATAGTTTTCTTCAGTTTAGAATCTTCTGGGAACAACTTTGGAGAAAGCTCGCTCTAAGCAGACTTTCAAATTTTAGTGGGAAAACAAAGAATTAGGTGATTTAAAGATGGAAATAAAAAGAGCCATTGGACCCAGATGAGGTGGCTCATGCCTGTAATCCCAGCACTTTGAGAGGCTGAGAAGGGCCAATCATTTGAGGGCAGGAGTTCAGGACCAGCCTGGCCAAGATGGTGAAACCCCATCTCTCCTAAAAATACAAAAATTAGCCAGGCGTAGTGGTGCACACTTGTAATCCCACCTACTTGGGAGGCTGAGGCCTGAGAATTGTTTGAACCTGGGAAGTGGAGGTTGCAGTGAGCTGAGATCACACCACCGCACTCCAGCCTGGGTGACAGAGTGAGACTCTGACTCAAAAAAATAACAGTAAAAAAGAACCATTGGGCCGCAAGACATCTGCCAGTTATTAGCTGGGTGACCTTAGAAATAATAATAATAACAGCCAAAGCCAATATTTATTGAAAATTCCTATGGGACAAGCACTGGTTTTGATATTATATATATAAAATACACACATTATCTTTATTCATATTACATATTCATTAAATTCTTACCATGACCCCTATGAGGAAGTTATTAGATGTTGTTTCCATTTTCCAGGTGAGAAAACCAAGGTTTATCACTTTCCTGCCTCTAGCTTCAGTTTCTCCAATTGTGAGAGAGGCCAGTCCACACCTGTCTGCCTCATAAGGTTCCTAAGAATGCCCAGAAGACAAAACATACCAGGTTTGCGTTTGCTCCTCAAATGCAAAGACCCAGAAAACAACCAAGTTTGGCTGCTGTTCTCCACTGAGCTCCAGCCCAGCAGAGGGCCCCAGTGGTGGGTCAGAAGGGCACATCAATTTCAAGGGGAGACACTGGCCCCTAAGGAGCTTGTCATCAACTGCACATTGACTCTCCAGAGTGAAGACCTAGAATGGGGGCTTGTCTTACTTCATTCAACATGTTTCTTTGGGGCTTTTGCCTCTAATTCCTGCTGTTCAAGATCAGCAGGGAAACCAGCTACTCAAAAATTAGTCCAACTCCATTTTAGTTATAGATGTGTCCCTGTTGGCTTGTGCCAAATGACCCAGGTCCCCCAAGAAAGCCACCGGAGAAAGAAAATTTGCTCTCAGACAGGGACAACGTTAAGGTGAGCAGCCCTCCACAGTGGTGTGATGTCTCCTGCGCCAGGCCTCCTATGGCCAGCGGATGCAGCCAAACCAGCAAAGTCCTTTACAAAACCCTCAAAGTGCTGACTCACCAAAATGCAAGCCATTAACTACCCCTGGACACTGGACCAGTGGGATGGAATTCCTCGCTTGACTGAGGATGGAAATGCAGTGAAGACATCTTGGGATGCAGCCCACAAAGGTATTAGGGTGGCCTTCGGTTGAAAAAGGCAAAGTGAAGCAATCACCAGGCTCTTTCCCTCCATGGTGCAGATGTGGAAACCACCTGGCCAATGTCCACCCTGTCATTACCTGGTGTGGGGGTGGGGAGGAGGGCAGGTCCATGACTAGTAGAGATCCTCTTTGGATTGCATGTGAGGGTTTGACCAACACAAAGGATATCAGATTTGAAGAGCCAAAGCTGTAGGCCCACGTGTTAGCACCATTCAGCTAATGGGGACACCTGAGCCTTCCTGTGATCTAGATAAGGAGCAAATCCTTGCGTTACCTGGTGCAGATCTCCATATATTCTATGAGCTCTACCACCGTTAGCCATTCTGAGCCTCTTTTAGAGTAGTCTGGAGCTTGTGGGTGGCGGGGCACATGAGGGTTTTGGTAGGAGTCAGAACCAGGTATGAAGCTTGCCTTTGCTGCTCTGGGGAAGTGCCTCTCCACACCTTAGTTTTCTCAACTGTGTGACGGGAAAGGCATCTATTTCACAGAATTGGCAGTAAAATTAAATAAAATAACACCTCCTGTCCAAATAGAATAATTCAGTGTTTCCCAGACTTAAGGATGTCTCAGGCCAGTAAAATTAACACAAAACAAAGAAAACATGAACTAAGTCAATCTAGCATTGCCAGATACCAACATTAAAAAAAATAAGACCTCCTTGGTCATCAACATTATAGAAGAAAGGCCATTTTAACACTGAAAGAGTAGAAAGGCCACAACCTCAGGATAAAAGGGCCTCCTTTCTCTTAGCTTTCTAGAAAGCTCTCACCATCCTCCTCATCCTGCTGAGGACGGGGAACCCTGTCATGGACCAGCATTGCCCTGGCCTCGTTTGGTTGCCGGGAAACCACTCAGATGCTGTACTCCAGCACGTGGAGGGAGGCTGGTGGATGTGAGTCTCCGACCTGGTTTATCACACTCTGACGTGCAATCCAAGCATTGCTGCGCACCCTCCACCCCGAGGTGGGCTTGGGCAGGCAGGTCCACAAAGTAGGTCCTCAGTGAGGGTAGGGTGAACAGAGGAATGGGGAACACCCAAAAGGGAGCAGTGGGCAGCCACAGAAGCTCTACAGAGAGTCCAGAACCAAAGGGAGGGTGCCAGTGCCTGCCAATCCACTGCCAGTCCACCGCCTATCCCTGTCCCCCACATGCAGAGGACTCTGTCCTCCAACTGCAGAGCAGACACAAAGGCTCTGGGGGCAGTCAAACAGCAACAACAATGTTCATGTCAAAAGCATACAATTCTTTGTTTTGAAAGGGCAAAGAGAAAGCCACAGCTACAACTTTGTTCTCCGTCCAGGCTTGACATAGGGGGGGACAAACTGCTGATTCTCGAAGGAGGCCCCTTTAAAATCAGTAAGAGACACAACATCCAATCCACTGCGCGGGCAGCCATTGCTGCAGAACAGCGCCCCGTCATCCTCCTAACAGCTGGCACCTCCTGAGAATTTGCACATGCCGGCATAGACAGAGCAATCAGATAGAGATAGAGAGATGGATAGAGAGCTAACATATAGAAAAAAACAGAATATCTATATCTATATCTATCTATCTATCTATCTATCTATCTATCTATCTATCTATCTATATATCTCCTTCACCCCTTAACAAAAGTTACTATTCTCTCCATTTTACAGATGAGGAAACTGAGGTTTCTAAAGGTTGCCACCTTACTCAAGCTCTTAAGCTACTTTAAACTTTCCTTTTGATGATTAAACGGCATGAGGCAGATGCATAACACTTTTCTCAGAACCACCCCCAGAGACAGAAGAGTGGCTGAGCCGTGCAGGGTTTGTCCGAGTGCACCAGGGCTGTGTGGAGAAGAAAAGAAGGGCAGCAAAATCAGATCCTAGAGGAAAATCATTCACTTATTGACGGGCAATGTCAACTGCCCTGGTTATGAATTATATGAATTATATGAATTCTCACCTGGTTATGAATTATAAGAGGCCCACACCCATTTTAAGAAAGACTTAGAATCAAATTCTTCCAACTCAAATCCATAACCACCTATTAAGTAACCACTTTATTCGTCGATGAATCTCAAATGCCTAAGACAGTGCCTGGCACATAGTAGGTGCTGAACAAGTATTTGCTGTTTCTTTATTGAATTGCTTATCTGTGTGGAAGGCACTTTCCAAAAGCCTACTCAGGGTGTCCAGTTCTTTCTAACCAGATGCTTTCAAATCAAATATGAATGCTTCTTTTAAAACAGGAATGGAAACAGCACAAGCCTTGCAGGGAAATTCTGACCTGGCCCCTTGCAGGCTGTGTGACTTCTAGAAGGTTCCTTAGTTTCTTGGAGCCTCAGGGGTCTTGTCTGCAATATGGGGATAGGAATAACTCTACATCTCTTGTTCATACAGTAGCGATCATAAAATAACCGTACAATGGATCATACCATGAAGAAAGGTATTCTGTGCCATGAGTACGATGAGGTGGGTCCCCAGGGCCACCACTTTAAGCCTCTTCCCTCTCTGGTTTCCAGGCCCCACATACCTCAGTAGTTATGGGAGGACCAAGACTAGTTGTCCCTTCTGTCCTGGAGGGGCCTGAGGTCCTGGGCTTTTCCAGCTGTGGTTCCTTGGACTGAGCATCCAGACAGCTCCTCTGTGGGGCCCTAGGGCTTCACTCAGCAGTCTGCTCCACCACCACCCAGCTCACGTTCACCTCTTCTGTTTCTCCACGTCAGCTCCCCGACTCTGGGCCTGACAAAGCCAGAAACCAGGAGGAGAAATGCTCTGGCTTATCCATGGAAACAAACTGCTGCTTTTCAGAGACAAGACATCACCCAAACACAGGTCTATTTCCACAACACTTGAGCCCAGCGCTGAATGCCAGCTCCAGAGGGCACCATGGGTTCTCCAGGGTTTCTACATGTCTGCACTTAGGAGGTGCTCAGGGAAAAGTAGATGATCCATGAACACCATATTTCCATAGTTGCAGAAAGGGGTGATGGTTTCCTTTATGTCTAAGAAGTCTCATATCCAAGGAATGACAGGTGCTAGGAGCTTTCCCACATATCTTGCTTCGTCTTCCAATACTGCGATGGTCTGATCCCCACTTTACAACTGAGAAAACTAAAGCCCAGAGAGACCTAGTTACAGTTAGAAAGTAAGTCAGAATTTGAACTCATGAGATTCCAACTTTATTTTACTGGGTTTGAGAAAGTTTTTACGAATTATATTAAATCAGAGAGAGAGAGAGAATTGATTTTCAAAGTGGCTCTATTTTTTATTAGTTCAAAATCTGCATATTTTTATAAGACATACAAGCCTGGAGGTGGCAAGCAAACAAAATCCAAGCCAATGTGATTTCAATTTCTGTTCAAAGGGCAGGCAGAGTTAACACATAGATGCAGGCATTAGGATCTGCTTTGGCAAAGTGAGCCTAAAATAGCTGCTGTCCTATTCCCTGCCTCTCCCCCCAACCGTCATTCATTAATTTCTGCTTTGTGGGCGCCGAGGCTTGCCGGCTGCAGACAAGTCATCTGGCCTCGCAGACTTTTTCTGCAGCAGGGTAATAAATGTTCACAGGGACCCGACAGGAGATGGATGAGGGGACACATCGAGGTCACGATCACAGTAGCTACTGGATGCGCACGTTCTGGGGGGATCCCTGGGTCTGAAATGATTCTCTTGGTGACCTCAAGAGCATCTTCATGTTTCATCATCTTGGCTGGCACTTGAAAGGATGGTTTATGATCCTCTGATGGGAACAGTGAGGAGTGGCAGCACCTTGTGGGTTATGAACCTCCAGGATGTGGGTTCCCGGCCTCCCCAGGGCAACACTGGGTAGACCTTATGCCTGCTTCCCTGTCCTCCCAACTAGCCTGCAAGTTTATGAGGACAGCATTAGGCCTGGTTCACAGCGATATGCCCAGGAGCAGTCACTGACCCCAGGACATGTGGTGGGGGACAGAATGAGCCAGGAGCAGAGGAAAATGGGAGCCCACACCCGCCAGACACTGTGCACTCACTGGGGGATTCCTATGTGGGTGGGTGGGTGGGTGACTGGGCCTTACTCACTGGCAGCCCTGGATCCTGCAACAGGCTCTTCTGCTTCCAGTCACCTGTCATTGTGTGCCTACAAACTTACATCAGGGGCTGGGGCCTGGGGGCAGATAGAAGATGTATGAATGTCCATTTTCTTCCAGACAGGATTGATAGGCACATTAAATGAGATAATGCAGGAAGGCCTGCCTGACACACTGTATCGCAAAACACAAAAGTGTGAAGTCATTCCACAACCAACAACCTGTGGATCTAAGGCTTGACAATCACACTTTTTGGGGGCTGGGGAAATATGTTTCTGATGACACAGTTGAAAGAAACAGTATCTGGTATTTTTAAAGTCATGGATATTCAACGCACATTTCATAACTCTTATAGTGGAGAATCCAATATGCCATGGCTAAGGGCCTCCTGCTTCCATTGGCCAACCTGTGAAATGGGTACAATCTACTCTTTTCCCTAGCAGATATGTGAGTGCCTCCTATGTGACAGGCCTGCTCTGGTGTGGGAGCACTGCAAGGAACAAAAAAGACAAAACCCCCTGCCCTCACAGGCTTCCATTCCAGTTAGGTGGACAGGATTAACTCCCAGTAAAGTACACAGCAAAGCTTGATGCTTCCTTCATTTGACTGTGGCTCCTTTGCTATTTTTAAAACAAATGGCGTAACAAACGCCTGATTCTGCTTCTTGCTGTTTCTTTGCGGTGATATGTTCCAGAGATAGAACCATTCTAGCAATAGAGATATGAGCCTACTTCATTTCTTTGTTTCTGTTATGTGGAATCAGCTCCCTCTTGTGGGGCAATCACTAGAATGCAAACTCCACGAGGACAGGAACTTGGTTTATTTTGGTTATGGTTATATCCCCAGAGCCTGGCACACTGCCTGGCACATAGTAGGAAGCCAATAGATGATTATTAGGTGAACAAATACATCTAGGTCATTCCAATGCCTTGATATCAAATGATGTTCAGTGATCATCTCTGCATAAGCCTCTCTGGGCGTGGGACCATGTCTCTGTTGCAGGCACCATGCAGTGGGCTTACCAGGCCAGAGCACCTGTGTCTTTATTTATAACTTTTTATTTGGAAGTAAAGGTTCACAGGAAGTTGCAAGGAAATGTACAGGGAAGACACATGCACTCCTTCCCCTAGCCTCCCCCAAAGTTAACATTTGCATAAATAAAGTATAATACCAAAACCAAGAAATGGGCATTGTTACAATCCACAGAGCTTCTTCAGATTTCACTAGTCATACAGGCACCCATCTTTGTATGTGTCTGTGTGTGTGCACAAGTGCATATGTAGCTCCATGCAATTTTATCACATTACCTTTGCATAACCACCACCACTATCAAGGTACTCAACTGGACCATCACCACAAGACTCCTTCGTACTACCCCTTTACAGCCGAATGGCTCTCTCCCCCATCCCTAACCTTTGACAACCAGCAGACTGTTCTCATCTCAGTAATTAGGTCATTTCACTAATGTTACATAAATGACATCATGCAGTATGTAACTTTTTAGGACTGGCATTTTGCACTCCTCGAGGTTCATTCAGGTTGTTGTGTGTATCAATAGTTTGTTCCTTCTTATTGCTGAGTACTGTTCCACGGGGTGGATGGACCACAGCTGTTTAACACATGAATGTATTTTTAATTCAAGTAGGTGCTGCTGAATTGCCCTCAATGGGCTGTGGCATGAAAACTCTGACCAGCAGAGTATATGGCACCTATTTCTTCTCCATTCTCACCAATACTTGATAGCATCACATTTTTCAATTTCTGTCAGTCTGATGAGTGAAAATTGATCACTCATTGTTTGGGGATATACATTTTCCTGATTCTACCAATAAAACACTTCTGGAAAACTCTTTGCACATTAAGGGGATCTTGGGCATTACAAAGACTTAAGTAGGGATGTCTGCCTGCCCCCTTCCCCCCTCCCTCTCTGCTGACAGCCCTAGAGGTCAATGCTGATTTTGGCAGCTGTGCAAACTGAAGGTCTCTATGGCCCTAATTAATGGCTGGCCTGTATGCAAGCCATTTCCAGTGTGATGTTGTGGCTGCTTGTGATTAAAAGGGGAAGTCTATGTCCCCACTCTTTGAATTTTGGGTGACCCTGTGACTTGCTTTGGCCAACAGTGTCACTAGAAATGACACTGCTGTATGAGTCTGTTTTCATGCTGCCGATAAACATATACCCAAGACTGGGCAATTTACTGAAGAAAGTGGTTTAATGGACTTACAGTTCCACGTGGCTGGGGAAGCCTCACAATCATGGTGGAAAGCAAGGAGGAGTAAGGCACATCTTACATGGATGGTAGCAGGCAAAGGAGGGAGGGAGGGAGAGAGAGAGAGAGAGAGAGAGAGAGAGAGAGACAGCTTGTGCAGGGGAATTCCTCTTTTTAAAACCATCAGATCTTGTGAGCCTTATTCACTATCATGAGAACAGCACATGAAAGACCTGCTCCCATGATTCAATTACCTCCCACCGGGTCCCTCCCACAACACATGGGAGTTCAAAATGAGATTTGGATGGGGACACAGCCAAACCATATAAACTGCCAATTCTGAGCCTAGGTCTCAAGAGTCCTTGCATGCTGCTTGCTCTCTCTCTCTCATAACTCTACCACTGTTACGTGAACAAACACAGGCTAGGGCAGACACTACATAGAGTAAAGGAGAGTTGTCACAACTGAGGTCATCCCAGACCAGCCTAGAGCCAGCCAACCCCTAACCAAGTGAGAGAGCCCGCCAGGATCCACAGAGCTACCTACCTGACCTACAGCAGACTACAGACAAGTGAGAGAACCAGCCAGGACCAGAAGCATCATTTAGCTGACCTGTAGATTTTTCAGCAACAAGACATGCTTACTATTTTAAGATGCTGACTCTGGAGCAGTTTGTCACATAGCAATTGCTAATAGTGATACAGCAGTGCAGGAGGCAATCTTCAGCTAGACAAAGCTCCCTGAACATGGTGACATTCCCACAAGACAGATCTGAAAAAGTCTCTGGCAAAGTCAGTCTCAGATGTCTTGGTTGCAACATACAAAGTCCCACATAAGTTCCCCACCTCAATCCCAGCCCCCAGCCACCCACTCTGAGTAAGGAACTTGAACAACTTCTGTCAAAGATAGTTCTCGTCTTAACATAACAGTGGGTGAGAAACCCAAAGTGGTGAAACTGCCTCCTCCCCAGCCTCACCCTATGAAACACGGTGTTTGCAGATAAAAATACTCTTTCCCCTCCTCTCCAACATGGAAACTGTCCAGGGTCAGCCTCCCACACACTTCCACTCAATTTCTGACTCTGGTTATAAAACCTTGTGCCCAAAAATAGATTCCAAGGGGATTTCATAGACATGTTCTCCGGCATAATTGCAGTGTTCCTGCAAACTTTGGGGAAATTCAATTTCAGTCTTTGAACACACAGTCTTCAAAGCCCTGCCTCCCAGGTATTAAACATCAGGATGAGCTGCGATTGATTCCTCTCTCTCTCTCTCTCTGGTTCTCCCACAGCGAGGGCAGGTGTCAGATGCAGATGTTCTCCATGCTCTTCTGCCTCCTTTGGTTTCAGCCTTTCCTCTCCGTGCCCACCTCCAAATGGCCTGGCGCAGGGTTTCCGCAGCTGCCTGGACTTGCTGACTCTGTAGCCTCCTCTGGCTCCTGGTTGCTCTTCCTTCCATCCCCTGCCCTGCCTTCCCTCTGCTTCACAGCAACAAAGGCAGCCCTGACACCCCCTCACTCACTTCTGATCCCTTTAGTCATTGCAGCTCCCCCTTTCCACCTCACACAAGGGCAGAGTTTGGGCAAGAGAGAATGCTAGAAACCAACCATCCCAATCCCTTTACTTTTTGGGTGAAGAATGGAAAGCCAGACTGGCAGGAAAGCCAATGAAGTCAAGGTGAAATGTGGAGGTGGTAACCAAGATAGAATAGAAGCCCAGGGTCCCTGCACCAAGGAGTCGCCATTAGGTCTGGTTACCTACCAAGTTCCAAACCAATAACAACACTATTGATAGTAAGAATAGCTCCATTATTAAATTTTTATGATATGCTTGGTACTGGAAACATTGAACTATTATCATCATTTTACAGATGGAAAATTGAGGTACAGGGAAGGGAGTGTTTTCCCTAAGGTCACATAGCTGTTCACTGGCAGGGCAGGGATTTGAAGTCAGATTCGATGCCAAAGACCATGGCTCCTCAAGCCCACCCTGAATCCTATTACAAACACCTCTCCCATTGTGCTTTTTTTCCTCTGCATTTTCACTGCACCACGCCTTTCCTAGGCCTTCTTGTCAGTTTCCAGGCTTCCCTTTCAGTCACTCCACCACCTGCTGGTCTCATGTGGGCCCTGAATAGTCATCACAGCCCCTTTGCAGAAGGGAGCCAGCTTTTCAGAACAGATCTGTGCTGTAAGTCAGATCCTATGACCTCCTGGCTGTGTGACTTTGGGCAAGCAACCTCACCCTCTGAGCCTCAGCATCTATAAAATGGGGACAGAAGGATCTACTCCATAGAGACACAGGAAAGATGAGATAAAATAAGTATAAGGACAATACCCAACATACAGTAGGCCCTCCAGAAAGAGTCCCCTTTAGGCTCTATCGCACTCTCCTCCACTGTTTGAGGACAGAGATGTTTTTCTCCACGACATACCTCTGCCCATCTCTGGGGCCTCTTCCTATGGATGTATTCCCTGCTCCCCACCCCATGGCACATACAGTCTGCCTTAGAGGCCAGGCCTCAAGTCCAAATTTTTCTTAGGTTCTAGCATTTTCTCGACAACTAAATTGCAACATCTTTGAGGACAAAGCCATTCCTATGCTCTCTGAAGTACCTAAACCATCCCCTCAAATTGACAGGCGTGCAGCAAATCCTAAATCTCAGGGTTTGATGGAGAAACATCTACTGATTTCACTCACTCATTCGTTCATTCATTCAGCCAATACTTTTCTCAATACCTACCACGTGCCTTGCCCTGTGCTAGCCTTCAAGGGACTTGGGAAGGAATAAGTCTCAATCCTTGTTCTCACAAAGCTCCCTGCCTAGATGGGAGGCAGGAGAGTCAGCGTACAGTTGGGGCAGATGGTAGGGGCTGCTCCCCAGTGGACACTCCCTCCTACTTCCTGGCTGGCAGAGCCCTGACTGTGTCAGTTTCTGCCTGTGCTCTCAACTGACTCA
The DNA here is from genome assembly GCF_000001405.40 of Homo sapiens. Lineage (NCBI taxonomy): Eukaryota > Metazoa > Chordata > Mammalia > Primates > Hominidae > Homo > Homo sapiens. The sequence continues at coordinate 10,698,095 of NC_000003.12, forward strand.
GAGATAAGTCCTGGTCCATTTAATCCCTGCTGGGCTCATTCCTCGGCCATGATTGGTTTAGGCATGGCCACGTGACCCAATTCCAGCCAATGAGACACAAGAGGAGGTTGGTGGGGATGTCTGGAAAAGAATTCCTCCCTGATAAAAGAAACGCAGAGATACCTCCTGCCTTTTGTCCCTGGGGTGCTGTGAGATATTCAGGGGATGCTCTGGACAGGGATAATGCCTTCTGGTTGACAATGGCAGAAAGACAGAAGGACCATGGGTTTTGATGGCATGGATGAGCCACTGGGTTAACCAACTCCAGAGCTAATCCACCTTTGATTATGTGAGGTAAGAAAGGGCCATATGTTTAAGTCAGCTGAGTCAGGAAATCCAATTCACTGAAGTCAAAAGCAGGCTCCCTGGCTCAACAGTTAGTACACAATTGTTAACACTTTGACAATGACCTGCAGAACATCCCTCCTGGACCCTGACCAGCTCTGCCTTGCTTTGGGTGGTGGGGATAGGGAGTCTGAGGAACAGTTTCACAAAAAAAGTCTCATGTGACCAGTCTTCCTTTGCAAGGGTGAGCAGGAGCTGGCTTCCCACAAGATGGCATCTGCAAAGACTGGAGGCACGAGCCAGCCTGGGGAATGTGCAAAGGATAGGTTTGGAGTTGTGAAGAAGCCCACATACTATAATTGAGGACAACGGCTCCTTTTGCCACATCCTCTCCAGGCCTCGCTTTGCTCCTCTGTAAAATGGGGATGGAGACATTCCTTGCAGGGTGGTGGTGAGGCTCCAAAGGGACTGTGCACATAGAAGCACTTACAATTGCCTGACTCTACATAAATCATAACCGTCATCCACTCTTACCCTTCACCTGTGGGATGGTCTTCTAAAGCCCTACGGGCCTTGAAAACCAGCTCCTATTTCCTCCTCCCTCTCTTCTACTTCCTATATCCTGGTTCCCTCCGGCCTTCCAGCCCAGCCACAATCACCTATTCATCTTTCTTCTGTCAGACCCTTTGCAAGCTGCCCCTAAGCCAGGAAGGATTTCTTTACCTGATCATATCATAGCTCTCTTCTCTTCTTTCACCCTAAACAGTTCTCTTTGATTCAGTGACTCCACTTCTAGGAATTCATCCTCAGAAGATGCCTGGACATGTGTCCAGGGGTCCACATACAAGAATGTTCATCACAGTGTTGTCTATAATAGCAAAATTCTGGACACAACATAGGTGCCCATGAGAAAGGAATACATTAAGTAAATCATGGCAAAGCCACTTATAAAATATAAGGTAGAAGTATATTTATTGATATTTAAGATGACCATTATTACTGAGTGAAAGAAAGGGACAGAAAAACAGAATATCTATTTATCTATCAATCATAGAGAAATGTCTGGAAGGACATTTGACAAAATATTAATGGAGATTAGCTTTGTTTTGTGGTGTTTAATTAGAGTTTTACTTTCTTTTTTGTATTTTTCAATACCCCTTGAATTTTCCATAATCATTATATAACATCTCTATAATTGGGGGATGTGATAGTTTAAGTGTGTTCCCCAAAGTTCATGCATTAGAAACTTAATCCCCAATGCAACAGTGTTGAAAGGTGGGGCCTTTAAGAGGTGATTAGATCATGGGGCCTCTGACCTCATGAATGAATTAATGTTTTTATCTCCAGAGTGGGTTCATTATGGTGAGATTGGGTTTGTTTTAAAAGTGAGTTCAGCCCCCTTTTGCTGTCCTTCACGCTTGCCTTTCCACCTTCCACCATGGGATGATGCAGTAAATAGACCCTTGAAAGATGCCAGTGCCATGCTCTTGGACTTCTCAGTCTTCAGAACTGTGAACGCATACATTTCTCTTCTTATAAATAACCCGGTTTCAAGTGGTCTCTTACAATAGCACAAACAGACTAAGACAATGTGAAAAAAGCTACTTTTATTTTGAAAAGAGAAAAAATACATATATAGTTCCAGCTAAAATCAACCTACTTTGGGCAATCTTCCTGAAAGTCATGTGAGACAGGATTGGAGAGTGTGCTATACTTCTGATGACCTGGATCCCCCTCCATGACACCCACCTCTGCTTGGAAACTTTCTAGTGTGGTGAGCTCATTCCTGTGCCAGACCAAGCTCTATTGGTAACAAACTCGTTCACATTGCACAGGAATCTCACTCTCTGTCCTAAGTGTTCTGCCTTCTGTGCCTCACAGAAAAAGCCCAATGCTCCCCTCTCCCCCACACGCTTGTCTCCACCCAAGCCACTCAACAAATAACATGATTTCCTGCGATATGTCCCATTCTAGGCAGAGCATGAGTAAAGGCCTGGAGATGTGCAAACAAGTGTCCCATTTCAAAGATGTTGTGGACTTGTCAGGCATAGCATGGAGAGATGAGGACAGGGTGAAACTGGAGAAGTCAACAAATGCCATGCACAGTAGGGAGACTAGCCATTACCTTGCAGAGCTGTGTCTCTCCCCCATTTTGTGTTCGTAATACCTCAAACACTAACATTTTTGGCATCATTCTTGAAGGAATGAAAAGACTCAAAAACATCTCCAAACAAGTTGTGATTATTTCAGTCCATGCCCTACTGGCATCTGTTAGAATGGACTGAGTTATGCTCAGTAACAAACATGACCAGTGTGCCATAGCTTAAAACAAAGGCTTACTTCTCACTGATGCTACATGTCCATCATGGGTTGGCTGTGAGCTCTGCCCTGTGTCATTCTCACTCAGAGAACCAGACTGAGGGAGGTTCCATCTCCATGCTGCCTTGATTGCCAAGAGAAGAAATGGGGAAAAATAGCAAACAGCATGGTGGTTATTAAAGCTTCCATCCAGAAATGACACATGTCACTTTTCAAAGCTCATTGGCCAAAGTAAGGCATGTGGCTATGACTAATGTCAAAAGAGGTAAACCAATTCAATTTATCATGTGGCTAGAGAGTAAGGAACTGGAGATATTTCTATAGCACGAATGACTAACCAAACCAAATTAGTACACTAAAAAGAAGAGAGAGAAGAGGAAGAGGGGGAGGAGGAAGAGGACAAGAAAGGCACTGATTTGCTGAGAGAGTAGAACTTTCCTGGCCTCATGCTCTTATCTACTCCTGATGGCAGCGTTGGAGAAATTCCATTCAATGTGGCATCTGTCTCTATACCAGTCTCATATACGAAGCCTCTTATATCCCACCTATATGCTGCACCCTCCTTATACCCTCACCCTTCATGGTTCACCCAGTTCTATATTATGACTGCTAGATGTTCACTTCAACAGTTCATTTCTCCAAATAGCGCCAAAAGCAGATTTTTCAAGTTAATCACGAGTTGACAGCCTACCATGAGTTTCTGAGAAACACTGAACAGCAATCACTTAGGCAAGGTGGCCTCATCCTAGAGAGTTGTTTTCATTGTGGTTGTACCCATCGTTGTTGTTGAGGAGTGACAGTTTGTATTTCATAAGAAACGCATTCATCCAATGTACATTTATTAACCACCTACTATGTGCCCAGGTCTGAGGATGCAATTTTTTTTTTTTTTTAAGACAAGACCCATCATTTCTTTTGTTTGCAACTTAGGTTTGCTTCCTATTTCTCGGGTTGCAGAGCCCTCTGGAAGCCTGAGGAAAGCTATGCAGACCCTCTCCGTATGCCCCTGCGAAATGCCCAGCCTTACAGACTGTTATGTATGATGGAAGAAAGGTGGTCACAGGTTTTAGCACAAACATCTCCAGTCCTCTATCACTCTTCACACACATCTACTATGTGCCTACGTCTGAGCATACAAATTTTTTTTTTTGAAAAAGAAAAGAGCCAGTCAGTCTCACCTTCTGCGAAACATAGTGACAACTGGACAACAGATACTGAGGCCCAGTTTTACTTTTTTGGGTACTCCTTGTTCTTCTCACAACCTCCCCCTTATCAGGGCCTAACATTTCACTGTTTTCCAGTCTCCCAACCTCATGAAGCCAGGAAGTAGCTGATAGCAACATCTTCATACCAGTGGGCTTCCCGCTACCCAGAGTGGCTACCACAGCAGTGAGAGCAGCTTGGAACTGAAAACCCAAGGAACGGATTTGAGATCTGGCTTCATTAATGAGTAGCCACCTTGTAGGGGAAAGGAAGTGGTATTTAGCCACATCACAGGCTTGCTGTGAGGACTAGAAGGTAAAAATTATATGTGAAAAGTGCTCTGTAAATTACAAGGTGATCACGATAGTAACACTAATAGCTGACATCCGAAAGTGCTTACCGCGTGTGCCAGGCACTATTCTGAGACTTTGACTTGTCTTAGTCCTTGTCATTCTCCCAAAAGTACTCATGAGGCAGGCACTCTTAGGATCGCTTTTATAGATGAGGAAACTGAGACAGACAGAGCTGAAGCCACTTACCCAAGATCACAGCGACACAATTAGAAAGCACTGACTCGTTCCCAGGCAGAATGGTATAGAGAGGATGGAGCATCGCACAGGTGCAGCTCATTGCTGATGTTTGTCTTTGCACACGGACACACTAAAAGGACCTGTTCAGCCTTTCCAGGTTCATCTGCTTGCACGGTCATTCACTTGGGCTCTGCCCAGCACAATCTTTGGTCATTTTCCTAAGTCCCACTTTTTATTTTTAAATAAGGAACCGGGTCATTACATCTCCCCAGAATCCTGCCTAGATGTTATGTTACAGTGTCACAGTATTTATAGCACCTGAGCTGCTGCTGGAAAAAACAGGGAGGCATTTTCTGTCCCTGTCATATTCATTCTCCTAAGACCAATGGATATTCCCTTTACTCTGTAATGAGATTAGCGGAGGCTTGTGCATTCCCCCACTCCCATCATTCCTTTTCTCTGTAATTTAGGTCTGCTTCCTATTTCTCGGGTCACAGAGCCCTCTGGAAGCCTGATGGAAGCTATGCAGCCCCTCTCCTTATGGCCCTGTGAAATGCCCAGCCTTACAGACGGTTATATATGAGGGAAGAAAGGCGGTCACAGGCTTTAGCACGAACATCCCCAGTCCTCCGTCATTCTTCAAAGGTCTCTCCCCTGGAGACAATCCTCAGCGGCTCACTCCAGCCTTTGCCCGCCCCTTTCCTGGCTCCACCCTCAGGAGGCGGGGTGTCTTCTCTTATTGGTCAACATGGGAAGAGGGATGGGCTACAATCAGCGTCTCTGCCCTTTCTCCTCCTGGGAGGGAGTCCTGCGCGCAGAAAGCTTGTCCTGGCTGTGCCCTCTGTACCTGAGTGAAGCCTACCTGGGCAGGACCTCCACATGGTCTTCCTTCTAGGGAATCAGTTAGTAGGCCCCCATTTGACCCTCACCCTCACATGAAGCCAGGACCTCCAACTTTGCTTCTATTCTATTAGGGAGAAAATTTATATTCGGCTCCTCTACCTGCCACTCATTTGTTCCTCAAATTGTTGGAGGAGTGTGGAAGAGAGATGCTATTTATGGGGCCCACTCCCACACCATCCCAACATCTGCCATTTCCTAGAACTCCGGATCAGCACACACCTTTTAGCCCGCACAGCCATTCTACTTGAGTGATTCTGGCTGGGCAGTTTATGGAAATCTCTTCGAGTCTCAGTTTCCTCATCTGTCAAATGGGGATTGTAATAACCATGTTTTCTAGCTTCTGCATTTGATGCTTTGACATCTGGGGCCTTGCTAACCCTGGAGGGGCTGTCCCTCCCAGAGAGAGCCAATTACTTGACATAGTGAATGACTGGCCCATGAGGGCCCCTTTCATAAATGCTCAGCCCATCTTCCCAACCGCTTCCTTTATGGAACCCCTGCCCACTGGGCCACACTGCCCTGCCCTAGTCACCCGGGGGCAGGTACCATACTACTAGGAACAGCCACTGTGTCCCAGAGCCTGCTGAAACTATTCAAAGTAGCCAACCCCGAGCCTGCTTACCCTGCCTCACCCATCCCTCCCTGTGGAGGCCACAGTAAAGGCTCTTACCCCATCTTCCCCTCACTCCCTCTGCCTCCTGACTGACCCTAGGGCTTCCCCATGTGGCCCTGTGTGGCATAGCATGTCCTCGCCTCTTAGGAATCTCAAGTAAAATTCTTTTTAGAGGCCATCATTTCCTGAGTGGTTGGCCTCGCCATAACTGAATAATAATAAAACCTATATTTTAAAATGATGATAATATCACCTACGTCTTAGGACTGCCATGAAAATAGATACACATGGAAAAGCATCTCACATAGCAAGTGGCATATGGCAGGGGCTTAAAACCATGCTAGTTTCTCTTCTCTCTGCCCTATCCATAGCTCTTCTCTTCTTTCTACCTTTTTCTTCACCCACCTCTTCCCTGCTGTCTCCTTCCAAGTATCAGCTACCTAATTTGTGGGACCCAGTACAAAATAAAAACGTGTAGCCCCCTGTTCAAAAACTGCTAAGAATTGCAATACGGTGACTGCAGAGCATTAAATCTAGCGGGAAAGCCCTTCTTAGCACAGGCCACACATCCACAAAGCTGGCCCTGCTCCCTCCTCCTTCCCGTCCAATTCTCTTCTGCTTCCCAAATATTTCTAGCCTGATTTTTCAATCCCAAGGCCCCAATAGTTAGCTCCCTTTTTTGGGTTCAGTTAGCAGATTCTAATTTTTAGATACCATAAAGCTTCAATAATTCCACTTAATTGGAGAGGGTGGAAAGGAGGCCAGTTTGAATTAATGAAAAGTCTGAGAAATAAGACATTACTAAAGAAATGCAGTTTTATTACTCTGCAACAGATTTATATGACAACAGGGGAGATACAAAGAAGATGGAAGGGAGGAGGAAGTTAGAGTTTCTTGTATGCAATTTAACACAAAGAAAAGATTTAATTTATAATAAGCATATTCTCTTATTTGCAAATTATGCTACTAAAAATCCTCTCCCTTAAGTAGGTTAATATTTCTCTTGCTGGCAATCAGTTTGCTTAGTGAAACTGTTCTGCTGTTACAAATGCTAGCAAAATTCTTCTGCAGTGATTCCATATAACAAAAAGATTTCCATGACCTTTCAGGCAGTCCATAGTATGGACTGGGTTATAGCAAATTCTTATCAAGAGAAATCCTGCACAACAAATTCTCTCTTTGCTCTCTACCTACAGAACAGTCAAATCTTCCAAACATCCTTCTAAAATTCAGAACTTACCATGTCCCATAGCACCAGGCTTAGACTTAATCTCTGCTGACTCCTGCTGTTTCAGACCTAACTCTTGTCCTGTTGCCATTGGATCTGGACCTATTGTGGGGGTGGTATTCCTAAATAGATCGTATACCCCTACACCTCCAAGCCCTAGCAACCTGGACCTGTAATGTCCTCCCCACAGTCTGTCAAAGTCATAACTCATGTTTCAAGGTCCAGGTTACAGGTTTCCTGCTCCAGAAAGCTGCCTCTGATTTTTCCAGGCAGACTCTGTCTGCTCCCACTGCACATCTATTACATCGTTTGTGCTACTGCCTACAAGTCCTCTTGGAGACAGTGCAAGCACTTGGACTCTGGGTCTCACCCATTTCTAGGGAAGCATGGTAGCCCAGCAGGTCAGTAGCAGAGGTGGTCCCAGCTCTACTACTAACCAGCTGCATGTAGATGGTAACACCGGCTTCATAGCATTGTGAGGATTAAATCAGATGAAACCCCAAAAGCGCTTCGTACACAGCCTGGCAAAAAATAATTGCTCAAAAAATATTAACCTTTCTCCCCAGACACTGGTATATAAACTCCACAAGGTTGCAGAGTGGCCCTGCAGCCCAGTGTGGTTGGACCTTCCTGGTTTATGCTCTGTGGTCCTGGTATTTTTATTAATCGTGCCCTCTCTCACTCTCAAGGTATCTCAGTTTGGATGACAAACTATATAGCCGGCCTACGTAGCTGGGACCAGGTCTGTTTTATTTAGTAATATGCCTCTGGCACATCAAACAGTGCTGAGCACATATTAGGTTCTTAATACAAATTTATCAAATGAACAAATGAGTGTGTCTCTGAGAGTGCTTAGTAAGTGCTTGCACCTGGTAGGAGCTTGATTTCCGCTAGCTGTGGTTGATCTCTCTGTATTTCTAAGTGCCTCCTGACTCACAGAAGGCAAGAATCAAGGCTTAGGGAGTGAGTGAGTGAGTGAATGAATGAATGAATGAATGAGCCTCACCCCTCTGCCATCTCCTCTGTTGCCAATAGTACCCCTGGGGGAAGGAATGACCTCGCACAGAGGTGTGGAGAAGAGTGGTACAGATGGAGGAGGACTGAAGATGATGCTGTTCCCACCAGACTGTATGCAGAGGGGGCCTCTTCCTGGCGCCATGGCTGGGTTTTGTCGTCATTTCCGTTAGACATCAGGTATTGGTTTCTCCCATGGCAGCAGCAGGAAATCACAGCCCAGAGTTAGCCCACCCAGTGGCTCCAGTGGGCTTCTGAGGGCATTGGGATATCTTGTCTCTACCTAACATTCTATAGACAGGCACAGATGCTCAAGAGCCCAGCAGGTGCTGCCCCCTACCAGCCCACACAGAGAAGAGGAAGGCCACGGGAATGATTAACCCTCTCTGGCTTCCCTTCCAGGGCTCAGAAAGGAAATTACACCAGCTGGTAGCCAAAATGTTTTGGATACAGACCATACACTAAGCATGGGCATAACAGTGAGAACTTTAAGAATATTAACTCATTCAGCCATTAGAGTAGCCCTAGAAGGTGGGGAAACTGAGTCAGAGAGGGGAAGCGACTTGCCAGAGGTCACACAGCTAGTAAGAGACAGTGTCCCAGAGCCCAAATCCCTCAGATGTAGGAACCAAACAGCAGTCCTCTCCATCCACTCTAACCCGTTATAAGAAAGCCCAGTTTTCACTCCTGCCCCCTGCTGTGTGACCTTGAGGCCAACTCACCCTCTCTGGGCCTCATGTCCCTTTCCCAAGGCTAATGTTCTAGGAAGCAGTGCTTCTACAGCTAGGACATCACCAAAGGCCAGAGTATCCCGTCCTCCTGAGGCCTCAGGGCAAGGAGGGGTGGCCAGGCCCTGGGTGAGTCCCAGTGTCCCGAAACATGCTATACTGGCTCGTCCTGAGGGCCTGAGGCAACTGCCCAAGTCCACCTTCCGAAGGAGGCTTAGGCACTGGGCTGAAAAATCACGCTGTGGATCTGAGGACCCACTGAATGTGGGACTTCCGAGCTCTTGTGTCACCAGGTGGGGGACCCGTGCGTGCTTGGGGTTAGGGCTGTGGCCAGGGGGGCCAGGAGGAGGGGAGCTAGGAAAAGGTGAGGCTGGAGATGCGGAGAGCACTTGGCAGAGATGCTCTCCTAGCTCTCCTGGCTCCTGTGCTCTTAGCAGCTGCAAATCACGTTTGGGGAAGGGAGAAGCCCCCAGCCTAGGGTGAGTCTCTGCAGCTCTCAACCTGTCCCGAGCCTGCAGGAACTAGAGCCAGGAGAAAGGGGGCCCCCACACTGAGGAGAAGCCAGGTGGGGAAGTCGGAGCCATCTGGGAAGAAGAAATAGGGGGTTCTAGCGTCCCGGACGCCCCCCCAGCTCCGGGGCTGCTCCGAGCCCGGAAAGTTTTCGCGCAGCAGGCGCAAGGCGCGCCCCCTTCCCTCACCCGCAGGCGCCGGGTCCGCGGACGCCCACCCCGGCCCGCCCCGCCCGCCGCCTGGTGCCCGCTCAAGGTCACTGCTGACAAGGCGCCTGCCTCCGCGGGGCGAAGGGACCAAGACACGCTCCGGCTCACGCTCCCGCCCTGGCCCGGCGGGGGTCTCCGGGGCCGAGCGCCCGCGGAAGGGAAGCCAGCAGGGAAAGTGACAAGAGACCGAGCGAGAGGGGAAGAGGCCCAGAGCCCGGGCCCGGCCGCCCCTGCCTCACCTGCGCCGGCTCCGAGAGCGAGATGCTGCCGCCGCCGCTGCCGCCGCCGCTGCCGCTGGTGCGCGCCCGGCCCGGCCCGGCCCCGCTGCGGCTGCGGCTCCTCTGCCGCGGCTGCCCCGCGCTCGCCTGCCCCGCGGCCCCGCCGCCGCCCGCCCGCCTCCCTCCCTCCGCCGCCGCCTCTGCCACCGCTGCACTGCGCTCTGCCCGCCTCCCCCTCCCGCCCTCCCTGCTCACTCCTCCCCGCGCGCTCCCCCTCGGCCCTCCCCAAACTCCTCACGGAGAGCGCCCCGCGGGACCGGAGCGCGCGGTCCCGCCCGCGTCCTCCTCCGCGCGCACCAGTGGGGCTGCGGGGAAGGGTATCCAGTCTTGCCCCGGGGCGTGTCTCCAGGTACCTCCATCAGCACAGGCCCCTGTCCCCGCCCCACCCCCACAGCCAGCCTGGCCCTGGGAGGCATCCTCCCCATTCTTCCCCAGGGGTCAGGGTGCCCCAAGCCTCCCCAGCACACCCGAGCCTGTGAACTGGCCACACGGGGTGGAGCGAATTGGCTGTGGAGTGAATTGGGTGTGGAGTAGGCAGATAGGGAGACCCGCTTTGGAGGAGGGGACCGCTGGTCCAATCCCTGGGAGCTTAGCCTAAGGGCCCTCAGAGGCGAGAAAGGTTAGGGCAGCAGGCAAGGACACGCTTAGCCCCCCAGCCTCCAGTCTGGCCCTGCTTAGGGCCAGGAGGAGTCCAGGACAGTGGCCCTGCCTGAGGAGAAAGTTGAAAACCCCAGACACGCACCGAAAGCACCTCCCCAAAGCAGGCTTCCCCTCCTTGGCTCAGGCCCCAGGTCTTGAAAAGCCGAGCTCCACCAGGAAGCCAGGCCACCTGACTCCCAGTGCCTGGGTCTGCTCCATACCATCAATTAATCATGCCGGCTTGTTTATTTATTTATTGGCTTTATATAAAGCCAAATGCACTGCTCGCAGGAAGTGAGGAGATGGGGAGGGGAGGGCCTGACCATAGTAATTCCCCTTCCCAGGCCTTGCTCTGACGAGTTGAAGAGCTTGGGGGGACCCTGGGGTCTCAGTATCTGGAACATCTGCTTCCTGGGAGTGGCAGGGATGCCCATTCATAGGGCCAAAATTCAACATGGCCTGCTCTCTGCAGCCCTGGGATGGGGCAGAGGACATTCACGCCTGGAGGCTTAGGCATAGGAAGGAGAGAGGGGGCCAGGGAGGCCAGTGGAGAAGGCGATCCAGCAGGTGTGACAGGGGTGTCTCCAGGCCCTTCTTGGCCCAGAGCACTCCCTTCTCGCTGCTTGGCGCTCAGCTTGGCAGGCAGCACTTGCATCTCCTGCCGCGGCCCTGTCCTCTCCCTGGGCACCCAGAGGACATCACCCCAGGGATGCACCCAATCCATATCTCCTCCCACCATCCTCGTGCCAGCTAATGGCACTGCAGTGCCTCCAGATGGCCAGCTCCAGGCACTGTCCCTCAGCCCACCCCAGCACCATGTCCTCCCTGACGGGGCCTGGAATCTGCTCTTCTCTCTGTTGAAGGGCTCTTCTTCAGGTCCCTGACACCTCTTTTCTGGACTCTCACAGCGCCATCCTCTCTGCCTCCATTCTGCTGCCACGCTAGCCTTCATCATGCCCAGTCCTGCTCTAAAACACTTCATAGCTCCCCAGTGCTCTCAGAAGTCTCACAGCCCCAGTATGCCATGCAGGGCCTTTCACACTCTGGCCTCAAGTGCCCTTTCCACTCCTTCCCCACCTGGGTTGCCAGTGCCCCTCCCAGCACACCCTTAGCACTGTACCATGTCTTCCTCTCTCTTCTTTTCCTCCTGTGAAATGCCTTTCTCCTCTCTCAGTCTCTGCCCAGCCACAATGCTGAGGCTTGGCCTTAATTACTATCTTTTATGAAACCTTCTGAAACCAGCAAGCAAATTGAGAAGGCAAAAAGAATAGGCATGAAAAGCCGCACCATGAGAGGTAGCTCAGTGCAAAAGTGAGTGACACCACAAAAGTCCTAGTGACAAAACTCACCTTGGGCATAGCTTCAACTCTGAGCCCGTTGGTTCATCTGTTAAAAGGTGATAGGTTCCACAGCCTCACCCAGGATAAGCACTCAGTAAATGGGGGCTACAGTTCTTTTTCAGCATCTACTGTATGCCAAGGCTCTGAGATTTATAGATTATTGGGTAGGGACTTGGGGGATGGCAGGGATTTCAAACTCAAATATGTAGAAGGACCAGGCATTACCTAGGGAGGTGGGCTGGTTCTGGCTTATGGCTTTCTCCTCTGGAATCTACCAATAAGAAAAAGCAACAGTGTATGTGAGGTGGCAAACAGCAGCAGGCACTGGCTCTGTATGGGGAGGTAATAGGGAGTAGTGCGGACTGTGGCATCTGTGGTGTCAAATGGGTACAGCCACTACCCAACTCCACTGGATGGTGGCTAAGCAGGGATGTGGGCCTGGACTGCCAGTTTTCCATTTTTTTCCAGAGAAGGTGGACATCTGGATTTCTATGTGAATACTCTTGGTTTTTAAATGTCACCAACTGATAAAAAAAATTTTAAACTTTGAGAAGGTCAAACAGAGTTATAGCTGCCATAGTTTTGGCTAGCAGGCTGGCAGCTGCTGGGCTCTGGGTGAATAGGTGGAAGATCAATGTTGTTCATGACACACACAGACATACACACACAGCCCTCTCCTCACTCTGGCGGGATGTCGGGGGTCATGTCCACCTCAGACATGCAGAAGTCATGGGAATGGAGTGGGAACAGCACCTCACTGCAACTGACAGGAGTGGGAAGGGTGGGAGGTGAGGGATCAAATCCCAGTCCTTGTTCTGGTTCTGTCCCTACTGTGTGTGGGAGCTTAGACAGGTCAGCTGTCCTTGCTGAGCCTCAGTGTCCTTCTCTGAGAATGGGCAGGCAATGTGTGTGTGCGTGTGTGTGTGTGTGCACTCGCACACGCAGAATTACCCGGATGGAGCAAAGGTTACGCGAGGTGACCAGCATGTGCAGACTGAGGCCACAGGAGGCTCCACTGCCAACATAGACACACATCTGGTCATGAGGAAGCTGCAACAATCTGGCCACCCAGGAGAAGTCTCAGTCCACTAAAAATAGGGCCCTGACACTCTTAAAACCTGAGGCCTTCTTGAGAGATGGTGAGGGCAGCAGGCAATGGGGGAAGTGGCCACTTTCCTCTGCAGGATGAGGAAGAGACGGGGAAGCGGCTGGTGCTTGGTGAGCAGGTGCACCTGTCATCCCCAAGTTCATAAAGAGAAGAGAAAGGAGCCCTGGTTCCCATCAGTCTGTAGCAGAAGCAGGGGATGGAAATACCCGAGAACAAAACTGGGAATGGCGGGGTGGTCCCAGGGCCAGACTTGGAAAATATGCATGGGGCCTGTGAATGCCCCTTAAACGTGGTTTTCATGTGCTGGAGCTAAAGGTGACTTTAAAAATATGCTAGTTCCCACAATGACCATGCGCTACTATTGTAGCCACAGTAAAAGTGTGTGCCCACACCCAAAATATCATTCTATGAAGCAAAAGGGAGGCATCTAAACTAATTGATAAGCAAGATGTTCATATGATGGAAGCCACCTTTAACACAACGTTCTCCAAGCTGGATTTTCACCTAATTTACCAGGAGAACTTGTTACCAGAATCTGGAAAGAGATTCCTGGCCCTGTGCAGGTCTCCTGAGTGGCAATCTCCAGGGCACGGAGGCTGGAAATGTGTTTCTGACACCCCACCCCACTATGATCAAGAAAGTTTGGCTCAACTCTAAGCAGGCATTTCTCGAGCAGGGGTTAAAAGAATTACAAGCCAGGTCTTTCCCATTAAAAGACTCTAAATGTGGCCAGGAAACTTCAGTTCCTCCTAAACAAGGCAGGATGATATGCTCAAGTTACAAAGTGCCACCAACAAAGATTTAACAGGGTTTTCCTCCCAGGGAGAATGTGGGTTAGAGAGGAGGACATTCTACTCTATTTCAGATCCTGTTACAACAATATTTCTGTGTTTTACTGGTGCAATTTAAAAATTTAAATAAAAAGGACAAATACACCAAGTGCTGACATAGCCTGGGAAAGGAGTAATTAATTCTCTAAATGGCCAGTGGGGAAGACTTCAGAGGTGGAGTTTTAGCTGGGTTTTAAAGAAAAAGTAACAAAATGACAGAAACAATCATTAAACTCTGTTAAATGTCAATTACTCTTCTTAGTATTTGAAATATACTGATTTCATCCCCCCAGCAATGCTATAGAGCAGGTGTTTGTGAGCGAGGCTATTGATACCCCAGCCTCCCCAGCCCCTAGCTCTGTGGAGGTGCCAGCTTCTCACACTTGCTCCCTTCTCCTGGGGATGTTGTCCTTGGCTTACAGGAACCACTGGGTGGCAACAGCCTCCGCACCTCTGCGGTGCAATTCACACACCTGTCGTCCGCATGGGATCAGGCTGAGAGTGGACTTCTCTGGGAACCTCATCTTCGCTGGCCCCTATCCTGCCTGTCTTCTTCTACTATAGATTTCTCCTGTGAGCATACCCCCAGTAAACCCCACACATAAGCATCCCCATCTCAGGCTCTGCTTCTGGGGAACCTGACTTCAGATCATTTTCCCATCCCCATTTTGCAGTTGAGGAAACAAAGTCACAGATCAGCAAAGGCACTGATCTAGAAAGGGGAAGAGCCAGGCCAGCTGACTCCCATCCATCCTAGAAGGATGTTTCTAAGAGCACAAGGAAACAGGAGCAAGGCATGTCAGGCAGACAGAGCACATGATCGGGGCACGGAAACGCATGGAAGGGAAGGGGTGTGAGGGGTGTAGGGCAAAGTGAGGCACAGGGGAGAGGCAGGAGGGAAGGTGAGCTCGCAGCATAGGTTCTGGGAGCCGAGCTGAGGATTCATCCATCCACTGATCCAACACACGTGTTCCTGGGCTCATGGGGAGCCCAGGAAAGAAGATGGACCCACACAAGCTCAGGTTTGCACAAACCCAAATGTTCAGGAAAGCAAACCTGGGCCATTTTAGCTGGGTTCTATAGTAGGGGAAGGTAGGCACAGATAGAGATGGTGGTGGTGGTTGAGGGGTGGGGCTAGAAATAAGGGAAATGCATTTGACTGCACTTCTGCAAGAAAGAGTATGACCATTTGGCTGAACCTAGGCCAGTGTGGCATGGAAGGCCAACTCTGGCTCATGGATATCTTAAAGGGCTGATAGCACCATGGGACTGTGTTTATTAAGATGGAATTAAATGAGGACAAAGAGCCTGTCCTGATTTGTGGTAGTAAGGTTGCAATCCCTCAAGTTCAGATGGAAATCTCCATCTAACTTGAAAGCCATGTATTTGACGGAGAACACTGAGGACTTAAATTGACCATAGATTTAATATTTGCCAGAGTAGCTGCTGGAACGGTGAGTGCAGTTGTAAGCAGGAAACCTTGTCATGTCAGAAAACTGCAGACAACACTGGGGATGGAGAGGAGTCTGCAGGCTGTGTGTGTGGATTGTGATGTCCCAGACAGGCCAGATGCATTCTGTGGGTAGAAAGGGTCGAAAATGGCTACTCAGAGATCAGACTGCTGCCTCCAAAGGGCAGGACCTTTCTGAGGGCTTAGGTTGATCCCCTTTACTGGGTGGGACCCCAAGAAGTAAAAGGAAGAAGGTGGAGGTGAGGAGGGCTGCTAAGTCCAGGGGAGGAAGAAGGGCTTTTCTCCGATAAATATTTGGTCTTTAGACATCATCTTTAGAGAAGATCTAGCATCCTTTTGATGGGGTGACTTTGCATGGCATCCAACAAAGGTGCTGGTATTGCCTCATTCCAATCTTCTGGGCAAACGTGTAACTCTTTGCCTGATAACCCTTTTCTGACAGCAGACACACCATCAGCCCACATACTGGGCAAGCCAGACCTGGTGGAGAGTTGGTACCCGCTGTGAGCAGCCCTCAACAAGTAACTGATGGGAGTTGTTGTGTACATTCTCCAGCTCCCTCGCCCTCGGGGAGGATGACTCTGAGGCCCCGAGGACCCTGGTGGGACTGAGCTCCGGTGGCCCCCAGTGGTGGGTTGCTTAATGATGCATCCTTTGTTGGCCTTTCCTCCCTGCCACTCCTCTCCCCTCACTGGTATTTTCTGGAATCAATTCGCAATTAAACTGCTTGTACTTGAATCCTTGTCTTGGGGTTTGTTTATGGGGAAACAAAATCCAGGAGAGCATCATAGTTAAACTTTGAGTTGTTTAAGGATATCTTAGAAAGCTTCACAGAGGAGTTGGATTAAATTTTGTTTTATACCCTAAAACTGCAATAATTATACTAGTGTGGTCTTGGTGCATGAAGAGATAGACATACCAGTAGAACAGAATAGAAAGTCCAGAAATAGGCTCCAGTTCACCCAGGACGTTAGTATATGATAAAGGCAACATCTTGAATCAGTGGGGTGTAAATACTTAATATATGATGTTGAGACAAACAGGTGATCATGTGGAAAAGGATGGTTCGATCCATACACCATACACCAATGCACACCCCTTGAAATGCCATGTGGACCAAATGTCAAGTGGATCACAATTTTTATTTAATTTTAATTTAATTGCAAAAGCATGGAGGCAGGAAGTGTCAAAGTTTGGGCAAACTTCTTTAAAAATTTGGAGTGGGTAAGGCCTTTCTGATACTCAAAAATTCAAAATCCAGAAAAGATAAGATTGATTAATTTAACAAGATTTAAAAAATCTTTTAAAATTCTATGTGGCAAATAAAACAAAAGACAAAAAATAAATTGGAAAAAATGTATTGCAAAGGTTTAATAACCACAATGTATAAAGAACGTCTAGAAATCAAGATGGAAAAGATCAGCAATCTAATAAAAAATGGGCAAAGGACATGAACAGGCAGTTTCCCCCGAAATAAATCCAAAAGCCTTTTAAATATCTATAAAGCTGCTCAAGCTCCCTTATAAGAGTAATGTATTTAAAAGCGCACTGATAGATCATATGAGTCTGATGCAAGCTATCAGTGAGGCTTGGGGAAACGTGTGCTCTCATCCTTTGCAGGTGGGAATGTGTAACTCTGTTCAGCTCCATGGAGGGAGCTGTGCAACATCTGTCAAAATGATAACTGCAGCTACTCTGCAATCCAGCAACCCCACTTGGAGAAATTTGTTCCATGGATACACCAGTGCACACCTGGAACATGCTATTCCTGCAGCATTGTCCAGAATAGTAAAGGGCTGGAAACACCCCCAAGAGGCCATCAGCTGGAGACATGGTAGATAAATGATGGAACATTTACACAGTGAAATACTCTGCAGCTGTATAAAGAATGAGGAAGCTCTGTATTCAGTGATGGGGAAAGAGTGCCAGGCTCTCTTGAACAAACAAGATGCAAACCAGTATATATCAGTATATGTAACATTCTTTTTAAAAATGGCTTTATTGAAATATAATTTACATATTATAAAGTTCACTCATTTAAAGTAATAATTCAATGACTTTTACTATATTTATGGAGTTGTGCAACCATCACCATAATCTAATTTCATAACATTTTTGTCATCCCCCAAAGAAACTTTAGTGTAAGAAAGGGAGGAAAATGAGAAAATACACACATACACACTAACACAGACACACACACACTCACACATACATATACACACACACAGGTCCATACACACTCCATACATCTCTGCATGTGTTGCACTGCATGTGTTGCACAGGTAAACTCCAGAAAGGTACAGAGGACACTACCACAGGTAGGGTTGGGAATTGTAGGTTCATGTGACATGCTGGAGCTGAGTGTGGTGGGAAGGGCTGGTGGGAAATGAGCCGGGATGAGCCAGCTGGGGCCATATTGTTTAAGGCCTTAAATATCAGGCCAAAGAATTTGGATTTTGTTTCCCACAGAGTCCATGCTGTCCAAAAGAACTTTCTGGGATGAAGTATTCTGTATCTATCCTGTCCAATATGGTAGCCACTAGCCACATGAGCCTATTGAGCCCTTGGGATGTGGTCCATGTAACTGAGGAACTGCATTTCACATTTTATTTAACCTTAATTAATTTACCTTTAAATAGCCATCTGTGGCTTGCAGCTACGGAATTGGACAGCACAGCATAGACCATGGGGAGCCATCGAAGGTTTTGCAGGTGAGGAGTGACACAGCCAGAAATTAGTTTCAGAAAGCTGGGAAAGGATAGATTCCAGGAGAGCAGATGGAGGCTGCAGACAGTTGGAGAGGTGGCCATGGCAACATCACACAGAGAAGGGGAACACTGACCCAAAGTAAGCACCCAGGGCTGGATAAGAAGGGATGGGTTTGGGAAACTTTTAGAAGGGAATATAGATAAGTCGATGGATGTGAGGGTGAGGAGAGAGTTGAGGACGACTCTGCTGTTCTTGTCTTAGTAGCTAAGGGGATCTTCTCCCTCTTCCCCAGCTTCACCTGGCTCCAGCCACACTGGCCTCCTCCCTGTTCCCCCAACACCAAATGCACTTATTCAGATCTCAGCTTTCATCTTGTCTTCTAAGGACAGAAGGCACGCTCTATCTTTCTGTGGCCTGCATCTTTCCCTGAGGGCCCTGCTGTCAGGCCTGTATTTTTCCTCCTCCTGTTGGGAGGGGACTGCATCTTTTGGTCCTCTTCCTCTTCCTGCTAGGAGGGGGCTGTGTCTTTTTTGTCCTCTTCCTCCTCCGGTTGGGAGGGGACTGAGTCTTTCTGGAGCTCTTCCTCCTGTTGGGAGGGGGCTGTGTCTTTTTGATCCTCTTCCTCCTCCTGTTGGGAGGAGACTGTATCTTTTTGGCTCACTTCTGTATCCTTACTGCTTATCACAGAGCCTGGCATGGAGCAGGCCTCTAAACGTAAGTGGAGATGAGTGAATAAGGTGATAGGAAGGAAGGGTTGAGAAAACCTTTTTACCCCAGCTTTCCCAAGAGAACTGTCCAGAGACCTGGGAAGAGGTGCTATGGCCGCCATGGTAACCAGCACCTATGCTGAGGTTACAGGCTCTGGGACGGGCCCAGAGGACAGGGTACTGGTCTTTTCGGCCTCTCTAGGCCAACAGCCGGGATGATTTAGAAAATCAAATCCACCCACTCTATTCCCACTGCTCCTTGCTGAAAAGGGTGTCACACCATCCAAGTAATAACAGGACGCTCATCAGAATCCTCAAGGAGGAGGGCCCAGTGGGCCCCGTGGCTCCGTGCACTGAGCACCATATCATCCAGTGAAGCTAGGAAGGTGAATGGGACAGCCGGGGTCCTGCTGCCCCATTGAGCCGAATGCGATTTCTGGCCCTGCCTCTGGCCCACCATGGAACCTTGAACCTCCATCTTCTCATCTAAACACTGGTGGTAGTGATTCCTATTTTGCAATATTGTTGCCAGGGATGGACATTAAAAATGGAATTAAGAGAAATACCTATTGTAAATGACGAGTTAATGGGTGCAGCACACCAGCATGGCACATGTATACATATGTAACAAACCTGCACGTTGTGCACATGTACTCTAGAACTTAAAGTATAATTTAAAAAAAAGAAAAGAAAAGAAAAAAAAAACACTTGGCACATAGTGTGGCTGCAATCATCGTTATCTATCAGGAAACCCCATGACTCGTGAGGCTTCAACTCCCTAATTAAAAATAGTAGAGAGTCCAGAAGACTAGGGGTGAGCATATTCAGCCTAGAAATGAGGTACCACAGTCAGAGATGATGATAATAATCACAATATTGGCAATTATATAGAGCTTGCTATGTGCCAGGCACTGTTTGGATGTTTTGCTTTCACCAGCTCATTTAATCTCACAACATCCATCAGGTAGATGCCACTTCACAGATGAGGAAATTGAGACAGGGGTGAAGGAACTTTCCCGAGATCACACTGTCCTGACTGTCCGGTGCCTCTGTGCTTTCAGCCAAACCTTTCCCTTACTCTCAGAAAGGACACACTTCACTGTTAGAGCCCGACTCTACCCCTGACCTGGAGAACTGGCCCCTAACAGGAGTGTGCGTAGCCATCTGGCAGCCCTGTGTTTGTTAGGTGCCTGGGGTACCAGGTGGGTGACTTGGGATCAGCTGATTCAGGAACAGTCAAGGTCCCAGGACTCAGGGTTGGAGGGTTGGATTGGTGGAGAAGCTGCCTCACTTCTGAGCCTCAGTTTCCACATATGTAGGGCAAGGGATATAGTACTTGCCTTGCAGGGCTGTTGCAGGCATTAACTGGCCTGCTCTATGGAAAGCACTAAGCATGTCATAGGGGCTCCATGAATGCCAAGTCCCTCCCACTAAGGAACAAAGGCACCTATGTGGAGTGATACTTGGGGGTACTGGAGGTGGAGAGAGGAGGAAGGATTTGGGGTGGCGCCTGGAATGGAACTGGAACCCAAGCACCTGGCAGGGAGGGTTTTAGGAAAAGGGCTGCCACCGGCTCCAGCTCAGGGTAGAAGCTTCCTGTGCCTACCCGGGACTGAGCCCAAGAATGGAACCAGGAGAAATGTTCTCATTAGCAGGGGAAATGCCAAGTTTGTCAGCACTGATTACAACTATTAAGTTGTGTATAAATGTGGACAAGGAGGGCCGGGCACAGTGGCTCAGGCCTGTAATCTCAGCACTTCAGGAGGCCAAGGCGGGCGGATCACCTGAGGTCAGGAGTTCGAAACCAGCCTGGCCAACTTGGTGGAACCCCGTCTCTACTAAAAATAGAAAAATTAGCCAGGTGTGGTGGCAGGTGCCTGTAATCCCAGCTACTCGGGAGGCTGAGACACAGTAATGCCAGTTACTTGGGAGGCTGAGACAGGAGAATCGCTTGAACCCAGGAGGCGGAGATTGCAGTGAGCCAAGTTTGTGCCACTGCACTCCAGCCTTGGTGATAAAGCGAGACTCTGTCTCAAAAAAAAAAAATGTGGACAAGGAGAAGGAAAAATAGAGAATGAAAACAGTTCTGTGTTGTGTCTCTTTTTTTTCTTTTTCTTTAATGCTGCTATACTTTTCAAGAAAAATAAATCGGAAAAGAATGAATCATGATGGCCTTTGTCCTTTTCCTTATATTTTCTGCCCAAGACTTTCTGTTGGCTAAATGTAGAACGTAGCAAAGTCTCCTTTGGAAGGGGACACAGATCAATGAGACACCCCCCGCCACTCTCCATCCAAGCTCACTGGCCTGTATGAGGGGGAAACAAGGCAGGACTGACAAAGTTCCCTTTTCTTAGCCCAAGGTCAGCCAGAGAGGCCTCTGGGATGAGGCAATCCGGAGTTTAATCTTAGGCAGTGAGTAGAGTGGTCCTAGAGGACAGTGTGTGTGAGCACGTGCTTGTGTAGAGTGTCTTGGTCTGTCCAGGCAGCTACAACAAAATACCATAGACTGGGTGGCTTATAAACCACAGAAATGTGTTTCTCACTGTCCAGAGGCTGGGAAGTCCAAGAGCAAGGCGCTGGTAGAATTGGTATCTGTTGAGGCCCACTTCCTGGTTTGTAGAGGACCTTCTTTTCACTGTGTCCTCACATGATGGGAGGGGTAAGGAAACTCTGGTGTTGCTTTTTTAGGTTACCAATCCCATTCATGAGGGCTCCATCCTCATGACCTAATCACCTTCCAAAGGCCTCACATCCTAGTACCATTGCCCTGGGGGTGAGGATTTCAACATAGAAATTTGAGAGGGATATAAGCTTTCAATCTATAGCAATGCATATGCATGCATGTGTGTATGTGTATACGTGTGTGTGCATGTGTCTATGTGTGTGCATATGTGTGTATGTGTGTGCACATATGTGTGCATGAATGGGAGAGAGAGGAAGGGCATGCCTGGAAGTGGGCACGGCAGGAGCAAAGGCAAACAGGTGACAGCAGCATGGGACATGGAAGAAACTGGAAGTGACTCAGCCCCCGGAGTGTGATGCGGGACACTGAAAGCATGGGATACAGGCCGGAATTAGTAGAGGATGGAACACTATAGTCCTCAGAAGACGCATGATGGGGATTTGTTGGATTTCATCCTAATGGACACAGGGAGCCATGGGTGGGCTCAAGCAGCGTGTGACATGATCAGAGCAGCAGGGATGCTTTTCTGGGAGAGTTTCTGCACCTCCACGCACCTTCCCCAACCAACACTTGTGGCCCCTGGACCAAAGCCTTGTCCTGGTTTCCACACTTCCCCAGCTATGGCAGCCACCTATGACCTGATGTAACACAACCTGAAATTGACGGTTAAGGCTTCGGGTTCTGTGAAACAAATCAGTGGCCTACTTTTTTATGTGCTGAGTGAGAAATTTGATAAAACAGGTGCCCCTATAGATTGTCCCAGGAAACACAAGTGGGGCAGAACTAGGGCATGTAAGTTCTAGGGCTGGAGAGGCAGATGTGGAGGTGGTAGAAAGGCAAACTTTCTCAAGATAAGCACTGCCCCGCGCCCAAGTGGTCTTCCATGGGTCACTCTGGAGAGCTGCCCAACAGAGCCAGCTCCCCTGACTCAAACAGGCCTGGGCTGGGTAGTTGTCTGTGGAGGCTAGCACCTTAGCAAAGGGCCTCTCCAAATTGCGGTAATTGTATTCAGAACAGAGACTCTTAAGCGTTTGCTAAGAGCAGTTGAAGACCTGTTAGCAACCCTGAACCCAACTGTTAGAAGGAGTTTGTTGAAAACGGAGTTTGTTTTTATGTCTTTCCTTTTATTTGGTTTCCATATATTTATTATCCCCTCTGGGATTCAACTAGACCAAAAAAAAAAAAAAAAAAAGAATTTGATGGGGAAAAAAGGTACTCTGAATAACAGGTTCTCTGTGGGGAGAAAGTGTTCATTTCAAAAATAACCTGAAAGCAGGGAGTGACGGTCCCCATTTCTCAAAGATGAGACAAAATCTAAATGACTCTCTTGAGCATCCAAAGGACTTTTGTGCAAGGCAGCCAATAAATTAAGCCCTGTTTAGAAGGCATCTTCTTTCTTCATCTCTGGTCAATAAAAGTAGCTATTTCTCCCAGTCCAGTGCTTCCTTCCTGAACAACACCATGGGAAGATGACAGATACGTTTTCTCCAGCCACTGCCAGGCTGTGTCTGATCCTTTCCGCTCTTCTCTCCTTACCACGTTCCCTTGTGTTCTCTGGTCCCATCCCTTCCTTGTCTCGAAGGCCCCTTTGACTGTCTATACCCAGAATGTCTCTGGGCCATGACAGAGAAAGCCCTGGGGTTGGAGTTAAATAGCAAACCAACCTGTGTTCGAGTCTTGGCTTTGCTCCTTGGTGTCCGTGTGAACTTGGGCAAGTGGTTGACCACCATGAGCCTCTGCATCCTCCTCTGCTAATTGCAGTTAGTATTTTCTACTTCCCTGGAGTGTTGGGAGGGGATCATGAGGGAAATGTTGCAAAAGCCCCCGGGCAGGATCTGGCACACACAGCTGCTTGGTGAGCCTGAGTTGAATGCTCAAGGGCCGTACCCTGGTGGGGCCTTAGCTCAAAGTGTGGGGCAGCAGTGAGGGCATTTCAAATAGCCCAGGAACTTCCCTGCATTCCCCAACCCCCTGTGCTATTAACTTGGGACCACCCGACTTGCTCTGGCTGATGGGCCATGAGCCAAGGGGATGCATATCATTTCTAGGCTGACACAGATAACCACTGATGTTCCTCCTTTGTCTCTCCCCTCCTTGCCATGGAGACTTGCAGGGCCCTACCTAAGTTGAGATGACAGAACCAGGAGGTCCCTGAGTCACCACATGCAGAAGAGACTTTGCATGAGCAAGAAATAAACCTTTTATACACTAAGCCACTGAAATTTCAGAGGTTTGTCTGCTCCATTAATTAACTCACCAAGCCAACAAAGCAGGAAATACTTATTGAGCTTATACACATGTGCCAAGCATTGCACTAGGTGCGAAAAATGCAGCGGTGATCAAGGCAGATGTATAGCAGAATTACATGTGCTATGGTGCTATGGTGGTAAGGGAGATGGGGGTCTAACGTGGGCACAGGTGGTGAAAACGAGGCAGTCAAGCTTTCCCGTGAAGATCCTATCTGTTGCAAAGTTTTCAGGAGCAGACTTCTGTGTGGGTTACTCTTAGGTTCAGTAAACCTAAAAGTGGAGAAAGTTCTTGTGCATTTGCTTGTCTCCATGGTGGACTCTGTTCTAATGTGAAGACATTACAGCCTCGGCTCCCTCTAACAGATGTTTATGCAGGTGAAGCTAGGGTGAGGTGGGTTCAAAGGGTGGCAACAAATTAAATTTAAAAAATGTAACTCCAGGCCATTGTTCCTGCTCTCCCAGGGATCCTGCTGTACTGGTCACCTACAGGCAAGATAGGGGGTTATTTGGGATATTTCTCTCTAGTGATTTTTCCTTGTGGGATTGGGGGATGGGCTGATCTTTGTCACTGTAATGGTGCCCTTATGCACCCAATGACTACTTTTCTGAGAGTCTGCTATATGCTGGGTCCGTCCTAAGTGCCAAGGGACAAAAGAGAGCAAAGGAGCATCTCTGAGACCCAGGTGCCCAAATTTAGCTGCCCAGGGATGAAGTCAGGGCCAATGGACATCTCCTCATGCCCCATCTGCGAGCCTAAAGATTGCATGTGGTCCCATACGATGGCCCCATGCAATCTTTATTGGATGTGCAGAGTCCAACAAACCTAGAAGCTTCATTACAGCCTGGGGTTTGCTTTTGAGATTGATGTCTCTGTCTTACAAGCAGGAAGGCAAGACTTGGAGAAGTCACACAGCCAGTTGAAGAGAATGTCAAAACCCAAATGCACACCTCTTCATTCCTATCCCAGGTTTCTTTCCAGTTTACCAAGAAGGAAACAAACCTCCAACTGCATATGAATAAAGAAGGAGACAAGCCCTGTCCCCCCCAACTCTGCAGCATCCTGTTTACACACAGGAACAGCCAACCCTAAATTTAGCAAACAGGACCACATCTCAGCCTCGGCATCAAGTTCCAAAGTGCTGAGGAGGCTATATGCTTTCCCAAGCAAACTGGAGGCACCAGAACGAAAGGTACTATTTGCAGCCTGACACATGAATCATTTAGAGCCTGAGATCCAGTTTGGAGAGTGGCTGGGTGTCCACTCATCCATCCTCGCAAAGCACACCCCAGATCGATACTCGCCTCAGAGCCAAAATCAGAAAAGCAGCCAGCCTCATCGGGCAGGCTATTACTGGAAGCTGCTGAAAGTGGAAGGATACAGGGATGGTGGATTTTGGATGGCGGCCAGCCCTCCTGGGTAATGCCCAATAACAGCACCAAGTACACACAAAGCACTCCTGAGGTTACAATGCTTTTTCTGTCCATAATCCATGGAATCCTACCCAAGAGGGGTGAATGATGCCAGCCCCTTTTGCAAATGAGGAAGCTGAGGTTCAGAGAGGCTGAGGGCTCATTCCAGCTCACAACTGGTCAGTGGCACGGCCACAACAAACAGGGTTTTAGCTTCCTACTGGTTGCTCTTCCTGCTGATCTAGGCTACTGTGTCTTCGGGTTGGCCACAAAAGGGGGAGCAAAGACCTTCCCTGCACCTGTCCCCCACTGCCCTCCCCTCGAGTCAGTTATGGCACTGTGACATTTCCTGCACGCAGGGTGGGGCTACTGATGTCCACAACATGTGTGTGGGCCCAGTGCATCCTCCTTTCTCCACACTGCTGAGAGGTGAGCTGGCTGAGAAAGGGGCCCACAGGTGGTCTGGCCTCACCCTGCCCTGCTCCTCTTAACTTAACCCTCAGGGCCAGGCTTTGGAGAGAATGATGGGAAAGCACTGGGAGGGTGGTTTAGGCCAAACGCAGGAGTGCGGGGGAAAGGTTTGCAGGGAGGAACGTAGTTTTAGTTATGTCTTGGGAAGCCCCCTCTGGCTGTACTGCAGGGGCTGGATTGAAGGGGACAAGACTCTGAGTGTTGGGAAGGAGGGTGGGGGAGGGGGAGGCTGGGACAGTCAGCCAGGTGGTGTACCTGGAAGGTGGAGACTGCTGACAGGAGCTAGAGAAAGAGCCTGATCGGAGTTGGTGGTATGATAGTTGGTTGGAATGGTATGGAAAGAAGGAGCTGAACACTGCACCAACCTCAGTTCCAGCAAAGGAAGAGGAGAAACCTTGTGTAAAAGCAAATGTATTTCTTCATGGCGTATTTATTAAGCACCTACCCTATGTCAGGCCAGGAGGTTAAGACTTTAAAGTCTAGAACTAGAAGACCCTTAGTAAGCAACCAGTTCCAATCCAACATCACACAGGTAACACTGAGGCTCAGAGAGGGCTGGGGGTTGATGAATGCTCACACAGCAAAGGGGCTTAACTGGGAGTCCCATGCAGATCTCTGAACCTATCCGCCAAACATCAGTGCCACCCTGAGGCTCTCCTTCTCAACACATGTTTCAGGGCAACCAGACACTGATTTCTGGGTGCATCTCCAGGTCTTAGACTCAGCCCAGCAGGCACATTCTTAGCCACTAAGCAAAGATCCCGCGTTTACAGACAAGCGCCTAGGCGCAAGATGGCTTTGTCTGGACCTCTCAGAGGCTCAAACCCCCTCACACCGGACACCAGCCCTGATAGGTCCCTGTTTGAGCTCCTCGCCAGGCCTTTCTGGCCTCTGTGTTCTCTGATTCTTCTCATCTTTCCTTTGGAGCTGGAAGCACATTGTGTCTCTCCCAGTGCATTCCAATAACCACAGTGGGCTGTTCTGTTGAATCAATGACTCGGGAAAGAACGAGAGAAAGAAAATAGGAAAGAGAGAGAGAGGGAGGGAGGAAGGAAGGAAGGAAAGAAAGGAGGGGAGAAGAGGGGAGGGGAGGGAAAGGAAGGGAAGGGAATGGGACAGGAGGGGAGGGGAGGGGAGGGGGAGACGAGAGGAAGGGAAAAAGAAGAAAAGAAAGGAGGGGAGGGGAGAGGGGAGGGGAGAGGAGAGGAGAGGAGAGGAGAGGAGAGGAGAGGAGAAGAGAGGAGAGGGAAAAAGAAGGAAGGGCAGGGCAGGGCAGGCTGGGCTCTTTCACCATCCAGCAAAGTGAGCTCAACCAGATTACCACTTCCAGGCCATGGTTTCAAGCACCTGTCTTTAATGAGGCTGTATTTTCTGAACCACAGTTGGGCCACTTGGATGGAGGAAAGCTGTCAGGGAGGCAGGGTAATATGGTGTTCCAGCTTTTTAGCTAGGTACTTCAGTGCTCTGGGCCTCTGGTCCCTCATCTGTAAAATGGAGAGAATGGCACCAGCATGTCATACAGATCCCTGAGCAAGTCATGCAAGGAAGGGTTGGCCTGGAGCCTGCCTGCAGTCCAGGCCTCACACTTCAGCAAATGTAGCTGGCACTACGATGGCTGGGACCCCTGTGGGATGCTCAGGTTGCAAGTTGAAGTGCTGGCTGTTTTGCTGATTCATGGCACCCTTTCTTACACTTTAGCCTGCCTGGAAGTCACCCAAGGAAATTGTTACAATCTACAGTCTCCAGATGGTTAACTCTTCCTGGGTTCAGGCCCAGAGTGACTCAGGCAGTCTGGGATGGGGCCTGGGAACCTGCACTGTTACAAACTCTGCCTGGGTTGCTGTGGATCCCAAAGCCTGTACTGTGAGAAGGCACAAGGTCAGTCACCAGATCCATCCTCAGGTGATCCCATTGGTGTTGGGATCAATGTGGCCAACTCCACATCTTTCCATGCAGAGGTGATAGGACAGGGAACTAGGATGCAGGCAGCATCTGGAAAGAGTGTCGTGGGTACAGGCTGTCCATCAAAGGGACAGAGAGGAACAATGGACATGGTTGGGTCACACCTGGGTGCCCTGCACAGTTCCTCACCCTGGTCAAATGGTGGATAAGGTCCTGCCTCAATTGTGAAGGCCCTAGAGACAGTCACTTTCCTTAGCCCAGCTCCACCTTAGGACGCCCAGCTTTGTGCTTGGTTTAGTCGTTCTTCATTTGCTCACTCAGTCAATCAACAAACACAATCTGAGCTCCTCCACAGTGCCTAGACTAACATGCATTTGGTGCCTCCATGTGCCAGGCTCTGTGTCAGCAAAAGGATCATGACCTTCAACTTGTCACTTCTTGGAACCATCTATATAAAGGACAAAATAAGAATACGTATTAGAGAGTGTTATGGTGAGCATGCAATGAGATAATGCATTTTAAGGGCTCGGGCCCGGCCTACTGAATGTCAGGAGTGGCCAGTATTCCCTATAGCATGTGCCTCCACATTCAAGTTCACCTGTCACCCTGCCCCCAACCCTCTGTATCCCAGGAGCAATAAACTTGCCTCAGGTCCCCAGAGGCCCTGCTCAACTCTCTTGTTTCCAGGCCTTTGTAATGCTGTTGCCTCTGCCAGGAACACTCTTTCTCCCTTCAACCTCTCTTCCACCCGCACACACACTGCCTAATTCGTCCCTGAGGTTGCCACTGTCACTTCTTTAGGGTTGACTCCGCAACACCACCTCCTAACTAGTAGGACCCCCTGCCACGCATTCTACAGAACAGAACTTCTCAACTTTGGCACTTCTGACATTTTGGGCTGGATAATTCTTAGCTGTGGGGCTGCCCTGTGCATTACAAGGTGTTTAGCAACATCACTGGCCTCTACTCACTAGATGCCAGTAGTTCTCCCAAAGTTATGCAACCCAAAATGCCTTCAGACATGAACAAATGTCCTCTGGGTAGGGCAGAATTGCCCCCCTGTTGAGAACTGAGTTAGCGCCTTGCCTCTCTACCTGTGTTCAACACCTGTCTTCCCTAAGAGACTCTGAGCTCTATGAGGACAGGTGCTAGGACTGCCTTGTTCACTAACAAATCTCCGGCATGGAATCACTTCCAGGTGGAGAAAGCACTCGACAAATTGTTGCTGGATAGACAGATGGGTGAATGACTGGATGAATTGATTTGTCCAAAGTCACACTGCTAGCAAATGGCGCGGCTGGACCTGGAACCTGGATCTTTGACTGCAGAGCCTGTGCTCTTTCTACCCTACAATACAGGGCTTTTGATCCTGCACCAGATGACCCTCTCCAGGCCTTAGTAATGACAGCAGCTCAAGCTCACTGAGAGGCCTCTGGAGGCTGGGCTCTGGAGTAAGCCCATCTCATGGCTTATTGGTATAAATACTCAACAGAACTCTGTGGGGTAGGTGCTGCTTTAATCTCCATTACAGGGAGATGAAGTAATTCCATCAAGTCTTGCAGCTAGGGAGAGTCAGTGCTGGGGGCTCCCTGCAGGAGGCTTCTCAGAGTCTGCATCAGACCAGGTATACAGAGGTCAGGGCCAGCGTCCACCTTGCCCTGTCCATGGCCAGGCAAGAGGTCCTGGAGTGCACTCATCAAAATTGCAGGTGTTGAGTGGAAAATCAAAGCCCACCACAGTAGACAGAAACAAAACTCACCTGCCTTGACCCTGCTACTAGATGACAAGAACATGAAATATCCCTTAAGAATTTGTGTTACTTACATGGTCCAAAAGCCTTAAGTGGAAAATTAAATGTAGCAGCAACCAGGTTTGGGACCACTCCCAGCAGACAGCAGAAGCAAAAAGAAATTTGCTCTGGAAAAATTCAACTTAAATCCAGACTTCAAAGAATTAGCAAAAATAAATGTTCTAAAGAAAATAAAAATCTCAGAGTTAAAAATTAAAAAATATATCAGAAACAAAGCACTATAAATAAGAACCAGGAAAACTAACAGGCTACAGAAACAGAACACGAAACGAGATCAAACATTAGAATTATCAGGTACAGAATAGAAAATCTTATATTTATGGAAATAAAAGAAGTAGAGTGAAAGCAGAGAGGAAAACAGCCAACTAGAACTTTTAGAAGAAAAAATATAATATGAATTTTGAAAACGTTTTATTTAAAATAATTAGAGATCACAGGAAGTTGCAAAGCTGGGATAAAGAGGTTCTGTGCACCCTTCACCCAGTCTCATCCACTGTTACATCCCACAGCACTAAAACAACTGCAGATGATGCTGCATTAGCAATTGCTAATACTCTGGGAGAAAAAGAGAACTATCAGTGTGCCCCTGACTAATGGAAAATCACGATCCTGCAAAAACAAAACAAAACTTCACAAAATTCTTGGAGGTGGAAAAGCAATAACCGTAATATTGGCAGGTGGAAAAGTAATGCCAATGTGTGTTTGAGCCCCAGCACAGAAGAAGAAGACCCTGGGGGTCCCAGAGGCACACAGGTTGAGACAGCCGTACGGTATTGTTGCCATCCCTAAGTAGTTCTCCTTTCTTTATCCTTTCCCAGAGCAGGACTAAATTTTACCTCCCTCCAAGCCATGCAAAGCTCCTGATTTTACAGACCTTCTTTGCTCCCCTATGCCTCCAGGCCAAGTCTAAACACATCCTTTCAAACAAGCTCACTGCTAGCTCCCAACCTCCACAAGATTAATTCCTCAAACTACCACATAGACTCTCTTGGTACAGCCAAAATTGTTTCCTGCATGTCCTTCAGACTTGCTGTGACAAGACTGTATTTTCCAAAGAGGAATGCAATATTATCTCCCATTCCACATGCTCTGCTTATAGTGTGACTTTGACTTTCCTTTCATTGAGAGGTGGAGTTTACGTCCCCTCCCCTTCAAACTAGATAGGCTTTTCTGACTATTTTCACCAACAGAGTTCGGTAGACATGACATTACAGTTGACTCTTCAACAACACAGGTTTGAATTGCAACGGGTCCCCTTATACCCAGATTTTCTTCTGCCTCTGTCATCCCTGGGATAGCAAGACCAATCCTTCCTCTTCCTCAGGCTACTCAGTGTGAAGATGATGACAATGAATCATCACCTTTATGATGACCCACTTCCACTTAATGAATAGTAAATATATCTTTTCTTCCTGAATTTTTTTTTTTTTGAGACGGAGTCTCACTCTGTTGCCCAGGCTGGAGTGCAAGTGGCACGGTCTCAGCTCACTGCAACCTCCACCTCCTGGGTTCAAGCAATTCTCCTGTCTCAGCCTCCCAAGTAGCTGGGATTACAGACACCTGCCACCACTCCTGGCTAATCCTGATGGTTTTCTTAATAACGTTTTTTCTCTAGCTTACTTTATTGTAAGAATACGGTAGGTAATACATATAAAATATGTGTTAATCAACTGTTTATGTTATTGGTAAGGCTTCCAGTCAACAGTAGGCTATCCGCAGTTAAATTTTGGAGGAGTCAAAAGTTATGCATGGATTTTTGACTGTGCAAGGGGTTGGTGCTGATGTTGTTTAAGGGTCAACTGTATTTGACCTCTAAGGATACATCATAAAAGGCGATGCAGCTTCCACCTGAGTCTTTTTGGACATTTGCATTTGGAGCTCCAAGCCACTATGTAAGGCAGCTGACTGCTCTGAGGCCACCATGCTGTGAGGAAGCCCAAACTAGCCCACGCAGAGATCACATGGGGAGGTCCCGAGACTACATGAAGACAGAGATGCTCAGGCCGCTGACTCACTGCAACCTAGGGGAGACGCCAAACAAGAACCATCTAGCTGAGCCCTCTTTGATTTCCTGACCCACAGAAACCATGAGAGAGAATAACATAGTTGTTATTTTAAGCCACTAAATTTTAGGGTGATTTATTTTGCAGTAATAGGTAACCAGAACACTTGTCATGCCTGTTTTCACCTCCACACCTTTTCTCACCCAGTCCTTCCTGCCTGAGGAAGGGAAAGAGGATTCTTTCCTTCCTTTCCTCCTTTTGGTAACCTCCTCTTCACTGGGATGGGGGTGTGGGCAAGGGAGACCTCAGTGGAGCTGGCATTTGCCTCCAACCCTGAAACTTGCCTGGAGCTGGGCCCACTAACAACACGTGGGAGAGTACAGGGGCTGAGTCTCTGGAGCCAAGGGCTGAGCTAGCAGTGTGTGGGAAGACAGAAAGAGAGGCCTTGGCTCAAGAAAAAAGCTGAAGCTCAGTTCTCAGAAGGGACCCCATGATCAGTGTGAATGCAGCAAGATGGTCAACTTGAGGGTCTGTCCTCTCCCGGTGACAGGAACTATGGGGCGGTGATGATCATGGTGATGCTGATCTGTCCATTGCTGCATTGTGTTTAGCATTTTATATAGTCTCATTTAAGCCTCACAGTAACCTTTTGAGTTAGGTACTATGACTATTCCCGTGTTATAAATGAGGAAACAGAGGCCCAGAAAGAGGAGCAACTTGCCCAAATTCTCACAGTTAGGGGCAGACACGAGATTCGAACTCAGGCTTGTCAGAATCCAGACTCTCAGTCCCAGAAACAAAAGCAGGTGGGAGAGGGTGGGTTAAGAGATTCCAGGCATGAGCCTCGGGAGGCTTCTGCAGCAGAGAATTCCAAATGTGCCTTGATTTGCATTATCACTGTTTTGGTTTGCAAGAAGGAGAAGCTGATCTCCTCCTTGATAAAAATGGAAAAGAACAAGGTAAGAATATGTGCACTCCTAGCTATCAAGATATAAACTTGCAGTAACTAAGACAGTGTGATTATCTTAGTCCATTTAGGCTGTTATAACAAAAATACCATAGATTGGGCAGCTTAAACAACAAACATTTATTTTTCACAATTCTGGAGGCTGGGGAGTCCAAAATACGGCACTAGCAGATTCAGTGTCTGGTGGAGGCCAACATTCAGATTCACAGACAATGTCTTCTCGCTGTTAGGCCTCTGAGCCCAAGCTAAGCCATCATATCCCCTGTGACCTGCACGTACACATCCAGATGGCCGGTTCCTGCCTTAACTGATGACATTCCACCACAAAAGAAGTGAAAATGGCCTGTTCCTGCCTTAACTGATGACATTACCTTGTGAAATTCCTTCTCCTGGCTCATCCTGGCTCAAAAGCTCCCCCGCTGAGCACCTTGTGACCCCCAGCCCTGCTCGCCAGAGAACAATCCCCCTTTGACCGTAATTTTCCTTTACCTACCCAAATCTTATAAAATGGCCCCGCCCCTATCTCCCTTCGCTGACTCTTTTCGGACTCAACCCGCCTGCACCCAGGTGAAATAAACAGCCTTGTTGCTCACACAAAGCCTGTTTGGTGGTCTCTTCACACAGACGTGAGTGAAACTCGCTGTGTACTCCCACAGCAGAAAGTGTGAGAAAGCTCTCTGGGGCCTCTCTTATAAGGGTACCATTCAGGAGGGCACCACCCTCATGACCTAATTACCCCCCAAAGGCTACACATCCTAATATCATCACACTGGGGGATGGGATTTAAATGTGTAAATTTTGGGGGGACACAAGCATTCAGCCCACAATAGTGATATTAAAACAAAGATGGGCAAAAATGCCAGTGGAATGAAACAGAGCTCAATAAATAGAGCTGGATCAACTGAATAATTACACAGTGAAAAAATGAGCCCAGACCCCTACCTCACTCCACATGCAAAAAATTATGGTAGATGGACTTTAGATCTAAATGTGAAAAATAAGAGAAAGCAGTTGTTACTCAAAATAGCCCCAAACTGGTAACAACCCAAATTTTCATCAACAGTAGAACAGATCAATAAATTGTATACTCACACAGCAATAACAAAGGGCAGATTATTACTGCATGCAACAACGTGAATGTATTTCACAATTATAATGTTGAATGAAAGAGGTCAGATACAAAAAGACATACTGTATGATTCTATTTCTATAAAGTTCAAACAGGCAAACCTAACTGATGTTGTTAGATGTTAGGATATGGTTATTTTTTGGGAAGAAGGTAGTGGTAATGAATAGCAGGGGCACAAAGGGAGGTTTCTAGGTTGCTGGCAAGGCTTTAATTATTGAACTTAGTGGTAGTCACAGAGGTATGTTCACTGTGATAATTCATCAAGTAATTCACTTATCATTTGTGCACTTTTCTATATGTGTATTGCAATAAAATAATTTATTTTAAAGAGTAACAGATGACAAATTATCCACAACAAATTGATAAAGGATAATAGCTTTAAAGAGCAGATAAAAATAAGTAAGAAACACTAAGACATCCTCACTAGAAAAATGAGCAAAGGCTATGTGAACAAAAGAGGCATTATAAATGGCTTGTATATACTTGAAAAAAAAATTTAAAACTTGATAGTAGTGAAACATGTTAGAAATTTAAAGCAATGAGAAACCAGTTTTACCAAGCAAATTGATAAAGATTTAATAACAAATAATAGGAACTTTTTCTTTTGGCCACAGTGGAGTAACAGTGACCAGCTTCTTTCTCTCTCTCTCTCTCGCTCTCTCTTACACACACACACACACACACACACACACCCCCCCACCCACACACACATCACCTTAAAAAAGAAAAACAGACAAAATTATATAAAACAATGGTTTCCAGTTATTGGACAACAGGAGCACAGTACAGTGATCTCTGAGTGGAGAGAAACCAAGGAAGACAGCTCTGTGATCACCCATCTTACTTTGTTTGTGTTGAAAGTTCTTTTCAGGCCACAGAACAGGGAGAGGGAGCCCAAAGAGAGACTGGTAGTCTTTTTGAGTTGAGGAGGGAGAATTAAGAATTCATGGAGGCTAGACTTATCAGGCCAAAGTATCAGACAGTAGAATGCTACAGAGTGCTGAAGAGCTATCAAAAGTTCCCTTCAAATCTTAAGCTGAGTATGAATCAGCACATGCATGTGCAGAAACTACCCAAGGCTTTGGAAGGAACCACTGAAAAGGAGTGGAGAGAACAATTACCATAACCCACACAGAGCCTATAATGGTTTTTGTTCACACCAGCCAGAGTGGGAAGACTTCTAACACACACAGCATTAATTAGACTGCTCAGAAGGCTTTTTCCTCATTAGTGGGGCCAAATTAGATCTAGACTAAAAGATGTTCTGTTCCCACATAACAAAGCTTAAAAGCAAGCCTCAAAAAGTACCAAGCTGTTCTCTAGTAATTTAATTGCAGCTCAGAACAAAGTTCAAAAATATTTAAAGAACATCAACAAAATCTAACACCCAATATAAAATTGACAATACATTTAAAAAAAAATTACCAGGCATGTAAAGAAACAGGAAAATGTGACCCATAATGAGCACAAAACTCATTCAATTGAAATGGTTCCAGAAATGACACAGATGATAAAATTGATAGAATGACATTAAAGCAGCTATTAAACAAATACTCTATGCATTCAAGAAGACAAAGAAAAGCATAGGTATGTAAAGGAGAGATATATAATATATAAACAAGCCACAAATCAAACAACTAGAGATTAAAAGTAGAATGGCTGGGATATTAATAAGATTAACAGTAAATTAGACCCAGCAGAAGAACATCCTAGTGAATTTTATGGAGAGCAATTGAAACTACCCAAAATAAAATACAGGGAGTAAAAGGAAGGGGAGGAGGAGAAATCATCCATCAGCTATGGAACAAGGCACTTAATACTTATATGGAGCCCCCAAAGGAGAGGAAAAAAGAAGGGTTGAGACAGACTGAAAATCTATCCAAAGAAATAATGACCAAACATTTAATGAAAACTATTAATCCACAGACCCAAAAACCTCAACCAAGCCCTAGCATAAAGAAACATTAGAAAATTACACTAAAATCAAACTGCTTAAAATTACTAATAAAGAGAAAATCTTAAAAGCACTCAGAGAAAAAGCATAGGTTATGTACAGAGAATCAAGGAAAAGAAAAGAATAACAGAAGACTTTGCACTGTGAACAATGAATGCCAGAAGAAAGTGGAACATTTTTAAAGGACTGGAAGAAAAAACTGTCAACCTAGAATTCTATGTATAGTAAAAACATCTTCAAAGCTTAAAGTGAACAACCAAGTGCTGGTGAAGATATGGAGAAATTGGAACTCTAATATATTGCTAGGGAGCTTGTAAGATAGTGCCATTGGTATGGAAAACAATCTGGCCATTCCTCAAAAGGGTAAACATAGTTACCATATGATTTAGAAACTCCATCCCTAGGTGGAAGAGAACCCAAGAGAATTGAAAATATGTTTTCACACAAACACTTGTATATGAATGTTCATAATAGCATTATTTTCAATAGCCAAAGAGTGAAAACAACCCAAACCTTTGTTAACTGACGAATGTATAAACAAAATGTGGTATATCCATTGCTGTGGTTTGAATGTGTCTCCCAAAGTTCATATGCTGGAAACTTAATCCCTAACACAGCAGTGTTAAGAGGTGGAGCCTAATAAGAAGTGATTAGGTCCTGAGGGCTCATGAATAGATTAATGTCAGTATCATGGGAGTGGGTTAGTTATCTTGAGAATGGGTTTCTTATAAAAGTGAGTCTGGCCCCCCTGTGTGCTTGCTCTCTGGCTCTCTTGCCCTTCTGCCTTCTCCCATGGAATGCTGCAGCATGAAGGTGCTCACCAGATGCTGGTGCCATGCTCCTGGACTTCCCAGCCTCCAGAAACATGAGCCAAATAAACTTCTATTGTTTATAAATTACCCAGTCTCAGGTATTTTGTTATAGAAACATGAAATGGACTAAGACATCTGTACAATAGAATACCATTCAGCCTTAAAAAGGAATTAAGTACTAATATAAGCTACAACATGGTTGAGCTTCAAAAACATGCTAAATGAAAAAAGTCACATGCAAAAGGTCACACACCACATGATTCTAATTATAGGAAATGTCAAGAATAGCCAAATCTATGGAGACAGAAAGTAGATTAGTGGTTGTGTGAGGCTATGGGGAGGAATGGAATGAGGAGTGACTACAAATGGGTACAGGACTTCTTTTGGGGGCGATAAAGATGTTCTAAACTTAGATAGTGGTGATGGTTGAATCGTACACTGAATTATACAATTTAAAAGGGTGAATTTTATAATATGCAAATTATATCCCAATTAAGCTGGTTTTTTAAAATGAAGGTGAAATAGAGACTTTTTCGGGCATATAAAAGTTGAAAGTCTTCACCACAAATAGACCAACACTTTAAAAAATATTGAAGAAATTCCTTTAGGCAGAAGAAAAATTATAATTACATGGAAAATATGGATATATACAACAGAATGAGAAGTACAGGAAATGATCAACATATGAGGTAATAAAAATATACTTTAAACTATTTTAAAAATATAATTAACTATTTAAAGCAATGATAATAATAAATTACATGGTTTATATACAAGTAGAAGTAAAATGCATGGCAGTGATAGGACGAAAGCCAAGCAAGGTAAAATGAAGTATTCTGTTGTAGGGTCCTTATATTCCATAATATAATTATTATATTTTCAGAATCGTACTTGAATATAGACTGTGATAAATTCAAAGTTATAAGTTGTATGCTCTAAAGCAATCACTAAGAAATTGAGCATATAATAAGCTAACAAGGGAGATAAAAACAAGGGAGATAAAAAGAAGCATAAAAACATTCCCAAAAAGGCAGAAAAAAGAGAGGGAAAATGAACAAAGACCAGATAGGACAAATAGAAAGCAAATGGTGAGATGGTAGATTCACACTAAATTATATCAATATTCACATTAAATTTAAATGATGCTTATTATCTAGTTAAAAGACAAGTGTTGTCAGACTCAATAAAAAAGCAAGACCCAACTACATGCTGTCTACAGTAAACCCACTTTGAATATAAAGATACAAATGAGGCTTCAAGGGAAAGGATAGAAAAGAGTATACCATCAAATATTAATCTAAAGAAACCAGGAGTGGTTTTATTAATATATCCTGCAGTGAAGCAGGATTCCTTGGTACAAGCTGGCTTAAACGTGGATTCCGGGTTCTACCTGGGGATGGGACTAGCCCACAGGATGGAGAGTTGTAAGTCTTGAATGCCAGACTAAGGAGCTGGCATGGATGTGGATAGACAATAAGTTAACTGAAGGGCTTGGGGTGTAGCCTGTGGAATGCCTGGAGTGGGCTGCAGACTGGAGACAGAGACCCAGGGAGGGTTTCAGCTATGGGGTGATGGAGGCTGGGACCACTGCAGGGCAGTTAGAGATGCAGCGATGCCTTTGAGAGGCTACAGACATGGGACTGAAAGGCAGAACATCAAGAACAGAGGGAAAGGAGGAGAGAATTTTAGCCAGAGCTTCCATCACCCCATACCTGAAACCCTCCCTGGGTCTCTGTCTCCAGTCTGCAGCCCACTCCAGGGATTCCACAGGCTACACCCCAAGCCCTTCAGTGAGCCTATTGTTGGTCTGTTTAGCATTTGCTGCCTATCTATTATGTGACAAGCTCTGAGCTGCTGGCACTGTGGAGAGTTCAGAGATAAGGAAGGCACAGACCCCACCTTCCAGAAGCAAACTATGAGTCTGTACTAGTAGGGTTTGTATTATCCTAACTTGCATTATGATAAATCTCCAATAATGCTCTGGAATGGAGCATTTCCCAACTCACTCGACCATTTGAAGAGCAGAGGCATAGCAGGGGTTATCAATTGTTGAGCCTTACTGCAGGCCAGATATTTTATCTCAGCTGAGCTTGAGGGGCAGCACATTGCAGTGCAGCACTAAGATGTGAGGGGTGCCTCTCATAAAACTCCAAATTTATCTCATTTTTTTTTAAACTTTACGTTCTAGGGTACATGTGCACAATGTGCAGGTTTGTTACATATGTATACATGTGCCATGTTGGTGTGCTGCACCCATTAACTCGTCATTTACATTAGGTATATCTCCTAACGCTATCCCTCCCCCGTCCCACCACCTCACAACAGGCCCCGGTGTGTGATGTTCCCCTTCCTGTGTCCAAGTGTTCTCATTGTTCAATTCCCACCTATGAGTGAGAACATGTGGTGTTTGTTTTTTTGTCCTTGTGACAGTTTGCTGAGAATGATGGTTTCCAGCTTCATCCATGTCCCTACAAAGGACATGAACTCATCCTTTTTTATGGCTGCATAGTATTCCATGGTGTATATGTGCCACATTTTCTTAATCCAGACTACTGCAGCACTATTCACAATAGCAAGGACTTGGAACCAACCCAAATTTATCTCATTCTTATGAACGTCTGCCATTCCACAAGCTGGAAGACAGGGAATAAATGTGAGTCCTGTAGGAAGGCATGAGGTGGGAATGCAGACAGGTAATGTTGTACCACAGGTGAGCTCAATCAAGTTAGAGGCACTCACTCATTTCCCTACCCTCTGAGGCAGATCAAGGAATCCCCTCCAGCAATTTCCCAGACCATTGGCTACATGGTGGTGCTGGGGGAATATTAAAGGAGCAGCAGCATTTTACAAATGCCTGGTTTACAGGTGAGGAGAGGCTTTCAGACTTGTCCAAGGAAACACTGCTGATAAGACGTGGGATTTGAACCCAGATCAGTCTTACTACAAAGTCCAATCTCTTACCTCCTGTGTAGTGTGGTTTCCTAGGGCTGGGGGGGTTAGAGGAAAAGAGTTTCCAAAATACTCCTTTGCAGGATAATAAACCCATGATTCCTTTAAACACCGAAAGCAGGTGCAAGAATACTAAATAAGCCTAGAATATCTCGTACCAGAAAATAAGGAAATGTTCAAGGAAGGACGTTGGCATGTTAAAGTGACAGAGGGGCC
Organism: Homo sapiens; assembly: GCF_000001405.40. Classification (NCBI taxonomy): domain Eukaryota; kingdom Metazoa; phylum Chordata; class Mammalia; order Primates; family Hominidae; genus Homo; species Homo sapiens. The sequence goes on from NC_000003.12 coordinate 10,737,313, forward strand.
AGCTTGAAGGGGCTCCCACTGGCCAAAGCCAGGGAAATTTGAATGTCAAAAGAAATAGTCACAGTAATAGATTATAACCCATTAAATAAAACAAGAATCCACGAATCCTTACCAAGTACATATACGAATGAATGAATGAATGGATGGATGGATGAGTGGGGAGAGGAGAGATCTTTTCCTTACAGTTAGATTGCCAACTGATACATTTAGAAGGTATGACAGAGGCTGGGCACGGTGGCTCATGCCTGTTATCCCAGCACTTTGGGAGGCTGAGGTGGGAAGACTGCTTGAGGACAGGAGTTCAAGACCAGTCTGGGCAACAAAGTGAAACCCTCTCTCTACAAAAAAATAAAATTTAAAAAGTTAGCCAGTTGTGGTGGTATGTGCCTGTAGTCCTAGCTACTTCGGAAGGCTGAGGCAAGAGGATTACTTGCCTAGGAGTTAGAGGCTGCAGTAAGCTATGATTGTGCCACTGCACTCCAGCCTGGGGCAACACAGCGAGACCCTGACTCTAAACAAAAGAAGGAGGAGGAGGAGAAGGAGGAATGATGGAATCAGGAAATCACCATTTGGCAACTGTGTTAGTAACAACTTCATCCAGGCAAAAATCCCCAAAGAATGCTACAACTAAACTTTGATGATGAATGACATCATTCCGAGGTACCTCCCCAAGAAAATACTTATTGCTGACAAAGGGGAAAAGAAGAACTAAGGAAAAAATGGCGGACACCACCTTAATAAGGCGATTGACGTTCCTGCACCAGTAATGCGGCAAAGAGAAATTGTGTGCTACCCACTAGGACGCAATGAGAACACAGCATCATTTCTGTGATGTTCCTACTGAAAACAGGCAACCTGAACCCAATAAGAAAGAAACAGCAGCCAAACTGGAGCTGTGGGACCTCCTGCAACATACGTAGCCTAAAATCTTCAAAAGCATCAAGGTTGTGCAAGTCTATGGAAGACTGAGGAGCTGTTCCAGAATGAGGGAGGCTAGGGGGAAATGACAGCTAAATGCCGTGCAGGATTCGGGACCGAATCCCTTGCTCTGAAAGGCATTATCGGGATAGCTGGTTAAACTTGCCTGGAGTCTGAGGATTAGGTGGTTACAATGCATTGATGTAAATTTCCTGATTTTGGTGCTTGTGGTTAGGTAGAGAATGTCCTCATTTGTAAGAAATATCCACAAAATATTTGGGGGGTGGTGGAGTATCACGTTAGTAACTTACTTTTTTCCCCGCTAAAATGGCTTGGGGGAAATAGCTCTTTTTACTACTGCGGCAGCTTTCTGTAAATTTGAAATTATTATACAAACCCGAAGGTGCTTTTGGGCAGTTTTCTCGCCGTTGTTACCTGATGAAGGTGTTACTCGTGGAAAGGAAAGGACTTTCTGAAGAGGGTCGAAGGCCCCCTTTTCCCTCTCAGGCCGGTGAAACTCCTGGGGACTCCTCGCACAACAGACAGAGGACAGCGCCAGCGCCCCCAGAGGTGGTCGGGAAAGGGCCTGGGGTGGACTCTAGAGACCTGCAGCCACGCGCAGCTCGCCGCCGCTGTTGCAAGCTGATTGTCGTCGTCAGCAAGTTCTTCCTTCTGGAATCCACCACTTGGGCCTAAGGGGAGGCTGGTTTGTGTCCTGGAAGAACCGGGTCCCTCCGCCCTAACCATCAGGTCGGCGTTACTTGAGGCGTTCTGATCCCTTCAGCCTTCCGATCCCTTCAGCCTTCCGGTGCCAGCTCTGCAGTGATGGCGCCCCCTGGTGTCCAATGAAAGAGGCGCAACTGCCGTTAAGTGCAGATCTTCCAGGGGAGAGACAAGTATTTCTGCCCGCCCGATTCCGATTCCCAAATTTACTCCTCCTTGGACCAGCCAGCCCACCTACTTCCATTCATTTGGGCATGTGTTCTTCATTTTATTCATTCATCTGTTTGTTCATTCATGCACCCACTGCGTTCCGGGTACCGAGTTTGACCCTGGAAGTACACAGGTAGATCATGGCCAGGCTTTAGCCTCAAGGAGCCCTCAGGCTGACGGAGGCACAGGCTCTCACACCACAGCAGGATCTCTGCCTCCTGAAGGTAAGTGCAAGGGGCTCTGGGAGCACCCAAAGTGATCTAGGAAGTCTTCCAGGAGCAGGTGACCACAATTCAGCTCCTTTTTATTCCCACTGCCACTGCCCTGTTCTCTAAAGCCCCTTGCCCCTCTGTCCTCACAGCTGGAGCATCACTACCCTCTCTTCCAGGGCTTCCGCTCAGTCTAGACCTGGCGGACAGAGGGCTATCCTCCTACTTGGCCACAAAGGCAGGCATAGGCACAGGCAGCCCTGAGGCACAGCTTCCCCTGCTGATAATAGCGTTGATGACAAGGATATGGATATGGATATGGATATGGATATGAATATTAATAGAAGCTGACATTTAGTGAGGGCTTAGTTTGTTCTAGGCACTGTGCTAAGAATTGTACAACATGACACCATCTAATCCCCACCGCTGCCCATAGACATTGGATACTGGGATCATACCCATTTTACAGTGGAGGAAACTAAGGCTCAGTGAAGTTAAGGAGGGAACCTCACCAGTCATCTTCCAGTCAGGGAGTCTGCAGCTTCTCATAATCCATACCTGCCATGCCATGCTCCCTACCTTCCCTGCTGTTCACTGCAGAAGGTCCCCAGTTCTGTCAAAGGTCATCTCTGGACCCATCACTGCATGTTCTAGAGAGCTTGACTGCGTAAATACTTTCTAATGCTAAAGTATTGTTGGAAACCTCTCCTCCCTTCAGAGGAGACTGCTGCCCTCAGGGGGCTGGGACTTCCCCAAACCACAAAGCTACTACATGGCAGGGCCTGGACATGAATAGGGGTCAGAGATATTTCCACTTCTCTATCCCCAAGGGCATCTTCCTCAGTGGATGCTCAATGAATATCTGTTGCTTGCAGAAAACTGCCTCCTATTTAACACCTGATATTGACCTAAAACTATCAGGACTTTTATTTCCAATGCTCAAGCTGGTTTTGTTTGTGATAGCTAGAATCCTCATGCAATGACATGAAGGAGATTGAACTGGCCATTGCGGGGCCATGGCGTACATTTTCCTAGTGCCCACTATGTGCCAGACGTGGTTATACTCATCACATCATCAGTTCCTCATGACGGCTCTTCAGAGGAGTCCATTTGACAGATGAAGTGGAGTCCCAGAAAGCTGAGAACTTTCAATACCCTGGAGACGCTCAGAGCTACTCTTCAGGCCCCCGCACCCTTTTCTGTCCCACTAACACACCAAGCCCATTCCCTTCTCCAGGCCTTTGCACTGGCTGTTCCCTCTATGCCTGCATGCTCTTTCCCAGGGTCTTCTCCTGGCTGGCTGTTCCTCATCATTCAACTCTCTGCACAATGTCACCTCCTCTGGCCACCCTACTGACCCCTGTCACTCGCTACCTCACTACCCTGTCCAGCGGTGGCTGTGCTCTGAGACCCTCATTCATCTATGAGCTTGCCTGTTCATTGAATTTATTTCCCGCATGCATGAGAGCTCCCTGAGGGCAGGGACTCTGTCATCTGTGTCCCAGCATCCAGAACAGTGCCTGACGTATCAGAAGTGCTCAGTGAATATTTGTTGAATGAACGGAATCATTTGCCGGTCTTGTCCATTGGATCTCTGACAGCCTTCTGATGTAGTAGGAAGATGGCCCTTCCTACCGCTGCTGCTCAGCTGTGACCCCAGTCCCTGGGGACCCTGCCAGGTGTCTAAGCCATCTGATAGAGCATCTTTCTAACCCACACTTCTGTCCATGTCACTCTCCTCCTCAAAAAACATCATCGTCATCATTATCATCATAATCATCATCATCATCATCATCATCATCATCATCATCATCATCAATCTGTCACTTGATGGAGACTGTGAAGCTGTCTGTCATCATTGCTATATTAAAAGTCCCCCGTATTTCAAGGTTTTATCCCAATTTAGAGATGGGGGAACAGAAGCTTAGACAGGTTGAGGAACTCGCACAGGCCCACACAGCTGCTGAGTGGGCAAACTGAGATTTGAACGCAGGTCAGTGTGATCCCAGGTCCCCACTCTTAGCGGCTGTCTCCTACCATAGAGCATAGCTTTCACGTGCATCAAACTTGAGCATGTGTCAGAATCATCTGGAGAGCTTGTTAATACGCAGGTTACTGGGCTGCACTCCCAGAGTTTCTGACTCCACTTGTCTAGGGTACGGCCTGAGAATATGCATTTCTAACAGGCTTCCAGGTAAGATGACCACTGGCCTCACACTGAGAGAACCACTGGCCTGGAAAAAATACACAGCAGCCCAAACAAATAGAACTTTGTCTGCAGTTTCAGGAGGTTCATGGATCCCCTGCAGCCTCTCCATGTGCTTTGGGAATAGGGAAGGATCTGTGGACCTCACCTTCAGAACCACTGTTCAAACAAACAATGTAAGTCAGATCCACGACATCCTGAGGCCCTGAGTTCTGTTCAGCAAGTTTCCTTTAAGCAAGGGCCACCAGAGTCTCGGCCTTAGTCCCTTTGCAAATCTGACTCTTTCTTACTAAAGTTAATTATCTGACATTGAAACGTACCCTAGCTGACACACCACAGAAAGGCCTCCACTTGTCTCACCGACGCAAATGATAAATAGAGGGCCCAGAGCAATTTCTCTCAGAGATTTCATGTCAGTATTTTAATAATCATTGAGCAGGGCCCTGGGAGCCAATTACAAAACTAGGACAGATTTTTTTCTAAAACTACTTGGTTTCCAACTCCTAAAACTTGTAGGCGTCTAAAACTGATGGATCTGAAGGGTTCTGACATAGTTTCCCCCAAGGATGAGTCGTGCATAGAATTTGAAATTTAGTTCCAGGAAAGCTGAAGCTGTGATGTTTCCCTCCTCTTCCCCTTCCTCCTCCTCCTCCCGCTGCTCCTCTTCCTCCCTCTCCTTCTTCTCACTCTCCTCCTCCCATTTTCCTCTCCTCTTCCCTCCCCCTTCACCAGTCTCCTTACTAAAACTGAGTTGCCCTGAGACTGGAGCCTGGATGTGGGAAGCCTGCCCGATTGTTGGCTGTGGGCACTGGGAGCCTTCAGCCTTCATCCTTTCTCTCACCGCTCTGCCAGCGGTTGGGGAACCTACACCAACTGCCTGGGCCACAGGGGGACTGGGGGGCCTGGGGCCAGGGTTCAGGGAAGCTCTGGGGCTGGGAAGTGGCCAGCCATGCCTCCCAGGACAGTCTCAGGGTCTAGGACCCTTGGGAACCTTGGCTGGTTTCCCCTCCTGCCTTGGTGAGTTCCGGATTCTAGGCCCACACATGGCAAAGACCTGAGTCCTGTTAAAATCAGGTCATCCTCCCACAGCCCCCATGGTGACTCCAGCACAGGCTAGTAGCAGGTACTCAGTCATCAATACAAGCCTTCAAAAATGTAAATCCGATCATCTTGCAGCCGCTCTCCAATCACTGGCTCCCATCACACCTGGACTAAAACCAAGCCTCCTTTGCAGGGCAGCCCCAGTCAAACCTGCTGACTCCATCTCTCTCCATTCTCTCCCTTGCTCCACCTGCTTGGCCATGCTGGCCTCCTTGCTGTCTGGTCCTCAGGCACTCCAGGCATAGTTCTGTCTTAGGGCCTTTGCACTGCAGTGCCCTCCTCCCCAGACAGCTGCATGGCTGTCCCCCGCCTGATTTAGGCCTCTGCTCAAACATCGCCTTCATAGAGACCCCCAGCTAAAACAGTGCTTCCTACCCACACTGCATGTGCTGCTCTCTTTCTTCAAAGCACCAGTCATTCCCCTTATATTCCGTGCTAACTGTGCATCTATTTATTATGTCTGTCTCAAAAGAAGGTCAAGATCATGAAGCCAGGGGCCAGGTCTGGTCTTCATCTACCATTGTATCCACAGGGCTGCACTCAGAGGAAATAATAAATATTGAATGAATGAATGAATGAATGAGACAATGAATGCTCCCACTGATGGAGGAGTTGATGTGAGCTAGCAGGGTGCTTTTTGCATTGATCCTCTCACCCATCCTGCAAGGTGGGTTTTTTCAGTTCTCCTTGGGACACGATGATGGCTCAGCTGAGAAAGAAGGCTGATGTACCCAAGGTCACCCAGTGGTGAGGCGGCCCTGGGCAAGCGACCCAAGTCTGTGTCACTGCATGCCTATGGATGAGTGGTTACCTGCTGACAGCACAGGCCAGGCTCACTGCAGGTGAGGCGGCTCCTGGGAAGGACCAGTCCCATGGTGATGGAGTACAGGTGGAAGGTGAGAGCTTGGGGGTCAGGCAGCAACATGGTTGGCTGCTGCAAGGAGCCTGGGAGTGCCCCTAGAGGGAGACTGAGGCTGGGCAGGGCCCTAGGCAGACCTCAGAGCAGTCCCCAGAGTGGAGACTGTCTGAAGGCTAGAGCTGGCCAAGGTGGGCTGGTCCCAAATCTTTTCAAACCCTCCACCCTCCCCCGCCACTGACTTCTGGAGCTGCCATGGCCCGGCCCTGCCAGGATGGGCTTGTTGGACGGGGCTGGTGCAAGAGGTGGGATAGAGACAGGGGCCAGGGCTGGGGGTTGTGGACTCCACTAGTGGACTGTAAGCTTCTGGCTGGGGCAACAGAGGAGGTGGCAGAACGATCGGGAGAGAAGGGAACTGGCTCTCTGCTCAGAGCACCCTGGAGCAACACACAGGCAATGAGAAGTCCTGGGCATCTTGACCGTCAGCGCGGTCCAGGGCCCAGCATGCTTCCAAGAGGCAGGCAAGAGAGTACCTGGGGCTTCTCCACTCCAAGCAAGTGTGGCTCCACCCAGAAGGACATAGGGCCTGGGAAGAGGAGCTGCGGTGCTCAAGCAGCAGAACTTCCTCCAGGCTCACTCCAGGATGCACTGCAGGGGACACTGTCCTCAAAAGCAGGACAAGCCTGCCACCCAGTGCTGCCGGGAGCCACCACAGCAGCCAGGCAGGGCGGCTGCCGGTTCCAGCCCCATGGGGGTGTTCCCCAACCTGTGTCTGGCCTCTGGAAATCACAGCGGGCTTTAGGGCTCTGTGATGACTCAAGCTGCTCCCTCCTCACCTAAGAACACCGCCTTGCACCCGATTCTTCACACCTGATTCTTCAATCCTCATCAACTTGCAAGTTTAAGAGGACTTAAAATTCCAGGAGGGAAGCACTGTGGGTCCGGAAGGTCATGGCCTGAGTAAACTAAAGCAGCAAAATGACTGAGCGGCCAGAGGGCAGGGAATGCAATGGAATATCAAGTCTCAGGCATCCACTGCAAATGATCATTGTGAGGAGGGGGCGGCAAGGGGCGGAGGCGACGCTCTCATAAAATGAAGTCAGCCTGAAAACAACATTCTGCTGGGCCCCCCTTACCAGTCAGGTCTGTTCAGAGGGCTTTCAACTAGGTGGAAGGATTGTACCCAACTGGTCTTTTAATATTTTTATTATTATATATTACATAATGTTATGTAACATATTTTATTTCCAAATTATATTATATATTTATATGATATATAATATCATATCATATAATATATATAACATATATAATATTTATCGTACATAATGTATATTTTCACTATATGTAATATATGTTATATTATATAAATATATAATACTATTATATAATATAGAAATAAAATATATTAATAATATGTGTTATTATTAATATATAATATAATATGTAAGATTATATTTATAGTAATAGTTATTAATATATCAATATAATAATATAAGGATATTTTATTATATTAACACGTTAATATAATATATTAATATATTAATAATTAATTTAATATGTATTAATCGATATATTATATATTAATGTTTAATTAATATATTCATAATATCAATATGTTTATATATTATATTATGATATTATAATATGATAAAATATGACATTCATAGATCATATATTAATATGTTATATTAACATATTTATATATGAATATATATGACATATATAATATATTCATGTCATACATTAACATATAATATATTAATATATAATATATTCATTTATGTCATACATTAATATATAATATATAAACATATAAAATACATTAATATATAATATATTCATATGTCATATATTCATATATAATATATAAATATATAAATGTATAATATATTAATATATGACATATGAATATATTAATATATGTCATATAGAATATGATGTTATATATGAATATATCAATACAATATATTAATATATATCAATATAATATATTAATAGATTAATGACTATTAAATATATATTTATGTATATTCATATTAATAGTTATTAACAGTCAAGATATACTTGTCATAAAATCATTAAAATAAAATTAATAATAATTAATCTTCACACTTCCCTATGACCTAGGAACCCCCATTCCCTCACTTTACAGATGAGGAATCTGAGGTCCAGGGAGGTAAAGTAACTGATTCAGGGTCAGAGCTAGAACAAGCCTGAGCCAGGATTTGAACTCAAGTCCCCTGGCCCCAGAGCCCAAGATCCCAAGCCACGATGCCATAGAGGCTTCCTGGGTCTTATAAGTTTTTGGGGGTTATCAATACAAATCTTGGAGAAAAAGATACTTCCTTGAGAAAAATTGGTTTGAAAACGTCTACTAAGAAACAGCTTTATGCATATTTCTCTTTAGTTGTGCTTTTTAAATGGTTTTATATTTGGAGAGGAGAAAGAAAATGAGAGAAAACAGCAGCACCAACAGGGCCAGTCTAAGGCGAATTTGTGGAGGACTCTGGTGTTCTGAAACCTCCACTCTCGCCCTTTCTCTCCCTTCAGAAGGTCCTATCCCCACCCCCAGTCACTCTTTGTGTTTAAAGACTTGCTCTTGTGAAAACTCCTAATCAATGGATCAAAAAGGAGTTATAGGAAATAAGGTTTTAGGGGAGGGCAAGAAAGAGGAAGTGAGGGTGGAAAGAAGAGACGAGGAAAGGGGAGCGCTGATGCTTACTGAGCCCAAAAAAGGACAGATGAGGTTCCAGGGTCACCCTCATGTTTTTTATTTGAACCTTACCTCCACCCTGTGGGATGGGCATTATTTCCCCCACTTAAAAGGTGAGGAGACTGAGGCTGAGGGGTTTGGGGGGCTTGTTTGAGGCCGCCCAGATAGGAAGTGGCAGAACCAAGACTCACACCTCGTCCACTCGACTTCACCCATGTTCTCACTCATCCTGTGGAGTCCACTGAGCCCCTGGAGGTGCCCAGCACCCCGTGGGAGCTGGGAGTGCTGAGATGAATGCAACCCAGCTCCTCATGTCCACCAGTTCAGACCATCATTGGATGTCATTGGCCTGACATGAGGGACATTGGACCCGCATGTCAGGTAGGGCCCATGCCACTGAAGTGGTAACCAGACTCCTAGTTCAGGCTGAGCCTATCCTGGCTTTTGCACTGCTGGAATATTACACATGCAGCAAAAGAACCATGCAGGAGACAGCACTCTCCACTTGGTCACCGTAGAAAAGCTAACAAAGGAAGGAGAGCATGTACCATGAGAAAAGATGAGATTTGGTGTTTTAAGTGACTGTGCCCCAGGTTAGCTGTGTGACCTCAGGCAAGTCACTTCACCTCTCTGTGTTTCAGTTTCCTCATCTGTAAAATGGGGTTGATGTTTTTGGCTTAGCCTACCCACAGGGCTTCAGGGGGCTGTGAAATAACATAATGGGTGTGCAGGCAATCTGTAAACTGGAAAAGTATTTTGCTATACAGGTGATCTTATTACGATCATCAAACATTATTATCAATTACTTTCTGAATCACTCCTGTGAAGTAAACTAGTGCTGAGATCTCAGGCATCAGACTTCCAGAATTCAAGAGTGGCTTTGATCATGGGTGGCTGATTCTCCACCTGCCCCCAGCCCTCATCATTAGCACATGGATGTCTCTCATTGATGAGTTACTCTGTCGATGGGCATCTCCCCCCATTTGATAGATGAGAAAAACTAAAGTCAACTTGCCCAATGTCTTTCAGCTTACAAGTAACAGAATCCCGATCACCAGATTCACTACCCCTTTCTACACCTGTTACCCTTCCCTGTGCCCTCACACCACCACCAACACCTATACAAAGGATTAGCACAAGAGAGGGAGCTGGTGGGGGCTCCAGACTGGGCTGGCATGAAAAGGCAGCCCAGTGGCCTAGGATCAAGATCCTGAGGACCAAAGACCTCATTTATGAAAACGAAAGCGAGTCTTGAGGAAAGTTAATTGAAGTGAACGAAATCCCGAAGAATTTAGCACTCAATTTGAGATACTATTTTTGGCTGAAGCAAGAATGAAAAGACAAAGGAAAGTGCACCGAAATGGAAGAGAAACTAATTTGGAAGACATAATAGGGAGCAAACTTCTCAAATTTCCTCTGAGCCCAGGAGACGTGATTATTCAAGAAATAATTAGATGCTATCCTGGGGGTAATAAAAGCTAAAAATGAAGAGGAAAGAAATTGAAAGCTGCCAGAAAGGTCACAGGCTGCTCTCAATATTGTTTTCCTTTATAGATTTGAAGATGCAAGAATTAATTTGAAAAAGAACAATAAAGCAGTACAAACTAATCGGAGGGGAAATTGAGCTGGGAGAATCTCAACATCTTACCCACCTGGATCACTCTACTGGGAAATGCAGAGCCAGGTGGATTGTGGACCTAGAGAGGGTAGGCAGTCCCTTCCTAAAATGGCTGGAGGAAGGCAAAAGGCAAAAAGGCTGGAAGAAGGCAAAAGGGTGTCTCCGGTGTCTCCAGTGTCTCCTGCCCCAAAGCTGAACTGTCCTCTGACCTTTGGCGTCAGCAAACCTTTTTCTGTAAAGAGCCAGATGGTGAACACTTTTAGCTTTAAGGGCCATAACACTCTCTGTTGCAATTACTGCTGCTGTAGTGTGAAAGTGATAGTAGCCAGTATGTAATTGAATGGGTGTGGCTATGTTCTAATAAATCTTTATTTACAAAAACAGGCAGTGGGCCAGATTTGGCCCACAGGGCATAGCTTACTGCCTGAATTACTGCAGTAACTCACACCTGGGCTTCCTACTTGCAGTCTGACTCTGCTTCCATCCACTAAAAAACATTGGCTACTAAGAAGAATCTTTAAAAAATGGAACTAATGGTAATAATGATGATGATGACAACAGTAACAACATGACAACTGCTAGCACAGGGACACGGAGTACTTAGTAGGCACCAGGCATGATTCTTAGCACTTATGTAGCATCTACTGTCTTTACAAAAACCTTTATGAAGACAGTATCATTTACAGACGGGGAAATGACACCCAGAGAGGTGAAGTAACTGACCCAAGATCACACAGCTAATGGGCATCAGAGGAAGGATTTGAGCAACCCAGACAGTCTGGCTCCAGAGTCCATGCTCTTGGCTTATATTTTACCTTTTTTGTTATATCTTACTTCCTAAAGTATGAATGGCTCCAAATTCTTCAGGGACTTCCCACTGCTTATAGGATCAAGTCCAAATTCCTAAGCTCAATATACCAGGTCATCTGTGACTTGGTTCACCTCACCTCTCCACCCTTTTTCCAAGTCTCATCCCTATGTATCTAGAACAGCTTGAAGAGCCCCAAATTTTCATCTGCATTCATGCTACTCCCTCTGCCTGGATTACCCTTTCCTTCATTCGTTAACACCTACTCTCCCTCCCAGACTCAGCCCAAGTGTCATCACCTCTAAACAGCTTTCTATGACCCTGTTGCCCTTTCCAATTTGATAAGTCACTTCCTCTCTTTGGATCTTAGTTTCCATGCTTATCAATTGATGGAGGGTATTGAAAGGGAGAGAAAGAGTGTGTGCTGTATGACTCCATTTCTTTTGAAAACATTTAGTCTACCTAAGTGTGAAGTACAGCTCAGCTTGGCTGGGTGCCTGACAACCTGTCTTTTCAGTCTGTTTCTCCAGGGACTAAGCTCTTCCCTCTGGACCTGCAGAGGAAGAAAAACTGCTTCATGTGAGCCCAGACTCCCTAACTCCAAGAACAGTGCAATTTTCTCAACTCCATACTGAATCAAGAACTGCATTTGCCAGGAAGGGAAGCTCAATTAAGACATCCCTTCAGAATACCAACTCCTTCTGCTCTCATTCTGATCCTCCAAGGAACCTCTGACCTGTCAATTATCCAAAAAAATCTGTTATCCCCCAATGCACTATTCAACACTTTCACTCTTTTCTCATTCCTTCATTTAAAAGTAACTTTGATTTCTCTCACTTAGCTTGGCAGAAAAACAAATACTGCATGCTCTCATTTATATGTGGAATCTGAAGTAGTCAAACTCATAGGAGCAGAGATTAGAACAGTGGTTCATGGCAGTAGGGGGAGGGGAAAAGGGGGGAGATGTCAGTCAAAGGGCACAAAGTTTCAGTTATGCAGGATGAATAAGTTCTGGAGATCTAATGTACAGTAACAATGTGACTATAGCTAACAATACTGGATTGTATACTTGAAATGTGCAAACATTAGCTTGACTGTGGTGATTAGTTCACAATATATACACATATCGAATCATCACATTGTGCCCCTTAAATATATACAATGTTAATTGTCAATTATATGTCAGTAAAGCTGGGTGGGGGAAACTTTGAATTACAGCTCAGGAGTTGCAACAGACTGCTGTTCTAGGCTATGACCTTCCATCCTTCTATCCATCTACTTTCCCTTCCATCCATCCATTCTTCCTTTCATCCGTCTTTCCACCTATCCAACTATGCATCCATTCTCTTATTCATGTCATCCATTCACTAATTATAGAATTGACTGAGTGCCCACTGTAAGCCAGGCCCTGCACTAGGGTCTAGTAGACAGAGGTGACCCCAGCAGACAAGGACTCACCCTCGTGGAGCTCGCCATGTAGTAGGGAGGACAGAAAATGCTCATTCTCCTTCCACCTATGGATCTCCCCTCCCCTGCCATTATGCATAGGATACCCTGGGTCCTGTTTCCTGGGGGTGCCCAAAGTCCTGCCCCACCATCCTCATGTTCCCTCACCTCCTCCTCCTTGTGTCTCTCTTCTTCAGTGGTCTGCCTTTCCTTCCTCCCCAGGGGATAACACTCTACCTCCCTGTTCAGGCTAACACCCCTCTTCCTCACCTCTGTCCTCTTGATCTCATTCGCTCATGCCTTCTGCAGCCTCTTGATTCTCCGTTAATTACCATCTCCTTTCTTATTTATTTAATGTTTGTATTCAACAACTACCACCTTGGTTTGAGCCACTGGGATCCGCAGTCAAGACTATCGCAATTGCCTCCTCACTGGTCTCTCTTGCCCTCCTGGAGTCTCTTCTCAACACAAGGATCTGCATAGAATGCATCAGATATCAACACATGTCTGTTCCAAACCCTCTGGTGGATCTCCATGTCACTCAGAAAAAAGCCAGAGTCCTTACTCTGTCCTATGAGGACCCACGTGATCCTGACCTGCTACTTGTCTGATTCTTCCCCTACTGTTCCCCCCCACTCACCCAACCCAACCACACTTGGCTGTTTCTCAAGCATGCCTGCCTCAGGGCCTTTGCACACAGTGCTCCCTCCACCTGGGGTGCTCTTCCTCCAGATCTCCCATGGCTCACTCTCTCCATTCATTCGGGACTTCCTCAAACACTCCTCATCAGCCAGGCTTTCTCTGACCACTGGCAAAGAATAGCATCCCACTCCTCCTCTGGACTTATTCTCATGACATGCTCAGCTACTGGACATAGAAGACATTTGTTGATTTATTTTGCCCTATTAGAATGCAAACCCCATGAAACCAGGGGTGTCATCTGTTTTGGCTCACTGCTGTATGTCCAGCACCTGTCGCAGTTCCTGGCACAAGGTATATGATAAACACATATTACAGAATAACTGAATGAATGCATGAATGAATAAATATCCACCTCGCTACCAAATCTTCCCCTCATCCTTCCATCATGTCCAAAGTCTCCATTGTTTAAAACAAACAAAACAAAACAAAAACCTTTCTTTGCCTATTGAACTTATCATCTTTGTTTTTCCTCTCATCACCAAATCACTTTTTGCAGAATTACCACAACCTCATGAAGTCGTGCAAAAATGAAAAGGCTTATATGATCCCATCAGCGTCCAAAATAACTACACATGGCTCTTTTTGTTTTTTACATAAACGCCGTTAACTCGCACATAAATTTTGAGGTCCTCTCCCTCGCCTAATCGTTCCCTGTACATGGTGATGTTAGTTCTAGATGCAAGGTGGCTCAAGGCAGTATTTTGGAATTTTGGAATTTCCTTCATTCTGGTTCCACTTCCCAACTTTTGCCACCCCTGCCACCCTCTTTACACTCTTCAACTCAGTATTCTTTCTTTAAAATAACTCACTTTTTTATTTATATACAACTATTATTATTATTATTATTATTATTATTATTATTGACAGGGTCTCACTCTGTTGCCCAGGCTGGAGTGCGGTGGTGCAATCACAGCTCACTGGAGCCTCGATCTCCTGGGCTCAAGCAATCCTCCTGCTCCCGAGTAGCTGGGACTGCAGGTGTGTACCACCACTCCTGGCTAATTTTTTTTTTTTTTGTAGAGATGGGGTTCTGCCATGTTGCCCAGGCTGTTCTTGAACTCCTGGGCTCAAATGATCCTCCCAAAGTGCTGAGATTACAGGCATGAGCCATGGAGCCCAGCCAGATAAACTTATTTTTTAACTTTAAAACTTATAATACTACCAGAAGTGGGAAATCCGTGTGACTAGCCAAAATTTGAGTGTAACTATAAAAATAAAACAAAAACAATGTGATTAAATGCTAGATGGAGACTGGCTGTTACCTGCTGAAGGCTCTGGTCTGAACCTCCCCATGCCTGTGGCTCTTTGTGAAGATCAGTCAGCTCAGTGAGTGTCTGAGTGCCTTGAGGACCCGGGAGCTCCAGACCGCTGAGACCCTCCCACGGGAGCCATCGGGACCGAAAGACCTTGGCAATGCACTTCCATTCACACAAGGTCCTTCCAAGGCACTGAATGCCCCTGAATTCATGGCACTTGATATCCCACTTGTGTTCCCCCAAAACAAGTGATGCGTGAGCTGCCACCTTTGGAAGGTCTTGTAATGTTGGGAAGAACTAGACTTCAAGGCAGCCTTCAGGGCCAGTTCTTGCCCAGTCAGTTCTTGACTAGTTCCTGGCTTGCTCAGAATCTCAGATAAGTCACTTCTCCTCCCTGGAAGTCAGTTTCCTCATTTCTAAGAGAAGCAGCTGATTTCTGGGATTTCTGACATTTATAATCCACTGGGCATTATGCTTATTATTTTAATGATAAACTTAATATTCCACAAAATTAATATGCCACAACTCACTTAACCCTACTATTTGGCATTTATATTATTTCTGGTCTTTTACAGTTCTAATGTGCTTCCCCCTCTCCATAAAAGCAGGTTTTCTATTTTAAATTATTTCAGGATAAATGCCCAGAACTGGGATTTCTGGTTTAAAATATGTGGGTCTCAACCTCTATTGGCTGACGGCCCTCCCAGAGGCTTGCACCATTTCACAGCTGCACACGCAGGGCCTGGGAGAGTGCTCAGGGGAGAGCCTTGAGTGTGAGCATGAGGAAATCTCTGAAACCCTTTTTAGACACATAAGCAGTCGGAGGCTTTGGGCAGATTGTGAATTGGAGAGGAAGAGCTGGTGCCCCTTCAGGCAAAGCTGTGATTAGGCTTAAAGTTCACCCCTTGAAAGCTCCACTGGCCACAAACATTCTCCCTCTTTGCGCTTCCTCCTCTCTCCCCAGTGCTCTGACATCTGGAACAAGTAAAAGATTTCAGAGGAGGGAACCTTTCCCCCTTGTTTTCTCCTGTGGCCTGTCACTTCCCCTGACTTCCTCCAATGAGGAGGCTCCCAGCCTTGGTCCCACCCATCAGGATGGAAATAAATCCAAAACTGCAGCCAACACCGGCACACTTTGAGATCAGTTTAGATGTTTGGGAATATTTTATTCTTGGGTTCTGAGGAAGGATGTGTGCTTTTTCTAGAGCTCTCTCTCATTCATTTCTTAGATAAACAATTTCTCTACTTCATCCCACAGTGGGAAGGCTTCCCTCTGTATCACAGCATACACTCCCATCTCCTGCATGAGCGTGGCTGCTCCCCAAGGGTGGGGATTTGTGTCTGTCTTGTTCACAGCTGCATTTCTTGTGTGGAGAGCAGTGCCCGGCACATAGAAGAGCCTCCGTGCGTGTTTGTTGAATGAGTGGATGTTGCACCCAAGATCCTCCACTTTGCCTAAGGTGGGCTATGGGGTCAATTGTAGGAAATGGGGCCAATCCATTTCAGTCAAGCTTTCATCCCCAAAGGGCAAGACAGTTTTCTAACAACATGGCAGCTTATGGAGAAATAAGGTTTTTCTAGAATGGAGAACTTCAGGATTATTCAAGTTCAAATTCAGAATGTGAATACAGTGAGGTCTATGAGAATCATTTTTGCAGAAGATAATTAGAACGTGTTTCTTTCTACCCCTGGAAGAAGGAGACACTCAATCTGAGAAGAGAAGAAAAAGGTTAAAAAGAGAGAGAGAGAGAGGCAAGAGGGAGAAGAGAAGGAGAAGAGGAGAAGAGGAGAAGGTGTTACTCGGAGGACAAATGCAATCAAAGAATAAAAAGCCAAAAACTTCCAGACCTAGCTGGAAAATATTTGTTCAATAAGTCATAAAAGCATTGGGGACAGGGAGTAACTAGGTTTAAACTGATTAAACATAGGTTTATAGATGTTTTCCAGGGTGACATGGCAAGGTTGCCCCAGTCCTGCATTCTGCTCTCCAGAACCTGCAACTGAGGAGTCACCTTCAGGGGAAGAGGTGGGCCAGGGAGGAGGAGCCAGCCTCGGGCACAGAGAACCCAAGCCAGGACCCGTCAGGACCCTGGAGAGCTCCGAGCCAGCTGGATGTTCAGTGTTCTGCACCATGCAGCAAATCTGGCCAAGTCGGGAGAAGTCTCCTTTCTCAAACCCCCTTCTGACTTTTAAAGGAAGGGATGCCTTCCACTCTGTTGAGAACTTGTGTTATCCAAGGACGCAGAGGCTAAAAAATAGAATCTTGGAGTGTTGGGGCGGAAAGTGGCTGTCACTGACTTCCCTCTGAGATTCCAACCTCAAATCTGACTACATCACATGATCAGTGGTCAAGTTCTGGTTCCAAAGCTGGTCTCTAACCTCGGGGAGGAAATTTAACACCAGAAAGCCTACAATGGAAGAGCTACTAAAAGAAACAATAAATGGCTCACATTCTGTGAGTAGCGTGTGTATTTGGTTCTAGAGCCCCAGAGAAGTGAAATGAACTAGACAAAGTTACCCCTAAAATGTTCCATATGATTTGGATGTGTGTTCTCTCCAAATCTCAGGTTGAAATGTGATCTCTAAAGTTGGAAGTGGGGCCTGGCGGGAGGTGATTGGATCAGGGAGGCGGATGTCTCATAAATGGTTTAGCACCATCCTCCTGGTGATGAGTGAGTTCTCGCTCTGGTAGTTCATGAGAGATCTGATTGTTCAAAAGAGCATGGCACCTCCCCCCACCACTTCTTGTGCCCACTCTCACCATGTCACATGCTGGCTCCCTGCTGCCTTCCGCCATGATTTTAAGCTTCCTGAGGCCTCACTAGAAGCCAAGCAGATGTTGGTACCATGCTTCTCATACAGCCTCCAGAAACAGGAGTCAGTTAAACCTGTTTTCTTTGTACATTGCCCAGTCTCAGGTATTCTTTTATAGTGACACAAAATGGCCTACCACAACGATGCCTCACATTCTCAAGAGAAACCAAATGTGCAAAGGGTTTAAGAGTCTGTTTGACTCTAACTCCTCCTCAGAGAGCAGCAATGGATCTTTTGGGGTTCCCGCAAGGTATTCCCATCTAATGGCACCAGAAGAGTGGTCCACAAAGAATCTAGGCTTTGCAGTTCTTTGTACTCTACCCTATCTTCCTTTTCCTCTTTCCCCAGTAGAAAGCCTGCAATGTGAAAGAGCTACATAAAAACCAATAAATGGCTCACTGTCTGATTAACTGTCATGGTGCTTATCATAGCTCACTGGACAACGATTGACTCCTTGCAGGTTGGAGAAAGTATGAGCCCCTACTTGTTCCAAAATTTGCTTTGCTTCTTGCCTGGCTACAGCTTAGTTCCTTCTGGGGCTCATCACTACGTGGTAGTTGACTGTGGCTACAGAGGTTGTGAGGCCCTGATGCCTAGCAATTCAAGATAGCTGGATTGTGATGCCAATACAGCTTAGAGAGAAAATGGCTTGCTCAAGGTCAATAGCAAATATGCAAAACCCAGAGCTGTGATGGGCATGAGAAGCTTCGAAATTTGGAAGAGAGACTCAAGTCTCAAAGTAAAGCTCTCATTAATCCCAGGTGGTACATCTCTTGAGGCCTGCAGGATTCCCTTAAATGTGTCTGGCATTGAGTTTTATCCCCAGTGTGTGTCACGAGAAGCATAAAAATGTGATCCTTGTTTGCAAGTGTCCCCTCACCCAGGCGTGATGAGGTCAGAAATTCCACCCTTGCAGACAGCAGGGGTTTTTTGGGTTGAGCATTGACCGTCTTCCTGGACGCTCATTTGGAAGGCAACCAGTGCCTCAAAGACGAAAGACTTCCACAGCTGACCTCTAGCCTTGAGTAGGAAATTTAACACCAATAACTGTACCCTTGGGACAGGACTTCGCAAAGGTCCAGACAGTGGTAGTGGCTTAGTTCCATTCTCAACCTGGTCTTCTAAGACCATTACTGCTTTGTGTTCATTATCTATGAGTGGTTTGCACCTTTGGTTTCATATTAGGACCACTTGGGGAGCTTTTAAAAACCTCAAGACCAATATTCCACTGGTAGTTTCTGGGGATGGAGCTCAGGCCTTAGTAGCTTTTAAAGCTCCCCAGACGACACCAGTGTAGCCAAGGCTGTGAATTGCAGCTCTCCTGGGAGAGCAGAGAATGGAATTGTAACCACTTCTAAGTCCACTGAGCTGAGCACAGTGTCCTGCCCACAGGAAGCAGTTTTTTAATCCATATTGCACTAACGGTGGAAGTTAGATTGAGTTCCAGTACAAGTAAAACTCCCAGGACCTTACATGGCTATGCTGACCAAGCTAAGATTTATTTCAGGAAAAAAATACAAGATATTAAGACCATTAAAATGAGGATATGCATCAGGGCCAAAGGCTGCCTCATAGTGAGGGGTTCTGAGAGTCAGGGGAGAGCTCCAGTTGTTACACTGATGTGGAACGACCATGTGCTTGTTCTTTCAGATCAGGATCTACTGATGCACCTGAGATATTAGAATCAGGAAGCACACAATGGAGGGCTCATCGTGTAGGCACACATGCTGCGTTACCAGCCCTGGCACTGCACAGGGCTCCCTGAGGGAGCCCCTGAGGCCAGTTGCAGGTCATCAGTCTCATTGTGACCCTCAAACAATGCTGACAAGCTGATATCAGACACCCTGAAACTTGTCTCCACCCATGGCCACCAGTCAGTACCCTTCATGCCTTGCCCAGGGGTCCATGCTGTGCAGGCACATCTCTTACTTCAGCAAAACAGCCCAGGCTGATGCCAGACCTGCTGCAATGAGCCCTCAGTGCACCTGGGAGATAAATTCAGCCTGCTTTTCTTGAAACCTTGATACTCAAAGTGAGGTCTTGAATGAAGAGCATCAGGGTGACCTGGGAGCTTTAGAAAAGCTGGATGGCAGGTCCCAGCCCAGAACTACTGAGTCAGAACCCACATTTTCACAATGCACTTCCCCCTCGGAAGTCCTGTGCACATTGACATCTGAGATTCACTGCCTTGAAGGCCACCACACTCATGCTGTTTCTCTTCCCACTGTTCAGGCTGGCCCTCATGCCAGCGAGGCCAGTGTGTTAAGACCAGTGTGAGCATCCCAAGAAGAGGAAAGCCCCTGCATCACGGCCCAGACCCTAAGCCCACCATGTCAGCTCAGGGGGTGCAGAGTGCCTCTATAGCCTGGTCCCCTTCACTGGGAACCATCATGACTGAGGGCTGGGTGACCTTGTGCTGGTGGTGCAGGGTGATTTGTGTCCAGGGAACAGGAGGGCACTCCTATCATTGCCACTCGTCTCTCACCCAACGCATATATTCAGATGAAGTCAGGGCAGAGCTGCAGCCACTGCAGCCTTGAAGGGGAAATTCGCATGACTCATTCACTATTACCACGACCGCTCACAACAATAGCTAACGTTGAATACCCATCTTTGAGTCATCCTACTATCAGCTAGCATTTATTTGGGCATCTGGTATGTGCCAGGCACCATGCTCTTTATTCACACTAACCTATTCATCAGCACAACCTCACTACATTGATATATTGTTCAAGATCACCCAGACTGAAGAGGCAGTGCCAGGATTTGGATCCAGGTATCTGATTCCAAAGACTTCACTCTTAACTCTTACCCTGCTCGTCTTTGAGAACTGGCCCATCCAAACATGTTACAGGAGTGAACACAATAGATACAATGTCTGCCTTGTGGTCTAAAAGGAGTCATTCCTGAGCATGTGTGGTGTGCACTGTATCATTTATTTACACAGCAACCTTAAAAGGTGAGGATATTATGATCCATATTTGACACATTGAGGTAGGGCTCAGAGAGGCTGAGTCACTTTCCCCAGGGTCACACAGCTGGGTCTGGGAGGGGTGGAAGGGGTGGATGACAGCTCCAACTTGCCTCTGTGAGAGCTGAAGGGCTCAGGGTGTGTACGTGAGTACTGGGGCTTTTCCAAACTTCCCTGGCTCCTTGCCAGCTTTCCTCAGCCAGAATTTGGGAGTCCTCAGAACCCCACAGAGGGAAGCTAGCATCTTCTTTGTTACACTCTGGACTTCCCAGAGGCGGTTTCCCTGCCCCCAACGTGCTGCATGTGACTTGATCTCTCCGAGCCCCTGCTTTCCGGTCCGTAAATGAGATCTTGAGTGGTCTCATGTATGGTCACTGGCAGGGTCAGTGGGATGCCCAAATAAAACAGCCCATGGAGGAGTAGCAGCAGCAGTGGGTGCTTATACACGGCGGCTCCTTCTCTCAAATCTCAGGACCGCTGTGAGGTCTGGGAAACCCACACCCCCACTGGGAGAACATTAGCTAATAGGAAGCATCAGGAACTTGTCTTCTTTTTAGAGACAGGGTCTCACTCTGTTGCTCAGGTTGGAGTACAGCAGCACAATCATAGCTCACTGCAGCTTCGACCTCCTGGGCTCAAGCCATCCTCCCACCTCAGCCTCCTGAGCAGCTGGGACTACAGATGTGCCACCCTGCCCAGAGGAAGTTTTAAACTTGACCACTATCTCCTAGCTAAGAGAGGGGCATGAAGCCCAGGCCCCAGAGACACGGTTCCTCTGGCCGCAACCTTTGCTTCCAAGCATCTGAGTAACTAACTGCCCATCAGGGATCAGGGGAAAGAGGCCCTTCCGACACCAGCGCAATATTCTTCTGCTTGGCCACATGAGGGCAGCACACGCCTGTATAAAGCACAGCTCTGGCTACAGCTCCGCCTGGGGATGAGGATGTCACTCAGCTTCCAGAAGAACCAGCTGAGTTCATGCTTGCAAAGCCACCAGATCTCTGTGCCCTATTGTGCCTACTCGCCTTACTCTGCCCAGTGTCCCTCCTCCCACCGCCCTTGTTTCACAGATATCATCCAATCCTCTCTCCAAGGTAAGTGTTTACTTTAAGCGTTAAAGCCATAGGCTAAACAGCCTCCCATCATTTTCCGTTCAGCAAATATTTACTGTGCACCTGCTTCATGCCAGGCACTATTCCTGGTGCTGGAGACTCAGTAACAAAACAGGCAGAGATCTCTGTCATCACTGAACTCAGTCTCATGGAATGTTTGGGCTGCTGTCCCCCATGCAACATTTTATTATGTAAAATGTTCAAACATGCAGAAAAGTTGAAAGAATAGCACTCGTGTAATGAACCCCATAGACCCACCATCTTTATCACATAACTGCCCACTTATTTATCTCCTTATCCGTTCACTCTACTTTTAAATGCATTTCCAAATAAGAAGGAGACATCACAATATCTCTGCTTGATATTGTTACCCAGAGGGCAGTTTATTTGTGCCTTTTAAAAGTAAAATCAACATATAGTGTGATGTACAGATCTTAAGTGACCCATCAAATGACTATTGACAAGTACACACACTTGTCCACCCAAATAGAATCAAGATAGAAAACACTGTTAGCTGCCTTTTATTAGCTCTGCAATTTTGGGCTGGTTATTTAACTTTTCTGGATTAGTTTTCAGAGTTAAAAAAACAAAGTTGTTGAGAGAATTAAATGAAATAATATGTGACAGTGCCTGGGGCACAACAGACACATGGGTTAAGCAGTCAGCCTGCCTCAGTGGAGTTCCCACTCCACTATGTTCTGGCTGTGTGACTTTGGACAAGTTGCTTAACCACTCTGAACCTCTGTTTCCTTCTCGGAAATCAGCCATAACACTACTTTTTAGCAACATTCTCAACCATGGCTGAAAACTAGAATCATCTGAGGAGCTTCTAAATATTACTAACATTTCCTAATTATTTGAAAATCTGTAAATATACTTTTGGATTAGAGAATGGTTAGAGTTAACAGAACTGGGTTCCACTAACTTCTGCTAACATGGGTGTCAGCTCTCTGGGCCTCAGTTTTTCATCTCTAAAATGGCTGCATCATGGGCTTGTTGGGGGGTCTGAGAGGAGGTTGAGAGCTGTGACGTGTTCCACCCTTATTAGATATCTTTATTTAGAAACATTGGCATCAGAAAGGGCCTTCTAGATCTTAATTGGACAGAATTAGCCATTTTAGAGAAGAGGAACCAAGGCACATGGAAGAACCAAACTTTTTATCATACCTTAGAAAATTCAATCTGGCCTTGATGATGCCTCATGCCCCAGGGGTACAATGACCCCAAACAGGTCATATCTTACCTTCCTCAGGCAGCCTCTCCCAATCACACAGGTATCTTTCTCTTTCCTCTCTTGTCTGCTTTATATAGTTAGGAATTTATTAGAAACTCTCGTGTTTTCTACTATATAGGAAAAATGAAATTGGTGGCACATCTACCTCCACTACCCATGCCTGCGCCCCAAACAGACATTAATAATGGATTGCTGAACTTTTTCCCACTGAGTCCATGACTGCCTTAGCTGTCTATCCTACAGAATACTCAAACAGACATAATCAGATAATCACTGTTGAAAGGTTAAATAAAATCTCTTTTGCTATTTTTCTGAGATGAAATTTAAATAAATATTGGCTGGCAATGTCAGCTGCTTTGTTTCCCCAAATAGAGTATCAATTCTTCAAGGACAGGACCATATATTATCTTCTTCCATATTCTAACAAATGTTCAAGCATTTTGGAAAGCAGATATCTTTAAGCTACCTTTCCTTGACTGGAGAAGCAGTGTGCCATGGTGGGCAGCACAGGGTCTCTGGAATAGATAATCCTGACTTTTAAACATAGTTCTGCCACTCGCTGGTTGGGTGACCTGGGGCAAAATGACTTCATTTTCTGAGCCCAGTTTTCTCATCTACAAAATAGAGGAACATACTTGCCTCTCTTTCAAGAATACTGCAAAGAGTTTGTGAGCCCATGCAGGTAAATCTCCTGGCACAGTGATTGGGACATGGCAAGTGCTCAGTAAATGACAACTTTGTCATTAGCACAATTGTCAAGGTGGAGGAAGGAGGATGTGAGCTAAGTCTATACAATCATAAGTCAGACTCACTCACTGGAACCTGACACAAAATAAAAAAGACAGCCATCGGTGCCTGGAACAGGCGAGCACATGATAAGTATGTGTCACTTGCACGGCAATTAATACAGGTATTTGCCATTGCAAAGGTAACGCTTTCTGGGACAGAGCTAGATCAAGAAATGTCTGGGTGAATTTGTGCCTGGAGAGCACATGGGACCCTGGAGAGAAGGGAGTGACGGCCTCACCATGCCAACTAGTCAGAGTAGGGCAGGTATGTCTGGGAAATGACCTGTCTACAGGTGACGGGGAAGAAGGCGAGCCAGGCAGGTGAGACGGTGTGGAGAGGATGGGGGCTGGTGAGCCAGTGTGTGTCCCAGCAGGTGAGTGGAAGAACACAGCCACTTGTGAGAAGCTGAGGGGCAGAGACCCAGGCAGGTAGGTGGGAGACATTTGGCACCAACTGCATGTGGAGGTGCAGAGGAAGTTTCCAGGTTTGGGGGCAGGGATGGCAAAGAACAGAAGAGAGAGACACTCAGTAGGGGGTTGGGTCTAAGAAGGAGGCTTCATTCAGTTTAGCAGCCAAAGGGAAGTGCAAGGTCAGAAAGCTCTGTCATGCATCCCCCAGAATCAGCAGTGATCTGGGGGTGGGTGTGCTGTGAAGCCCCCCCGAGGCTGCCCTCAGTGCTATTGAGATGCCCCAGCCCCTGGCTTCCCCAAGCAGCTCCCTCGTGCTCAGCAGGATGGCACAAACATCACTCACTCTCCTTGTCAGCGGTTGTCACAGCACATTTGTGGCAGCAGCGTTCATCCACGCTTCAGGAAGTCGGTGAGGCTGGGTGCTTCAGGGGATGGCCAGATTTAGCGATGCCTCATATCCTCGGATGACATCAGGGGACTCACTCCCTGACCAAAGCAGTGGAAAATGGGACTGGAAAACAAAAAAGAAGGAAGAATAAATCTATTCAAATGCTACCTCCTTGATTGCATGGGGCCTTTTAAATGTGTCCTGAGCAGGGACAGAGAGAGAGGCCTCAGTTCTCATCCTTAGTTCTGTCATGAAGTAGCTGTGTGTTGCAGAAAATATCAGTCTGGGCTTCAGTCTCTTCACCTGTAAAATGAAGATAATTACAGCTGCCTGGACAAATGGGGCAAAAACGAGGCTCAGATGGAGAGCACAGACTCATAGGCAGGGGTGACAAGTGCAGGTTCTCTTGGGTGTCGACTCTGCCTGGTGGTGGCTGCCTGATCCCTGCATTGAGAAGAACGCTGAAGCTGAGGCCAAGCTGAGCCAGAGAGAGTGCTAGGATCGATTAGCTATGCCTGCCTCAGGTGCCAGATTGGAGGGCGCTCCTGCTATGCTATGTTTGCCATTTCTGTCCTAAATGGTTTTTAGGTATCATTATTATCATTTCTTCTTTACCCAAAGCCAAAAGCACCCTGAGAAGAGGCCAATGGGCAGGTCTGCACCCAGGAGGCTTTGGTGCTAATCCCACAGCCCTCTTCTTCCTTTTTCTTGGTTTTGTTTATTTTTTTTTTCCTTTTTCTTCCTTTTTATTTACTTATTTATTTTTTTTCTGGGTAGCACAACCAGGTGAAGGAGACTCAGGTGAGACTTCAGGATGAGGATCAACAATGTCAAACTCTGAAAGACAGAAGGAACTGGAAGCCAATGTCAAGTTGGCAGAAGTCAGAGGCAGCAGAAAGAAAGCAGACAGCTGAGCCCAGAGGCAGAGGGAAGGCGCCTTTCAGTGGGCAGAGGTCAGACACACCTGAGGGCTGGGGGTGGAAGTGAGCATGAGGAAACTCGGCAAGGGAAGCAAACCCTTCCTCTGCGCACCTGCAAAGAGCCCCAGCTCTGCTGTTGGCGCAGCCCTCTCCAGCTGCACGGCTCAGGGGAGCTACTGCTCTCAGAGCTTCAGTTTCCTCACCTGCAAAACAGAGGTTGTTGTGAAGGCTAAATGGCACTACGTCATAGCAGTGTCTCATGGCACCCCCCTCCCACCAGCCTTTGGGTCCCAAGGTCGTTCTTGCAGGCCCAGCCCATTGGCTCCATCTGGGAGACCCAGGGCCAGAGAAGCAGAGTGGGCCCGTGAAAGACAGGAAGGGTGGTCCGGGCCATCAGACATTGACAGCCTCTCTTGTGCCTGCTCCCAGGCTCTGACCCATTCATCATATCCCTGATTCTAAGTTGCCTGGGATTTAGACCTGTTTCTGCTCCAGGATGTCCAGTCCCTCTAGAAGCAGCTTGGAGTGGTCTGGGAGCGGGGGACACTCGTGGCTGCTCCTTTGTAGCAGTTCTAGAACTTGCAAGCATGGGACAAAGATGATCATGATCATTTCGCTCATCCCTCGGGGCTCTAGCCCCTTCCCGGAGAGTGCTGTCAGGCTCAGGGCCCTGCATTCCAGTCCCGACGGGCCACTTCCTGGCTCAGAGACCTCCAGCACCACTCTGGGCCTCAGTTTCCTTATCTGTCAGCTCCCTCCCAGCTGGGTGGTCATAGGTCTAAATAAGATCACGTGAATATATGAAAGTTCTCTGTAAACTGCAAAGTATTAGCTGTACGTTAACCTCTGTCCTCTCTGAAATTCACAACTCACAGAATTACTGGGGGTCTTTTCTAACAGGACAGTGACAGGGGAGCAGATGGCCCCGGTTCTCTGAGTCACACTGCACGGTCGTCCCACCCCCACAACTGCCTCATTTTCAGCTGCGTCCTCTTCCCTCCACTCCAGTTCAGAGAGCCTTTCAGTTACCCTAATCACACTACACATTACTTGCAGGCCTCGGAGCCTGTGCTCAAGCCATTCCTTCTGCCGGGAATGACCTTTGCCTCCCTGCTTGGCAAACTTCTATGCATCCTTCAAGACTCAATGCCGATGACAGTTCCTGCCTGATACCTTCCCAAGGCAAAGGGTGTGCCTCCCTCAATGGGCTCCCCAGCCTCTATTTTCGAACCAGAGGAGTGAGAACAAACCGAGTTGGCATGACGGACGCACCCCTGCCCCGCACACAGTAGGTGCTTAGCTGATGTGTGGATTTGAACCTGTTGCCTTCCCCTCACTCACCCAGGACTGGTCTTGACATTCAGAGCTCAACTCACATCCGGGGCTGTGTCCAAGCCCTCTATTCTGTTTGGCTCAGATGGCCCCACGCTCCCTGGGGCAGAGCCGTCCCGAGGCAGCCTCTGCCTTCATGATGCTGTGTCTCTATGTGTTGGGGTGTGTGGCAGTGGAGGGGCTGTGGTCACAGAGGAGCCAACCAGGAGAGCTGAAGGCCGCCCGTAGCCATGGAGACAGGGCCCCCGGGCCAGCCAGGCCCGGGCTGGTCAGTGAATGAATAAACGTGGCCCATTTTTCTGCTTTTGTCCGGAGCCTCCCTGGGGCTTCCTGCTGTCAGCCCCAGCTGTGGGGAAGGCGGAATTTGCCTGATATCGCGGAGCCGCCGCCTGGCAGCGCCGAGCCTGGCCTGGGCCGCTTCACGCCAAGATTCATGCCCGGCTAACAAGCCCCACTTTGTTCCTGTGGGAAAGTCCAGCCTCTCAGGAAAGAGCCCTCTCTCCGGCCGGCCCCTGGTCTGGGGACTCAGCGAGGCAAACAAAGCCTCCATCCGCTGGCAAGGATTCTCAGGCCCCGAAGTCCACCTCCGTTCCCCGGCCAGGGGAGGAGCTGCTCTGGGAGGCGGAACTCAAGCGCATCCCTTTGTCCCACTCATCCCGGAGGCCTGAGATGCCACCTGTCTGGCAGGTCTCCCCCACTGCCCCTGCCTCGCCTCTGGCTACAAAGTGTGGGCTCTGTCAGAGCAGCTGGCCTGGGCTGGGGCACCCAAGGCCTTGGGGAGCTCGGCCTGGCCCCTGCTCCCTGGAGTTGAGGCCCAATGTACCTGCAGATACGCCCCAGGGACTGGGTGGAGTCCTGATGGCACTGCTGTCCAGACGGTGACCTTGGCCTCATCACAGCACCTCAGCAGGCTCAGGACAAGGACACTAAGCCCGGCTGCCCCCTCGAGTGTTGGAGTTATCTTCTCTAACCACAATGACAAGGAGTGGCCTTATTTAGCACTGGGCCTGTGCTGGGCTCTCCACCGAGGGCATTGCATGGGTGAACCATTGGAGAGGTTCTCCCATTTGTGAGCTCGGCTCAGACGTCTATAGGGGAGGACAGAAAGGTCACAGGAAGGACGGATGCTGCTCTGGGGTTGGAGCAGAAGGCACTCCGCCCCACCTAGCAAATCCCCAGCAACGCAGCTTTGGCAGCTGTTATCCTGTAGAAACGTGGGTCCAGCCCTGTCTGATCTTCTGATTGTCTTTCAAGGGAGTTGAACATTTCTATTTTGATGTGAAATTTCCCAATTTGTAAAAATGTAAAACGAAGCAATATATCGTGGCTGAAAGCCCTCAGAGTCCAAGTTTTGTTATCTGTAAGGGAGGTGTCAGAAACAGGTGGCCTAGGGACTAGATGCGGCCAGCAAATAGGTTTTATCTGGTCCCCAGATAATTTTACAATAATTTATTATGGAGTCTATGTCATGCATTCCAAAGAGGAATATAAAATGTACATGAAAGGCATAAAGAATCATGAAATACATATCCCTGAACCCACCTCCCAGCTGAGAAAATAGACCAACCCCAAGACTGCCCCTGCCAGCCCCTCCCCCCGCACCCCAGAGAGGTAACCACTGTGCTGAATTTTGTGTCTACTCTCCCCATGCTTTATATGTAGTTTTATATGTAGTTTTGTATCAGTTAGTGCATTCAAGGCCACACAACACAGCTCTCGCTGACTCCCATCTTTTGGGTCCTTCCAGCAGCAGAGCCTGAGACAAGGGTATGAGGGCAGGAGATTCCAGAAAACACCAGCTGGGCAGTGGGAAGTGAGACAAGGATAGGAAGGAGGCCCATGAAAGGTGTATTATCAAGTGGTCCCTGAGTGGCAACTGGAGCTCAGTACTGCTGGGGGCATCTGGGAGACTGGGTAGAGCATGCACCTCAAAGCTATCCTGCCTAATGGACCAGGGAGCTGGGGTATTTATACCCCACTCCCATCAGTCACTGGTTCAGGGCTGCTCCCAGGAAGAGCTAATTCTCCAGCATTTCTGGCCTGCTATTTGGAAGGGCAGAGTGGCTCTAGGGCCAGAGAGAGACCTCAGGAAAGGGATGCAGGGCAGGCAGTGGTAGTCAGGCAGATGTGCACTGAAGGGGTCAGGTGAGGGGCTAGACCAGGACACCACAGTGTCTGCTACACTACTTGAGCTGGCTTTGAATCCAGCGGCTGGGCTTCCTACACTATGAAGTCATTTGCCTGCTCAAATTCACCCACCAGAGGTGCTTTCTATCCCACACCTACTGAACAAAAATTGTGTATGGGGGGACGTCTAGGCAGTCATGTTTTCTACACAGTCTCACAGCATCTGGATACTCACTGAGGTCACGAGCCACTGGCCCAGGAGATAAAGTGCATATGCTCAGCCTGTCGTTCAAATCTGCTACCACACTCTGCTCCCACCCTTCCCTTCCCATCCCTGTCCTGCTCCCTAGGCCACAGTCCCCTCAACCTGCTGGATTGTCTCTCAGAGGAACAGCCAGCCTCAGGAAATGCAACACTTTCAGGGAAGTTCATGTGCACAAATTGCAGACTGGTGGGATTTAAGAAATGGCCCAAATTAAGGGTTTCTGAATTACTCCACTTATCTCTTCTTGGCCTTAAGATTGCTTTTTATAAATTGAGATGATGGAAATGTTTCTTTCTTCCCCTGAGAGGCATAAAGGGAACCAATTCCATTTCATAATCCAAAACATAAGCCTTAATTTTCCATTTCCTCTGCAGCCACAGTAAAGCTGCTAATCCTTAAACCTGTGCTGATGGTCCCCATGTTGGACGTCAAAGGAATCTATAAGCTTACCCTGCTTCCCTGTGGTTTATCTGAATTGAACCCTGTACAACAGACATGGGAAGCAAAAGTCTTGAGATTGTTAGGGGCTCCTTTAAGACAAGGGATGTATTTGCACTCTGTTGTGCAACATTTAGTGAGCAACTACTATGTGCCTGACACTGCACTGAATCAGGGAGACACAGAGGTGAGTAAGTCCCAACCCCTACCTACAGATGGAGCAGCTGATTACTTTCTTACTATACGGTGAGTGGCGAGGTACAAGACGCAGGAGTATGACCCTGATGGTGGTGCTCTGGCCCCATGAGTTACCACGTGATGCAGCAGTCAAGACTTCTCTTTGTCCTACCCAGGGATGACTCAAGATTGAACCTATGTGGAATACAGCTGAGGCAGTTTCTACATTAGCCTCTTCCTCACTCTTTGCAGGTTCAGTTCTAAAGACCACTGGCCCATCTGGACTGTCCTGGACATTCTGTCTGCAGCCTGTCTATTCAGCAGGTGCAAGAAACTGCTACCAATCCACCCCAGCCTCTTCTTGAATGTTGACTGCTAGATCAACCCTGTGGACAGCCAATTCCCAGATGGACCATCCCCATAGAAGTGGTTCCCAAACCTGGCTGCCCACTGGAATCATGAGGAGGATGTGGAGAGCTTTTAGAAAATGCCCATGCTTGTTCTGCCCACAGAGATGGTAAGGATATTGGTCTGGGGTGAATCTTGGCCATCAGGATGGCCTTAAAAGTTCTGCAGCTGATTCTAACGTACAGCTAAAATGACAAACACTGACCTAGAAGGACAAGGCCGTGGCCCCGTGGACTATCTCCTTCTTTAAAATGGACAATTCACTAGGTATTAAAGGCTCTGAGACCCTGTAGTAAAGACTCCTGTTTAACTCAGTGTTTCCCAAACTTATTTAACCATGGAACCCTTTCCTCTCTGAACAGCTATTGACATCGGAAAAATAGCATTCTGCAGAACACACACTAGGGCATGCTGGGGAAGGAGCACCCACGGAGTCAGGGGTATGTGGAATAAAGAGGTTTCAGACAAGCAATCCTTTAAGGTGAGAAGGTCCCGGGAGTACTAGAAACAAAAGCTCTATAGAGGCAGAACTCATTCTGACCTTTGCCCATCATGAAGATTGTATTGTTGATCAAAATATGATGCTCTCTCCATATGCTGACCACTGGCTTGGCCATGTGACTTGCTCTGGCCAATGAAATACAATAATAATGACATTTATCCCTTCCGGGTTGAAGCTTTAAAAGCTGTTGCCTGGCACCATTGAGTTCTCTGGTTTCCTTTCATCATGAGACCTCAACATCCCTGATAGGGGCTGCTCCCTTAACTAAGGTCCCAGGGTAAAGGAGACACAGAACAGAGTACAGCCAATCCCCCATGGACAAGTAACTTCAGCAAGAAAGAAATCTTTGTAGTTGCAAGCCACTGATATTTGGGGGCTCACTTGTTACCACAGTATAGCATAGCTTTCACTGACCGATGCACTCATGGAAATGGTGCTGGTAACATGCTTGTTCTTGCCATAAAGCACTAACATTTAGGCTGAGCATTCAGACCATCTCTATCATTTGAATCTTTCCTCTTGAGCATGTATTCCATTAAAAAAGGAAAATGTGTTTCAAGTTTTACCCTCATAGTGACCCTTGTAGATGAAATCTCTCTTCTGCTCAGGCTGGCAGGGTCAATTGGAAGCTCTAAGTGCATTCTTTGCTCAAATAAGACAACAAAATGCCTTTCCTGGAGGAGATGCCTAACCCTTAAAAAGTATTCTTTCAGAGCTTAGATGTGCAGAAGGGAACGCTTTGGGGGACATGACTTTAAGACCAGTGAATGTTATTTTTGGTATCTGCCCAATACACACAGGCTCTGGGTCACCCACCTGGAGGGGAAATGGCTCAGTCAAAATGTCAAGGCAATAACTTCCACAAGACCTTTTGGTTTCCTGCTCTGGGGACAATTAGGCAACAGAGAGTAATGTATATCCAGCTCTAGAAGAGATGTCCAGGAACAGCATGGAGCTCGGCCTCCCGCTGGTTCACCGAAGTCAGCTGGATTCCCTAAATCTGACCCCTGCTGAAAAACATCTCCCTCACTCAGCCTATCTACCGTGGTGCCTGTGATCCCACATTGCTGCCTTATCCCTTGAAGTTTCCCGTAAAGCTCTGTGACGGCGTTTTGCCCAATGGAGGCCAAAAGTGAGCTGCTGACTTGTGAATAGGAATGTGTGATTGGCATAAGGTTTGAGGATCAAAAGCGTGGTATTATGGGATGCAAGTGAGCCAGAGGCAGCAGCACATGCTGTTCCTTCTGGGCCCAGGCAGGGATGAGGCTAAGACGAAAATCAGCCCAACACCACAGACCTGGTCAGGGCTCAGCAACAGGCAAACTGGGATTCAGCGGGTACACACTAGGACACCTGAGCCTGCAGCTGAAATATGGAAATACTTCCCCCATGTTGTAAATAGCTGCTGTCATTGAGGATTAAAGCTTTAGTGGGGGAGTCCCAGGTGCAGTGACAGGCAGTAGGAGGGTGCCAGCTACTCCTTGAGGTCCCACTCCCACCCTCCTTACACTCCCATCCATGCAGAAACCAAAAGACATGGAGCTACCTGGTTGCCATACACCTTAAAAGTGATTTGTTTTTTTGCCAGCTGAGAGCAAGGCCCATGGAAACAGAACCTAGCTGGTAGGTTACCAAAAAGTGAAAAAGAGGCACGGGGGAGGTAGAGGCAAGAAGAGCCCAGAGACAAAATTCTCCAGCTTCTTTATGTGCTGCAGAGCCACAATGCACTCTGAAGAAGAAGGCAGCATCAAGCTGCTATTGAGAGCTAGAGAGGAATCTCTTGAATGATTGTATTCAATGGGTTTCCATTGGGACCAGAACTCCTGAAGTCTTCAGGATGAACTGTCTGAGTAAGAGGTAGGGAGTCTTCATAAAGGACCTAAATACCTAAACAGTGTCCATCATAAATAAAGAGCTCCTGCAAATCAATAAAAAGACAGATATCCCAATAGACATCTAGGTAAAAGATTCGAACAGGTACTTCACAAAATGGCCAATAAGTATATGTAAGGAGGTTCAACCTCATTACCAATCAGGGAAAGGCAAATTAAAACCACTAACATAACATCAAAGTAAAGAAGCCAGACAGCAAACAAACACTACATGCTGTAGGACTTATTCATATACAGTTAAAGAGCAGACTGGTAGAACTCAGGATAGTGGTTATGGTTGCTGTGGGCGGGGGCCTCATGACTTGGGGGGGACTTTGGGTCAACAGAGACTCTAAGATGCTGGTGCTAGAAGCTTTTTGACCTGGGCGCAAGTTTCATGGATGTCTAATGATTAGTTCGTGAAACCTACTGAGCTATCACTTAGGATTGTGCATTTTCCTATATGTCTGTTAAATTTCAGTAAAGATCGGTGTGGAGAATCTCTCAAGAAGATAATTCTATATTCATTCTCTCAATTTTCACACATCTGGGGGCAGAAAAAGTACTGAGAGAAAGATCTTTCCTGAAAAATATTTACCTGACTACATTTCCACCCCTTTCCTCAACAGTGAGAGAACAGCCATGTCTGCTAGCTAACACGTGCTGTTTGTAAAATGTGTTTGGTGTGCAGAATCTCCACGTGGACAAGCCAGAGGGCTCCCTCTGAGAATTGTTTGTGTGTCCCCTTCTAGGGGACAATTGTCTATCCAGCACCTATGCATGCTGGGAACTTCCGCCTGCGTCATCCCAAATCAGGCTCCCAGGAAGCTGTGACGGAGACTGGGTGAAGGAGAGTTGGCAGCCTGCACTTTACAGCTAAGGAAGCGGAGACTCAGAGAGGGATGGCAGCACTCACGAGACACCCAGCCACTTGCCAGGCTGGGAGGCGAGCCCCCGGGCATCTGGCTGCATGTCCGGCCTTCCTCTTTCGGGTCACAGCTGTCCGTTCTCATGGGAGCAATGTTCTGAAAGTTGAAAGCAATGGAAAATCCAAACCAAGCACCATCGTTTATTAATTGTACACAATTTCCCTTCCATCCATCTATTTCCTTTTAATTCAGGCAAGCATACATCCACATGCTGCCCTAGCAGCCTGCACCCAGGCCTGGGGACTGGGTGCCCCAGGGGCCCCAGGGTTCTGGGGGTGGGTCATGGGGAAAGGCTGACTGGGTCCATGTTTGGGCAGTTCGAGGATGGCTGTGACTTTTTCCTGGAGAGCAGGGACCTGATATCTGTTAAGGGGCCTGACACAGCCTTCAAGACAAACTTACAGATGCTGACACTAAGCCCTGACACTAACTAGAGGGAGGAACTTCTGTCCTACTGCAGAAAGTGGGGAGGGGTTTTCTGACCCTGAGTGACGGAGGGACAGATGCCTGGGATCAGGCGTCAACTCCAGCCTCCCAGAGGTAGGGATGTTCAAGTCTATCTGCATTCAGGTTGGTGAAGCTCTTCCTTTTTCCCTCTCACCTCCTCCAGGTTCCTGGAGAGCCCACACCTCTCTCTTCTCCTGTCCTCAAGGAAAGGCCCAACCACCCTGATGTGTGACCTTGGCCAAGACCTCCTCTCACTCCCAGCTTCAGTCTTCTTATCCAGAAAACAGGAAATCTGGACTCTTCAATGTCACAGTCCCTTTCGGCTTTCATATTCAGGAGTTTTCAGGCTTTGTTAAAAGCAAAATGCCCAGGCCCATCCCCTGTAGATTCAGGATGTGGTGCAGGCTCAGGCCAGGTTTGGGACTTCTGCAGGTTTCAACATCATCCCTGAGGAGTTGTCTGATGCCTATTAAAGTGCACCCTCTATGACAGTGTGTACCGAACATGGCTGAGTCAGTCTCTTGAGAATTCTTGCTGGAAATCAGCATTTTTAAACACCTCCCAGAAGATTCCAATGAGTACAGGTATGAAAAATGCTGGCCTCCAGAGAAGGCAATTTCTGCTGGCCCAAGCTCCCCCATTTGGGACCCAAGTCTAGCTGCCTAACTGTGCCTCAGTTTCCTTATGTATAATGTGGAAATCATGGCTTCCTTTAGCCTCTAACAGGCAGGCAGGAGACACAGCAGATTCCTGGAGCAGTGTGGCAGGGTGCCCGATCCTGGACCCCCACCGGGGAGAATTCCAGCCTCTGTATCTCCCCGACTGGGCAGGGTCGGGCTGGGGAGGGAGGGAAGCAAGCCCAGCCCCACCTCATAAATCATATGCCAGGAAATGCAGGGCAGGCGCCCCTGCCTCCATATATCCCACACATTAGATGCTTCACTGGTGTCCCACAAGCGAGCTTTGTGAAGCCAGGCTCAGGGAAGAGGGGTGGGCAGTTACCAGAAATGAAACCTCAGCCAGCTCACTCCGGGGTCGTCTGGCCCCACAAGTCTCCTAGTGCAGGGGCTGGAAGCACGGCTGTTATTATTTTTTTTCTTTTGGAGGGGAAGCATTTGGCCCCAGGTTTGAGGGCACACAAAAGGCCCTCAAAAAGGAGGCAGAAATCTATTACCCGCCTGGCCAGAAATAGCCCTGGGGGAGGCTGGGCTGAAGCCAAGGCCAGAAGCTGTCCAGGGGACCTCGCAGAGGCCTCTGCCAGGGGAGCAGGGGACAGCTCGCTGACTCCCCCGTGGGGCTGTCAGCTGCAGGGAAGGGCTGTGAGGGATGTTTCAGCCTCAGAAAATCTTGGGTTTCATTTCAGGCTCCCCAACAGGAGGGGTTCCTGTTGAGGAGTGACTCAGGGCATCTGGAAGCCGTGACTGGTCAGGGTTCAGGTGGGCGGGCTGTGTCCTGAACTGAGGGCACTCAGGTGAGGCTGGAACCCCAGGGTTGCACCCACCAGAGAGGGCGCCCTTGTGTCATTCATCTGCCCAGAGTGAGAGCCTCAGCCCCATTTAGACAAAGACTCCAACAGGCATCAGGAGACCCTGAACAGATTTCCCCACTTTGCCTGGCCCAGGGGAATGTCGAAGAAAGGAATATGCCTGTGCACGGTGGCTGAGCAGGGGTCTGCCGACCAGTAAGGGCACTGAGATAGAGACGGAGGGGAGCTGATGTTAGTTAGGCACCAGCAGATGGGGCAGTGGAGCATCAGGCAACAGGATAAGCTGCAAGGACACCCATGTCA
The DNA here is from genome assembly GCF_000001405.40 of Homo sapiens. Taxonomy (NCBI): domain Eukaryota; kingdom Metazoa; phylum Chordata; class Mammalia; order Primates; family Hominidae; genus Homo; species Homo sapiens. The sequence goes on from NC_000003.12 coordinate 10,773,005, forward strand.
GCGCCTCGAGGAGGAGACGCTCCTGGGGTATGCATTTGCTCAGCCTAATTAACAGTGACTGTGCCCATTTGGGGAACACTCACTCTGTGCCGGACACTGTATTAAATGCTATTTAACACTGCATTTGGGAAACAGTTCAACTTAGTGGTTAAGAACACAGATTTATTGTCAGATCTAGTACTTCCTAGCTGTGTGATCTTGGGTATATAATTTCACATCTCTGTGCTTGAGTTTCCCCAGCTATAAAATATGGATAATGTCGTTGCTTTGAGGATTAAGTGAGACAGACCATGCATGTGAAGAACAGAGTCTGGCACACAGTAAGTGCTCATTACATGTAGCTGCTATCTGTATGATCCCTTTAGCTCTTCACAACATGGAGATATGATTATATATTGGCTAGGCTAATGCCAGCTGCTATAACAAATAAACCTCCACAATTCAGTAGCTTAATGAATATTTTTTGCTCAAATAATACAATGCTGGTGCTTCTGGTTAACAGGCAGCTCTCCTCCATGTGGTGATTCAGGGACCCAGGCTTAGAACTCTGGAGTCCCCTGAATGTGGGAGGAAGCTGGGAGAGATGGTGAAGAAGATAAGTTGGCATCTCAACCACACTGGTCTGGAAGTGATAGGCCTCCCTTCCACTCATTTTGTTGGTGACAACTAAATGATAAATAGCAGTCGGTTCAGTGTAAGGAATGCCCAGAAATGTAGTCCCTGCCCAGGCAGCCCCCATCTCATTTTGTGCTATGGAAGAGGGGGGACGAACCATGGGGGACAGTTAGCCATCTCCGCCACGTATCATTTAAGTGTTAAGATGCTGAATCTCAGAGAAATTAACTCACCCAAGGCAGAGCAGCTTGCAAATGGCAGTGCTGAGATAGGAGCACACAGCGGTCTGCCTCCTACTGTTGATATCTTTCCACCAAACACAACTGCCTCAGCCCAGGGCATTTCATCTCTTTCTGCCTGTCTGAGGTCAGGTTCTTCAACCGATAGGAGGGGAAGAGTGAGGACCTGATTCTCAGGTTGCATCTGTACCAGTCTCATGGCCCAAACAGATTCAAGGGCCTTAGTTGATGCTGGGAATGGCTGCCACTGGGACAGATGGAGAGAAGAGTGGGACCCAGATGATGGGCTGTATTTAAGACCTCAGTGGGCAAGACTCCAGCTGGGAGTCAGGCCTCAGTCCTGAAGGTGGCCTGAGATGCAAGTTGGAAAGGAAGTGTAGGGAGAGAGGGAAGCCCAGCTCCTGGGGCTGAACCATGTGGCTGATCAGCAAGGGAGAGTCCTTGGGGGCGCTTATCCCTGAGCTGGGGGCAGCCGCGAGATTCTGGGAATGATGTGTGCAGCTGTCCTGGTTTGGTGCTCTCTGAAATACACTTGAGACAAGCGGTCAAGCATGAACAGTTTATTTGGCAGTCGACCCTAGGAAATACCAGTTGACTAGGGCTGGGGAGAAGGAGGCAGGGGCAAGAAGGCTGTTATGGAGCACGTGACCCTGTGGGTAGGTGGAGCTTAGTCTTGTTGTGGACCTCTGAAAGACACCGTAGAACATCCCTCAAAGCCATCCCAGCAGGGGCTTTACCCACCAGTTCTCCATAGTAAACCCGCCAGCATGTAGAGGGAAAGTGGGGGGTCAGCAGCACCTGCCCACTGGGTGTTACTTTCCTGGGGCTCAGAATTGCCAGGCATGGCTGGATATTGATGCCAAGGCTGCTGGCATATTTCCTGGGTTGGCTTAGAGATTGGGGTGCATGTTCAGGCAGTGAATGGCCGGGTATGACCCATGAATGGGAAAGAAGGGAAGTAAGTGTATCCTCCTGAGGCAGGAACGAAGGCAGGGGGAGGATGACCCAGGAGCCACAGCCATGCTTCCAGGGACTCCCCACCAGCAGAACGTGTCCATTTTCTCTCCCTCCCCTCTCTGTACTTACTAAGTGTACATCCAGGCTGCCTCACTCGAGAGCACACAGCAATTCTCCATGCTGCACATCAGGGCGGTCGAGCAGGTACCCATGCGAGCAGGGAAGCCGGGTGGCTGGGGGCTCCTTCTGAAGTAAGCAGGGCCCCCCATGTGGCCAGGCCAGATCCATAGAGAAGGCCCTTTAAATCACACCTTTGAGGTATTTTCTCTCCTGTTTCAAAAGTTTCCGTGGAAGATTCAGGAATGAATGCCCTATTAAATACATTTTAAGGTAATGAAGTATAATTTCCCTGCCAGAAATACAGGAGGCAGGTGGCTGGTGGGAACAGCAGCACCTTTCAGCCAATTCTTGGGCTCCCAGATTTGTGTCCAGAGAGAGGTGGAGAGTTTGGAGGGGTGAGGAAGGATACTGGGCATGGGTCGGTGACTTTGTCCTACTAGAACAACACAGGGATACTCAGAAGTGCCTGGTGAGTGTAGGGTAAGTGTTCCGTGGACAGGAGATGCGGGCTCACACCAGCAGTCAGTACCGAAGCCCCTTGGCCTGGCTGTAGAGGGCTGAGTGGGGAAGAACGTCCCGATTGGGGTTGAAGGTTCAATGTTCAAGTTGGAGAAAGCCTGAGCTTTGCACCAGACACTATTGGGGTTGAATCCTTGGCTCATTACTCACACGTTCCGTTCCCTGACCTTGACCAAGGAACCTCACTTCTTGAGCAGCAACTTCCTTATCTGTAAAATAGGAACTATGGTTGTTGAATCTACCTTCTAGGGTAGAGGGGGATTAAATGGGAGAAGCCATAGAAAGCACCTGACGCAGAGTAGGCACTTGAGTGTCGTTGATTAAGGAAGACGGACGGTTGTGGTGTAATAAAACGAATAGAAACTCACGAGGTGCCTACTATGCACAGACACTCCCGAATGTGCTCCAGGCATTTGCTCATTTACTTAAGCAAGAAGCTGGGATCAGACAGAAGTGGAGAATGCACAGACTAAGCTGGCAATAGGCAGGGTCCCATGGATGGTCAGCCAGGGACAGTGGGAACACCGCTCCTGGGGTTGGCTGCGGCAGGCATCCATAGAGAGGGTGCCTGATGTTCTGGGTGTGGCAGGAGAATGCAGGCTGCAATGACACTTGAAGTCCAGCAAGCAGCAGATGTGACCTAATTGGGATGCCAGGTCTGTGGCCTGCCTGCCACCACTCTGAAGCCTATGTCTCTGGCTGACATAACAAACCCATTGCAGAATGTTCCCCCTGGGAATCTCTCTGTCCTTCTCAATGAGAGTTGCCAAGTGAAGTTATATCAACCTGCCGCCTTTGTGCTTACAGATGAACCCACAGAAAAAGAGGGTGGGTGTGAGAAACAGAGCCCTTCACCTGATATTGGGGTGCTGCTCTTGGACCCCAGCCTTAAAACAACTTCCCCCTCTCCCCATAACATACACAACCCTGTGGGACAGGATTGACTCAGGAAAGGATCGGGAGCTGAGTCTCCAAGTTCAAGAGCTCCAGGACTGCAGCTGAGCAAAGGCTGGGGCTGGCAGAGGCCACTGACAGCCCCTGGCTCAGCCAGTGCCTCAGTTCCCCATCTGGAAAACGCAGGGCACATGTAGGCTCTCCAATGGCCTCCACATTCCTAAAACCCAGCCAGCTAAGAATGTCTCCAGAGAAGATATTTGTGGCAAGGAGCCCACACTTGGGTCTTGCCCCCAGGAACTCCCCCTGGGAAAAGTTGAGGGTACAGAACTAAGATTGGAAACCTCCACAAGTCTGACAGGAACCCAGCTCCATCAGGCATATTGTGGCATTTCTCAGAGTCTCTCCTGTTCTCCAGCTTCCTCCAAGTGTGAATTGTTCATTTTATGTTTTCCCTGATTCCATCACTCAATTAACCCCATAGCAGGTGCCACCTCCTCCATGCCACCTTTAGCACAGCACAGGAATTACTAGAAACTTCTGTCCTGCGAGGACCGGCATTCCTTCTATTTCATGTTCTGCTCCATCCGGGACACTACCCTCCCCTGCCAGTTTCTCCTGCTCACCACTCATTTCCATGTGTGTCTCTTGTATTTCTTTGCTGTCACTCATCTGAGCTTTCTCAGCTCAGAGTTGTAAATTGTGACTTAAAATTCTTCTTCAACCTGTTTCATATGCATTTTGACTGATGACATATATGTTGATGCCTTTTTTTTTTTTTTTTTTGAGATGGAGTCTCGTTCTTTCGCCCAGGCTGGAGTGCAGTGGTGCAATCTCGGCTCACTGCAAGCTCCGCCTCCTGGGTTCATGCCATTCTCCTGCCTCAGCCTCCCGAGTAGCTGGGACTACAGGCGCCCGCCACCGTGCCCGGCTAATTTTTTGTATTTTTAGTAGAGACAGGGTTTCACCGTGTTAGCCAGGATGGTCTCAATCTCCTGACCTCGTGATCCGCCCACCTCGGCCTCCCAAAGTGCTGGGATTACAGGCGTGAGCCACAGCGCCCGGCCTGTTGATGCCTTCTTAGAGACTGATCATGAGTCAGACTAAGCATGTGCATGGATCTTAGGAAAGGATAAAGGAATTGTGCAGATCACATGCTGAGTGTAGATCACAATGCTGAAGCCATTATTGAGATTGTTTTCAGTGTCTGAAACCCTTTTCAACGCCTCTGGCTTTCTGTTCCCCACAGGTGCTCCTTTCCCCTTAATCTTGTTCATTACCTGCCCAGAATGATCTCTGCCTCTTCCTACCACCTGGAATCAGATCCAGGAGCTGGTGAGTGAGCTCGGGCATAGTGGGAGGCCCCAGAGCCACAAGGGGTGTGAAAGGCAGGTTGCAGCCAGGACAGATGGGGAGGTTATAGGCCAAGGTCAAAGAACCAGGAATGTTAGCTGAGGTTGCAGGGTGATGGTGACAGGTAATCAGTTGCTAAGGCAAAGCTGGGCTGGGCATTGAGAACCAAGAAAACTACATCTTGGGGTAAGGTCTGAAAGCAAAGTCTCCAGGGCCAAAGTCCTCACTGTGCATCTCTCTATACAGCCCAGTGTCACCAGGCAACTTCCCCAGGTGTTTTTGAGAACATACCCCATTCCCAATAGCACCATTCATACGGCAAGTAGGTGTATCACCCTGCACTGCTCATCACTGTTGCATTTGTGGACACCTCATCTTGTGAGTGAGACTGTAAGACTTGGTGAGGGGATACAGGGTCTCTGTCTTCTTTTTAAGGCCCCAGGTGCTCAGCACAGAGGATAGTGGAAGTAGCAGTGATGTAACTCTGGCTGGCCTGGGTTTGGATAACAGGTCTGCTGCTTATGGCTGTGACTTGGGGCAAGTCACCAAACCTCTCTGCATTATTCAGCTCAGGGATGAATAAGGTGCACTGGAAAGGGCTGTTTTGAGGATTGAATGAGATTATATAGAAATCACAGGGTCCCTGGATACACACAGTAACTGTCCATTGTCCGTTCTTCCTTATCAATCAGTATATGTCTACTGATTGCTTTTCTTGAATGAATGATTTATTTATTTGCAAATGTCAGGGCACTAAAGCATAGGAAATGTTCTCATCCTTCAAGCCCCTTCTATTTTGGGGTGAAAAGGAGATTCAGGGAGCAGGAGTTGAATGGCTGCAGCAAGTGTGGTGAATGAGAGATGCCATGACTTCCCAATTCCCACGATCATCTTGCCTTCTGTGTTAGTTTGCTGGGGCTGCCGTAACAAAACACCATCAATCAGGTGTGGGCTTAAGCAATAGACATTCATTTTCTCTGGCTTCTGGAGGCTGGAGGTCCAAGGTCAAGGTGCTGGCAGGGCTGGTTTCCTCTGAGGCTTCTGTCCTGGGCTCCTTCTATACATGGCCATTCCCCAGTATGGGCACCCCTGGTATCTCCTTCTGTTCCAGAGGGACACCAGTCAGATTGGATTAGGACCCACTCTAAGGGCCTCCTTTTAACATAATCACCTCTTTGAAGACCCTCTCTCCAAATCCAGTCCTATTCTGAGGTACTGGTGGTTAGGGCTTCAACATGAAATTTGCAGGGGATGCAATTCAGCCCACAGCACCTTCCCCTCTTGCTAACTACGCCACTGCACAGGGCTTCGTGCCCTCCTGTGAGCTCAGTTCCTCGAGAGTCCCAGCACCCCTGAGCTCTAGCCGCAGGGATCACCTTTTCCAGGCCCTGCTGACCCGGGCTGGCAGCAGGCCTACCTCATGTACAGCTCACTTATGCAGGCTCTGTTCTCTCTCCTGGGGGTCTCCTGGGCCACTCACTCCCCAACCCAGAGGGCCTCCCAGGAACTGCAGCCACCTTCTCAGCAACACAGGAGGCAGGCATCAGGAAATTGCCTGGCATGGAGCTCTCCTCCGCTCTCAGACCCCTGCATTCCCCAGTCCAAGGTCCTGCTCCTGGGAGTGGAAGGAGGCAAATCTCAGCCCCTCCCTCCCACTCCCCATGGCTAGGGTGGGGTATGGCTCATGGATCCCAAACTCCTCCTGCAGGGGCACCTGAACTGGAGTCCAAGCTCAACCTCTGGTGCCTTGTGCTGGGGAGGTGTTCGATACAAGAGAGTCTTTCTAAAGACAAAGTAGGTGGTAACACTCCCCCATGCAGCCTTCAGTGACTGTGGCCCAAGGACCCACCTGGGGTGACACGAGGCTCTGCACCCTGGGGCCGACCTTCTTGCAGGCACATCTGCTGCCACACCCCAGCAAACAAGCCGTCCACGTGTCCTTCTCTTCTGTTTGCTCAAGCAGTCACCTCTCCCTGGATGCCCGTGGCCCTTCTTCCACCTGGCCAGCCCCTGCCAGCCCTGCCCTGTTCTCTGCTCCCCTAGTATGGGGGACAGGGCTTCGGGAACTGACCTCTGTTTCCACCCCAATACCATCACGCTGCAGCTGGGTGGTCTCAGCCACACCAGCAAACATACCAGGCATGCTATTTTTTTTAAAAAATCCCATTTTCAGAATACTGAGGTTAATTCAGACTCACATTCACCATCCTCCCTGTTTCTTACCCATCTTCACAGCCAGCACAATGAAACGCCTGGGATACCTGGCAAACCTTATCATCAAAGACAGATTCAGTGATATCCCCTGGACTCATGGGTGGCCTAAGGCCCTGACTGCCGCTCTGTGGCTGGAAAAAGGGGACACCCTGGGTGTGGGGAGCCTGAGGCCCTTGAGTCTTTGGTGAGTGCTCTGTATGACCCAGCGAGTGAGGTCACCCTCTCTCTCTCTCCCCATCCTCCTTCCTCTCTCACTTGAAAGCACTCTTTGGTGCTCACTCAACACGGTCCCTGTTGGTCATCTCACCCACTTCCTCGGCCTCACTATGCACCCAGGCCCCAATGACATCCAGATATATTTCCCTCTCTGGCCTCTCCCACACACTCCAACCCACACAGCCAAGAGCTGCCTGGACACACCCACCTGGATGCCCTCTGGGCAACACCACTTCATGTGTTCAACATCAAAGTCATCGTTTCCTCTGATGGCCAGTCAGCTCTTTCTCCTGGGCTCCACAGCTCAGGAATGCAGCCTGTATCTGGTCAAACAGGCCAGGGCTTGAGCACTTCATGAAGCTCTTCCTTCACTCACTGTGTCTGGCCAAACCTACCTGGCTTGCGGAGTGGTTCTGTCATCCAGCCCTCCTCGTCCTCCAAGGTCCCTCCCTGATGTAGGCCACCCGCATCTGTCTTGAGGATGAAAGCAACAGCCCTTTTCCTCATCACGTCACAGTCTTCCACTTCACTGTCATCCTGTGATTCTTCCAGAACATAAATATCTGCCCCAGTCATTCTCCTGCTTATGCGAGTGCAAGCTGCGCTTCATGAGAACTGGGACCTCGTTTATTATTTTTGGGGGTCATGGTCCTGGGGAGAGACAATGGCACACACACCAAGCTGAGAAACTGAGGAAAGTTTGGTAAAGGGACCACTTACAAGGATGTGGGCAGAGTTTAAAGAGAACAGCAAAGATGGTGCGACACCCAGGATGAGTAACGGTGGAGATCCATTGCCAACCCAGCCTGGAGGGTCCCGAGAGGCAGCGGTTTCCTTGACCCAGAGAGAGTTGTCTGGAGAGGGCAGCCTGCCAGCAGCAGTGGCCAGGGGATTCAGTCACCGCTGGCCCACAGGGGAGGGGAATGGGGTGATAAATAGCCCATCACTCTCTCCCTTCGCCCTCTGATCTCTTGCTAGTGCATCTAATTTGCCACCTCTAACCAGCAGCCAGAGGGCGGGGGGCGGGGTGCTGATGTGGTTAGCCTCCCAGGTCAGAGGAGGGTGCCCAGAGAACCTGAGGAACCAGTGGAAGATTCCAGCTCACCACTATCTCTCTGGCACCCAGGGACCAACCAAGCAATGAATCAATAAAGGTTTCCAAATGCACGTGAGGATGATGCCAGACTTCTTGGCCTGGCATTTAAAGTCCTTCATGAATCTTACCCTTTCACATGTCCTACACCCAACTTCCTGCTAGGTAGGTACTGCTCCGTCTCTAAGGCACAGCTCAAGTGGCATCTCTTCTGGGAAGCCCTTCCTCACTCCCATGAAAAGTCAGCCATTTTGCTCCTACAGACCTAACTCACCCCTCACCTTTCCAATAATATGTATTGCTTTCTATTCAGATCTCTTCGCAGGTCTCTCTTTCCCAGACATGATGAGCACCATCATATTTATCTCTCTGTCCCCAGCATCTGGCACAGAGTAGGTGCTTAATAAAACATTAGTAAGTTAATTTAAAATGTCAGGATATAATTGACATATGATCATTCCTAATGCCTACAATGGAGGCAGTGACTTTTTCTGTGCAGTCAAAGATGCTTCAGGGTTTTTTTTTCACCTTATGATTTAAAAAAAATGATTGTGATATCTTACAGATTTGAGACAGAAAGTTGATTTAATTTTTTTAGTGTATAATAAAAGGCCCAAAGTAAAAGATCAAAAGGTGCTTCCACTCAGACCCAAGCAAAGCCAAAACCAATGAAGCTGGCACAGAGGGAAAGCTCCCCCATTGACCCTGAGGTGTGCCAGCTTGCAATTCCTGCTTAGCCTTTCAAGCATCATAAACTAATGGAATTGAAAGCCACTATTTGGAAGCAGAGTTTACAGACCACTTACCAATGGAGAGGCATTTTGTGGACACAGGCTATGAAGCCTGTTTTCATTTTGATGTTTTTAAAATCTAATTTCCATGCAAATAGGAAAGGATGTGTTTAAGAGTGTCGACTTTGGGATTTGTTTGACTGTCAAATGGCATGACTAATATTTGGGGACTGGAAAGTGTCCAAGGACACTTAAGGAAATCCAGTATTACAAAGGGAGCCAAATATGTTGTGATTAGAGCATTCACTGTCCCAAGAAAATAAATGAGCTGGCTCAGAAGACAAGCCACTTTGCACTGCCCATTGGCTTCTGAGCAATTCTGTTCCCAAGAATCTGCGATCATGGAAGAAGACCCATTGTTGCAACATTGGTTAAAAACTCATTTATTCAAGTGTTTTTAAAATGAAATTTTAAATATCCAGAGGGGAAAAAAGTTGCCAAAGTTTAGGCCTGAGGGGAAGCGCTGTACTAGTAGAGTTTTAACAGGTAGTTTGTTTTTGCATTGTTTGCAGTGAATAACACTGATAGCCTGAAATTTAAAAGCAGTAGTAAGAAGGGAAGTAAGAATTTAGTTGTCTGGGGTCACTCTCCTGATTAAAAAGGAAAAGAGTCATGCAAAACTAGTAGGAGGAAATTGGGTATGTTTAAAGAATATTTTAAGAAATCTTTTTAGGAGCCAGGCATGGTGGCTTATGCCCGTAAGCCTAACACTTTGGGAGGCCAAGTTGGGAGAATCGTTGAGCCCAGAAGTTCAAGACTAGCCTGGTCAACAGGGTGAGACCACATCTCTACAATAAATTAAAACACAAAAAATTTAGCCAGGCATGGTGGTTCACACCTGTAGCAAGAGGATCACTTAAGCCTAGGAGTAGGAGGCTATAGTGAGCTATGATCACGCCAGCTATGATCACGCCACTGTACTCCAGCCTGGGTGACAGAGTGAGACCGTGTCTCAAAAAAAAGTCTTAGAGTATGGCATACAAGAATTCAGCTTTGCCCTTCAGGTAGAAAAAAAATTATTATATTTGAATAGTACGGGGTAGAGCTGGGGGGCGCGGTGGGCAGAAATGAGGCAAGAGAGGTAGTTAGCATAGAAAATTCTCAAGTTGAAATAGTTTGAAAAGGGTAATTACCTCCTTTTATCTGAAAAGAGAAAATGAATAGTTAAAGGCTTTTTAAAGAAATAACTTGAAATCCTCACAGAGAGAAATAAGAAGTTGAGCAGGGGACCCAGGAGGCCCAGAAAGCCACTGTTTCTTCCTAATGTCACACCAAGGACCAACTCTACATATGCAACATTAGAAACCAGCTGAAGTTTAATACAAGAGGCTATCCAAATTGGATTTGTAATTTCTCTATTTTATTCTAAATCTGATATCAAGACTTTATAGTTTTAGAGTAGTTGAATAATATTTGCCATTGTTCTGATAAAGAGTTGGACCTTTCTAAGAAAAAACAGACACACACACATGCACACACATACCATTTGATCTTAGTTACACACACTGGGTCTATTGCCCCAGATCTTCACGAATCACTGCCTCCCCTAGTGGTCATTTACATAATTGCAGACTTGTGTCGTTTGCCCATTGGCAAAGGCCCCCGGGGAAATTTACTCTCAGTGAATTTGATTTTACAAAAATCCCTGGTTTCTTCTTTGTTCCAGGGCACCACTGACACAGAGGCATGAGTACCAGGGGCTCTGAAGGTTCAAACTGTGATTCCTTATCACATGCCTAGAAACTTCCATTTTGAAGTGGAGCCTCTGGTTCTGGAAAGACATTTGCCTCTTTCTTTATCTAGATTTAAATTTAATTTGCAATTTCTTTCTTCTTTCTTGATTTCTTGGTGCATAGCACGAGAAGTACAGCTATGTAGCCCTTCTCTGTCCCAAGCATAAGTCCCCTTAAAGGGCCAAAGAGCTATTGGTCCTTCCTTCCCAGACAGGAAAGGCTGGTTGAACCCAAAAGGTCTGTGGCTTGACATCTATTGATGTGAATATTGGTTTAATTATTACTCCTGCTCACAAATCTCTCAGAGTGCATTTTTGTCCCCATTTCAGTCTGGTGTCCTGGCAACCACCTCCAGGGTTCTACTCTCTAACAGGAAATGCAGTAGGGATGGAGGGTGGCAGAAGTGTTTCTTAATCACTTCCTCCAGTGTTGGGGAACTCAGTTTTCTGACTCATGCACTATTTTAACAGCTTCCAGGAAATCCTTAGCCTGAGTATTTGGGGTGATTGGAGGAAGTGATTTCTAGAAACATTGGAGGAAACATTGAGGAAAGAAGAGTGGATGTGAGGGAGGGGAACGTGGAGAGAGTGGGGAGAAGGAGGAAAGGAGAGAGGAAGGGAGAGAAGGAAGGGATGATGGGGAGGGAGAGAAAACACGGAGAGAGAAAGGAAAACAAGGAGAAACCACAGCAGGGAAAGGGAGGATTGTGGCCACCAGGCGAGAAGTCACCTGCAGGCCCTAATACCTCAGTAGTGACCCAGGACCAATGAGTGGGTAAAATTGCTGCCCTGACATTTGCCCTGTTCCAGCCAAAGATGGCTCACTCCGTGACCCTGAGAACTTAGGACAGTCCCTGCTTCCTAAATGAGAGGGTTGCGCAGGCTGCTGGGCAGAGTGCCCTCTGTTAGGAGGTGAGTTTAGCTGAGGGACTCATGGCTTGGCCTGCACTTGTTTCTGAACCTGACCTTGCTAGCATCACCCTCAGATCCTAGAGAATTATTTTCTGACATGCACTATTTTAACAGCACCCAGGAAATTCTTGGCCTGAGTATTTGGGGTGATTGGCGGAAGTGATTTCTAGACTGGTTCTTTACCAACCAAAAGGTCAACTCTCCTGATCACTCCTGGTAGTGTGAACATGTACAACAGTTTTCCTTGGAAGTTGAGAGACTTCTAGCAACCTATATTTTCCATTCTATCTTAGCACAGAAGATAGGCTTAGCAAAGGAATGCCTCAGGCACTCTAAAATATATCCCCACCCTGCTGGAAACCAACAACAACCTTTAAGCATACGCTTAACAACAAGTGAAATGTTGTCACACACTCCTGTAATATTTTCCCCCAAAATGTTGAGATGACTTTTCTGGACTTGCCTATTGGCCACAGTTGTGTGTTGATAAGCTAGAGCAAGCTCTCTGGTTCAGGAAACTTAACAGGGAGCTGATGTTCATGCTATCATGCTGAAAGGGGCATGTTATGCCATCATCCCTTGAAAAACACAACTTGCTGAAACAAAAACAGAAATAGTGAATCTGAGCAGTCCTATATTCTTTTTCTTTTTTTATTTTAAAGACAACTCTTCCTACACTTTAGAAAATGCCAATCTTACATTGTCTTTTCCAGAAAACAAAGAGGGAACATTTCCTGCCTTTTTATTTTGAGACAAGCATACACCTGATACCCAAAACTGACAAAGATATTACCAGCAAAGACCATTATAGGCCAATATTTATCTTGAATACAGATGCAAAATCAGAAACAAAATATTAGCAAATTTATATACAGTGATATATATAAAAGGATAACAGCATAACTGAGTGAGGTTTAATTTAAAAATGCAAGAGCGACTTAACATTCAAATATCAATGTATTTTACCATACTAACAGAAAAAAATCTCAAGAGATTTAGAAAAAAAAGCCCTTGAGAAAATTAACACCTATTCATGATAAAAATCTCTCAGCATTAGGAATAGAAAGGAACTTCTTTAAACAGATAATGCATGTGTACAAGATATCCACACCTAACATGATGAAATGTTGCATTTAATAATGAAATATTGTACTTTTTCCCCTGTGGTTGGGAATAATGTAAGGATGTTCATAACCTTGCTCCCAACCTCAGGGCCAAAGCAAATAATTAGAATAAATAAGTGAAATTTTCAAGGTCACTAGATACAAAATCAATACAAAAAATTAATAAATGTAAAATAATTTAAATTATGTAAATCACATTCTTAAATCACAATGGAATTAAATTATAAATCAATATGGAAAGAATATGGAAAATTCCAAAATATTAAAATACTAAGCAACAAAGTTCTAATTAAGCTATGGGTCAAAGGAGAAATTACAAGGAAAATTAGAAAATATTTTGAACTGAATGAAAATAAAAACACAACATATCAAAATGTGTGAGTTGCAGCTAAAACAGTGCTTAAATAAAATTTTATACTAATAAATTTATACTAATGTGCTAATTTTATAATAAGTATAACATTTATACTTAAAAAAGAAGACAGGTTCTATGACCTAGCTTCTAGCTTAATAACCTAGAATAAGAACATAAATGCAAATAAAAAATAAACAGAAAAAAGATAAAGTTAAAAAGATCAACGAAATAGAAAACAGAAAAATAATAAATAATAAAGGCAATCAAAATCCCTTTTTAAGATCAACAAAAGTGATGAACCTCAAGCCAGATTAATCAAAAAAATTAAAGAAGAGAAGAGATAAATTAATACAGAAATGAGAGAGGGGACATCACTACAGATCCTATTGATAGTAAAGTTATTAGAGGAATATTATATACAATCATATACCAATACATTTAACAACTTAGATCAAGTGGAAAATTTCTTGAAAGACACAAATTACCAAAGCTTACTGAAGAATAAATTTATATCCTAAATAGCCCTGTGCCTATTAAATAACTTGAATTTGTAGTTAAAATCCTTCCCACAAAGAAAACTCCAGACCCAGATGGCTTTACTGGTAAATTCTATGAGGCATTTAAGAAAGATAATACCAATTCTATACAAACTCTTCCAGAAAATTGAATAGAAAGGATCACTTCCCAAAAAATTACATGAGGTCAGCATTAACTCAACAGCAAAATTGAAGACATTACAAGAAGAAAAAGAAGGAGGAGGAAGAGGAGAAAAACTACAGATTAGTATCTTTCATAAACATCCTTATAAAAGTATAAAATTTTAATAAATCATAACTATAATATATAAAAAGATTATGACCAAGTAAAGTTTATTCCAAGAATGTAAGGTTGGTTTTACAACTAAAAATAAATTAATTCACCATACTTAAAGACTAAAAGAGACCAAAAAAGAGTGCAAGCATATAATCATCTCAATAGATGCAAAAAATAAGAAATTAAAAAATTGACATAATTCAACAACCATTTATGACAGAAACTATGAATAGAAAGAAACTTCTTCAACTTGATAAAGATGATCTATAAAAACCTAGCTAACATCATCATACTTAGTGGCGAAAGACTAATTTCCCCACTAAGATCAGAACAGGGGCAAGGATGTGCAGTCCCTCTATTTCTATTCCACTTTATACTGGAAGTTCTAGCCAGTACAAAAAGGCAATAAAAAGAAACGTACAGTTTGAAAAGGAAGAAGTACAACTCTACTTATTTGCATGCCAACATTCTATCTTTGTAGAAAATCCTTAGGACTATACAAAAAAATACTAGAACTAATCAATGAGTTTAAAAAGATTACAGGATACAAAGCTAACATACAACAATTAATTATACTTTTATATACCAGCAAGAAACAATTTGGAATTGAAATTTTTTTTAAAAAACTTAACAATAACATCAAAAAATATGAAATACTTTGTGATAGATTTGAAAAAACTGATACACAAGTCGTGTACATCAAAAACTACAAAACACTGCTGAGACAAATTAAGTAGATGGAGAAATACATGATATTCATGAACTGGAAAACAAAATATTGTTAAGATGCCAATTCTTCCCAAATTGTTCTAAAGATATAATCTATCCCAGTCAAAACCCAAGAAGGATTTTTTTGGAGAAATTTGACAAATTTATTATAAAAGTCATATGGAAATCAGAGGACCTAGAATACCCAAAGTAATTTTGAAAAAGAATAAAGTTGGATGACTTAGCCTATCTGATTTCAAGACTTATTATGACTCACACTGTAATCGAGGCAGTGTGGTATTGGCAAAAGATACAACTTCAATGGAACAGAAGAGAAAAATCCAAAAATAGACCCTCAGATGTATGGTCAATTGATTTTCAATGAAGGTGCTAAGGAAGTTCAATGGGGGAAAGGATATCTTTTCAACATATAGTCCTTGAACAATTGAATATTCAAAAGCAAAAATTGAACCCATGTTCTTACCATATTACTCTATGTATAGGCATTAACTCAAAATGGATAATAGACTTATATGTAAAAGCTAAAACTATAAATCACTAGAAGAAACGGTGAAAGAAAACCTTAGTGACCTTGGATTTGGCAAAGATTTATTTAAAAGGACATAGAAGGCACACACTATAAAGGGGAAAAAATAGGCTAATTGGACTCTTTCAAAATTTAAAACTGTTGCTCCTCAATGGATACTATTAGAAAAATGAAAAGGCATGCTACAGACTGGGAGAAAATATTAGCAAAATATACATCCAACAAAGGACTTGCATCTACAACCCAATTAGAGATAGCCAAGAGGTTTGAATTGACACTTCACCAAAGATATTCTAGTAGCAAATAAGTGTATGAAAAGGTGCTCAACATCATTAGTCATTGGGGAAATGCAATTTCATACCACCATGAGATAGATATCACTATGCAGCCAATAGAATGACTAAAATTAAGACTGACCACTCCAAATGTTAGCAAGGATATGAGGCAACTGGAAATTTCACTCTGCTAGTGAGAGTGCAAAACGACATAGTCACTCTGGAAAAGAGATTGCAGTTTCTTAAACTGTTAAACATACCTCTATGACCCTAGTCATCTCATTCCTAGGTATTTTTACCCAAGACAAGAGAAATGAAAGTAAATATCCACTGTAAGTCTTATGCATGAATGTTCATAGCTGCTTTATTTTTAACAGCCCCAGTGTGGAAATAGTTAAAATGTTCATCAGCACATGAATGGATAAGTGAATTGTGTTATATCTGAACACTCAGCAACAACTATTGATACATGAAGCAACATAAGGGATAGGAGTGTGGACAGCAAAGTGGCACAAGGAAACCTCTGGGGATGATGCACGTCTGCATTATCTTGATTGTGTGACGTTTCATAGTGTGTTATGTTCCTCGAAATTCCCCAGCTGTATACTTCAGTCATGTGCAGTTCTTTTGTACCTTAATTATACATTAATTAAGCTGTAAAAATTAATTGTATTCTATTTTACAGCTTAATTATACCTTAAGCTGTAAAAATTAATTGTATTCATCTGTATTTTTATATATTAAGCAACAAGCACTGGGAAGATGAAATTTTAAAAATACCATTTGTAAGAGCACCAAAAATGTCAAATACCTGAAAATAAATCGAATAAAAGATGTGCAATCCCTCTGCATTGAAAGTTAGAAAACATGACTGGGAGAAATTAAAGAGAACATACAAAAATGGAAAGATATTCCGTGTTAATGATAGGAAGACTCAATATTTTCAAGATGTCAATCATCCTCTGAGTGATCTACAGATTCAGCACAATTGCAATCAAAATCCCCAGTGGGTTGAAGGGGTGGAAATTGAGAAATTATTTTTAAAATGTATATGGAAATGCAAAATATCTAGGATAGTTAGGATAATGTTAAAGAATAAGACAAAGTTTGGTGGACTTATGTTACTAGATTTTAAGACCTAGTAAAAAAACTACAGTAGTTAAGACAGTGTGGTATTGGCACAAGAATGAACAAATAGACTGATGGAACAGAGGGTCTTGAAGAGAACCACATGTATATGGTTACACAAGTGTCACTGTAATTAAGTCAAGAAAGGATGTTTTTTCAATAAAGGCTGCTAGCGTAATTAGATATCCACATAGAAAAAAATAATCTTGCCTCCTAGCTCATAACATACACAAAAGTCAATTCCAGATGGTTCACATTCTAAATATGAAAGGCAAAACAATATAACTTTTAGAGGAAAACATAAGAGAAAATATATACACCCCTGAGTATGCAAAGATTTCTTAAACTGAAAAAAAGCACAAAACTTGAAAAAAATGATGAATTGCATTTCATTATAAGTAATTAAAATATTGGAAAGGAAAGACACACAGTGGGAGAAGATATTTGTGTTACATATATCCGATGAAACTCATACTCAGAATTTAATAAGAATTCGTATAAAAAGTAAATTTATTTATTTATTTATTTTTAGTATTTTTTTTTTTTTTTTTTTTGAGACAGAGTCTCGCTCTGTCGCCCAGGCTGGAGTGCAGTGGCGCGATCTCGGCTCACTGCAAGCTCCGCCTCCCGGGTTCACGCCATTCTCCTGCCTCACGCCATTCTCCTGCCTCAGCCTCCCAAGTAGCTGGGACTACAGGCACCTGCCACCATGCCCGGCTAATTTTTTGTATTTTTAGTAGAGACGGGGTTTCACCGTGTTAGCCAGGATGGTCTTGATCTCCTGACCTTGTGATCCGCCTGCCTCGGCCTCCTAAAGTGCTGGGATTACAGGCATGAGCCACCGCGCCCAGCCAAAAAGTAAATTTAAAAGGCAAACATCGAGACCATCCTGGCTAACACGGTGAAACCCCATCTCTACTAAAAATGCAAAAAATTAGCCGGGCGTTGTGGCCGGTGCCTGTAGTCCCAGCTGCTTGGGAGGCTGAGGCAGGAGAATGGCATGAACCTGGGAGGTGGAGCTTGCAGTGAGCCGAGATCACGCCACTGCACTCCAGCCTGGGGGACAGAGAGAGACTCTGTCTCAAAAAAAAAAAAAAGGCAAACAGCCCAATGGAAAAATGGACAGGCAACCTCAACAAGCATTCCACAAAGGGTAATATCTAAATGGTCAATAGACATATGAAATGTGCTAAATGTCATTACCCTCAGATAAATATAAAAAGGTAAATTAAAAACCCAAAACAATACTGTTACACACCCAGGAGAATGACTAAAATGGAAAAGGCAGACAACACCAAGTGTTGACAAGAACAAGGAGCAAATGGAACTCTCCTACATTACTGTTAGGTGTTGACATATAACCATTGTGAAAACTCTAGCAGAATTGACTAAACTGAGCATACATATACTCCATGATTTAACATTTCTGCTTCTTGGGTATATACCCAACAGAAATGTGTGCATGCGTTCACTGAAAGACACATAGAAATATTCACAGTAGCACTTGCACTATCAGCCAAAACCAGAAATGATTCAAATGGCCATCAAACTACAGAATAAATAAATGGCAGTATCTTCACGTCATGGAAACAAACAAAACCATAACTACGTGGAGGAAGCTCAACCATGTGGTTATAATGTTGAGAAAAAGAGCCAGATACCAAAGAGTACATATGGTAGGATTCCATTTACATAAAGCTCATACCCAGGGAAGAGTAATCTACAATGTTGGAACTCAAGGTAGTAGCCACTCTCAGGAGCGGTAGTGACTGAGAGGATATGTGAAGGGGGCTCCGGGTGCTGGCCCTGCTCCATGACTTAATCTGGGTTCTGGTTATGAAGGTGTGTTCACCCTGTGAAAATTCACCCAGCTGTACCACTGTGATCCTACACTTTTCTTATATATGTATGTCACACTTAAAAAACAAAAAGATTGGCTTGGCTTACTGTGGAAAGTGCTGTGATGGAAAACAACAGAGTGCTGGAGAGAGAATCTGGCTGGGTTGGTCAGTCAGGGAGGGCTCCTTGGAGGAAGGGATGTTTGGCTGAGAGCTGGAGAGTGAGGAGGAGCCTGCTATGAGAAAAGCAACGGGGAAGAGCTTCCAAGGCAGTGGGGAACAGATGGACAAAGGCAGGAAGGCTGGGATGTGAGTGAAGCAATGATGTGCAGGAAGCTGGCTTGTGCCATCAGTGAGAGCCAGTTCTGAGCATCTGGCGCCAACTGTGTTCAGTGAGGTCACCATGGTGGCTTGGAATATGCAAATAATGTGGGAAATCAGCAAATTCTATCAATCTGGATTTTTTTTTTCTCAGAAAACCACCAGCTGTACAGCAATGACCATAGCTTGGCAGACCTGCCGTGATTGGTCATTTGACTGTCTTTAAAATTCACTCTGTTACATCCTTGGCTTTCTTCTCTCTCCTGCTAGAAAAAAAAAAAAGTTTCTTTGGATGCAACCAAAGAGAACCTCTGGCATCGGCCTGTCCGTTATTTACCCTTAGTTGTTAATTCTTTTTCTTTTGTGTAAAATTAAAGTCGGCAAACTGCAGCCCTTGTGTCAAATTTGGTCCTTGGCCTGCTTTTGTAAAGAGTTTTGTTTGTTTTTCATATTGTCTATGGTTGCTTTTGCATTACAACAGTGGAGCTGAGTTGCTGCCACAGAAATCTTATGGATGGCAAAGCCTAAAATATTTGCTATTGGTCCTTTAAGGAAACCATTTGCCCACCCCTGTAGCTTGGCAATAGTCATCCAATCCCATGCACCCTTGTGGCCAGTATTTTCTGCACCCACGTCAAACACCCAGTGCAGCATGCTGCTAGTGCATTCCCTTCCAGAGGTACACCCTACCAATCCCCTGCTGGTTAAATGTTTAACTTTTGGGCTGTCTCTGCTTAACAGCCACCAATGATGGGGACCTTCTCCCCAGCCAGAGGTGACGGATCTATTTCCCAGAACCCACCTCCTCACCCGCTCTCTCAGACCAGTCCCGGTGCCAACTGTTGAAGGTTGGTTTCCCGAAAAGTAAAGGCTGAGGAAGATTTTGAGTGCAAGATGCTTATTAGGGGGTCAATATCTGTGGAAGAAAGAGGGAAAAGTCTTGAGGGTGTGATTTTTTAGGGGGAAAGGGGAGCTCTGGTCCAGTCCTGACTACCAGGGTATCTTGCACCAGCTGAAATGGCTGGAGATCTACACACCCAACGGGGAAGGGCACGACCTCAGTGAGGGGTTCTCCACAGCTGAAGCTGACCCCGAAGGAGCCAGTGCTAGAGGCTGCTTGCAGATAGCACTCTGCCACTGGCAGCAATGTGTCCCTAAAGGAGGGTCTGGGCAGCATGCACCAAGGTCTGCCATAATCCGCACCATGGCGTCCCTGATGTCCCCACTTTTTCCCCACCGTGGCAGCCTTTTATCATTTCTTCCCACTTCCTAAAGCACTACTTCTGAAAAACTAACCACACTGATGAAAAGGGAAAGAACTTCTGTCTGTCGGCAGGCTACTGTGTGCCAGCTGCCCTAAAGAGGTGACCTCGTGAGAGAACCCCGTTAATGCTCCACTCTGCAGATACGGAGACTGAATTTCCCCAAGGGGAACTGAACTACCCAGGGTCACACAGCTGGGAAGTGCAGGGCTGGTATTCAGTTATAGTTTGCCTGGCATTTTAATTAATCTACTGTTTTTTTCCGCCCTAGCCCACCATCTCTTATAAAGGAATTATTGTGTATCATAACACTTTATCAATCAGACAAATAATGGGCCATCAGATCTTCTGGCCTGTGTGAGCTGGTCAGAGTCACTCTTGCAGAGACATAGGGACATGCTGAATTGCATGCTCACCAGGTATCAGGTGCCGCACTGAGCAGTCAATGTGGATAATCCCCACGTCAGCCCCTGAGGTAGGTGCTGCTATTATCCCATTTTACAGATGGGAAATGGAGGCTTAGGAGAGGCTGAGCAATCTGTTGAAAGCAAGACATAGGTCTGTTTAATGACTGGACACAACTTCCTCCTTTCCTGGGTGGAAGAAAGTCTACCTCCAACAAAAGCAATTACTGTGTTTTTTTCCCTTGTGTCTTCAAGTGGGGATCTGCATAATCTTAAACTCTTTGAAATATTTAAAGTACCCCAAGCAGTCTCCATCGCCTTCACAGGCCTGCAGGACCCTGGGCACACAGGATGAGACCTACTTGCCTATGGTAATGACAGGGCCTAGGAACGGAGTGCTGGAGTGGTGTCCAGGTATAAGCAGCGGTGTAGGGATGAAAGCCAAGTGATCTTGGGATTCTTTTCTCTCCACTGTTTTTGTTGTTTCATTTCTCCCTTAGAGATCCAGAACTACACAAGGAAGCATTTACTTCACTTTGTTTTGTTTTGCATATATATACATGATGTTGGTAAACAGCATGGGCTCTGGAATCAGGCAGACCAACATTCAAATCCGGATTCTGCTTCTTACTACCTGTGTGGCATCCACCAAATGGCTTCACCTCTCTGAGCCTCACTTTCCTCATCTGTCCGGTCTGACTTAGAACATCCCTATCTCCTGGGCTCTTGTGAGGGAATGTTGATAAATCTAAACACATAGCACAGCCTGCAGGAACCTCAACAAATGGCAGTTGAGCTCTGGCCTCTATGGGACCCCAGGTCTTTGGCCACTCAGGTTGATGCCTCTTGTTTTCAGCCCAAGATCATCCTCTCAGCACAGAAGCATCAGTTCATATGTGGCGTCTCTTCTGCCCTCCTCAATTGCCAGAGAATACTATCTCCCTGACCAAGGATGGATTCTTCCTGTCACTTCTGAAGAACCACATAGTGAAGAAGTGAGGAGGAGTTGGCCCTTGGAGCCAGGCTGGTTTGAGTTTCATCTAAGTCATTTCTTAGCTGTGTCACCCTGGACAAGTTTCTTAACCTCTCAGAGCTTCCAATGTCTCATTTGCACAATAGGTACAATTGTACTCACTTTGTGAGATCATGGTGAGGGATCAATGGGCATCACATGGGAAAGGTCCTTACATACTGACTGGTACACAGGAGGTGCTCAATAGATGCCTGTTCTCATCTCCTTCTGCTATTTCCACTTATTCTAAGCCAAGACTTTCACAAGAGACTCCTAAGAAGTTGTATCCTAGCCCAGGCCTTTCTACAATCTTGGTATAGCTATTTAAAAAGACAAAAATCAGTAATAACTTTGTTCTTTATAATGACAACAATAATAAAATGGCTATAGTATTGCGTATAAAATCAGTTCCAGTTCATGCCCACATGATGCTTACAGTCCAGTGGGGAGAGTGGACATTCATCCACAAACCACAATCTCTGGGAATGAGAGGTACGTGTGACAGTGCACTTACTTCTCAGAAGGACCCTATAAGTTGGAGACTATAATTATACTCACATTTCAAATAAAGAAACTGAGAGTTGGAGAAGTTACGCTTTTTTTCTCTGGGCCACCCAATTGGTAAGAGGCAGAACTAGGATTTGAGCCCATGTTCTTCTTCTCATCTTCTAGCTGTGAAACAAATGTGGGGGCAATAGATAGACCTCTCTGTTAGGCAGAGGCTAGCCATTCAAAATTTTCAAGTAGGAGTCAGCTTCAGTTATTAAAATTGTTATCTGAAGTATATCTGAGAAGGAGAGAGGGAGGACAGACCCCCAAAAAAGCCAGTGCTGTGATGTCTTGATTTATTCACAGTCACAGAGAAATCACTATCAACAGATCACTCTTTGCGGCTATATAGCAAACCCAAGAAAAGACTTTGATTGGTTCTCGTGGGTCACTTGCTTATTCTTGCACCAATCATTGTGGCCAGAGAGCAGCTATAGCAATGAAAAGGAGGGCAGAGCAGACACCCCAAGTGACAGCTCCATCAAAACCAACCATTCCTCCTTGAGATGCCACAGTACTGGATGCTGTTCAGGGCATGGGCATGAATGTGACCTCCTCAGGAGGCTGCCCCCAACCACTTTACCAAAAGTAGACCCCACCCCTGACCCTGTTTGCCTGTTTAATGTTCTCGATAAAACTCACTACTCTGCTATTGTCTTCTTTATTTCTCTTTCCTTGCTAGGATATAAATAAACTCCTTGAAAAGAGAGGCCTTGTCTGATTTCTTGATTACTCTGTTCCTGGTGTCTAGAACAGGACTTTGCTTATAAAGTTGCTTGATAAATATTTTTGAATAAAGAAATGAGTAGGTGCCAAGAAGACACCACAGGGAAAGGATAATCTTTTCAACAAATGGTGCTGGGAAAATTGAACATCCATGTGTAGAAGAATGAAATTGGATCCTTATACCATATACAAAAATTAAAATGAATTAAAGACTTAAACATAAGACTTGAAACACTAAATTCTGAAAAGAGAACATAGAGAAAAACCATGTTGACATTGGTCTTGGCAATGATTTCTTGGATAGCCACCAAAATCACAGAAAACAAAAGTAAAAATAACAAGTAGGACTATATCAAACTAAAAATCTTCTGCACAGAAAGGGAAACTATCAACTAAATAAAAAGGCAACGTATGGAACGGGAGAGAATACTTATAAGCCATATATCTGATACAGGATTACTATCCAAAATATATAGGGAACTCCTACGATGTAGCTGTAAAAACCTCTTAAATAATCTGATTTTACAACGGGCAATGAAACTGAATAGCCATTTCTCCAAAGAAGACATACAAATTGCCTATAGATATATGAAAAAGTGCTCAATATCACTAATCACCAAGGAAATGCAAATCAAAATCATGATGAGATATCACCTCACATCTATTAAGATGGCTATTATTTTAAAAATAGAAGATAACGAGTGTTGTCAAAGATGTGGAGAAAAGGGAAACTTTATACACTGTTGGTGAGAATGTAAATTGGTGTAGCCTCTCTGGAAAAGAGTGTGGGGATTCCTCAAAAAATTAAAAATAGTACTACTATATGATCCAGCAATCCCACTTTTGGGTATATACCCAAAGAAACTGAAATCAGGACCTAGAGAGATATCTGGATTACATGTTGATTGCAGCATTATTCATGATAGCCAAGAAATGGAAGCAACCTCAATGTCCATTGACAGATGAATGGATAAAGAAATGTGGCATATACATACAACAGAATGTTTTTCAACATTTTTTAGAGAAGAAAATTTTGTCATTCAAGAAAACATTGATGAACCTGAAGGACATTATGCTAAGTGGAATAAGCCAGACACTAAACACAAATATTACACAATACCACTTATAGGAGAAATCTAAAATAGTCTCATAGAAACCCAGAGTAGAATGGTGGTTCCCTGAGGCTGGGGGGAAGGGGAAACAAGGAGATATCAGTCAAAGGGTACAATGTTTTAATTATACAACATGAATAAATTCTAGAGTTTTGTAGAGCATAGCACCTATAGTTAACAATATTGTAATCTATGCTTGAAATTTGCTAAGAGAGTAGATCTTATGCTAAATGTTCTTATAATCATCATCACAATAACAACAACAATCATAAAGAGGGCCCCAGGTAGAAGAAAATCTAGGAAATACCATTTGGGACATAGGCCCTGGAAAAGATGTTGTGATGAAGTCTCCAAAAGCAATTGCAACAAAAACAAATTGACAAGTAGGACCTACTTAAAAAGCTTCTGCACAGCAAAAAAAAAAAACTGTCAACACAGTGAACAGACAACCTACAGAATGTAAGAAAACATTTGCAAACTATGCACCTGACAAAGGTCTAATATCCATAATGTATAAAGAACTTAAGCAAATTAACAAGCAAAACACAAAGAACCCCCTTAAAAATAGGCAAAGGACATGAACAGACACTTCTCAAAAGGAGACATATACATGGCTAAAAAGCATATGAAAAAATGCTCAACATCACTAATCATTGGAGAAATGCAAATGAAAACCAATATGAGATACCATCTCACACCAGTCAGAATGGCGATTATTAAAAAGTCAAAAAACAACAGATGCTGGTGAGGTTGTGGAGAAAAGGGAACACTTATACACTGCAGATGGGAATATAAATTAGTTCAGTCACTGTGGAAAGCAGTGTGAAGATTTTGCAAGTAACTTAAAGCAGAACTACTATTCAACCCAGCTATCCCATTACTGGGTATACAGCCAAAGTAACATAAATTGTTCTACCAAAAAGACACACGCACTCATTTATCCACCACAGCACTATTCATACTAGCAAAGACATAGAATCAACCTAGACACCCACAACAGTGGACTGGATGAGGAAAATGCAGTACAAATACACCATGGAATACTGCACAGCTATAAAAAAAGAACAAAATAATGTCCTTTGCAGCATGAAGGATGCAGCTAGAGGTCATTATCCTAAGTGGATTAATGCAGGAACAGAAAACCACATACTACATGTTCTCACTTATAAGGAGGAGCTAAACAGGGAGCACACATGGACACAAAGAAAGGAACAATAGACACTGGGGCCCATCTGAGGGTGGAGGGTGGGAGGAGGGACAGGATAAAAAAGCTACCTAACAAGTGCTATGCTCATTACCTGGGTGATGAAATTATTTGTACACCAAACCCCAGAGACATGCAATTTACCCATGTAACAAAACTGCACATGTACCCCTGAACCTAAAATAAAAGTTGGAAGAAAAAGAAGGGCAGGAGGAAACTTTAGGAAGTGGTGGTTGGGCTTATGGCATAGATTGTGGTGATGGTTTCACAAGTATATACTTCTCTCCAAACTCATCAAGGTGTATACATTAAATATGCACAGTTTTTGTATGTCAGTCATACCTCAATAAAATAGTTTTAAAAAAATGAGTGGGGTAAAATTTTCCAAAGGATCTGGAGGAAGATAAAAGGTGAAGAAACAAAGCTTCTGAGTAGACATATATTACTGCTCACAGCAGCTTACTATGGAGTTCTTGGCAATTCATTTTTTTTAGGAAAATCGATAAAACAATTATTTTTTTCAATCACAGAAAAAAGAACATCGGTGGGAGGTCTGGGATCTTTGGCTTCTCATCTATCTCCTGGACTAGACAGGGACCTTCTTGATGGCAGAAATGGGGAAATTATTCTTCTCTGTATGTTTAGCACTTATCAGAACCTGGCACGTAGTAAGCGCTGAAATCAGCATTCTGGATGAATAAGCCCAGCTGTAATAACTTAGTCTGGGTTTCTGAAATGTTACTGTGTATTTGAATCACCTGAACATCTTGTTAAAATGCAGACTCTGACTCAGTAGGTCTGAGGTGGGACTAGAGATCCTGCATTTCTGACAAGCTCCCAGGTGATGCCAATGCTGCTGGTAGGGACCACCCTTTGGGCAGCACATCTCAGTCTTCTGACAAGTAATCTGTGGGAGTCCCATTATGCAAAGAGGTGAAATAGAGGTCCAAGAAGGGGCTCTGGGAAAAAAAAGTGATAGGAGGGTCAGGAGACCTGGATTCTAGTTCCAGATCTCCTGCCTAGGAGCTGGGGACTGGGGCAAATTTCCACACTCCTCTGAACAACAATCCCAGCAGCCAGGTCAGGATTCCCTGCCCTGACCTGCCTCGCCCTGCCCTGCCCTGCCCTGCCCTGCCCTCTTCACCAGTGTCTGAGCTGCTGTAGTGAAGGCTGGGGCTGAAAGGGCGGCATTTAAAGCTGAACCAGACTCATCACTGCCCTGGATAAGCTCTGAGATCACATACATTAATATGTTTTGCAAGGATGTGAGGAAAAATTAAGATTAACTAACGTACCCTGCAGAAAAGAATGCCTGAACTCTCCCAGCTGCCACCCAGCATGCTGATCTCAGATTTTATATTTAGCCCTACTTCATAAATTATCTGCCATCCATATTCTGGTAGTCGTCATTTTTTCTAAGCCGGCTCTTTCTAACCAGAGGGACCCCTCTTTACTAAGGACCTTCTGATCTCTGACTCCCACCCCACCCTCTTCCTGAAGAAAACAAAATCAAAGCCCCTTTTATACCTTTGTCAATGCCTCACAAACAATAATAAAATCATAGCTCAACATTTATTAAGTACTAACTCTATGCCAGTTCTACTGATAAGATCCTTACCTAGATTATATTAGGGTTTCCCAAAATATGGTAAACATCAATTATAGCATGTGATACAGACACGTGTTGTTTTGATCATTATATTATTTATAAGTTACCTTGTATTTATGGTAACTAGTACTGTCTTTCCACTTAGGGTAGCACTGTAAAGTCTAGTTTAAAATAAATATAAATAAAATGAGTCAACATAAGAGAAAAGCAAATCAAAACCATAATGAGATACCATTTCATGCCAACTAGAATGGCTGCAAGAAAACATATAAACAAACAAAGAAAAACTCAGATACTAACAAATGATGGCAAGGATGTGGAGAGGTTGGAATTCTCATCCACAGCTGGTGGGAATATAAAATGGTTCAGCTACTTTGGAAAACAGACTGGCAGTTTCTCAAAAGGTTAAATAGAAAATTACTATGCAATCCAGCAATCCCACTTCTAACTATATACCCACAAAGAAAACATATGCCCATGTAAAAATTTATACAGGGATCCTCCTAGAATTATTCATAATAGCCCCAAACTGAAAACAACCCAAATGTCCACTAACTGATGAATGGATTAATAAAACACTATGGAACATTATTCAGCATTGAAAGGAATGCAGTACTCATCAATGCTGCAACGTGAATGAATCTTGAAAATATTTTGCTAAGTAAAAGAAGCCAGCCACAAAAGGTCACATATTTTATAATTCTCTTCATATGAAGTGTCCTGAATAGGCAAATCCGTGGAGACAGAAAGTAGATTAGTGGTTGTCTAGGGCTGACAGGAGGAGTTTTAGGTGGGGAGAATAAGGAGTGACTGCTAAAGGGTGCAGGGTTTCTTTTGGGGGGGATTAACAAAAATTGGGGTGTTTGAAAATTTCCTCTGATGGTTTACGCAACTCTGTGAATATACTAACACCACTGAGTTGCATACTTTCAATGGGTAAATTGTATGACATGTGAAGTATGTATCAATAAAACCATTATAAAATATGTAAAGAATGTATTAGATAATACTAGTCAGAAAGCTGATCACAGTCTCAAAAGACACAATCTCCAGTGCCATAATCCCAAATGTTGAAATCCAGAAAGATCACAATCCGAAAATATAATTCTGGAAAAAGAATTTTACTAAGTACTTTAAAGGTATTTATTTACATTTTTAAAAGGAGGTTTGGGGCTGGTCACGATGGCTCATGCCTGTAATCCCAGCACTTTGGGAGTTCGAGGCAGGCAGATCATGAGGTCAGGAGATTGAGACCATCCTGGCTAACACGGTGAAACCCCATCTCTACTGAAAATACAAAAAAATTAGCCGTGTGTGGTGGCGCACGCCTGTAGTCCCAGCTACTCGGGAGGCTGAGGCAGGAGAATGGCATGAACCCGGGAGGCAGAGGTTGCAGTGGGCCAAGATCACGCCACTGCACTCCGGCGTGGGAAACAGAGCGAGACTCCATCTCAAAAAAAAAAAAAAAAAAAAAGGAGGTTTATTCGAAAAACACATAAAACCACAACAGAACTCCTCATAGGACACTTTATATAATAAAAGAGGCAATAATAGATATATATTTTTGCAAAAACGGGTATAACAGTTAAGAACAAATGAATCTTATTGATAAAAAATAGGTCAAAAAACAAAATGTATAAATGCATATCACTACGGTTGGTAATTGTGTGCACTCAGCTCTCTAATTGCAGTTATCTGAAATACAGTGATGGACAACTTAAGTCTTTTGACAAGAGTGGTCAAAAACATGGATGGGTCTGCACTGCATTATCATAGCACCAATCGCCCAATAGTCAAGATCTTGACAAATTTTAACTTTCACGAATGTAGATGTACAAAAAGGACATCCTTTCATTTTCTAAGGGAGATTTAATGTTTTTATGTACCTGCACAATGCTTACACACGAAATCAATGTTGTGACAATGCACTTTCATGGAGTCACATTTGCAAAAAATGCATGGAGAGAATTAAGACTCTGTAAAAGCCTTTTACATAATTTACACCTTCAGGATTGGAGATGATGGGAAGAAATACATAGCATAGTGATTGTAAAAAAACAATGCTGACAATTTAAAACAGTAAAAAAAAGCTAAACAAAAAAACAAAAAAGAAAAAGAAAATTTGACATATGAAAATGTATATTACAGGGGTGGGTAGATTATGAGCAATTGCGCAGAGTTAGTCCGTAAGAGCTGGCCAGCTTTCATGATCATTAACTCTATTTTGAAGTCATGTATCACAATGAATAGCTGCTTTTTTTTTTTCTTTTAGGACATCGCTTTCCTTGGAGAACATATTCATATTCAACTTCTACCTGGCACTTCTCTTTTTAAAATTCTTCTATGATTCGATATACATGGACGTGAGCATTCTCTATTAAGTTTTCCCTTCTTCTGTGCCATGATTCTAATGCTGTTTTGGGTACCCGGAAATCCATTTCATGAGTACTTATACAGACCACAAATTTGGTGGAAAGAATATTGGTGATCAAACAGCAGCACCACTGCATAAGTGTCTTCTTATCCTACCATTTACATAATTATTATTATTATTATTATTATTATTTTTTTTTTTTTTTTTTTTTTTTTTTTGAGACGGAGTCTCGCTCTGTCGCCCAGGCTGGAGTGCAGTGGCGCCATCTCGGCTCACTGCAAGCTCCGCCTCCCGGGTTCACGCCATTCTCCTGCCTCAGCCTCCCCAGTAGCTGGGACTACAGGCGCCCGCTACCACGCCCGGCTAATTTTTTGTATTTTTAGTAGAGACGGGGTTTCACCGTGTTAGCCAGGATGGTCTCGATCTCCTGACCTCGTGATCCGCCCGCCTCGGCCTCCCAAAGTGCTGGGATTACAGGCGTGAGCCACCGTGCCCGGCCTACATAATTATTTTTGAACCAGTCAGTAACTGCTTAATTTCTTCAGACAAATGTAGCTTTAATTCATTAAAAGCTCCTGGAATGTCATCAGCTGGAAAGGAATGCCAATGCAGGAAAATAACATATTTTTAACCCAAAGTTTCCCTCGTATGGCACGGCCGGCCAAGCTACTCATCTGAATTTTCTGCCAAATGCATTGGGCTGAATGAAAAAAACAAACTTTATTGGTAACACCTTGAAATGCACTTCTAGAAACCTTAATCACACCTAATTCCAAATCTGTTACTATGTTTGGAGATTTAAATTCGTTTTCTTCTCCATAAAGGAAATAACAAGGTAATAATTCTTCTTGACGTGATGCAACTATTCTGTGATTGAGATTTTCAGAATTCTAGATGACAGAGATTTTAGACTTTAGGGATTTAGACTTTAGGAAGTTTGATATTTAGGGATTTCAACATACGGGATTATAGCTTTTGAGACTGTGTTTTCAGGATTATGATCCAAATCCCTACAGATGGCACATGAATATTTAAAAAAAAAAAATTGGAGAGGCTGGGCACGGTTCTCACACCTGTAATCCCAGCACTGCGGGCGGATCACAAGGTCAGGAGATCGAGACCATTCTGGCTAACATGGTGAAACCATGTCTCTACTAAAAAAAAAAAAAAAAAAAAAATAGCTGGGCGTGGTGGTGAGCACCTGTAGTCCCAGCTATTCGGGAGGCTGAGGCAGGAGAATCGCATGAGCACGGGAGGCAGAGGTTGCAGTGAGCCGAGATCACACCACTGCACTCCAGCCTGGGCAAAAGAACGAGACTCCATCTCAAAAAAAAAAAAATTGAAGAGATAGTTATGGTAAAGTTTAGGAAACACTAGATATAGATCAGCAGTCCTTCCAATAACCCTTTGAGATAAATGCTACTTTCTTTTCCTGTTATATAGGAAACTGGCTCCCAAGAGTTAGATTACTCATCCAAGGATATAGACTTCAAGTGAGTTTTGAACCCAGACAGCTGACTCCAGAACCAGTGCTCCTACCTGACATGCTACACTGCTTCCAGGGTCCCCAACCCCCAAGTTCAGCCCTAGTCAAACTTTGTATAATGATGCCCCTTGCCAATCTCTCTGACTTGGATCTGACCTATACCAGTGAGCATCACCTACTGCTTGACATAGGCTGTAAGATGACATAGAAAATACTAGTGGTAGTACCAGGCAGTGGGAAAGAACAAACTCATTGTACAGAGGGGAAACTGAGGACTAGGTCATATAGATAGTCAGAGACACCACCAGGACTCCTTGGGAGAGCTCTATGGCCAAGATGGCCAGTTGTTCACCAAATATCATCCCTTCCAAAGGAAGGGCTATCACTGGGAAATGCCTGCTCAGCCAGGGACTTCATTTTCCAGATGCCCTTACAACTACATGTGACCTCAGTGGTAGCCAGTCTTCAAGATGGTCCTCAATGACCCCTGCCCCCTGTGTAGCCTCCTCCCACAGTGAATATGACTGGCTTGTGTAACTAATAGATATTACTACAGAAATGATGGTATATAATTTCTGAGGGTAAATTATAAAAGATATTGCAGCTTCTACCTTGCTCTCCTGGATCACTTACTTTGGGGAAAACCAGCTGCCACGTTCTGAGGATACTCATGCAGCCCTATGGAGTAGTCTATATGACAAAGAATTGAGGCCTTTTGCCAACAGTCATGGGAGTGAGCCACCTGGGAAGCACGTCATCTGGCTCCAGTCAAGCCTTCTGAGCACTGCAACCTCATGAGAAGCCTTGAGCCAAAACTACTCAGCTAAGCTTCTCCTTAACTCTTGACCCACAGAAACCATAAGGTAATAATATTTATGGCTTTAACCACTAAGTTTTGGGATAATTTGTCATGTTGCAAGAGATAACTAGCATACCCTATGACTAATTCTTGCCAATGGAATGTGACCTGACAGGTTATGTGCCGCTGCCAAGCACATATGGTTAAGATACAGTTTCTTCCCCCTCCCAGAGAGATTTTTTTTTGAACAGATATCTATACACCCAGGTTCATAGCAGCATTATTCATAGTAACCAAGAGGTGGAAGCAACCCAAGTGTCCATCAATGGATGAATGGAAAAACAAAGTGTGGTCTACACATACAGTGGAATATTATTCAGCCTTAAGAAGGAGGGAAGTTCTGACACACACTATGTACAGCATGGAAGAACACTGAAGACATTATGCCAAGTGAAATAACCCAGTCGCAAAAGGACAAATACTATATGATTCCACTTATGTGAAGTACTTAGAATAGCCAAATTCATAGACATAAATTAGGATGGTGGTTGCCAGGGGCTCAGGGAGAGGGAATACAGAGTTAGGGTTTGATTGGTATGAAGTTTCAGCTTGGGATGATGAAAACATTCTGATGATGAATAGTAGTGATGGTTGCATGACAATGTGAATGTACTTAATGCTACTGAACTGTACACTCGAACATAGTTAAAATGCCAGATTCTATGTTATGTATATTTTACCACAATAAAAAAGGCATTGTGTGCCCAAAAGGAGTTATTTCTTCTGCCGTCCCCTACACACTCAACTAAATTTCTGCGAGAGCTGGGGCTTGTGGGTTGAGTAACATCTTTTTCTAGCCACTATTTGCTGGGCAGTGTCCTGCTGCGAACAAAAAGGGCAGGATCCCTGTATTTGGGATCTAGGTTCAGCAGCATGTGACAGGTATCCAAAGCAATAGTGGCTTAAGCCAGACAGAAATTCATTTCTCCTGCAGACAGTCTGGTAGTGGCTTAAGCCAGACAGAAATTCATTTCTCCTGCATACAGTCTGGAGGTGACAGTGTCAGGCTGGCTGCTGACTCCGTTCCATGAGGTTATTCAAGGAACCAGGCTCCTCTCTTGTATTCTGCCATCCCTAGGATGTTTCTCTCACCTATGTGGCTCAAGATAGTTTACTACCAAATCCACTTTAAGCAGCGAAGAGAAGAAAGAAGGGAAGAAGAGGCATGTTTTCTGCCTTCAAGAAACCATCATTTTGGGTCTCTGTACTAGAAGTGGAATGCAACTACCACTTGCCGTACTGTCTGTCCCTCACATCCTCCAATGGGAAGTCCCCCACAGAGATCTTGGGAGCCCCATGTTGAATATGATAGAGCCCCAGCATGGGTAGAATCTGGATCCCTGCATCACTGCATGGAAGGCTGTCTGCCAAGCATCTGCATAGGACTTTGCATAAGTAAGAATAAACCTCAAAGGTGTTAAAGTACTGAGATTTCAGAGTTTATCTGGTATAGCCACCAGCATTATCTTAACTAATACAGTCTTATGATTGAAGCTTGGGAAGCCAGATGACACTATAAGACTGAGGCCAGGTTGGGCAATGAAAAGATGGTTCTAGAGTCAGGAGACCCACGTGCAAGTCTCTTTGACTCCACTTACAAACTATGTGGGTTATTCAAACTCTTCCAGTCTTGGTTTGCTCAAATGTAAATTGGAGATAATGAGAATACAAACCACACTATTTGTCGTGTGGACTGAATGAGGGAAACTGCAAAAGAGACAGCTGAGAAAGATCTGCTTGGGGCAGTGACAGACACCTGTACCCTTGCCATTCTCCAAAGAGGAGAACAGATGGGCAGTTAGACTTGGGCACAGCACATCATAACTCACAGCTTGATGTGAAGCAAATGGCCCACGGGGGGTGCCTAATCTCTAAGTCACAGCTGAATACCCAGACTCAGGCAGGAAGCCATCTGACTTGGATTTGGCGATATCTCCAATTTGAGACCTAAAATAGCCCAGCCAAGAACTTACTTGGTTGGCTTCTGGGTACTTAAATTGGGTTTGCAGCATGGGCCGATTTTTTTTTCCCAGGTAGCCCAGGAATGAGAGTCAAGTCCTCCTCTCTTTATATCTCAACTGGACAGTGCTGGCTTAGAAAAGTAGGCATGCTCACTGCTCGGGCTGCCACTCCAGGGAGTATGACAACCACATAGGTGTCAGGGTCAAAGCCACGGATGCTTCAGAGACTGCACAGGGAATGTAAGAGTGGGAAGATGCCAGGGCTCACATAGCAGCAAGTGGTGGGTTTTGTGAGTCATGTGGCACATCAGGCAGGTCCACAGGCTCATTTCATCCCATAGCTGAACAAAAGGCTCAAATCTGAATTTATTGCCTTCTAGTGCCCCAACTTTTCCAGATTGATCCCCATTAATTGAAATATAACATGAGTCACATAAGTAGTATTCTTAGCTTGCTAGGGTGACTATAACAAAAATGCTACAGACTAGATGACTTAAACAACAGAAGTTTATTTTCCCACAGTTCTGGAGGCTGGATGTCCTAGATCAAGGTGTCAGCAGGGTTGGCTTCTTCAGATGCCTCTCTCTGTGGCTTATGGGTGGCCACCTTCCCCTGTGTCCCCACATGGCCTTTCCCTTGGGCACACACATCACTGTCTCTTCCTCTTCTCATAAGGACACTAGTCCTATTGGATGGAGTCCTCCATTAACCCTAATCACCTCTTTAAAGGTCCTATCTCCAAACACAGTCACACTCTCAGGTACTAGGAGTTAGGGCTTCAACATATGAATTTTAGGGAAATGCAATTCAGTCCCTAGTAGTAATTTAAAGTATTCTAGGAGCCACACTTTTAAAAATATGAAGAAAACAATGAGATTAATTTACTTATTTAACCCAATATATCCAAAATATCATTTCAATATGTAATCATTATTAAAATATTAATGAGACATTTTACATTCTTTTAAAAAATACCAAGTCTTCAAAATCTAGACTGTGTTTTATACAGCTCCATTAGGACCAGCCACATTTAAAGCACCTAGTAACCACATGTTCTAGGTACTTGATGCCCTCAAGCCCACCAGGCACTTTCCCATATCTGGTGCCTACACTGTTCCCTCTGCCTGGAATAGCCTTCTCTCCTTTCCCCACTCATAATTCAAGGGTTTAGTATTACATGTTACCTTGCCCCCAAAGTCTTATGCAATCCCCCAGAAGGAGGGTTTCCCTTTTTCCCTGTGTCCTCACAGAACCCCGTACCCATCTCTGTTTGAGTGCCTGCCATACCAGCTTATTATCTTTTTTTTTAAATTATTATACTTTAAGTTCTAGAGTACATGTGCACATTGTACAGGTTAGTTACATTTATTATCTTTTTAATGTCACTGAAAGGCCAAAACCATTTCTGAGCCACCAGCACATAGCACATTGCTTGGCACATGGTAGACACACAATAGTCATTGCTGGTTTTAGGGGCAACTGGGGGCTTGCTCTGAGATGAAGGTATTAGATTACCAGGAAAATTTCTTTTAAAGTTCCCCCATTATTGTGTGTGTGTCTGTGTGTGTGTGTGTGTGTGTGTGTGTGTGTGTGTGTGTGTGTGTGTGATGGGTCACAATAAAGAAAGTGGTAGAAAATATTGCTTAGGGTATTATTGTTTCCAGAGAGACTCTGAACCAAGCAGTTATGATTTGGGGCTGTATGTAGCTTTAACAGTTGTTCGGTTCTTAGTTTACGATCCTCTCTAAGAAATGTTTGGGCCTTGATATACAGCTACAAGGCACTGTACATCTGAAGCTGATGGGCTTATAATCATCAAGAAATACATGATTAATTTCACAAGGGTGGCAGGGCAGTTTACCAGCTGAATGACCTAAGGGCAGTTTTGACCTATAATATGGGGCTCAGGGTCCCCCTGTTGCACAACTCCAGGGGGCACTGCAGAGTGACCATGTGAATGGTGTCCCTGGAGCTGAGCATGCACAGCCTGTGTGGCTGGATGCAATGGTCCTGAAAGCCTACCTGTAGGTGAACATCTATGACAGACCACTGACTTTAGACATCTGAGCCAGGATATCAAGGAGATTAAACAGAGGGAAGCTCAGAACAGAGGGAACTGTGTGCATTCACACACACAGATGCTGCCCACATCCAGAAGAACTGTAGCACAAAGGCCAAGTATAAACTCAGTGTTTTGGAACTTGGAAAGCATTCTCTCACAGAAACAGGGCCCACATAGGGGCTTTTCTTCCCAGGTTAGCATCCAGGACACAAAGATTATTTTTAAAAACAAAATAAAAATATTTCACAATATTGCCCAGGCTTGTCTCTAACTCCTGGGCTCAAGCAATCCTCCCACCTTAGCCTCCCAAAGTGCTGAAATTACAGGCATGAGCCACCACCGTGCCCAGCCCAATGATAAAGTTTTAAGCTGACATTCTTGGGCTTTTCCCCTCAGATAAAAAAAAGGACATGAACTTCCCCTTTGTTCCATCTATTTTCTACTTAAATCAATTAGGGAAGACAAACTTCATGTGGGTGAAACCTCTTCTGGCTAGAAGAGGACTGAAGTGGGACCCTCTAGGATGTAGAGTATAAGTCAGAGAACTGGGCTTGAATTCTGGCTCCACTGTGTGATTTTGGACAAGTTGCTCAACCTAAGCTTCAGTCTCTTTATCTGTAAAGATATTACCACCCCTACCCCATAATGCTGTGCAGCATAATAGAGACAGGGTACATGAGGGCCTAAGCACAGGCTGTGCTAAGTGTATCAGTCAGCTGTACTGCGTAACAATCTCGAAATCTCAGTGGCAAATAACAATGAGCATTTATCTCTCATTCCTGTGATTGTAGGTTGGCTGAGGCAGCTCTACTTCAGGCTATGGATCTGAAGTTTTGGCTAAGTCATCTCTGCTCCATTATCTCCTTTTGGGGCCCAGTCTGGAGAGGCAGCAGCTAAGTGAAGAGTGTTCTTCCCACAGTAATGTAGGCAGATAAGGGGGCAAGCCCAACTATGCAAGCACATTTCAAACCTCTGCTTGGCCAAAGTGAGTCATATGGCTGAGCCCAAAGTCAAGGTCTGGAGAAGCAAAGTCTGTCGACCATGGGCCACAGCAGGAGTGAGGATGTAGAATATGATTATGAGGGAGTGAGAAGTTGGGAACAATAATTCGCTACTACAAATAGAAATAGTATACAAATAGAATTATCACCTGTTCATGTTCACTCATCCAAATATTTCAGTGGAACAAAATGGGCAGTTCTTATAGTATTTTATTCTTTCAAAGAAATGTCTTAGGCATTGTGGCAGAAGATGAGTATATGGTGTAAAAATTTAGGAGATTGCCAATGGGTAAAGGAAAGGACATGTTACCAGGAGAGGTCGCCCCATCCTTCCATCTTGATTCTGGCCCTAACAGTAAAAAGATCATGTCCCGAATCAGCACTGAGGGCATCAAAGGAAGAAATGTTTCTACAGTTACCTGGCCAGGGTAGCTCCTAAATCTGGGTATGTAAAGGTTGCAAAATGATGCTTCATCTTGGGCATTACTGTCATCAAGGAGCCCTGAGAGTTGAGAGGGTAGAGAAATCATTTTAGAATTCATCCAGAAGGTAAGCATTAACCCGGGCTTAAGAGGATGGGTTATATCTGATAAGCAGAGAGGAGCTTTCAGAAAGGGGAAGGGCATGAGCAGAAGCCAATACTTGGTGGCTCAAAGCAGCAGACATTTATTATTGTAGCTTGTAAGTCATGAGGCTGGAGGTTGGCTGATGTGGGTTGGGTTTGCTCATACGTCTTTGAGTCTGGTGAGGCCTCTGCATTAGTCTGGGATTTCCTGGGGGCATCTCAGCTGGGGCCATTCTACTCTGTGTGTATCTAGTTTTCCTCTTGGACCCGCAGACTGACCTGGGGACATCCTTCTGTGGTCATGGCAGAAGTCGAAGAACACAAGGCTTGGGATTGACACATATCAGTGTATCAATTCTGCCTCATTCTACTGGCCAAAGCAAGTCATATGGCTGAACTTGTGTATTGCCGGGGGCGCTGCAAAGTTACATGGCAGATGGCATGCATATAGGGAAGGGTGAAGAATTGGGATCATACGTGCAAACCTACTAGAAAAAGTCTGGTGGTAGTAACAAGATAAGGGTTTTACAGAACATTACAATTGCAGACTCTCATGATTCAGAAATCCCATATCAGACTCTAGTGACTGGGAAGTCCCCTCATGGTATCCCTGCCTTAGGCTATGACAGCCCAGCTTCTAAGTCTACCTCTCCCGTGTGGCTCACCATGCCTGGGGCAGATTATTCTGTCACTGAATGACTTGTAGGAAGTTCTTCCTGGCATCTAACTCCTTCCTGCTTCCTCTCCAATTCTGGTTCGCCATGTAGGCTTTTGGTTTAGCAGCCATCTACACATCTGAAGACAGTCCACTGACCCAGTGGTTCTGGTTTATCACACCCTAAGTGAGACAACTGTGGGTGCATTGGCACAAAGTGGAGGGAGACTTTTACCCTCTCGATGGGCTGCTGTAGCTCTACTAACCCAGGAGATGTTCTTGACATCTTCCCTCCCCTCACCCTCATATCCAGACCTAGTCAAGTCCTGTGAGTTTAGCCTTCAGTATCACTCTCCTTTCTCCAGTCTAAGCTGCCATCACCTCTTGCTTGGACCAGTGCGGTAGCTCCTTCACCGCCCCCCGACCACCACCCCACCCTATAATCTACTTTTCACACTGCGGCAGAAGTCACCTTTCTACAATGTGAATGTGCTCTCATGGCACCCACTGCTAAAAATGCTTCACCTTCAAGCGCATCTTGTTCCACACCATGCTCTCCAGCCTTCACACTGGCGAGCATCCTCCAGAACCCCAGACCCTCCTTGTCCAGTTCACTGTTCTTCTCCCTTCAGGCTCCTGCTCATCTGTCACTTGCTCAGGGACCTCTCCTTTTTCTCCTTGCCAAGGCCAGATTGCTGGGTTACAAGCTCTATAGCAATGCAGCCCTTTCCCTTGTACGTCGCCCAGCACCTCTAACTTTCATTTCTGTGATGGCTTGGTTAACTTCTACCTCTGCCGCCATCCTGCAATGGGGCTTGCACACTGGCTGGGGTGCATAGGGCTGATCTGTGGCACTTGCAAATTCCCACAGTGTAAATACAACCACCGTGGAAGATTTCAAGACACCAACAATGGCGCCATGCAAAATCCCTGAAAACGCAATAATCAGCTGTCATGAGCTAGTCTGAGCCAGCTCTAGCATACCATTGAGGTGGGCCTTATACTTGGTATTGCTCCCTAGTGACTGATATTGCATCTGGAAAATAATTAAAGAGCCAAAGCAAGGCCGGGCATGGTAGATCACGCCTGTAAT
This sequence comes from Homo sapiens, assembly GCF_000001405.40. Classification (NCBI taxonomy): domain Eukaryota; kingdom Metazoa; phylum Chordata; class Mammalia; order Primates; family Hominidae; genus Homo; species Homo sapiens. The sequence continues at coordinate 10,811,703 of NC_000003.12, forward strand.
TCCAGCACTTTGGGAGGCCAAGGCAGGCAGATCACTTGAGGTCAGGAGTTTGAGACCAGCCTGGCCAACATGGTAAAACCCCATCTTTACTGAAAATCCAAAAAAAAAAAAAAAAAAAAAAAAAAAAAAAAAAAAAAAAAAAAAAGAACCAAAGCATTTGGTGAATGAATGAATGAATGAGCAATGCTGAAGTTTAAATGAGCCTCAGGACAGCAGCTGCTGTTTCCAGAAGATGGAAGACATTGAGTGCTTGCCCCAAGAAAGGAATAAGGGAGTTATGACATTTCTGTCCCCTGAAGACTGCTTATAACAAACATGTCTATATCAGGCACAAATCCAAGTGCTTTACAAATACTAACCCACTTAATCCTCATGACAACTAAAAGGTAGATACTACTACTACCCTGATTTTACAGATAAGGAAATGAAAACTCAGAGACATGAAGTCATTTTCCAAGGTCATTTGGAGTTGGCTTTGAAACCAGGCAGTGTGACTGCAGAACCAACATTCTTACCCACTGTGCTCTGTTGCATCAGGGCCAGCCCTGGGGATAAGATGTGTGTCCCATTTGTGTCCCAATCCCTGTATATCGACCCCACAGACAGTGTGTGCTCTTCAGCCCACTGTCCCTCAACAAAGAAATGATGAAGTGGCAAAGGTCTAGAGATGAGGTCCTGCAATGATGAAGTGGATGTGGGCTCTTCTGGATAAGGACAGAGTAAAAAGATCAAGGCTTTTTAAGGGCCATAAAATAACCAAGGAGATGGACTTTAAATATTTACTTACTAAATTCAAATAGGAAATTGACCTGGCTAACTTTTACAAAGGGAACCATTCAAACCTGAGAGGTGAGTTTGCAACATCAGTATTTGTACAACGTTCTTCCCTGAGTGTGATCTCATTTTGCCTTGATGACCACCCTGGAACATGGGAATAATTGTGCTCATTTGAGTGAAACGAGGACACCAGAGCTTAGAGATTGGGCGATGTATCCAACACCACAGAACCATCCATCAGCAGAACTGGGCCTGGGTCCCAGACCAGATGATGGCCAGCTTCAGCCCTCTCATGCTGGTTCAGTGTTACTTCCCAAGCAGGTCTGGTAGAATCACAGCTGCTCAGAGGAAGTCAATTCCTGGAGCTAATTATGCTGAGCACCAGCACAAAGCGAAAATGTAATTAGTTTCAAAGGAGCTTTGCACAGATTCTGGAGTGACAGCCTAATATTGCAATAGTAAGATTCAGGAATATGTCTAACTTTTTTTTTTTTTTTGAGACGGAGTCTCGCTCTGTAGCCCAGGCTGGAGTGCAGTGGCATGATCTCGGCTCACTGCAAGCTCTGCCTCCTGGGTTCACGCCATTCTCCTGCCTCAGCCTCCCAAGTAGCTGGGACTACAGGTGCCTGCCACCACGCCCAGCTAATTTTTTATATTTTTAGTAGAGATGGGGTTTCACCGTGTTAGCCAGGATGGTCTTGATCTCCTGACCTCGTGATCCGCCTGCCTTGGCCTCCCAAAGTGCTGGGATTACAGGCGTGAGCCACCATGCCTGGCCAGGAATATGTCTAACTTTTGATGTACTTGTTCGTTTAACAAATAGACTCCTAGCTACTTATGTGCCTACTCTGTGTAAGATCATTGAGGTCAAAGAAAAATTCCTTCCTTTATTGCCCATTCTATACACAGCATTGAGGATCATCAAAAAGAAAATAAAAATAACGAAGTCTTAGTGTGGGAGAAAAATGGCATTCAAAAATGGTAGAAGGAAAGGCTGGGACAATTTGATTGAGGGGGAATTTTGAATATTAGGGCCAGGAATTTGGTTTTATCCTGTAGGAAAAGGAAGTCCAATGAAGGTTTTTTTGTTTGTTTTTGCAGTCAAGGTCTTGTGCCATAGTCCAGATTGGAATGCAGTGACATGATCATGGCTCACTGCAGCTTAGAACTCCTGGGGGAGTTCAAGCTTATACCATCCTCCTGCCTCAGCCTCCTGAGTAGTTGGGACTGTAGGTGTGCACTACCACGTCTGGCTAAGTATTTTTTTTTTTTTAATTTTAAAGATAGGGTCTTGCTATGTTGGCCTCCCATTAGGGCTTTTAAGCAAGGGAATGAACTAACCATCCTCCTCCTCCTCACAATAAAAACAATAGCTACTGGCCAGGTTGTTGGCCTCCCATTAGGGCTTTTAAGCAAGGGAATGAACTAACCATCCTCCTCCTCCTCACAATAAAAACAATAGCTACTGGCCAGGTGTGGTGGCTCACGCTTGTAATCCTAGCACTTTGGGAAGCTGAGGCGGGCAGATCACCTGAGGTCAGGAGTTCAAGACCAGCCTGGCCAACATGGTGAAACCCCATCTCTACTAAAAATACAAAAATTAGCTGGGTGTGGTGGTGGGCACCTGTAATCCCAGCTACTCGGGAGGCTGAGGCTGGAGAATCGCTTGAACCTGGGAGGTGGAGGTTGCAGTGAGCCAAGATTGTGCCATTGCACCTCCAGCCTGGGTGACAGAGTGAGACTCCATCTTTTAAAAAATAATAATAAACAACAATAATAGCTACTGTTCACAGAGCTCCTACTGAGGCTTTTAACCCACACACCCACCCTGTGAGGTCAGAACTCATGTGAAGCCCACTTAACAGGTGAGAAGCATGAGGCAAAGAGGTAACAGAGCACCTAAGGGGCAGAGCTTGAATGCAAAGCCACATCCATCTGAATTCAGTATAGTCTCACCCTGAACACCGCAGGATCTTTGCTTTTAAACATAACCTAGGCAGCACATGGGGACAGAGGTTTGGGAGGCACCCACATTTAGTTCAGTGGTTCAAGATATGAGAAAGGCTGAATTTAAGGAGAGAGAAAGGAGAACCAGAGAAGCAGGGAGAGAAATGGTAGCTGCGCCAGGCAATGCCAAGAAAACCACACCAGTGGGAATTTTAAGAAGCAAAGGAGGGAGCAATGGTGCAGAAAGTTACCTAGAGGCCAGGCAGGATAGGGATGGAAAAGGAACCGTAGAATTTGCCAAATTGAGAGGGCGTCCGGGACTTCACAGCATTTTCAGAGGAGTGGTGGGGGTGGGTGCCAGATTGCTGTGGGCCAAGGAACGTGTGGGAGGTAAAGACAGGGCTGGCAGCCTGTCAACTTACTCTTTCAAGAAATATGATAGTGGGGGGAGGGGAAACGGGAAGATGGTGGAAGGAAGGGCTTTCTGGGGAGATGGAGGTTGGGAGCGACTTGAGCAGTTGTGAGCCAGAATGAAAGGAGAAGCGGAAGGCAGGAGTTTGAAGGCTTCAAAGCAAGGAGCCTGTCCCTAAGAGAGCTCCAGAGGGAGCTCCGAGGGACAGATGGAGAGTAGGGTTGGTGGGGGCTCAATGTGGCTGGACTTTTCCAGGCCTGTGCAATGGAAGAGGTGGAAGTGTTCATCTCTGTGGCCCCCAGCAGCTTAATAGTCTTTCCTTCTTCCCCTTTTCCTCTTCCTACCTTCCTCCCTTCCTCTCTAGCCACAAACATTTATTGAGCACATACTATGCACCAAGTCTTGTGCTAGGTTATGTTGCTATTATAATGAACAGGACAGTGTATATCATCCTTACAACTAAGTGAGGAGACAAATATTATACAAGAAGATGGACAAATGTGTGTAGGTCTACATATTGTATAATACTAACAATGGGTAATGTTCATTGGGCACTTTCAAGGTATCAAGACCTTTATAAGCATTTCTTAATAACCTTTTACCTAAAAATCCATCCCCTACATTAAAACTTACAAGATACTACTGATATTACCTTTTGCAGATCAGGAAACTGAGGCACAGAGGGATCAGATGACTGGCCAAAATCACACAACTTAGATTCACCTGTTTCCAGACGCAAGCACTTAACTGCCACACGGTCCTGACTATGTTGAGAGCTGCGGACACCAGTATGAACAAGACCTGCAGAGTGTCTAGGGCTGGGAAGAAGCCACGAATTCATTTACTGCCTTTTCCTCAAGGTGTGGTCCCTGGACCAGACATATCAGCGTCCCTGGGGAGGTAGTCAGACACGCAGGCTCTTCAGCCTACTGCGACCTACTAGACCGTGATGTGTAGTTTAAACAAGACCCGCAGGTGTCTGGTGTGTAGTTCAAGTTGGAGAAGTCTGGTCTAGAGCCCATTCCTCTTATTAGAAACAGGAAACCGAGGCCCAAGCATTTGAAGGTTATGGACGGTGGTAGAACTTTGGGGTTTGGTGAGTGGAGCCGGCCTAGGCCGGAATGGGCGCTTCCACTCTTGGCCCAGCAGGCCAGTGGGCAGGGCCGCGGGAAGGACGGGCGCTGCAGGGGCTCCGCGCGCTCAAGGTGCTCGCGGGCTCCCGGGCCCAGCCGGGCTGAGGTGGCGTGGGCGCCCTGCGGGCCGGGCCTCCGCGGCGCGTCCCAGTCCCAGTCTCCGCGCTGGTCTGGCCCGGTCCCTCAGCTCCACCCCCTGCCTCCCCCTCCCGCCCGCTCGCGCCTCCTGAAAAGCCAGCTCGCCCGGGGCGGCGGCGCAGAGCCGGGCCGGCGCACGAGGCAGCCAGCGCGGCCATGACGGCGGAGAAGGCGCTGCCCCTGGGCAATGGGAAGGCTGCTGAGGAGGCGCGGGAGTCCGAGGCGCCGGGTGGCGGCTGCAGCAGCGGGGGCGCGGCGCCCGCGCGCCACCCGCGCGTCAAGCGCGACAAGGCGGTCCACGAGCGCGGCCACTGGAACAACAAGGTGGAGTTCGTGCTGAGCGTGGCCGGGGAGATCATTGGGCTGGGCAACGTGTGGCGCTTCCCCTACCTGTGCTACAAGAACGGAGGAGGTGAGGTGATAGTGAGGAGAAGGGGAGGGGGCGCCAACCGCCCGGTGGGGGCGGGGAGCCAGGGGCGAGCGCGAGACCCCCTCCCGCGCCTGCGTGGAGCGGAACCCGAGCGGAGAACCTCGACTCCAGGCACCTCGCGTGTGAGCTCGCCCCGGAGCGCGGCCCACCTGTGCCAGTGCGCACGCGCACGTGCCAATTCGCACCTGAGGGTTCCACCTGCCAGCGCGGGGACTTGCCCGCGTTCTGTCCCCAGCATGAGATGCAGACCGAGGCCAGGGAGCCCTTGCTTTGGGTAGGCGCCCTGGTGTTTCGGGCACTTGGCCCCTTGGAGCCTCAGCTTTCCTAACTGGGAAAACGGCCTGTGGGGAAGGGACTCCTGATGATCAAAGTGGTCTCAGTTTTTGCGCGCTTACTGAAGTGCCGAGCACCTTTGACCATATCATCTCATCTCATCCTCTCAGTCACTTTCGTAGGCAGGGGTCTACCCATTTTGCAGGTGAGGACACTGAGGGTCAGAGAAGTCTCACTCGACCAAAAATAAAGATGAGATTCTGATGTCAAAGGCCCTATTTTAAACTGGGACTGGACTCACAACAGGGAGAACTTTTAGGCGAGGCATTGCTCTATGGTTTCCTGCCTAGTCTTTCGTCTGCTCTTAAGCCCATTTCTAGGGCCAATATTTGGGGCCCCTCTGGTGGAAGAATTGACAACGAACAGTTTATTTTACGGGTCTGAGAGTCACCCACGACAAACAGCAATACTGGTTTAATGTTGATGCTCTGCATAGAGATGTAGAAGGGGAGAGGGAAAGGACAGTGATGAGAGAGTCCTTTCTGGTGACAGCCTCTCAAAGTCAGTTTGGCAAAAGATGCAGCAGCGAATCCGTAACTCTCCCAGCTCAGGGAAGGGGCTCCAGCCTTCAGGACCCCCTCCTGTCATATCGGCAGGACAGCTGGGCGGGTCCATGGCAAGGGATCTTATAAAACCTCCTTCGGTGGCACAATTTCTCGAAGGAAGAGCCTGTATCTGTATATTCTCTCTTCTCTTTGCTGTGCCCCTGCCCCTCCAGCAAATTCCCAAACCCCAGCGAAGGTGGCTCAGAAGTTGGCTGGCAGGGACCGGGCTATGAGTCTGTGCAGAGCAGGACTTCCTGTGCGAGCAGCTGCCGGGAGAGGGAGAAGGGTACTGCTTGGCCCAGGCCCTTTCTTTGGGGACATTCATCCTGAAGGCACAGGCTGCTCCAAGCCTGCTCTGCACTGGTAATGAAGTGGCCGCTGGTGTTGGCGGCTTGGCAAGGGAGAGAGAGGGAGTGGACTTGGAGACCCCCAACGTGCCCTGTGCTCTCGGCTGTGAATCCTGCCTCTCTGCAGATACAGCGTTTGTAAGCTGCGTCCACTTGGAAACCTGTGCACACCTAGGGTAGTCCCCAGGCACAAATTGTTTTAACATCTTTTTTTTCCATACAGGAAATTGTTGTGCCAAAACAAAAAGCATTCATAAAAGCAGAAAACACGGTAAATTGGGTTAATTACAAATTCTGTCACAGATTTTTTTTTTTTTTTTTAAAAAAAAAGGTTGTAGTGAGTAAAGTTTTTTAAATGAGTCATTTTTTTTTTCTGACTAGCCAAGAGTTTTCTTGAGATTCATAGATCTCCTGGTTTGGTAGAGTTTATTGTCCTAAGGGTTAGTAGCTTTGTGAATACACAGGTCAAAAGGCTTTCTGAAAGTGTCATACGTTAGATTCTAGAGGTTTCACAGGTAAATAACAGCATGTTAGGGGACCTGCTGCAGCTGATTTTAATCACTTAGATTTCGATTCAGTAAACAGATCCTCTTATCTCCTTTTCCACACTTTTTGCTTTCTAATGTAGTTGGGATATCTGCTTCTCAACTGTTTACCTTTTTAAAAACATCCTTACTGCCCTCCTTTGAGATCCCAACAATAAAGTATTTCTTTCCCAATATGAAACTTTAAATTAGCTGCTTGCCCAGAAAAGCTAAGACCCTTTCAAACCCTGATAGATATGATCCTGCTATCAGGATTCATCAAAATTGTTGCTATTAATCCTTACGGTTAAGGAGACTTCATTTGGCAAAAAGCACTTTCAGTTAAAGCCGTCATTTGTGAGATCAGATGGTGGCAAATAGCATGTGTTTTCATGCTTCGTTATTAGACAGGAGGGACAGAATGAGGGATTTGGAAAAATCCCCATTCTGGGTGTAATAGTTCATGCTCACCTCAGTTATTTAATTTTTTTCACAGAAAGGCCCAGGAAATGGGTATTGTGTTTCAAGACAGGAACACTAATGCTTAGTGGTGGTCTTTTCCTGGACCAATTCAAAGCCAGCCTTTGCTAGATAGATTCTTGTTGCAAACTCCTTGCAAGTTGACACCACACCTGGGCCTCATGTGTAGGGGTACTTAATTCTTTGAGGCTTAATATTGTTCATTGTATAATTCCCTGAGAATGCTCTTCTTTATGACAAAGATTGTTTGCAAGTCACTTCCAAAGTAAAAGGAAGGGGTGCCCCTCACCTGGTCTGTTGAGGTCACTTTAAAATGAAAAAGGGTGCAACATTCAGGGAGGGAATGAATTTGACCCACGCTGGAGGATGAAATGTAAAAAATTTTTTTTAAATGAGCCAATGAAACAATTTCTTTTACATTATCATCTTAGCTGCATTACAGTTCTATGAGGGAAGCAGTGCAGATATTAAAAACTAAAGCTCCATTTTACAGATGGAGAAGTTGAGACTTGGAGATGTGAGGTAGACTTACAGAAACCTAGCGCTGTTTTCTGACTCTGGTCTTCATAATGGGAACTTGAACTCAAGTTCAAAGAACATCATGTCTGGCCTGTAGTAGATGTTTATTAAAGAGTTCTTGAGCCAAGTATGAATCGGCAGGGACAGTTTTCATTTCATTCCTTTGCATCCTTACAGGGGCATTCCTGATTCCCTACGTGGTGTTTTTTATTTGCTGTGGAATTCCTGTTTTTTTCCTGGAGACAGCTCTGGGGCAGTTCACAAGTGAAGGTGGCATTACGTGTTGGAGGAAAGTTTGCCCTTTATTTGAAGGTATGTGTTGAGTTAATGAGAAAATAAAATTTTGCCCAGGGAATGTCAACTGCAAAGGCAGATTGTTTTGAAAAGATAGACTCAAATTCCTTCCTTTCTTTTGTCCTTTCAGGCATTGGCTATGCAACACAGGTGATTGAGGCCCATCTGAATGTGTACTACATCATCATCCTGGCATGGGCCATTTTTTACCTGAGCAACTGCTTCACTACTGAGCTACCCTGGGCTACCTGTGGGCATGAGTGGAACACAGGTATGGCCCCACGGAGGTCTCTCTGCTGGTCCTGCTGGGTGACCTGGGATTGGGGTTTGTTCATGCCCTTCAGGCCAGTCCTGGTCCCTGGCCTCTCGTCATGAGTCCAGTTTTCTAGGGTAGTCTTGCTGAAACTGGGGTCAGCTCTGCACCTGTTCTGGTACGTTCTGTGAGTTGCAGCCCTAAAGCCTGAGCTGAGCATTGGCCCAGAGACTGGCATGGTTAGGAGAATGGAGATGTTCTGTCCTCTGTTTGTCAAATGCAGAGACTGAGCCCTTTGGGGGCAGGATGGGGGTGTGAGGAAGAGCACTAGACTTAGACTCAGGGGACTAGAGCTCCAATACTAGTCTTGCTTCTAGTGTCAAGTTTTCCCCTGTAAAACTGAGGTTAGACCAGATCAAGGGCTGCAGACAGAGGACCTACAGGCCAACCAGGCTTTAGATCAGTGAATGGCAGACTTAAAAAATAGATTTGGTTGCCAAAATTAAAAAATTGGAAGACTTCACGTGAAAAATTCAGGTTTCCAGCCTATCTTAAAAACTTAAACGATCTGGTGACACCAGACCCACCTTCCTGCTTGACAGCAGTGGCTGTAGCCAAGAGGTGGCTATTGCCTTCAATGACACATCCGTCCTGGAGTTAGCACAAACCCCACCCAGCTCACTTTCTTCATTTACTCTATCAATCCAACCCAGCTGACATTTGAATTTAGCCCCCAACCCCACTCCTGCTGGAATGGATAATCTTTTAGATTATTTTTGATACTGATATATTGTTTGTTTTTCCATATATCCTCCTATTAGCATTGAGTTTTATAATCCAAGAAAGGCATATCCCTGCCCAATCCCTGTCTAAGCTGGCCATGCTCACAGAAGACATCGCTAATCAATTGTAGCACTCTTTCCTTCTCAGTCTAGTCTTGGCCTTAGAACCCTTCTCCAATAGTGCTCCAGAGAGCTGCTGCCTTTTGACTGGAATTGGCGCACACACTTTGACCTATTCACCATCTGTATGATAACCTGTGTTTAGATTGTGTCTGGAAGTGGCCTGCCATCGTGAGGGCTGAGATCCAGTAAGATCGGGTAGGATGTTGGTGACCAGTAGAAGGAACAGCAGGTGGTAGACCTAGGAGATGCTGCAGTCTGGCTTCTAGCCCTATGTGATGCCTGACTCTGCCCTACTCCCCTACTCTGCCAACCCCTGGCTGTTGCATTTTGTGGAGCTTTTGCTGTTTCTCTCTTTAGGGCCCTAGTTTTTAACCTCCCTTTGGCCAGGGAACTCATAGAAATGTTTATCAAACTAAAATTCAAGGACAATTTCTTGGAGGCCTGTGAGTCCTCTAGGGTAATTTAATTGTGGGTACTTATTTTGAGGATACTCTAAAAATATGCACATGCTCTGGATGGTCTGAGCAAACACCTTATAACTGAGGATAGTCAGGAGATTCCAGTGGCTGACTTTATGCATGTTTATAATTTAAGATGCATTCATGGCAAATAGAATGATGATGGCCAAGGGAAAAAGACCAGAAAGGTTTAATTCATAGATAGAGCATTAGTACTAAGTGAAGTCCAGTTGAGAATGCAACACACCATAGGAATGAAGGTTTTGCAGAAGTGTAACCAGAGGAAAATGGGTAATCAAATCTCAAATAGTCCATGGAGGAATAAACCACCTGAACTCAACAGATTCTGCTTCTTACATGTCAGTTTCATTTTTCTGTTGGGAAAGCAATATAATTTTACCAAATAGCATTATCCTATGCATCCATTTTCTGTTATCACTTTAAATTGTGCTGGTTCTGTAGTATAGTTGGTATTTAATTTATAAATTTAATTTGACGTTTATAATTGTATGAATACTGTAATCACAAAGACTTTATAACTTGTTGTTTATTTGTACATGGTTAAATATTTTAATAAAAATAACTGGTCAACTTGGGTGTCCAGTAATTTTTTTTTTTAACTCTAGGAAGAAAAAATAATTGAGAAATCCTATTTTAGGGAATTCGATAAAAGTCAAGGTCTCCTCTCTCCAGAAAAAGGCACAGGACACATTCAGAAATCTTGCTGACAATTTCAGGTTTCCAGGCTCCTCTCAAGCCTGACTGAGGACCCCCAGACCACCTCCTTTCAGAACATAGTTAGCACTTGCCAAGAGGAGCAAGAAGCAGGCAGACAATCTGGATTTTCCCCAGTGGACTGCAAACCTCTTTCTTCAACTGGTTTGCAATCCCCTTTCTCTAAAGGTGTGTGAACACTTGCAATGTGTGAAACATCACACATAGGAGGTGATTCCTGCCTGCAGAGATTACAGATGTGGTTTGGAGCATTCATACATATGTGAGATGGAAGACATGCAAGAGTGAAGCCAGCCGGGCTCCTGCTCCGTGCTGGCCATGGTGCGGGGTGCAGGGGCCTCTGAGGTGAATGGATACAGGAGGCCTTGCCCTTGGGGAGCTCATGGTCTGGTGCCCCAGGTGTCTCTAAACAGAGGGACATGGGTCCCATGGTAGTGGGCTTTTCTGGGCAATACCCGTGGCAAAGTAGATGGAGCCCTGGCTGGAGTTTATTACAGTTCTATCCACGCTGGCCAGTGACTTTATAGAGGAGGAAGAGGGTATAGGTGGGGGTCCCTTGACTGTTTCTGAACCTTAGATTCTTCTTCCTCAAAATAAAGGGAGTTGGAAAAGTTGGTTGCTTGGAGGGCCTTTGAATTCTTGCTTTCTTAGATTTCAGGGGAGGGAGGTTGGGGAAGGCCTCCTGGAGATGGGGTTAAGGCCCAGGGGCACTGGGCCTTGAAGGATGAACACTAGGTTGCTTTTACTTGAGATTAAATCTCCCTGGGACATCAAATTTCGTGAAATGAGAAGAGGCATTCAGTAAGTCCTTTCTGATTGACTGGATCTAGTGAGGGAATGATGAAGAAACCAGGGATTCTTGGCATATGTTGATTCACACCATTTCCTCCAATCATCACGTCTTGATGAGACAGCTGTGGCATTAGCCCCTTTACACATAAAGTAAAACTGAGTCTCAGCTGCATTACTGCCCCAAGGTCACCATGGACGATCTATTCCTTTAGTCCCCCTATTCCACTACAGCCCTTCAGCCAGACAGATAAATGCTACTGGTGGGACTTAGGCAGGGAAGTGGAAAAAATAAAAGAAGATTTGGGAACAAGGGTAGAGGAGACAGTTTGATAGGGAGTGTTGGTTAGGAATGGGAGAGAGAAGGCCCCCTGCCCCATAAACCTTTCCTCCTGTTCTAATCAGTCCAAGCCTCTTAACTGTTTGTAAAGTATTGATTTTCCCCACTGCCCTTTGACGCATGTTTACCTGGAGTGGGTAGATGAAAATGCCTAGTTGCGCATCAGCTCTGAATGTTTTTCAGGATTCAGCTTTCATGGAGATTAATTTTCTTCTATTTCTTGTCTTGTTTCCACTGTAGAGAATTGTGTGGAGTTCCAGAAACTGAATGTGAGCAACTACAGCCATGTGTCTCTGCAGAATGCCACCTCCCCTGTCATGGAGTTTTGGGAGTAAGTGGAGAAGAACTTGTCTCCCTTGGCCTGTGGGGGCTCTGTCCTGGTTCTGCTCAGTTGGTCTTGCCCCTATTCCTGGAAAAAGCCTGATCCTTCTTGCAGCCTGGCACTTCCTGGCTTCTGTGAGCATTCGACAGCTTCGGAAGCAAGAGTGCAGATCTTCAGAGGTTTCCCAAAGGGGCAGCTGAGAGAAATGTTTTCTTGTTCTTTGATAACATGTCAGCATGCATAGTGGGTTATTAGGGCAGGAAGTACTTGGTGAAAGGATAGACAGTTTAAAAATTCATTTTGAGCAAAAGAGGAGATGCAGCCTGTTTGCAATAAGCTAAGTCAAGAGTGTATTTAGCCTGGAAAGCATAAGTCTCTAGAGGGGATAGGTTAGCTTTCTTTCAGTAGCTGAAGTGTCATATGGAAAAGAAGGAGATCAAATTTAATGGATAGAGATTATAAAGAGGCAGGTTTCAAATGTGCGTAGGGAAGAACTTGGTCTCATAGCATAGCATTATCTGGAAGCACTTCAGAAGGTTGTGAGCACCCATCCCTGGAAGTTGACCAGTATAGGGTTGCCAATCATTGTTGGGGGTGTGTCTGAATCCACTGAAATTATAAGTAGTACTTGTGTGGTTGGGCATTTTCCCAGAAATTGGCATAGTTTTATCAGAGTTCCAAAGGATCTGTGACCCTTACAGGGCTGCTATGTGTGGTTGTGTACATTGCACACTGAACAACCCAAGGGGCCATAATTTACATTATGAAATATACATTCCAGAATTGTGTGGTGCACGACCTGTATAACCATACACAGTGGCCCTGACTTGCAAGTTTGTTTTAAAGGTAGAAGGATCCCTTGCCCCAGGTATTGGAAAGAAGTTTCCTGTATGGGTCAAAGGCTGGACTAAATGCTTTCTGAAGCTTTTCAATCTAAAAAGTCCTGGCTTCATTGAAGAAGCCTCCCTTACTCTGATGGTGATTAATAGTAGTATATGTGTGTGTGGTGGGGCAGTGGTTTATGAGTGATTTTTATTTTTTTCCCAGATACCATTCGTCTCCTGCCTTCTCTAGAGGTCATTATGCTGAATTTAGATTTACCACTCTCATATAAATCTTCATACTTTTCATATATATATGCCCCAAATAGCACCTAGGTCTTTCTTGCATATTTTTCAAATTTGTGATACTGGCATCCATTATTTACATTTTTTATAACAACTTTATTTCTTTGCTCAATATTGGTTCTTAGATGTATCCATATTGGTACATGTAGCTTTGGTTCTTTCATTTTTCTATCAGAGTATTTCATTGTATGAATGGCCTGTGTTGTATTTATCCAGGTCCTCTTGGTCCTCTTGATGGGCATTTAGGCTGTTGCCCATTTCTCACTATTATTAAGCACACTGAGTGAATGTCTAGTCTGTGCTTCCTTGAGTGGAATTGCTGGGTTGTAGCATACATGCGTTGTCAGTTTTATCATATAACGTAAAATTACTTTAGAAAGAAATTAATCTAGGCCAGGCATGGTGGCTCACACCTGTAATTCCAGCACTTTGGGAAGCCGAGGTGGGCGGATCACCTGAGGTCAGGAGTTTGAGACCAGCCTGGCCAACATGGTGAAACCCTGTCTTTACTAAAAATACAAAAATTAGCTGGGTAGTGGTTCATGCCTGCAATCTCATCTACTCAGGAGGTTGAAGCAGGAGAATCACTTGAACCTGGAAGGCGAAAGTTGCAGTGAGCCGAGATCGGCGCCACTGCACTCCAGCCTGGGTGACAGAGCGAGACTGTCTCAAAAAAAAAAAAAAAAATTAATTTACACTCCAAACAAGAGTTTGTGAGAATTTCTGCAGCTTCACATTTTGGACAGCACTTGGTCTGTTCAGTTTTTGTTTTGCCAGTGTAATGGGCATTAAATGATAACTTACTATTTTAAATTCACATTTCTCTAATTACTTGTGAGGTTAAGCACCTTTTCATGTTTTGTTTTGTCTGTTTTTTGCTATTTGATTTCTGTACCTGTGAACTTCAGGTTTACATTCGTTTCTATTTGGATAGTTTGTCTTTTCTTACAGATAGAAATTGTTAATACATTCTAGATATTATCTTTTCCCAATGTGTGGCTTTTCTTTCTTATTTATGGTGTACAGAAGTTTCCATTTTATTGAAGTCGAATTCGTCGATTTTTCTTTTGGGTTTGCACAGTTGGTGTCTTATTTAAGATATATTTCCCTACCCCAAAGTTGAAAAAATTTTCCATATTTTCTTCTAAGAGTTTTACAGTTTTTTTTCATATTTAGGAATATAATCCATCTGGAATTTTATGTTTTTAATGTTGTATTAGGTAGAAATCCAGGTTTTAATATATAAATAACCTATTTTCCCAGTAGGACTTACTGATCATTCATTCTTTTCTGATTTATAATGCCATCTTCTGTACATAATTTCCTTTAAGCACAAGTCTGTGTTTGGGCTCTCTGTTCTGTTCCACTGGTCTCTTTGTCTATCTCTGTGCCCATACCACACCTATAGTTTTACTGTAAGCCTTGAGCCTGTAAGGCAAGTCTCCCACTTTGTTCTTTTCCAAAATTGTTTTAGTCTTCTAAATGAATTTCAGAATCAGTTTGTTGAATTAAACAAGAATAGCAATAAAAAAACAAAATAACTGTGTGGGAATTTTGATTAAAAGTCTATTGAACTCATAGGTTAGTTTGAGAGAATTTGACATCTTTATGATTGAACCTGTCTATGGACATGGTATAGCTAGTTCTCCATTTGTTTATGTCTTTTAAATTGCCTTATAGAGTAGTGCTACTTAAATGTGGTCTACAGAGTAGCAGCATTTTAATCACCTGGTTACCTACCCCAGGCCTACTGAATCATAGTCTCAAACAGAGCATCTGTTAGATATGTGCTTGAAAGGAGACTTCTGGGCTGGGTGGGCCTGTGTGGTCTTTCCCAGTCCCATTGGGTTGAGGTTTCCTGGAAGAATGTCAGAGACTTGTATTGGACCTGCACATTTGGGGGTCTGCAGAACAGTTTCTTTCACCTTTAGAGAATTCACTCTGAAACTCCAGACTGGACAAGGTCTCTGTGTTAGTTACTGTTGTTTTTGCACCACTCATTTCCTTTGTAACATATATGGAAAACCTTAATTAAATCATTATTTGTATAATGTATTTGTTCATTGTCTGTATTCCCCAATAGACAGTCATGAAGCAGAACCTTGTCTGGTTTTACTTATCATTGCCAGGCTATGGAAGGCCCTCAGTTAATATTTATAAACTAGATGGATGGATGAAGAAGGCAGACAGGCAGGCAATATGTCCTAGAAAATATTATATGAGAAGAGTCAAAGTGGGCTCTGGCAAGAACACCTGCTGTCATTAAGCCTCTCACCCAACAGCATTGATTAATTCCAGGATCCCTTTGCAATATCCATATTATCCATTCATTTGAACACCAAGGGCAGGCAAGGGCAGTTTGTGTGCATCCTCATCGGTATAGACCATCCTGCCAGCTACTTGGTTACTCAAGATGAAAGTTCATGGGCAAATGAACCCATGGTTCTAGTTTTCTATTCAGATTGCATCTCTGTCTGTATCATCCATGTGGTGTTGAATCCTGTATCCTAAAAGTACTCAAATACTAGTGGGACACGCACCCCTTCATACAGTTATACTTTTGTCAGACACCTCTAATTCCTCTTTGCCCCTGAGCTGAGATTAGAATATAGAGATTGTGTGAGATGTTCATATCATCCTATGAAAAGCTTTTGAGCCACATAAGTTTGAGAATGGATGAAAGCTATGTCCTTCAGTGAGAATATCCATTTACCTTTGCTGAACCCAAATTTCCAAACTTATTTTCCTATGGAATAAATTAGAATCCCTTCCCTCTCTCTGCCCCTGCCCCAGTGTACTCCACCCCCTGAATGCTAGCATTCCACTAAATGCAGTCTGGGAAACATTTTGCTAGGAATAAGTTCTTCCTTAAATTCAGCCAAAAGTTGATTTCTGGGGCTTTGACAGAGCATACCTAATTCCATTTCTGTGTGACAGTACTCTTCAAGTATTGGATCAAGCTTCCTCAAAAACATTCCTTCACCTCTCTTTGTTGTTTCCTTGTGTGGCTGGTTTGGTGGGCTCCAGTTGTCCTTTTCACACTGCCTCCAACTCCAGGGACTTCAGTCAGGGCCACATTGCTCAGTCAAAGTAGACTGCCTAGGCTGTCTGCTATTATAGTTCAATCATTTGACAAACATCTGAGCTCCTGGTACACATAAGAAAAGCACGGTGTCTTATTTAGGGGAAGTAAAGATGGAAGATGAGGTTCTAGTCTCTAGAAGCAGAGTTGAGACAAGCCCACAGATTACCTTAAAATCATCCACAAGGCACTACTTCTCTGCCTGCATCTGGCCATGGCTTTGCCTTGACCATGGGCACCTGGCCTGCCCACTCCCCATCTTGAAGTGTCAATTCCCTTTTCAGATGTAATTAAAATTGCTGGCTTAGCCCACGAGAGAAGTTCAGGCCCTACATCAGTCCTGGATTCTGACTCTTATGGGGGTCCTACAGGGCCAGGGATGCTTGTCTTCCTAATGTCAGACTTCAAAATTAGGCCATCCTCGTTTCCCTTAGTAACCCATTATGCATCTGGCATCCGTGCATTTATCTAAATGTGTCTGCAGTTCTAAATTTTGAGCCTGTACCCTCTGGTGGGATTGAATGCTATTAAGTGCATAACCAATATTGTGGCATCAGATGGACATTGATTCATCTTCACTTCCCTTTCTCAAGCCCACAAATCCCATTAGTCCAGGGTTTGGGGAGCAACTCCATTCTTGCTGTGTATACAATCAAAACTGTTTTTGCACGGTGTCCATTCAAAAAACACATGTTGAGCACATATTGTGTGCCGGGCCCAAATTAAGCTCTAAGGGTATTCAGTTCTATTTATTCAGAAGGATGAGGCCTTGTTTTTCTGGTTTATCTTCACTGGAGGAGTTTTGTTTTTAGTGTTTATTTTTGAGTCACGTGAATGTTTTAATTGATTTTCTTTGGACATGAGATTTGGGATCAGAGGAACTAGAGTGAAGGTTGGTTCTTTCTGTGGGACTGGGGTGACTCCCTGCCTCTCTCCCAGGCCTATCTTCCCCTCTGCACATTACCCTCCTCCACACTGGCCTTCTTTCTGTTCTTTAGATGTACGGGCCTTGTCCCAGGGTCAGTCTCTTGGCTTTTGCTTTTCCTTTTGCTAGAAGATTTCTCACCAGATCCTGTGTGTCTGGCTCCTTCTTATCATTGAGTCTTAATTCAAATGTCAGTGTCATATGGGGAGCCCTCCTTGACCATGCCCATGGAATCCACACCCCAGTCCCTCTCAACCCCATCACTCTTTCTTAATGCCCCATCACTCTTTCTTAATAGTTCTTATCTGAAATCCTTGTATATTTATTTGATTATTCTCTCTTTCTCCATCAGAATTTAAGTTCCATGCTGGCAAGGACGATGTCTGTTTTGTTCATTATTGTCTTGCCAGCACATTCTAGGTGCTCAATAAATATTTGTTGAAATGAGTGAATGGAAGACTGAATGAATGAATGAATATTTCTTACCCCCTTGGAGCTCAGTGTCCACATCTGTAAATTGGAAATGATAACACCCACCTGAACACCCACCTGCAAGGCTGAGAAGAGAATTGAATAAGACTTCTCCTGTAGGAAGCCCAGCCCATCTTAAGCTCTTTGGAAAGGTTTTAATGTGTAAGAAGATTTTTTGCAATTGGTTCTCCCATATGTGAAATGGGGTTAACCCTGTTCCTTGCCTTACCAACCTCTCCAGGCTGCTGTGAGGATTAAATGAAATAACACATTCTGAGAACTTTGATGGGTCATAAGTGGGGTGCCTGTGTTAGTTCTGGCTACTGGAGGCACAGGGTCCCTTCCAGCCTCATCTCTACAGGTACAGAGTCATGGTTGGGCCCAAGCTGCCAAGGCCTGTGCACAGTTGCTCTGTTTGCCTACAGTAGCCTTCATGCCTCCTGATTCAGCATCAGAAGTGCCCTTGGGACCCTTTCCTAGGTCAGCACTGCATGCTGTGTAGCAACATCCAGTTCTGCTAGTTTGGATTACCTGGCCCCACCATACCCCCAACACATTACCCCGTGGCTAAAGTGTAGATGTTAGCGGCAAGTTCTAGAGCCCAGTTTAAGCAGCTGCCCCTTCCTCCTGTCAAGTGTGTGACCCTGGGCAACCTGAAGAGCCTCTGCCTGCTCCTCTGAATATGGGATGATGTATGGTAAACGTACCCACCCCTTAGGCTTGTCAAGAGCATGGAATGAGATGATGCTTACAAAGCTCCTAGCATGTGGTGAGTGCTAATAAATAGTAGCTGTTTTTACACAGGAGACTTTATCCAGATCTCTGCAAGTCTATGTGGATTCTTTTTAAGATTCTTTAGAGAAGGCTCATCAAGCAAGGCCTTGTTTCCCACTCACAGTAGGCATGGTGAGCTTTCTTAGTGCATTTTTTTCTTCACTTAATTGTTCTTTTGACATTTTTCTTAGTAAATACTGGGTGCTGGGCATCTTATAAGTAGCCAGAAAGATGAGTGGTGGGACACTGGCTCTCCATGAAGAAGCACACAGCCCAGCAGGGGAAGCTGGGAAGTAGGAAAAAAAAAACAAAAAGAGTTTTTGAATTACGAGGTAACAGATATATCTGTAGGATGCTTGCAGAGTGAGGCTGGGGAACCCTGGATACCTGGACTTTGGGGAAGGCTACATGGAGTTGGTGATACTTTAGCTGGGTTTTGAAGGATAAATAGAAGTTCATGCGGTTGGCCATGGAGTGAGTAAATGACATACCAGGTGGAGAGAATAAAAAAAGCAAGAGCACAGAGACCTGAAGTTGTGTGTTGCAGCTTATAGATTTTACCCACAATGCTACTGCATTTAGATCCTAGGGGCTAAGGGGAGACTTTACTGAAGAGCAGGCAGGGGCCAGAGCATCTATGCACTCACAGGTCTTTATTGAGCACCTACTATATGGCAGGTCTCATTGTAGGTTCTGGAATGCAACATGAACAAAACAAAGACTCACCCTTATGGAGCTGAGAGCACCAACAACCAAATAAGCAGAAAATATTGGATTAAGTTGAGATCAGTTTCCTGAAGAAAAAGTCAGCAGGTTTAGGGGGCAGAAAGTGTTCAAGGGTCAGGGAGGGCCTCTCTGAGGAGGTGGCATGTCAGCAAGGGAACTGAGAGAAGTGAGGGAGCAAGCCATGTGGAGGTCCCAGGAGCTACAGGGCCGAGGGAGCAGCAGGGGTGGTGACCCCATAGTGGGAGGCTGTTTGGGGAATGGCAAGGCAGTCAAAGAGCCTGGAGAAGAGCATGAAGGGCCTCTGTACCTTTCTAAAGGGTTTGCAGTGATTCTGTGGGATGCCTGCAAATGTTCTATTCCTAGAGTTGTGTGATCAGGCCTGGGGATAAGGCAGCCTCCCCAGGCTGCAGGTGGAGGCCCTGGATGTGGTCCAGGTGCAGTAACCTAAGGCTCCTTCCTCCGGAGGTGGAAGCTGGGTGGTGGTGCCCTGCACTGTTGGGAAAGACAGGGTGGAAGCACTCTTGCCATGCTTGGCCATAGAATACACTGAAGGGAATAAGAGAATGGTCTCTCTGATGTATTAATTCCTCCACAGCCTCCCACTTGCTGTGAGGTCTTCTAATCTCACATGTCCTCAGTGAACTTGTTCTGATGCAGGCAGATGAGCAGCTCTTAATCTGCCTGAACTCTCAAGTCCCCATTTTTTTTTCTAAACAACAGCAACAGAAGCCAATTTAGCAATAACCCGCGGCACTGGGGCTGCACATAAGTTTTGTCCCCAAATCCTACTTCTGAAAGTTTATTTTGCGATATGACCTCACTAGTTACACAGAACCTGAACATGTCCTCAGCAGCACTGCATGTGATAGTTAGAAAGGACATGTAAAATATTCTTAAATATGATATGTATTAGATAAATTATACAACTGCTAAAAAAGAATGAGGCAGAAAATGTGTTGACACAGAAAAGCTAACAGTAAGTGAAAAAGGTGAGCTGTAGCATGTTGTATATGATATCGTATGTAATATATGTGTTGTATATGCCTTTATAACCATAAACCATGTCTGGCAGAATACACAGAAACTATTAACAGATTACCCAGGAGTGGGACTCGGGGGTAAGTGAGGTTATAGAGAGAGAGGCTTACTTTTTGCTTTGTACTTTTTTGTATTATTTAAATTAGAAACAATTAAAACTAGGAACATGATTATTTCATAATTTAAAAAATAGGAGCCACGGGGTTAGTGAATAAGCTGTTACGTGTCATAATGAACCCTCCTGTTTGTGTAACGAATCCCATTTACAGTAGTCTGTAGGCAGACATTGTGAAGAAACTAGTAGTTCTTTCTTTCTCCTATATGCACCTATAGGCCGGCAGAAATATCTAGCCCTGAAAAGTGAAATGAAGCATGCTTTCTGAATGGTTCATCATTTACTGTTTCCTTCCAGTGAATGGAAGATTTTAACACAAAGGAGAGTTTGCAGGCAGATGTTGAGAAGAAGCTAGTAGAAGCTTCCACCTTGTTAATCTTTATGTATTTATTTAGTTATCAAGTCATTTGTCTTGATATTAGTTCATTTAATTATTTAAATGAATTAATGCCTGTAATGTAGGCAGAAGAAAAAAATTCAATTTTACCATTAACTAAACATAATTTTGGAAACGCTGAGGGATTTCCCAGAACCCAAAGCCAGCCTCTTGGCTCCTAGTGGCCCCGAGCAGCCCTGGTGCCCTGCAAACCCACCCACCAGCTGCCCCACAGAGGATCTCTTCTCTCAAGGAGAGGGCCATTGTTACTCCTCCCCACCAGGGAGGCACTGGGGATCCTTGATTAGGGTTTGGGGGAGCAGGAGGAGGTCCCATTGAGGACACACACCAGACTTGTGCTGAGTAGGGGCTTGGGCCACATGCAGCACTCTCATGAGATTTGCCAATTCACCAAAGCAAACCCAGATCAACACTTTGTTGCTCTAATAGGGTGTTGTGACCTTCTTCTTCTAATTGTTGAATATTTAACTGATGTTAAAAATGGTGATTATTGTTGTAAGCAATGAAAACACAATAGGCATATAAATGGGATATGTTTGTATGTCAGATTAAATATAACCTATAAATATGTCTCCCCAGCCCTGCTCTCTAAGAGAGAACTCTGTTCACAATTGAGTCTCCTCCTGCTAGTATTTCCCCGTACTCTTAGTACCACTCCTATTACTCTCCTTTTTGTCCTGTCTGTCAAAGCATACAAGTTCCCAGGTTCAGAAATTTAATTCTCCTCTTCCGTCAGTTCCCTTTCATAGAAGCAGGTTTTCCAGTGAACACTCGATTTCTTTAGTGCAAAAGTGATCTGTGTCCTTTTTTGTAGAAAATGTAGGAAGTAGGTTTAAGTAAAAGAAGAAAATACAGCACACAACAGGATTTGGGTTTCCAAGCTGCTGAAGTAGGAAGGGGCATGCCAAAGTCTGCAGTTCCACTCCCTTGTCCCCAGCCAGACCCACCCTGGTGGCCATCCCTGAAGCAAGAGCCAGGACCCCCATCTGCCAGGCACCAAGAAGCACTTCTCCATTGCCAATTAATTTTTTTTTCTTTTTGAGACAGAGTTTCGCTCTTGTCGCCCAGGCTGGAGTGCAATGGTACAATCTCAGCTCACTGCAGCCTCCACCTCCTGGGTTCAACCAATTCTCCCACCTCAACCTCCCAAGTAGCTAGGATTACAGGTGCTCGCCACCACACCCAGCTAATTTTTGTATTTTTAGTAGAGATGGGGTTTCACCATGTTGGCCAGGCTGGTCTCAAACTCCTGACGTCAGGTAATCCACCCACCTTGGCCTCCCAAAGTGCTGGGATTACAGGCATGAGCCACCATGCCTGGCCCACTGCCAATTAAGTGTAAGGGGTGGAGGCCCGAGGGAGAACCCAAGGTCTATTTGCCCTAAGCCATCAATGCCAGGGATGGCTCCTTGCCCAGAACACCTTCCCAGATGGACCAGTTAATGCTTCTGGTGATGATGCCATCCGAATGCTATACTGAAAGCCCTTCAGCCGAGGATCAAGGTTCTGCTTGTATGCACGGTTGTTGAAATGCTATTTAAAAGTGCCGTGCCGTGGTGTGGTGTGGGGACCTAGAGACCTGGGCTTTGGGGCCAACAGTAAGAATTTGAATCCTGCTGCTTCCACTTGTTAGTCTTGGGCTTGTTGCTTAAATCTCTCTGCAATTCACTGTCCTTGTCTGCAAAATGGGAATAATTGTTGTTACAGCACTACTAGTAGTAACTGGGCTTAATAAATACTGAATAGCTGTGGTCTCCTGTTATTATGAGTTCTTGATCATTACAGTAAACATATTTGTGTATAAAATTAGCCAGACGGGTATTTGTATTTTTCACATTGGATGTCTTACAGTATAGAACAGGAAGCAGCAACTTACTGAACTGCAAGAGTTTTGTCTGAGGTTCTTTCTACATCCTGATGGGTGCAGTAGAGAAAAGGAAGTCACATTTGGTTACTAAGCACCTACTGTATACCCTGGCCCTGCACAGGGCCCTCTAAGCACATGACCTCATTTAACCCATCCACCCAGGGGATAGATGATGTGGTATCAGTATATGAGTTCTCATCTCACACGGGGGATTCTGAGGGCATGAGAGATTAAGGGACCTGACCAAAGTGCCTCTCATGGTGGGCCAGAGCCTGAGCTGGTCTGAAACCCAGCCATCTGCATCTCTCTGCCGTTCCAGGCTTCTTCCTGTGTGTGAAATGTGGTCAGCTGCCTGCTTTATCCCAGGTGCAGAGTCGGACTGCTGTGTGCTGCCTCTCTGCAGCCCTGTGGACTCAGGCTCTGGAAGTAAGTTTGTTTTTTTTTTTGTTTTTTTTTTCAGCAGATGGGGAATATATTTCATAGGAAAAGGGAGGAAGGGATGAAGGAAGAAACTCATGAGAAATGGCTTCACAGAAGCCTTCAGCATCCAGCAACAACAATGTAAGCCCTGTGGGTTGGGTCCTTCCTGGGTTTCAGAAGGTTTCTTTAGGAAGTGGCTTTAGAGTCAGGACCCGTCAGGAGCAGAATAACTCGACCAGGTTGTTTTTAATAAAACAATGAGGAAGTATATAAAACTCTCCAGGGTCGCACATGCACACCCAAACACACACATCCCTTGCTTGTGCTTTGCGCTCTTCTCACTAAGGGGCAGATGGAAGACATGCAGGATGGGGGAGAAGCGCCAGAGCTGGGGCAACCTGACCTTTTCACTTAGGAATTGGGACCCTGAGCAGGTAATGCCGAAGCTCGAGTTTCCTCCTCTGTAGAATGGGTGTAAATAGACAGCACTTAAAGGTGCAGTTGGCATGAAGTGAGCTGTGGACAGTGTGACATTGCTGGTCAGCAGTAGCTCCTCACAATCCATTCCCCTTCCACAGACCTCCCAACCTCACTTCCATTTTAGAGCTGAGGTGGATGAAATGACATTCCAAAAACAGGTGACCACCTGCAGTCTCCCAGTGGGATGCACCCAGGCTGGGACCAGACCCCGACTCCCCACTCCAAACTCCTTGTGCAGGGCTGCTCCTGATGCTCTCGCGCCTATCCTGGCCACCACCCATCCGCGACACACAGTGGCTTCTTGCAATCCTTAATGCAGACCACCTCGGAGGGGCCAGGGCACAGGTGGGCCAGCTTTGCCTGAGCTTTCGGCTGCTCCTTGATGCAGATTTGCTTCCCCTCGGGCACATGTGGGAAACCTGTAGGGCAGCCGTGACCTGGGCAGCATTTTTAAGCTGCTTGAGTCCTGGGAGGAGGAGTAATGGGCAGGAATCTGAGGGCCTGGACCCCAGCCATGGGGTGGGGGAGGCCCTTCCCACCACGTGGGATCCACGTTCTGCGAGAGAGAATGGCTGCGTTATGAACCCGTGATGGATTCTTCACAGCTGCGGCAGTTCCTCCGTCTCTCACCTTCCCCTTATGCACTTTGCCTCCTGACCTGCAGGACCTCTGTTCACTTCTCCCGGTGAGGCCTAAGTTTTGAGGCATTTCCCTGAGTGCCTGCTCCTCTGGAAAGTCCCCACTTTTAGATTCACTCTCCTCCCCACACTCCCTCCTGCTGCCCTCAGTCTCACCCTCCAGCCACAGAGGGGCAGCGCAGGCATTAAACTTGGGATCAAGAGACAGGTTCAAGACCAGGCTTTGCCACCTACCGGTTTTGTGATCTCGGACAAGGTAGCTATTTCTGTGGAGCCTGAGTTTCCTCTGAACAATGGTGTACAAGATAACTACACAAAAGCGCCTGACACGTCTTCCCAAGTGTGTGTTCTGCAGGATGTTAGGAAGTATTGCCTTGGAAAAGCAGAAACAGGGTTGGGAGGGGGGAGCCCTTCCTTCTTAACTTTTTAGAAAGTTTATTGTAGTTTACATGCCATAAAATGCACTCCTTTTAAGTGTACAGCTTTGAGTAAATTTACCAAGTGTGAAGCCATCACCACAATATAAGTTTAGAACATTTATATCCTCTAAATAAGAGCTCTCTGCCCATTCACCATTAATCTCCATTCCCACCTCCAAGCAACACTCAGCTATTTTTTTTATCTCTGTGAATTTGCCTTGTTTAGACATTGCATATAAATGGAACCATACAACTTATGGTCTTTCGTGATTGGCTTCTTTCATGTAGCATAACACTTTTAAGCTTTATCTATGTTGTAGCATGAATCAGTACTTCATTGCTTTTGTAGCTGTATAAAATACTGTTGCATGGGTAGACCATATTTTGTGAATCCGTTCATCAGTTGATGGACATTTGGGTTGTTTCTACCTTGGGCTATTACGAATAATGCTGCTATGAACATTTGTGCACACATTTTTGTTTGAACATATGTTTATTCTCTTGGGCTTATATTCAGGAGAGAAATTGCTGGGTTTTGTGTTTAACTTTTTAAGAAAGTGCCAAATTGCTTTCCAAAGTGGCTGAACTATTTTGCATTCCCACCAGTAATATACGAGGGTTCCATTTCTCCACATCTTCACCAACATTTGTTATTGTCTGACTTTTTGATTATAGCTATCCTAGTAGGTGTGAAGTGGTATTTCTTGTGGTTTTAATTTCCATTTCAATGCGGAACACTTCTCAATAAATTTGAGAAACATTCAGTTAGATAAAGCTGTACAAATGTATTTGTTTCAGGACTTCTCAGACCCTTTCGTATTCTACTAAGCATTGAACATCTCTAAGGAAGTCTAGGGTTCAGTATTTTCTCAAATGAGAGCCCAGTGTGACCTGGGAACTCAGGACATTGGAGGATTAGTGTTCTTTGGGAAGCATTAGCCTAGGACAAGGGTCAGCAAACTACTGGCCAAATCCCAGCTGCTGCCTGTTTTTGTAAATAAAGTTTTATTGGAAGAAAGCCACACCCATTCATTTACAAATGACCTGTGGTTGCTTTCACCCTGCAGGAATAGAGAATAGTTGGGACAGAGACAGTATGCCTTGCGAGACTGAAGGAATTTACTCCCTTGCCCTTTACAGAAAAAGCTTGCTGAGCTCTGGCCTGGGAGTCCCTGGTACACAGTGAGGTGCTCACTTGCTTAGCCTGGGTGGCAGGAGGGGCTGGCCCTGGGGTTGGGGTGGGGACCAAGGAAGCACTTGTGAGGCTTAGTGTTATTTGAGCTGGTGCTTGAAGGATGGTTAGAATATAGATAACTGGGGAGAATTGGGAAGGATGTTCCCAGCCGAGGGAATCACAGGAGTGAATTCTGCAATGTGAGGAAGTGCAGGATGTTTGGGGACTGATGGAGACTGGTGTGTGGCCAAAGAGTAGGATTTTGCAGGGACAGAGGGAATTGGAGAGGTAGCTCCAGACCCCTTAGGCCTATGTCGGTCCCTGATTGCACTCCCTGGCTCCCCAGGGTACTGGCTCCACTGACACTCATAATCACACAATTCCCCATCTTTCCCAAGACAGGGCAGTGGTTCTGAGCTCTGCCTCTGACATTGAACAGATATGGCTTCAAGATCTGTCCCCACTTTCTGGGCATGTCACCTGCCTGAGCCACAGTTTCCTTATCTGTAGAGTGGAAATAATAGCTGTCCTCACCTGAGAAGATGCAGAGAAGGTCAGATCAGATTTTACATGTGGCGTGGTGAGCAGGTGAGAAATGCAAGCTGTAACGGTCCTTGTTGACACCCTTATACCCCTAGACCGTAAGTTCCCTGAGGGTGGAACAGCCTGCTTATTCATCACTGTAGCGTGGACTGAATGAGTGTGTGATGTAGAGGCCTGAAATTCCTGCAGAGGAGGCCTGGCTGAGTCCCTGGCTTGGTTTAGGGGCCCCTGCCGTGGACTCTGTCGGAGTCCCCCCATAAATGTGGAGAGTGCAGGGGACTGTACTTCTTTCTTCCTGGAGAAGTGAGAGCAGACTCCCCAAGGCAGCGGCCAGCTCCCTTGGCGGGGGCCAGGAAAGCACATTTGTTTTGGTGATGGGCCTTTTTTGGTTTGTGTGCTTGTTGCTTTGGGAGACCAGCAGGGCTATTTATAGCTCAGCCCCTCAGCGCCAGCTTTTAGGGCGGTCTCCAGGGCCCTGGCAGCACTTTCCTCAGTGGCAGGTTAAAGAAAGGTGATCTGTTTGCCGGCTCCGTGCACGACATGAAGATGAGGCCACCCCAGGCTGGGCTGGGACCTATTCCCACATGGCCCTCCTGGGTGCCAGGCTGGAGGGAGTTCTGCTCCAGCTCTGCTCTCTGGGCAAACCAGCCCTTGTGCTGGGAGCCGGAAGCTTCAGGTGGGAGACTGTTTCCTTCTCTCCAGACTCAGCAGCTGTGTGTGAGCTGCCCAGAGGGAACATGTGTGGGATTCCAGCCACTGTCCTTCGACCATCAGGCACAGGAGAAGGCCTGAGTGAGAGACACCCTCCCAACCTTGGGCTCACTTTCTGGTGTAGCAGTGGGGAGTGTCAGCATCAGAAGAACTTGGTTTCAACTCTCAATCTGGGGGCAGGGCATGGTTGGCTCACACTTGTAATCTCAGCACTTTGGGAAGCCAGGATAGGAGGATCACTTGAGGTCAGGAGTTCAAGACCAGCCTGGCCAATATGGTGAAACCCTGTCTTTATTAAAAATACAAAAATTAGCCAGGCTTGGTGGCAGGCACCTGTAGTCCTAGCTACTCAGGAGGCTGAGGCAGGAGAATCACTTGAACCCAGGAGGTGGAGGTTGCAGCGAGCTGAGATTGTACCACTGCACCCCAGCCTGGGCTATAGAGTGAGACTCTGTCTCAAAATATGTATATATATCAATTTGGGCAAGTTGCTTCACCTCCCTGAGCTTCCTCATCCATGAAATGGGTATAATCATGCCCTGGCAGTGGTGTTGCCATGAGGACTGAATGAAGCGAGATGGGGGAGGGTGTCAGGTGGTGCCGAGCACAGTTCTCATCACTGCCATCTCCTCCCAGTTCCGCTCCTTCCTCCAAGTCTCTTAATAAGGAAGGATGTAGTTTCCTTTTGAGCTACCCTCTTGGTTCCCCCACTCCTTCCCTCCTGTCAAGTAGAAAGGACATCTCCATGCCTGGATGGCCTAACACCTCCACCTGTGGATTCTGTCCCTGCCACCATCGTAAGGGCCTTCACTTCTTTTCCTCCTCTCTTATCCCCCATTCCCTCCTGTTTCTGAAATTTCTCCCTCTTTCCATCTCTTTCGGGTGAACTAGCCCAGTTACACCAACCTGAAAACAAAACAAATGTGGATCAAACAACCCTTGTACCCTGTGGCCCCTTTAGTTGCCACCACCTCTCCATAACTCATCAGAGCCAAACTTCCTGAAGGAGCCACGTGACTCATGGTCTCACCTCTCATCTGCCCCTGACCCAGTCTACTCTAAGACCAAACAGTGGCTCCTGACCTCCCCACTCCTGGTCCCAAGTCCTGCAGGCATTGCCCTGTCTCACTAGGCTGGCCTGCAGCGTTTGCAGGTCGGCTACTTGCCTGCTGGAGATGCCCCTCCCTCTGCCTTGAGGATACCCCTCCTTGGGTTGCTCCCCTGACTTTCTGCCCACTCCTTCCCTGCTTCTCCAAGGGCTACTCCCTTCCTTTTGCTGCCTTGAGATGTTGGGGTTGTGGGGGCTTGGTCGCAGGCCCCATCTTTCCCCCTTCTTCAGGTCTCCCAGGATACCCCAAAGGCTGAGGGCTCAAGTATGAATCCTCTGTCTGCACGTCTTTTCTGGGTGGCATTCGGAGACCCAGTAGCCTCTGGGCATTGCAGCAACCTGAGTGTCTTGCCAACACCTCCAAATCATCTTATCTGAAAGAATGATTGGCCATGATCTCTTCCTCTATTCCAAGCACCACTTCACTCTTGCTCAGCGAAAGACCCACCCTACCCATCCAAGGATCCATGCCGTGAGCCTGGTGTCAGCCTAGCCCTGGCTCTTCCTGCTGCTGGCTGCCCCAGGCAGTCCTCTTGTGCCTCTGCTGCTCTCCAGTCACCCATTCCTCTCCAGGACTATTGCCTTCCCTATTGCTTGCTCAAATGGAGGCAGACTCCTCTGCCCCACCCTGACCGTTCATTCCTCCCATGGCAGCTAGAGTGTTCTAAAACACACATCTGATGGGGACTCACCACTGTTGACCACTTCCCTAGGCTTCTGTCATCCACAGAAAGCAGCCACGGCCCCTCAGCAAGGCTCACAGTCTAGCCCCTGCTCCCCATGTGGCCGCCTCCTCACCCTACTTCTCACCCAGCCCTAGCTGCACTCACCTAGCCCACCATGCCCTTCTTTGGCCTCGTGGTGTTCTCCCCAGCCTCCTGGCTTTTGCCCTTGGGGGCCTTTCTCCTGCATATGCCCCCCACTTCTTTGCTAACTTTCCTTCTACCCTTCAGGACCCCCAACCCCACACTCTGATACTGATCTGCACAAGGGTCTCCTGCTATGCCTGGGAGCTTCCCCCACCTTTCTCTGTGCCCACCCTCTCCACATGCTGCTATTTCCTTATCTGTCTTCTCCACTAGACCACGGGCTCTTTAAAGACCCCCAGGCTTAGCTCTGTGTCTGGCACACTGATGACGCTTTCGTAAGTATTGTTTAAATAAATTACTAAATGCGTGAATGCCATGTTCCGTACAATCCTCTCTCCTAGTACACAAAGACATGTAAGGCAGCTTTGGGGTATGCATTTACCGTAGCTTTAATTTGTTAAGAAGGGAAAGTGGCAGGTGACGTTAGGGTTATGGAGGAATCAAGGCTGAAAGTGTGGGCTCTGGAGCCAGGATCCCTGGGCTCAAATCCAAGCTCTGTTTCTTGCTGAGGATGTGAGTTTGGGCAAGTTACTTCGCCTCTGTGCACCTCAGGTTCACTGTCGTTGAAATGGTGATGATAATTGTGCTCATCTCAAGGACTGTGGGGAGGGTTAGATGCATTCATACTTGAAAAGCCATTGAAGGTAGGTATCATTATTCCCATTTTACAGATGAGGAAGCTGAGACTCAGAGAGGTGATGCCGCTTCCCCGAGGTGGAGCAGCTGGTAAGGAGCAGGGCTGGGATTTGAGCAGCTTCTGGGTGGAAAGCTCCAGAAATACTCTACTATGGCCTGAAAAGGGTGCTTCATGAAGAATCTGCTTTAGGGCCTGGCACATAGTAGGTACACACTAAATATTACTTATGTAAATGGATCCCTCTGCAGAGCCCCATCTAGGCTTCAGCATTTCCCGCTCCCTGAACAGTGTCGGGGGAGGTCTGTCTCTGGGTCTTTTTTGGCCAGGGTGTTGGCAGCAAACTCTTCCTTATTCAGACCTTTCTTCTGTCCCAGCATTTCATGGGGGAGGCTCATTAAGAAAGCTTTTTCCCAGGAAGAGCTGTGCCTTCTCCAAGTCTCCGGAGTTGAGTGCCCCAGCCCCCATCCTCTCAAAGGCTGCCCTTGTGGGTTTCAAAACAACCCCACTGCCCTGCAGGCTGAGAATCTGGCCCCTGAGCCCCCTTTCCTTTGGAAACCAAAGGTCTGTTCCTAGTTAAAGTCAGCGTTGGTAAAACCTAAGGAAAATAATTTGAGGATGTTTTCAAATAGTGTCTGGTAGAACAAAAGAGCAATTCATCCTCCGTAGCTTTTAGTAATCTGCTTCCCATTCTGGGAATTAGATTGTTCAATTAAGCGAGAGGGTGCCGGAGCAGGCTGCATGACTCAAAAATTTGCAGCATCCACATTGTAGAAGAGAGGGGATCTGAGCCAGTTTGTACCTGGCGGGCCTGTCCCGCTTTCTCCCTCTGTCCCTAAGTGGGTTCCAGTTTTCAGGTCCCAGGTTCAGAAAACAACTACTTCAACAAGAAGGCACATGTCTGTGTGTGTGTGTGCGTGTGTGTGTGTATGTGCATGTGTGCATGTGCATACGCGTGCATACACCCTGGCTCAGTAGGGACCTCGTGTGTTCCTCCAGTGACAAGCTAAGCATCTGGAGTGGGCTGGTGCAGAGTACACCTGGGCTGTTTCCGTCAGCAGCAGCCCAGATTCCTTCCAGCTCTGGGTTGTCCCTTATAGTTCACCAGCTGATGGGCATTGGGGATGCTTTTGGTGGCCGTGTGTAAGGCAGGGTAAGCCCACAGGGCTCTTAATCTGGGCAAAGGAGAGCCAGTAGGTACCCTAAAATTCCTGCAGCATTTTGGGAGCCGGTGTATTTCTCTGGGGAGAAAGTCCATCCCTTCGGTAACTTCTCAAGGGATCCATGACTTCCTCCCTCAAACCCCTCTCCTCCCTCCCTCCAAAACACAAGTTTAAAAATGATTCAGGTGGCATTTGTAGATCACTCCTTCATTACCAAGAAACTCTACTTCTGTGGTGCTCAAGCCTTACTGTGTATGAGAACTCCTTGGGGAAATCACAAAGTGCAGCTCCTTGGGAGCCACTTTGCAAAGGTTGGGACCCAGTGGGTCTGGTGGGGGTGCAGAAAGTTTTGTGTTTCTGGCAGGTGCCCAGGGATCATGCTCTGGGACATGCTATTCTATTATACTCATAGATTCTCTTAAAGGCCTCATTTAATAAGGCCTGTAGTTTTAAAATGAATTAAAGCCAAAGACTGCTAAGACATAGGAAGCAAATAAAATGACAGTTGTTACTATAATTAAATGGCTGCCTCCTTTCTTTCATAAATAACTTGGACCTTTTTTTGGTCCACCTTATCCTAGTAGAGAGCAAGGGCCATATGATGCTTACCTTTTTTTATCCTAGGCTCTAACATAGTGCCTGGTGCCTAGTAGGTGCTCAGTAAATGTGTATTGTATTTAAGTGGATGTTCCCACTTCTCCTGGCTATGGGTGTGAGAGCTGATTTCCTTTTGAGTAAATCTATGGCTGCACACAGTCTGATTTTGTTTGGGGACCTGCCTGATTTCTCTGGCGGGGCTGGGGCTGGAGGGAGCCTGTAGATGAGTGCTAATTGGTGTCATTGAGTAATTAATGCAGAATCAGGCCCCAAGCGGATTCCCAGGGAGACAGACACTGAGGGTGGCTTTCATGCTTGGTGGGATGGGAGCTCCTTTCTCAAAGGACGTTCACAGAGTGCCGAAGCGACTGGCATGGTCTGATGGGGGTTGGTTTGGCAGCCAGAATGGGGTTCGTGGAACAAGCTTGGAGAGGGGGTTTGTGTTGGTGCCATAGTTCTGCACAATATGGAGCGTGGCGAGTTTGACTTTAAAGGAACACAAACCCCAAGCGTGGGTTCTGAGAGCCAGGCCTGCGTCAACTCTGAAGAATTGGTGGGTTCTGAGGGAAGTGAGCCTAGTGGCATTAGCTTAGCTCACCCGGAGTCCTCCCTGTCCTGTGGCCTGGGCCCTCTGGGAAGCCTCTACACTTTGGCATGATAGTCAAGGCTCCCTGTGTTACTGCCTCTGCTTACCTTTCCTGCTTTTTCCTTCTGATCCCTGCCTCCCAGCTTGCTGTTCCCAAAGCACACCATCCTCTACTTCTGGCCATGCCGTTCCTTCCACCTAAAACCGTCTCCACTTCCTTCTTCTTCTGACCAAATTCCACTTATCTTTCACAATTTGACTCACATATCACTTCTTCCAGGAAGCTCTCCCTGACCCCCTGTAGCAGTCAGGATAGGTTGGGTTATGCTGCAGTAATAAATGTCCCCAAAGAGCTCAGCAGCTTCAAGCAACAAAGTTTATTTCCTGCTCAGACTGTGTCTCTGACACAGTGGCAGGTGGTCACTCAGGAACTCAGGCTTTTCAAGGCTCTGTCTTGACACAGGCTTCCATAATGACAGGAGAGTTAGGGAGAAGAGACGATGGAGAACCATGCCACCAGTTTCTGGAAGCTTCTATCTGAAATGACACCTGTTGGCCAAACAATGTTCAAAGCAAGTCCAATGGCCCCCCTCAAGTTTGGCAGGGCAGGATGTATGGGCTCCCTTCAGGGAGGAACATAGGATGTTTATGACTGGTAATATGATCTCCTGGGAACTCCAAGGTAGGCTGGGTGCATCCTCCATCGGAGCCCTTTCCACGCTGTTCTTGTACTACATCTGCAGACTTGCCTATCTTTTCCCCCAGAGAGTGAATTCATGATCCAAGGTCCAGAGGGCTGGGTCTTGTTCCTCTTGGAGGCCCCAAGTCCTCCCCAGAGGAGACATTTGGCCCACGGTGGACGTGGGTGAATGAGCACATGGGCCCATCCCTGCTCCTCTGCAGTACTAGCTTTGCTGAAAATGGGCCAGCCCCAGCCCCAGTGACTCTCCACCCTCCCTTCTGCAGGCACCGGGTCCTGGCCATCTCTGACGGGATCGAGCACATCGGGAACCTTCGCTGGGAGCTGGCCTTGTGTCTCTTGGCAGCCTGGACCATCTGTTACTTCTGTATCTGGAAGGGGACCAAGTCTACAGGAAAGGTAAGAGGTCGATCTTCAAGCAGCTAACCGTGGCAGGGGAAGGCACGAGCTCACAGATGACCTAGAGAGTAACAGGGAGTTCATGTTGCAGAGGCCAGCACTTAAGTTGGGAGCGGGGAGGAACACTGGACCAGAGTGAGCTCTACCCACCCTCACCACTTATTGGCCGCCCACCTCAGGACAGTTCAGTTTTATCTTCTGAGCCTCAGTGTACGTGACTATGAGATAATAAAGCCTTGCCCTGTCTGTCTTATTGAGTTGAGAGTTATACAAGGTAAGGGGGTTAAAGTGCTTTGAAAACTGGGAAATGCTGAACTACTACAAGGGTTCTTTGGTAATGAAGACAGGGTTCTAGGTGTGTGTGAGGGCAGGTGATGCTGGCTGCCTCCACTGACAGACCCCAAGATCTCAGGGGTGTATTTCTCCCTCACCTGGAGTCTGGAGGGAAGAGCAGCTGCTTCATCTTGCAGCCTTGCTGTGCCACCTGTACCATGCAGCCTCCAGGGTTGCTGCCTCACCAGGGAAGAGAAACTGGAGGAGGCTAGCTTTTAACTGCCATGGCCTGGGAGTTACACATGGCTCTTCCACTCACAGGCTGTTGGCCAGAACCTGAGACACGGTGTCACCTACTGC
Source organism: Homo sapiens (assembly GCF_000001405.40). Taxonomy (NCBI): domain Eukaryota; kingdom Metazoa; phylum Chordata; class Mammalia; order Primates; family Hominidae; genus Homo; species Homo sapiens. Next base: position 10,844,980 of record NC_000003.12, read on the forward strand.
ACAGGGGCTGGGAAGTAGAGGGGACCATGGGGACATCTGGGGAGTGAGCATGCTGTGCACTGCAAGGATCAGTACAGAGGTTAGAAACATGCAGCTTGTGGCCAAGTCCAACTCACTTCTGTGTTTACTTTCAAAAGGCGGAGAGGGGAAGAATTCGTTGACAACATTTAGAAATCAGGAGATTTCATGTGGTAAAAAGAAATCTGATTCTGGCATCCCTTGGAAAGTAAGATTTGGCAACCCTGGACTTGCCTGCCCACACAGTGGCATGTGTTTGAACTGAGCAGCTGCCATCTCCTTCCAGGGGGCTCTGGTTGGCCACAGTCCCCACCATTCCATATCACCCCCAATCCTGTGGCTGAGTATCAATGCCAATGGTTTCCTCATTTTGCTGTTCATCTTTTTCTTACGAAAAAGAGGGAAATGAAGCGTCTCTCATGCCTGGGTTGCACTGACCACATCCCTCCTTGCCAGCCTCCTTCCCATAGGCAGTTGCTCATAAACTCTAAGTTCTTGGCTGGGGCAGCTGCTGGAGATAAAACCTCCAAGGAAACAGGAACTTAACAACTCTGGGCCCTTTTCCAAAAGATGTTCCCCTCAGCTCCCACAATGGTGGGTAGGATGAAGAAGAAACTGCTAGAAAGTTTGAGGTGGGCGGATCTGCAGGAAGGAAGCCAAGGTGCTCCATGCTACGGGCTATCTGGAAGCTGAGGGTGCACTTAAAACAGCCACACAGATGCAGAGGGACCACAGAAAGTAGAGCAGAGACTCTCATGTTCCTTCAGCCAAGGTGATTTTGCTTATATTTGCTTTTTGTAGTTTGTATCATGAAGACAATAGGATTTTTCTTTTTCCAACTATAAAATTGTGTCATTATTGATCTACTTCTTCAGACTCCACTCACAGTCTCCCATCCTCCTCCTTGCTGCCTCTTCCAGGAAAAAAGCTGGAGGTAATAAGAGCAAGGATTCAAACCCCAGGTCTGTCACTCTCTAGTCATGACCTTGGGCATGTTGCTCAACTTCTCTGAGCCTCACTTTCCTCTTCTGTAAGACAGGATTGATAAGTGAGCTTACCACCACATGGGGTGGTTGTGAGGATGAAATGCAAGGAGAGTTGAGTATGGTCCATGCTCAGCAGAGTGAGTAAGTAATAGTGAATGCTGAGTAAGTGGCAATTTTTAAAAATCTCATTATAAAGATAATTCAAGTCATTGTTTCTGAGTATTTACTATATACTTAGCATTATTCAATGGGTTTCTAAAGATGAGTAAAACACAGCCTCTTCCCTACCCAGACAATACATGAAAGTGCTTTGTGAACTGTGAAGAGAAGGGAGGAAGTTTCATGGTTGGTATTATTACTACTTTTGCTGTGGTTACCACCTCATGGGAGTTGACACAGAGGCCTGTGGGGCTTGGCGGGGTGGTGGCTGTGCATGGGTGCAGGAGAGGTTGCCTGCACAAGGTTTGTGTATGGACATGCTTAGGCTATTCCGGGACCTCATATGGCCTTGAGCTGCAGGCTCCAGGCTGTGGGCTACAGCAGTGCGGTTTCACTTTAGCCATAAGGAGAAGACTCAGTCCCTTAGTGAGGCCCTTTGCTGCTGACTGGGCGATTAAGTCTGAGCGTTGGAGAATTCTAATGCAGGAACTGAGTTTGAGGAAGGGCAGACAGCTATGATCTTGGAGATTTCACAAGAGGCTTATGGGGAAGGCAAGGGAGTGAACACTTATCCACTGCCTTCCACTCCCCGGCAACTTGCAAGTGCTGCAGATCCTTACAATCTGGGGAGCCGCTGCCTCTACCTTACCAGTGGAGAACCTGGGGCTAAGGGAGGGCGGGCAGCCTGGCCATAGTTGCATAGTGACCCTGCCTCAACACTGACCCCAGGCTACTCCCTCCTTGCCTCTCCCTGGACTCTCGATTAAGATGTAGAACATTGTGTTGTTTTGAGTGGTGTCCTTTCACACATCTTCCCTGAACCTCCTTTTTCTCGTCTCTGGTAGAAGTGGTAGTGATGGCAGTATGATAATTATCAGTAGTAATGGTTAATATTTATGAGTGGTTCCTTTGTGCTTCACATGCCTGCTCCATTTAGGCTTTGAACAGCCCCATGAGATGGGGGCTATCATTATCTCCATTTTAGAGATGAGGAAACTGAGGCATGGAGGGATACAATAATTTGCTCAAGGACCCTCCGGTGGGAAGCAGAAGATTGGGATTAACTTCCAGCATTGGGGACCATACAGTCTATGTCCTGGATAGGCTACTGTCATACCTGTCATCTGCGATGTGGGGACTATGGCGATTTTCTTATGGACTGGTTATAAAGAGGTATTTAATGAGATAGCACATAGTAGGTGCTCAATGATTATTGGTTGCAGCTCTTTCTAAACAGTACTTTTAAGGGAAATGCTGAAACCAGATGAGCCAATTAAGTATTTTCCTGAAGACTGGGTTTCTCCTCCATGTGTCCTGTGCCTAAGGCCAGCATTAGTGTCTTGGATGGGATGCGGTTTGCTGGAGCTGTAAAAATCCTTAGAAATGGTTTGGTCTGCCTCTGCCCTTATTTTATGGATGAAGAAACTGAGGCTCAGAGAGTGGAAGAGCCTTGCCCGAGGTCACATAATGAATAAATGTCAGGCCAGGAGTGAGAGCCTGGTCCCCAGTTTCCCAGCTCGTTATTAATGATGAGGTTCTGTGGGGGCACATCCGGCAGTTTAGAGAAACCCGAAGTCCGTGGATTGATAGGTAAGCTTTTCAGGGGAGGATCTGGCACTTTTGTTCCTGGTTATGACTTGCTTCACTTTGGAGACGAGCCCAGCATCCAAAGGTTTTTTGGAGTTCTGTACAAAAACAGCAAAAAATAAAACATCAGGTCATTTGAAACTTCCCACGTGGGCAGAGGTCACCCCTGCCCCTGGCCTGTGGGACCCTAGCCAGATCCTTTTTCACAAGGCTGTTCGAGTAGGAAGAAACCCATCTCCCAGCTATTGTCCAGCTGCAACTGGCTTTGTGTTCCCTCTTCATCTCTTCCCTGAAGTTCCAGCTTGCTGCCCATACTCAAGCCTCAGCACAAATTTCCATTTATAATAAATGTTCGTTAATTCAAGAAAAAGTCCCCAGACCCTTCCTATCTCCAAGGAATATTAAAACAATATCCCCAACTTTAAGTCAATTTAGTGAGCATTTCACCTGTTCAGGGAGGCAGACACTGTAGACCTGGCCTTTCATCAGTAGACCTGGCCTGCATCTGCCATGTGGGGACTATGGCGATTTTCTAAGTGAGGATTTGAGATCAGGTCACGAATAAGTTGATCCCAAATGGGGCTATAAGAACACCAGAGGTGAAGTCCAGGAAGCGCTGGCATTAGCATCTCCTTGCTGGGACAACATTCATACATGTTCTTCTCCACAAACCCCCTTGGGCACCTCCCAGTATGCCTCACAACCTTTTGATGCTAGGCATGTGGGATTTTCCCCAACCCCAGGGTCTGATGAGCAATCTGTATGCTCAGAAGCAGCTATTCTGAGCTGGAGGGAGATTCCCTACACCCCAGCTTCAGTAGGTAGCAAGATGCCTGCCACTAACTGTTGCTTAATAGACATTTGTGAAATCAGTGAATTCCCCCTGTGCTTTGGGCTCCTTGGGAGGTGCCGGGGATACACCAGAGAGACACTGGACAGCCTTGTCTCCGCAGAGCATGCGACCTGCTAAGGTGAGGTTCAGACAAGTAAGCAGTTTAACTCTGAGTATTAGCTCCAGCATTAAAAAATACAACTTGGGGATTCTCATGGCTGAGAATATTAGAATGGCTCCAGAATATTAGAATGTAGCCTGTCAGAGTTGGGAGGCATCTTGGTTTTGAGGACCAAATTTATTTTACAAATAAGGCCCAGAGAGGTTGCAAGATTTGTCCAAAGCTACCCACTTGGAAGGAGCCAAGCTGGAATTCAGACCCAGGCTGCCTTCCTTCAGCCCAGTCTTCATCTGTTCTGTATCTCCAGCTTGGAGTTACTGTGCAGATTGAACACAAATGCATTGATCATAGTTCTGAGCTCACAGTAGGTGCTCATTAAGCAGTTTATCTCCCCGTTCCAATAAAATAGCTGCAGTTTTAGTTCTTCATAGATATTTTCCCTCACTCTAGACACTATTGGAAATTTCAGAAATCTCCTATGGAAAAAAAAGCCTTTCTCAATTGTATATTAAGTCCTGAGAAAACACAGGATTCTAAAGTGCTTGCTTTCTTCAGGAGATAACTTCCAGACAGTATCTTCTGGATGATACAAAGTTTCACTTTGGATAATTGGAATGGGGATAATTGAAATTAAGTGACCAGAAAGTAGAGACGTCTTTGTGATTTTCCTATGTCATTGTTTTTTTTCATCAACTGAATCCATCTTGCCCATCCCTGTCACCAGCTCCTTCTCCTGGTCTCCTGGGCCTGAAACCACTCAGCCATGTTGGATACCTCTCATCCAATTATTGACCAAGTCTGTTTTTGTTTAAAAAGAAAAATACCAAAAACATCCTGTCCTCTCCATTTTTGTTTCCCACGCACATATTCAAGAAACATTGAACCTTCATTAGCTCCCTAGCACCTCCAGAATGAAAATTGCCCTTAGAATTTCCCATTTGTACAAACATTGCAGACATGCAGAATGATACAACTGAAATGCTTTATATTCTATGAAACAACAATTTCACATAAATTCAAAATTGTAAATTCTATCTTAGGCCAAAGCATGTACAGCAATATTAGGGTTTTGTGATATTTTTCTAGTATCTCTGTGCATACTTGTTGAAGCCAAAAAAAAAAAAAAAAAAAAAAAAAAAACGAAAAAAAACCCTTTTCGTTACTGTGTGTCCTTCTCTTGTGGTTTTGGTAGGCCTTAATCCAATCCAGGGATTGGCCAACTGTGGTTTTAGGGCCAAATCCAGTCTGCTGCTTGCTTTTGTAAATAAAGTTTTAATGGAACACAGCCACATCCATTCACCCATATATTATCCCTGGATGTTTTTGTGCTTCTACGGAAGCAATGTGGAGTCATTGCAGTAGAGACTATGTGACCCATAAAACCTAATATATCCGTGACCTGGTCCTTTATAGACAAAATTTGTGGACTGATGGTCTAATTTATTAAAATAATTTATGCAAACAAATTCTCACTTGACAAGAAGCTAATATGTAAATTGCTATCACCCAAAGTATGAGCTATTTCAAATATTAAAAAGCAACATGATGGTTTTCAGTAGAGAGCTTTTCTAAAGGATCCTTAAAAATTTCACTCCAGCCTTCCAGTCCCAAATGGGATATTTCCCATGTCCACATGTTCACTTGCTAGAGAGGTTGCTCATTTGCTCGCTCATTCATTCACTCACCCAGCAAGTGTTTACTGTGTACCTGCTATGCCAGGCACCAGGCTGGGGATTCTTTTCAATGGCGAGTGAACCAGACCATGGGGCTTACCATGGGGTAGAAAGATGGAAAATAAACAAGCAACATAAGTATAGTGAGAGGGAGCACAGGGCTGGGAGAGGGAAGCATTGAGGGCAGGTAACCTCCTCAGAGAGGTCAGGGATGGCCTCTGTGATGGGAAGGATGGGATGGGGCCAGCGAGTGGCACATGTGAAGTCTCAAGTGGGAAGGACTTGGTGAACTTGTGCGGCAAAGTAAAGGCAGTGATTGAGAAAGATGGTGGCATGAGATCAGAAGGGAAGCGGCGGGGGTCAGGCGTCATCGAATTTTTTCTAAGAGTGTTGGAGAACCACTACAGGTTTTCCAGCAGGGATAGCACGGTCTATTTTCATCCCTGCAAGCTGGCTGTGGCTGCTTGTTGTGAATGGACTGGTGGGGAGTGGTGGGGCTGTGGCAGGGAGCCCTGTTAGCATAGGACCAGGGAGGAGGTGGCAGGAGAATGGAGAGAGCTGGTCAGATCAGAGACACCTCTCAGGGTTTCATCCTTGTTCTGCAGGGCCTGGTTCCATATAAGATTTTGAGACCTTGCTGTCCTTTGCCTTTTGAACAGGGGTGGTTGACCCGGCCTTTGGCCTGGACACTGCCCTCTGCAGACAGCCACCCCTGCCCAGCGGACAGTCAGAGTGTCCCCCCACGCTGCCCCTACACCCTCCCCAGCTGGCTCCTGTTCCTTGCTCTCCCTACTGCCTGGTTCCTTCTTCTGTCCTTCTCTTGGTGGATGATTTATGGATTTTTCCCCCTCATTTCCTGGTCTCCAGGAGCAGTGACTGGGAGGGGAGGGTGCTGCAGCAACAATTCTGGTCCCTTCCCCGCCTCCTCCTATTGCCACTTTAAAGGAAGCTGCAGGATTAGCTGGGATTTTAAGAAGAATCATGCCTTTTCACTGCTTTGGGGCTCTGTTTTTATTCTTTTCAAAGCTCTAGGACACCGAGGCAAGGAAAAAAAAAAAAACCACACACACAGACAGACAGACACACTCACACAGAAACAGCTGCAAAGAGCCTTGAATTGATTTTTTTCTTTCCCTTCCTTCATTCACCCACAAGTAGAGGAATTGGAGGTGGCACAGGACTCTTAAGCAGATCGTGTTGTCTGGAGGATGGTCATTGCAAGGCCAAGGCCTGAGTGGCACCTTCTTCCCTCCAGGCCCTGCTCCAAGGCCTTAACTCATTCAGTGCTCACAACAACCCTATGCAGAAGGTGCGAATATCGTCCCCATTTCACAGATGAGAAAACAAATGTGCATGGTGCGTAAGCCTTAAGATCATGGGGGGATGCTGTCAGAGCCCATCAGGGTCAGGGAGGAGCTGGGAGGGGCCCTTGGCCACTGGGCAGGGGGCAGTTTTTGCAGGTGAGGGCACCTGCTGCTTACCATGGGGTAAGCCAGCAGGTCTTGGATCTACAGATGGAGGCATTTCTCAGAGGGGCTGCAGGAGGCTCCTCCCCTCCCCCACTGCCACCAAGGTGGGCTGGAGCACCAGCGGGGAGAGCCATCAGGAGCCCCACACAGAAAACTTATTCTACAGGAGCACCCTATAAAGTGTTTAATGGCTCAATGAGGCATAAAGCAGGAGTAGAGGGGGACTGGGGAAATAAAAGGAAGGGATGTGTGAAAGAGCAGAGGACAGGCCCAGGAAAGGAACTGAGAGCGCTGTCTCTGGGCCCTCAAGTGGCCTTTGTTGCAGTCTCAAGCAAGAGGAGAGCTGCCTTGGTGGCAGGACTCTCCCAGCGGCCAGGGCCGATGTCTGCATTCAGAGAGGAAACTAGAACGTTCATGAGATGCATGCAGAATGCCTGGGCGGCCAAACAGGAGAGCCCCTGCCCCGGGGCCCTGAACCCAAGTACACCGAAGCCGCCATGCCGTTGGGAGCACTTCTCACACCACTGTGGTTTGGGGAGAGCAGTAGATTGTGACTTTAAGTCAAAGGAGTTCAGCATCTTGATTCAGCCCTTTCTCTGGCCTTGAATGACAGGGCTTCACCTTTAGCGGGAACCCTGGCAGCAAGGAAGCTTGGAAAGGAGGGAAGTTTTGCGACTTGGTAATACCGTCTTTATTAAAGCACAAAGGCCCCCCAAAGTCCCAGTGATTGCTGGGTGGGAGGGGGTTCTGTGGCTGGTGGCCTGGAGAAGGCCAGGAGTCCCAGTGGCGGGGGCTGGCAGTGGTGCTGCAGTTAACCCTTACCAAGCCCCTCCTGGCACTTGGCGCCTGTGCAGCGCTGTCCCCGTGCACATGGGTCTCCCTGGGAAACGGGAAGCCACCCTCCTGTTTGGCAGGCACCAAATAATCAAAGTGGTTTTGCTCTCAGTGCAGGATGAGGCACAGTGCTTTGGAAAACTAAGCCAGAAACGAGTGGGGAATTTATTTTGTATCTACTGAATATTAGCTCTGTGCTAGGTGCTATGGGGAACGGTAAAAGAATGATTAGCTCTCAGGAACTGGGGAAATAAGATAAGATGAGGCACAGATGGTGGCCAAGGGGAGTGGAATGAGCAGGAGCTGGGAGTCAGGAGCCCTGCCCCGCCACTTGCCAACTGTGTGAGTTAGCGTGGGCCATCCAGGGCTGCTTCACCTCTCTGGGCCGTAGTTTCCCCTTCTGTCAGGGTTAAAGCATGACACGTGCAGTGGCAGTGGAGTGTCGTTACTTGTGAAAGAACGAGCCCAGGCTGGGATGATTGAGTCGGGTGAGCCTGGCAGCCAGGGTGGGCTGCAGTGGAGAAAGGTACCCCGAGGCCAGCAAGTCTGGGCAGCTCCAGGCAGGGGGACCTGTGAGCTGCCTTGGACAGATGTGGCAGGAACAGTGATGAGCAAAAGCTCAAAGGGGCATTTGAGGTAGCAGAGAGAGATGACATGAGCCTGGGACTGGATGGCTAAGCCGCAGCTGGCATGCTGCAGGGGCACCCCCGCTTGCTGTCACCTGCGGGCAATGGCCCACTCACCCCAGTGCAGTCGGGATTGATGTGGAGCTGGGTCCCCTTCCAGAGAACCTGCCAAGGCCACCCCTCCCCTCCATCCCTGTTGCCACCCATGTCAGTTGGCATCCAAGCAGCGGCGCAAAACCAGTAGGAGATATAGAGGAAGAGCTCGAGTGGAGGAATTGGTGACTGTGGGGACAGGCCATCAGAAGGGGCAGGCTGGGACTCTCTACACAGCTGAAGCTGCTATTCACAGGCAGAACTTCTTCGTCACTGGGGAAGTCTCAGCTCTGCTCTATAGGCCTTTCATCTGAGTGACTGAGGCCCACCCCGGTTATCCCACATAATCTCCTGGACATAAAGTCACCTGACCATGGATGTGAATCACATCTATGAAATACCTTCACGGCAACACCTTGATTCATGTTTGATGGATGACTGAGGACCATAGCCTTAGCCACCTTGCACGTGACAGAGCCAGCACAGCACCTTCATGCAGGCATGCCCTGCCTCACACCTGGATGGTAGCACCAGTGGGCCACCCTACTGTGCACCCTGCCAGGGCCCTGGCTTTCTTGTGTACCGTGGCCAGACTCAGCTTCCTTCTGTACGGCTTTCATTGTGTAGCTCTCCCCTCAGAACCCACCAGTAACTCCCCATCACCTGTGGCACTGACACTGATTTTTAAAAATTGTCCAAACAATATTTTTAACAAGCTATTTCTAAGCAAAAGAATAGTCTTGCTCACGTCTGTAATCCCAACACTTTGGGAGGCTGAGGCAGGCGGATCACCTGAGGTTAGGAGTTCAGGACCAGCCTAGCCAACATGGCGAAACCCCGTCTCTACTAAAAATACAAAAAATTAGCCAGGCATGGTGGTGCATGCCTGTAGTCCCAGCTACTTGGGAGGCTGAGGCAGGAGAACCACTTGAACCTAGGAGGCAGAGGTTGCAGTGAGCCGAGATCGCACCACTGCACTCCAGCCTGGGCAACAAGAGTGAAACTCCATCTCAAAAAATAAATAAATAAATAAATAAAAAGACAGAATTGTCTCCTCCAATCCCACCACCATACATTCTCTCATTGTTTATGTGTTGCCCTCTAATCCTTAACATGTGTAATCAGAGCTAACACTGCTGGAGGCTTGGCCACAGGCAGGCGTTGTGCTAAGCACCATGCAGCATCCTTTCTGTTAATTTTCCCAGCAGCCTTCCAGGGTCTCATGCTGTTATCCCCCTCCCGCCTTTTATAAGGCAGAGAGAGACTAAGGAAGCCATTCGAGGTCTCAGAGACAGTAAGTAATAGAGCCAAGACGCGGATGCAGATCTGTCTGGTTCCAGAGTCCTTGCCTTAATATCACTCCTGAGTCCAGCATTCAAGGTCCTTCTCTGTTTCAGTCCAGTCTTCCTACCTCCTCTAGTGTAGACTTAGTATATTTATAACTTTACTGTATGTTTATACACATGTTTGTCCCATTGTAAAATAAGCTCCCGAAGGACAGAGTGCCTGGTGCTGAACCAGGTGCCTAAATAAAAAATGGTGAATAGGTGAATAGATGGATGGGTGCGTGAGTAGATGTATGGATGGGTGAATGGGTGGGTAAGTCGATGGATGGGTGGGTGAGTAGATGGATGGGTGGATGGGTGGGTGAGTAGGTGGGTAGGTAGATAGGTAGGGAATTGGGAGATGGGTAGGGGGGCAGTGAATAGCTATGTGGATGGATAGACAGAGGGCTAATCAGCAAATTCAGTCCTCTAACTTTACTAATGAGGCTGTGATATGCTTCAGAACACACAGGTGACAATTAGCTAAGTAAAATATCTCCTGCTGATACAAGCATCCTGTGGAGTAGATACTAATCACCCCATTTTACAGATGTGAAAAACTGAGGCTCTAAAGGTTTAAGTAATGGGCTTGAGATCAATTTTTAGTGGCAGAACTATGATAATGAATCCAGAGCAACTTTCTGCCTCTAGAATACTGTACAGACCCAGATTCTCCATCCCTTACTTCTTCATCCCTTTTGTTTCTGCCACACCCTGCTGTCTTCTACTCCTGCAGGAAGCCTTCCCTGACTTCTCCCACCCTCATCCTTCTTGGCTGTCTCCTCACTCCTGCCATAGCTCTTATCAGCAGCAGCATCCAGCTGAGCATCCCTGTTTGCCTCTTGTGTCTCTGTCAAGCTTGTGGGTCCAGGGAGATTTCTTACTCCATGAGACAAATATTAAGCCTGTCCTGTGTACCATGTCCTGTGCCAGGCACTGCAGGTATCAACTCTAAACAAGATTACAGGCTGGAGTGTGAGTCAGACTAGTAAACAGACAGTTACAAAATCTCCCTGTGGTAAAGATAAACGTGACCCTGGGGAGCCAGTGGCATTAAGCTGAGGGGTGAAATGTGGATAGTTGTTAATTTCCCGGAAGCAGGAGAAATAGGGGATTCCAGGGAAAAGAAACCATGTGTACAATGACCAGAAAGCTAACCTCCTTCCCTTTTCCCTCTTTCCTCTCTTCGGTTTTCCTTCCTCTTTGCCTATGTTGATTGGGAACCCATTGCATGCCAGGGACTCTTAGAGCATGTATTTTTTTATTCTTAGTGTGAGCCACATGGGATGTGCTATGAGTGGTCACTTGTTGATTGATTCCATCAGCCAGCAAGTCTGTGATGCCTGTCATGTGCTAGGACCCATTTGATTGATTGGGGTGAAAATGCTAGCATTTCGTGGCAGTCACTCAACCAATTGCTCTTCTCCCTCACCCCTGGCGGTGGCTAAGGGAAGAGCAGAGGGAAAACTTCTCTTGGGGAAGAGGAGTGACAATCGAGAAAGGATTGATAGAAATTGTGTGTGATTCTGAGTGTGCAGCTCTAGGTGTGAAACCCTTGTCTGATAACCAGGAGCAAATGGAGGGAGACTGCGGGTTGAGAGGGAAGCAGGGAAATGATGGGAAGAGCAAGTCCCAAAAGCAGTGGAGTCAGACAGACCCAGGTCCTTCCTGCTGAGCTGAGGCACATCGTTTGCAGAGCACCTGCCACATGCTGGACTTTGGCCTGGGCCCTCCACTTTCATGATTTAACTTAACCTTCACAACAGACTGTCAGGCGAGTGTTGGCAAATCCACTTTACAAATGAAGATATTGAGGCCCAGAGAGGTAAGTGATGTGCACAGGGTCACACAGTTGGTGGAGGAGTCAGGATTTAAACCCAGGTCTACCAAGGTAGAACCCAAAACTGGTGCGTTTCCCCCTGGTACCCACAGAGTCCTCAACAAGCATTGGCCCTCCCTCCTTGCCTTGGCAAACATTCACCCACCCACCAGACCAAGTGCTTATGATGTGCCGGGTACCCGTGGTGGGCTGGGTAATTTGAAAATGGATGGGTGGAAGAGAGCAGAGTCCATGGGCTCCACCACCTCTGGAACCAGGCAGGCCCCGGTCTGAATGGTTGCTCTGTTTCCACGGTGACCTTGGGCACAGGCCTTCTTTTCCTCTGAGCTGTTTCCTCAGCTTTACCTGGGGGCACTGAGAAACCCCCACCTCACGGGTTGTTATAAGGCTCAAGTGAGGCGATGTGTGGAAATACTCCCCCATGCTTGCATACAGGGAACACCCCAATGTTAGTCTCATCATTATTGCTTGCAGTTTTTACAAATCCATGCTCCAACTTCAAAGTGCTCTCTATTTAATGGGGAATTAAGATTGGATTCATTCACCTGAAGATAATCAACATGATTCTGGAGTAAGTGTTGTCAAATCCTGGCACAGTCTGTGTTGGTACCGAGTTTGGATAAGGAGGTTATAGTGGCCCGGGGTGGTCTGGAAAGGCCTCTTGGAAGAGGTGTGATTTCAGCATCACTTTGAGCAAGGGGAGGGGCTAGAACTGGACCTCACATTGGAGGAGTGGTGTGGAAAGGGAGAGCCAAGGATGGCTATAGGGGTTGGGAAGCCATAGGCTGGGCCAGACTTCAGAGTAGGGGAAGCATAATTATCAGAGGAAGGTCCCATGGGCAGTGGGGAGCCATTGATGTTCCTGAGTAGGGGGTGTGTTTTGGGAAAGTGGAGGTGGCACCAACAGGCCTCACATTGTGCTCTGTGCTGGGTAGCAGCTGTCTTCTTTCCTGTTTGACAACCCCTGATGTGTAATGAACTAGAACCCCCAGTGAGAACACTGGAGCAGACGATAATTCACTCGGCTGAAGCCAGAGAAGAGCCTTATCCTGAATCACAATTAAGTTGTGTCATAATTGTGATTGGCTCAGTATATTGATAATAATAGTACCAACACCCAGGAAACAAATGCTTACTCTATGCCAGCCTTGGTGCCAGGGCTTTTACAAGCCACTCACAGACCCTGCACCCCTTGTTTGTGACAAGGATTTTGTAACATGGCTTTTGTCACCCTGAAACGCAACTCATAAATAATCTGCCTGCACAGATAAGTTCAAGAAAATTGATATGATGCCCTAGCTATATTATAAAGGAAAAGCAAAAAGAGAGCAAATTATAAATAAAACAGCATGTATTTCAATATGTAAATGCTCGAGCACACAAGAAAACATAATGAAGTAGTCAGGTGCTGGCACCAGCTTGTAAGAAATACATATGGATGTGAGACAGGAGAGCCGATGCACCACTGAATATTGTCTATACTTTTTCTCCATGTTTTACATTTTTAAATAAGAACTAGCCACATATGTTATTATAGAATCACCACGAATGCAATAGCTGGAATAGTGACTAATAAAAGGGTGGTTGTGTCAATCACTCACATTCCACGGACAGTACAGCCATTAGTGACATGATTTTCTGAAATGATGAACAATGCTTGGTAAAGTACTGAATTAAAGAGACAGCCTTTCCTCAATTTACATGGTAATTGCATTTCTGGAAAATTCAGTCTATATTAAAATGAGGTTAAAAAAATCTTCGAGGATATATGTAAAACAGAGTTAGCTTCTCACTCGAATAATTATAAACAGCTCCTCCCCACCCCACAGGAAGTGGAACATGCAGAAATCTTGAGAAGCAGGAGAGTTTTTTTGCTGTGTGAGGATGGTCCCCCACACTGTAGGATTCCCAGCATCTCTAGTTATTTGCCATCAAATGCATCACCTCCATCTTTATGATGACTCGAAATGCCTCTACATGTCTCCAGGTTGCCCCTTAGAGGATGTACTGCTCTTGTTGCAATCACTAACTTATGTTATGTCATTTAATCTTCACAATAATTCTTTGAAGTAGGTATTTTTGTTTCCACTTTATAGGTGGGCACACTGAGGCTTAGCGAGGTACAGTAACCTGCTCAAGGTCACAGAGCTGGGACTGGAAGCCCCTCTGTTTTTCTGTCTCACTATGGCATTTAATACTGAGTTATTGTTTTACGGAGCTATGTGCCTTCAAATTAATTCAACATGCACTTATTAAACACCTACTGGGTTTTAGGTATTCTGGTAAGTCAAGGAGACATAAAGGCAAATATCTAAGACTTGGTCCTGTGCAGCATATGGGATTGTCCAGAGAGAGAGAGAGAACATGGCTCTGGAAAGGAATGGAACAAGTTCTTTATGCCCAGAATGGGCAGCCCTCGAGGGTATATGAAGAGAAACAGGCTGGATTGGTAGGTAGAGATCAGCTTATGAAGGGATTGTAGACAAGCCTAGTAAGAAATTGAGAGCAATGGAGAGGCACCAAAAGGCTTAAAGCCAGGGGATTCTATGACCAAGCTTTATAAAAAGGCCACCATAAAATGTGGCATGTGGAATGAATAGGAGGGGGCTGAGACCAGAACACATGCCATTAAGTAGTTTGGGTAGGAGATAGTGACAACTTTGAGGTGGAGAGAGAGGAAGAATTTGTGAAATAAGCAAGAGTATGAGTCAGCCCTCTGTGACCCAATGTAGAGGGTAAAGGAGACACAGCAGCCCAAGATGAAGCCCAGCTTTCTGGCTTGAGTGCCCAGTGCTCAGTGGTGCTGGTAGGCGAAATGGAGAAATATGGTAGGAGGCAGTGTTTTGGCTGGAGTTGAGGGAGACCATTCTTTGAGGACCCATTAATGTCTGTGACTCTGCAAGTAGACCCATTAATGTCTGTGACTCTGCAATGTCTGTGACTCTGCAAGTAGAGATATTTGGGTAGCAGACAGGTATGTCTGAGCTCAGGTGAGAGATGTGTGCAGTGGAATCGTTAGCATGTATGTTAGGATTTCTTTTCCTGGAGCCTGTGGATGTTTCAAGGTATCCATGAGCTCCTTGGAATTGTATAAAAATTCTGAGATTGTGTGATATGTACTTTTTTCTAGGGTGAGGGTCTGTAGATATCGTCTTATTTTTAAGGGACCTGTGTCTTCCCAAAATGAGAAACCTCTAATATGCCATATTTTGTCTAATCTAAGTTACATCATTATTTTATGTACCAGAAGGTACATAATGCTTTCAATTAAGAACATTTACCAGAAGTATAAACACTTCCAATTAATCTACTATCCACTGCTTTAACATTATTCCTGTGTGACACGTGGAATAGTCACACCAGACTCTACTGTTGCTTTGAAGTTTCTTCCAAAGGAATTGGCAGATTCTTCTGACCTCAGGTGTGTTTTCTGGGGTATTTTTTGGCAACCAGTTTGTGGTAACAGAATGTAACATAGCTTCATTTACTTGGGGTTCTTGGATCCATAAAGTAATTGGCTGTTTCTTTGCAAGAAAATATGGAAGTGTGATCATCTCACCAATGATTTCTATTTTCTTTACAGTATCAAAATTTATCCCTATTTCTGTGCCTTTCTACAGAGACATAGTGTAATCTTTTTAAAAGACATTCTAAATCTCACACAGCAATTGACTAAATTAATTTAAAATATTTTATCTAACAAAACCCTTAGCTCAGCTATAGTGATGAAACAGGAACAGCTATGCCCTTGGTCCCTTCCATTCCGGCAGTGGAAACTACATTGCAGCTGCCATGTGGGAGCCATCCTGATTTCAGAGATAATAAGGTGAACCATTTTTAAAACATGTTTCTTAGAACTGATGGAATTGAAGCTCTGGGAACAAGTGGGACAGCCAGGATGAGAATGCAAGAGAGAAGAGCACAAGAGTGAAGATGGGACTTGGGGGACACCAACATGTAAGGGGCTGAGAGGAAGAGGAAGCTGAAGGGTTCCCTGAGAAGAAGGGAAAATCCAGGCTAATGAGGCTTCAAGGCGGGAGAAGGAGGGCAAGGGTTGTAAGATGTGTGCTGGGCTGGGCATGCCCATTGGAACTGGCCATACTGGGTAACAGCAGCTTCCATGGCGTGCTGGAACTTCCGGGAAGTGGAGCCAGCTTATGCATTCCTCCCTGTCAAAAGGTTTATCCTTGAAGAGGGGGAAGCAGGGAGGCTGAAATCAAAGAAGACACATGGAGGTTGTAGCTTGGATGACACCATTATCTAAAAGGGGGACACAGAAGGAGGAACAGATTTGGAGGAGACAGTAATAATTTTGGTGTTGAGTATGTAGAATTGTAGGTCTTCATAGGAAATCCAGGTAGACATATACATAAGAGGTTGAAAATATGGGTCTTAAATTCAAGAGATACCACTGCATGAGGAGGATTAAAGAGCATCAGTACATTGGTGGCTCCTAAACCCATAGGAATAGGAAAGAAAACCCAGGAGAGTGTTTAGAGAATAGGATCCGGGTGAGGCCCCACTTCTGGGAAGCAGTTTGGAAATCTGTAGAGAGCAGCTTCCTTTGAGAGCTACCTGTGAGGCAGGACTTGTTCCTATGCCTAACACAGTAGCTGGCAGATAACAGATGCTAAGTGAAGGTGATTGATTGATTGGTTATTTGATTAATTGATTGAAAGAATGCATGAAGAGGCCGGGCATGGTGGCTTAAGCCTGTAATCTCAACATTTTGGGAGGCCAAGGTGGGAGGCTTGCTTGAGCCCAAGAGTTCAAGACCAGTCTGAGCAACATAGCAAGACCCCATGTCTACAAATAATTTAAAAAATTAGCTGGGCATGGTGGTGGACACCTGTAGTCCTAGCTACTTTGGAGGCTGAGGTGGGAGGATCACTTGAGCCCAGGAAGTCAAGACTGCAGCAAGCAGTGATTTCACCACTGCACTCTAGCCTGGGCAATAGAGTGAGACCCTGTGTCAAAAACAAAAACAAACAAAAAAAAGCAGGAAGTAATGAATCTGTGAAAGAGACTTAAAAAAATCATGGAGAAAGGAGGCAGAAAACTAGAAAAGTCCAATGAAGGAAAGTTTTAAAGCTGCAAAGATAGGAGATGAGCAAGCATGAAGAAGCCATTAGGTTGGACTATTTTAATAGTCCCTGGGGGACCCTGGTGTCCTGTGGGATGGCTGCCAAGTAGAGAAATGAAAGAAAGAGGATAGACAGCTTTCAAGTGAGGTGAGAACAAGAGGTGAGCATTGATTCTTCTTCCAAGAAATGAAGCAGTTTTGAAAGGAGCATGTTGCAACCATCATGGGTTAGCTGGGAGGGATCCATGTTGCTCAGGATCCCTGAGGAAGAGCCCAGGAGAGCCCAGAGTCCTTGGCCAATTGGATGGATGGGAGGAGAGTCTGCCTTTCAGAACAGGGGATGCTTGCAGGAACAAGGCAGCACCTTGCTCTTTCTGGCTCCAAATGCGGCCCCTGAGTATGGGATCCCTCCTCTCCACAACTCCATCCCAAGTGTGTTTAAGGGAGTAAGAGGACATGGGGTGGTGCTTCTCATCTGGCAGTGTCCCCCCACTGGCACATCCTTGCCTGGGGAACTTGTGGTTTAATGGTGCCCTTGGTCACCATGGTGACACCAGCCTTCTAGTCTAAGAGAGATGGATGGGGTTTAAATCATTATTAGCCAAGGTTCCGAGTATGTTTTCCAGGCAGTAAATAATAACTCCTAATACCAGTGTAAGCTTGGCTGGGCACTGTTGGAATGTTTATGTTGCTTGGGCTTGTTTTCATTTTGGGTTTGTTTTCTTTTCATGGTCTTTATGGTAGAGCTACGTAAAAATCAGTAGCATTGACTCCCTAGCTAACCTTAATTCACCATGAAATAGGCTTAAACACTAGACTCCCTCATCGAGTGAATTTTGGATATCCTGTGGACAGGGATTTAAATTGGGCTCAGCCTTCTTAATGAGCATGGTTGCTATTTAAGTATCTTGTCACCGTTGCACACAGTGCTTGTGTCTTTCCTTGGAGGTGATTTTTCCCAACCTGGAGAACTCTGCCTGCTTTGTGTCCTGGGTTCTTCTTGCTTTAAGGACTTTCTTCATGTAGCACATTCTAGATCAGGACTCTGGAGCAATGGGAACATGCTGTGCCTCCTTCAAAGTTTAGCTCCAGGAGGTGCTCTCTGGCACACCACTGCCAGCCAAGCTGCTCACACCACTGTGCATATGCCTGAGGCCCTCTGCTGCCATCCTGTGAACTGTCAGTCATATACATCTGTTCTAGGGTTAGCTCACACACCCTTGAGGGCAGGGACCCAGGTCATTCATCAGCATGCTCTCAGAATCCAGCATAGGGCCTGGCACACTGTAGGCTCAGTGGATGGATATGAATGGAATTCAACTGCGAGTATTTTACTCTCAGATGGAGAGACTGAAATGAGAACATGGACTGTTCACACCAGGGCCTATTGCAGACATATGGGGTTATGTCCTGTTATGTTCTGTTTGTTCTTACCGTGTTATTGAGGTCTGAATTTATTCATGCACCAACTATTTGCAGTCCATGTAGGTCTTCCCAGGAAGTGTTTCAGAGCCTGTAGAGATGAATAAAGCCCTTGCCTTTGAGTAGATACCAAGTAAAGAGAAAGCCAGGTCTGTGAACAGCTGACTGTATTACAAGGCAGAATGAAATAAGGGCTAAGTAGAAGGAGGAAGGGAAGCTACTGTCTCCTGAGGGCTAATGTGTCAGGTCACTGTACCTGGTGCTGTGTAGACATGGGCTCATTTAATCCTTACATCTACCAAGAGAGGTGGGAACTATGGTCTATGATTCACAGATTAAGAGCCTGAGGCTTAAAGGGATTGAGTTCATCTGCTGCATTGCTATCCCCATTTTATAGAAGAGAATATCAAGACCTAGAAAGATAATAGCTTGCCAAAAGTCAGCCACATGCACACAGAGTGCCAGAGGCTGGATGTGAACTTTGATTTTCTGAAGCCAAGATGGCTCCCCGTATCTGCATGCCACATTGCTCAGTGTGTTGCAGGCTGTGACAGGAGTGTTTTGTTCTGCCTGGATGGCCTCTTACTGAGTCCTAGAAGACATGGTCATTGAACTGGTCTTGAAGGTCAGCAAGATTTTCATAGGTAGAGAAGAGGAAAGGACCTTCCTTTCCTCATCTCCACTGTCCCACTCAGGTGAAGGGTGACATGAAAGCAAAGGTTTGCAGGCAGGGAAGTGAAGGGTTTGTTCAGGGGACACAGGAGGACATGGTGTGAGATGAATGTAGTTGGCTCATAGGGGAACTCAAACTCCCGAGGGGTCCGTTCGGGGCTTCGGAGTTGAATGGCTCTGAGCTTGAATCCTGCCTTTATCTAGCTTTGGAATCATAGGTCAAATGCACAACTTCTGGGTGCTTCAGTGTCCATCTCTGTGAAATGGGAATAATATTTTCTGTCTTCTAGAATTGGATAATGTAAGAATAAGGCACATCAAGGAAATGATAAATGTCAGTCCTATTATTATTAGCTATCTTCTGATCTTCCATTTCTCCCAAGTGAAGCATTTTTCCCTCTTGAGCCCTCTGTGTCCAACTAGGATGTCTCTCATTACCAAATAATAGAGTCTTGGACTCTCAGGACTGGAATGAGCCATGGGTGTAGGTGATCTTTATGTTCTCAGCCATCAGTGAGAAGAAAGAGTGACACTATTCCCTAAGCTCTTAGATGTTAGATTTCTTACCCCAGCCCCGATGATGCCTGACAGGAAAACACCCCTCCCTTGTGACCTCTCAGGGTTGGGAGGGGCGTTTTCCTGTCAGTATCTGAGAAGTCTCAGCAACTTTCCCCCCAGTAACTGCGCGTGAGCCCCTAGCAACCATGTACCCCTCAATGGAGAGCCCCCAAGCTCCTTCCTCACCAGGTTCCTGGCACATCCGAAAGGTTGGAGATATTCGTTGACCTTGGCTACTCTTGAAAGCCTGGCATCCCTCTTTACAGGGCAGGCTTCCTCCCTGTTGGGTGTGTCTGTGATGGTGCACTTGGGTCCCCGGCTTCCCTTCAACTCAGCTTTGATTTCCTTCTATCCTTTTAAATTGGAGTAGATCTTATTTGGTTTCATCCAGATATAATTTTTTCCCTTCCTTCTAGGCACTGTCTGCACCCTGGCCCATCAGCCGCCACAGTTAGGACTTCAGAGAGGATTCTCATCCATAGTGGCCGCTCTGGCTGATTCCCTCTGTCCTTCATTTGAGTCTGGCTGCTGCAGCTCCTCCAAACAGCTGTGTGTGCTTCTTCTCTGTCCAGAGGTCTTTCTTATCTCTGGGTTCTATTCACTCAGATTTTCCCAGCCAATGGATTATCACCTCTTAACACCAGCCTTCCACTGCTGCCCCCATCTATCAGGGAGAAGATCCATAAGGATTGTCAAGAGCCATTTCCCAGTGTCCCTCACAGCTGAGACAGAGCTGATTCCTGCCTCTTTGTCTGTGGTCTTGAACCCTCAGATATGTTGTTCTCTGCCAGCCAAGGCCACTCACTCACTGGGTTGGAGAGGCATTGCTTATTGCACAGTGATGGTGAGTAAAGACAGTCACAATCTTTCTAATTATTGAGCTGTCTTCATGTCAGATGCTTTGCAGAGTGATCTCTAACCAATCCTCACGACATCATTTGAAATAGGCATTATCCTCATTTCACACAGAAGATGGAAGCTTAGGAAGGTCTCATGGACCGCCAAGCCCATGCATGCGCCTTGTGCTTGGTGATGGGGCCCATGCCAAATTTGGCCATCCTGTCAGGCCCATTTTAAACTGGCAGAGAAGGCTAAACCTGTGGTGGCCAGGCACAGTGGCTCACACCTGTAATCCCAGCACTTTGGGAGGCCGAGGTGGGTGGATCACGAGGTCAGGAGATCGAGACCATCCTGGCTAACACGGTGAAACCCCGTCTCTACTAAAAATACAAAAAATTAGCTGGGTGTGGTAGCATGCACCTGTAGTCCCAGCTACTTGGGAGGCTGAGGCAGGAGAATCGCTTGAATCCAGGAGGTGGAGGCTGCAGTGAGCCAAGATCACACCACTGCACTCCAGCCTGGCTACAGAGTGAGATTCTATCTCAAAAACAAAAACAAAAAACCCTGTGGCTTCCCAAGACATGGTGATATCTTTGGTAAAGCTGTTCTAACTGCTCTTTACACAGACAAAACTTTCTGAAGACTTCCTGATTCCTTTTATTGCTGTTCCTGGTTGACTACAGGTGTAGAAGGATGGTCACTCTTAAGGGTCCACCTTCAGCTCCTGGGTTGTCCTCAGAATCTTCTCTTCCTGTCTGAGTAGAAGGAAACAGTGTGGATCATTTGGGCTAGTGCCTCCATTTGGTGAGAAACAACAAAACAGCAACAGGACCCACCCAAGATCACAGAGGCAATTGGTGGTTAGATATTTAGCTTCCATGTTTGACTCCTTATAATGGAGACCTCAGAGAACAGAAGCATAAACAGGATAGTTTATTTCTCTCTCCCATAACAGCATGGGTGTGAGCTGCCCAGTTTCAGGGACCCAGACTCCTTCTGTTCTGTTGCTTTGCTTTCCTTAGGGTGTTGCCCTCATTTACATGGCCTAAGATGGCCCAAGACTGTTTTCATTTCAGCCCATGGGAAGGGCAAGAAAGGAAGGATGGGTTACAGCCCTTCCCTTTAAGGACTTGACCTGGAAGCTGTACCTGGCACCTTCATTTCTATCTTGTTGGCCAGAACATAGATGGCCACGCCCACCTACAGAGGAAGCTGGGAAATGTCTTTATTTGGGGCAGCCATGGGTCCTTTTGAAAATGAGGGGTTTTGTTACTGCAGAAGAGGGAGAATAGAGTCATGGTCTCTGTGCTGTGGTGGGATGGAGACCACCTGCTGGGCTGTTCCCAGCTCCAGTCCTGCCCCTCAACACCTTTCTTCTCTTCCTTCTCAACCCAGCCCAGGGATAGTGCCCTGAAACGTGGATCCCACATGGGTCAGTGTTTAGTTAGATTATTTTAGGCCCCACACACGGGCTAATTTTCACAGCTAATGATACACCACTTGCACTTGTACAAAAATTATAACTTTAGCTCTTCATGGAAATACCACTGCATTGTTAAAATACCATTACCCCCTTGAAGAAATGCCACTGTTTTCTTGTGAAAACATGACTCTACCTATTTAGAATTTGGTTGCTTAAAACAGAAAGTTTTCCCCTACATTTACTATTTCTGTTAGAATGTTCTAGAACAACACCTCCAACAGTGGCAAAAATTGTGAGGAGGCCACATGTGTCCAGGGTGGCCTTTCTTCTTTAGATATGCATTCTCTTGCATTTTATTCCCAAAGATAAATAGTATCTTTGTGGGAGTTATGCCAGACTGTTAGTTGACTGCTTTAGTGTTCTTTCCTGGGAATGCAGGTAGTAGTCTCTAAAAAACCAAAGGGGAGAAAAATCAGTTAATATTTAAAAGAGTGATTGTCTAGGGATTGGATGTTCAGTGCCATGCTTTCTGGCCGTATGGGATGGGCAGATGCACCTGAGAGATAGAAGCGAGACTGGCTGGAAGGGGATGCAGGGGAGAGGCGGGACTGCACAGTGTCCTCTGGCTGGGAGAGTGGGCGATGGATTATGAGTTGCTGCCAAATGTCAGGCAAGCTGAACACTTGAGGTTAAAAACAGCCAGAGGAGAAGACAAGATGGCAGCACCTGGCCACACGTGTGGCAGAGTGCAGCATGTGTGCTGGAGAGAGCAGACTTCCGAGCACTTCCAGCATTGTGACCTAGAATTCCCTAGGCTTGGAGAGATTTTTGTCTGCCTAGGCTCGGAGGAATTTTTGTCTGCAAAGTGGGGAAAGAACCTACTCAAGTGGTGTGAAAATTAGTTAGAGATACTGTATGAGATATTTCTGGCACCCAGTAGGTGTTCAGTTAATAGCAGCATTTTCCAAGGCTCTGGGTATCAGGTTCACAGAAGGTTCAACCCAAATCCGTGTCAGGACCCTGGATAGCTCCAAGGAGTCCTGGTCCTTTGGCTGACTGAGAGAGCAAGGAAGGACCTCAGAAACCATCCATCTGGTCCTTTCCCACAAATCCAGAAAGAGTTCTTTCCACTCGTGGTCCACGGGATGATTTCAGTGATAATCCATGAACCCAGACTGCAGAGCATCCAATTACGAAGTGAGACAGCTCTTCCCTTTTCATGTCCCTTAAGGTGAAAGGTATGCTGAGGTGCTGGTTTATCTTTAGCACCTCTCTAGAACTTGCTTCTCCTGCTTTTGAACAAAGACAGAACACAGCTCAGACTCAGAGTCTTTGGCTAGAATTTAATCACATTTTATTTTCGTCACATTTATTTTTGTAGTTACTTTCCATTTGCAGTAAGAGATCATAGTTTTCTGTTTATGGTGGTAATTCACAGTTTTCTCATTATGTATATTTGTTTAATATAAAAGAGTGTACTAATATATAGATAATATTAAGTAAATAATACAAAGGTGCTATGTGTATATGGCCAAAAAATACTGGGAAGATGCTATGAATGATTGAAGTTTGGATTAGTCTATCCTTGCCTCTTCGTAGATGGTAAATGCCAGCCCAGAGAGGGTATGGAACTGGCCCCAGCTGCCCAGCACATTGGATCTTCTGATTTTGTGGTCCTAGGTTCTTGCCCCACACTGCCCTGCTTTTTTGGATGCCTTTTGAACAAGACTTGGCTTTCCAATTGACTCCATTATCCTGGAAATCTTAGGGTGGGGTGGCCCTTCTACAATGTTTGTGGCATTCCAAATGATCAGACAATCTCCTTGCTCTGAAATAAATGGCCGTGTCCTGGGCGTAGGGGGAAAACCACCCCACAATCCCAGTATTGGGATGTAAATGAGCAATTAGCGTCAATTAAAACAGGATACAGTATAATTACCACCAATTGTGCTAACCTTTATATTCAGAAAGCCTTGACCTGTGAAAAGGGAATTAAACAATAGTGAAAACTCTTAACCAAGGGGTGTGTTTTGGGCAGTGATGCCTCCTTTCATGGACTGAGGGTTCTGACAGATTAGACCCTCCTTTCTCCACGCCCACCCTTCTGGGTCTGGGCCACTACTGGCAGTGGCCAGGAACAGCCAGGCTTGATGGTACCTTGTCAGAGACCTTATTAGGCCCATCACCAAATGCTGCATAGTTCAGCATAATGCCTGAACCCTGCTGTGGCCTCTTGCCTCTTCCAGACAAATTCTAGGGCCTCAGACATCTTGAAAGGGACACTTTGTTAGGAAGCACCTTGCACCTGAACTGTCCTGCCCTCTGTATATGACCTGGTCTGTCTTTTAAAGCCAAATCCTTTGTGATGTCCTTGTTTATAAATATGCCTCTGAAAATCTGATTCAATTTTCTGAATCCCCTTTTATGTGGACCCAGCATCACATATGGATGCAGCACAAAGCAGTGTTCCTAATGACCTGCATTGTAACCTCAGAGTTCCAGATCTCAGCCTGCTTCTTTATTCCTCTGTCCAACAAATATGTATTGAGCACACCTTATGTGCTATATACACTGTCCTGGGTGCTGTGGATGCAGCAGGGAAAATAAAAGACCAAACCCTTATATTGTAAAAATCTTAAACTTACAAGGCAAGAAAATTGCTGATGGAGAGCAGCTTTAGGTGCTGGGAGGATGCGGGAATGACAGGGGTGATGAATGTGGGATGGGGCTCAGGGAGGACGGGGCAATTCATCCTCTCAGCAACATCTGGGCAGACAGTGTGGTTTATGAGGCTAAGAGGGTGGCTTCTGTAGCGAGACAGACATTTTAAATGGACCACTCTGAGCCTCGTCTTCCAGACCTTTAAGATAGAAAGGACAATGAGTTCTCAACTGGAGGGCAGGGCCCTGACTTGGAGGAATCCTCTGCCTGTGGGGACTCAGACACACACAGGACAAACGTCTTGGGTGGCCGAGGAGCTGGGGATGGACTCTGTGGACAAAGAGAGACTGAGAAAAGGCAAGGAGGCCTAAGAGGCCTGGCACGTTCCCCAATAGCAGGGAACCTGGTAGTCTGGGGAAGGGTGGAGACTGGCCAAGTCACACGGCAAGCCCAGGCAGAGCCAGGACTGGACCAGCGTTATCCGACTCTAAGCCCAACCCTTTCATCATATCCCACAACCTTGAATGCGAGGCTGAGGAGGTTAGACTCAGGAACAGGGAAGAGACATGCAGGATTATTATTTTTGTAACTGCAGCTGCAGTATGGACAGTATAGGCTGTCAGTGACCAAGAAGAAAGGTGATGAATGGCACCAGCAATGGCGGTAAAAAGGGGGTGTAACTTCAGAAGGTAGTTGGAGATCTAGTTGGCAAGACTTGATCACTGATTGAATGTGGGGGAAGCTGAGAAGAGAGGTGAACCTAACTCTGAGCATACCTGAGTGACAACCTGGAGGTTCCTGAATATATGAGGGGGCAGACAATACCCTCTGCCTATTTCTGCGTCCTTGGCTAGTTCCACATCTTCCCTGCCTGATCCAACCTCTCCTATTCCTGCTTATCTTTGGGGACCAAGCTCCAGCCCATGTTCACAGACAGGAGAAGGCTGGATCCCTTCCCGGAGACCCTGGAAGCACCTTCCCAACCTGTCTCCATAGCCTCCTTTTCTTGTGTGACCCTCATTGTGTGGTGTCATGATCCCAGGAGTTTCATTCCTAGATGCTCATGTGCATAAATTCCTTCCTCAAGGACTAGACCTAGGTCTTACCATTCTGTTGACCTGCAGGAGAGTCTGAGAAAGCATAAATGAAACATGGACTAGACCAAGGGTAGCAGATAGAGGGGTTTCATCCCAGCTGATTATGGCTGGCTGCCTGGAGTGCTGTGCGGAGGGTTCTGAGGCTGCATCCAAGCTTAGCTGCAAAGAATGCTGTGATCTATTAGTGATGTCTGGCAAGGCACAAGAGGGAAGAGTGGCAGTATGTGTGTCACTTATGTGCAGTCTCTTGATGACAAGAATCTGTATGGTTTTGACAATGCACAGCTGTTCTCAGGAAAAGTGAAAGATGATGTCCAAGTGTCTGGCATGGCCAAGGGTAGAAACAGATTAGAAGTAGCTTTTACAGAGCCACTTTTTAAAGTGGCTTTAAAAGAGCTATAGACACAGGCTATCCTCAGCATTGAATTTCAACCTTCATACCAATCTCCACTTGTGTGCCTTACATAATGATGCCTCTAAGCCACCTTTTGTACCCTGACTCAAGGCTCTCAAACCTCAGCTTACAAATGATTTTTTCTGGGCTAATGCCTGCCAGCCAGTGGTTTCATTTTGGCAGCCTAACTCTTTGTCTGCACTGTGGTCTTTGGGCAATTCATTTGAATATTTTATTTCCCTTGATTTCTTTTCCCTTGGTTTATGGTTTTATAAAAGAAGTATAAAAATGAAGGTGTGAATAGCAGTGGAGGGAATGTAGTTCTCCTAAATATAATGTAGAAGTAGAGCATCGATTCAGAACTCTAAACAATGGAATTGCTTCAAAATTATCATCAGCCACATAATAAACCATGTCACTGTAGTAACTGAGGAGCAGTCTTCTGTACATGGTGCCTGGGAACTGTGAGGCTACATTTGGCCAGGTTTTAAGTGACCCTCTTAATGACACCCCACTGGCTCAGTCTACCCAGTGGAAACTGGACATAGCATAACCAGCAAGCATAATCACATCAAAGTGGCCCCACAGGTGAAGGACAAATTTTTATGATTTTTGAGTTGTTCTTATGTTTTACATGGTAAGGTTCTTTTCCTTAAATTTTGCAAGCATTGGGAATTAAGATAGCTGAGTTCCAAATATTATGTATCTGGAACACTTCAGCTCCTGGACATTCTGGATAATTAATCTTCTGCCACACAACAGAGACAAAAGTGGAAATTACTAAATGAAAGCAATGGGTTATTAGCCTCAACCTGATGTTTTATAGACTTAAGCTGATTGGCTTTGGTTGGGGGGGAGGGGGTGATTTTGAAGGAAATGAATCAAGAATGTATATGAAATGCCGAAGATCTATCATAGATGCTGTGTATAAAGCTAAGTGAAACTGGAGATTTTATAGCACTTTTAGCTCTCTGCAGAAACCATCAAGCCTTATTGATTACTGGCCTCTTATTTTTATTAATATTAATATTGATTTCTGCTCTTTTATATTTGATCTGCACCTTTTCTGGATTACATTGCATATGATAGCAAGAGATTGTGTTGATTACTTGACATGTCGATTGAGCTGATGGTTGATTTGGAAACAGGGATGCAGAAATTGGTGGTGCAGGGGCCATGAGTGGGCTGGGGAGGTTACCATCATTGCAGAACAGAGACATTGTCTGAATAAAATAGTCCAGCCTTTCAGGTTATGTCCACAGGACCCACTATCACCAACCTTTGCTGGTTCTAATTTCCTATTTTTGAGGACTGGGTTTAAAATCTCTGCTTTGTCATTTACAAATGGAATGACTTGACTCTTCTGAAAATCTCATCTCTAAAATGGAAAAATAACACAGAGTCTGCATGGCTGTCGTGAGGGTTGCAGATTGCATACATAGGTAGCCTGGTGGTTGAATGTGTGACCCTGGAGTCAGGCAGGACTTGCTATGACCCCCATGTCTGGTTGTCGTTCATTCACTGGGCAATCCTGGGCAAGTTATGAGTAACTTCTCTGGCCTTTGTCATGTGTAAAAAGAAGATAATCATGCCTACTCATTCTTGTTGAATGTTTCATGTGTGGAAGTGCTAAGTAAATGCAGCCATTGTTATTATCATGTGTAAAGGGCTGGGCATGGAGTGAGGATGTCTTTTTCCCGTCTTCCTTCCATCCCCATTTTCCAAGTAATGAATTCCTTATCATCCTTTATGGGCTGACACTTCTTTGGAGAAGCCCTTCTGGACTGCTCTTGCAGTGAGGGACTCACTCTGTCTGTGCTCTTCCATTCTTTTTGCTCCCCTGATGACATGAGGCATGACCTCCTGTCTATAAGTCTTTCTTTACTACCAACTGGAAGTCGCTTGAAGCAGAAATTTCCCTCCTGTGATTCAGTCTTATTTTTACCTTCCAGGACCTAGCTCAGTTCTTAGTACATGAGAGTGTTTGAGTGAGTGAGTGAGTAGGTGAATGAACTGAGTCAATAAAGGAATACATGAATGAACAAATGGGTGGAGGACTGAAGCACTGGTCAAAGAAACCCTGGGTTGAACAGGAGCGAGAGGCTAACTTAGAAAGCTGGAAGTCTCAGGGCATAGACTCTTTATCTGGGAAATTGGAGTCTCTGAACCAAAGCTTGCATGCGTATCTGCATCTGAGCACATTTGGAGGGAAGGTCCTCAGATTCTCAGAAGTGTCCCTGGACCCCAAATGTTGACAAGTTGCTGATCTGAACAGACGGAGGAGGCAGGCCCCACTGAGAGGACAGAACCAAGTGATTGGAGGAGTGAGTGTGACAAAAGAGAAAAGTCAGAACTTGCAGGACACTGACTCCTGCAGGGACCTCAGTTAAGGGGTGTGGCCGGTGCCACAAGCAGCCCCTGGGACGGGAACTCCTACAGTCCCTGCGGGCCTTGATGCCTCCTTCTAGGCCGCTCTTGTGCGAGGAAGCTCAGAGGAGGTTTGTGTCTTTCACTGTCTTGATTCTTATCCAGAATCTGCTAGCTAAAAGGGTCTCTCGGGTTCATTGGGTCCAATCGCCTGCCTCCAAATGGACCAAGCCCAAATGGTTCCAGGCAGGCACTGAGTTTTTTCTGCCCCCAAAGATTTCTGCCCTTTTCTTCCTTTCCCTCCCCTATGCTCACCTTCATTATTGTATCCTATCCTATGCTATCCTATCCTATCCTATCCTATCCTATCCTATCCTATCCTATCCTATCCTATGGCATGCTATCCTACCCTACCCTACCATACCCTACCCTATGCTATCCTATCCTATCCTATGCCATGCCATCCTATCCTGTCCTATCCTATCCTATCCTACCCTACCCTACCCTACCCTACCCTACCCTACGCTATCCTATCCTATCCTATCCTATGCCATGCTATCCTATCCTATCCTGTCCTGTCCTGTCCTGTCCATCTATCCCGTCCTATCCTATCCTATCCTATCCCGTCCCATCCTATCCTATCCTATCCTATCCTATCCTATCCTATCCTATCCCGTCCCGTCCCATGCTATCCTGTCCTGTCCTGTCCTGTCCTGTCCTGTCCTATCCTATCCTATCCTATCCTATGCTATCCTATCCTATCCTATCCTATAGTATGCTCTGCTCTGCTATGCTATGCTACCCTATCCTATGCTATGTTATCCTATGCTACTCTATGCTATCCTATGCTATGCTATGCTACACTATCCTATGTTATGCTATGCTATCCTATGCTATGCTACGCTATGCTATGCTACGCTACGCTACGCTACGCTATGCTATGCTATGCTATGCTATACCATCCTATCCTATCCTACGTTAGTCTAGCCTATACTATCCTGTGCTATCCTAGTCTCTCTTTAACTATGCATACTTAACTTTCAGTAAGAGCTGTGGCTTTAAAAATGTGGGTATTGACCCAACAGTGAATTCTAAAGTGGATTTAGAAGATCATGGCCAGCTTATTTAAAAAAAGAATACAATAGAAAATATTAGCATGTATCACACATGTGTTATGTTGTGAAACTTCTTTTTCAGCTCTATGTGTGCTGGATTGTGATGTATATTTCTTTCTGTGTTGTGGTCAAAAAAATTCAACAAGCACCACTCTCAAGCACATCACGGGCACTCAGTAGACAGCACTGAGAGACCTAGCCTGTGATGAGGTATGAGGCAGGAGGACAGGCCGTGTTAGGGGTTACTTCTTGTTGCTGCACCAGGAAGCCCTTCTTTCCTTTACCCCCTCTGTGGCCCACTCCTATCACCCCTGCTTCCTTTTCCTTTTTAATTTTATTTATTGTGGTAAGAACACTTAACATGAGATCTGCCCTCTTAACATATTTGTAAGTATCCAATGCATTGTTGTTGACTGTAGGTGCAATACTGTCCAGCAGGTCTCTAGAGCTGATACATCTCACTACTGAAACTGTATACCTCCTGATTAGTGATGCCCCATTTCCCCCCTCCCAGTTCCCCACAACTGCCATCCCACTCTTTGATTCTATGAATTTGACTCTTTTAGGTACCTCACATGAGTGGAGTCATGCAGTATTTGTCCTTCTGTGATTGGCTTGTACAGATGAATGGATCAAGCAAATGTGGTCTATACACGCGGGGGAATGCTGGTCAGCCTTGGGAGAGAGGGTCCTGGTGCAACATGCACCCAAAGGACATTGTGCTGAGTGAAGTAACCCCATTGCTCTCACCCCCTTCTTGATTCTGTCCTCTCCTCTTGTGCACAGGTTGTATACGTGACTGCGACATTCCCCTACATCATGCTGCTGATCCTCCTGATACGAGGGGTCACGTTGCCCGGGGCCTCAGAGGGCATCAAGTTCTACTTGTACCCTGACCTCTCCCGGCTCTCCGACCCCCAGGTAAGAGTCGCTTGCTCAATGTGCAGCATCACCCACCACCACTGGGAAGCCTTCTGCAGAGCCCCTGCCACTGGCCACTGAGATTCAACAGCTGGTTGAACAGTGGAAAGCCTGTGGACTCTTTCCCAGAATAATTTTAAATGCATAAATTTAATACGTAGGAAATCAAATATTTTGAAATACCGTTACCAAAACATTTTAAAAAGGCAAATTTGTGACATGGTAATAGATGCACATTTTAAAACGAGGACATTACATAGCCAGATCCAGCAGCAAGTCTGATGACTACTGTGATTTTAAAGCAGCAATGAGCATAAGTGACATTTCAAGATAGCTACACCATGATATGAAAATATCTTCTATTGCTAACAGGACTGCAGTTCATTGCCTGCATCTAAAATTGAAACAAATACTAAATTTCAGTTAGAAGTTAATTAAAAATTAAAAAAAAATTACTGCCCCAAATCACAGATCTCTGCAGTAGTGCATCTTGGTGAGAGAAACTGGGTCTTTGTTCATGATTGATTTTCTTTGTGGGAGTAGCTCGTAGTAAAAAAAGAGTTGGAGAAACTGGCTAAGCTATCAGTTGTCTTTGGTAAGGCATTGGTTGTTCTGAATGGTGGGCAGTAATTGTGCCTAAGGTTCTCTTAGTGGGTACATGGTGGTGTGCCCTGGAATACGTTAAACAGATAAAAACAGAACATCTCACAAGCCTGGTGGTTCTCAACCTCAGCTACACGTCAGAAACTCTTGGGGAGCTTTTGAAAACCCTAATTCCCAGAGCATAACCCAGACCAATTAAAATGAACTCTCTGGGTGTGGGTTGCAGGTGTCAGTATCTTTTAAAGGACTCTAGGTCATTCTAGTGTGTGAAATAACTTAATCAAAGACATTTGAGCAGGCAAGCAGGCACTCATTTTTCTGTTAAAACACAGAACACATGGAATCAGTACAGTTTCCAAATAGGAAATGAGGCTTGCAAGAAGTTTCAAGTCTGCGATCTGTGGCTTCCAGCCACCTCCTGTTAGGGGAGCTTGTGGGGGAAGCGTTTGTTGGGGGATGGTTAGTGCAGCTCAGAGGCCCCTCATCACGGTGGGCAGAGTGGGAAGTTAGCTCATTTTTGTCTCAGTTTGCCATGCCTTGCAGGGCCTTGAGGCTGAGGATACCACTAGGCACCTGCATGGCATTCTGAATTGCAGGCAGAATCCCTGGGAAGAAGGAAATTAGCTTCAACTGTTGGCTTTGCCAGTTCCTGATCTCTGATGGCAAAGGCTCAGTTGAAGGAGCAGTTTTGGAGAACATATTCTACAAACCACTGATCGGTGTGTTTTTATGAGGTCCATGCATTCTGCCTTGATCCAAGACAGATTTCCCCTTCTCTCCTCTGCTTATGGGCTTCTTTCTTCCTGGTAGTCATTCAAGAGCCACTGAGTGTCACCCAGAGTTTCCAAATCTGGCTGATCATCCGAATACCTTGGAGCTGGTTAAAAATGCTGATTCTAGGCCCTACTCCCGGTGATCCAGTTGCAGTGGGTCTGTGATGGCACCTGGGCATCCATATTATTAAGAACCCCCAGAGGTGATTCTTATAATCAAAAAAGTTTGGGAAAATCCAGGTGGCACCTACACCTTAAACGCCCCGCCCCCCCCCCCCCGCCCCACCTCCCACACAGAGAGAGAGAGAGAGAGAAAAAAAAAAAACAAACGAGAACTAACACAGAGGTGAGGCAGGCCAGGCCATTTTCTACCATCTGCTTCCTTTTAGGCCCTGGCCACCAGCCAGTATTAAGTAGTGGAGAGCACATTGGTCTGAGAGTTGGGACTTGGGTTCTCCTGGTTCTGCCATGGAACCTGAGTACCTGTGGACAAGTTCCTTCTCCCTTCCCTCTTTCTGGTCCTCAGTTTCTTCACTGGTGACATGAAAGGGTTTTCAAAGTGGATTTGGAGAGCCCCCACTTTTCCATGAGCATAGGCTGGCAAACTATGGCCTTCAGGTCACATCCAGCCCTCTGCCCATTTTTATAAATAATGTTTTATTGGAACACAGCCTGTTATTTGTTTACATATTGTTATCCATGGCTGTTCTAGCACTCAAAGGCAGAGTTGAGTAGTTGAGACAGAAACCCTATGGACCCCTGTGTCGGGGGGTGGTCCCAAGATTACCTACATATTTGGTAATTTAGGATTCACAGGACACAGAAGCAGTTATACTCATGGATGTGGTTTGTTTCCATCATCAGCAAGACAAAGACACTCACCAGGCAGAATGTGGAGGAATCCATGCACAGGCTTCTCACTTTCCCTCCCTCCTGCCTGGAGCGGGTATGCAGACTGTGTTCCTTCCTCCAGCAAGGAAATGCAGCAGCATGTGTGCAGGGTTTCTGCCCAGAGAAGCCTTCCTGCGATGCAGAGTCCAGGTTTTTAGTGAGGGTGTTTTATTGACTGCACAGGTACTTCCTGCCTCCATGATCAGCCACAACCCTCTGACTTCCAGACTCTCAGAGGAAACACAGGTGTTCACCAGAAATCACATTGCTATACAAATGGTCTAGGCAGGCAGCCTTTATGGGATTCAGTGTTCCAGGCATACAAAACAACCGTGTCAATTAGTACCACAGGGAGCATCCTAAAAGCCCAATTCCCAGACACCAGGCAAGAGCCAACACTACAAATGGGCCCGACTTTGGAGCAACATTGGGCCTGCTCTGTTGACTCTTTCCTACAGGCCTGCAAAATCTCAAGTGTTTACCACTTGGCTCTTTCTAGAAAAAGTTTGCTGACAGTGCACTGGGGTACCCTCAGGGGCATGTGAGCAGGGGTTGATGGGCCCCACTCCACCTGACCCCCGACTCCGTCCTTGTTGCTCTCCACCCCTGCTGCCACCAGCCTAGTCCAGGCCACCACCATCTCCCACTGGAAAACTGTAGTAGCCCCCTAACTGGTCATCCAGAAATGGCTCCTTGACCATCTAGGCCACTCCCCACCCAGCAACAGAGGGATCTTTTTGAAATGTAAATCCAATGGGCACCTCTTTTGCTTAAATTCTCCTGGGATTCCCTGTGGTCTTTGGAATAAGATCCAAATGGTGGGGTCCCTACTGTCCTCTGTGAGCTGCCTCCTGGCTGCGTCCCCTACTACTCTCCCCCTCTTTCAGCTCATTCCAGGTATTGACCTCCTCTCTGGGCATCCAGTAGACATGGCCTTTCTACCCCAGGGCCTTCACATATGCTGTTTCTCTGCTGGAAACACTCCTTCTTTCTTCCCCAGACTGTCCTTCCCCAACTTGACTGACCAACCATCCACTCATCCTTTTTTTTTTTTTTTTTTGAGATGGGGTCTTGTTCTGTCATCCAGGCTGGAGTGCAGTGGTGTGATCTCGGCTCAATGCAACCTCCGCTTCCCAGGTTCAAGCAATTCTCCTGCCTCAGCCTCCTGAGTAGCTGGGATTACAGGAGTGCTCCACCACACCTGGCTAATGTTTGTATTTTTTTTTTTTTTTAGTAGAGATGGGGTTTTGCCATGTTGGCCAGGCTGGTCTCAAACTCCTGACCTCGTGATCCACCCACCTTGGCCTCCCAAAGTGCTGGGATTACAGGCGTGATCCACCGTGCCTGGCCCACTCATCCTTTAGGACTGAGTTTAAACATCACTTTCTCAGGCAAGTCTTTTCTGATTGCCCACCATGCACCACCCCCAGCACCCCATACTTATTTTCCAAAGCACCTACATATCCTATATATTTACAGTAAGATATTTATGTGTGTATATAATTGTGTGTGATCTTTATTTGTTCAATGTCCATTTACTTGTTGAACAGGTATTTTCTGAGTGCCTACTCTGTGTCAGAGATTATTGTAGGCATTGACAGTTTTCCACAGGGTGGCCACTGGCTGAGAAGGCAGCTTGGGAGCAAGGTCTGTATCTGCCTTTCCTACCATTGTATCCTCAGTCCCTGATGAGCTCAATGCCTGGTACACAGTAGGTGTTCCTTAAATGTTTGTTGAATGATAGGAGTAAGGGCTATTTTCATTTTTCACAAGAAGGTTCTCTTTAACAAAAAGTCTAATAACCTCCAGATCACCAAATCCGTGAGCTGTAATGTTTTTTGATTCTCTGTCAGCGATGGCTAGGAAGTGTGTATGTGTGTTTGTGTGTGTCCCAAAAGCAACTATGTCCCCAAAAAGTAACTGCTGATTTTCTGTGGCATAAATAAGGATCGCGACCCCAAGAGGGAAAGGAAAACAAAACCCCATGTATGTTGGTGTGTTTTGGCAGCTGGGGTATGCTGCAGGAAGAAGCCCAGTGTGGCCTAATTCCAACTGTCCCCATTTGTGAATACCCAGCCCATGAAGAAGCAAGAAGCACTGGTTTCCATTCCTGCTCTCTGCCAGTGGTGATATGACCTTGAGGAAGGCTCCTAGCCTCTAGGGGGCCATGTCCCCTCCTCCCTCAATCACAGGTTGCACCCGCCTGCCCCAGCCAATGGCCTTGAAGGTTAAGTTTGATGGCCCAGTCATGGAGGAATATTTTTTCTTTTGAATTATGTATGTATGTTTATAGGCATTAGGAATAAAACCGGGACATAAACCATATCAAAATCATGGCTTTATTGCTATTATTGCTAGAATGAGACTATATATATGATATGTATGATCTCATACATACACATATATACATACATACATATATATACAGGTTGAGTATCCCTAAGTGCTCCAAAGTTTGAAACCTTCTGTGTACCGACATGGCTCTCAAAGGAAATGCTTCAATGAGCATTGGAGCTCTTTGGAGCATTTCAGATTTTCAGATTAGACATACTCAACCTGTACATACATACATACACATATATGTCATATATGTGATTAAAAGTGAGGCTAATTTAAAGGCAAATGTTCAAAAAATATTTAAAAAAAGCATGGACATGACAAATGTAGTGCAGGTGGAAGGTGGCTGGCCAACATCTGAGGCACAGTGCTGTGGCGGTAGAGAAACATCCTAAGCTAGTCTTAGGACTTCCATAGCCACATGGTCACCCTACAGACAACTGAGGCACAGCTCCCAAAGTTAGGAAGAGTAGATTAGGAAGAGGGGTCGACTGGAAGTATTTTATCAGGAAGTCAGTGAAAGTTTCCATCTTGTATCTCTTTGTAGTGTTGTCCTCTTAGCAAGTCCACATTATTTGTTTGTTTTCTGAAAATGATCCTTAGTTTTCCTGTACTTCTGGAAATGATCCTGCAGTTCAAATTGCACCACGAAGAAAAGTTCCCAGATAGTGTCCCTAGGCCTGGCTGTTGGGCTAGTCTGGGAGCATGGGCACCTTTGTGTCTTTGGGATAATCCAGCAGTTGCAGTATTCAGGCCTCTTGCAGCTATGAGAAATTTAAGTGGGTGACTCTATAGCCAGTAAAATCTCTCCCACAAGTGGAGAAATAGGAAATAGGAAGGAGAGGTGATTAGGGGAGGAAGAGAAGCCTGCGGGGAGTCAGAGGGCTGAGCCTCAGGCTGAGCTCCAGGATACTTTCAGGTCTCCAGCCTCTGAGCCCCGTTGGTCCCCAGGGCTGCTCCATCTAGTCCCTTGGAGGATGAGGGTGAGCTCAGGTGGACTGAGGGCCAGGAGGGGGTGAAATGAGCACTTGGTGGGGAGTCCTTCCTAGTCTATGGACTCCAGGATGGCAGGGATTACAACAAACATGTGTCCCATTCATCTATCACCAGAGCCCAGCAACCCTTCCTTAATTTGTTCTACTGGTAGTTATTGCAGCCCCACCTGTGCCAGCTACTCAGCATGTAGAATGAGTAAGAGCCTCCTTGTCCCCAGGGAGCATGCAGTCTGATGGGAAAGGGTGGAGTCTCACCTCTTCTGGGGTTCCCTCCCTAGAAGAAGAAGGAAGTGTGGTTGGATGAGACCAGAAGTTCTCCTCCATTCTTAGTCTGTTGAGAAGGAGTAGCAAATTGTTGTTGGTAATCATCTGAGTACCAGAGCCTGTGAACGACTTGTGCCTTTTATACATTAGAGTGGGCTTAAAGTGACTGCATTTAGGCTGGACACAGTGGTTCACCCCTGTAATCCCAGCACTTTGGGAGGCTGAGGCAGGCAGATCACTTGAAGTTGGGAGTTTGAGACCAGCCTGGCCAACATGGTGAAACTCCGTCTCTACTAAAAATATAAAAATTAGCCAGATATGGTGGCACACACCTGTAATCCCAGCTACTCTGGAGGCTGAGGCAGGAGGATTGCTTGAACCTGGGAGGTGGAGGTTGCAGGGAGCCAAGATAACGCCACTACACTCCAGCCTGAGGGACAAAGCGAGACTCCGTCTCAAAAATAAATAAGTAAGTAAAGTAGAGTGGCTGCATTTATACCATCACTTTCCCTCTCTTGCCTTTCTAGGAACTTCCTGGAAAGGTCCACTGGGAAAGTCAGGAGGGCTGTTAGCTTGTGTACCTTGCGTTAGAACCCCAAAATTGCCTTGTCTCTTGTGGCTCTGTGAAGGGCCAGCCTGCCATCGTGCTCCAGTAATAACCGTGGGGATGGCATGTTATCAGCAGAGTTCACTTCTCTGCAAACATGTGTGGGGTTCATGAAGCCTGGGCCTGGGCCAGGACAAGTGGGCACGTGCAGGTCAGCAGGTAGAGGAGAGTCCGTTGGCACCTTCCCACCCCAGAGGATACTCTTCTGCCCACATCCCCACCAGAGCGATGAGGAGCCCCAGTTTAGCCCTGTGGCCCGTCCATGATCCAGGATCTCCATTAATTCCAGACTGATTCCCAGCTCCCCTTCCCTCAGGATTACAAGGGGCTCAGACATGCCTATTTGCTGTGTCATTTACATTTCTAAAGGGGACACAGGGCGTCTGACTGGTACAAAGCTCTGGACTCCAGCTTCCAGCCTTATACAAGGACGTTCCCTGGGAGG
Source organism: Homo sapiens (assembly GCF_000001405.40). NCBI lineage: Eukaryota > Metazoa > Chordata > Mammalia > Primates > Hominidae > Homo > Homo sapiens. The sequence goes on from NC_000003.12 coordinate 10,882,011, forward strand.
GTGCTCCTGCCCCTCCACATGTGGGCAGCAGGGATTCTGCATGAAGGCTGATAAAGTGTTGAGCTGGGTGGCTGTGGCTGCCTTCATGGTGGCCCCATTCGTCCTCCCTCCCGGCCAGTAAAGCCAGAAAGGGTGAAAAGAGCTCAGCCAGGAAACCTGAGGGCTGAGACGGCACAGCAAGTCATTTCTACTCCTTCTTTGGAGCCTTGGGAGCCATTTTACTTTCCTGCTCTTTATGCAGAAGTGGGGAGAATAGCTTCTCCACTGATCAAGAGAGAGAAGTGTGAAAATTGTTTGAAAGTCTAACGGGGTGCCCGCCCGACCGGTGCAGTCACAATGAAGGTCCCAACCACCTTATTTAAAATCTTACCACCACCCCACGTGCTCCTGGTGCATCTCATCTGTCTTCCCAGCTTGCACTCATCACCATCGCAGATGCCATTCAGTTTGCATCACCGTTCTCCACCCACTAGGATGTACGCCCCATGCAGGTGGAGAATTTATCTGTTACTTGCCCTGTTCAATCTCCAGACCTGGAACAGTCCCTGCAACACAGGAAGGGCTCAGGAGATATTTTTTGAATGAATCGAAGGAAGGACCAAACAAGTGAACAAAGGAAGGAAGGAAAGACAGAAGGAAGAACAATTTCTAGTACAGCCTGTGTTCTTTTGCGTTACGGTTGCAGTTGTGAGTGTGCTCTTCAGAAAGCGGTATTCTTGGTGTAGTGGGATCTGGTGTGGAGGCGAGGAAATGGGAGTCACTCTGCTGCCACTGGCCAGATGGTGACCAACAGCCTGCCCCTTGACCTCTCTGGGCTCCAGGTTCTCACCTGTGCATTGTGGGTAAGAATATCGGCCGCACAGGGAGGCAGTGGGGCAAGTGTGCACATGAGGCCCAGAGCACCTCCACGTTTCCCTTCTGGCACCCAGCCTAGGGCCTGGGAGCCAGAAGAGCTCTGGAACACCGGTGGCAGTCCTCATTTTTGCCTCCACCTTGCCAGCTCTGGGCAGGACGAGTCAGGGCCCCACAGCCCAAGGGGGCGGGGGGCGGGGAGGTGGGGGGGCGCTTTGAACTTGGAACCGAGGACCTTTATTGTGGATCCAGTAAATTAAGTTTCTCGTCAAGAACTTGAAGCGACACAGCAGCTTGCCGCTTTTGTCCCCCAGCAATTTGCATTCCGTGGTCTGTTATAATTTTCTAAACATTTGTTGGTCTTCACTGTCAGCCCCGTGTTCTCTCTGAAGTGTGAAGTGCTTCCACTCCATTTTTTGCCCTCAAAATTTTACTTTCTGTCTTTTCAGTCTTTGGGGAGCTGAGGGGATCTTGCAAGAAATCACATTGTTCCTGCCCCAGATTCCCGCTCCTCTCACTCATCATTGTGTTTCAAGTGTGTGTTTTCAGGGCAAGAACAGAAAGGCCTGTCACAGATCCAAATGGTGGGGTCTGCTTTCTCCGGGCACTGGTGCACCAGTTCCCCAGATCCACCTCCTCTGTGCAGGGAACTGGAGCCTGAGACTAAGGCGTCCAAACTCTGGAGCTGGGATGAAAGATGCCCACACTGTGAGAGCACCTCAGAACACCAAATCTTCCCTGCCTCCCCAACCCACAAAAAGATGAATCAGGGAAAACAAGACCCCAGTTCAAGACCCTACCTGCTGAACCTCACAGATGTTACCATGGAATTGCTGCCACCTGGTGGCAGTGTACTCTGATTCTAAGCAAGGACCCAAAGAAGATTGGGCCTTCTGGCTGTTGGACTTTCAAACAAAAATGTCCATATCGACATCAACACAGAGACATTATATACGGTTTTGAAAATATTGCAAAGTAGTGGCCCTCACTGAGGTGGGGGCCACTACTTGAGACTGAAAATCCCCCAAGGTTTCCTTTCAATGTATTTGTTCCTGAGTTAGTTTCATTGTTCCTAATACCAAGCACTGGAATGTAAAATCAGATCATCACACATGGCGCTTATCTTCAAGGAAATGACAGTCTCTTGACACAGACACATGATTAAGCCAATGACAACAGTGGTGCCGGGCGGTGCTGAGGTTGGAACTGACCTGACAGGTGTACTCCTTCCAGTCAGAGGGTAAATTCCTCTGTAATTAGAGATGCATCACTGATCTAACATCATGCACGCTTAAAGGTAGTGGATGTTTATTCTTTTCTTGTTTCATTCCTGGCTGTTTCAGCAGTGTCTTATGATCCACAGTCCTGGAGGTTGAAACGCTGCTTGGGTACTCATAAAACTACTGATGCTGGTTATCATTGATTGATTGCTGACTTTATGCCAGGTACTGTGCTTTAGAAACTTGTCTTTTAATTTATCCAATCAGCAAATAGTTGAAAATTATTATATTTTAGACATAGGAGCTAAATGCTATATATAGGTAAAATTCTTATGACCTATAAGATAGGACCTGAGGTCTTTTTACATCATCTTATAAGTCATGAGAATTTTAAAGCCTGTGTCTTAAAGGCTCTACCAATGAGAGGACTGAGGCTCTGAGGGGCTGAAGCTTGCACAGCCAGCAGCTGAACCCAGGTGAGTCTGACTTGGCTGTGTGAGGGATACGGTACTGAAACTGTGTCGTGTCTGATTTTCCTGACCTCTCTCTATCCCTGCCCAGTCCTGGGCTGGCATTCCGGCTCTGGAATCTCTGAGCATCCCAAACCTATGTGACAACTTTGCAAGAATCCTAGAATCTTAGCCTTGGGCAGCTTTAATCTCCATTCAGCGCAGGAATCTTCTCTGTGGTAACCTTGTCAGCCTCCAGTTGGCCCCTCTGAGAGGGAGGCCTGTTACCTCTACTTTGGGACAACGTTCTACTCACCTGGTTCCCAATGTTGAGACATTCATTCATTCTATAATTTGATTATTCTTTCTTCACTTATCTGCTTTAGTTTGTCAGTCCCCCACTTTGAGAGTATCTACCAAGGTTGAGCATACTAAGTTAAGTGCAGCCTGAACAACTGAGGCACAAGTCGGCCTCCTCCGAGTGAATAGAATAGAATCAAATCACCTCCAAGGTGGGCTTCTATCTCCTCTTGATCACCGCTGCTCCCTTTCTCACATGGCAGACCAAGGGAGCTTGTTAAAAGGGATCCTGGATCGTACAACCTTCTGGCATTGTTCTTTGAATGCATTTTCCTTTAATTATTTGAATGCATTTATATTATATATTTATAGTAGCTTCTTTAAAATCTTTTATACTACGTAGTTGAATTACTAGATGACCACCTTAACCTTGTGTAGGCTCAACTTTGTTTTCTTAGTGCAGGTCTGTAGAAATCTGGACTGTTCCCAAGCCCCTCTAACTCAATAGGACTTGATAGGATTCCAAGCTCTGCCTCCCCTATAAATCTCATCAGGGCTTGGCTTTAGACTTAATTAGGATGAGTGTAAAGTCGTTCTGACTCTAGAGCATGGGTCTCAACTGAGGAAGCTTTACCTCCCAGGAGACATTTGGTAATGTCTAGAAACATTTTTTGATGGTTACAATTAGGGGATGTTACCAGCATGTAGTGGGTAGAGCCCGGGGTACTGCTAAACATCTTACAATGCACAGGACAGCCCCCATGATAAAAAAAAAAAAAAAAAATCAGGTCCCAGATGTCTGTAGTGCTGAGGTTGAGATACCCTGCCCTAGGACATGGTTCTTGCTCCTATGGTGAGGTCTTTCTGTGTCTCAGCTGAGTGCCAAGCATGAAAACTTGGGGTTGACCAGATCTCTCCACTGTGGCAGGGTTGGGAGCCCCCATCCCCTTGCCTCCCTCCCCCTGCCATCAGCATCCAGACTCCAGGGTCTCTATTCTACTCATCTCTGTAGCAATGCTCTCTGGTGAGCCTTGAGCGGTCCCACCTAGCCAGCCCAGCCTCACAGAGAGCCTCCACATGGACTTCTGGGTCCCCTCTGTGCACAGCTCCCTTTCCAGCACTCCCACTGTGGATTCCAGCTGTTCCCACTGTCCTCACTCTGGCACTGCCTCCTCTGCCCAGGGAGACTGCATGCTATGCTCAGACTCAGCTCTCTGCATGGTGGTCAGGAAGTAGTGACCAAGCAGCAGGATGGGCAAACCCTCTCAGGGGTTCCCATCTCTCAGGATTGCAGTCTAGCCCTGCACATTGTCTACTACCTGAAAATAGTGGTTTCCGTTATTTTGTCTGCTTTAATAGTTGCTATGGCAGGAGGGCTGGGCTGATCCCTGTTACTCTGGTGTGACCAGAAGCAGAGATCGACTCCCTTGCTCACCACCCCATGGCTGCATCCTCTTGCTTCAGGATTCAAATCAAGACTGCTCCCCGTGGCCATGGTCAAGGAGCCCTCTGTGGCCTGGTCCCTGTCCCATACAGCCTTGGGCATTCCAGGATCAATTCTGTTGCAGGGCTCTGACTTCTGCCTGGATCACTCTCCCCTGAGATATTCCTGTGGCTGGCTCCCTGTCATCCTGCAGATCTCAGCTCCAAAGTCAGGTCACCTCTGACCACATGAGCTCAAACGTCCCTCACTAGGCTGGGTATGGTGGCTCATGCCTGTAATTCCAACACTTTGGGAGGCCAAGACATGTGGATCACTGAGGTCAGGAATTCCGGACCAGCCTGACCAATATGATGAAGCCCCATCTCTACTAAAAATACAAAAATTAGCCAGGCATGATGGCATGTGCCTGTAGTCCTAGCTACTGGGGAGGATGAAACCGGAGAATTGCTTAAACCAGGGAGGTGGAGGTTGCAGTGAGCCAAGATCATGCCACTGCATTCCAGCCTGGGCAACAAGAGCGAGACTCCATCTCAAAAAAAAAAAAAAAAAATCTCTCCCTAGACCCTATGACCTAACAAAGCCCTTGTTTTATTTTATTCACAGGGCTGATGGCTGTCTGAAGTAATCTCATGCTTATTTGTTGATGTGTTCATTGTTAATATCCCCATTAAGAAAGTGATCTCCATGTGAGCAAAGAATTTGTCTGTCTTATCCGCTGTGAACTTCTCAGCACCTGACACAGAGCCTGGTGCATGAGAGGCTCCCAGTCAGCACTGGATGAATGTATGGACAGATGGATGGATGGATGGGCAGACAGACGGATGGATGGATGGATGGATGGATGGAAGGAAGGATGCACAGATAGATGATAGATGGATGCATGAATGGGTAGATGGATGATAGGTGGACAGATGGATAGATGAATGATAAATGGATAATGAATGGGCAGATGGATAGATAGATGCATGGATGGATGATGAATGGATGGATGGTTAATGAATGGATGATGGATGATAAATGGATGATGGATGGATGGATGGATGGATGGATGGATGGATGGATGGTGGATGCCATATAGTGATTCAGATAAAGGAACATAGACAATCAGAGAAGAACAACATTATTTTCAGTCACATGTCCTGGAAAAGACTTTATGAAACACACAGTCTTTTCTTTTTTTTCTTTTTTGAGATGGAGTCTCACTCTGTCACCCAGGCTGGAGTACAATGGCCTGATCTCGGCTCACTGCAACCTCTGTCTCCCGGGTTCAAGTGATTCTCCTGCCTCAGCCTCCTGAGCAACTGGGATTACAGCTGTGCGCCTCCACATCTGGCTAATTTTTGTATTTTTAGTACAGACAGGGTTTCACCATGTTGGCCAGGCTTGTCTCAAACTCCTGACCTCAAGTGATCTGCCCGTCTCAGCCTAAAGTGCTGGGATTACAGGTGTGAGCTACCGTGCCCTGCTGAAACAGACAGTCTTTGATTTGATCTCTGCAGGATTAGGAAGAAAAGTCTTTTCAGAAAGAAGCAAAGATCAGAGGTGGAAAGTCTGCAGATATGCAGGAAATGGTCTGTAGTTCAGTGTAGCTACAGGATAGACTTTGTGATAGGGAATCATAAGAAATAAGATGAAGTCAGTAGACTGAAGCCTCTTCATTAAGAACCTTGACTGCAAAGCCAGAGAGTTCAGATTTCATTCATTGGTCTGGAGAGAGCTATTGAATGTTTTTGAACAAGAGATGACTGGCATGAAAAGAGCTGTAATTTCAGAAGATTACTCAGATAAGAGAGAGGCTCAGCAAAGCTCATCAATGAAGAGTATGAGTTTTCAGAGCAGCATGTGAATGCCTGCTCTTCATTCTCCACTGTGTGACGTTAGGCGGAAGGCTCACCCTCTCTGAGCCTCAGTTTCATCTCTCGTAAGCTTCTAGAGGAGAGAGCCTTATCCTTTACTCATCTCCTTCCTCCTTGCAGATTTGTTAAGGTTAGGTGAAAAAGCACATTATAGCTGTTTAGAAAGGGCAAGCGAATAGAATGAATTTGGAGAATACAGCCAGATTGGGGGAAAATGAGGCTGCTATCAAATGACCTTGAGTTTCGAGGAGTATGGCAAGGAAGAATCTGACTGAGGATGGAGAAGGCTTTGCAATGTCATGGGGGTCTGGCAGCTGTGATGTTACAGCCTATGGGCAGTTGTGGCTGGAGCTAGTGCCATCGTGTGAGTTTGTCTGGCTACCTCCAGAAGTTCAAGAGGATCAACACAGTAAGGAGACAGTGGAGTCACTTCAAAGAGATGTCAGCAAACATTCAAGGTGCACGTACTGTGTGCAAGGCCCAGCCACGCAGTGAGAGTACAGGGATGAAATGGTGGTGTTTTCACCCTTGAGAATTTTGCTGTCTCATAGAGGAGAGATGTTGCCACGGCAGGGGCTGGTGAGAACCTTGGAGAGTCATGAGCTGAGCTGTGCCAGCACAAAAGAGGAACAACCAAGTGCCTGTCTTCAGGTATTCTCAGGCTGTTTTGTTAGAATGCCCACCTTATGTTTATTCATCCACCAAATATTTGTTGAGTACCTACTGTATGCCAGGCATGATGCCAGGCTTTGCTTTTTAAATTAATCAGGAGAAATTTACCAAGTATCCATTCTTGCTAGATATTTCCTGGGCACTGTGGGAGTGGGGTGGAGGTTGGGTGGGGAGGATGAGTAAGACACATTTCCTGTTTTCTCAGACAGGAGTTTTTAAGTGGGGGAGGATCTTTAACCCCCCTCTCCAAAATTGCACATTAAATTTTGCAGATTAAGTATAGTTTTTTTAGATTAATAGATTTTTATTAATTTTAGCTGTTTTAAGTTTACAGAAAAATGGAGCAGAAGGTACAGAAAGCTCCCATATACACCCCACACCTCCTCCCAACACCCATTTCCCATATTAGGAACATCTTGCATTTGGGTGATACATTTGCTATAATCAAGGGGCCAATATTGATTTATTATTATTAATTAAATCCATAGTTGACATTGGAGTTCTCTCTTGGTGTTGTACCTCCTATGGGTTTGGAGGTACCTCCAAATGTGCAATGTTGTAGCTCCAGTGAATGTGTAATGTCACGCACCCACCACTGCAGTATCACACAGAGTAGTTTTCCTGCCCTAGATATCCCCTGTGCTCTGCCTGTTCAGCCCTCCCTTCCCCTGAACTGATCTTTTCCCAACCTCCATAGTGTTGACTTTTCCAGATTGTCACATAGTTGGAATCATACAGTTTGTAGCCTTTTCAGAGGAGCTTCTGTCTCTAAAACCTTATTACTACTGAAAGTGTCTCCAGGCCTAGCACCAGCCTTATTTGGGAGCTTGTCAGACATGCTGACTCCCTCAGGCCCCATCCCAAGCCTGCTCAATCAGATCCTGCATTTTAGCAACACCCCTGGTGGTTTTTATACACATGAAAATTTGAGGAGCACTGGTCTAAGAGAGCACTGAAGGCAGGCTGAGGCCTGTCAGACAAACCAGTGAGGGCTTGTGGTCAGAGGAAGCAGAAGTTCTGGGGCTAAGTAGTCTAGGCAAGAAGGAATTCCTGGGTGTTGGGGCCACCCACCTGCCCTCGCTCCCATGCCAGGGGGGAGAGAGAGAGAGAGGATCACTTCAGAGCTTCCTGCAAAGGGAATGGAATGGATCCCTTCAACAATTTCCACTTTCTAGAACTACATTGTCCCATACAGTAGCCATAAACCACATATGTCTATTTAAATTGAAATTAAATAAAATTTACAACTCAGTTCCTCTGTTTCATTAGTCAGATTTCCCATGCTCGATGCCCATCTGTGGCTAGTGGCCACCATATCAGAGAGCACATACATAGAACATGTCTATCATCATAGAACATTCTATTGGACATTAGTGCTTTATAGGAAAAAAGGCCCAAGAAGCAGGAGGATGTGTAGAAACTGGAGCTTCAATTGTGCCAGGTACTGGAAATGGAGCAGTCACTCCTGGTGCCCTGAAGGCACGCTGACAGCCCTTGTGGGTTTCGTTCCTAAGAATGAAACAGCAGAGTTCTAAGAATGCCCACTGAAGAGTCAAGACCTGAACCATGGCCACAGTTGTCTTTGGAAGAAAAGACTGCAACTAAAGTCCATCTGTGAAGTGCTGTGGGAGGCTGTGATAGCTGTACATGCAGCACCACTGGGTTGGGAGGAAAGGGTCTATCCCTGAGTGCAGTGCAGAGATAGGCGGTGTGGTGCTGACTCAGTCAGTGTGGCTGTTAACTATCTTTGTCCTCTTTCTGAATAAGAAAAAATACTCTAGCACACAAATTCCGCTCTAAATCCCACGCTGTCATCATCCCTGTGATATTTACTTTTTGATTCTGCCTTATTACTTCTTAAGAGTTGACACTTGTATTTCACAACATGCTGTACTGATTTCTTTGCTCCCCATTGTTTTCATTCCTTTCTACAGGATTACATTTTCTTCTTGTTGGAGTTAATCCTTTAGCAGTTCTTTGAGCAAGGGCCTGGAGTAACTAAGCTCTCTTAGTCTGTGTATTTCTGGAAAGACATTTATTTCACTTGAGTGGTAGTTTAGCTGGGTATGGAATTGTAGGATGGTAATTTTTAAGTTACATTTTGAACTTGGATGCCCATATTGCAAGAGCAGTGTGTAATCATACCCATATCTGGCGCTTTCATGGTGAGCTGAGGGGTAGAGTTTCTAACTTCTGGCTCACTATGGGACAATCCTTTCTAGCTCCCAGCTCTTTTCAGTAAGCCTAATTAGCTTTTGGTCATACCCACAGCATGCAATCTTAACTCTACCATTGGGAAGGAATGAAACCTCAGCCTCTCAGACTTCTATTTGCTCAGATGTCCCTATGGGTTGCTAGGTCTATTCCTCCTCCTCCTCAACTTCAGTTTTGACTTCTCATTTCTAGCATCTGGGAGAATTTTCTATCTTCCTTAAAATGGATTTAAAATGTTACAGATTTAAAAGGCTGTGATTTAAAATATTTCATAATTATCTGTTTTCTGTAACTGTCATAAAAATATTAACCCTCAGCATTTACTTTTCTTTATCTGCTAGTCTTGAACATGATATATTGAATATTCAAGTAGCCAATTAATATTAAGGGAGATACCCTTATTCATGCTTAATTCAACAGCTCAATTTTATTCATAAAATCATGTGTCAGTGGTGGTGATTTCATATTTCATAATTTCCATAGTTTTATATTCTGACACTAAATTTGTTTCTTACACATAGAGTAAAATTATACTCATGAAGGTATTTGGCAAAGAACTCCATAAAGCTCATTTATTTGCTATTTTAATAAATTTAAGAGCCAGTATGTAGGTCCAACTTCTTCTTTTGTTGATGAGTACCTGAGTGCCAGAGAGAGGATATGGCTCACCCAAGGCCACAGCTGGTGGAGAACTAGACCAGGACCGAGAACCTCCAGTTGAAACATTTGCCACTTTTCCACCCCTTTGAGTCTATTTGCTCATCTATGAAATGAAGAGGTTAGACCAGACATGGAATCAGGTCCTGTCTCACTAATTTTGTGTCCTTGGGCAGGTCACATAACTTCTCTGGGCTTCCATGTTAATAAACCCTACTCTGTCCACCTCAAATGGCTGTGGAAAGCATCAAATAGGCAGATGTGTGTGAAAGAGCTCTGAGCAACACAAGGGCTACAGAGCAGCTCTTGTTATTAAGTTGCTATGACTGGTTCCTGCAGCTCCTCCATAGTTGGGAAGAAGTGTGCTTTGCAGATGCAGTGTGTTCTGATGATTTCTGATATAGCACAGCTTTGTAAGAGAGCAGGAATTTCTTTTGTGAGCAGCAAGATGACGGGTCTTTGATACCTCTTAGTTGGCTGGGATTGTGACACTTGATGTCCTTCTCTGAAAACTCACTGGTGTGTGAATCTCATGTTCCATTTCTCTCACTTCTCATATGCAAGCCAAGCGCTGGAAAGCCCTACAGGGCGAGTGCTGAGTCCTGCATAATGTTCACACAGAGGCCAAACATAGCTCTGCCTCCTTGCTTAGGGTCTCAGTGACGTTCCAAACAGTAGAGGCAAGTGGGTGCTGCTCAGCCTCCTATGCTGTACCCATCTCGGTCCTTCATGCCCCACTGCTCATCCCAGGAGGCACTGTTGCATGGTACGAAACTCCCAGGCTAAGAATCAGGAAACCCAGCTCCACCACCGACCTTGAACTGTCACTGTACCTCCTTGTGCCAGAGTTCCATCAGCTGTAAAATGAGAGTGTCTAGTAAAATCACTGTCTTCCTTTTTTTTTTTTTTTTGCTATCAGTAATCCCTTTTATTTTCCCCCTTATGATCCACCAGCATGGACCATGTGTTGCTGACAGGAAGTTCCTATTAGCAGTTGTATGTGTCTGATTAATAAAAGCTGGCAAAGCCCAGGAATTAGTCTTTAAAATGTCCTTTGGAGGAGACAAAGCCCAGAGAGAAGAGATGATTTACCTGTGGTCATGAGAAGATTTTTATATCATAAATCACCTGGAAGGGAGAAACTGCACGTCTCCAAGGTTATAGATGACAGTGCATTAGGATTTCCCAAGGCTGTGGAAGTGCGTGGGGGAAACGGGTTGGGTGAATGTCATTCTAAGCAAGCGTATGATTAACATTCCTGGGTGTTAATCCAAGCTACAGTTGACTGACCCTTCCAGAACGTGAACATTTTATCCAACTCTACCTCTCCTATGATGGCTTGCAAACTGCCTAGCACATAGTAGGTGCTCATTAAGTGCATATTGTAGCCTGTGGTTGTCATCTCAGAGTTAAGCTCCTGCCTGGGATGGTGAGTACCATGATAATTGTCCTTCTTCTCCAGCCCTGTCACCTGTTTGGAGCTTTAAAGAAAATATTCCCTAAGAAAGACAGATGAGGAAAATAAATAACAGATACAGACCTCTTTAGTGAATACCTCAGAGACAGAATATAAAATTAATCCATAGGTTTGTGCAAGGTGAGGTTGGAGGAATGCAAACTTCTATCTTATACTTGCTCCCCTTTCTCTCTTGACTCGTGGAAGACTTCTACCTCGCCCAGAAGGGAAACAGCTGAAAATGAGGCTTAACAACTGCTCAGATGAATCTGTGAATCACAGATGGATAATATCAGGAGTTCAGAGGTGTTTTTAATCTTTGAGGGGACGTCAAGGAGGAGACAACTGATCCCAGAAAACTCAGTTTTTCTGATCTGAGACTGAACGTTGGTTTTGGTTTCGGTTTCTGACATCACCTGGCAGGGTAGGAGTTTCCTCAGTTTCCCCCCACTGATGCAAGCATGAGTTACTGGGCACAAAGCATAGTCTTCTCACCAAAGGATTCCTGAGAAGTGTCGTGAACGCGTCTCTTCCAGTGAGGCCTCCAGTTCCCACTGTGGGACGAGAGTATTCCTTCTGCTGTCTTGTGGGTTGGTTCTACCTGCACATGCCCACCCCCTGGACTCTACTATGGGTGTTTCACTATGTCAGCTTCACCACAGACCTTTCTAGCCCCCATCCATGCATTCTATTTTATTTTTTGATACACTTCAAAGTAAGTTGTAGACATCAGTACACTTCAGCCTTAAGTACGTTGGCATTGATGTCTGTAACTTACTTTATTTTTACCTGATCATTCTTAGTTTTACAGCTCAACCCAAAGCCCTGAAAAATCGCTGAGGGAAGCATGAGGAATGAAGACAGCCCCTCCCTCACAGTGGCTTTGCCCCGAAGCCAAGGCCACTGTGTCCCACACATTATCCAGGAGGGCGTGTTGTGGTGGCCTGCCATCTCCCATTAGTCCACCAGGTTAGCCACCCCTCCTGGTTTCCTGCCTGACACAGCCCTGCATGTTTACCCATTCCCCCAGGCCCCTGGGTCCTGCTGCTCCCACTGGCTTATGTGAACCAGGATGCTCCGTTAGTCAGATTCCCAGGGAACTGGCGCCGTTTAAAGCTGTCACCGGTTCCATTCAGATGAGCATAGGAGAGGCAATGTGAGCAGGTGGCAATGTGACCCTGAAGGCTGGCAGGACCTGAGAGGTGGAAGGAGAATGGTATGTAAGCAGGGCAGGCAGGTCAGTGAGTGTCAAGCAGTGAAATCCGTCTGGACATTGGGCCTGCAGAGAGCAGAGAGATAGGTAAGATAAGAGCGTTTGGCTCCAGGCTCATTTACACCACCTCTCCTCTTGGTGAAGATGATGGCAGTCCACTGGGAAGACGAAAGTGAGCAGCAGCCAGGCAATGCACAGAAAGACAAATACCATGTGATCTCACTTATCCTGTATGTAGAATCTAGAAAAGTCAAACTCACAGAAGCAGAGAGTAGAATGGTGGTTCCCAGGGACTGGGTGGGCAGGGTTGGAGAGATTGGGTCAAAGGATATAAGATGTCAGTGCCACAGGTGGAATGAGTTCACGTCTATCGTACAGCATGGTGACATAGGCAATAACATGCAATACAATCAATCATGTGTACTTGAAAATCGCTAAGAGAATAATTTTAAGTGTTCTTGCCACAAAAAAACCAAGGCAATGCATATGTTATTTAGCCTGATTTAGCCATTCCATAGTGTTTATGGATTTCAAAACATCATGTCTAAACCACAAATATATAGAATTTTTGTCAATTAAAAGTTAAAAAATAAAATAATTTGGAGCATATTTTTTAAAAAGTGAGGGCTTTGGGATCATACAGATCTGGGATTGAGTCTTTCAGGTATCAGCTGAGTGATCCCCCAGGGCCTTGTCTTCTTCCTCTGTGAAGTGGAGATGATAATAGTACCAGCCTATGGTGTTGTTGTGAGAACTCAGGGAGATGAACAGCCTGGAAGTGCCCAGTAAAGAGAGGGAGGCCCATGAGGATTCCAAGGGCTGGGTTTCTGCTGCTGAGATAATGCAAGAGAATCCACTCACCTTTTTTAAAACTTAATTTTTTTAATTTGAGAGAGTGCATTTTATTGATTAAAAAAGAGAGTTGGTAATGCTACTTTTTGTAGAAATACGAAGACAACATGAAGTTAGGACTAATGAGTCTTGGGAACTTGGTACTTTTTTTTTCTAATCTTATTTTATTTAAGTTACAGGATATATGTGCAGGACATATGCACCATGGAATACTATGCAACCATAAGAAGGACTGAGATCATGTCCTTTGCAGGGACATGGATGGAGCTGGAAGCCATTATCCTCAGCAAACTAACACAGGGACAGAAAACCAAACACCTCATGTTCTTGCTTATAAGTGGGAACTGAGCAATGAGAACACATGGACACAGGGAGGAAAACAACACACACTGGGGCCTGTTGGGGGGATAGCGGGAGGGAGAGCATCAGGATAAATAGCTAATGCATATGGGGCTTACTACCTAGGTGATGGGTTGGTAGGTGCAGCAAACTGTCATGGCACACATTTATCTATGTAAACTTTTTTAGGAGCAAGGGTCGTCTTTGCATGTGCAGGTAATGCTCACATGGGCAGCTTGCGTGGCTTCTCAAAGGTCGAGAGAGCATCAGGATAAATAGCTAATGCATGTGGGGCTTACTACCTAGGTGATGGGTTAGTAGGTGCAGCAAACCGCCACGGCACACATTTATTTTTTTAGGAGCAAGCGTCGTCTTTGCATGTGCAGGTGATGCTCATGTGGGCAGCTTTTGTGGCTTCTCGAAGGCCCATGATGAGAGGATGTCTCCTCCTTTCTCCTAATGCTGCCCAAGGTAAATGCCTGCAGAGAGACTGAGAGGCCCCAAGGCCCGGTTCCTTAAGGTCTGTCCACTGGGCCTGGCAAAGGAGGCATTGACCCTGCAGTGAAGGCTGGGCAGGGCCAGCTGTTGCAGCATTTCTGGGACAGAATGAGTGGGCCTGGCCTCCTGCCCTTTGTAGAACATCCACACCAGGGTGGGGAGGAGACAGTCAGGGCCTCTGAGGCCAGCTCCTCCCAGGGCTAGAAAAGCTGGCTTTTCTTCTCTTACCCCAAGTGGGACCTGCCTAGTCAGCCCCACACACCCTTCAAAGATGCTTTTTCAGGCCCAAAGGAATGACCCCTCTCTAGCCACTTAGCATTTACTGTGAGCCAGGTGCTCTGTGCACACTCTACAAACCTAGTCTCATTTTGTCTTCAGAACAACTCTGGCAGCTTGGAATGATGATTTTCCCCATTGTACCCATAAAGAAACTGAGGCTCAAAGAGGTGACCTCCTCAAGGTGGCCCAGCAGAGCTGGAACTCAACCAGATCTGTCTGATTTTGTGAGATTTTATACTTGCTCTTCTTTCTCTCTTGACCCGTGGAAAACTTCTACCTTACCCAGAAGGGAAATGGCTGAAAATGAGATTTAAGAACTGCTCAGATGAATCTGTCAGTCACAGATGGATGATATCAGGGGCTTGCTCGACTTTCTTTTTCCTCATATGCTTTCTAGATTGCAAGGCCCTGAGCACAGGATGGGGAGCTTCATTCTTTCTATAGTCTCCATGTGCTCTACAGGGTGCTCAGGAAATGGTGAGGGGGCATAGACCCACTAACATTAAGCTTCTTAGCAGCAGAAAGCCCCAAACACCTTTTGCCCTAACTTCCAATGCAATACATGTATTAGTCCATATTCACGTTGCTGATAAACACATACCCGAGACTGGACAATTTATAAAAGAAAGAGGTTTATTGGTCTTACAGTTCCACGTGGCTGGGGAGGCTTCACAATCATAGCAGAAGGTGAGAGGCACATCTCCCATGGTGGTGGCAAGAGAGAATGAGAGCCAAGTGAAAGGGGTTTCCCCTTATCAAACCATCAGATTTTGTGAGACTTATTCACTACCATGAGAACAGTATGGGGGAACTGCCCCCATGATTCAATTACCTCCCACCAGATCCCTCCTATAACACGTAGGAATTATGGGAATATAATTCAAGATGAGAGTTGAGTGGGACACAGAGAAAAACCATATCATTCTGCCCCTGGCCCCTCCTAAACCTCATGTCTTCACATTTCAAAACCAATCATGCCTTCCCAACAGTCCCCCAAAGTCTTATTTCAGCATTAACTCAAAAGTCCACAGTCCAAAGTCTCATCTGAAACAAGGCAAGTCCCTTCTGCCTATGAGTCTGTAAAATCAAAAGCAAGTTAGTTAGTTCCCAGACACAATGGAGGTACAGGCATTGGGTAAATACAACCCTTCCAAATGAAAGGAATCGGCCAAAACAAAGGGGCTACAGGCCTCATGCAAGTCTGAAATCCAGCAGGGCAGTCAAATCTTAAAGCTCCAAAATGATCTCCTTTGAATCCATGTCTCCTATCCAGGTCATGCTAATCCAAGAGGTGAATTCCCATGGTCGTGGGCAGCTCCACCCCTGTGGCTTTGCAGGGTACAGCCTCCCTCCTGGCTGCTTTCATGGGCTGGTGTTGAGTGTCAGCAACTTTTCCAGGCACATGGTGCAAACTGTCAGTGTATCTACCATTCTGGGATCTGGAGGACAGTGGTCCTCTTCTCACAGCTCCACTAGGTGGTGTCCCAGTAGGGACTCTGTGTAGGGGTTCTGACCCCACATTTCCTGTCTGCACTGCCTTAGCAGAGGTTCTCCATAAGCACCCTGCCCCTGTAGCAAACTTCTGTCTGGACATCCAGGCATTTCCATACATCTTCTGAAATCTAGGCAGAGGTTCCCAAACCCCAATTCTTGATTTATGTGCACTCCCAGGCTCAACACCACGTGGAAGCTGCCAAGGCTTGGGGCTTGCACCCTCTGAAGCCATGGCCGGAGCTCTACATTGGCCCCTTTAGCCATGACTGGAGTGGCTGGGACACAAGGCACCATGTCCCCAAGCTGCAGACAGCATGGAACAGGAACTCTGAGACCAGCCCAGGACACCATTTTCTCCTAGGCCTCTGGGCCTGTGATGGGAGGGGCTGCTGTGAAGACTTCTGACATGCCCTCGAGACATTTTCCCTATTGTTTTGGGGATTAACATTCGGCTCCTGGTTACTTATGCAAATTTCTGCAGTCAGCTTGAATTTCTTCTCAGAAAATGGGTTTTTCTTTTCTATCACATTACTACAAATTTATCACATATCACAGGCTACAGATTTTCCAAACTTTTATGCTCTGCTTCCCTTACAAAACTGAATGCCTTTAACAGCACCCAAGTCACCTCTTGAATGCTTTGCTGCTTAGAAATTTCTTCCACCAGATACCCTAAATCATCTCTCTTAAGTTCAAAGTTCCACAAATATCTAGGACAGTGGCAAAATGCCACCAGTCTCTTTGCTAAAACACAACAAGAGTCACGTTTGCTCCAGTTTCCAGCAAGTTCCTCATCTCCATCTGAGACCACCTCAGCCTGGATTTCATTGTCCATGTCATTATCCGCATTTTTGTCAAAGCCATTCAACAAATCCTGAGGGAGTTCCACACTTTCCCACATTGTTCTATCTTCTTCTGAGCCCTCTGAACTATTCCAGCCTCTGCCTGTTACCTATTTCCAAAGTCACTTCCACATTTTTGGGTATCTTTTCAGCAGCACCCCACTACCAATACCAATTTACTGTATTAGTCCATTTTCACGTTGCTGATAAAGACATACCTGAGACTGGGCAATTTACAAAAGAAAGAGGTTTATTGGACTTAACAGTTCCATGTAGCTGGGGAAGCCTCACAATCATGGCAGAAAATGAAAGGCATGTCTCACATGGTGGCGGCAAGAGAGAGAATGAGAGCCAAGCAAAACAGGTTTCCCCTTATCAAACCATCAGATCTCATGAGATTTATTCACTACCATGAGAACAGTATGAGGGAAACCACCCCCATGATTCAATTATCTCCCACTGGTCCCTCCCACAACATGTGGGAATTGTGGGAGTACAATTCAAGATGAGATTTGGGTGGGGACACAGAGCCAAACCATATCAATGCAGAAATTTCCTCTCTGCATCTCCGACTGTGCTTGGTTCCTTCTAGCCACATGAGCTCATCCCAGGACTGGAGTTCTCAGCCAGGGAGGAGACTCTTCCACTGTTGACTGTGCCTGTTCCCACTCCCCAGCCACCACAGATATCCCCTGGGAGGCTCCTTGGGGCATAAATTTGAATGTGTTCCCATTCACTATCAGAATTCTGTTTCATATGGAATTGAGTAATATCTTCCTGCATCCTTGGTATGACTACCATAAGCATTTTCCTACTTGGGAACTTTGAGTGGTTTCTGCCCAAAGATATAGTGATGAATGAAACACTAGCTCTGAATTCCATGAGATTCTGGAAGATCTATTCCATTTCCCCTCTCAGCCTCTTGCTTAGAAGCATTTCTGCTGGGCAGCTTCTGAAAGATTTCTCCTTTCCTGCCCTCTAGGCCTTTGCTTGTAGCATTTGTTCCACTGGAATAGCCTGCCACTTTCTGCCAGCCTTCCAGGCCAGCATAAGTGCCAGAAATCCACTAAAAACACTTATCTCCATCAGTATGGTGTCATTTTCCTCCTTCCTTTCTGTGTCCCTTGTGTTTGATGTGAAGTTTGTCCTTAGTATGGAGCAGGAGCTTAAACACAGGTGTTCCAGTGTCTTCCTGGGCTTTTAAAACTGCAAGGTTGAAATGCCCCATGGAAAATGGGCTCAGCTGACCCAAAACCATAACCCTGTTATAAAGCCTGGGATGGCTGGGCTGGATGATTCTCTCTTGCAGGTTTCTGCTCGCTCACTATGTCTGACAGGTGGTGGATGTCTTTCCCCATAGCTACACTGAAGGCAGAAGAGTGCTGTGATTGATGAGTAATGTCTGCCCTGGGCAGAAATGGGGGTTGGATGTGCATGTCACATATTTGCCATCTCCATTGCAATGTAGTTCCCTTATTTTACAAGTTGGAAAACTGGGGCTAGGAGAAAATAATGAACTTTAGAGAGAACACACAGGAACTTTAAGGGTAAGCTGCAATCGGAGCCAGGTGTCCTGTCCCTCTCAGTCCAGTAAGTTCTCCACTTGGCCTGGTAGTTAGGACTCGGTGTGAGCTTTGAGCACTCCTTTCCTGTGTGCTGGAGACCCTAAGCAGCTGTGGGCACCCTACAGACATTTCTTGAGTGCTTATCATGTGTCAGCAATGCGCAAAGGGTTGGGGATTCAAAAGTGAGAAAGCAGAGCACCCTGCTCTCAGGAAGCTTCCATTCCAGTTGGGGGAGAC
Source organism: Homo sapiens (assembly GCF_000001405.40). Classification (NCBI taxonomy): domain Eukaryota; kingdom Metazoa; phylum Chordata; class Mammalia; order Primates; family Hominidae; genus Homo; species Homo sapiens. Next base: position 10,900,450 of record NC_000003.12, read on the forward strand.
AGACAATAAACAATGAATGCCACGATATGATCTCAGATACTTATTTCTCTATCTGCAGCCAGACACAGAAGTGGCTACCTTCACCATTGTGGCTGTTTTCTTTTCCGTTCTCCTCCCAAGGATGTCTTTTCTATTGCTTGAAGTTTAGCTCCCTTTTGGCTTCTCCAGGGCATGGAGCACCCAGGCTTGCCATTTCATTTCCTGGCTTTGAACAAGTTCCATGGTTATTAGCAAAGAAATGTGGTTCTGGGGGGAGATGATGAGGCTTCATCCTAACTGCTTGCTCAGCTGACACAAAAGAACCTGCCTGATCAGGCTGGGATTGGAAGCTGAAGTCTGGCTTGGTCTGGGAGCCCCTAGCCCAGTGCTGCCCATGGGATGTGGGTTCTGCAGCCCCACCATCATTGCCCACTCTGACTCCCCCTGCCTCAGTGGCTCCTAGCCAGGACTAGGTAGGACTGCTGGCCCAGGGTCATTTAGAAACAAGTGGGGGCATAGTTTTGGCTGCTAGAATGAATGGGAAACTTCTAGCATTTAGAGAGTGGGGGCTGGTGGGTAGACATCCTACAGGGAGTAGGACAGTCCTGCACAATGAATTATCCAAAATGTCAAGAGCCTCCCCTTTAAGGAACACTCCTCAGGGGACAGCTTGGCCTAAACTGTCTTTCCCTGAGTCTGCATGGACATCTTGGGAAGAGCTTGGGGCTAGGAATTGCCGTCTTCAGGCCTTGCTCAGGCTTATCCTTCTCTGAGCCTCCCGTATTTAGCGCTTTGGTAAAATGGGGCTCAAGCAACTGACGTGATGGATTAAGGGGAGGCCAACTGCCCATCTGCCCTATGCACTCTCCATGCCTGGACATGGCTGTCCAGCCTCCTGGGCAAAAGCCCAGCCACAGTGACCCTCGTTCCCTGCTCCACACAAAGGGGCCACCGGGGTCGGCCTACACACCCAAACTCCCCCTGCACAGGATTGAACGGCTCCTCACCGCCCGCAGCGCAACCCTTTAGCCCAGTGACACTTTACTGGCAGGGCCCTGGTTGGCCCCAGGGCCGGCTGCCCAGGGAAGGGTTTGGCACCAGAGCGAGAGGCTGCAGAACATATTTCCAGTTGGGCTTACAGGCCAAGAGCCTCAGCCCCTTCCCACCACTGTTCCCACTGGCCCTGCCTGCCTGCCCAGCACATTAGCATTTAAATATCTCCAAAGTCGTCTCCACCAAAGCCCTCTCCCACCATGGAATCCACCAGGGAGGGAGCATTTGAATCCCTCTCCCAGACTCCCCTTTCCTCATAATGGCCATACTGTATTCATCAGCTTCTGTATGTGGCATTAGCCGAAAGAAGGAGCAAGGGCGCCTAGCAACCCAGAGGAGGCTGAGAAAGAGGTGGGAAGGAAGTGATTTTCATGTAATCATTCACTTCTACAAAAGCCGTTGTCAGGTACACACTGGAAACACAGCTGTTTTATTATTCTCCTAACCTACTTTTAATCTTTTGAGAATCCTTACCAATATAAAAGGCAAAAAGAAAGAGCTTAATTCAGCCATTTTCTGCCAGGCCATATAAGTTGTATTTTTGCCTCAAGCCAAGGCTCTGCTTACAAAAGTTGTGTGTGCGTGTGTCTGTGTGTGTGTGGGTCTGTGTGTGTGTGTGTGTGTGGTAGCTGTCTGTTTGAAAGAAAATGTAGAAGAAAGAAAAGGCTGTGGGTTGGAAGCCCCAGGAGGGCCCCAAGCTCTGATCTGGCTTCTTGGATCCAAAAGCCCATACCCCATGTACTGTTGGGTCTGACGGTTTTCACACATCTTCTTGGCCAGGCGCTGGAACAGCAAGGAGCCTAGGAGGGATGAAGTGTTGGTTCTTCCCATCCATCTCTGTTGGACCCAAGCTGGTAGCCCTAAGAGGCATGTGTATCTGCTTTAGTGATGGGCAGTTCAGCATTTGGTGCTTCTCAGAAATCTGATTTAGTTCACCTGATGGGAAGGGAAGCTGGGATGTTGGAAATGACGTGGGTGCTTGTTTGCATAGTATAGTTGAGAATCGTCAGCCACCAAAAGAAACCAGATTAAAGGGATGGTACCAGGTACTCCACTACACACTTTACATTCATTATGTCTTTCTTTCACAGGCAAGGAAGTTGAGGTTCAAAGAGGTGAAGTAATTTGCCCAGGGTTGCATAGCAGTAAGCGAAAGAGCAGAGCTCCAAGCTGGGTCTGCTGACCCCAAAGTTTTTGCCCTTTTCATTAAGCTCCTGCAAGGCTCAAAGCATGGAGCCTGGCTAGAGCTATCTTGTTTAACTTAGGCCCCTTTTGCTTGGTGTTTCAGTGCCTTCTTCCAAGTGGGCCAGATTCCTGGGGCAATTAGGAGATTCATTTGTTCGTAAGCCCAAAGTGACTCCTCACGCTGGCCAGTGTGTACATTTCTCTAAAGTAAATGGACAAGTGACTTCCTCTCCCTGGGTGTTAGTTTATTCATCTATAAAAGGGAGATAATAAATAACAATGGCACCCACCTTAACCGTGTGGACGAGGTGAGTTTAATACCTGTAAAGCACTTTCCATCTGGTATGTCATAGGTACTAATAAAAGTTAGTTGGTGTCATTGTGATCATCAGCATGACTATCATCATACACCCTCTTACTGGTGCTTTCGTGGCAGGATGGGTTAATGCTGCATTTGTCAAAGACCTAAGGCATTACCACAGCAAACACAAGCCAATTCGAGGACATAGAGATGGATTTAATTGGTCGGTCAGCTGATGCTGGCTTTGGTGACAAGCAGAGGCATGCCCTTCTGTTCTGATTGGAGGCTCTCTTTGCAGATTTGAAAGCACATTTCTAGGGTAGCTTTTTTCTGTAAGCTGTGTTGCCATAAATGCTGTATAAAATCCCAGAGCAGCATCTGTACCTTCATGGGTAGGCGGGACCCTGGCCCCTACTGCCACTGAACTCACTGCCACACTGAACTCATCTCCCATACCCCTCCCCACAAGTTGCTCCTCTCTGCCAGATGTTGTATGAGAGCTTATCTGCCTTTGCTTGTTGTCTGTGTCTCCCGCTAAAGTGTAAGCTCCTTAAGGGTAGGAGCTCTGTAACATTTAGTGACAGCTTCAGCCTCCATTCCTGGGACTTGTGCCTGGCACATGGTAGACACTAAATGCATGCTTATGGTGCGGGGAAGAGGGAATAGGCTTTTTTGTTTCCTCCAGGTTTTTGAGTACTGGAATATCCTGGGAGGGAATGAACGTTGACTAAGCACCTGCTGCTCATGAGGGCTTCTGGCTGGGTTTCTGAATACTCTCCAGAGTATTTCTCAATGCTCTCCAAGAGCCAGGACGGTACTGAAGGTTTGTTTCACAAATGTTATTTCAACTTCTGTGTGTGAGAGAGACATGCTGCCCACATATGCACAATGACCATCTCCCCAGTCTCCCCAATTGGATAAGTCACTCCAAGAGGTAGGAAAAAGAAGTAAAGCTTTCTCCCCCAAACATCTAAGAAATTAGACATTCTACTTGCATGATCAAGGTAGGAATGTGGAGAAAAGGTGAGCATGTTTCCAGCAACCTACCTGTGTCTAACCTGGGGATGATGATGCTCACCTCAGGGCAGTGTGTGGAACACACAGGTCATAGGACATACAGTATTGTAAACTGTAAAGTGCTATCCATGTGGACTGGGACAGCGTGTGCTGAGTATCCATCATGATGACTGTAGCTAAAGTGTGGGTGGGGAAAATTTGTCCTTGTCCATCCATCCTTTCTTGCTTCTCCCAGCAAATGTCATCAAGGAGCTACTCTGTGCAGCCCTGTGGTCATAGCTGGGAAGGTGGGCTATGCCATTATTCATTGTTCTCTGTACCTACTGTGCACCAGGGCTCACTGGAACCAGTGGCCTTGAAAGAGGTGAGGTTGCCCCAGAGCTGGAGGTGGGACCACCTCTCTTCTAAAGGGGCCCCACTCCCCTGTTCCCATGCAAATCTGTCCTCCAAACCTCTGAATGTGGACCGCCCACAGCTGCACTGCCAGAACGCCCCCCATTCATTGCTGCAGAACATGGGGAGTGATCCCTTTCTCAGCTACTGACCCAGCTTCCTTAGGGTTTGTTTTGTTGAGACTGTTTTCCCTTCAAATTGTGTCGAGAAATAGGAAGCCCTTTCTCTGCTGAGCTGCTCCCTTTGTAGCGTCCTGGGAGATGCTGGTCAGTAGGGCTCAGTTGCCTGGTCTTCCTTTCATTGAGGTGGGGTTGCCTTTGTTCTGTTTGACTTGACAGCTGCAGAGCTGTTTAAATCCCAGCTGAGACTACAGGCCTACTCAGCAGACCAGGAGGTCCTAGCTTTTCTCTGTAAAGTATAGAGCCAGAACGCTCTAGGTTCAAACCCGACTCTCTCCCGTATAAGCTGTTTGACTTTTCAGGAGCCTATTTCCACTTCTGAAAAAATGGAGACAATAATACTTACCTAGTAAGATCATTAGCAAATTATGAGATTGTGTACATGAGAGCCTGTAGTACGCACTAGGTTTCAGCAAACATTAACTCAAGGTTTTCACTTCTTAAGGCATTACCAAACCCACGGAAGGGCTGGTTCATGAATGTTCTGTTAGCTTATTTTACTAGACTTTCTTTCCCCTTTCGTCAAATCATTCTAATGCCCACCATGATTTTGTTTGTCTGTGCTTGTGGAATTTTTAGTTGAAGAAAGTAGCTGTAGGTGAAATAGACTTGGGATAATGCTTTGGCAGAGATAATGCTGTGTTCATGTCATTTATTTTTTCTCTTCTTGAGTAAATGGGAAGATGACATTCCCCAGAGTTCCTTGTCTTTAGTTTGCAACCAAGTCACTTGGGTGTGGCCAATGATATGTATTTGGGAGTGAAGGCAACCCTCAGGCCTAATCCTTAAAACCTTCCCAAGCAAACCTCCAGTTTCTCTGCCTCAGAGGCTGTGCTGGAAGCTTGTGTTGAGAGGTGGTGGTGTCATAAAGGAAAAACACTTAATATCACAAATCATTGGGTGCAAGAGAGCCCCTTCACAGGGGCTATGCTTTAATCTTTGTGTGGGTGAGAAATAAACTTTTATTGTGCTAAAATACTGAAATTTGTGGGTTTATTGTTTAATACAGAGTAACCTAGCAGTAATTATCTTAACAAATACACCACCTCACTGATGAGTTCATTAGTTCCTTTCTAGACTGAGAGGCAAGGATGACATTTGGAGCCATGTTGCATTTTCACAACCACAGGCATCTGTTTAAGAAACAAACATATATCAGTTATGCTTTCTGTAAAGAGCCTAATGTTGCAGACTCCATGTAAAGACATCCCATGGTTCTTCATGGGATGTTTTCAAGAAATCTAATCCTGTACATTCTCAGGCTCTGCTATGCCCAAATGAGCATGTGTCTCAGCAGAAAAGCTGATCTCAACATTGGTTTTTCAATTGTGAAAAATAGAAGAGGCCAGGGAAGAAAATTTTAGATCTGGAGTCAGGGAGATGTTAAGTTACTGCTAAAATCCTGATGATGATCAAATATATGTCTCTAGCCCAGACATCGATATGTAGCCCTAGACTTTCCATGTATCTCTTGAACATCTCACTTGATGTCTCAAACTTCCCTTCTCCAAATTAATACCCATTTCCCCACTTTATACCTTCAACCACCCTTAGAAAACCTGGATCATCTAGTGTTGCACCCTCACCCACCATATTGCTCAGATCTGGGTATTCGTCTCTCACCTCCAGCCAAGATCAATCTTGTATAACTTGCCCTTTAAAGATTTCTTGAGAATCAAGAAGATAAGGTGGCAACAGAAAAAAAAATTATTTTAACTTCCTGGAATCTTCTCACCCAAACGAGAAACAAGGGTAGTAAAACAAAAACCCTATGGACAGCACCTTCAGCACAATTAGGTATCACCATGAACCACAAAATGTGAATAGATGGGGCCAGATGCCAACAGCAGTGACATCTGCATGATGTCAGTTCTGTAGGATAAGATGAAGATGAACATAAAGGCAAAGGGAATTCTGAAGATCCAGCACCAGGAAACCCATAAAGCTCTAACATGTACTGGGAGAGGACTCTCTTTGGGGGTAGAAGCTTAGTGGACCTATCTGAGAACATCACCTCAAATGAGGAGGGGGTCTATGCAGTCTCTAACCCCTAGGTAAGTGGGGGAGGACTGCAGCAAATTTGGGCAGAGGTCTGGGCCCTGTGAACACTACGCACTAACCAGTTGAGGCTTCATGGATATTAAGGAGAAATTACGGGAAGCAGACTCCAAATTGAGCAGGACAGAGACACTAGAGGAAATGAAAGGAGAAATTTTGGATAAGAGTGGGAGAAAAGAATAGAGAACAATAATTTCAGAAAGTACTATCTGTATGGCCATAGTTTTAAAGAGTTTTTGGCAATAAAAGAATAAGGAAAGTTCAGACTGCAAGTCTAGAAAAATCTATCCTGGACCACTCTCATTCCTCTACGCAAGAAAATCCTCTCCTAAGAGTACAGGAAAATCTATCTCACCTAAACGTGAGCAACAGAAGAGGACTGTGATCAAAACTTATGCAAAGCTGTGATAAGGAAAATAATTATGGGGAGAATATTGTCCCAAGGCATTGCACAAAGACAGAACCACAAAACAGTGCAGCACTGAAAGTTAATATTTCAAAACAAGCTAAAGGAAAATAATAAACCAATAGACACTATGAGGCAAATAGCATACATGAAATTGTCAGACAAAAATACTATTTAAAAAGAGAGCTGACAGGAAGGACAACTTACAAAAGAAAAACTATTTCAGAAAAAGTAACTAAAATGAAGGAATAACAGTGAATACAGACCATGGATGATATGACAAAGCAAACAGAAGATGGAAAGGAGGAAAAATGTAAAAATAAAGTCAGAAAAGAACAAAGACTTTTTAAAGAATGAAAGAAAAAGTGATAGGTATAGAAGGTGAGCAAAGAAGGTCCAACATACATACGAGTCCCCAAAGAAGAGACCCAAAGCAATGGAAGAGAATAAATACAGCAATAATTTTGGGATCTTTTTTCTCCTGAAAGAGAAGAATTGCACTTGCATCCTGAAAAAATATACCATGAGCCTGAGAAAATCAACACAGATTAGTCACTGTTGGACTTTAATAAAGTGTAGAACAAAACCTGTTGGACATCCAAACCAAAAGAATAAGTGCTTTATAAGGGGAAGCAAGTTATATTGGCACCAGACCTTTCTACCACAGCACTTTGTGCCAGAAGGCAACTAAGCAATATATTCCAGATACTCAGGAAAAGAAAAAGAGAGCCAAGGATTTTATATACAGCCAAATTGCCTTTCGAGTATGAAAGTCACGGATCAACTATTCTAAACATGCAAGAACTCAGCTAATATTATTTCCTATGAGACTTTCCAGAGGAATTTACTGGAAAACATTCTACAGATAACAAAATTGACTGGAAAGGTATTAACATAAGGGCTGGGGGTGATTGTTAAATTCATAGTTACCTATCAAATTCACATTAAGTAATGACTATAAGGAGCCTGGCATGCTGGTGCATGCCTGTAGTCACAGCTACTCAGGAGGCTGAGGCAGAAGGATCATGTGAACTCTAGATTTCAAGGCTGCAGTGAGCCATGATCACACCACTGCACTCCAGCCTTGGCAACATAGCAAGATCCCATCTCATTCAGTCAATCAGTAAAGGCTATTATGTGATGGTTGTATGTTCTGATAATCTATACAGTGTACTAAAAATTTGAATATAATAACATATATATGAAAAGTATAAAAAGTTTACAGATTGACTTGTAAGTATTAACTGGAAGCAAATGGATATTTCTTCAAATTGGATGCTAGTGGGTAGGGAGGGAAGACAAATGGAGGCTGTAGCTAATTTCAGTATTCCTCACAGCAGAGAACCAACAGACTGTCAGAAAAGGGGAGGATTAAGCGTATTGTGTAAAGGTGCTGGTTTAATGGTGAACATCAGAATAAAAATGACAGACTTTTCCCCATAGAGGTAGGAGAGCAAGATGGAAAAATCATTTGAGAACATACCCTTAAAGATTCATGTGAATCTTTAAGCCCAACATGCCCTCTTTCATCTCTTCTCCAATCTCAAAAGGTGTGCCTCCTCCAGGCAGCCTTCTCTGATTGCCTTAGCACAAGTTTCTCTTTCCCCCCATCTGTCTCTCCCAGCTACTGGGCACCTTGTTTTGTGAATGTTTTATCTCACCTGAGGACAGAGATGGAGTGCTATGTAAAATTGAGTGGTACTCTTTCAGAGTGTGACACAGGGTTCTGCACAGTATACAGGTGAAGGCACTCAGTGAATGCTGGTCCATCAGTAATTTGGGATTGATTAAAGGATTTGGGCTCATACCCTCTGGGTTTTTCTAAGAGCTAAATGTTGCTATTAGCTTGAGTTTGAAGTGAAAACAATTCAATCCAATGTGACTTAAATAAAAGAGGAATTTATAGGCCTCTGAAATGAAATGTTCTAGGATAGGTCTGATTTCAGGTCTGATCCAGGGAGTCATGTGCTAATATTGGTCTGCCTTTGCTCTAGACTCTGCTTTCCTGTGTGTTGGCCTTAATTCTCAGGTAGACTCTTCCTTCATGGCCAGTGATGCCCCCAGCAGTTACAAGCTTAACATCCCCAGCAAAAAAAAAAAAAAAAAAAGTGTCCCATTGACTTGCCTTGCATCATATGCTCATCCATGAACCAGTCACTGTAGCCAAGAAAAATCCTTGGATTGGCCAGGTCTGGGTCATGTGGCCAGCCCTGAATCTACCTCTGAGCAGAGAAGAGGTAGCTTTCCAAAGTAAAATTGAGGTGCTGTTACCGAAAAAGGAAAGATGGATGCTAAGTAGGCAAAAACAGCAGATGTCCATTTCAGCGTTGATGTGCCCAAAGAGCAAATTGGAAAAAAAAAATACCTGCAAGTGAAAATCATTGGTTTGGGGGACGTATCTGGGGCTTGTGGGTCGAAAGCTTTCTTTGGTGTTTTCTAACTCATAGAGCGTTTATTCACCATGTTAGGGGGAGGGTCCACTCCACTGAGTGACGGGGTTCAGTCAGGATTGGGGAGCCAGCTCTCCCACAACTCTGAGGGCTTTGCTCACTCTGGCCTGCACACTCTGGCCCAGAACAGTGAAAGAGGGACACCTGGTTTGTGGCACCATTAACAAGTGTGACTGGAGGCCCAGTGTCTGGTCAGGCACTGAGTAGCTCTAAGTTGCCACTGGGATTTGGCCTCCCATTTCCTGGGTCAGCAGCTGCACTGCTTTTTGCTTCGCCATGTGGCTCACTGGCCTTACTAAGCAGAACAGGCAATCCACTGAGGTAGCAAATGGGGAAACTGAGACAAAGCGGGAGGAATTAAAAATACAACCACTTCTTCTCAAGTCTTTAACACTTTTTTCTCCACTGGACCTTTCCTACCAACATTTAAGCATCCTTAAGCTTCTACCATTTCCAAAAACCTCCCCCAAATTGTATTTACCCTTTTACTACCAGCCTATCTCATACCCCCCACACATCGAAATGTCTGGAGTTTGTTCTTGTCTTTCCTCTTTCCAGTTTCTCCTACCCCATCTCAGTGCACTCTGGTCTACTGGCATTACCTGCCTCTCCCTGCCCCTGCACTTCATGAAAAAGCTCTCCTTAAGTTCCTCACAGAGCTCCAAGACCCTAAACCCAGTGATACTATTGTTAGAGGAGAAAAAAATACACTTATTTCTCAGGTTCAGAGGCGGCATTATGATCTTCCATTTTAATAGGCAATTTGTTGAATGACTTAACACAGTTGGGCAGACCCACGATAGAATGACTTGTACCATGTAATCCAGTTCTGAAGAGGGAGGAGATACAGATACTTTGCCTGGAAAGGAAAGAGTTCTGGGGTCCAGTGGGCATGAGTATTTTCTTTTAATCTTTAAAATGCTACCACATGGAGGAGAGGGATGTGGCCTGCGTGCCCCCAGAACGAGGAAAACAGGAAGAGAGAGTTCATCTCATCTTTAAAAATGTTCTAATAGTCAGAGCTCTCTGAAGAAGAAAGGGTCTGGGTCAGAAGATAGTGAGCTTCCGGTCACTGGTGGTAAGCAAGCAGAGACTATTCTGTCAGAAGTACTCAGAAGAGAGTCCTGTGTTGAGTGAGAGGTTACACCACAGGCCTTCTGAGGCTGATTCCACATTGGAAATTCTGGGACTGAGTGGGCATACATCTCTAGAGGCAGTCCTCCATGGACTTGCATCTGCCACTTTCCAGCTGTGTGGTTTGGGCACATTACTCAACCTCTCTGTTCCTCAGTCTCCTCAGCTGTAAGAGGGGGCCAATAATAGCACCTACCACATAGGGTTGCTGTGAATTTTTTTTTTTTTTTTTTTTTGAGACAGAGTCTTGCTCCATCACAAAGGCTGGAGTGAAGTGGTGTGATCTGGGCTCACTGTAACCTTCACCTCCCAGTTCAAGCAATTCTCGTGCCTCAGCCTCCCACGTAGCTGGGATTACAGGCCCCCGCCACCACACCTGGCTAATTTTTGTATTTTTAGTACAGACAGGGTTTCGCCATGTTGGCCAGGCTGCTCTCACCCCCTCCTGACCTCAGGTGATCCACCCACCTCAGCTTCCCAAAGTGCTGGGATTACAGGCATGAGCCACCCACCATGCCCGGCCGGGTTGCCGTGAATATTCAGTAATGCATGAAGGGCAGTAATGCGTGCTGCCTGTACATTGAGAGGTCAGTAAGTGTTTCCTGTTTTATATATTTAGTGCCAGCCCTGTTCTCCAGATGGCATTTGATACCTAAGCATGAGTCTCATCAGCTGCATTTTGATTTGAGCTCTGGATTTTCCTTGGCAACTTCTAGGGGCTGGGCTCAAAGGGAGCCCGGGGAAAGTGTTCGAGAAGCCACTGTCATTTCTGTTGTGCATGTCATGCTGTCCACAGCAGTTTTTATCAAAAGGGAGCTTGGGGACTAGGAAAGTAGTTATCTTGTGTACCACATAGGAAGCCTAGAGGGGGGGAGTCTGTTCTGAAAGGGAGAAGGACATGGTGGGCCTCCCTCACTCCTCCCCTCCCTGCCACCTTTTATGCTGAGGTCAGCTATGCAAATGTATCACCCTGGACAGAATCTTATGACACTTTTCTCATGGTGGCCTTAATCACAAGGAAAAGGAAGCATTCATTTTACCTTAAACATGACTTACCTTGCAAGCAGGCACTAGATCCCAGGGGCTCATGGTCCTTGTTGCATGAATCCTTGCAACAGTCCTGGTAGGGAAGTTTCTTCCCTACTTTGCTGATAAGGAAACAGCCTCAGAGAGGTTAAGTAACTTGTCCAGGGTCACACAGCTGAGGCCGGGGTCCTAAGCATTCAAATTCTTGCTATTCACTGAGCTATTATTCATAAACTCTGGCAAATTCTGGAATTAATTGAGGACATTTACACTTGATCATGTGGTCCCCAAGAATAGAACTCTTTTAAAGGGGGTCCTGGGTAGGTTAGGAAGTTTAATTATCCCTTATGGAGTTTTTCTGAAGGGTAGAGTGTGGGTGGGGGATTTCAGAGACCAGGGCTACCCTCTCACCACACATCTGACTTCTGTTTATGCCAACATCTTTGTGCCTTCCTACAGGTCTGGGTAGATGCTGGAACGCAGATCTTTTTCTCCTATGCCATTTGCCTGGGCTGTCTGACCGCTCTGGGAAGTTATAACAATTATAACAACAACTGCTACAGGTGAGCATTTCCCTGGGCCCTGCCAGCTCTCCACCAAACCCTGAGAGCCCTCTAACCTGCCAGGCTAGTTTATGTTTGTCTGCCCACCTTGCAGGGCCCCAGGAGGAGATAGATAGGCTGTTTGTTGGCCTCCCACTACCGAAGGGTCAAAGAGTGGGCCACCAAGAAGCTAGGAGAATAGCAAATGTAGTCAGAGTCTCTCTCAGGCTGCAAAGCCAATCCCCCACCACTACCGGCATCTCATTCAGGTCTCAGTGCCACCTCGTATGGTAAAGACGTATTCCAGGATGGATAAGTGACTTGCCCCAGTCACAGAGCTAGTATATACACCAAGGGCCTTGTTCTCTCGCCTACTATTTAGAAATCTGCTTCCTGCCCTTCGTACTTGACTGTAGGGTCATCTTCTGCCCCACCTGGGGCCAGTGCCCCACTTTGCCCCTCAGCCTAACATGTCTCTCTGGCCTCCTGTAGCTGGCTGCACCAGGGCTGGGAGGGGGTTCAGGTGAGGAGGCGAGCCCCAGTGTCTGACCCTTGGCTGCCTGGCCTCTCACACGTGCAGCTTGAGTTCTACAGCAAGGCTGAGTCGTGGAGGGCAGGGGACCTGCCCAAGGTCACCCAGCTCTGTGTGGTGGAAGTGCTGATCTAGGATGATGGTCAGTCTGTTGAGGTTTCGGTCCACTGGGGTCTCTGCACCCCTGAACTCAGTGCCTGGTACGCAATAGGTTAATATTTCATGGTAGATGGACAGCGCATCTCTTCCTTAGAGTCTGAGAGCTCCTTAAGCAGAGATAAGACCATGGAATCATGACAGTGCAACAATCCCTTACCACAGAGTAGTGGAGAAAGGAAGGAAGGTTGCCTTTTTTTTTTTTTTTTTTAACAAATGGTTCTGAGATAGGATAAGTATTTTGGGGAAATCATCAAATTAGATTCTCATATATCATCCCATCTTTCCACCATAGTTAAGTGTCAGATTGATTAAAGAGTTAAATATTTTTTAAAAGAAAACCACCCTATAAGTAGGAATGAAATACTGATTTCAGAATGGGAAAAGATGTAGAAAACATCAAAAATAATTAAAGAAATCACAAAAGAACTAAGTGGCAGATTGGTCCACATAAATATGGAGAACATCTAAATTTCTGGAAAGAAACACAAAAACTATTCAAAATAACCACCTCCATAAAGTGAGACTGGGAAGTCAGAGGTGGGGAGGTGGGCTTTTCCCACTTCCACCTTCTATACAGCTTAAATGGGTGTGTTTTGTTTAGTTTCTTTTGTTTAACTTTGAGTACGTATTGCTTTTATAATTTTTAAAAAATTGTTAATACAAATATCATCTACATTATTTTATTTACAAATATGAGAATTTTCTATAAGATTAACGAGCATCCCAACAACGTATGATACACAGGGGGTTTATATCCACAATATATAAAGAATACAAACAAGTCTATGGGAAAACACTAAAACACCAGTAAAAAAACAAGCAACACACTCTTTTTTTTCTTTTTCTTTGAGACGGAGTCTCGCTCAGTCACCCAGGCTGGACTGCAGTGGCACGATCTCGGCTCACTACAAGCTCTGCCTCCCAGGTTCACGCCATTCTCCTGCCTCAGCCTCCCGAGTTGCTGGGACTACAGGCGCCCGCCACCACGCCCGGCTAATTTTTTGTATTTTTAGTAGAGACGGGGTTTCACCGTGTTAGCCAGGATGGTCTTGATCTCCTGACCTCGTGATCTGCCTGCCTCAGCCTCCCAAAGTGCTGGGATTACAGGCTTGAGCCACGGTGCCCGGCCAACACACTCTTAAAATATTGAGTGTTTTTCCCAAGTCCTGTTCAGCATAGGTGAGGGTAGGTGAGCAGATCATGCCATACCCCTGCTGGTGGGACAGGAACTTGGAATTAACCACCACATCACTGGGTCATCATGTGGCTCGAGTGGCACCATGCATTTGAAAGAACTTTCACCGGTGATAGCGTCCCTCCCACATTACCCCATCTTTGAGACAGGGAAAGTGAAGCTGGTGGAGGTGGTACCTTGCTAGATGTGGCAGGGCCTTGACTCTGACTGGGGTCTCTCAGTGTCCATTCTGGCCTCCCCACTACATCCTTTCCGAGAGCTAGCTTAGCGGTCACATTATGAACTCACTTGTTAAGTCGGCAGTGTTTACTGTGTGTCTACTAAGTGCGAGGCCCTGGAATCGGTGCCATGGGAGCTGCAGACAGCAGTGGCACAGCCTATAGAGTTTGTAACTTGGGGAAATCAAGACAATGGGGAAGTTAATGTGGGCAGGTCCAACATGCTGAAAAGAGAAGCTATTGTAGAATCCAGTGTGCCATCAGGCCGCCGTGAGTTCTGCTTCTGGGGTTCTTTGGGTGAGAGGTATTTGGGTGACCGGATGACAATGAGATGCTAAAGACAGACAGAGCAGGCTGTCCAGAAGAAGGCATCTAGTTTTGTGGAGGATGTGGGCATGGGGGATGAGAAGTAAAGCTCTTTGTCAGCCATAATGAAAATGTTAACCATGGACAGGAAGAGAGAGAGAGGCACCCAGATAGGAAGAACAGCACATGCAGGCTTCCGGGCTGGGCCAAGTCTGACCCCCTTGGGAGTTCTTTCAAATGTACACTGTCTGTGTACAGTATCACCCCATCGGTGGCTTACGGTCAGCATGGGGACCTCTGTGCTGGGCCCTTCAGAGATCACTTGGTCACTGTCCCCTCCAGCTAGGCTGTCAGCACCATGAGGACGTGGGCTGGATGTTCTTGTTGTCTGCTGCATCTCTTGTACTTAGTTTAGTGCTGGCTTCCATGCAGGGCAGTCAGAAAGAAACCACCCCATTACATAAGCAAGGAGATGGTGGCCCGTGGAGCTCGAGTCCCTTACTCCTGTTCACATTGCCACAGATGGAGCGTGGCTTTTCACCTGAGTCTTCCTGGCTCTTGCACCCCATTCCTCACTACCAGGGGTGGCCAGCTCTTTCCCAGCTACTGGAGTTGAAGAGGGTTTGGCCAAAACTGCCTTGTCTCCAGCCTGTGTCTTGGGGCAGTGGCAGCTTCATTCCCCACTGAGTGCGTGGAGGATGTATGCTGTCAGCCATGGGTCCCTTCTGCTTCCCCCTCCAGCAGGCAGGTTTTATTCCATCTCTCCCATCAGCAGAAGAAAGCAAATCCCCTGGGTGGCAATGCAAAAATTAGAAAATTCATTTTATTTCCTTTTCCAAATTGTTCTGCAAGTGGGTCTTCTCAACTCCAGTGGAGTAAATTAGTACCCTCTCTCCTGACAGCATAATAGCTTCTGGAGGTCTTAAAAGCCCAGCTCAGTGCCTGCCGACTTCAAAGCACTGTTACATAAGCGTTTTACCTAGACGTGGGAGCTGGGGAAGGAATTAGAGGGATGGAAATGGGAGCGAGCCAGGCAGGGAAAATCCTCACTTCCGAAGACACCACTAAGCCCTGTCTGCTTGAAGGGGTGGGTGTTCTGAGGACTGGAGGGGAGGAGGGACTGGTCATGCATGGGGCTGGAAGGGACCTCAGGTCCCTAAAGAGCTTCTCTGTCTCTCCTTCTGTCTCTCCATAATGTGAGGAAGTCACTCAACAGACCTGTGCAGGAAGATGGGAATTTTTTAACAAGGGACAATTTGTTTTTCAACACCTGTGTGGATGCCCAGAGACAATTTTTTAAAGTGAGGATTTGTTCATCTTAATTTTTAGGGTGCATCATTTTTGTTTAGCTCCTAGCAAAAGCATGGGCTTTGATCTATGTGACTCATCTCCCTCAGCCTCAGGATTCAGTGAAACCTAGTCCACGGCTGGCATACTGCAGGTCCTGAAAGCATCACGTGGGAGAATTCCAGAATGGAGAGGCTGTAGACAAAGGCTTTCCTCCCTGGTATCATCCAATGTCCACTATTTGATAAGTCAGGGCCATTTTGCCTCAGACTTCAGGAAACAGGCACAAGGAGCAGATGTATCCCAACCTTAGGAATAACTAACTCTGCCCTTGCCTGGGCATAGCTGAATTTCTTTTTGAGCAGAGGTAAATCAGACTTGCAGATAAAGTCCCCACTTATACCAGCCCAGCCAGCATTCACAGTACCAGAAGAGTTATTTGAAGGGACCTGTATCAGTCATCCATGGCCACAATACTGCTATGTAACAAACAACCCCAGCACACAGGGGTTGACCACAGCAAGTGATTGCTTGTATTGCTCACAAGTCTGCTGGTCAGCTGAGGAGACTCTCCTGCAGGCTGTAGACTGAAAGACCCTGGGTTTGGCTCCAAGGTCCAAGCCAGGCTCAAGTCAGCTCCACGTGTGTACATTCTGGGGTCCAGGCCGAAGGGGTAGCAGCTCCCCTGGGGAAGTTCTCATAGAAAATCACAGAAATGATATAGGACAAATCCAATCATGCAAGCCCATCTCAAGCCTCTGTTTATGTCACATCTGCTAACATCCTGTTGTCCAAAGCAAGTCATGTGGCTAAGCCCAAAGTCAGTGAGGGCAGGGAAATATACTTCACTCCAAGGAAGAAGGTTGTGAGAGTGATTCCTTGCTGAAAAATGATTTGATCTAGCGCAAGGTCAAGAAATTCTGTTATCCAAGCACCTTGTATAGCCAGTGAGATCAGGTTCGAAGAAAAAATATTGCAGGGAGAATTGGAACCCAAGGCTCTCGACCACCAGTTCAATGCTCTCTCTACTTTACCCTTGATTCCTAGGGTCATTGCAAGGCAACAGGGTGTTAACAACCAAGAACAACATTAATGTAACCTTTGGTTGCTTTATAAAAACTATGATGTCAGAAGAAGAGGAGGTGAGAGTCCTGGTGTGTTGTTGAGAATAGTTCTGGATGTGACAATTGAGGAGGGACTGGATAAGCTGGAGTGTATTACAGATTTCAAGCACAATAAGGAATTGGTAAGGGAACTGGAATGTGTAACACAGAACAAAAAACTCAAGGGGCTATAGGGCCATTATCTTCAGATCTCCCAAGCCTGAAGGAACTCCAGGCTGTTTTGGAGGGTAAAGCTAACTTTATCAGAGAGAACAAGCATGGGTGAATACAATATGAGAAAGTTCTTAGCACGCTAAGCAGTAAGAGCTGTCCAACAAGGGGAAAGTACCACTGGAAAAAATGGCTGGCTCCTCATGCCTGGGTGTGCAAGCAGAGGTCAGCCGGCCACCCGCAGGGATGCCATGGAGGCTAGTCATGCCTCTGGCAGGAGGTTGAACAAGGTCACCTGGCAGCTCCTCCCCTATAAAATGGGGTATTAACATGGATTGTATGCCTAAGTCTCAGTCCAGGCACTACAGTGGTTGAAATTCTAACAGGCTAACTTCCTGACTTGGTGATTTTAGGATGCTGGGCCTGAGGCAGGACAGGCCGGGACTCGAGGGTACCGTCTTCATCTTGACAAAGTTCCATTGTTTCTAGTCTGATTTCTCCTGGGCCATGGCTTTATGCTGGTGCTTCTTAGCTGGTGAGTCCCCCCGCTCCCAAGAGCAGGGGACAGTCACTGCTCTGATAAACCTCTCCATGCAAGGGTTCAACCTGGAAGGGGCTGCTCGCTCACAGCAGCAGAGCAGAGCCAGACTGCGGTCTGGCAGATGCTGCTCCAGTAAACAGCTTGGCCAGGAAGAATGTCACCATAAAGCCTCTCCCCCGGAGGCTGCCGGAGCTTCAGGTGCAAGGCCCATGGTTTCTCCCCTGGCTGAGAAGCCCCCATTTCTCCCATGGAGGCTTCTCCTGCCCTCCTTGCTTTGAGCTCCCAGGAATACTTTCCCAGCCTTTCTCTCCTACCAGGGACTTGGAGGAGCGTCGGTGTGTTTCAGAGTATTTTCTCATTAGTTCTGCATTTTCCCATATGCCAGCCTCCCTTCCCATGCTGGCTCTATGCTTCTGATTCGTGACCTACCTTACCTTCTAGAAATTCAGGAGAAGCTGTGTGACCATGGGCCAGCCACCTAACCTCTCTGAACCATGAGTGCTCCATCAGAAAAACAGAGCTCCCTGTGCCTGCACTTCCCTGCCTGCCTCACAGGACAGCCATGGTGCTCGGGTGGAGAACGTTTGAGCCGTGCACCGGTTCTGCCCGCTCTGACCCTAGTGCCTCTCGCTGCTTCCCCACAGGGACTGCATCATGCTCTGTTGCCTGAACAGCGGCACCAGCTTCGTGGCTGGGTTTGCCATCTTCTCAGTCCTGGGTTTTATGGCGTACGAGCAGGGGGTACCCATTGCTGAGGTGGCAGAGTCAGGTAAGTTCGCCAAAGGTGGGGATGGAAAAGGCGGCAAGGGAGGCCAGGAGTGATGGTCATCATGGAAATGCGATCTTCCTCCTCGGCTCACACATCTCCTGGATTCAGGCCTCAGAAAGGGGCCCCACCATTCATCCACAATCCAGGATCCTGGGAATTACCTAGGAGGAAAGTCTCGACACCTCCTCCCTCCCAAATCCAAGGCATCCCCGAGTTTTGTAGATGCTGTTGCCCACTTCATTCATTTCTCCCAAGCTTCACCGTCTCCCCACTAGCCCGGACCACCATCACTGCTCACCTGGATGGCTCAGAAACCTTTCCCTGGACTCTGTGCCTCTGCTGTTGTCACTTCCACTCCATGCTCTACCCTGCAGAGGGATTTTTTTTTTTCAAAATGCAAATTTGAACATGTCTTCTCTGATGAAAAGCCTTTCTTGGCTTCTCATAGTGCTGGACTCAGCGTGGCCACAAAGCCCTGTGTTGCCCGGCTCCTGTGGCCCCACCAGCCTCACCACCTACGATTCCCCCACACTCACTCGGTCCCACCACAGCGGTCTGCTTCACTTCTGCAAGTTAACTCTCTCCTCCTCCCTCAGGGCCTTTGCACATGCTTCCCCTTTGCTTGGAGAGCACCTCTCCCTCCCTCCCTTTCCCTGTTCTAGACATAGAATCACCATGAGTGTGACAGCCTTAAGTATAGATTGACATGTGTTTGTAGCAAACCCACCAAGAGCAGGGTTATCATTGTTTGAGTGATTGTGCAAAATGGTGAAAAACTCTTTCCGTGATTTCCATGGTATTTGAATTTCCAGAAAATTAAGTGCATATGAAAAAGTACATAGTTTGTGTTTACATGACAAATGGAGTCTAACCTCAGATAAGTATAAATAGGTTTTTCACCTACAAGCATGTCCAGTGGGACATATTTTTTAAGACCAGCACAGGGCATCTGGCCTCCCTGGCCTCCGTCTACTCAAGGCCAGTCCTGCCCCAACTCATTGTGACAACTGACCCACCTCCCTCTCAAGCCCCAGTCCAGGGTGTGGCTATTTAGGTTTGGCATGTGCAGTCAGGGAAGCACCCCTCTGACCCACCAAAATAGGCAGGCCAAGGGGTGTGGATGTCAAAGGAGGCAGCTGATCAGCAAGCTCTGCTCCATGACTGTTCAGAGTCCACCTTGCTCTTGGTCATGTTTATCAGAGATGCAAGGGCCCCTGAGGAAATCAGGCGTACAAGCTAGACCAGAGGATACGAGTATGATCAAAGCTCTCAATCGCTGGGCACCTATTCACTGGACAGGAACTGTTACACACATCATCTCACATGATGCTCAGCTCAGCCCTCTGAAGTGGCATTTTTGCTACCCCCATTTTACAGATGGGAAAACTGAGGCTCAGGGACGTGAGGTCACTTAACTAAGGACACACAGGCTGGAAGCAAGAGAGCTGGAACTTAATCCAGGCCATCTGGCTATCAAACTCATGTACTTCCCACTCCATCCCACTGTGGCTGGGGCACCTAGCCCTTCACAAAACACCTCTGCATCTTCCTCATATTCAACCACAGGCAGCCCTGCGAGGAGGGATCATTGCCTTCTCAGTAGTAGCATTGCTTCTGTGAGAATCCATGTCCTCCTCTGTAAAGTGCGCACCCTGAAACTCCCTCGCAGTGTTGCATGAGACAGAGTATCCACAGCACTGCTGTTGCTCATTTTATCATTGCTTCTGTTTTGGAGGGGAGTCCCAGAGAGGAGTAATAGGAAGAAAAAAATCCAACTAAAATTAAATTTTGGACTTTTTCTTATTCAAATTGAAAGAATACTCATTGTGGAAAAACAGAGAAACATTAACAGAAGAAAAAAAAATTCAAATCCAACGCAACACCTTGGGGTTATCCCGCTAGGATTTTTCATACATATGTAGCTATAAGCGTGGTGATCAAAACTGGATCATATTATCCTTGGCATTATGTAGGCTGAGTTCTTCCATTTATAATAAAGCATGAGGAGCTTACCCCTCAGTAAAAATAGATTGCTATCATTGAGTTGTGTGGTATTCCATTGAATTGATACACTGGAATTGACTTTCTCTGTCCCACTTGTCAGGCCGTAAGATAGTTGTTTTTTCATATACTACCTCATGAAATGCTCCTGGCACCTCTGCAACATAGGTTTTACCAGGGCCTCCACTCGTGGCTGTGCAGACTATGCCCTGCACAACTCCAGCAGGCACTATTCACACAGCAGTCCTAGCTTTTACAGTGCCTATCACAGACGAGGACCTTGTAGCTGAGAAAGATGAAGTGGTTC
Organism: Homo sapiens; assembly: GCF_000001405.40. Taxonomy (NCBI): domain Eukaryota; kingdom Metazoa; phylum Chordata; class Mammalia; order Primates; family Hominidae; genus Homo; species Homo sapiens. The sequence continues at coordinate 10,920,762 of NC_000003.12, forward strand.
ATCCAAGAGCATGTAGTCCATAAGCAGTGCAGCCTGGATCCGGTCTCTTCTGCCTTGCTTTTTTGTGTTGCTGTTGGCATCAAGCAGGAAAACCTGCTCTGTGCCTCTGGTTGGGGGTGTGGATCACACCAAGACCCTCTTTAGGAGTCTGCCAATTGGAGAAAATGCAAGTTACAGCTGAATATGTAGTCACCTCACCTTTCTCAGAAGGACCTGGGCTCACTTTCTGAGGCATGATTTTTGGAAAATACTTAATTAGATGCCAGAACACTCAGTGGGATGTCCCAGAACACTTCGGAGACTGAGCCAGGGAGACAGAATGTACTATTTGCAGGGTTCAGATTTTGTTCTGTTCTAAGCCTAGTGCCTGAGATTTGCTGACCTTCCCTGCATGCCCTGCATCTGTCTCTCTGATGCTGTTACACTCAGGATGCTCTCTTCTAGGGGAATGATTTTACACAGCTTATAGTTGGGTCTTGCTTCTTTATCCAGCCTAATAATCTCTTAACTGGAGTATGTGGTCCACTTGTATTTTGTAATGATTGATGTGGTTAGGTCCTGAGGTCTGTTTTAGGGCAGAAAATGTCAGAATAATAATCAGAAGTGGGAAGTGTCAGATGTGTGGTGGAAGTGCAAAGTGATATGTTATTAACTCGAATAAGTTATGACATATAGTCTTGGTCCAATTGTTTAGAGAAAAATAATAAGAGGTAGAGCTAAAAAGCTAGTAGATGAAACAAAATTGAAAATTAAAAATATTTATTAACCCAAAAGAATGCGGGAAAGTGCCACAGAGTAAAACTAAACAAAATAAGCAAAGAAAAACAGAAAACCAAAAGAAAACAAATGCAAAATAGTAGACTTAAATCCAACCATATTCTTATATTAAATTTAAATGGACCAGATACACTAATTAAAAGGCAGAGATTATCAGACCAGATTTTTTTTAAAAAAAGACCCAACTATAACATGTCTAAAAGAGACACACTTTGAAGACACAGATAAAGTATAAAAGAATGGGAAAAGATATACCATTCAAACAATAAACATAAGAAAACTGGCTTGACTATTAGTGTGGACAAAGTAAACTTCAAGTCAAAAAATATTAGCAGAGATAAAGAGGAACACCTCATATTGATAAAAGGGGCAATTCATTGAGAAGACATAACAATCCTAATGAGTTTGTACCTGAAAGCAGAGATTTGTTATATAGGGAGCTAAAACTGATAGAACTGGAGGGGAAAACAGACAAATCCACAAGCATAGTTGGAGATTTTAACACCCCTCTTTAACTAATGATAGAACAATTATATGAAATGTCAATAAAGACATAGAGATCTGAACAATACTATCAACCACAATGACTTCATTGATATTTATCAAACAGTGCACTCAGTGCCTGCAGAGCACAATTCTTTTCCAGTGGACATGGAACATTCACCAAGATAGACCATATACTATGCCATAAAACAAGCATCAATGTATTTCATGAAATTGAGACCCATTAATATAATGCACCATGTTAATAGATCTAACAAAAAAACATAAGATTAGCTTCATCAATGCTTAAAAAGCCTTTAACAAGATTTGACACCCATTTACAATATAAAATAATCAAGAAAATAGAAATTGAGGAGTACTTTTTGAAATGGTGTGTGTGTGTAAAAGTTTTTAAAAAGCAGATATCTATAGTATCCTACCCATTATGTGAAAAAAGAAGGGGAGAAGAGAAAATATGTCTACTCATTTGTGCAAAAGAAATACAGAAAGGATTAACTAGAAACAAACAAGGATGGTTACCTTCAGGGGTGGTCGGAAAAGGGGTGGAAAGAAGGGAGGAATGGGAATGAGGGAGGAAGAATGAGAAGGAAGCAGTGCTTCCCTGAATATATCATTTTTTTTATTAGCTCTGAGTCTTGGTAATGTTTCACATACCACTCAAACAATGATTTTTTTGTGGTGGAACCCTAAATGGAATACAAACAGTAACAAATGAACCTAACTGTACTACAAATGAAAACTGTCACCATGCTAAAGGGAATGGGGAAGGAAAAACTAACCTATGTAACTTTGAGAAACAGCATCTTGACTGGATATTTTAAGGCTAAAGACAAAAATAACGATACTGTGCTCCAGTTAGTACAGGGGTAGCAATTCCACAACTGTTGTAAGTGTGTATATTAGGATTGAACAAATAGGTAAATATTTTATAGATAATTAGTCAGATTTTTCACTGAGAAAGAAGTTATAAATAAGGAAAGGAGAGATGCTAGAATGTCTTTTATTGGAATTGGAAGTATCAATATATTAAAATTCATGGTTTTCATCTATGTACAGATAGATATAGAAATATTCATGTGTATATGCATGGATAAATATACATATATTTCCTATCTTTGTGTGCTGAGAGGGCCTAAAAGCAATAATACTCCACAGTTATGAGCACACCTAGGGCTCAGATCTTGGTTTCTAAACACTATTCTTCAATTAAAAAAAAAAAAAACACAGGGCTCCTTGGCAAAACAGTTGATTTCCGGGCTAGGGCAAGACAAGGTGAAGCTAGAACATTTTTGTGATGCCAAAAAATAAGGAAGTGCTCAGAAAGAAAGGTTTGAGGCTTGTCAAAAAGCCATGGAAATCAACCTGAAGGAACTCCCAATGGTTAAAACTGAAATAACTTGAACAGCAAAATAAATGATAGTATTGGATTTTAACCCATAGAATAAACTACTCAGGAGTCCACATTCACATATATAAATAATTGAATAAATAAATGGTGTGAAAGGACAGCTATTCCTTGGAGAAGAATTATAATTAATAAATATAGAAGGAATGAGGGAAATATCAAATCACCATTAGGCAAACACCATTGTAATCATGGTTGCAGGCAAGACCCACCAATGGATACTAAAATCAGTAGGTAAAAGTTGGAGTAGAAACAGGATTTTTTCATAATCTCAAAATATTTCCTCCTGCAGGAGCGTTAACAATTACAAAGAGAAAAAGAGTAATGTTATAGTGGAGAAACCTAGCAGACAACAGTTTAACCTTAACCTTAAGTGATCAAGGTAAACATCACCAGTAATAATATTGATTGACATGTACCCCCGATATAATACACCAGAAAGGATATAACATCACTGCTGTGGTTTTCTAGCCAAAAGATGCACAACCTCACCATAAGTCATGAGGAAACATCAGACCAACCCACATCAAGAGACATTCTGCAAAACAACAACCAGAACTCATCAAAAATGTTGAGTTTAGCAAAGACCAAAAAAAGACTAAGGGACTGCCACAGACTGGAGAAGACTAAAGAGATACAACCAATAAACGCAATGTGGAGTTCTGAATTAAATGTTGGAACAGAAAAAAAGGGGGCAAAAGGAGAAAAACTGGCAGAATATGAATAAGCTCTGTGGCGTAATTAATGGTATTATACCAATATTAATTTACCAGTTATTAAATATTGAAAGTGTTCCCCTAAAATCAGAAACAAAGCAAGGATGTATGCTGTCTCTGCCTCTATACCATATGGCAATGAAGTTCCTAGAGAGTGCAATAAGGCAAGAACAAGAAAAATAATTAGAGGGAAGAATAAAAATTTTCTTGATAAACATACTGACCGAGTCAAAAATCCTAAGGAACCTACAAAAAAAGTAATAAGTGAACTTAGAGAGGTCAAAGGACAAAATAGATAAAATATATTATACTTCTTTACATGCTAGCAGGAGACAATTGGAAAGTTTTTAACTTCTGCTCTTCACAAGACGCCATTAAGAAAATGGAAAGGCAAGCCACAGACTGGGAGAAAATATTTGTAATAACTCCTCTGACAAAGGATTTACATCCTAAACATATAAAGAACGCTCACAATCAAATAAAAAGAAAACAACCTAATGAAAAAAAAAGGACCAAAAAATCAAGCCATCACTTCACAAAAGAAGACATATGAATAGACAATAAACATGTGAAGATACTCGATGTCATTAACTATCAGGGAAATGCAAATGAAAACTATGATATAACATCTCACTCCCACTGTAATGACACATCTTAAAAGACTGACAATATCAAGTGTTGACAAGGATGTGGAGCCACTGGAAATTGGAAACATTGCTGGTAGGACTGTAAAATGGCAAAGCTACTTTGAAAATCAGTTTGGAATTTCTTAGAACGTTAAACATATGATTGCCATATGACCCAGCAATTCCACTTCTAGGTAGAATAGGCAAAACTAGTCCGAGGACGAAAAAAAATTGAATTGATGGTTGCCCAACGTGAAGAGGAGGAACGGAGGCGAAGAGACAGCAAGGGGCCTCAAGGGGCCAATGGCAGTGTTCTATAGCTTGATTGCCATGGCTTGATTGTCGTGGTGGTTATCTGGGTGTATACACTTTTTAAAACTTCATCAAACTATGTATGTAAATTATACCTTAATGAAGCTGCTCTTTAAAGTAAAAAATCATCAGATTTCATGTCTATTAAGCATTTACCTGCTTCAGTGCTTTCCATTTATTGTGTCATCTCACTGAATTCTCAAAACCACTTTTTTTAGATAGGACTTTATTATCCCCATATTTCAGCTAAGAAAACAGATTTGAGCCCAGGCCACCTGGCTACAGAGCCTGTGCTGTTGACCACTGTGCCACAGGGCTAGCCTCTCAGGTATCTGTCTGCTGACATTGATAAAGTTCATCCCGAGGACACGTTAACCCAGCCTTCTATGTGCAGCAACTAAAACAAGGGAGTGTAGACCTGGAAATGAGAGTGGAAACCAGAGGAAGAGGCTGCCAGGGTGGAAGAGCATTTCTCCAGCCTGGACCCGACCTACGTACACCACAACCACTGGGTACCTGGTCCTTGCCTCCCCCTGGGCAGACAGAGTCAGAATCGCTGGGTAGGCCTGAGAATCTGCATTTTAACAAGAAACTGCACCTTCCCCCTTGAGAACAGTAGAGACATGTCCAGAGGAAGGTCCATGGATCAGCTGAACCTAGGCTTGAATCCTGACCCTTCCAAGGCCCTTGTTTACCTCTTTCTGCCTCAACTTGCTCATCTGCAAAATGGGCATCAGAATAGCACCAAACGCATGGGGTGGCTGGGAAACAGAAGTGATTTGAGTGAGAGGCAGGCACAGTGCCTGGCGCAGAGGAGGCACTCAGTAAATGCTGGATTAAAATAGCAATGATATGAGGGATGGGACTCCACCCAGTGGCTTTCTCTCTCTCCCTCGCTCCAGGCCCCGGCCTGGCCTTTATTGCGTACCCCAAGGCGGTCACCATGATGCCTCTCTCCCCGCTGTGGGCCACCTTGTTCTTCATGATGCTCATCTTCCTGGGCCTGGACAGCCAGGTAAGGGGCCATGGGGATGGGGAGCCCAGGAGGGAGGGGAGCCTGGGCCAGGAGGCCAGACGCCACCCTTAGGAGTGGCTCCCCAGGCCCAGCCACTCCCACCTGGCCCTGGCATCAGGGCCCTGCCCACCGTCCCCCATTCCACCCTCCACTTCCCTCCCAGCAACTCTTGCACCCCCGCCATCCACCAGGTGGGCTCTACACTTACCCACAAATGTCTGTTCCGGCCCCTCTAAGCCTTCCCAAACACTGTTTTCCTTACCGGAATTCCCAACTCTCAATTCACATTTAGAAAAATTTGCTAAATACTTCCCTTCTGCTCAACCACTCCTGCCAACAGCACTGCCTGGCACAGCAGAAGAGAGTCTCAGAGAGTGAGTTCCACAGCATGCATGTCCCCATCCCAACCCAATCATTGAGGACACGGACACATAGAAAAGCACCTCCTCTTCCTCCATCTCTGTCCTGGATGCCACCACCAGCTCTGCCCCGCCACCGCCTGCCTGTCTCTGTGCTCGGCCCTCCCTAGAGGCCCCTTGCCAACCTCCCCCTGCTTGGCAGCCTCCTTCCCTGGCGAAGGGGGTAGACCTGGAGCTAGTAACTCACCCATGCACTCGGTTTCCCTTTGTTGCCACACAGCACGCAGGCGCTCGCTTCCCGCACTGAGCACACTCCAGACTCCCATCCCAGGTCCCCGGCCTCTTTCCCAGACCATTCCCCCAACAGTCCCTGAAACCCACCCTTTGCCTGCTGGTCCTCACAGCTGTTTTCCCTAGGAGCCCTGGAGAACTTCCCCCAGCCACAGCCTCCCCGCCTCGGAGACTGGGGTCTCTTGGCCAACCAGTGCTGTGCTGTGCAGGGGCCTCTGCAGGCAAAGCAGTCAGACCCCCAGGGAGACACACCCAGCCCAGCCTGTGGGAGTGCCGCCCTCACCCATGACCTTCTGCCAGTTGAGTCACTTGGCACCCAAGCCCCACAGCCAGTATATCTGTCAAGCCAGCCAAGTCCAATTCAATTTCTTCCTCTGATCGGTTTCCCAGAAGCTGCTAAGCCAAATCACCGGGTGTTTCTGCTGATAATCTTCCCTTATTGTTGCTGTTGCGGGCAGAGGTCTCGGAGGGATTGGCAGCTTATGCGTGACAGGCCAGGCCTGCCTGGCAGAGGGAGGCAGGGGCTGGGGCCCCGGCTCGGCGAGTCCCTGGGCTGAGCTAAACCAGCAGTTGGGCCTGGGGGCCCGAGGTCTGGCACAAAAAGTGGCGGCCACTCTGCCTATCCCCATGCGTGCTGCCCTTGCTGTGTGCCTTGGATATATTCTCAGTTCATTGTCACAATAACCACACGGGCTGGGGGCTCCTTTCATTGTCTGCATTTTATAGAAGAAGAAACTGAGGTTCAGAGATACTGAGTGACTTGCTCGGTCGTGTACCCGGGCCCGTCTGCCTCTTGGCCTACACACTGCAGTGTCTCATCAGTTTCAATCCTGGATAAACAACCTCCTTTGCATCCCATCCTCTTCCCTAGGACCTGGAGAAAGGATAGACAGAGCCAGCCCTTGCTGCTGAGGCGGAGCAGCTGCGAGGCCATAGCCTGGGCTTGAGTCCCAGCCCCATGACTTGCCAGCTGTGTGCCTTGGGCTAGTCACCTCGCCTCTCTGTGCCTCATTCCCTTTGTCTGCACAAGGAGTATTGAAACACCTTTTCTGGGGAGGCAGAGGTGAATCAGAAAGGATTTGGAGCCGACAAATAGCTCCAGGGAAGGGGTGCTTCCCAAAAAGGTGGCTGGCAAAATAACCCTTAACTCCTCCTCCCTCCCTCAAGGCAGGGCAGTGGGGTGGGTAAAGCCCAGCTCTGGAGCAAGATCACCTCGTTCAAATCCAGGCTTTGCCACTTATCGCCTGGGTGACCTTGGGTAAATTGCTTACTCCCTCCTCTGTGCTTCTGTGTCTTCATTTACAAAATGGGAATAATAATAGTACAGACCATGTAGAGACTACATAAGTTAATGTATGCCAACTGCCTAAAACAGCCTGGCACATCGCAGGTATGATATGTTTGCTATTATTCGTGTTATTATTATTAATTTAGCAAACATTTCCTGAGCCTCTCCCTCCTCTGTGCCAGGGGCCCTGAGCTAGACACAGGAAATAGACAGATGACAATGATGTGGCCCCTTCCCTCCAGGATCCCACCTGCTTGTAAGGAGACAGATATAAGCAGGAAAGGGCCCCCAGGGTGAGGGGTGTGCTCAGGGCGCAGAGGAGAGGGATGGGCTGTCCTGAGTGGGGGACAAGAGTGATCAGGAAAAGGTTCATGCAGATCTGCCCCCAGTGCCATAAGAACCAGGTGAGGGGGTGGTCGGTATCTTAGGATATTCAGGCTGGCTGTTAATGGGTGGGTAGGAACTGGGCAGATACCTTGTACCTGGCCCTGTGCTTAGCACACGGGATACAGATGCTTAGTGGCTCAGACTCAGCCACTGATGCCTGCATCGTTTGGCTGGGGCCCAAAGACACCCAGCAGAGACAAAGAGCTGGAAGTTGGCTCACCTCTGATTGCCCTCCACCAGCAGAGGGGCCTCATCTGCCAGAAAGAAAGGGCAGGGAAGCGTCCCAACCCCGGAGACCACAGAGACAGACCAGAGCCTGCCATCAGCAGAGCACGTAACTCCCACTACAGGCACAGAAATCCCAGCCTTGCCTCAAGGGCAGGGGCTGGTCTCATTTAAGTTGTCGACCCCAGCACAGAGCCCAGCATGTAGGCATGTGACAGGCAGCATGCGGGAGAAGGAGGAGTACTAGATTTGGAGTCTGGAGACACCAGCTCAAGTCCTGACTGCCACGTCCTTGCTGAATAATCCTGGGCAGGTCACTCCCCACCTCTGAGCCTCAGCGTCGTCATCTGTTAAATGGGCATGACTGGAGCTCCGCTAGTGCTGGGATGACTGTTATCCTCAGGCCCCTCGTCTGCATTAATGGGTGTGGGAATGAAGGAAGCCCAGGGTTCAGGCCTGCTGCGCTTGCCCAGAGCCTGGGCCACCAGGAGCAGCCTTGTCCTTGAGTTTCACACCATCATATCTCCCCATCCAGTTTGTGTGTGTGGAAAGCCTGGTGACCGCCGTGGTGGACATGTACCCCAAGGTTTTCCGGAGGGGTTACCGGCGGGAGCTGCTCATCCTAGCCTTGTCTGTTATCTCCTATTTTCTGGGCCTCGTGATGTTAACAGAGGTGAGTGGCATGGTTCGGGCCGCACGGGGTGAAGTGGGTGTGTGACGTCAACTCCCAGCTCTAAAAGTGACCAGCTGTGTGACCCGGGTCAGGTCTAGTGCCCTCTGCCACTCGGTTTATGCTTCCTCCTAGCGGGTCATGGTGAGGATCTAATGGAAGTTCTCATCAGGCCCTCAGCACAGTGTCTTCATGTGCAAGTGCTCAGCTAAAGGCCGCGGCTGTTATTCACAGAGGGGAGTCACACTCACCAGGGGAACGCTGGGTTGATCTGTCATGGTGAGCACATGGACTCCTGGGCCATCCCTAAGAATAACTTCTGGGTGAAGCAACAACGTCAGCTACTGGCCCCTACAGCATTTACCTATGAGTGGTCTCACGTTCAAAGCAGGCTTTTCTGGGCATCTCTGAGAAGAGGCTCCCATGATGATATTGGCACCTTTGGGCACCATGTGCACCAGCCTGGGACTTCTATGCGTGCCCCTCTTCTCATTGTCCCTGCTGGGCTTGCAGGTTAGGAGAGGTTCTCCATGACCTCCAAATTAAGACCATCTGATAAAACCATATTTTTCTCCCCCACCTCCCATAGCCATCCTGTCAAATAAATACCTTCTTATGTATCTTGGGAAGGTAACATTAGGTATTTTTCTCCCCATATACACAAAATTAATTAATTTAAAAACAAAAAAAAGAACTGTTGCCTAGAAACAAGAATAGGTTTTGTAAGAAACATGGAAAGAAATGAGGGAACTCAGAATCACTAAAAGCAACTGATGTAATATTGAAGTCAGGCTAGAAAGCATTTGGGTTCATGCCACCTTGTTGCATCTACTCATCCCCCCACTTTCCAACTCATATGCTGCCTCCTCCTGGAAGCCTTCTTAGCTTGCCTTCCCTCATTCATGCCCCCAGCTCCTAGCACTTTGTTTGTAGCTCAGTTCAGTCTCTTCTTCCCCATTACCACGATCTATGGTCCACCTGTTCACCTGTCTCCCCCACCAGACCTCAGGGGCCGTGAGAACAGGAGCCAGCCCTTGCTTGGCTTCATGCCCTCAGAGCCAATTCAGCACCTGGCATGGGGTGGGTGCTCGGTGCACAGTGGCTGGCATCATTACCTCGCCCAGTCATTGTCACATTAATGAGAGTGATAATCAGTGTTGGAGCAAATAAATGGTACGGTGCTTCCCAGTTTCCACCTCACTTCTCCCCACTCGGAGAAACCAGGCGCTGCAGTAAGCAGGGCCTCATTAAGCACTGATTAATTAGAGTCTCTCGTCACAGTCTTGTCACATACAAATTTGGGGGTTAGCCTGATGCGTTAAAGAGGCTAACGGACAGAATTCCAAGAGGAGCAGATGTTGGCACGGGCATCAGCTGCTTGGAGAAGGCAGGTGGTGGAGGGTGCTTCTTGAACTGCCTGCCCCAGGTGCCCCCAGCTCACCGAGTCTCTGATACCCAACCTCTGACTGAGGCCTCACATCTGCCCAAGGGGTGTTTCATGGCCCCCAGAGGCCATCAGGGAGCCAGCGCCACAGTCACCCAAGACTGTTAATCAGCAGGCGCTGGGGCTTCACATGCCAACCTTCCGCCTTCTCGGAGGACTATCTGTCATCAGTTGCAGTGGAGAAGTTCAAATTGCCAAATGGGCCGTGCCACCTTGGCCTTCATGGTAATTACTGGAAGGAACTTTCCCTCCTTATACACATTTAAACTCAGCTCTAAGAAAAATAGGCCACAAACTTCTTTTCTTCCACCAAGGCAGTGTGATGAGTGGTTGAGAGCATGGGCTTTGCAGACAGATGACCTGGGTTCAATCCTCAGCCCTTGACTAGCTGGCTAGATGACCTGCAGAAGGTGTTGTCGCTGCTCCGTGCCTCAGTTTCCCCATGTGAACAGTGGAGATAACACTAGTGCCTGCCTTGTAATTGTACCATGAAGGACCAACTGGATTAAGACACAGGAAGCGGTTTAACACAGCCTGCTACTTGCTGAATGCTGCATTAAGGTTTCTTTGTTCCTTTGTAGAGTATGATGTTCATGGGAGGAGAGCAACGGGAGGTGGGGGCGGGTCTTAGGTATTAACTCAGAAATACAAGCCCCGTACTCCACAGAGAGGTGCCTCAGACCTGCTCCTGACCCCCACAGACCTGAATATTCACTGTAGTTGTCACAGATGGGAGAACCCAGGCCAGGCATGGCCCGCTGAGAGATCCATTTTGTTTCACCCTCACTGTGTTTTTTAAAAACACGAAGTTGCCAACAATTATAACAGAAAAATTTCCCATACAAATCTGCGTTTCTGGTGTCTTCCAGAAAATCTGCAGATCTGGCCTCACAGCTGCATTCCCCAGCAACTGCCCTCCAGAGGTGTGTAGCTAGATGGGGCCCATACTCCCCAGTTAGCCATGGTCCCCACCACTCCCTGGTACCACACCCACCTCCCTTTTCTCATTCGTATCATCTGTCTGGCCTTGTGGGCATTGAGATGTTTCTCCCTGTCTAGATGAAGACATGAACGAGTCCCATGGTGTGTGGTCTGTGAGTGACAGGAGGAGGCCCAGGGCACTCTGGGAGCACAGAGGGGAAGCAGAACTCCAAGGAAGTCCCCATGGCAGGCGCACAGGAGGCTCTCCAGGTTTCATTCCAGCCCCCTAATGCACTGTCCTGGTATTCAGGCTACCCCACCCCACCTGATCCTTCCTAGCTCTTTGACACTTTTATTTCCCCTGCGTTTGATTGCATCCTCTAAGGACCCTCATTGTATTGTAAAGATTTTCTTTAGAGACCCCCGCTCTCCCTATATCTGCAGCTGGTGTCCTCTCTCCTCCCCTCCCTCCTAGAAAACCTTCCCAGATTACCTTGGTCAGCTGAGCTCACACATTCTAGGACATCACTAAACTCAATCATCATGGATTTGTATGCTACAGAGCTGGTCTGTGGTCATTTCTTCATCCCATGAAGATGGACCACATACCTCCTGCGTGCCAAGCCCTGGGCCAGAAACTGGGACCCAGCACTGGACAAAGCCAGTTGGACTCCCTACCCTATGGAGATCACACTCCACAGGATTTAACTTACGTTTATCACCACCTACTGTGCACCAGCCCCACTCCCCTCTTTTTTTAATTGTGAGCCCACAAAACATGCTATGAAGGCCCAAAGAAAGAATGAGACCATTAGAAAGGGCTTCCTGAAGGAGGTGGCATTTGATCTGAGCTTTGAAGGAGCTTACCAGGTGAAAGGGAATAGCATGTGTAGAGGCACAGAGGTGAGGCTGTCCCTTGGTCTGTCCAGGAGGGACTGTGGGAAGGGAGATGAGGCCAATGAGGAGGGCAGCAGCCGTGACTAGCAGGCTGAAAGGAGCCAGAGGGTCACTTTAAACTACCACGTGTTTGGTTGGATTTGCACGTTTCAGAGGAAGGTTCCTCTGAAAGCTGGCGTGCAGACGGATTGGAGAGGGTGAGGCTGGAGGCAGGGAGGCCAGTCAGGAGGCTGTTATACCCATCCAGGGAGAGGTGCTGAGTCTCCCCCATCTCGATTTTCTATGTAGTCTCTGGCCCTTGGGGTGCTGGAAAGTGAGGGGCTGAGACAAGACAAACCATCTGCGGTCCCAGCAGCCCCCAAAGGACAGGGAATTAGGGGGCTCCCAGATGGGAGGGTGCAATTTTCAAACTGGGAAGACTAGGGAGAAACAGATTCCTGGCAGTGGTAGCCACAGAGCAGAGAGAGGGACCTTCCTGAGGCCAGATGGCTGACCCTGCTCTCCCGTGTGTCCGTTCACCTCCCATCCGTGTGTCTGTTCCCCGACCTGCAGGGTGGCATGTACATCTTCCAGCTCTTTGACTCCTATGCCGCCAGTGGGATGTGCCTTCTCTTCGTGGCCATCTTTGAGTGCATCTGCATCGGCTGGGTGTATGGTGAGTAGCAGCCAAGCCCGTCCACACCCCAGCTGCCCACCAGGTACCCAGGATCCTGGTGCTTGGACTCTGGTTGGCTCTGGTTCTCTGTGGCTTATCTTGGTCTATACTGGCCTCTTCTTACTCTTCAGGGATTCCTTGGCCTTTTCCCACTGTTGGTAGACCTTCTGCTTTCACACCATGCAGCACAGGAAGGGGTTCAGGGCTCAGGCACTATGATCTTGGGCCAGTTCTGCCCCTGAGGCTCAGTTTTCCCCTTTGTAAAATAACAGTAGTCATCAACATGTCTCCAAGTGGGAGGAAGTGTAATCAAGCAGCAGCCTGCATGGTGCCTGGCCTTCCATAGACAACCACCTCAGGTCCTCCTGCTCCCCAAGCCCAACAGGTGGGTGAGGGTTGCTGGGCTCAGTGATGGTCACTCCTGCCATGAGTGTGGCTTGGGAATGGATGCCTCTGCAGGCCCCTGCTCTGTAGCAGCCCTGCCAGGCCCCTGCCTTCAAAATCCTCATCCCCACCCCTGATTGCCTTGCCTCCAAAGGGATCACCTTCCGCCTTTCTCCCAGAAATTCATCATTTCCTGGGCCTGAGGCCAGGAGAGCTCTCTCCAGTAGTGGGCCAGCATCCCTCCTGCTGCTCTTTATTCTGAAACCTCACACATGTAACATCTCGGTCGTTGTTTAAGCAGTACAAAGATTCCTGCAGCAGTTTTTCTGTCTCAGGCTGGAGAAAGCAAACACTCCTAGCCATTCCTCTGACTCATGTACAAAACTTCTCTGGGGTGTGTATGTTCCCCTCTGATTTATTCCGGACAGGAAGCAACCGGTTCTATGATAACATTGAAGACATGATTGGCTACCGGCCACCGTCGCTCATTAAGTGGTGCTGGATGATCATGACCCCTGGGATCTGCGCGGTAAGGGCCCCACCAGGAGCCACCTCCAGCCATCTACCCACCCATCTACCCTCCAACCCACGTTTCCACTCCGTAGCCCCCACCCTGGCCGAGGCTGGACCTGAGGAGGCTGATGTCCCCTGGTTCAGGCCACCTTACAAAGCTGCACCCATGGGCACAGGCTCTGGGCTTGGCCAAGGAGTGGCCTCATTGGGATCCCAGTGTTGCTGTGTGACTAGGAGCACAGCGCCTCCCTTCTCAGGACGTCAGGTGCTGCATACGCAAATCGGGCGCTGGATCCGCCTCAGAGGGCCGAGGACTATGTGGGGAACAAAGGCCTGTCCCCATCTTGTTGTTAACCATGAAGGCAGCAGAGCCAAGGGTGACACTGGGGTTCATGCTCTGCCTGAGACCGGACCACAGCGGGGCCTTTGTGAGCAGACATTTAATTAAAAAACATCCTATCACTCCTTATCCGTTTCTTGGCACTGGAAGTAACTCAGCATCTTCACAGACTGTTGTAGTTCTGAGAAGCAACTTTGAAACCAGTCCCGAGGAGTAACTAGAAAAAATAAAAATTCCTAACTGGGCAGAGGCCGGGGAAGAGGCTCCTGGGGGTGGGGAGAGGTCCTCACAGCCCAGCGAGGTCCCAGAACCCAGGGCCACGTTCCCTGAGCATCTGTTGCCTGTGGAATGGGGCTCTAGCCTGCTGTGCCTCAAGCTCACTGTGGTCCTGGCAGGGCCTCACTTTTCATGGCTGTGAAACAGGGCCAGCTTCCTCCCCTGCCAGCCTCTGGCTAGTCTGTTCCTGGGCCTCAGACCCCTCATGGCCTAGCAGGGCTGAGGGCCCATCCCCCAGGCACCTGCCCCCATCTCTCTGCAGGGGATCTTCATCTTCTTCTTGATCAAGTACAAGCCACTCAAGTACAACAACATCTACACCTACCCAGCCTGGGGCTATGGCATTGGCTGGCTCATGGCCCTGTCCTCCATGCTCTGCATCCCGCTCTGGATCTGCATCACAGTGTGGAAGACGGAGGGGACACTGCCCGAGGTGAGACCGCCCCAGGAGGGCTGGTGCGTTTGGGCAGGGTTCGCGCCTTGGGTCCCAGTTTCCTCATCTGCATGGTGCGCGATGACGGCCTGCGCCCACCTGCCTCAAGGGGACGCTGTGGCAAACTCCTCTCTGGCCAATGTTCAGTATCATGGTTGTGCCCAAGGTGTCTCTGTGAAGTCTTTTGGCTGAGCCAGTTTCTAGGAGTCCAGCCTCTGTCTTCCTGTCTGTAAAATGGGATAACCACAGTACCTAACTTACAGAGGCTGTGAGAACTCAGTGAGTTCATATAGGAAAAGCCCTGGGACCCAGACCTGGACCAGAGGGTAACAAGTGTTAGCGCTGACTGTTTTGTGAATCCCAATCATTCTGACCTGTCACTGTGCCAGGCCGTCTACCTGCTGTATCTCCTGCCATCCTCAGAGCAAACTGGGCGATAGGCATCATTTTCTGCAGTTAGCAGGCAGAGGAAACAGGTTCAGAGAAATCAGGTCACTTGCCTGAGGTCACACAGCCAACAGTTAGCAGATCACATGGTTAAAGACAATTTCATCAAAGTAGATTTTAGATATCCTAAAATTAACCCATTTCAGCCATACAGTTACACAATTTTTAGTAATGTTCCACATTGTGCAGTCATTGTCATGAATCTGCTTTAGGATACTTTCATTGTCCTAATAAGAGTCCTCATGCCCATTCATTGTTAACCCCTGTTCCACCCCCAGACAACCACAGATCTGCTCTGTCTCTGTGGATTTGCCTACCCTGGATGTTTCCTGTCACTGGAGTCCTACAGTGTGTGGTCCTTTGTCAGCAACTGAATCGTTACTGAGCCCATCTTACTCCAGAGCGGCACTCCCTATTCACTCTCCTTCCCTACCGCTGGCAGCCCGATGGTTTGAGTGGGTTTCTGCTTATTTAGTAAACAGCACAGGGTGTTTGTTGTGTGCCAGAAGCTGTTCTAAGCAGTTTACAAATACTAAGTCATTTAATCCGCATAGCAATCCTAGGGGGGTGGAGATTCTTTTTGTCTCCATGGATGAAGAAACTGAAGTACTGAGAAGTGAAGCAACTTGCCCAAGGGCACACAGCTTCTGAAGGATACAGCAGAGACTCCGGCTTGTGTGGTCCTGTCCCCTGAATTTCGCTGCCTCACCTTCCTCTGCTGAACCAGTTGCACTCCACTGTGTGGCCCTGTTTCTGCCCCAGGGCCACACCCCAGGGACTGCAGGAGTTGAACTTGGCCACCCAGGAGGCGATGGGGAGTGGGGGTATGCAGAGCCAGAATGCAAGCTCCAGCTCAGAGTCAGCTGCACCCAACCCACCTGCCTGCCCACCGAGGGGCCTGGGCTCCAGAAATAGTCATGCATCCAGCCAGAAGGGGCCAGCCACAAAGGAAAGTCTCTTTCTCAAGCCTGCTCATGCCCCAGAGCAAGTCAGGCTCCTTGGAGCCTGCAGGGAATGTAGGTCAAGGGCAGTTGGTTAATTCTGATCTCAGGCCAAACATGTCCAGAGGGAAGCTGACCTGGGGCCTTAAAACCTTGACCACTGGAAGACCCCTGCCCAAACTTCCAGATGGCCTTTTGGTGTTCAGAAATGCCTGGTGTTGCCTGCTAAATCCTCCAGAGATCATCTCCGGCCTGGTGTGGGCGGGAAAGCAGGGGAGGGAGCCTTCTTTCCTAAGCCCCCTCCATCTCCCTGAGCTCACATGTCTGCCGACGTGGACAGCAGGGTTTATTAAAGAGGGACTTCTTTGGAGGTGTCAGACCCAGTTTCCAGGCCCTCCTTACCGAGAGTCCTTGTGCCAGGTAGTCCACAACCCGAGCCTCAGTTCCCACAAAGCTGCTGCTGGGGGACGGGAAGGATCTAGAGGGAAAAATGAGGACAGAGGTGCGTCAGTGATGCGCTCTGAGGATGCATCCTACTGAATGATAGAAGGTAACATGGTGGCCGCTCAACTAATCTGATCCTTATACTAACCCCGGAAGGCAGGTACCGTTATTATCCCCCTTTACAGATGAGGAAACTGAGGCACGGGGGGTTAAGCTTCTTGCCCTTGTTAAATTGTAGAGCCTGGACACAAACCCAGGCACCTGGCTTTGGAACGCGTGCTCTAGCCCCAGATCCATGCCAGAGCCTGGCACGGTGCCTGGCACAGAGGAGGCACCTATTAATCGCACAGGTGAGTCTGCCTGTTAATCCTACCTGGACAGTGTGCCACAGCAGGCACAGCAGGATCTGAAAGAGAACATGGAACCTCGATCCTGAGAAACCAGCCACCCAAAAGACTTTGCAACCTTCCTCGGGAAATGGTTTATGCCCAGAAAGGGCCCCCCAGATCCCAGCCTGGAGTCTTCTCCCAGGAAACTTGGGGAGTGCAGATGAAGCTGAGGGATAGGGGCCTGAGGCAGGGCCACATCTGGCCTGAGGGGCAGGGCTGTGGGGCAGAAGTCTGCATCCATCAGAGCCAGCCAGCTGGTGCGGGCTGCTTTGCAAGGCAGGCTGAGGCTGTGAGCCTTGGGCTTTGTGATAATGCTTCTACCTTTGAGCACAGCTGGAGGAACACCCAACACACACTACACCTTCCCCGACATGATGGCACCCCTTCCAAGGGGAATGCACCCAGGTATCCAGCAATTGTCCTGTAAACAGCCCTGGAGATGCATTACCACCCAGCAATTCACACCCCAGCTTCTCAGTGTCCCTTGAGGGCAGGCACCAGGCAGTGGACCCTGATGACCGCTCTGAGTCCCAGCAACCTTTCCTAGCCAGGTGCGAGGCTAAGCACTTTCCATAGCCTCTCCTTACTCTTGACCTAATGCCAGGAGTAGGGACCTCTACGGTCCCCATTTTTCATAGGAGGAAACTGAGACCCAGGGAGGTTGTTCATCATCCAGGACAGAGCTGTAAGGGGCCAAGCTGGGGCCCGGACCTTGGTCTGAGAATTCTCCAGCACCCAGATGTCCGCCGTGTGCTTGGGAGAGGCCACGGCAGACCCTGGACCCTGGCAGCTAATCACTCAGATCTTCCCCTCCTCTCCAACCATCCAGAAACTCCAGAAGTTGACGACCCCCAGCACAGATCTGAAAATGCGGGGCAAGCTTGGGGTGAGCCCACGGATGGTGACAGTTAATGACTGTGATGCCAAACTCAAGAGTGACGGGACCATCGCAGCCATCACAGAGAAGGAGACGCACTTCTGAGCGGCCACCAGCCATCTGGGGCTCTTCTTCCTTTCTTCCCCCCGTGTATGTAAATGAATTCCTGAACCCCATACTTCACCTAATGGTAGGGGCTTGCTTGTTTTGCACAGGATTAATTAACAAGTTAATTTTAAGGTGGCCACTGTACACTGCTCTAAAGTCATATCCCCTCCCCGCCCCCAGTCATCATGGAAGTAACCACTACAAAGAGATAACACTGTACGGGGACTGCCAGATCTTCTGTCCTAGGGCAGTTTTAATCAATGTTTTCTAGGGATTAGGAAGAAGTGTATAATATTGTAAAACTTTTTTTACTGGGGTTGTGGGCCAGGTGGGGTGGGGAGTGATGGCTGTCCTCCTCTGTCGGCCTTTTAATGACCGTTCTGTGTCCCATGTATGTCTCTGACCATCCACAGCCGCCCCTCCTCCATACCCCAGGGATAATTTTTCCTTCAAACCTTCCCTTTCCAAGGGACACTGGGTTTGCAGACAGCAAGGCTATGTGGCAGAGAAGAAAAAGTCCAGCAGACTCAGGACTCCTGGGCTGCAGGCCCCCCTCTGCCCTGATCCCATGAAGTGACCTTGGGCACTCCCTTTCCCTCCCTGGGCCTCAGTTTCCCCATCTCCCAAATGGGAGGAGGAGCCGGATTGGGTTATTTCTTAGGGATTCTCTTTGTGTGCCTTGCTGGCTTCCAGACCTGCCGTGGACCTTGGCTTCCTCTGAAGACTTGCAGGCAATAATCTCCGCCCTCCCAGTTGTACCTCCTCCCCACCTGCTTATTTAAAATCAAGTTTATTGTAGAAATGGTGTGGTGTTGATGTGTGTTTTCCCTAAAACTCTAATTTCATCTCATCTGTGGGCAGCCCTGCTCTCTGGACACCAGTGGGTCCTCAGCCCCCATGGCAGGGGCTCCTCTGTCTGGCCTGCCTTTTTTTCCTGGTCAGCTGCTCTTAGCGCCGGCTCTGCCTCTCCACCCTTGGCAGGGCTGGCTGGAGTTGCTGTGGGGACTGATTTTCTGGGTGGGGAAGCAGCCATCTATTCTTGCAGCCATCTCAGCCAGGGTCTATGTCTTAGGACCTTCCTCCGGCCTTCCATGAGAAGCAGCCACAGGGGGCCTGGTTTCCTCCTAAGGCCCTTCTCTGTCCCAGGCCACCTCTTCTCCCTCCTCCTGTCCCCTAACCTCCACCTACCACCATCCTCCCTCTCAGTTCTCTCCCATCCTTGCCCCTGGTTCAGGAGCCATTCTACCTGCCTCAGTGGCCAGGCGCAAGGCTACAGGTGCAGTCACCTGTTCCCGGCCACCTTCCCTCCCATCTTTGGCAGACAGAAGTCTCAGCTCTCACTAGAGGGAAGACCTGGGCATCCTGCTGGCTCCTCTCTCCGTGGGGCCTGGAGTCTGGTGCTGTTCCCCAGCCAGCCTGGCTGCAGACCTCTCTGGCTGATACCGCTCTTCTTCTTTAATTGGACTTCATATCAAGCCTCTGCCTTGGTTTCTGAGCTATATGAGGGTGGGGAAGGCACACTCTTTTTTCCTTTTTCCTTAGGTTCCCAATATTATTTGGTGGAAACGTGGGCTTTCTCCAAACCAAGGCCTGAGTTTCCTGTAAGGGTCCTCTGTTTTTGATTCACCCAAAAGTCTGCAAACCCCCAGCATCTCTGCTCTGGCCAGCCCTGATCTGAAGCCTGTGTCTACTAAGAGGGATGCCCAGTGCCCCACTGGGCAGGACGGGAAGCCTAGCCTGGGCCCCCTCTGTGCACACAGTTCAGGCCTGCCCAGCTTCTTATGGGCAAGCCACCATCCCACTCTCGTCTCCCTGAGCTGTCTGGTTCTGCGGACCCAGGAAGGGCCAGGCTGGGGCCCTGCTTGTGTTTATCCTCGGCTGCTGTCTTCCCAGCAGGCCCCAGGCAAGGAGGCTTCCCATTGCTGCTGCTACCGGTTCTCCACAGATCCCTGTGGTCCGCCATCGCCGACACACACACACGTCGTAATGTGGCTAACGCTTGACTCACTTAACACTACTCATGGGGCAGGGCGGAGGGTGGATTGTTGCTTTTTGTTTTTTGTAATTTCCTACTAGTATTTGGGTAACTTTGGGGGTGGGGAGGGCAATGTGGGGGCAGGGGAACATGTCATTGTGATGACTTTTTTGATATTCATTAGAAACAATACATCCTTTCTGAGATATTTACAGTATTATTAAAAAATGAAAAAGGTTGTACTGTTTTGCATAATGAACATTTTTATTGGGCATTCAAAGGGTGCAAGATTGTCTGCTTACTCATTTTTAAAAATTAAAGAAATGAACAATCAGTGTGGCTATTCCTAGCAAGGTGGTATTCGTTGGGTTTTTTGTCCTGGTTTTATTCCCTCCATGATATGCCTGCAAAACCATCTTGGGTCCCTGTGTGGAAGCTGCAGTCTCAACTCAGCACTACAAATTAGAAACAAAAGCAGTGGTGTTTTAGGAGCCCAGACTTCTTTAGGTTCATGTATTTACCATTTGCCTAGTATGTGCTAGATGCTTTACAGAAGTTGTCTTTTTAATCCTTACAACAACTCTGTAAAGTAGGTACTTCTCCACTTTATTTATGTATTGCTTTATTTCTTTATTACTTCCCCTGTTTTACAGATAGCCATCTATTCTTGCAGCCACCCCAGCCAGGATCTATGTTCTAAGACCTTCCTCCAGCCTCCCATGAGAAGGAGCCACAGTGGGGCCTGGTTTTCTTCTAAGGCCCTTCTCTGTCCCCAGCCGCCTCTTCTCCGTCCTCCTTACAGATAGGGGATTTTGCGGCACAGAAAAGTCAAGCAATTTGCCCACGGTAACACAGCTAGTAAACATCAGGACCAGAAAGAGAACTCAGGTGTGTCTGACCCAAAAGCCCTGTCTCCTGACCACAATGCCTTATTGTTTCTCGTGCTATGAGGCCTAAATAAAGCAACAGCCCCCTCACAGTGGTGAAAATAGCTGCCACAAAACTTATGCTTGTGTCCTAGTAGGCAGACACTCATGTTTGAGGCAGGCAAGGCAGAGCACAGAGAGATGAGGATTTGGAGTATGCAGCCCTGAGTTAGGCTCCAGGATCTGCCCTTGCCAGCCTCAGTTTTCTCATCTCCAAAATGGGGATAATAGCTCCTGTTTCAAATACAGGGTCTAACTCTGATGAGGTAATGCAGGCATCACGGGATCATGAAGATCCCGTGAGCTCTGTGTGTGAATGGTAAGGTTCTGAATTCACACTAGTTATTATCCTGAATAAATAATGCCTAAGCTCAAAAAGTGTTTGTAGTATTGCCTAGAACTTAGACTAAAGCCTCTAAATTTGTGTCTGATATTTCTAAATGGCTACTCTAGACCACAGGCATGTTTTGTCCTGCCAGCTCATGACAGTAAGATCATCTTATGCAGTGTCTACTCATTCCTGTCTGGTCAACTTTTTGCTTGAAATCCCTGATCTCAAGTCTACCTGACCCTGTCTTGGCCTTTGATCCTCTCTGAGGTGGTAATATCTGCTCGTAGGAAAGCATCCCACAGACTTCTGGAATTCAGAAAGTCTCTGTGATCCACAGCCAGGGTCCCTGAGTAATTCCTACCCTCACAGAGCCACAGGGATTGCTGCAGTCACCTGTTCCCTGCCATCTTCCCTCCTCATGTCTGAAAGTGTCTTGCATTAAGCAGCTGTCATATGCAAGAGGAGGCTGAGTCACAGAAATATGAGTTTCACTCATTCCCAGGAAACTTCATTTGCAGACTCTTGAGCCTATAGAATTAATAGCATGAGGAATTAATTGACGCACTAGACCCCTCCAGGCTGCAGTGTGTGCTAGTGACCCCTGCTGGCCAAGTGGGACACTGCAGGCTGCCTCTACTAGACACTGCCAATAACCAGAGAAGGGGAAAGGAGCTTTGGCAGTGAAGTCAAGGCTACCTCAGGCCTAACAGCATTTCCCATGGGGGAGGGGATCAGGCACCAAAGAGCAGGCATATTCTGCTGAAAGTGGCCAACTTTGGAAAATTGAGTTCTTTCATGCATTCAGCAGCCCTTTACTGAGCAGCCACCATATTCTTTGTGTGGACTCAGGACTAACAGCCCCTTCCCTGGAGTGTTCCTACTCTTAGGAGGAGAGGTGTCCATACGCTTCTGGACAGGAGTAAGTTCACAGGGAGATGCTGTTCTGATTCTGACCTCCTGTTCCTAGCCGTCTTCCAGCCAGTTAGAGTTCTTCAGTGTGGCAGTGAGCAAGTCTGCCCACTCCTTGGGCCTCGGTTAGCCACTGGTAGAATGGCAAAGAAATGAGACCCAGAGAGGGAATGTGATTTGCCCAAGATTCCCCTAGAACTCTGTATTCCCATCTCATAATCAGTCCCCTGCACCATCTCAAGCCGTTAAAAAGCAAATGAGCTTGGGCCCCTCATTACCCATTAGGGAGAAAAGTCAGCCTTTGTTGCCAACTCTGGCCACTTCTCTCTCATTTTTAAATAATGCCCACTTTGTGAGGGATACTGGAAAGAGTAACACATGCAGCACTCTCTGAGCATCCAGCGTGGCTCAAGTGTCAGAGCCACTTCACAGGAAACCATATGGCAGGATGTGCCATGGACTGAGTGCTGGGGAAGTACTGCAGGCAGGAATAAGAACTGTTTATGGAGCACCTGCTGCGTTCCAGGGTCGTGCCTGCATTACCTCATCAGAGCCTCACAACAAATCTAAGAGGTAATTGTCATTAATCCCATTTTTCATAGGAGAAAACTAGAGTTCAGAACTGTAAATAATGTGCTCTAAGAGATACAAATTACACCTCCTGGCAAGTGGAGGAGCTGGGTTTGGATCCAGGTTTGCTGGATCTAAATAAGGCCCATGTGCCCAGCCACTTAACCAAGGATGTGGGACTTGAGTTGCACCTTGGGGGATGGGAAGACTTAGGCAGAGAAGGACATTTGAGATGAGGGAACATCCCGAGTGATGACAGAGGCTTTGGGAGAGCAGGGAACCAGGGTACTCCCCATTCACTGCAGCCTCCACTTTCTGGGCTCAGGTGATCCTCCCACCTCAGCCTCCTGAGTAGCTGGGACAACAGGTGTGTGCCACCCTGCCCAGTTTTGTTTTTTTTTTTTGTAGAGACAGGGTTTCACCCCAGTCTACTTTCTATAACCCCTCATGTATCTTCACCAATCTCTCTGGCAGAGCAAGATCAGGTAACACCATGCTTATCATGGAATGGCATCTGATGCTGGTCCCCCCACAGGACAGGAGCTTGGATGAACAAGTGCCCAGCTTGCCCCAGAGTGGGGAGCCATGGGAAAAGGAATACATAGGCATTGAAGACCTACTCAGTGCTGGAGACCATACCAGACACTTTCCTATGCATTACCTTGCCCTCAACTGCCTTGTAAGTTGGCATGGTGTTCACATTCTACCAGGAATGAGGAAACAGGCTCAGAGAGGTAGATTCAGCTACCCAAGGTCACAGAGCTGGAAAGTGGTAGAGCCGGGGTAACAGCCCAGGTGTGTCTGGCGCCAAGGCCCATGCACTTTCCACCGACCACCTGTAGTAGTCAGGCTTCTCTAGAGAAACTTCTCTAAACATTGGATAAAAATATATAGAAAGAGACTTATTATAAAGCATTGGCTCATGCAATTATGGAGGCTGAGAAGTCCCATGATTTACTATCAGCAACATGGAGACCCGGGAAAGTCAACAGTGTAGTTCCAGTCCAAACCCAAAGGTTTGAGAGCCAAGAGCACTGACGTGCAATGGCAGGAGAAGATGGATGTCCCAGTTCAAGCAGAGAAAAATTTTCCCTTCACCTTTTTGTTGTACTTGGGTCCTCAAAGGATTGGATGACGCCTGTCTGCCTTGGTGAGGGCAGGTCTTGTTTACTAGGTCTACTGATTCAACTGCTAATTTCTTCCGGAAACACCCTCACAGAGACGCGAGGAACAATGTGTACCAGCTATCTGCACATTCCTTAGCTCAGTCAAGGTGACACATGAAATTGACCATCACAGCACTGTTGGGAGCCACTGAGTGTCACCACAGCCATCAGCATTGAGAGGTTACTCAAGGCCATAGAGAAGCTATGGATGGTGGTGGAGGCCATGTGGGGAAGGTCTGAGGGTCTTCAGGGGCCTTGGAATGCCTTTGGTGACACTAGGGACCTCTGGAAACCTTCACAATTTCCCAGAAAACGATAGAAGGCCATGAGAGTTCACTGATAAAGACAAGGGGATGTTAAAGCCAGTGAGAGGCATTGGAAGTACCTGGGAACCCCCAGAGACCTGAAAGAGATGTTGCAAGGGGAGAGGGCCTGGAGACCCAGTAGAATTATGTGGAGCCATTTGGGAGTTACGAGAGACTGGGAGTGACAGGAGTATATGAGAGTCATAACGGCTACTGAAAAAAAAAAGGAGGCTCATTGGGGAGCATTAAGAGGTGCTGAGAGCCATCAAGAGTTATAAAAAATATCAGGGCTCTTGGTCATGACTGGGGGGTATTTTAGTCATCCAGAGTCCTAGGGAGTACTTGGGGTCACCTTGGGGGGCCCTGCCTGGGGGAGCAATATGCAGGATGTAGCCTTGAGGAAAGGGGAGGAGGGTAGCTCAGAAATGCTCTTACAGCGGGGCGCAGAGATGGGGGAGCTGGAGCCAACACGAATAAAGGGGCCGGATGCCCAGCTGCCATAGATGGAAAAGCCAGGCCAGAACTCCGCAGACCACGATAGGCGGCCGGCAGGTACATGATGGGACAAGGACTTTTTGACCTTGATCTTCCTAGGCTTGTACAGGCCTGAGTTTTCTTGAGATTCCCAACCTGGGTGTGCCAGATCCCCCATCTGGGTCTAGCCAACACTTGGCTTTTCTTATTCTCCTGGGAATTTTCTCTGCCGTTCTTTTCAAAGCCAACCATTCCTGAAGTGAGGAGGCTCTTGTAGCCCAGGCTGAGCCAGGAACTCAGCCCCCCACCAAAGGCAAAGGATTTAGGGGAAACCTAACAGAGGAATCTGGGCCTGAGCTCTGGGAGCCCCTGGTCAGATGATGGAGAGAGGGGCAGAGGACCGTGTAGAGTGAAGGCAAGTGTTATTTATTGAGCACCTACCATGCACCTCGGATGAGGTGGGTGTTTTCCATAATCCTCAAACCAACCACTGGAACTGTGATTTGTTCTCATTTTACAGATGTGCACACAGGCTCGGAGAGCTAAAAGGAGGAACTTGCCCAACATCACACAGGCTGTGCCGGAATTCAAAGCCAGGTGGATCAAACCCAGAATTCTTGGCTTTTTCCCTCTATACCAGGCAACTATTGGCTTGGCCCAGGTCTCTAGCAGGGAAGAATGAGCCCTGAGCCTTCCTGCCCTTATCCACTCTCCCCCACCCCCACCCCTCCATCCCAGTCCTGGGCTCAGAGGGGCCTGTGGCTGGCAGATCCAGGCTCTGTTAGCAGCAAGTCAGCCACCAGGTGGCGCTGCTGCTAAACCCAAGCCCCCTCCCTGTGGTCCTGGCTCAGGCCAGTGAGGTCAGGACTAGAGCTGGGACCCCACAGTTGAGACTAGAGGATCCAGAGGTCTCACTCTGGGTGCCCAGATGGGGGACAGAAAGGCTGCCCTTGTCAAACGCGCACAATTCATCCTTCTCACCCTGCCCCATCCCTAGCTCACGTTTGCAGCACTACCCTAACAGCCAGAAGTGAGGGTTCTTAACTCTCTCACTCCTTTGCTGTGTGACCTTGGGCAAGTGACTTTGCCTCTCTGACTTCAACGTCCTCTTCTGTACAAGTGGACAGAATAAGCCACTCAGGGGTGCCGAGAGGATGAGATGAGATGATGGTGTGTGTCAAGCGTCCGGCACACAGGGAGAACATGGCTCTCCCAGTGAGCCTCCTTCCTCGGGTCCATGGTCAGAAGGGCCCCAGCCGGTGTCAGGAGACCTGCACCCTAGCTCTGAATTCGCTGTGTGCCTTCAAAAAAGACATGCTGCCTCTCCAAGTCTCGGTTTCCTCATCTGTAAAGTGGCACTAATCACAGGAACTTTCTTTTTGGTTATTCTGAGGATGAAATGAGAACATGGCTATATGGCATTTGTTTTATAAAGCCCCACATGATCAGGAAAGGTGATTATTGAAAGCATTTCTGCAGCAGCTTTCAGGGGGTGGGATTGGGTGAATGTGTAAATAGTGGTGAGGTGGGAGAGGTGACCGGGCACATGGGACAGGCTGCGGGTTTTGCTCTGTGTACCTACAATGACACAGGCCCCTTGTGCCACACCCTACTTGGCATCTTCCCGGCCATGCCCCAAGCCCCTATCTTGCTCCATCTATCCTGGAGTCTTGCCCCAACCCGTTTAAACACAAAAATGTCTGAGTGCCTGCACGGAACAAAGACGAGAGGCAGAACACGGAAATGTCGATTGTGATTATCTCTGAATGATAAGGTTTGGGCTGATTTTTATTTTCTCCTTTTTCTTTTATTTTTTCTGTACCATCTAATTTTTTTTTAACAAAGAACATCTATTGCTTTTATATTCCAAAAACCAGAATCAATAAAGCTATTTTTAAAAATCCTTTCCTTGCCATCAAGAGGTTGGTTATAAATGAAGGCTCCAGAGAAAGAAACAATGATTCTCCTGTGGCTGGAAGATGTGGCCAGAGGGAGATGGGAGGGGAGAGGAGGCGTCACCACGTAAGCTGCCTTCAGTCCTGTCTCCAGCCTCCCCTGGGAAGCCAAGGAAGAGGCAGATGCAGCAGGACCCCTCCTCCGGGCCACAGAGCTCCCCGTAACATTTATGGGCCAGCATTCCAGGGGCCTTGAGCTTGCCGCTTGTCTCTGGGAGCTCGTCATGGTTGTTGAAGGAAGAAGGGAGCAAACAAGCCAGGAAGCCATGCTTGGTGAGGGCTGACTATGAACTAAGTGCTGCCACCTCTATTAACTCATCAGACCTCCCTCCCCACACTCCCCTGTTGAGGGAGCTGGGATTATCAGCCCAGGTTACAGATGAGAAAACTGAGATATGAACTTACATATCTGACTGCCTTCTGGATCTCTCCTCTTGAACATCCATTCAGCATCTCAAACCCAATTTTCCCAACTGAATTCACCTCCTCCAATCCTTACCCCCGCCCAGCCTATTCCTTCCTATCTCAGTAAGTGACACCGCTGTCCAACCACTTCCTTTATTCGGCAAATATTGATGGAGCATCATCTATGGCCCTGCCCTCGGGGAGCTCGCACTCTCGCCAGAGGAGACAAGAACACGGACATTTTGGAAAGTAAAATTATGCAGTGTGACAGAAGATGATAAATTATCTGGCTAAAAATAAGGTAGGGAAGAGGTATAGGAAGGGTCAGAATGGGGAGGTTGGAATTTTAAACAGGCTGGTCAGGGAAGGCCTCATGGGGAAGGTGAAGGAGGGCGGCGGTGGCTGTCCCAAGAGGAGCATCCAGGCACAGAGATCGGTGTGTGCAAAGGCCCTTGGGTGGGCGCTTATCTGCAGTGTTCCCAGGCAGCTAGGAGGCCAGGGTTGCTGATGCAAAGTGAGCAAAGGGCACTGGTGGAAGGGGAGGCCAGAGAAGTGGTGGGCAGATCACAGAGAGCCCCGAGGCCAGTGCAGATGTGCAATGAGGATGAGTGAGGGTTCTCAGCAGGAAAGGGACCTGCTCTGATTCCTGTTTTAATAAGGCCCCTCGGGCTGCTGGCAGGGGCTTGGGTGGAAGCATGGAGACCAGGGAGGAGGCTGTTGTCCTCCAGGAAAGAGATGATGGTGGCTGTACCAGAGAGAAGGGGATTCGGGATCTGATTCTGGGTATATTTTGAAGGTAAACCAGCAGGGTTTCCTGGTGGATTGACAGAGAGAGGAGTTGAGGATGACTGAGGTTTGGGGCCAACTTGTCAAGCGAGAAAACCTCCTCATTCCCCGCATTCAATCCACCGGTGAGTCTCATTGGCTCTTCCTCCTTTAAACCTCTCAAGTCCACTCACTCCCTCCACCCCAGCCACTGCTTTGACCTCCCATCATCCCCTGGACTGCTGTTGCCTCCTCCTGGCCAGCTTTCCCTGCCTTCTCCGCCAACGTGCCTTCCCCTCAACCCCTGTGGTGGGGCGGTTCATGCCTGTTAGCACTCATGGCAGACCTGAGCCAGAGCCCACCACTGTCAGGGAACTTCCCTTCTGCCTGAGAGTTACCACCCCAAAAGGAAATCAGGGGGCCAACAGATGGGGGATGATGCTGGCTCACCAAAAACCCACCATGTCCACCACCAGGGCCAGCTGCATGACAACCAGGCATCGTTCAGCAGGGAGAGGAAGGAGGCCCCAGGGTCGGCAAAGGCTGGGCCTTTGAAGAAGTTCATAGCTCAGCGTGGTCTCTGGCATCTCAAAGGTGTGGATCTGAATCATGGCTCTATCTCTTACACCATCTGGGTGACCTTGAGCAAGTCTCTTCACCTCTCTGAGCCTCCCTTTGCTCATCTGCAAATTGGAACCAATAATCTCTGAGCCTCAAGATTTTTGCAAGACCTGGGAGTTCCATTAGGGTGTTGGCTTACGTTAACCTAAAACAGTGCCTCCCAGGGCCTGATGGGCCCCCATGAAAGGAATGGACACAGCTTTGGAGCCAGACAGACTGGATTCCCATCCCAGCTCAGCTGAGTGACCTTGGGCAAACCTCTTCCTCTCTGAGCCTCCATCTCCTCCCCTGCAAAACAGAGCCCCCGTCTCACAAAAGAAGCAGGTGTACATGCACCCAGCACACAGTAGGTACTCAGCCACCATGCTAGAGAGTTTGGACTTCACCCTGGAGGCAGCTGGACCCATTGCTCCCACGCCCCACTTCCTGGGCCAGGGCAGCTGCAGGCCTGATGGGGTGTTTTTATCTCCAAGCCGCAGTGGGCTCCGCAGAGCTCGGCAGAGTCCCTGGGCGCATGGACAAAGAGCTGTTGTTCCCTCGAATCTAAAATTGCCTCCCTCTGATTGCCGCTATACAAACCCAGGCGGCTGCTCGCTTCCCCCATCCAGTTGGGTCTATTTCAAGAACACGCTGATTAGCGCTGATTGCGCCTTGATTGTGGCGGGCGCCTTGCCCAGCCCCCTCCCCGTGTGCGGAGTACATGCTCCTGCTCCCCCACCACGGCTCCTGCTGTCACCCAGGGGCCACCAGACCAGAAGACCGGGCGAGTGGTGCAGCACACATGAGCTAGGGTCCTCATTCTTCCTTTGGGCAGATGACCTTCCCTCTCTCAGATCTCTACTTCGTCCTCTGTAAAATCCTTCTGGGCTCAGAAGGGTATGGAATAAAATAGCATGTGGAGGAATGTGGCTTTCATGGTGGGCATTTAGACACTGTGACGGGTCGGTGGCCAGGGGAAGTGGCTCTTCAAAACACCCCATCACACACACACTTGGACACACATATGCACACACATGCAGACACACACACAAACTCACAGATGCCATTCATGCCTCTGGCTGCACTTGAGGCCACCCTTGGTAGGGGCGGGATGGAGCTTTAATAATTAGACTTCGCTGCACTGGGCATCTGACACTTGCCTTGGGCACGTCATCCACGCAAACCCCACAACCATCTTTTCAGCACATATTTTGTGCCCATTTTGCAGATGAGGACCCTGAGGTTAACGGAGGTAATGTGACTTGCCTCGCGTCTCGCAAAGAGGGAATGGTGATGTCAGGATTTGACCCAAGCTCCGTGTGAGGCAGAAGCCAGTGTTCCCACCACCCCATAGCCTGCTCGGGGTTTGCGCCCGTTTGAATGGAAACTATGAGTGGGAACAGCTTATGAGACATCTTATGCTGGTTATTTTTACTGCATTCATCCTGTGTGATCCTGGAAAAGTCTCTTCTCCTGGTGGGGCCTGTTTCTTCCTCTGTAAAATAGGGTGCCCCTGGTCATGGACTGATTCTTGGACTTTCCTGGAAGCACATTTCAAAAATGCAGATTCTCAACTATGTCCTTAGAGGTCTGGAATCAGTAGGCCTGGGACGGGCCCAGGAATCAGTATTTTAAGACACTCTCCCGGTAACAGTGGGCACCAGAGGGACAGTGGTTTGGGAAAAGTCTCCTCCCTGGCGAGTTAAGCCTCCTCCCTGGCAAGATGGTGAGTTAAGCCATCTTGTCGCCCAAGCCAGAAACCCAAACATCAATCAATCCTGTCCCAGACTCCCTCGTGCAACTGCAATCATTGTAAGATCTACCTGTTTACTCTCAAAGGGGCCTCTCTGCACCCCTGCTGCCTCCTCACTCACCCAGCCCAAGCCCCATCACCCCCACACCTGGACCACTTCCGGGGTCTCCTTCCGGGACTCCCTGTGGCCGCAGTGCACACCCCCACCCTCCACTTTGGTCCATTTTCTACACAGCAGATAGAATGATCTTGAAATGCAAATCTGGGCACCAGCCCTGACCATTCCCAGCTTAAACCATCAATGGCTCCCTATTGCTGCAGGTATTAAGATTAAACCCTACATAGTGGCCTACAAGGCTCTGCAGAGACTGGCCCCTCTCCCTCTCCAGCCTCATTTTACACCACTAACTCCCTGGTCTTCTCTCAGACTTAAGATTTTAATCCACTCTGCGCCTGTCCACCAGAGGGCCTCTGCCTTGCCGTGTTTCCTTCCTGGATAGAGGATCTTGTCTCCCTTCTTCTAGTTAACTCTGGCCCATTCATTAGACTGAGCTCAGCCCTCACTTCCTGGAACTATCCTGAGACGAACTCTGCTGTTCCGGGGGTACTGAGCTCCCCGCATAGGGAAAATGCAATCTAATTCTGCATATCTGCCTGACAGGAGATCATGGAGAAGATGGCTGCTTTGGGTCTGAGCCCTGGATCCTTCTCCCTCCTTAGGAGAGCCTGTGGTTCTCTAGGACTAGGGAGCCGTGCCCTCCTGTGATGGGGGGAGTCAGGGGGGCAGCGGAGACCTGGCCTGGGTCCTTGGAATCCCAGGCAGCCTAAGCCAAGGCCTGTTGGCAACAGCAGGAGCTCCAGAGCTCTGGCTCAGGGACTGGAGTTCTCATTGGATTTTCCACTTGGCCCCCAGGTCCTGGGCAGCGCTAGGAGGTGGCATAATCTGAAGACCTCTGACTCCTGGTTGGTAGGTCCTTGCAGCCTCAGGGGCTTCTGAGGGGCACGCATCAGTTCCCTCCCCTCCGCTGTCTACTCCTGGGAGAGCCCTTCTCTCTCAGGCATCTCCCACCCCTTTCCCACTCCCTTCCTCTGTCTCACTGCCTCTTTTTCTCTTCAACACCTCTGCTCCTCTCCCACCTCTCCCTCTCCCCTCCTCTCCCTCCTCCCCATCCCTACTCCCCCAGGCTCCTTTCCTCTCCACACTCCTGCTGCCTCAACTTCCTCCTCCCCTCTTTAGGCGCCTCTCCCTGTCTGCTACCTCCATGCTGCTTATCTCCCCACCTCAAACTCTCTCTTTCTCTCTCTCTCACACTCCACTCTGTGCACCATACTGAGGAGGCCTGCAAGCGCCCTGCAGCCCTTGGGGATGTGGCTCCGACATTCCATCCTGAGGAAGAAGAGGAGGAGGGAGACGTGGCTTTCAGAAGTCCCTCCTTGCTGTCCTGGAGCAGAGCAGAGCACCTGGGGAGTGGGGAGGAGGCCTGGGCTGTGGTGAAAGGAGGCTCAGAACAAAACAGGGACTTAGGGGGGTCCAGAGCACAGGCTCTGGAGTCACACAGGCCTGGGTTCAAATCCTGGCTCTGCCACTTCCTGGCTGTGTGACTCAGGGCAAGTCACTTGAACTCTCTGGGCCTCAATTTCCCCATCTGTAAAATGAGGATGAAGCTAGTTCCTGCCTCCTGGGGTTGTTGTGAAAATCCAGGGAACTCATGCAAAGTGCTTGACACCAGGCCAAAAATACAGGGGGCGATCAGTATCATGAATAGGGAGTCAGGGACTGGCCTTGGCCCCAGACTTCACATCTGGGAACTGGGCTGGGCATCTGAGCCATGCATTTCTAAATGAACCCTCAGAGGAAGGAGGGGGGTCCAGGGTTAAGACTCCACACCTGCCATCACGGTGAGGACTGGAATGACTTGCTGCCATATTGTTCCAGTGCCGAGAAAGGTGAGGCCACTGGCCCCAAATCTCACAGCACGCTTAGCAAGGCCAGCACTTGGACTCAGTGGCGTGGCTCCTCCAAACCTGTCTCCCTCCATCACCTGGAATTGGGTCCCAACTCTGGGGATCCTCCTGAGGTTGGCACAGATGGGCTCTTCAGGGCCCATGTGTGGGATGTGGGAGACAGACAGGATGTTTGCCCAGACTCCGGGATTCTGCAGACCCCCGCCCCCTACCCCCTGTTGCTAGGCAACAGCTGCTCATTGCTGAGGGTACCTGCAGAGGTGGAGCAGAGGGAGGTGGAAGCAGCTGGCTCTGTCCTTCACAAAGAGTCCTGTGGATGCTGCTCCCAAGTCAGGTGCAGTGAGGATCAGAACCTCCAAGATGAGCAGGGACTTGCCCAAGGTCACTAGAGATGTGGGCTAACACATCCTACTGCCAAATGCCAGAGCTGGCAGGACCTATAGAAAGCTGGCTAACACGGGGCACATGTATTACCCTTAAGTCCTGAGCCCAGGGCAGACGTCACTAAGCACCGACCATTCTCCTTCCCACCCAGCCCAGCCCTGGCCTCAGAATTCTCAGCACAGCAGTCAAGTAGCTGCTGCAGCAATGGATCAGCGCTGGCATGCAAGACAGACCTATTTATCATTTCTTATCTACCCCAACCCTGTTATTTTACAGATGGAGAAACTGAGGCCCAGAGAGACGATGCAGTAGAATGAAGTGCACATGGGGCCTGGGAGTCCGATGACCTCCAGGTCTTAGCTCTCTGCTGTCTTGCTGTGTGACTGCGGGCAAGCCCCTCTACCTCTCTGAACCTCAGACTTTATGTGTATAGAATGGGTCTGAGGAGAGCAAGCCCTTCCTGCTAAAATTAAATTGGGGAGTGGGTGCAAGCCCTCCCTGGGTGCAAGGCACAGAGTGGCACTCGGGCGTCTTTCCACCCTTCACTCCTTTTTTGTCTCTCATCCAGGGCCTGGCAGCAGCAGGCTAACACGCAGGCCTTCTCCGCCCCCAACACACCTCCCTCAGTTCCAACTTCGCTAGCTGCTCCATTCCTGGGCAGATGTTTGCCCCACAAATGGTTTTAACTGTCGGGGGTGAGGGAAGGGGTCAGATTTGGAGCTTATGGGCTCTGAGTGTAGTGGGAGGAAGATGGAAAAGGTGGTCACCCATGGGGCTGAGACAGGTATCTGCTGGAGGGGGGATGGTTGCCTGGAAACCACCACAGTGTATACGAGTGTCTTGCTGGCTGTGGGGAGGTTTGGAGTCAGCAGTCCTCTCTTCCTCTCTTCTCTTTCTCTCCCATTCCCCTGGCTCAGCCCCCACAGCCAGCTCTGCTTCCATCGTGGCTGCTAGGGGAGAACTCAGCAAGACTCCCCCAACACACACTCTTAAGTGAGCTCATTCACCCCCACGACATGGGGACAGTCACTGGCCCCCAAGCCAGGCACTTACCATGGGATCTCACAGGATCTCCTGGTCTCGGCTTCTCTAACCCTGTGCAGGACATGCCAGGCACTGGCCCACGACGAACCCCACTCACCCCAGGCCCTGCAAGCTCCCCTTCCCCAGCTGCTCTCAGCACAGCATGGAAGGTCTGAGCCCCCCACTCAGGGCTCACCCAGTCTCCACATCCAGACAGGGTCTCCGCTTAGGTGTCTCCGTTCAACCTGACACACAGTAGATGCTTTTAGCAAGTGTGGGTAGCTGGTGCTCAGGGAGCATTGCTGTGTGAATGCATCAGTGAATGAATGAAAATGAATGAATGAACACTGCTCTGGGCCATGGATTGTAACCTGTGTTGTTCCCCTGCAGGGAGTGTAGTAGTTCAAGCTTTAAATTGAGAGTCAGGAGACAGGATTCTGCCCCTAGGTCAGCCCCTAACTGACTGTCCAAGCTTGAGCAGTCCCTCCCCTCCCCAGGCCTTGGTTTCCTCATCTGTCAAGTAAGAAGGTTAGCATAAATGCTCGGGTTCTGCCATTAGGAGTATCTGTGGATTTGGTTTTTATTCCCCAGGGTCTTCCCACCCCACCATGGATGCAGCTGGTTTAGGAGCAGTTGACGTGGGTGAGAGGAGAGAGGAAGTCTTCCCTCCCCAGTGAGTCTACACTTGGGACATCCTTTGCTAGGGACAGTCCCTCTACCTGGATCAGGAAGGACATTGTGGTGTTTACTGTCCAGTGGACTGGGAGGTGAGTGTTGAGGGGGCTGTGCAGAGAATGGTGTTGGGGGAGCTTCCTGTAAAGATCCTCTAAACGAGGAGGTGACATTTGAAATGAGACGCTCCAGGGGAAATGTGCACACATGTACAGACACACCATGCACACACTGCATGCATGCACACATGTAAACATGCATGCACACACCACACACAAGAATGTGCATGCATACTTGTGCACATGCTACATGCATGCACATATAAACACACATGCACACTACACACATGCATTGCATGCACATACACATGCTGCATGCATGCAGACATATAGACACACCACACACATGCACACATAAACACACATGCACCCACATGCACGGACCACACTGCATACACACACACTTGCTGATATTCCCTGTAGAGCTGTTTAGTTTTTTCTCCCCCTGAGATGTTTCCATTGTCTTCTTGATCTTTTCATCTCAAATATGATCATTCCAGACCCAGCCAAGGAGCACAGACAGTTTCAATGTTGAGCACTAACCACCAGGGCTCCAGGAGGGGTGGGTGACAGTGGAGGGGCCCTGGCAGCTGAAGGCATGGGAGCAGGCACCAACTGCCCACCAGTGGTCAGCTCCACGTGGCCCAGGTCTTGGCACACTTATCCAAACTGCAAGGAGGGGCCCAAAGGCCTTACTAGGGGAGCAAATGTCCCCTGACTCCAGGCCTCAGGCAGCCTTCTCTGCCCAGCCACTCTGACTGCGCTGGTTTTCATTGCTCCTCTTTGGACGAAGGACTTCATCACAGCCTTTGTGTGTCTGTTTTGATGGGTTTGAGGACTCTCGCCCGAACCATTGTTTGCCAGATCTCTCTAAATTTTGTCAAAGTCATCTTTTCACTCTGATGTGTCTGTTCCTTTTTCTCTTCCGTTTTCAAAGGATCTAGAAGCGGCAGTGAGCCAGGGACAGGAGCAAAGATCCCCAGTTAGCAGCTCAGGTGTGAGACCATTCGCTAATCATTCATTAATTCACTAAGCAAAATCTTATTGAACAGTGTTCTGAGCCAGCCACCATGCTGGACACTTGTTTCTTGCCTCATGGAGCAACAGAGGAAATACACCCAACAGTAAATAAATGATGACAATGATGTGTGCTCAGAAGGGTCCCTGGGCCTGGGAATCCTAAGGCTGGACACAGCTGTTCCTGATGGGATGATGGGCAGAGGCCACCCTGAGAGAGACACTGTGGGAAGAAGGAGCCAGCTGGGCGGCATGCAGAGAGCAGCATCTGGGAGAGAGGAAACTGTGAGTGGAAATTCCTCGGCAGGACACAGCAACAGGGGGCTGAAGTGCAGAAAGGAGACCGGGGTGACAGGAGGGTTTTGAGTCGGGGAGAGGCACGACAGAGCTCAGACAGTTGGGCAGGGCCAGTGATGGGTCAAGGCGCACGGGCATGGAGGAGGACAGAACCACAGGGGAGTCAGTTTCTGCCTTGGGCACTGCAGGCCATTCCTGCACTTTGTTGAGGGCCTACAACGTGCCACAGCCAGACACTTGGCCATGCGTCTCCTGTTCCCAGGGAAGCCATTCCAGGCAACCCATAACCATAGCCCAGCCCAGGACTGAGTCCTCTGGCCAGATGGGGCCTCAGCCAGCGTTCAAAACAGCAGCTGCAAAAACATCTCCTCGCTGCCTTAGCCTGACCCACAGCCTCTCCCAGCATGCAGCCCCCGGCAGACTCTCAACGGAGGTTCAAACCTGCTGAGATTGAACGTGGACAGCTTAAAGGAGGTCTGGCGCCCACAGAACAAATTCCCTCATGTTCCAGGCATTTCTGCCTTTATGTTCCCTAATCCTGGGAATTTAACCCAGGCAAGGACAGGAGGACACCTGGTCCCAGTTACTAGGACCCCACACCCTGAATTTACCTTCTACATTCACATTGGTTCCTCCTTAAAATGAGGCTGCTGCCAGGACTCCTGCCCGGGCCTGGCCACCCCCAAGCCTGGCTTTGTGGCCTCTGTTACACTAGAATAGGCATCACAGCTTATCCCACCAGAAACTTCCAAAAAATCCAGACTCCCACGCCCATCCCTTACTTGCCCGTTCCAAATCTCCCAGAGAATTCTGTATTTTTAACAAGCTTCCTTGTGACCAGGAACCACAGCAAGCCTCAGCAAAGGACAGAAGAAAAACCTGGGGCTCTGGAAGTAGAAGGCCCCAGGCTTAAATCCTAGTAGACTCACTGTGTGATCCTAGGCAACTCGCTTAACCTCTCTGAGCCTCCCTCTCCTCATCTTTCAGGGGAGATTGAATATAACACTGATCCCTCCATCCGTTGCAAGGAATCTTTACAAGGTATGCCAAGTTCCCAGCACATAGTGAGTGCTTAATCAATGGCAGGCATTTTCACAGCTGTCTCTGAGGCACACCCGTCTTGTGGATGTGTAGACAGAAAACACGGGCTCATAATAGCTCCCCAGATAATTTCCAGGGCCAGCAAGCTGCTCCTTGTCCTTGCTCAGATGAGCGTGCTGGAATCTCTCAGGCAGGTCACTTTGGCCGCGACTGAGGGTGTCAGGCACATGCTCTGCCCAGCAGATGCAGAAGCAGGAGGGAAAGATCCTCCCAGTGTCCCTGGCTCCCATGTGGGTGGGGGAGAAGCTGACTCCCCCATTCTGACAGGAAGGGGAGGAGGGACCTGAAAAAGGCTTACGGAGAGGAAACAAGCCCCAAAGTGGGTCAGCACTGCCCTGGACACTAACCCATTTCCAGTCCCTCCTGCCCACAGGCCCGCTGGCCATGGGACTATCATCTTGCATTCTCTCCCATCCTGCTCGGGCCTTTGACCCTGTTTTCTACCTCTTGCCAGTCTAGGGAGAAGGAGGCTTGAACACTCAAGTACAGACCATGGGGGCTGCAGGGGAGGGCCTTCTGGTTTGCGTTGGATGTTCTAGGGGTATTTCCCACCCACCGTCCTGACTTGATTTGCAGTGGGGCTGATGTGGGGATAGGGGAGCAATGTGGTGGTCAAAACAGTACAGGCTTTAGGACCACCAGATGCAGTTCCAAACCCAGCTTCCCCAGTTCCAGGCTTCATGGTCTTGTGCAATTGGCTCCATTTCTTCCAAGCCTCTGTTTCCTGACCCATACAATGGTTCAATGAGATGGTGCCTACACAAATCCTAACTTGGGGCTTGTGGAGAGGAACACCCCGTAATCAGTAGCAGCGATGCCTATTATTCTAGTGCAACAGAGGCCACAAGCTAGGCTTGGGATGCAGCCAGACCTGGGCAGGAATCCTGGCTCTGCCCTCCTGGCTGTGTGATTTGGGACAGGACTCTGCCTTATTTCCAGCACTTTCTTCATCTGTGAAATGGAGGTGCTCACCTCCTAGGCTTATGTGAGGTTACGTGCATCGTGCATCGATGTTTGAAACAGAGCCTCGGCAGAACAAGCTGTCACCAGTGCAAGCCGTTCACGGTGATAATCGAGAACGATGTGTGAACTTACTCACCACATGTCTATTGAGCATCTCGCTGCGTGTGGGGCCCTCAATCCAGCAGGGAGGCAGACGCACGAGCTCCAGGCTCACCAACAAGGGGACTGACGATCCCAGTACAGGTTCTCACCCGCTCCATGATCCAGGACCCTGAGTGGAGGACACCTGGCTTAGTCTAAGCTCTTTGCTCACCAGAGGGGTCTCAGGGAGGGTGCTGGACCCCAAGTCAACCAGCCAGGGAGGGAGGCCAGGGGCCCCAGCACACCACACTGCCTCACCCACAACATCTACCCACTTGATAAGCCTTGGCCACTGCCCAAGTGGGCTGAGGGGAGCTGGCCTTGAGCTCTAGGGAGTGGGGCATTCAGAAGCAATCAGTGGCACTTGTGGCTTGGCGAGCTTCCCAGCTATTTGTGACCCAGCAGCTCTCCTTCCACAGCTGCTGGAAATTGAGCCATGGAGGCCACTTGATCTAGACAGCTATTGCTCAAGAGTTCCTGTGCCCACATCTCCAGGACATGAGCACCTATTCCCATCAGCCACGGATGGGTGGCCAGAGGCAGAGGGAGAAAGCCAGGAGGGGCCTGCAGAGAGTGGCCCCACGGCAGGCCTGAGGGGTTAGAAGGGACACCTACAGGTCCTGAGGGCCAGGGAGCCTATTCTCCCATAAGTGCCAGGGACGTGCTCTTCCCAATAACCCTCCCCAGGAAGTGACCTGAGCCAGCGGCTGGCCATGTCCTACTGAGGTAGAAATGTCCCAGGACTCCTTCTGGGGGTGGGCAACTTAGAATTTGGGATCTCATAAAAGGGGAAGTAGAGCCTCAGGCTCTGGAGCCAGGTTTGTATCCAACCATTGCCACTTACTGGCTGGGTCTCAGTTTTCTCATCTGTAAAATTGAAACAATAATAACAGTACTGACCTCCCAGGGCTGTAGGAAGGTTTAAATGAGTTCATACAAATAAAGTGACTAGAGCAGGGCTTGGCACATATCAGGGACTTACTGAGTATTAGCTGCTATTGTAGTTCCCCCCTTATCTACACTTTCACGTTTTGCAGTTTCCGTCACCTTCAACTGCAGTGTGAAAATATTATATACGATAAGAAATTTTGAGAGGGAGAAAGACATTCTCATAACTTTGACTACAGCATATTGTTATAATTATCCTATTTTATTGTTATTGTTAATCTCTTACTGTACCTAACTGATAAATTAAGCTTCATCATACGTCTGTATGGATAGGAAAAATCATAACACATATAGAGTTTGGTACTATCTTTGGCTTCAGGCATCCACTGGGGGTCTTGGAAAGTATCCCCCACAAATAAGGGGAGACTGCTGTGTTCCTATGAAGAGTGAACAATCCTGCCGGGGCAGGGAGCTCAGGTGAGCTGAATTATCGGGCAGTTACCTAATGAAAGCAGATGGAAATACAGGTGTGTTTTGCTGCTGGAATGCATTTGGCACCTCTGCTCTTGACCGCTCTGATCTCACCACAGCTGTCTATGCAGGCTCTTCCTTTGCACTCACAGATTATGCTCAAGGGCGTGCCAGAGTCTTTGCCTATATGTGGTGGCGGGTCGGTGGGGGGCACCCACAGAGCTCACTGGGGCCCCGTGCACGTGCAACTCAGAAGTCCAGGGAAGTTAGCACCCCGTTCCTTGCACCCCTTGAGAAATGGGGGACTGGAGCTGATGGGCAATTGTGGAAGGGCTTCTGTATGCCCCTCAAAGATCCTGGCAGATTCACGTCCCTGTTGCTACCATGGCAGCCTGGATTGCACGGCCTTGTATTGGCTTCTCTCTCCCTGCCTCACTCTTCTGGCTCCCTCACTCCTATTCTCAGGTGTCACCTCTCACACCTCTCACACGAACTACCTCAAGCCAGTCCTTGTCTGAGATTCTGATGTCAGGGGAACCTGTGTCTGGTGTAGAAGCCTGGGTCCTAGTGCTGGCTCTGCCATGCCCACACAGTGTGGCCCTGCACAGGCCAATGCCGTCCTTTGGGTCTTGGTTCTTTTGTCGGCCCCATGAGTGGGTTGGATCTTTGTGACCGTGACCTGTGGCATGGATGACACAGGTATTAGGGGAAGTCTGGATGCTCCCTAGGTGGCCTCACCCTCCCTGCCAGCCTCAGGGCCTCTTCTTCCCCCAACTTCAGTCCAAATCCCTTCCTCATCCTCCAGGTTCCTCCCACCACTTGCCTTCTGTCTGCCCCAGAGCAGTGTGTGATGATGCAGAGGCCAGGGGCCAGGGTCTATCCACACACAGTTTCACACATGCATGCTCATGCCCCGTGCACGTGCAAGAACATGTGTCTGAATGTGTGGGCCCACGTGTGCATGTGCATGCGTTTTGCTCAACCTCCAGACTATGGCCCCACATGGCCTATGGGCGCTCAGACAATCCAGCCACAACTACGATTAGGCAGAGGGGATCCAAGGTGCCCTCTGCCTGAGTGAGAGGCCTGCAGATCACCTTTTTGCACTGCAGGCCTGGCCAGTCAATCCCAGGGAGAGCAGATGGGGGCATGAGGAAACAGAGATGCTCTCAAGGGGATGGACTAAGTAGGAGAGAGGGAAGAAAGGACCTCAGTTACTGGTACCAAGTGTTCACAGATGTCATCTCCTCTTGTCCCCACAACCAGGAGGTAGGGATTAAGACCCCACTCTATAGATGGGGTAGTGGAGTGTGGCAGGGGAGGGGGCTTTATGTAGACTTGAAGTTCAAATCCTGGATCCATTACTCACAGGCTTTGGGAAAGGGCCTTGATATCTCTAAGTTTCAGTATCCTAGTCTGTAAAATGGGCCATTGATTTCTCCTCCTCAGGATTCTACTGGGTGTCAGGGGGAAAAATGAGCACAAAATACTTTTATAAAGCCCAGCATCTGTCACAGAGGAAGTGGCTCTAAAGGAGGACTATGATTATAGCTAAGATGACATGAAATGGGAGTCAGAGACTATGGACCCAGACTCCCACCTTCCCCCATTACTGTCCCTTTGGTGGTGCTGGTCAGCCCCTTGTCCTTGATGCAAGGTGGAAGGTGAGTTCCTGGGGGCCTCCCCTTCGCCCTGCCACAGGTGCACCCACCGCTCATAAGCAGAACATTGGGGAAGGCAGCTATGGGTGGGTGCCTGAGCCCCTCCCACCCTCAGAGACAAAAATAAAGTGTATAACTGTCAGAAGCATTATGGAACTGTCAAAGGTAAATGAAGTCATTCCCGTGAATTATTAATAAGTCACGAGCCTACCTATTCAATGACAGTATAAAAAAGAAAAAATATTTATCAAAAAAATTTTTTAAAAATTAGGGTGGACAAAGTGGCTCGTACCTGTAATACCAACACTTCGGGAGGCTGAGGTGGGAGAACTGCCTGGAGTTCGAGACCAGCCTGGGCAACATAATCAGGCCCTGTCTCTACAAAAAATAATTTTTGAAAAAATTAATCAGGCATGGTGGTGTGCACCTATAGTCCCAGCTACTCAGGAGGCTGGGGTGGGAGGATCACTCAAGCCCAGGAATTTGAGGTTGCAGTGCAGTGGCTGTGATCACGCCACTACCCTCCAGCCTGGGTGACAGAGTAAGACCTTCTCTCTTAAATAAAAAAGAGATATTTTTTAAAAAATTAAAACCAAAAGGAAAAAAGAAATGCTGTGGGCTGTGGGAATAGTTTGCCATGAGTTTGCAGAACCCAGGAGCCAAGTGTTAGGAGAAACCATGGGCCCTGGGCACAGAATGTTTCAGAGCCATGGAAAGTGATGCCCATGCGGGAAGAGGGGCCCATCAGCTTCACCTAGGCACTTGGTCCACATGGAGCGCTAGATGAGCAGTGAGAATTGCCCCTGACATCGCTTGCTTCCTGTCCCCATGGTTCATTGAATCTGAGAGCAGCAGCCTCAGCTGTCTGGATCTTCACCCATCCTGCTCCAACCTAATTGCCTTTGCCTAGACCACAGTCAGAGCTGGTGACTTTGCCAGCTGTGGCCTCACCTCCCTAGACTCCAGCTCACTGTGGAAACTACAGAGCCCAGTGACCCATCACTTCCACTGCAAGAAAGGCTGGGGATGCACTCTGACAATAATTGCCTTTCTCCAAGCAATTCAAGGTAACTAATCAGCACCATGATGCTGGCAGCTGTGACTGCTAATGGAGCTACAAACTGTCAAACTGAAGGTAATAATTGTCTCCTAAAAAAAAAAAAAGAAAGAAAAAAACTAGTTAATTAGCATAATCAGGGAATAAATGGGCCAATATTCCTAACCCAATGTGGGAGATGAATATGAACTATGGGGCCTTCAGGGTTTCCAGTGGAGAGAACAACACCAGCCAGGAAGTTGGGGGCCACCAGCACAGAAGGGAGAGGAGAAGAGGGTAGGAGATGCCTGTGTATTTGGAGGTATTATTGTATGAGTGCTTCTGGAGACGTTGTTTTATGTAAAATGCATGCCTGTCTTCAAGGCAGTGATGTTCATCTTGGCATTTCTCCAATCCATCCCTTTGATGTGTACTTACTGAGCACCTGCTGGGAAGGCAGCCAGTATTTATTCTTGGCAAAAAAAAAAAAAAAAAAGAAGAAGTTCACAAAGCGTACTCCCATCCTCTAAGCTGCTTATCCACCTTCCCACCCCAAAAAAGGATCTGTTCTCTGGGTTGTCAAGGTAAGACGAGAGCTCATTCGAAGTCATACATGACTGGTAAGGATACCTAGGGGGCCCTGGGAATTGAAAAACAATCTCTCAAAGTCATCTGTCAAATCATGGCAGGCATTGACTGCCTGATATTTGTACCCTTCTGATGGGTGTGTTCAGAGGGCTGGGGAGAGGCATGAACTGATCAGAGTAAAGCAACCCTTCTCTAGACTCACTGTGTGCTGGGAGTTTACCACGACTATACATACATTTGCTTAGTCCTCCTCATGAGACTGTTAGGTGGGTACCATTATTATCCCCATTTTATAGAGGAAGAAACAGAGGCAGAAAAATGGCTAAATGACTTATTCAACATCAACCCGATAGTAAGTCCCAGAGCCGGGATTTGAATACAGGAAGCCTAAATCCAGAGATCATGCTCTTAAGTCTCAGTCTAATACAGGAGAGTTAAGCTTTACAAAGCCAAGCCTCCATAAGAGAGGGCAGGAAGTAGAAGGGAAGCATCACATACTGAGCACCTAGCACATGGAAGGCACTGAGCTGAGGACCCTCAAGAGCTGGAACTTATCGCCAAGGCACTTGCGGCAGA
Source organism: Homo sapiens (assembly GCF_000001405.40). Classification (NCBI taxonomy): domain Eukaryota; kingdom Metazoa; phylum Chordata; class Mammalia; order Primates; family Hominidae; genus Homo; species Homo sapiens. The sequence goes on from NC_000003.12 coordinate 10,963,382, forward strand.
AGCCAGGAGTGGCCGACACATCTACAGTGCAGGGCCCTAGGGCAGTCACTTCATGTGCTCTGGGTTTGAATTCTGGTTCTCCACTTACCAGCTAAGTGCCCTTAGGCAAGGGACTAAATTTGGGTTCCCCTGGAAGCTGCCCCTGAAACAAGGATTCAAGCCTAAATAGTTCATTTGGGAGGTAAACCCAGAACACATTGATAATGAAGTGAGAAAATTTATTAATATTATCTATGGTATAACAAATTATCCCAAAATTTAGCAGCTTAAAACAACCAAGACTTATTATCTAATTGTTTCTGAGGGTCAGGAATCTGCGAGTGGCTTAGCTGGGTGGTTCTGGCTCAGGGACCCTCACGGGGTTTCAGTCAAGGAGTCAGCCAGGGCTCCCATCATCTGAAGGCTTAACCGAGGCTAGAGGATCCACTCCCAAACTCTCTCAGGTCATTATTGGCAGGCCTGAATGCCTCACTGGCTGGGGGCCGGAAGCTTCAGTTCCTCACTACATGGGCCTCTCCATCTGGCTTCCCATAACATGGAAGCAGGATTTTCTCCAGAGTGAGTGACCTGAAGATAGAGAAATCAGAGAGAGAGAAATCAAGACGGAAGCTATAATGTCTTTTATAGCCTAATCTCAGACGCGACATACCATCACTTTTGTCATATTCTACTGGCTTCACAGACCAACACTGATACAGTGTGGGAGGGGCTGCAAGGATGTGGATACCAGGTGGAATTCACAGAAAGTAAGATGGGGGAAGTCACAGAGGTCAATAGTGGATGTGATATCAAGCCAGGTCCCACTGTGGGCACTGAGAGGCTAATCCCACAGGGGAACGCTGGAAGAAAGTGTAGAGCATGCCTCGGAGTTATCTCCAACAAACAGGTGAGGATGCTGGGGGCATTTTCCCATCCAATCCTCTTTCATCATTGGTTGAAGGTTGCCTCTATGGGCCCTAACACCAGCATTTTCAGCTGTGGCTTCCTCTCTCTGGACCCAAGTTTCCTGGCCTGTAAGTGAGGATGGCATCAACAATTTCATGATAGAGTACTTGTGCAGTGGTTATGCCTGGCACACAGTAAGTGTTCAGTAAAGCTGCTAGTGGTGTGGTGATGTGGCTACGATGGTCATTCTGATGGCTGGTTGGGATGAAATGAGATGATGTCAACACCGCTCTTGGTAAATCCCTACTTCCTGATTCTCATTCCTGTGTTCTTTCCAGCTCAGCACATCACTTCTCAAGCTCCAGATAATAACACTGCAGGACTCATTGCTCTGATGTTCATATGAGCCCAGAAACAGACTGGGAATGGGAGCAGGTTATGTCCAAAGTTCCCGCCAACTTCCGCATCCATGAGATGTGTAGGGCCCTGGGAGCAATGTAGTATCAGCACCTTGGACAGCTTCCAAAGGCGTGGTCCTGGCCCTGGTTGCTCCCCTCCTTCTTAGCAAGGACTCCACACTACTTAGATGTCTTAAGGCCCTCCTGCGTGTTAGTAAAGTGATTTGTCTGAGGCTCCACAGCTAGAAAGGGGCAGAGCCAGGACTCATACTGTCTTTGAGAAGTGCCTTACCTCTCTATTCCTCAGTTTCCTCATCTGTAACATGGAAACAAGGCAGGCTCCATGAGTATGTGACTTAGTTTATGCACACTATGCTCTTCAAGCACTGTCTTGAAATTCTTAGTAATTTTTAAACAAGGGGGCCAGCATTTTCATTTTGCATTGGGCCCCTCAAATCACATAACCAGTCCTGCAAGAGAAGAATAATACGCCTCCCTCTCCCGGAGATGCTGTTTCCCCTATTCAGCCTGCTCTCCACTCTTCTCCACACACTGTATGGTGCATGAAGGAGGCTTATAAAGGCTACACCGACAGGCTCCTTTGTCTTCTGATGTGTATAGTTGGGTTCAGCTGATGGGAGGCCCTGGCAGGGGACCGGAGAGCAGGAGGAGTGGGTGCTTGGATCCAAGGACATGCTACCCACTCCCCAGGGGAATGTCTTTCCCCCGCTCCTTCCCTGCTGGGTGACAGAAGCTTGGCCACATCTCTGTCCCTGCATGGAAGCAATAGCTCCATCCCTGCATGGAAGTCTGTGTGGAAGCCACAGCTGTGTCAGGCAGCCCTCTCCTAGAGCTACGACCACTTTTGCAATGCTCCAAACGTCTCCTTCCCTTGGTCCACTTAAATCCATGCTTGCTGACCTCAGACACCTCATCATCCTCTTGTTAAATGCTCCTCAATTTCCTCCTGTGTGTGCATCTTCTATTTCCCACCAGGACCCTGCCTAATATACTCTCTTGTGGAGCTGATGGGAAGATTAAATAAAATCCCACATGTAGCACACTCAACACAGTCCCTGGTACATGGTCAGTACTGGGCAGAGGTTCACTGTTACTATTGGCTACCTAGCTGCAAAGGCCCAAAGCTCTGAACCATTATCCTACACTGCCACACCCCTCCCAACACACACATGTGCATGCACACATGCACACACATGCGCCCCACTGTAAGACAAACACGTGGTTTGGTGGAGTGCAAAGAACAAAAGACCTGTAGGGAGTGAAGTTTGGAACCTAAATTGTCCCTAAAGACCTCTTGTTTCCAGCCCATGGGCTCTGGGCCACTCTCTGACTCTCACTGGAAATTTATCTCTCAGGCTTGGTTCTCCGTATCCTTGATTCTCTTCTGGGAACACAGGCTCTGTTACATAACAAGACAGAAGTCGGGACTTGGTTTCTGTCCCCACTTGGATGAGCAAATCACTTCACAGCTCTATTGCCCTTTCAAGTAGGTAATTAGGGAACCTTGCAAGACCAGGAGGTATAAAAGGACCTCCGTGATGTGGCCAAGATGGTAGCAACACCACCAACCAAGGGTGCAAACAGTGATTGATGCTGCCATGGCCCAGAGGAGTGCTAGGGACCCTAGGAGGGTGGGCTCAGTTCCCTTCTCCAGGGTCCCAGTCCAATAGACTCCTAGACTCCTGAGGCATGGAGCTACCACAGCCCTTGGGGTGGCCGTGTTGTCCCAGGGCCATGTCTGTGCTGCTCCCCCATGCAACCTTGGACCCACCCTGGCAGGTGGGGTGGAGGCTCATAAAAGTATGATGAATAAATGAATGAATGAACACTTGAGTCCATAAGCTAGTTCAGGAGCCAGTGGAGCTCTTCCTGTATTTCAGGCCCAATGTATTTCAAAGTCCCTCCCCGCACCACATATGGCCTGAGGATTCTCTGGAAGAATCCCCCTGCTATCCCCACACACAAGACACTTTCCTCTTAGTAGTCTTTTGATTCAGCCAAATAAACACTCGCCAGGCCTATGACAGTTCTAGTTGGAAGGAAGAAAATGCTCCACTATTTTCATTAATTCCTCCTCTCCCATGTTGTCCAGGTAGAATTTCGCAGGAAAACCGCAAGGGCACTTTTAAGAAAACCACAGAGAGAGCTGTTGGCTGGAGAAGCTTGGCCAAGCTGGTGGGGAAGGGATGGTGCGTGCTCCCCATGAAGTGCTCACCCAAGAGTCCACCTGTCTTGAGGGTTGGATCCTCCCAGAAACAGACCTTGAGACAAGCAAGCAGTTAATTTAGGAGGAAGCACTAGTGGGGCAGGGAGGAGGAGAAGGAAAGGAAGTAAATAGCCTATTTCAGAGCAGGCTACCACCAGTGGCAATGGGGTCTCAATCCCTCCTACACAGACCCCACCTTGGGGCCATCCCACAGAAGGGCATCAAGCTGGGTACTCATCCTCCCACTTCTGTCCCTCTCGCTCACTGTTCAAGAGCTGCCACCAGGGCTGAGAAGCTCCCGCATGTCCAGCCTCCCCTGCACAGCCAAGAGAAAGCCCTTGGGTGGAGGGGTGAAGGGCATTGCAGGGGGAGCTACCCACACCACCATCACCTGATATGCACCATTAATCAATTAATCACCCATCAGCAGGCTGGAGCCTCCCGTGATGCATGTGTGCTTAGGCTGTGTCTGCAGGTCTGCCCTTTATAGCCCCGGCAACAGAGCTGTGAGACTGTGAGAACTGCCGTCTGCATTTCACAGATGAGGAAACGGAGCCATAGAGGTGACTTAGCTTTCCCAAGATCTCATCACTAATAGGCAAGAAATAAAAGTTCCTGCACTAATATAGCTTAAATTCTAGGGGAAGAAGACACACAATAAATAAAATGGATAAATAAAATGTGTGGGATTTTAAAATGCAATAAATGCTATGGAGAAGGGGTCAGGGGACAGGGAATACTGGGGTGGGGAGAGGTAGAGAATTCAATAGAATTCAATAGAGGTAGAGAATTCAAAAAAGGGTTCCCAGAGATGACAGCATTGAAGCCAAGACTCGAAGGAGGTGAGAAGAGAAGGGACCCATGTGGCTAAGTGAGGCACCGAGTCCCAGGTAGAGGGAACAGCAAGTACAAAATGCTGAAGCAAGAGTCTGCCCAGGGCTGGGCATGGTGGCCCACGCCTGTAATCCTAGCACTTTGGGAGGCCAAGGCTGGCAGATTGCTTGAGACCAGCCTGCCCAACATCGTGAAATCGCATCCCTACTAAAAATAGCAAAATTAGCCGGGAGTGGTAGTGCACGCCTGTGATCCCAGCTACGGAGGAGGCTGAGGCACAAGAATTGCTTGAACCCAGGAGATGGAGGTTGCAGTGAGCTGAGATTGTGCCACTGCACTCCATCCTGGGCAGCAGAGCGAGACTCTGTCTCAAAAAAAAAAAAAAGAGTCTGCCCCCAGGGTGTCCAGAACAGGAATAGCCAGGAGGACTGTGTGGCTGAGATTAGGAGCTGGTCATCTCAGGGGATGGGGGCCAGGTCATACAGGTCACTACAGGGACTCTGATTTCTACTCTGAGTGAGGTGGATTCGGAGCAGAGGAGCAACGTGGTCTGACTTGCATTGAACAGAGTCACTCTGGCTACCAGGTTGAGAGGAAAATAAAGTAATGCGTGAATTAATGAATGAGCGAGTGAATGAAAGAATCAGTGAGTGTCCTTGTACCTTCTTACGGATGAGTCTGAGCCACTTACTTTAATGGAGAGACAAGGGGCAAGAGTTTAAAGGGAAGCTAGTGAAGCCCACACTGCAAAGGGTGGAATTCAAGCCCAGCAGACAGCAGCTGGGCCTGGCGGGAGATGCTGGTCTTGGCTGTGTCTGCAGCTGCCCCTCCACCCCTGTGTTTCCGCCCTGCCAGCACAGCCCCAGGGAGCAGCTGTGATCACAGACATGAAAGCAAGCCCCGTGCAGAAGATGATCAGAAGCCTTGTGACAACAGTTGTCCCTCAGAGTGCTGCTTTCAAGAGGCCTCGGGCCATCCCAGGGAGTCCTTCTCATCCTCCTCCAGCCCCTGGGCTGCAGAGCCCAGGCCATGACACTCTTACTCAAAAACAGCACACAGTTTCTGAAATAATAACACAGAGATGAAGGCTCCCCTGCTCTGAAGTGGGGGAGACTCACAGCCGCCTATGAAGACACCTTAGGGGTACTGGTCAAAAATGTGGCTGACAGATGATGAAACGTACCCCCGATCAGAGCATTTTGAATCAAGCATTTTTTTCTCTCTCCTCCTCTGTCTCTCTGCCTTTGTGTTGCAAATTGTGAAGTTAGAAAGGAAGGAAGATAGGAGGTGAAGGGAGAGAAAAATGAAGGAAGGGAAGGGAAAAGAATAAAAGAAATGGAAGACCCTTGTATGAGCATCAACTATGGGCAGGACACATTACCGAATACTTTCTATTCTATTCATTAGTTCATTTAATCCATTCAACAGCCCTATGAAGTAATTCCTATCAATAGGCCTATTTTGCAGATGTGGAAAATGAGGCTCAGAGAGGTTAAGTCACCTGCCCAAAGACACAGAGTGGAGAAGTGATGGAGCTGGCACTGTGTGTTCTAATGCTGATTCTGCCTACATGCAACAGTCTGATGGGGGGCATGTTCTGTGCCCCATTTCTTGGCAGAGTCAAGATTGGACACCCTGAGATAGCTGCATCCCAGGCTCTGTGCCTGGGGGAGTGATGGAGCCTGGAGAAGGAAAGATACCAGGTGAAGGAGCCAGGGCTCTTCCTCTTTTTAGCCCCCTGAGCTCCCCTCTTGTTCAGCCACCTGGCATCACTCAGTTCCATGTGCCCTGGTTTCTCCACTCACTCACCATCCATGAGCTGAGCCATGCTGTGGAACCCAAGAGGACTCAAACCTCAGCCCTGCCCATATGGGGCTACTAGGCCAGGAGGCACATGCAACTGAAATCCAGGGTGAACATTTTCAACTATTCCCAAAGGACGTCCCTTCGATCTTCCACAGGGATTTGACTAATTCCATTTATTCCCCACCATTCCCTGCATAACCCTCCATGACATGCTATGTGCCTGACCCTGGGGCCACAATGGTGCACAAGACAAGGTACCTGCCCTCTGGAGCTCTCAGCCAGGCTACCAGGGGAGGCAGATGTGTACACCAACAGATCCAGAACAAGATTATAAGTGCCTCAGAGGCAATCTTTTCAGAGTTGAGTGGAAACTCAGAAAGAGCTCACTGTAGAAGGTAGAGTAGACATTGGAGCTGGGTTTTTGAAGCATAATTAGGAGTTTTCTCAAACCAAAAAGACAGGCCTGGGCATTCCAGGTGGAGGGAAGAGCTTGGGCAAAGGCCCAGGGGTCTGAAAGGACATGGTGCAGCCCTGGAATTTCCAGGAGGCCACAGCAGAAGGAGGCATAGTGTGCCCATGTCTCTTCTTTTTTCTTACTATGCAGTCTCTAAAAATCCCCTCTACTGCTGGAGCAATTCCACTCTGCCCTCAATGTGCATCCCTCAAGTGTTAATTAGTCCAGCACTCCCACTGGAGATCTTACCCCTAGTCTCTCCCAAAAAGTATATAGGCATTCATCCAAATAAAACAGGTCTCTCCCTTGGGGGAGGTCTGCTGCTGAGAGCATATGATTTTCCTCACATTGTTACTCAAAAGATTGGAGAGGTTATTTCCTTCCACTGGAAGGCAGGAGTAAGGAGAGAGGCTGCCATTCCAGCGAGGAGGCCAAGTGACTTGGCAGTGCTATGGGAGTGGATTGGGGAGCAAGGAAAAGTGATGGGTGGGATGGAGAGAGAGGCTGGATCCGATGGAGGATGCCAAGGGCCCAGGCTGGGCTGGTAGACATGCTGATGGGGTAGGGGGTGCTGTGGGCAGCTTGGTCAACCTAGGCCCCGGATGGCACAGCCAATGGCACCCCAGCCTTGCTTGGGGTAAGCACAGAGTTGGCATTTGGAGCTGTCAGAAGTGATTAATTCATCAAAAACACAGCACACTGGAAAACTGGCTGTGACTCAATGGCTCATTAATACTCAGACTCTGATCAGCCCGCAGATGCTAATTAAAGCCACTCCGAATAAAGGGCAGCCTCCTGAGAGCTCCAGCATGAACCTTTCCCTCACTCCCCTTGGCAGGGCACCCTCAGAGCCTGGGGGAGGTGAGCATAGTGGGTGGGCTCTAGGCCTCCATTGAGGACAGACTCATTCTTGGTAGCTCTTGAGTGACAGGGCCCAGTGGCATTTGGAGAGGATCTGTTCCAATGCCTGCCATTTTGCAGATGGAGAAACTGAGGCTCAGGGAGGAGCAGGGGCTTTCTCAAGGCCACTTAGCAAGAATGTAACCAAGCCTGGCTCAACTGAGGCCTGAGCCCTTCCTATTCTGTTCCTCTTGACACTGTGCAGGCTGAAGGAAGGACAGGAAGGTGAACACAGTGTAGCCACAGCCCTCAGGATGATTACAGGTCAACGGGAGGTCATTTCTGGGAGGGTTTCAATCTCGCCTTGTTCAACTCCACATCCCAGCCCCCAGCCTAGAGCCTGGTACAGAGAAGATGCCTAACAAAATGCTGAACAAATTTATGCACGAGTGGACTATAATTTATGCCAGACTGTGAACAGGTGCTTTAATCAGATACAAAGTGCTCTGTGAGTATGGAAGAAGAAGAGATCAAGGAACGCTTCCTGGAAGAAGAAGCATCAAAGTGAGCCTTCAGGTAAAGAGGCACAGACTGGCCCTGCCTGAGCCTGCTCTGAGTATCTTCTCATTTCATCCTCACGACAACCCAACCATGATTATAGCAATGATTATATCAATTCTACAGATGAGGAAACTGAGGTCCAGTCAAGTTAAGTCCTTTCCCCAAGGTCCCACAGCCAGAAAGTAAAGGAGTTGGGACTTGGATCCAGGTCTTCCTGGCATCAAAGCCCATCCCTCACCAGTGTTTGGAAGCTCAGCTAAAGAAGCCCTGACAGAGATGAGTCTTCCCAAACTTCCCAGGACGTGGCAGGATGCCTATGTCCCTCCATCCCAACATCATGCCTGCCCCCTCCTGTCATAGGGTCTAGTCAGGTGTGTCTATGGAGGGGATCAGGATGGGATCACCACGTCCACATCCAGCATGGGTTTTGCAGCCTGGGAGCCACCCACCAACATCTGTTGAGGGGACTTTAACCCAAACACCTCCGCAGAGGGCTGCTGGGAGGATTCCATGAGCCAGACTCACAAACTGAGCACTGGGCATGCAGTGAGTGCCCTCCAGGAGGAGCAAAGGTTGCATTTGGGCTGTTCATTGTTATTCGCATTTGACCAGCCTCCCTTCCTGGATTCAAAGTCATTCTTGTCTCCAGAGAGGAGCAGACCGAGGACAGTCATGGGTCACACAGCCACGGGAGGCTCAAAGCCAAGTTTTCCAACTCCTGACTCCCCAGGAAAGGTTCCTTGTTCTCAGAAAACTGCCCATTCAGCCAAGGTTGAGGTCTGTGTCCTTTGACAACATAAAAGCCCCTTCTGATGAAATGATTCAACTGCATTTCCACCAGGGAGCCAACAGCTGCTTCCCACGTCATGCTGTTCCCACCCCTGCCTGGTCCCGATCAGAGTCTGGAGGCACTGCACCTCAGACTCACCTGGAGTGTGCTAGGGAAAGTGCATGAGCCCAGGGGAATGTGTGTGTGTGTGTGCCCAGTGTGTGTATGAGAGTGTGAGAGTGTGTATAAGCTCAGGGGAATGTGGTTTTTTGTACCTAGTGTGAGCCTGTGTGTGTGTGAGCCCAGGGGAAGCATGTGTGCATGTGCACATGCCCAGTGTGAGTGTACATGAGTGTGTGGGTGTGTGTAAAGGGTGTGAGACCGATGTGAGTCTGTGGGTGGTGCGTGTGAACCCAGCAGGAGTCGGAGGGAGGGGGTGTTGTTTCAGTCGGCTAAGGCTGGTGACGCTGCAGTTACAAATGGCCCCCAGTCTCAATGGCTCACAGCAGCACAGATTTACTTCTCAGCATCTACCAGTTAATTTGCAGGTCACCTATGGCTCTGCTCTCTGTCAGCTGCATCCCAGGACCTAGAGTAAACGGGCAGCCTCTAGCTGGAACACTGCGGGTCACTGTGGCAGAGGGAAAAGAGCATGAAGGAGCCATGAACTGGTTTTCAAGGCTCCTGCGCAGAAGTGACTCCTCGCTCTTCCACCCTATTCTATGGCCAGAGTGGACACACAGCCGAGCCTGACTGCAACAGGATGGGAAGTGAAATCCCCTCTTGGGGAAGGCCAGGAAATACCTGTGAACAAGGACACAGGCTGCACGCCTGTGATTCCATGAGGAAAAGCACACGGCTTCCTTGACTTCTCCCTTGCATGTGGGTCCAAGTGAAAAAGAGCCAGTGTGCAAATCTGCCCTTTGGGGTGTCTTGCTTCTGGGTGCAAACACATATAGGCTGGTGTTTCTGGATTACAAAAATGTGTGATCACTGTGTGCAAAAGCCCGTGGACCAATGGACAGGTGCCAGAGCACGTGTGATGGGAAGAATGCGGGAAGGGAGTGCGTGTGTGTATCCTCACCCTCATCGCAGCACTGTCTGAACCCGTCTGTATATACACCGAACGCCCCCTACATTCACACCCGAGCATACGCTCCCTTCCACAAGGAAGAGGCTCTCGCAGATGGGACGTGAGATGCTCAATTTCCCAACTGATGATTTAGCAGGTTCATTCACCCCTCATTTGTGGCCATCTGTCACCTTCCACAAGGTGGCTGTCTCCACCTGGCCTGCACACTGTGGTTGCAAAGGAATGGCAGCAGGACCAAAATGCACAGCTTCTGTCCTCAGCTGCCAACTCTGAAGATGGGATCCCCCTCCCAGTTTCAGGACTGTCCTTCTAAGAGCTGCCCTGAGGGTTAGGAGCCCCGTAGGAGACAGGTCAGCCTTAAGCCTCCCCAAAAGATATGTCTCTTAATGCCTTAGACTCCCCCAAATCTCCAGCAACTTTTCTCTCCTCCTAGTCTGTCCCCACCTTCCTTAAATGGGCCTCTGGTGGGAAAAAGCCAGCCCCTAATAATCACTGAATCGCCACTCCTTGGGTGCTGGTCCTTGTGCCAGCACTTGACACGTCTCATTGACCTGTCACGAAACCCAGCAGACAGGGACTTCTGTTGTTCCCATTTGACAGATGAAGAAACTGAGACTCAGAGAGGTGCCCAACCTCACACAGCCCACTTACAGCTAAACGGGGGCTTCTACCAAGGCCTCCCTGTTCAGCCTTTTTCAATGGGTCCAGGCTGCTCAGGTCACCTCCTCCAGGAAGCCGACCAGACCAACGGCCTGGAGGGGCTGTAGCAGGACAGGAGTCCTAGATGTGGATGCTGAGGGAGGGAGAGCAGGCAGTCCAGGTCACTGTGTCTTCTTCTCTGGCAACACTCACTCCTCAGGTAGACTCAGAGATCCTCCCTCAGATAGACCTCCCTTTGGCCCTGACTCCAGCCTCTAACACATCCTAAAAACCAGCCTTCTGAGCTGTGGGTGATTTTATCAAGTCCCATCTCAACCACCGCCTGCCCTGGTGCCCCATCCCCCTTGGGATGGGACTCAGCCTCACACGTGCTCTATGAGGCCTGCGCACCTCTCCAGCTTTGGCACTCCATGCTCCCTCCTCTCTTCCTTCCTCACACCTCACACCCGCTGCGCTCCTTATTCCCTGGTCCCCTACCAGGAGCCCCTTTCCTTCTCCTTCCTGCTTTCCCTGTCCAACTCCTGACCAACTCAGCAAAGTCTTTCCACAACAGGGACCCCGTAGTTCCCTACCCCACCCAACAGTGGAATAGCACCCCTCACTCCACAAGGCAACCGCATCTCCACTGCTGAATTCCAAGTTCCCTGTTAACTGCCGCATCCTTGGCTAATCACTTAACAGAGACCCTTGATCTCCCCCGCCCCAGGCCAGGTATTACTATTCTAGAGACCAGCGTTATAAGAAAACGAAAATGGAAGGCAGAATGGAGAGTGACTCAGACTGGGCAGCAGCTGTCAGAAAGGTGTTCAGGGAAGGCTGGCAGTGACAAGCGCGCAGAGACCCGAACGATGAAGGGAGCCATCCCATCCGTGCAAAGCTCTGAGAGGAGGGCATGGCTGGCAGATGGAGGAATGGGCTTGGCATATTCAGGGCACACTCGTGTGGCTGCATTTTAGGCAGCTGGGGGAGGACAGGGTTTCAGCAAGGGAGCAAAGGGTTTCAAGAACGTTTTTATTCCATCTTTGAATACTCCAGGCCACCTCCTCCAGGGAGCCTTCTCTGATTGCCCATCCTTCATGTCTCTGAGCTCTCCCAGCCCAGACCCCTGAGGTAGGTTCCCAAACACCTCTTGGCCCCCTTAAGACGGAGGAGTGTCAGAGGATGGAAAAAGCATTTTACAACAGGGCCTTCCTCTGGTCCCAGGCTCCATGGCCAGGAGAGCATCTGTGGGGTTTGGATAGGGTCCCAAATGGGACAGTTGTCCTCTGTGTCAGCTCCAGCTCCAGTTAGCAGGTCCTTTGGGGAGGCAGGCTGGACTGGCTGGAATGAGGCTTGGTTATTTATGGATTTCAATTTCCCCACTCCTGCATCTCCTGGGTGTATCACAAGGAGGCTGCAGAAAAGAATTTTGCCTCAGACTAGCAGAGGGATCCAACTGCCACGTGAATCAAACACCTCTAGGGGACCCATGGACATTTAGGGGTAGTGTCTGAGAGATAAAAAGAGACTGCACAAAGGGCTCTAGGCTGGGAGTCAGAAAACCAGGTTTCTAGTTCTGGCTCTGCCCCAACTTTAGGGAAGCCCTTCTCTGGGCCCCAATTTCCACCTTAATAAAGACAGACATTAATCTAGGTCAGGGATCAATGAGTTTTTTTGGTAAGATATTTAGGTAAGATATTTGGTAAGGTAAGCCATACAGTAAATATTTAGGCTTTGGGGGCCTTATGGTCTCTGTCACAACTACTTAATTCTGCTCTACAGCCATAGACAGTATGTGAGCAAATGGGCATGGCCATGTTCCAGTAAAACCTTACTACAAACAGGTAGTAGGCAGAATTTGGCCTGTGGTCTATAGATTGGTTTCCTGTGACCTAGGTGACCCTTCTGATAGGTTGCAAGCAACAAAATCCCAATGCTAAGTGCTGTAAGCTAAACATTACCTAGGTCAGAAGGACTTACTGGGTCACATAAAAGTCCCAGGGAGACATCAGGCATGGCTGGATCCAGGGACTCAAATGATATCATTAGGACTCACTAAACACTCTTTCATGGGGGAAACATGGCTGTCAGCATCAAGAGTTCCAGGATTTATTTTGATTGGACCAGCTTGGGTCATGTGCTCCTCCCTGAACCAATCACTGTGGTGGAAGAGATGAAGTTCTCCTGATTGGCCAGGCTTGGGTCATGTGCCCATCTCTAGTGCTGGAGGTGAGTCGAGCCCTACCTAAACTACATGATCTGGACAGAGTAAAGGGGTGGTACTCCTGAGGAAATTTGGGGTGCTCTTGCTGAAAGAAAGGGCAATGTACAGGGCTGCACTTGCATATAGTGAACCTTCATGTAAATTAGAACAGCACCCCTCTGGGTGGACGTAGCCCCACACTTTGGCTTGGCCAGTGGAGCACAGACTGGATTTCAGCCCACATTCCTCCCACCCCCGGGTCAGACACCTGTGTGGGGAATGACATGCGCTCATGGTGCATGGGACGGCCCTGGGAGTAGACTCCACCAGATGTCCATGTGGCCCTTCCAGGTGGACAGTCAGGGGTTCATTGCATGGAGTTTGTTCTCAAAGTTTTTTGTCACGATGTCATTGTTTCTCTCTGGATAATAGTAGCCACCTCCTGGATGCCTCTTAGTCCCCAGTCACTCTTCCCATCCAACCTATACACACACCATCACCAGATTAATTTTCCCAAAGCTTCCAAGTCAATCCCCTGCTCAAAAAACCTACTTAGCTTCCCCTGGGCACCAGAGCAAGGTCCTCATACCTCAGTCTCATGCTCAAGGTATCCAGTGGTCCCTCCTTAGTTTCTCTTCTCAGGCTTCTCTCTTCCACTTTTTATGCTGGACTAAGAGTTCAAGCCTTGAGTTGGCCCCATCATTCATTAACCATGTGACCTTGAACAAATCCCTGTCCCTCTTTAGGCCCTCAACCTCCTCATCTGTGAATTTGGGGATTACCATTGATGTATCTTGAGAAACATGAGTCATTTTTACACTATAAAATATTACACAAACACCAAGTGTTACTATTATGTCTCCTCCCCTCGTAACAGAAGCCCTCATAACAGTCATAATTCACATTTCACTAGAGTGTAGGCCCTACATTGACCTGAAAATTTCACCCAAATATGTCTGGGAAGCCCCAAGAGATATCTCCTAGGTTCTCACCAACCAGCCTGGCAGCACTAGTTGCCTATAACAGCTGCCACCCTCTATCTCTCCAGCATCCACATTTGCTGTCCCTGCTGATGCCTGGGCTCAAGGTGCTGTCCTCAGCTGTCTCTCAAGATGCTGGACTGATGCTGTAGCCAAGCATATCTGGGGACAAGAAAGGGATCCTCTCTTTCACACCTGTGGGGCTGGGCAGAGCCCCCTGGGCCCAGAGCCTCATGCAGACCCCTATGGAAGAGACCTCTTCAGCTTCCACCATAGCCTCTTCCTCTAACAGCCCAGCCCAGGAGTTTCTGGCCTTCCACGGTGCAAAGAGAACTCAGGAGGTCCGTGAACTTGCATGGGGAAAACATTACAGCTTTATTCTCATCCATTTCTTTACAGTAGGAATAAAGATAGCAAGCCACAGTGGTGTCAGCTGTACCTATGACTCTGCAGCCAGTAGCAATCACGTGTTTTCCTATCACCTTGCAGTTGTTACAGCAATCTTTTCAATATTGTTTACATTCATCACGACTTTGAAATCACAGTAGTGACTAGATCCAATGTTAGATCTTGTTTAACGCGTTGATGGAATCGTACATATTTGTATGTGTAACAATTTTGATTTTTAAAGTATTTTGATAACTATGTTCCTTTGTTATCCAGTATATTGTATTTTACGCATTTAAAAGAATTTTTCTCAGAAAGAGCTACATACCAGCATGCTAAAATGGCCCATGGCACAAACAACATCGTTAGATGTCAGGATTCTTACCATCCCAGGCTCTCCTTTGCCTTCTCCTCTTTTCTTCTTCCTCCTCCTCTTCCAAATGCATGCAAATAAGGGATGCACACTTCATCAAACAGCCCTAAACCTGTCAGAGCAGCTGCTAGCAGAAGCCAAGTTCATGCCTGGCTTTCTCCCGTCTCCTGTGCCAGCCCCCACCGCACGCCCTCCCGATCCTGGTGATTTTTAAAGTGAAAAGCAGGTAGCTACTGTGCCAGTGAGAAACAGCCCCTCCCCCACCTCCCCTCAGCCTGCGCCCTCTTCCTCTCTCTGCTCACCAGGGCTGCGGCATCACACGCATCACATTCCCATGCCTGGAGACAGAGCATGGTTCTGTAAACAGGGCTGTGGGCTCTACCACACTCCCTCCCTCAAAGCACTGACCTTCTCCCCACTGCTGAAGAAAGGGACTTGTGCATGTGGCCCCCTGGGAACTGAGTCTGACCCAGAAATCATGATGACTGGCAGGCTCACCCCAAAAGAATGAGAGGCATTTATTTCTCTTCTGTTCTCTGAAGAGGAAGAGCTCAGTTATGTGTTCTGAAGATTGCGGGCTTCCCCACTGTGTCTAAGATGGAAGGAATCTACCGCAAGGAAAGCAGGCCCCAAAACTGCCAGAGAAACAGGGCAGCCGTGTCCAGGCAGACCTGGTTGCAAGCACGACTACCTCTCTGTGAGATGGAGTATGCAATCTCATGGAGACACGTCACCCATCTCGGTCCACATGAGCAGCTGAGATTGTATTAAAAGAGGTGTATCGGCCGGGCATGGTGTCTCATGCCTGTAATCCCAGCACTCTGGGAGGCCAAGGTAGATGGATCACCTGAAGTCAGGAGTTCGAGACCAGCCTGGTCACCATGTCTCTACTTAAAATATACAAAAAACTAGCTGGGCCTGGTGGTGCATGCCTGTAATCCCAGCTACTCGGGAGGCTGAGGCAGAATAATCTCTTGAACCCGGGAGGCAGAGGTTGCAGTGAGCCGAGATCGCGCCATTGAACTCCAGCCTGGGCAACAAGAGCAAAATTCCGTCTCAAAAAAAAAAAAAAAAAAGAGATGTATCTCCAAGGGATCTTGTTTTGTAAAAAGAACACAGTGAAAACTGGTGGGGCCTAGCGAAGAAAGGATAGAAGGAAAGGGAAGGAGAGAAGTTCTGTAAACAAGCGTCCCCTGCAACCCAGTCTGCAATGGCAAAGAATTGAAAATGCCTGAATAACCATCAATGGGGAAGTGCATACAGCCCCTCTAGGCTGCACTTTGGAATACTTCACAGCAGTTCAAAGAAAAAAAATGAAGAAGATCTGTTTATTGCATGGCAAAGTGCAAAGATCACCGAAACTATTGAGCGAGAAAAACAAGTGGCCCAATGATAGCATAGTAGGATGCCACTTTTATAATGTCAACACACACAAACACAAAAAACCCACCAGCATATGTTTTCTAGGTACGTATAGATGAAATCGAGTGGAAAGAACCAAGCCTGGAAGGACATGCCGTAAACAATTCACGGTGGTTCTATCGGGCGAGGGAGGAGGAGTGAGCGATGATTACGTGTGACGATCAAAAACAACTGTCTTAAATGTTGTAATAGTTTACAAGGAGTAAACGCCTGAAATGCTTGCATAATTTATTATTATTATTATTATTTTTTGAGACAGAGTCTCACTCTGTCACCCAGGCTAGAGTGCAGTGGTGTGATCTTGGCTCACTGCAACTTCCACCTCCTGGATTCAAGCGATTCTCATGCCTCAACCACCTGAGTAGCTGAAATTACAGGCATGCACCACCATGCCTGGCTAATTAGTAGAGACAGGGTTTTGCCATGTTGACCAGGCTGGTCTCAAACTCCTGGCCTCAAGGGATCCACCTGCCTCAGTCTCCCAAAGTACAAGGATTACAGGCATGAGCCACTACACCCAGTCTAACTTTGTTTTGTTTGTTTGTTTGTTTTAGAGACAGAGTCTCGCTCTGTTGCCCAGGCTGGAGTGCAGTGGCGTAATCCCAGCTCACCACAGCCTCAAACTCCCAGACTCAAATGATCCTCTCCCCACAGCCTCCTGAGTAGCTAGGACTACGTGTGTGCGCCACCACACCCAGCTAATTCTTATAAAACATTTTGCAGAGATGGGGTGGGGTCTTGCTACTTTGCCCAGGCTGGTCTCAAACTCCTAAACTCAACCAATGCCCCCACCTTGCTTGGATTACAGGCATGAGCCACCATGTCTGGCCTGTAATTAATATTTTTAAAGAGGGAAAATGAAAGAGAACAAAATAAGAAAATAAAGGAGAGAGAGTTGGGGGAAGAGCGAATGAAAGTTAAAACTGGAAGTAGAGAGAGGAGGGGAGGGGAAGGCACGAAAGGGGTGGGAAGGGAACAGGTGCAGAAACACCTTGTGGTCCTCTCTTCTCCCAACTGCCAATCTCTCCCCAGTCCCCATCAGCCTGGGGCAGACAAGCAGAAATCCAAGGGCTCTGCAGGTTTCTCTCCCATTAAGATTTCAATTCCTGTCCTGGTGCCTGCCTGCCCCCAGCCATGGCCTCCTTTGGAGCGCTTCATTCCCTTTATCAGAGAGGACCAGAAAGGACCTCAGCGCTGGCCCTGTGCCTGGCCCACTGATTGCCAATTGTTTCTGAAGGAGCATTTAACGGTGGGCTTTCCCTCTCCCAGAACTATTCTAGGAACGTCAATAGCTTCCGTTTGGGATAAAAATGCTGAATCCATTTTTTTCTCCTAAATAATGATATTGTGATTAGCTGCCACTCTCATGGCAAGTAATGAGAGCACAGCGAGCGTTTGCTGCTTCTGGATTTCCTAAGATAGAGATGTGTGGATGCCATGAGCCTTAATGGGACAGCCACTCCATGCTAGGTCTTGAGTGCACAAACTCCTTCCGCCTCTCAACACCTCTCTTGAGTATTCACGGCTGTGCCCATGCAAGAAAGGAAGAGACTGAGGCCCAGCTAGGAAGTCCTACAGGAACTGGGGCCTTCTGACTCCAAGGCCAGGATTCTTGCCTCTGGATTCCACTACCCACTACTCTTGGAAGGTGAAAATCCCAGAAAATGAATAAGGTCTCAGGGTAAGGCTCACTGGCAAAGCCCCATCAGGCATAAGCTACCTTTGCAGTGCCCACTCCTTTCCCACTGAAGGAGACGCAGTGTGCCACTCGTATCTCTAGACTTTACCTTTCCCAGCTGGTCTGGCCGACCTTCCACCACCATTGCCTGCACCTCTGTGCCTGGGGGCTTTTCTATAACCCCAGAAGGCTGTTGTGCCCAAGTGCTCGCTAGTCCAGAGACTGAGAAACTAACACCCTGAGAAGCAGCCCTCAACTGATGGCTGGCAGGATCTGGTGTACAAATACCCCAGCTCCCTCTCTCCTTGAGTAGGATAATTCTGAGGTGCATGTGCTACGCTATTTCCTAGAGTTTCCTCCAGGCAATTAAACTCTGGTTGCCCACCCCTGGTAGCTGGCTCAATCATACACCCTATATTGGCTGCCTTCCCTTCCCAATCTCACTTCCCTACCCAGGTTCTCTGCATCTCCCAAATAAACTGCCTGCACTCAAGTCCTCATCTCAGGGTATGCTTCTGGGAAAGACCAAACAATAACCTCCTTCAGAAGCTGAGATCCAGACACACTCTAACAGAAGCTTTGGTCACCAACAATATGTCTTCTAGAAGGAACTTTCTAAGACTCAGATCCAATCACATCCTTCTCCAGGACTCCTACACTAAGTTCAAACTCTTTCAAGTGGTATCTGGACATATATAAAGGTTTTGCCTGTTCAGCAACCATTTTCCCTGACCTAGTTACAACCCTCAATTGGGCACGAGGGTAGGAAATTACTTCTCCAAATTCAGTCCTAACAAGACACAGGATAGTATCATGGTCGAGACTAGTGGATCTGAATCCTGCCTAGGGGACCTAGGGCAAGTACGTCACTTCACTGAGCCTCCAGTCTTTATATGATGGGCAACAAGGATGGGACCACCCACACGGGGTCTCATGTGGATTAAATGAGTTCATACACACAAAGGGTTGAGTATAATAGCTGGCAGTACCTGGCATGTGGTTCAGGTGGGTTAATTCCACCCCAGGTTCCGTAGAAATGGGGTGGATGTGAATCAGGCTTAGCCAGAAAAAGACAAATACCTCTGACCACAACGACTGGCTCAGGAATGAGTCTGTGGGCCAAGTTAGCCCCATGAGAACCAGCCCTAGGAATTTGCCGGAAAGGCTGGGAATGAAAGAGTCTTTCCTCTTGAGAGGATAAGGGTGTTTGTCTAGAACTGCTGACAGCCATGCTGTCAACACGTGGGGAGAATGAAGCCAACTCTCAGGGAAGCAGAGCTGAGAAATGGAGGCTGGGGGCGGGGATGGATCCAGCCATGCTGACAAGATATACTCCTGGCATTTTAGCTGTGCAAGTCGATAAATTTCATTTGATGTTTCAGGTGGTTTCAGCTCAGATTCCATCTCCTGCAAGCAAAAGAATTTAGGATGGAGTCACACTCTAGATCTGAATTGAATGAGTCAGATGGCCCTTTGACATCCTAAGGCCAGTGACTTCTAGGTTTTATCTTTAGCCAAATAAAAATTGTATCAAAATAATCAGTAGCCCTTTGACATTCTAAGGCCAATGACTTCTAGGTTTTATCTTTAGCCACGCAAAAATTGTATCAAAATAATCAGTAGCCCTTTAACATCCTAAGGCCAGTGACTTCCAGGTTTTATCTTTAGCCACACAAAAATTATATCAAAATAATCAGTAGAAGTCCAGCTTATAAAAGTGCAACTGTACTAGTTGAATTCAAGATAGATACCCTTGAGCCCCTCAAAGTAGGGTGCATGATTGAGCCAGCTACCAGGGTGGGCAATAGGAGTTCAATTGCATGGGGGAAACTCTATCACACAAGGAAATATCACTCACATGTAACTGCCTCCCAGAGGCACCTCCACAGGAAGATCCAGGGATCAGTGGGGTCCCAGGACTGGGACCATTGTCCTGTACCACCCCTGTAACAATCCAGCTGAACAAACAGAAAGTCCAAGAGGGAAAGTGACTTGCCCAGAATCACATGTTTGAGTGACAGCTGGAATCCAGGTGAGCCACTCTCTGCACCTCCCCGACCGTATTTTTTAAGTTTCTGTGACTCACACGCCACATCAAAAAGGTTTTTTTTGAAACATTCATGCCACTGTTTAGGAATTTTGCCAGGACTGCACGTACTCAGATTGTCATTGACTTAATATCTTTCTTTAAATAAATCCCTACTTTTAAACTACAATAAACTTATTTAAAAGGAAACATTCCACCACTGCCACTACAAATAGAAAGCTAATATCCCTTGCCAAAATAGAAATTGTTAAAATAAATACAACAAAAATAACAAACAAAGAGCAATGTTATTAAATTCCAGCCAGACTCCGTTTCAGGAAGGAAGCTGAGGCCAGCTCTGTATTGAAAAAGGAGATTAGCAAGGATTGGAGAGGTGTTAAATTCATGGCAGCACCACTGTGAGACTTTCTTTTTCATGTGAACAGAAGGATTAGGTGTGAATTGAAGAGGAGGTCACTTTCCACGTTTGCGAGTCTGTGTCATCTAGTGCCAGGTCCAGGTCTCACCCGGAATCCTCTCCTGGCCCTCTAGTGGTAGAATCTGACACTAGGGAAAATTCTGCCATAGGCCAGTGCTTCTGCAACTTTAATGTGCAGGTGAGTTTCCTGGGGTTTTGTTAAATGCAGATTCTAATTAAACAGATTGGAGATGAAGGGCCGAGATTCTGCATAATAGTAAGTTCCCAGGTGAGACCAATGCAGCTGATGGTCCATGGATTACACTTTGAGGACAGTCTAGACCAGGGGTCAGCAAACTATGAATTATCAGCCAAGTCTGCAGCCCCACAACCTGTTTTTGTGACTAAAGTCTTCTTAGAACACTGCCATGCTCGCTTGCTTATATATTATCTTGTGGATTACACAGCAGAGTTGAATAGTTGCAACAGAGATCTTACGGCCTGCAAACCCTAAAATATTTACTACCTGGTCTTCTTCCAAGGAAGTTTGCTGACCCCCTGGTCTAGACAGCAGACCCTTAGGCCTTCACAGGTCCCTGACTGCCAAGGCCATAGGGAAAGGGGCCCGGCAACATGTCCAACTGTCATCTTGGCCACCCACTCCTCAGCAAAGGCAGGCACTAAAAAACTTTTTTTTTTTTAATGTAAGTAAAGGTGCCCGTATAGAATGCAGTATCAACAAGAGTAGCAATGGGTAAATATTTTAATAGGTTAAGGATCAGGGTTGTCAGATGAGGAATTAAATTGCCTTTGAACCCTCTGAGTGAAAGGGTTGCAGAGCATCCCTTAGCACCATGGATGTGGAACCAGAGCCCTGTGCCCGTCGCCTTCGGCCTCAGAGCCCTGTGCCCGTCGCCTTTGGCCTCAGAGCCCTGTGCATGTCGCCTTCGGCCTCAGAGCTCCTTCTTGTTGAAAGAGGCAGGTTTGGCTTCTTAGTAATGGAGACTCAGAGCTCTTAAATGGGCTGCTGGCAAATCTACCAAAGTTCAACACACACCTCCCCAGGACCTGCAATCCCACTCCTAGGTATTAGAAAGACAATTCTGCAAGTGAGTCTTGGCCTAAAAATGCATGGCTTTTTATCATGAAATCAGTAAGTGTGGAAGAAGAACCACTGAACAGAAGTGCATTCACATGTGCACCTGAGGGCATGTATAAAAATGTTCTCAGCAGCACTATTTAGAGTACCCTGGAGCAGAAAACAATCCAGTGTCCATCAACTGGAGAATGGAAAAATACATTGCAACATATCTGTACAAGGGAATACTATACAGACCTGAAAATAACAAATGATTGCTACATCCAACGGCAAGGATAAATCTCACCAACATGATGTGGAATGAAAGAAGCCAGGCACATGAGAGTATGACACTATTTGTGTGAAGTTCAAGGACAGGCAAAACTAACTTATGGTAATGGAAGTCATTATAGTGGCTACCTTTTGGGGTGATATATTGACTGGGAATCTCTGGGAAGGTAAAAATGTTCTACAGCTTGCTCCAGCAGTAGGTACATGGATGGGTGTACCTGTAAAATGTCACTGAGCTATACACTCAGAATTAGAGCTCTTTCTGCACTTTATTGCATGTTATACCCCAATTTGAAAAACTTTTTCATAGGCTGCTAGCCAGCCCAGCAGATAAGGTGTGTTGGCTACTGTGGGTCACTCCAGCCCCATGGAGAGGCAAGAAAGCAAGTTGATGAGATCTAGTGGCTGGTGGCTTTTGTCACCACCAATTATGGGTGCAGTGGGGTCAGGGAGGCACCCAAGGGCCTGGCAGCAGGGAAGTTATTCTCCCATCTTCTTCTTAGAAGCACATTCTTCACAGATGCTTATCTCAAGAGCTGCTTCCAAGGTGATATCATTTTTAAAAGCCACCAAAAGCCCTCTCCTAGGACTGCCTTTGTATAAACTGCCACATTTGGCTGGGCACAAGGCACTTGGTATGCATTGCTCTGTTGAACCCAGGCAACCAGCCCTAGAAGCAGAGACACAAGCAGGGATGTTGAGGAACTTGCCATAGGCCACACGGCTGTGAGGACATGCTGTGATTTTTAACTCTTTCCTTCCTTTCTTCCTTCTTTCTTTCCTTCCTTCCTTCCTTCCTTCCTCCCTCTTTTCTTTTCTTTTCCTATTCTTTCTTTCTTTCTTTATCTTGGTAGATATGGGCCCTCACTATGTTGGCCAGGCTAGTCTCGAACTCCTTGCCTCAAGTGATCCTCCTACCTCGGCCTCCCAAAGTGGTAAGATTACAGGTGTAAACCATTGTGCCCAGCCACCCTTTCTTAATTACTCTAACAGCCATACTTGCATCTGCACCACACATCAGTGCTCTATAGATAAGACCAAGAAAAAATCCTTACATAGGTGTGACACTTTATACATATGAAGGCACTTTCTACATAGTAAGAAAATGGTTAGAAGCCCAAGCTAAACTATTTGATTTCAAATCTCATCTCTAGCAGTTCTAGGTGTGCTTTTGGGCAAGTGATTTAACCTCTCTGTGCCTGTTTCCTCACCTGTAAAATGAGGCTATTGATAGCACCTATCTCACAGGCTTGTCTAAGGATTGCTGTACAGCTGCTTGAATATTCTCTGGCACAGTAGGCTCTCAGTAATGTTAGCTATTCACATGTTAGTCAATACAAGTCAGCATTTACCGAGCCCTCTCCACTACTGCAGGTGACCTCATTCAGATTTCAGGGCCATACTGGGAGTCTCTATCTCATTCCCATTTCACAGACCATGAAAAAGAAGTTTGAAGAAATCAGTGCCTTTCCCGAACAGAGGCCCCAAGAGAGTAAGCAGCTCACCAGGGTTTAAACCAGGTCTTACTGGCTGTGTGACCTTGGACAAGTTGTTTCATCCTTTGAGTCTTTTATTTTTTATACTTTAAGTTCTAGGGTACATGTACACAATGTGCAGGTTTGTTACATGTGTATACGTGTGCCATGTTGGTTTGCTGCACCCATTAGCCTGTGGTGGAGTCTTAATCTATAAAAAGGGAACAACACCACCCATTTTATGGGGTCTTTTGGTGGAGGATTGCAGTGGTTAATGTGAATGGCTCCAGCACTAAGAGAACCTCCATAAATACTTACATAGTTACTTGGTATTTTAAAGACATGACTTGCCCATGGTCGCATAGCTCCTGGATAACTCTCTGGGATGTGAATCCAGTCTTCCCTCCCCAGTGTCCACATTCTTTCCACAGCATGGACTGCCTCTTTGTGCCTTCCTTCCAGGCCTGTCTTTCCTCCAGCCCAACCACCTCGCTGCCCTCCAGATAAGCCTTGGGTTTCCAGATAGACATGCATCAGTGTCCTCGGTGTGCAGCACACAGGATCCAGTCTGTGTTAGCTGTCAGACACCACAGGTGACCGGTGACATTCCAATCCTTGCCAACTGGGCAGGGCTCTTATTCCCAGGAGGCTGGCACTGCCCGGGGAAGAAAAAATAAGGGGTTTTGAACTCTGAGCCCTGCTCCTCACATCCTGTCCATTGAGGGGTGGACGCCCAGGCCCTCAAAAATTTATACTTGAGTGAGACACAAATGCATGGTTTTCCTTAGTGCCTTCATCTATTCAATACATATTTATTGCATGTTTCCAGCTGGAGGTGGTGGCTCATGCCTATAATCCCAGCACTTTGAGAGGCCAAGGCAGTCGGATCACCTGAGGTCAGGAGTTCAAGACCAGCCTGGCCAACATGGCAAAACCCCATCTCTACTAAAAATACAAAAATTAGCTGGGCATGGTGGTGCGAGCCTGAAATCCCAGCTACTCAGGAGGCTGAGACAGGAGAATTGCTTGAACCTAGGAGGCAGAGGTTGCCGTGAGCCAAGATTATGCCACTGTACTCCAGCCTGGGCGACAGTTTGAGACTCTGTCTCAAAAAAAAAAAAGGATATTTATTGCACGGGTCAGAGGTGTCCTGGTGGCACCCAAGCTGAAACCTGCAGAGTAAGAAAGAGTTTACCAGGAGAAGAGGGAGGATGAGGGAACAGTGTTTCCAGCAGAGGGAACAGCATATATGAAGGCCCAGAGGTAGAAGCCTTTTGAGGGGCACTGAAAGTAGCCTCATTTGGCTGGATGCAGGCAATGAGCGTGGAAGGGAACTCAAGAGTCCCAGGCACCCCGCGAGAGAATGTAAGGGTCACAGTCAACAAGTATTGAGCCCTGCTGTGTGTAGCAGTCCAAGGGAAAACAGTCCCTGCCCCCACCAAAGGGAGAGTGGTAAGAAGCTGAAGGAAGGCAGTAGTAAGGTCTGTGTGGGAGTTTCAGTGGAGAAGAAATCATATGTAGTTGGGAAAAAATCAGTCAAGATTCTTGGAGGTGGTAGCATTTGAGATTGACCTTGAACCTCAACTAGAATCTTGTCAGCTGGGGAGGTAGGGCATGGATATTCCTTGCAATTCACAGCAGAACAATGAACATATACTGAGCATTTACCACATACCAGGGCGTTAGCTGGCTTTCTCCAAGCAACCTTCTGAGGTAGAGACTACTATCATTCGCACTTTATAGAGAGAAAACTGAGGCCTAGAAAGGGGAGGTCACATGTCCAAGGTCTGTCTAGCTCAAAGACAGCATAATACCTATAGTACAATGTGCCGTGGAGAAATGTTTATGAAGCCATCTCCTGGGGGCAGGCTCATCTCCATGGCTGCTCTTGGCCTGTCTTTTCATGCGCTGCCCATTTGGAGGCATGTGCCTGTTGAGTGTTTAAGTATTGATCTCAGCATGGTATGACAGGCACAAATATTTAAACATTCAGCAGTGAGGCCTCGTTGCCCAAGATCTGTCCCAGCGTGACTCGGGGACAGAATAACAAAATGAACTTAGGTCTTATTATCTCCTGCGAGGCTTATTGTGGTTTCTCAAGTGATTACGCACATTAATGCAGGGACTCCTTTTGCTAATGGGGGAATTTCTGGCATGGAGGGGGGTGTGGTTAAGGTAATAACATTTCTTCTGAAAACAAAAAAAATGAAGGCCTGCTTCCCTACAGGGGATATTTTCTTAGGTTGAAGGGGGACTTCTCAGTGTTACTACAATTTTGGAAAGCCTGGAATATGGGATTCTTTGTTGTCATGGAGACAGAGTCTGCTATGAGCAGCAGATGGGGTCCTGGACAGAGGGCCTGGACAACGGGCAGGAGAGCAAAGCAGGTTGGTGACAAGTCTGGGGGTCCTGACTCCCAGATTGGGTTTCTTCCCAGATCGTCACCTATAGCCTAATGAGAGGCTCTCTGGGGCGGCAGAAAAACTCCCTGGCAGGATTCATGAGCTTACAGGCCCAGAGCCCTGGCTTTGGAGGAGCCCAGGCCTAAGCTGAGATCCAGTCTCTGCTCCTCTCCTACTGTGTGTCTCTGGGCCAGTGGTTCGTCCTCTCTACACCTCTGTTTCCCCATGTGTCAATCATTACCATGCAGCAAGTGCTCAAAAATGTAGCTAGTAGGCATGGTTTTCGTGGCTTTGCCAGCAGATAGCCAAGTACCCTCAGGCAAGTCAGTGCCTCTCTCTGGGCCTCAGTTTACCTGCAAAAGCATTCAACTAGCTAATATCTAAGGACCATTTCTAGCCTAATGGCCTGTGAGTCTATGACTCAATGAACTCTCCCAACTCGAGAAAGAGAGAGGACTATGATAATGACATTCACAATCGACATTTCCACCATCTATTGGGTGCCTACTATGCGCTGGGAACCCTGCTGGGCACCAGGTCCTCCTCGTCTCACACCTACAGTGCAGCCTCCTGACAATCTTCTCACTTCTGATCTTCTCCCTTTTAATCCATCCTGCATACCTGGCCAGTTTCAGCTTTCTTAAACCCTGCCTGCTCCTTTGCTCCAGAACACTCAGTGGCTCCCCAGTGCCCCTCAAGGTCAAGACCCAACTCCTTAATGTGGCAAGCGAACCTTCCATGCTCAAGCCCTTCCCTTTGTCATGGACTCTCTGACAGACTGTGTTGTCTCTTTGTCTAGTCCTCCCCATTCCTCGTACTCAGTAGGTGCTCAATAAATATTTGTCGAGTGAATGAACACATGGATAAAATGTTTCTCTAAATTAGGCTACTCAAACTTTAGTCCTTTGCAAAGCAGCCACAAGAGTTTTGCAAAAATCTGCACACCATGTCTATTTTTATTTACTTAAATATTTTCCTTTTTTAGATTAAATAAATGTATCTCAAAAGGAAACTTTACATCATGCTATAACTAGAAGGCCAATATTACTTGCCAGAAATAGGTCTCCATTAAAATAAATACAAGGACAAATGAGCAAAGCATTCAATTCTAACTAGATACTGTTGTCTACCAAAGCTGGCAGCCTCTCAGTTAAAATGGGATTAGTCAGTGCTTTGGAGAGGTGTTAAAGACTAAACCAGCACCAACCTGAGACTTGCCCATTGACAGAAATCACAAGGATGTAACAAAGGGATGAATAGGGGAGAACTGTTTCACTCCAAGTTATTTCACTCCACTGAAAATTATCCTACCTACCATCAGAGGTTGGCAGCCTACATTTTGGAAACCTTGTTCTACAGAGCCCACAGCTCCAGCTCAGGAGGTATGCATATGAGTTCTCTGAAAGACTTCAACTCAGGCTTTTTGAAAGAGTATTGGAAGCCCTGCATGCAACTACCTCGCCTTCACAATATAGTGTCCCTATCTGAAGTCTCACTGCACCAGAGACAGCTCTCAGAGCTCGACTGTGATAAGAGTTTGTTGGAAACCATCTTCCTGGTGGAATAATGAGCTCTCCCCATCCTTGCAGAGATGCAGACATACGCTGGACAGTCATGGGTGTAGGGCAGGGGCAGAGAATGCCAGCGGGGGCAGGGAATGTCATGGAGATAATTCAAGCATCAGATGGTCAGCCTATGAAATTGACCTGATAGCTAGAGTTTGCTTTCATATGTAAGCAAAACAAATCCAGAGGGATGAAAAGAGAGAGGAATTCATTTCTGGTCAGCAACGTAGAAAAAACAGAGAGACAATTGTGAATGAGGTTACCCAGAAAACACGAAGGACAAAAGGGGGATGGGAATGGCTATTATTATTCCTTTTTATAATGCTTCATAATTCTCAATCCAACACTGGATTCATGAAGACTATTTTGGTTTTAAGCAACATAAACTGAATTCAAACTTGTGTAGCATAGGAAAAACAATTTAATGATATAAATAGCTGACACTGCCTTCAGGTATGGCTGGATCCAGGGACCTGATATACATCAAGACTCACTCCACTCTCTGTCTCTCAGTTCTGCTCTCCTCTATGTTGGCTTCATTTTAGGTCGGGTCTGCTCAAGTTCTGCAAAGATGGCTGCCAACACCTCTATGCTTAGGAGCTTTGGTGGAGATTGAGTTTCTGTTTGACAATAGTTTTAGCAAAAGTCCCAGACAGAGTTCTCATTGGCCCAGCATATGTCACACGTCCCCTCATTGAGGTCAGAGTGATGTGCTCTGATTATCTGTGCCCTGGGTCACATGTCTGTCTCCAGGAGGAGGGAGCCCCACCCAACCATATTGAATATGAGTGAAGGAGGGGAAGTTTCCCAAATGAAAATTGAGGTTCTGTCACCCAAAGAAGTTGAAATGAATGTCAGGCAAGCAAAAGTAGCCTTCATTTTTGCTACCCTTGTATCTCCACTCAAAGCTATGCCCCACATCTCCATCCAGACAGCTCCTACTCATCCTTCAGACCTCAGTTCAAATGGCGCTTCCTTGAGGAAACCTTCCCAAACCATCCCACACTAGACTGGAATCCCCTGCTGGACTAGAATCCCCTGCATGTGTGCTCCTGGCAGAGCTTGTCATTCTGGGTTTGTGCGGTTATTTGATGAAAGCCTGTCTCCCATACTGGACTGGCATCACCTTGAAAGCTGTGGCCTGTCTTGTCCATCGCTCTGTCCCTGGAGCCTAGGACAGTGCCTGGCACACAGGTGGAACTCGGGAAATATTTATTTGAAATACCAACGGAAGTCCACAGCACATATGACCTGGTGATCAGTGGTGGGAGGTGAATGGGTCAAGAAAGACACCAAGATTCCCTGCTCATGAGTGAGAGTGTGGGGAAACAGAAGAAGTCAGGGTGACCTTGGTGAGCACTGCCCTGGGGGACTCGAGGATGGATGAAAGCAGGGAGGAGGCCAGATTAGGTGGGGTAGAGGACCTGAGGTCCATCAGCAAAGGCCATCCCTGGGGACAAAGAGAGGAGGGGAAGAGTAGGTCTGGGCTGGAGAGAAGGAATCTTTTCTCTGAGTTCCTGGGGACCCCAGAGGGAAGGGCAGATGTGGCCCCATTCCCAGAAGCCTTTATAAAAGAGGGTGGGGAGGTCAGGCCTTGGCAAGGACAAGGGAAGGAGTCCCTACGTGCTGGATTGGGATTGGCTGGAAAGGGGACTTCTCTGGGAGAATCCCTCAAACCTCAAGAACTGAGAGAAGGGTGTCTGGGGCTCCTGCCACCATCCCTGTTTCCCTTTTAAGTAATCTGTTTCCCCATCTGTCCATCCATACACACAGCCACTTGTGTCTCCATGACCAACCGCTGGCAGTGGAAGGGTGTCCTTCCCACCCCCACTCTTACACACACTCCCAGCTGGTACCCAGAGCCTGGTCACCCCAGGCCAGGCCTGTGTTTCCAGGTGTAACGGGCAGCAGACGCTGCCCTAGGACTAGAGCAGGGAGGGGGCACGGGCCCACCCCAACCCACAGCGACCCACAGAGGGCGAAAAGAGGACGACCGCAGAGAGAAACGGAAAGGACAGGCCAACGGAAGCAGTACTGCAAGGCTGGAAGGAGAAAAGCCAGGAGGGGAGTGCTTGCTGTGAAAGACAGGGAGACAGAGACCAAGACGGACAGGCAGACAGGCTGGTGACCCAGGATGAGGCCGGAAAGAGCCATCAAAGGAAGGAGAAGGAAGGAGAGAGATTGGAGCGGGACGGCGGGGCAGGCGAGGGAAGGAGGGGGTGGGGAGAGGGAGGGAGGAAGAGAGGGGAGAAAGAGGGAGGAAGAGAGGGGAGAAGGAGGGAGAAGAGAGCGGGAGAATGCGAGAGGAAAGAAGGGAGAGGGGAGGCGTAGAAGGGGAGAGGAGGTGAAGGGAAAAGGAGAGAGCCTGCTGGCGGCGAAGCTGCAAGAGGCAGCTGCGGAGGGAGCGCGCGGCGGGCCTGGGGGAGCGCTGGGCGGGGGCGGGCGGTGCGGGCAGGGCTATACCCGAGCTGGGCGGGCTCCGGGCGCCGCGGGCCCTGCCCTCCCCCTCCATCCCTCCGGACTCGCTCCCCCCTCCTCTCCCTTCCCCGCGACCCTCCGCCCGCCCTCGGAAGACCGAGACAGCGGAGAGGTTGCGGGTGAGCTGCGCTGAGCCCAGGAGCCGAGGAGTCGGGAGCGCAGTAGCGCTGAGCCCGAGCCCGAGCGGCCCCGCGTCCCGAGCGCATCGGAGCGGCCGAGCCGCCCGGATGCAGCGCCTGTCCCGGGCAGCGCAGCCCCGGCCGCAGGTAGGAAAGGGCGGCCGGCGTCGGGGCGCGGGGCGCAGAGCCTGGGATAACGGCGCAGGAACGGCCAGAGCCCCGAGCCGCTGCCGCGAGCCGGGCCGGGTGGGGGGCGGACACCTCGAGATTCAAGCCCCCGCGCCGCACCTTCCCTGAGCCACATGAAGGAGCAGAGGCGCCGCTCGGACCCCGACGTGCGCCCAGGCCATCCGTCCCCTGGGACACTCGGGAGGCAGGAGGGCTGGAACAGAGGCGAGAGTTGCATGCCCCTTCCCTCCCGCGGTGCCCCACTGGCCCCGCAAGTTGGCACTGGATTCTGCTGGAGCCGTCGAAGCTCCCTATTCATTCCCCAGGGCATGGAGGGGACGCGGAGTGAATGACACGAGCAGCGTTGGGGGGCCGTGCGCCACTTTCCCAATCCTGGGGTCAGCTGAGCCGAGTTAGAGCTATGCCCCTCATTTGTTCTCTGCGGGCTACGGCGGGGTCGGGTGCGACTTGAGGATGGGACGTCTCTGGGACAGCCCGAGCTCTCAGAAACGTTGGCTTAAAAGCACACCGGGGCTTGGGCTGAGTGCACCGGAGCTAAGCCTAGTGCACCAGAGCTCGCGCCGCGCTCTCCCAGCCCCGACTTTCTCCAAGAGATGTGGGGTGCGGGCGGTCCCTTAGAGGGCTGGAGGACGGTGCCTCCTTGCTGCTTCGGGAACTGCGCTCCCCTTCTTGCTTTTGGTCTCTGCGTGTACTCCCCGGCGCGACACCGCTCACCACGGTAGCCTCGGGCAGTGCCCATTGGGTTCTGAGCACACGTCCCCACGGGTGGCACCCACAGATGTCCTGTTCTAGGCTTGGCTCGGTCTTCAGACAAGAAACTCAGACCGGGCAGTCCCCTATTGAGGCTCTGAGCTAATATCCTCCCAAAATAGACATGAACCACAAGGAGAATTTTTTAAAAGCCAAATGATAACACCACGTTCTTTCCGGATGTGGGGCTGGAGCGCTCATTCCCTTTCCCAGGAAGCTCAGCCTTATCCCCATGAAGAGCTGGGGGGGCGGGGAGGGCGGGAATAAAATGGCTCCTGAGATTTGTGACACCCCAAAAATCAGAGACGGTATCAGACTGAGTGGCATTGGGGGTCTACCTTTGTTTTTCTATGACACACAAGGTGGGTGTTTGGCAAGAGAGTAGGGATGTTGGGTGCTGGATAGTGCCTAGATTCTGTGTCTTTGGGAACTTTGGGGGAAGTGTCCTCCTAAGGGAGCCAAAAAGGCTGCTACCCCAGTCCCCCAAATTCCAAAACAAAAGAGGTCAGTGAAAGCTACTCGCATTTTGCATGTTATCTCTTTATCTTTGGAGCACATTGGGAAGGACTGACCCAGCTCCAGATCAGGGTCTGATTGGGGCAGGACAGACCCTCTCCAAGGCAGAGAAGGGGAAAAAGAACTTGCCCTTAGAAGTGGGAGTCCCTGGGGGAGTGGGACAGACCTTTTCCCAGAGCAGCCCTGGCAAAATGGCTGAGCCTCCCTTGAGCCTCAGAAATAAATCGTCAGGCAGGCAGCAAACAAAGAAAGAGCTCTGTCTCCAGCCAAGCACTGGCTCAGTGGCCAGTCCTTGGAGGACAAACAGTGAGTCCCAAGCAGAGAGACGCAGCCCGGCCTGTCTGGCAGAGCATCTGGAAAGTGGGGTTCCCCTAGGAACACACAGGAGAGAGGCAGCCACTCTGGAGGTAAAATCAGGGACCCTCTGTCCTGATGTGGGACACTTTATTTCAGGTCTGGAGGCTTGATGAGAAGTGGGTCTCCAGGAACTTAGATGGGGCTGGGAAGGATGTCTGGAGACCAAGGAGTAGGTAGCTTAGAGGGTAAAGATGAGGCAAAATCAAGTCCATCGAAGCCAAAAGATGCACAGTGGCCACGTCTCTCCTGCCTGCCACGGATTTTACATGCCTGGTGACCCCGGAGCAGCAGAGGCTATAAATTTTTTTACACGTGGCCCAGCACACAGCAGGACCTCAATAAACCTCTTAGAATAAAGCCTGCATGGATGGAAGGTGATGCTATCACTGGCATGGACCTACCTGCAATCTGTACCTGTCTCACTGAGCCAGGAAGGCTATAAAATGTGGCCCCTTAGTCCATAGCCGGGAATGAACGAGCCCCAGATGAGGGTTTGCTTTGAGCTGGGGCATTGCCATTTCTGGCCAGGTGACCTTGGGTACGTTCTTGTTCCTGTTGGAAGGAAGGAATGGAGTACCCAAAGCTTCCAATGTGCCAGGGATTATTCCTACAAGAACCGTGTGGAGCAGGCACTATTCTAATCCCCACTTCAGAGGCGATGAAACTGGATGCAGAGAGGGGAAGTGACTTGTCAAAGGTCACATAGCCAGGAGGAGGAAGGGCAGGGATCTTAACCCTACTGTTCTAATTTCCAGGCCAACTCTGTCCTATTGTGGGTCTCTGGGCCTCGGTTTTTCCATCTGTAAAGTGAAGTGATGGGGTGGTAGTTCCCGTGGGCCTGCCATGGGAGCAGTGGCTGGTCCTCTACCTTGGTGGCATATGACATGTGGAGAGCACCATGAAATAAATAAAGCACCAATATCAGGCCACTTCTTGCCATCACACAAAGACTCCATTCCTTGGCTTGGCTGTGAGCTCAGCAGCTGAGATAGAGTTCCATGCTACTTGGAATTTGGAGATGTCTTTTCCACCCTCTTGCTTGTCTATGGGTCTCAGGCAGAGTGTTAATGACCGTTGATTCAGCCTTGCCACCACCTTTAGCCACCTGCATCCTGAAGTCCATCTCCTTTGTCCTTAGAAGCCCATCCCTGTTGCCTAGCCCAAAATGTGCCCACCTTCCCCTTGACTACCACCCCCGCCCCAGCAGCCCCTCTCCTCAGCCACAGCCCCAATGCCAAACCCAGTTAGAGCCACTTCATCCCCTCTCTGCCCAAATGAAAACTAAAATGCAAGCGTCAGCAGGCCTGTCTATGCCTGTGTCGGGACTACCCCTTCAATTCACCCATGCAACGTCGCCTGAGCTTCTCTGTGCCTGGAGAATGGTGGGCAGGGTATAGCCCCGCTGAATGACAGCAACCTCGAATTGACTTCAGTTGCCAAGAGCATTGGGCACTTCCCCCACAAGGTGAAAAGATCATCCTGTGTCCACTGCTCTGTGGCTTGGCATGCCTCGATGCTGGCTTCTCAGACAGGCCCTGCACGGGTGGCTCTTCTTGCCAACTTTACCCCATTCTCTGAAGGGCACTGGGAGATGGAGGGGAAGAGGTTGGTGCTTGAAAAAGAAAAGATTGGGAGGCCAGATGTGCACCCCAAAATAGGACTTCCCAGGAAATGGGTCTCAGTGAGCATATTAACATCCAGCATCTTCATCTACTCCATGCTCACCTAAGACCTCTGGGGTCAGGGGAAGGGGCTATGGAGTCAGTGGGAAGTGGGCCAGTAGCAGACAGGAGAGTTGCCTGGCATAGGCAGTAGGTGTGAATGCAAGCTGTGATATTTCAGCAGAGACCTGGAATTCAGTCATAAACAGAAAAGAAAGAAAACACTAAATATTGTTCCAATGCAATTGTATCAAAAACAGTAATAACTGTCAGTTACTGCATGTTGGCAATATGCCAGGGACTGTGCTGTGTGCTTTATATCGTTGCAGTTAATTTTCACAAAACCCTGTGAGATACGTAGCATAATGATCCCTGTCAGGGTGAGGAAACTGAGGAGGAGAGGGGCTAAAGCACTTGCTGCAGGATCACTGGGCTGGTAAATAGCCTTAAAGCCCAAACTCAGTCACAGCATGCTTAAATCTCTGCCACTAAAAGCCCCTGACACTGCTTACTTGGCAATGACCATGAGCGCCCCCCGCTGCCTCCACCCCAGTTAAGGAGCTGCACAGTTTACAAAGCACTTCTTCATCCATTCCATCTGTGGAGCTTTGCCACAGCTCTGGGAGGCTGGGTGGCATGATAGCTTCTGCGTGATAACTGGGGAAGCTGACTTGCAGAGAGATGAATTTGTGCCCAAGGTCCCTCAGCTGCTAGGTTGCAGAACTGGGGTTCAAATTGAGATGTCCAGCCTGTTACAACATATTTGGGACCTAGATTTTAAATTCATTTGCAGCTAGTGCTGATGTCATGCACTCAGCCACCTTTCCCTAACTCTCGGGTATCCCCCAATTTTGTCCCCACCATCTTACTGCTCAGGAAGCTATTGAGAGTGCCCTGACAAAGCCATCAGCTGCATTTACCGTGATCTGACATGACACAGAAGTGGCATCCGATTCTATGCAAGCTGCCTGCAGCGAATGGTCTTCTATTTTTACATTTCTCACAAATTGGAAATTACAAGGAGGCCAGGTCTTGCAGCGAGATTGGCTGTGGTGCTCTGAAAGCAGGGGATGTACAACTAGGTGGAACAGGCCACTTTAGGATGCCAGGGGCACTGTTGGCTGTGAAAGGGGCCCCCTGGCTGCTGGGGCTGGATGGGATCCTGGCACACAGGCCAGGCTTGGGGATGCAGGAGTTAGTGACTGCCTTGGACGGTGACCTGCAGCTCTGCCCACCTGTCAGCTGCCTGGTGTCTGCAAGTTCTGTGTCTCACGCCAGCTCCTGAGATAACTGAGCCCTGGCCAGAGGGACATTCAAGGTCAAAGATGCCCTGAAACATCGACAGCAGGTTGCTTTCATGGCTGTGTAGTTTGATAAGGAGATTCTGTGCAGGGAGAGGGCAGCAGCCACAGGGAGGTGAGCAAAGACATTTGGTATCAGTGTTGCGGTTTGCTGCAACTTAGCGCTGATCACGATACTCCCGGTCATCAGAACCGCACTTTATACTTTGCTAAAAATGCTCTTGCAGCTGCTTTTTCTTTTGATCATGTATGAAGTATTCCAGGGGAAGAAAATATGGTCCTTGAGATCCTGGAGAAGAATCCTCTCTCCAATAAAGAGTGATTTTTTTAAAGCTAGTTTTCTTATAAAGCCCAAATCAGAATGACCTTGACCCAAATGAGGCTCCTTTGCACACATGTGCGTACATGCACACGTTAACACTTATGTAGAATTTCAGTTTTCAAAGTGTTTTCTCAGTCGAAGCTTGTGACAGCCCTGGGAACTTCAAGTGAAGGTAATTTTATTGTTATTATTGGTACCATTATTATCCCCATCCAAAAGATGAACCTGAGGCTCAGTGAGCCCTGACTCCTCATCTCTGTCCCCTAGTTTCCCAGCTGATGAAAATCACCTTTGCTAGGCTGAAATCCAAGTTCACCAGGTAGCCCCTTGAGAAGGAGCCCAGATGAGGCCAGATCTGGTAGGAGGCAGAGCACAGAGCACTCAAAGATCGAGACTTACAAGAGAGCGTGGGAAGGCACGGCTGTGAGGCTGGGGAGAAAAGGGCCGTAGCATCTTGTAACCTTACCTGAGCTCTGGCCAGAGATTAACATCTCCTTGGTTATGCGCAGAGTTTGGGGTCCAAAGTGTGATCATTTGGCCGGGGGGTCCCAGCAGTAACCAGGCCTGGAGGGAGAGGAAGGGATGGTTGCTCTCACACACCTATGTGCACACAAGAATGCTTTTCTCGGTGAATTGGGGGAGAAATGAACACCAGGGACCCCATGAGATTTCATAGAAGGATCTAAAGGTCTTGGTAGCCAGGAAGGTTGTGGGGAGTGTTTGTATGTGAGCCTCAGCTCAGACCCACTGGAGGAGCAGGCTGTGTGCTTCTGAGCCATGCCCAGGCAAGAGGGCAGGGATCACTCACCTCTGCCTTTGGACTGTTGCCATGCTGGAGATTGTGAAATATCATGAGTTCTAGGAGCTTCCCTCTGGGGTGCAGGGGGAGGCAAGAGACCTGAGGGTTTGACAGTTCCCTGGCTGGATGGTGGGGAGAGAACTTGTCCAGCTGGGCCCTGACAGTGAGTTCAGAGGGCCTGCTGGGCACTGGTCCCTGAGCCAAGGCTGATACTGGATGATAGGTGCTACTCTCTCCTTCTGCCAGAGAGGACCCTGAGCCCAAGGGTGGTGGAGTCACTTGCCACAGGGTGCACAGACCAAGTTTGGTCCCAGGTCTTGGTGATGCCAACCTCATGCTGCTTCTGAAAAGCACCTGAGACAAGATAACTGTTGGGGAGCCAGGGGCTTTTTCTCTGTATTCGCCATTTCTGGCTGTGCCATGCAAGGGCTGAGAAAAAGTGAAAGCAATACAAAATAAAAGTGGCCAAAAGCAAAAGCTACCAGCTTCCTGGGCACCGTCTGAGCTGCCAGCCTGCAATCCAGGCTTCACTGCCGCCTGAGCTGACCAAGCCCCTTTCCGCCCAAGTCAGATGTTTCCAGAGCTTAAGATCCAGGACCCACCTATGATTAAAAAAATAATAATAAAAAGTAGGCCTGGGGAGAGAGAAGAAGTCATCTTACTGAAGAGTATTTTTGAAAGATGGAATTTAAATGCACGCATGTATTACATATGCATTTTTAGCAGGTTGGTTCAGCATAATGACACAGAATGATCTGATATGTACATCTCTCAGTCTTGGGCTCTGCCTGTGACCTAGGCACTGAGCCAGTACTTCACAAGCATTGTCCCAGGATCCTCAATAAGGAAACTGAGGCTCAGGGAGCTCAAGAAGTTGCCCAAGGTCATACCACTGACACAGGGCAGAGCTGGGAATCAGATCCAAAGCTGCAGGGCTCCGAGGCTTGGGCTTGCAGACCTGAGAAAGAAGTGGGAGAGCCGCCTTCTGCTGGGCCTCAAGCCTGTGGGGGACCGTGGGCAGGTTCTTTCCCCTCTTGGCTTTGCATGCTCAGTTCATACAGCCAAGAGGTTTGGACCATTGGATAGGATGATCGGCTGCTCCCCGCACCAGGCGCCAGTTCTCCAGGCAAGGGGAGGGAAGTTGCACGCCCCACTTCCTCCTCTCCTCCTCCATTTCCCCCATAATAGCCTCCCCGAGACTAATGACTGAGGAAGATAAGAGCCCTTTCTCCAAATGGCAGTGAATGCCACTAATGACAGAGCAGATGCAGCACTGTTAATTATTCCACGGGTATTAAATGAAAACGCCAGCCCTGGAGGAGTTAAATAGCACCACTGATCTGGCAACGTCTGTGCTTAAAAGTGATGCCATCAAACCGGGCCGGGGCAGAGCAGCCCCCTCCCCAAACTTGGAGCTAGACAGGAGTCACAAAGTAAGGGTCCCCTCATTGGTCACAGACCCCTCTTCAGCTCAGGGTCCGAAGCAGCTCCTTGGAGACATGGATCGGTGGCTGCTTTGGGAGATTTTCTTAAAGGCCCCTGGGGGGCCTAGACTAGTTATCCTTAGGGGCAGATGTGGACAAACAATTGGACCGAATAAAACTCTGAGCACCTACTGTGTGCCAGGTCCTATTTTGGATTGTAGAAAGAAACTGGATGCTGTTCCTGCCCTTTGAAGATCCACTTGCATTGAAAACCGTAGATTCCTTAAGAGCAGGAATGCTGTGTTGTTTGGAGTCTCTGGTCCCATAGTCAAGAACACAGAGTGGGTACCTCTGTATTACTTTGATTATCTGCTGGTTCCTTGAATGAGAGCCAGAGGCCACACAGATTGTGGCCAGAGTGAGATCGGTGGGCAGAGGGACTGGGCCAGGGTCAGGCTGTCTTCTTCAGGTACAAGCAACATGACCTTCCTGGACAGCTTAGCCCCAGGTTCTGAAACAAGCCATGACCTGGATGAAGAGCCGGGTTTTCCACTTGCTGAGGCACCACAGGCGACTCCTTTGCCCTCTCTGAGCCTCAGTTTGCACATCTGCAAAATGGGGAGGATAAGGGCCATGATGGCTGCAGGCAAAACAACTGTCTCCTAACCAATCCTGGCCCTGAATCTGGAGGATCACAGAGACCTCATGAATGTTTGAAGAGTGACATTCTGGAGGAAATTCAGCAGAGAGAGAGAGTGTAGTCACCAAAGGCAGCATCTGGTTCTTCCTGTGGGTCTCACTCAAATCTCACTCCAACCCCCAATTCATCTCCAGCAGCTCAGGTCACTTGTTCCCAGCTTCCTGGACCTGGAAAGCTGTTTCTCAGGTCTTTGTAGGCTAGAGAACATCACAAAACCCACCCATTTCAGACACACCTGTGTTATAGATGGGTAAACTGAGGCCTAGAGAGGAAGAGTCCTAGGTCTTGCAGAGGCTAGGACCCAGAGCTTCTAACCCCTAACCCAGTGCTCTTTCCCTTCCACCAAGCCAGCCCAGCTCCTCCGTTAAGAAATTATTAAATAGAGTTGGTGGAAGGACTCTGGTTGCCGTGACAACGGAGCCTGTGTCCTCGGGAGATAATGGCGTTGCACAAGGCAGAGCGATGTGTGTTGAATGCTGATTCAGGACCTGCTAGAGTGAGAGTGAGTACAAGAGGAGAGTGGAGGGGACCGTGTCTAGAACTCGAGCTTCCCCAAGAAGGAGGTGCGGGACTGGTAGGGGTGGGGCAAATTGCCTTCTCTACTTCCATCCTTCCTACAGCCTTGTCAGAATGGGATACTTCCCTGCACTTCGTGGAGGTGCAGAGTCAGGTGAGGAGAGGTGAAGTGACTCATCCCAGGTCACACAACCAGGAAAGAGCCAGAGCTGGGATTATACCTCCAACCAACACGGGGGCCTAGGCTATAGGGAGGGCCTGGAAGGAGGCTCACCTGCAGGGGCAGGGGATGGTTGATGGAGACCTCTCTAAAGTCTTAAGTGCTTGTGGAGGTCCTGATGGTCCAGGAATGACAATTCCAGCCCAAGAGGAAGAGAAAACAGAATGTCAGCATAGCTAAAAGCATCAGCTTTGGAGCCAAAGTCACATCTCTCCCTGCCACTTACTAAACTGTGTAATCCTGGATGAGTCACTTTCTCTCTGAGCCTCAGTGTCCTCATCTGCAAAATGGGGATAATGCCGGCACCTACCTCATAGGATTGTGGTGAGACTGCATATCATGAGGAAGATAAAGCATCGAGCCCCAATCCTGGCCATAGCTCAATCACCAGCAGCTGTTGTTATGAACCAAAGGGGAGAGGCTGGGAAAAGGATCCACTCCCAACCATGTATCAGCTTGTAATTTGTGGTGTTGGAAGAGCGAAACTGGCTAACACAGTACAAGCATGATACATAACAGGGCTCTTCATTCCAGGCTAGTAAATATCACTAGAACAAATGAACAGCTCCATCACCAAAAATATACATAAATATTTTGCATTTGAAGAGTGTGAATGTTGTACCTCACTGCAAATGTACTGTCCTTAAAAACCTCCATGCACACCTCACTGAGGGAATGTGTGTTTTCTCTGTGCCAGCTATCTAAATGACCCCATGCTGCAAACGCTTTTGGAAAATAAACACTCTCACCCACCCACCTAGTTTCTCTTCTAGAAGCACAGCTGGTTCAGTGTACTTACCTCCCTAAT
The DNA here is from genome assembly GCF_000001405.40 of Homo sapiens. NCBI lineage: Eukaryota > Metazoa > Chordata > Mammalia > Primates > Hominidae > Homo > Homo sapiens. The sequence continues at coordinate 11,002,346 of NC_000003.12, forward strand.
CAGGGATTGGAGAACATGGGGTTAATACCCTGTGAAACCCCAAAGTGCATCATTTGCATGCTGGCAAAGATGCAGGCTGGCAGACAACCCCATTCCATTTTGGAAGCGGAAAGAGGGTGCTGGACTCAGGCATTTGGCTGTTTGAAAAGCGCTGGTAAGAGCTGGGATCCTGATGATTGAGATGCAAGCAACCATTTTGTTTGTTTCCGCAAACCTGTTTGAGCAAATCCACCCCCAGAGATAGCAACCTGTTTCTGGGTCCCCTGAGAGAGAGGGTCATTTGTTTGCTGCTGTTTCTGGGGCTGGATGCCAAGCTATGAGGCAATGAGCTGACGACCTTGGATCCTGACACCCCTATTCTATGCAGGCAGGAGAAGGGTCAGGGAGACTGATTCAGTGAACAAATAAAGACGGTTGACATTTAACCAGGATTTTAATGGGTGTGCCAAATTGCAAGATACATACACATGTCCACTTTGGGAATCATGTTTAATAAACAATTTGCCCTAAGAATTTGATTCAATCAGCATCTCCCAGTGACTCCCACCATTCCTTTATATTGATTGCCTATAGGTTAAGATAACACTGGGCCTGGCGCAGTGGCTCACGCTTGTAATCCTAGCATTTTGGGAGGCTGAGGCAGGCGGATCATGAGGTCAGGAGATCGAGACCATCCTGGCTAACACGGTGAAACCCCGTCTCTACTAAAAATACAAAAAAATTAGCCAGGTATGGTGGCAGGCACCTGTAGTCCCAGCTACTCGGGAGGCTGAGGGAGGAGAATGGCATGAACCCGGGAGGCAGAGCTTGCAGTGAGCTGAGATTGCGCCACTGCACTCCAGCCTGGGCGACAGAGCAAGACTCCGCCTCAACAACAACAACAAAAAAAGATAACACTGGCCTGCCTTCCACCCAGGACTTTTTCCCATCACTAACTAAAAATATAAATGAAAGCCCTGATCAGGTGGTTTATTATAATATCTGCCAGGTATCAAGCATTTACTATGTCCTAGATGCTGTACTAACTACATATTTCCCCATTTAATCCTCATAGCAGCCCTAGAAGTAGGTGTTATCACTTCTGTTTTAGACAGAGAGAGTAGATGACTAACCTACAGTCACACAGCATTGAACCAGAGCTGAAACTCAAAACTGGGTGTCCTTGCCCCTAGGGAAGGACAAATTTTCTTTAAGTCCCACGAACAATGGGCATACTTATGAAGAGCTGCTGCTTGGGATATCATAGAGTGATCAGAAGTTTGTTTGTCAGGAGCCATGATAGGGGCAGGCAGAAGAGGGCATTGCTCATTGTTCATGGGACTTAAAGAAAATTTGTTCAATAAAAATCTGATTTTTAGCCAGACATGGTGGCACATGCCTGTAGTCCCAGCTACGTAGGGGGCTGAGGTGGGAGGATTGCTTGAGCCTGAGAGACAGAGGTTACAATGAGCCGAGATCATGCCACTGCACTGCAGCCTAGGTGACAGAGTGAGACCCTGTCTCAGAAAAAAAAAAAGAATCTGATGTTACCAAATGGGTAGACTGTTCTTGCTACATAGGAGTTTCCACTTTACAAAAACAAGGGGCTCTATACCATAAAATTCCTTTCCACAGCTAAGTGAGTGAGTCAAGAACAGATGCACTGGTGAACGTGAGCATTCAAGTCTTTTAAAAATAAAATTAGCCTTTATATTGTGGGAAAATATTTTAGACCCTGGAATCTGACCCTTAATTGACTCTGAAAATACACGCCTCCCTCATTCTTGCAGACTATTCTAAAGCAGAGTCTCTCTGCGGTTTTTTAAATCCAACTGAGCTTTTATTAAGAGACCAATAGGATTTGTTGTTTCCCAAATATAAAACTATAACACCAAACATGCTTTTTCAAACTTCACCACCCCCAAGAGTTTGACATATCCCCCAGGAAAGGGGCAATATTAACCCTCATCCATCTTCCACTGCTTAGAGAAAGAGTTCTACTGAGTGACTAAGATTGTACCGTGTATACAAGGATTGCAAATTCAGGGGCCATTGAGGGCCAGACAGGTCACAGAAATGAGTAAAGAGGTCAGCGATAGGATGACAGTAATGGTGGGACTTGTAGTAAACTAGAAAACACATCACCACTTCCCTTCTCCAAAGCATGCAAGTTCAATTTCTAAAATTCAAATCTGATACCACTCAATCAAGCATAGCTGTGGGACCCATTCGGCTCAAAACCACCACGTTGAGATCCCTGGTGGTTCTTATTGTGACCTTGTGTGATCTTGATCCAGACAGTTTCTCTTTGGGGCTCAGTCTGATTGTCTCTAGAAGGGGCTGATAGAGCCTGCAGAGCTGCTGAGAGAGAAATGCAGTCCCAGGTGTGGACACTTAATAAGGAGCCATGGCGCTGTCTGCAGCCACTGTCACGGATATGCCTTCTGCGACCCTAAGCCAGCTCTCTGTTTGGGCTGTGCTCCTGCACGTCACTTATTTAGTTCATCGTTTAGTTCAGCCAGCCCTTGCAGTGTTATTTTTTCTTTTCCCCAAATCTGAATGCTTAAAGGGCCTTTATCTTAATGCCCGTCGGAGCCTTCCAAGCACATCTTGAACAGGAATGAACAGCTATTTTAACCCCACGGGCTTCTTACAAGTGTGTTTTAAAAGGCAAAGAGCGATGTAAAAGAATGGCAAAAGGTCATCGTGCCGCTCTTATTTCCTGGTCTAAGTCAGTCCTTTCTGGCCGGTTGAGCACAGGGCTTTTACAGAGGCGTCCCCTGGAACTGAAGTCCTCCAGAAAGCCCCACACCCCTCAGAGGCAGGAGGAAGAAAGGAGCCTGGAACAGGTGGTGAGGGTGCAGAGGGTGGGCACCCGGACCTGTTCCACAGGGGCTCGCCCTCGTGCCCAGCACAGGGTTGGGTGCTCAAGCTGGCAATGGGAGACAGCTGCCCTGAGTGGAAGGTTGAGACTAATGGGCTGGCCCCCAGCAAATACAGTCAGAACCAACTGAAGGAAGTCAGTGGAACAGGCCCTGCAGCCTGGGTTCAAAAATCCCGGCTCCTCAGCCGCTTTTGACCTTGGCCTCCGCCAACCTCAGGCTTCTCTTGGCTGAAAGGTAGGCTCCTTCCCTCCCTCCTTGGGTTCAGTGAGCGACACAGTGGAGCCTTGCCCAGCTCACAAGCAGTGAATGGCGCATCTGTTTTCTCTTCTGTCCTTCCTTCCTTCTGCCCTTATTTTTCCTCTTTCCCCTTTCTGATCCCTTCCTGCGCTCCTCCTTTCTTCCTCCTGTTTTCCTCCTCATCACTCTGCTCCTTTACCCCAGCCTCCTCCTTGTCTGTTTCTCTCCTCCTCTCCTTCCATACCCTTTTCTCTCCTTTCCCCTCCTTCCCACCCTCCTCTCTCTCCATCCCTCTCCACTCTTTCAAATCCACCCAGGGAGATGCCTCTGAGTTCCTGTGTCTGATCCCAGGGTTCGATGTTCCTCATCCTGCAGCAGACGTCTCTGCGGGCACCCACCAGCCCCAGCATGCGCTCCAGGGCCAGCCCAGGGGTTGACATCCAGGGCTTTCCTTACAGGAAGCAATCAAGAGAGTTTCCAGCATTAAACCACTCAGGAAGCAAGGCCAGTTTCTGCCCGAGAGCATGCCTCACTGGCCCCACAAGAAGAAACAGGCCTAAGGCTCAGTGGTGTGCTGGAGCCTGCTCACAGATGGCACATACCCAATCCTATGACCTCATATTAGTACCTTGCACAGGCCACAGTGGGAGTGTTTACACCACAGAAATCAGCAGATGCTGCAAATTGAGTCTTCTGTTTTGTTTCCTGAGAGCCCATTGTTAAAGCTTACCAGCACACCATTGCTCTGTAGACCTGCCACCTTCTCCCAAGCAAACGTTTCTGTGCTGAGGCCTTGTAAGAACAATGTCCTCTGCCATAGAGGGCAGAACCCAGAAGAGCGCATGCATATCTAGCACTGTTCAAGCTGCCTGCTGTCGGGGAAGCAGAGCGGGTGGAAGACCTGGGCCCCGTTCTTGCATAGGTGACAGTGCAGCTGGGAAGCTAAGAGAGAAGAATCCGTAATTAGTCACGAGAGAAGCCATGTTGTATAGGGCGACCAGGCCTTCCTCCTCGCCCCCACCATGGTCCTGGTTCAGGCGCTGTCCCTTATCCTTGCACCATCCCTGTTACAGCAACCTCCACCCATGCTCCCTCTCCTCTCCTCCTCCCCACACAGCTGCTGGGCGGTCTTGCCAAGTCACCATCACATCAAATCTCCCCATCTTCCACGGTTCAGGTGGCAGCCCTGGTGACCACCCCATGCCCACAGTGGAGAGGGATAGTTAAGAACATGGGCTTTGGAATCAAACTGCAGTGTCTGGGAGCTGGGAAGTTGTTTTACTGTCTGAACTTCGCCTTCCTCATCTGTACAGTGTGCAGTACAGAAATGCAGTAAATATATTAAGCACTTCCTCAGCCTTCGGTGTGATCATCATTCTTATTACAGGGTAAGATGCGCCCTCTTTTCCTGCATCAGAGCTCTTTACTACTACTGGCGGCTTCCTGGCCACGTTCCCCTAAATCACCCCAGATTCTAGCCCCCAACAAGCCTCCTCACTGTCTCCAAATGTGTTCTGTATTTTGGCTTTGTTCTATCTGCCTGGAATGGACCAGGAGTGGTTAGGGTTGCAGTTAAAAGCAAGGAGTCCGGTCCTGCTCCTCTAGCTGTGATTATTTGAAAAATATCCCCACTTCTGCTCCCTTTTCCACCAACCGCAATGCTACCCCTCCCAGTTGCCTGCCTGAACCCAGACCCCGGGGCAGGGTGCCACCTCTCCTTCTCTGCGTGCTGTGGAAGAACTTACCCCGTGGATGTGGATTGTCCATGGCCCATCTCCCAGCTGTCCCGAGAGCTCAGTGGCAGCAGGACTCAGACTCCAACTTGCATCTTTGTCCCTCAGCACCCAGCATGAGGCCCGGCTCCCCGGAGGTGCACAGTCGATGCGGATCAGATTGAAAATTGCCTTGACAAAATGAAGTTCTCAGTTGGGCACTACAGATAATTAGGGGCCAGAACAGACGTTAGTAAACCACTGATCGTGTGAGCGAGACAAGCAGGACTGGATCAGAGTGAAGTGGAGCTGGAAATTGGAGTCTGACTGTCCTGCTTGCACACAGAAGAAAGCTGAGGCACAGAGAGGGGAAGGGACTGGCATAAGGTCACACAGCTAGTAAGTTTAGAGAGAGATTTCAAACCTGTGTCTACTGGACTTCAGGGCGTCAAGCTAACTGCCCTTCCTCCTCAGGTCAGCTCCTCGCAGCAGCTGCAAGGCACGAGCCATGTCTGCAGTTGGAGGAGAGCTGGGGTCTCCAAGAGGGGAGTGCTGCCCCTAGAGGCTGGCTGCCTCCTGGGGACTCTGATTAGAGCCTGCAGCCCCACAGCTCAGCCAGAATCCCACGTGACCTCCCGGGGTCTCCCTGGATACCTGTAGGCTTTGTCCAGCGCAACCGTAGAAGCCATTTTGGAGCCAGAACTCAGAGGCTCTCATGCTAGCAGCCTCTCTTGGGTTTCTTAAAAAGAACAGCAGGCCTTGTCCTTGTGGAGGTTTGTCCTGGAGGGAGGTGGCTGCTGGGGACGGGCCATACTTGTACACCCCAAATGGAGGGTTTGGGGGGTTCCACAGGTACCCCATTAGAGACAGCAGAGTGGTTAAGAGTTTGGACACAGGAGCCCAGCTGCCTGGGTCAAGGCTTGGCATCCTTAGCTCCTAACTGGGAGACCTTTGGCACGTCACTTTAACCTCTCTGTGCCTCAGTTTACCCATCAATAAAATGGGGGCTAAAAGCAATTGAATAGACAGAAAGCATTTAGAGTGGCCCCGGCACATTAGTAAGTGTGTCCAGCTCACTTCCTCCCTGTACTGAGCTCTTCTTTTTCTTTCACCCCTTGTTAATGAAAAGTTGGGGAATTTTTCTTTTCTGTAGGCGGCTGCAGAAGGAGAACCATCCTCCTGGAATCTGTTTCACCATTGGATGGGTCTGTCATATTCCAGTAGTCGCAAAGTTGAATTTGTTCTCGCCTGGGTTGTCGGGGTGGGGATGCCCTCTGGCCTTCTTCCACATTGTGGTTTCAGAGGTGTCCTAGAAAACCTGACTTCTAGGCTCTCAGAGGCTGAGAGCAGAGGGGAAGGGCTAGAGCTTCCATTTATTCATCTGTCCTAGGACAGTGAGGCTAGGCAAACTCATCTCCATGCAGTCACATTTCTCTCCCTCTGGCATCCAGCAGCCATGCTTGGGCAGATCAGATCATGAGGCCTGATAGGTCTAATGGTTTCAGGGAATTTCACACAGGCCAGCGCCTGGGAGGCACTTTCTGGACAAGCAAATAGCACCAGACTATAACTCAGAGGGCCTGGGTCAAGTCCTGTGTGACCTTGGGTAGGCCATTTGACGTCTCTGGGCCTTAGTGCCATCATCTGCAAAATGGGACCAATGATCAGTTTAGCGTCAATGTATTTAGCTCTTGCTGAACTGGGCACGGTGCTAGAAAATTCAAATCCAGTCATCACAGAGTGGGAAGTGCTTACTATTGACCTCCTTTATTGATGAAGAAACAAAAACTTTTTTTTTTTTGAGACGAAGTCTCGCTCTGTCATCCAGGCTGGAGTGCAGTGGCGCGATCTCAGCTCACTGCAAGCTCTGCCTCCCGGGTTCATGCCATTCTCCTGCCTCAGCCTCCCGAGTGGCTGGGACTACAGACACCCACCACCATGCCCAGCTAATTTTTCGTATTTTTTAGTAGAGACGGGTTTTCACCGTGTTAGCCAGGATGGTCTCGATCTCCTGACCTAGTGATCCGCCCGCCTCGGCCTCCCAAAGTGCTGGGATTACAGGCGTGAGCCACCGCGCCCGGCCAAAACAAAAACTTTGAGAAAATAAGTAGCTTACTTGAAAATCACAGTGGGATGTTGTGAACAGTAGGCACGCGATAAATACTACTGACAAAGACACCTGCTTCTGCAAATTCCCTCTCAGGTACGTTGAGGCAGCTGAGGGGTTTATACCAAGGCATGAAACTGCTTTCCTCCATCTCTTGAGTAAGAGTATGCGGCTGGCTGGGAGTTGGGAGTCCATAAGGTTCAGGCCACTCTCAGGCTGTGTGACCTTGGGCCAGCCACCAGTCCTTGCTGGGTTTTTTTCTTCATCTATAGAATGCCATGGTAGACCAGGTGCACCAGTTTGGCATGCAGCAAGTCTGGACCAGGAAGGAGACCAGCTGGGTCGTGGCCCTAAGCACCACTGTGCATGGGGCTGAGGTCCAAGAAGGGAGGCCTCCCATTTAGACCCCAAGCTGTCCCAACCAGCTCATTTCTCCTGTAGCCTGCATCCCACCACAGGCCTGGCTGGCCTCTGAGGTCTTGTTAAAATGCTGGGCCTTGGAGACCCTCTCTGGCGGCTCCCTTTCCATTAGAGCACCTTCTCCAGGGAGCTTTCCCTGACCTCCAGGACAGCGCGTGGCAAGCACTGCCCACAGCACCGGCTGTCCCACACAATTCCAACCTCCCTCTAACCTTCTGTACCTGATCATCCACTATTAATTGGTCTTCACATTTGTATAACATTTTTCAATTACAAAGCACTTTTGCGGCCATTCATCTCTTTGAGTGGCAGCCTAAGCTGCTATTTATTGACACTTCCTGTGTGCCAGGCCCTTGGCTGGCCTCTTTCCATGCATTATCATGCAATTCTCAGAGCAATTCTGTGAAATCCACATTTACAGATGAGAAAATTGGGACTCAAGCAAGCCAGATATGTAGCCCTATTACACAGAGATTTGAACGAAGTCCCATGAAATAATCTGGGTCATTCCTAACAACAGCTTCTGAAGCTTTCCTATGTGCCTAAATCACGGGACCTGTTTAAAAATCAGCTTCTCGTTCCACAGGTCTTGAGTGGGGCCCAAGATTCTGCATTTCTGACAGGCTCCCAGGTGATGCTGATGCTGTCTCTTGAAGAACCGCACTTTGAGAAGCAAGGCCCTGAATCACTGGGCAATTTGAGACCCCAGGCTGGCAAGGCTGTTTCCTTATCTGTCAGATGGGTGAGGTAGCCCTGGCTTACATAGATGGAATGACTCCCGGATGATATAGTGCCTGTGAAATGCCTGGCACACAATAGGCGCTCAATAAATGCTAGCTCTTCTCCTTCGATAGGAGCTGGCATGAGTCTGGGTACACAACGGATGCTCAATAAAGCCTTGTCCAATGGATTGAGCCTAGCATTTTTCCCGAAGGCAGAGAATAAACTGTATTATGTTTCCCCTTGGAATGAAGCCAAACTCAATATTAATTTCTTTCTTAAACCACAGAGTTTCAAAAAGAAATAAAGGCAAACTAGAGTGATTGCAGTCTGAAGCGAGCCTCTGTAATTTCTGTAATTACAGAACGAGAGCAAAGCAAAGCAGGCATGAGCACAGTCTCATGGAGGGAGTGGGGTGGGGATAGGGGGAGGGGAAGAGCAGGCCCTACTCCCAGACCCACTACTCCCCGTCCTCGATTCCCTGGCTTTTCAGGGCTCCCCACTCACTCCATGGCGGGGCCATGGCCTGGGACAATGGCAGCCCTGAGACTCCAGCCCTGGCCTCTCGGTCTCTGCCTAGGTCCCCACCCCACGCAGCCGCCTGTCCCTCTGATGCAGTGGGACAGAGGGAGATTGTCCAAGGCGGTTTCCACACACTTCCCTCCCCCTTGCCTGCCATCTGGTCCAGGGCTGGGCTGCTCACAGCCAATCATCCAGCAAGGCCCATGGCCCACGGGCCCCACCCCCAGAATAGATCCTGGGTGTCGGTGACACTTCCCCCAACTTCTGCCCATCCAGCCACCCCCATGCAAGCCACCATCATCTCTCTGGACTGGCAGCCTCTGATCATGTATCCCTGCTTCCCCCTTGCCCCTATGCAGCCTTTTCTGGGCAGCCAGAGGGAGACTCTTAAACTAACCGTAAGTCAGATCTCCCACCACTTCAACCCCCACTTCCTCCCATCCCACTTAGAATGAAACCTGAATCCTTGCTGTGACCTCTGAGACCTGTGTGACCTGGCCCCTGCCCACCACCTCTGCCTGAATCCATTTCCTCTCACACTGGACTCCAACCACCTTGGGCACCTTGGTGTCTTTCAAAAGTGCCAGGCTCCTTCCTGCCTCAGGGCCTTTGCACTTGCTGCTCCCTCTGTTTGAAATACTGTATCCCAGAGAGTCCCATTTCTGGCTCCTAATTCAGACTGAATTTTTTTTTTTTTTTTTTTTTTTTTTTTGCTCAGGCCAAATAAAACAAGCCCAAGGGCCAGTTTTGACCCATTTTGCCACTTCTGATGTAGAGCTTCCAAACTGTACATGTTTTCTTTCCCTACAAAGCATCTTGTCATTCAGAGATTGGCAGAGGAATTCTTTGTGCTTGGTTTGGCCCCATTTTTATCAATGGCTTTAACACTTGGTCATAGAGCATCCACTGAGGAAGGATGGGATATCCTGGGAATGTTTTACCATCTTCCTGCCTGGAGTGTCTTTCACTAACTCCGTCCTTCCCAGAGGCCCCATGAGCGAGTCATCTTCTGGTTTACGAATCTGATCCCATTATCAGCCCTGCCCCATCCCTGCAGCTAGTCCCCAGGTTCCTTAGTCCGGTGTCCAAGACCCTTCATATACTGACCTTCCTAGCTTCACACTGTATACTTTAGTACATGTGTTTCCCTCCACTTGGAACGCCTTTTCTCTCTTTTTAAACCTGATGAACACCTATTCAACCTTCAAAGCCTTGCTCAAAGGACGCCTCGCCTAGGATACTTTCTCTGGCTGTATTAATGCGTTTCTTCTAGGCCTCCCGTGTCTTGTTCTTACACCTCTTGCAGCACTTATCACAGGGTATTATGATCAGCTATAGGCAGAAATATTTCTCCTTCTAGGCCATGACCTTGACAAGGGCAAGGGTCTTGTCTTATGAAATTCTCACACCCTGAGTGTCCACCCCAGCTCCACCCACATAGGAGGCCTCAGTAAGGATTTACAGAAATGAATCTTTCTGCTGGAACCTGTTAGTTCACTGATTCGGATTCTGGTGACCAGGGTGTAGTTCAGAATACAAAATGCTTGAAGAGACGGCTCCATTGTCGTTTCAGCACATAGCATGTGCTCAGTAAATACTTGCAGAATGAATGTGTTAGTGAGTGAGTACAGAGGACCTGACATGTCATCACTGGTGGTCTCACGTTAATAGTGCCCTTTGAACGTGGCTTTGGTGGAATTAAGTTAATCGTGGTATAGTATGCACCTGAAGGAATGTGGAGCCGCATGCTGGGTCTGCAGAATGTTGTCACCTGATGAAGAAGAACTGGAAGACGCTGGAAGAAGGCTTTGGAAAAATGCCCAGATCATGAGAAGGTGAGAGGTGTTTCTTCCGCCTGCTCCACCAGCAGGTAAAGGAGGCTGATCACAGGCTGGCACTCAGGGCGAGGTGGAAGAAATGCGTGGTCTTGCCACTACAGACCCGCAGAGCTGTCCTCCAACATGATCCAAGAGAGCCACAAAACACAGGGGTGTGTCTTGGGAAAGGAAAAGTAACAACTTGCAAAAAGGTTGGTTCTGCTTCAGAGAAATGTTCTAGAAAGACAGCCAAGTTACCCTGCCGTGAACTCACACACACCTGTGCTTTCTGCATGTTATGTTTCATAGGAGAGGGAAGTGCCGGGAATTAAAATTGCGGATGCACTGTTCCCCAGGTGTGTGGGTGAGGCACGCTTCCTGGGACCACTCCATTTAAGCATTGGGTCCCAGGCATGTTCACTACTAGCAGGAGGCTCTTTATCAATTTCCTCCCGTGGACCAGATGATTGGGATTTTTTTTTCTACCAGACTTTATTACAGAATAACTATTTTTGTATTAACTAAGCAAACAAATGTACCGCTCCCAGCTTCTGACTGGCCCAAGGTGCTGAGCTAGACCTCTTTGCTTTGGTACAAAGAGAGCCCAAAGCCAAGAGACTTGGCATTTCTGTTAGCTGGTATTCCCCAGGGTGACTAAAAGGATGATTTCCATTGGATTTTTTAAAATGCTGAAGACACTGAAAGACCTGAATAGTAAGCCCGTAATAAACGTTATTCGGTATTATTATTGTTGTTGTTGTAGCCTTCTGGGAAGTTGCGAATGCCAAATTAAGAACAATGGACCCATACCCAGATGGTGGCGATTGCAGTGATAACAATGGCTGAGATTTCCTAAGCCCTAACTATATGCCAGGCATAGTTGTACATGCTTTACACACATGATCTCATTTAATCATCACCATAACCCTCGGAAGGAGTTATTATTATCTTCCCATTTTATAGATGAGGGTCAGAGAGGTGAAGTAACTCACCCAGCATTAGTAGGTGTTGGAGGGAGCCGAGGTCTGTCTGACTCAGCACCAGGGTGGCTTTGCTGCTGTGTAAGTCAAAGAGCCTTCTCCGTTCTAAATCCTCAAAGAAGTATGAGTTATATCAATTCATGGCTTTACTTTGTTTATCTTCATATGTGCCACATCTTCTAAAAGGAAAACTCCAAATATAGTCATGTGGCTCCTCCTAGGGAATTATAGGCATTTGGCTGAATCTGAATACATATCCCCGTATTCCAGAAATTGGAAATCACATGTATGTCTGCTTTATGGTGAGGTCTTCAGAGCAGCCACCGTCTCTGATCGTTCAGGGCTTGGCATGAGGAGGTGCTCAATATAGTCATGGAGAAGAACTCATGGACTGAACTTCCTGGTGAACCAGAGGGATGGTGCAGAGATTTAAGATTGCAACAGGAACCCCCAAGCCAATGTAAGCAAAACATCTATTTCATGACTATGGGAATGTTTTGTAAAATCCAAGCACCAGCCTGAAGAAAGCCTGGAACTGCAAACTAGGAGCTTTGAGACACTCTATCTTTTGATGTCTAGTTTTCTCCTTCCTCAGCAGACCAAATCTCACTCTGAGTACAAGATGGGCAGAGGATGGCTGCCCCAGAGTCCCCAAGTCACTAGCAAAACTGCCCTTCTTCCTGGGTCCCATGCCAAATTCCAGAGAAGGAATTTGATTGGCTAGCCTGGGTCAGGTGGTCAGTCCTGATTCAAGGTGATTGGATCATTTTGAACAAATATGGCAGCTGGAGCCCACAAGGGTAGATCATGGGACCGTTAAGGGCATCATTGTTACCAGAGTTAATGGCTGAGGCTGCTCTCTCCTGCGTATCCCAAGAGTCCCTGGTAGACCACAGAATCGGCCGCCTCCTACTATCCTGCCATTCTCCAGAAGGGGAGGCAGGCACCCTACTGAGTCCAGAGCTCTCTCTAACATTGCCATGCCCAGGCCAGGATCTAGATGGGCATCCAAGACCAGCCTGTGTGCCGTGAAGGAGTTCAAAGTGAGCAGGCCATCCCTGAGAACGAGGAGCAGGGGTGTTAGGAAAGTTTGGATTATCTGAAGATGGCCTGGTTCTCCGTGAACTCTGGGAGGAGATGATGGTGTTTGGTAATGGGGACTGCATGCGAGGGGCTGGAGGGCGAGTGCACAGCAGACTGGGCCCCCGCCGGGCAAAGCTGCGGGGAGGAGGCCGCGTGGGGAGGGCCAGGGCCACGCCGCACCTTGCTTTGGCGCAGCTCCCAGCTCTGAGGGAATGCAGACCGCTTCACATGTTCTGGTTTGTTCTGAGGGTTCCATAAGTTTATTTTTTGTTATATTATTAATTTAAATCAGTTTTGTAGAGCATTATAGAAATTAAAAAAGCACAAAGAAGAAAACGAAAGTCACTCAAAAACTAAGCATTGTAACCATCTTTGGGTATATCCTTTTTTAAAATAGATGTGGGGGGTGGGGGCAAAATGGGATAATTCGAAATAAACTGTCTAGAAACCTGCCTTTCTCACCCCAAAACAAGGTGCTCTTTCTCGTGTTCTTACGTGGTCTTTTTGTTACATTTCCACAAGTTTGGATGGAGGACAGAGAAAAGTCTCAGCAGCCCCTCTGTTGGTTTCTCTTTTCTTCTGATAAAATTATGGAATGTCTTCTCCACGCTGCCCTCATCCCACGCCCACAGCTGTCCCGAGGGCAGCGGGCCCCACTCCTGCATGTTCCCAGCACCCCAAGGGCCAGTGCCATGCTGCATGGTCTCGCTGCGGCCACCCTGGCTGGGGACGCTCTGCGGGACACGCGCACAGCCCAGACGCCCTGGCAGGCTTCCTGCACCCCTGCTGCCCTCTGTAGGAGCTGCCTGCCTGCCCCATCGCTGCTTCACCATCCCTCCTCTCCTCCCCTTCTCTGCTTTGCAGGATCTCACCCAGGGTGGCAGAAGGAGGCCTTCTGGAGCTGACCCACCCCCGACGACCATCAGGTAACGTCAACAGCCCCGGTAACAACATCCATGAGTGGAGTTCTCTCTCTTAACCAGGTTGGCGAAAAGCACTCTTGCAGCGATTACAGCTGAGTTTTGATGCAACTCTACAAGCCAGAGGGGATTGCCCCCATTTTATACATGGGGAAACTAAGCACACACAACAGCAGTACTTGGTAGTAGTATTGAGTAGTAGTACTGAGCAGTAGTACTCAGCTGGTAGAAGGCAGACCGGAGATTTGAACTCAGGACTAGTCTCAGCCCAATTTCCTCCACTGTACTGTACCCCACGCTGCCCCTGGAAATAAAAAGGTAAGAAGGCTGCAGAGTGTCAGTAGAATATCTTAGGGTGATTGAAGGCTGAAAGAGGTCATCTAAACCAGTGGCCCTTAGCTGAGGGCCAGGGCTGGGCTACCAGTATAAGAATCTCCTTTGGCAGAGCTTGTTAAAAGTATAGACTCAGGACTTCCTGCAACCCAGTGAGAGATGTACCAGTGTCATCCTCATTTTAAAAGATAGGGGCACACAGAGGTTGAGTGTACTTAAGGTCACACAGCTCAAAAGTGGTAAAGTCGGGGCAGGGTGCAGTGGCTGGCTCACGCCTGTAATCCCAGCACTTTGGGAGGCGGAGGCGGAGGCGGGTGGATCACGAGGTCAGGAGATCGAGACCATGGTGAAACCCCGTCTCTACTAAAAATACAAAAAAAAAATTAGCTGGGCGTGGTGGTGGGCACCTGTAGTCCCAGCTACTCGGGAGGCTGAGGCAGGAGAATGGCATGAACCCGGGAGGCAGAGCTTGCAGTGAGCTGAGATGGCACCACTGCACTCCAGCCTGGGCAACAGAGCAAGACTCCATCTCAAAAAAAAAAAAATGTGGTAAAGTGGACTGTGATCAGAGGTCGTAACTCCTAGGCTCTGTCGTCTTCACCCAGACACCTCCGTAGTGGGGACACCTTTCTCCCCATTCAGCCACAGGTGGAGCTTCTTTCTTGCTCACCCTGGCGATGGCTAGTATGGCCGCAGAGTGTGACAAGGCTCCCAATTGCATCCTTGGAGGCAAAGTTAAAGATTTTATGATTAAGTACTTAACATTTCCTGTTGGAAGTTTGGTGGCCTCAGATTTCTCCTCTGAGCAGGACATACAACAGAGGGTTGGACACAGATGGCCAGAGTTGAAGCTAGGCCAGGAAACATCGCTGTGTCTTTGGAAACAAAAGTCACCTTCCTTCCTCCAGGAGCAAGGGCGGGTGAGAGGAAGAGGGCTTATAGAGAGCCTTTTCAAGCCCCTAGCTTGTTTATGGGTTATTTTGTTTTTGTCATTTTAGGGTGAGGCAACTCCAAGGTCCTACTCTCTTTCTGTGCCTGTTACCCACCCCGTCCTCCTAGGGTGCCCTTGAGCCGCAAAACTGCTGTCCACGTGGACCGGGGGTGACATCGCACGTCCATCTGCCAGGACCCCTGCGTCCAAATTCCGAGACATGGCGACCAACGGCAGCAAGGTGGCCGACGGGCAGATCTCCACCGAGGTCAGCGAGGCCCCTGTGGCCAATGACAAGCCCAAAACCTTGGTGGTCAAGGTGCAGAAGAAGGCGGCAGACCTCCCCGACCGGGACACGTGGAAGGGCCGCTTCGACTTCCTCATGTCCTGTGTGGGCTATGCCATCGGCCTGGGCAACGTCTGGAGGTTCCCCTATCTCTGCGGGAAAAATGGTGGGGGTAGGTGCTGGCCCGGGGACCTCCTGGCTGGGTCTGGACCCTGCAAAAAGGATCCTGCTTAGGCATTTTTCTGGGGCAACTGTAGGAGAAAAGCCCCCCTAAAGACTCCAGAGGGAGCACCAGGCCCCATTTCTTGTTTCTTGTCCCTTTATCAAAAGATTCCTGAAGGACAATTGTCCTCTGTTAATGATACCAAGAAATTCATCTATTCACCTGCAAAAAATGGGATGTATTTCACATATGGCTTTCCTTGGGCCTGTGGTTGGCTGTGGGTCCTGCTTTTGAGGCAGGTATAAAGAAATACTGGATGGGGACCCAGACCCACGACACTCCCTCTACCAGGGCGGGTCTTGAAAGTCTTGGGGCCACGAGCTCTGTCTTCTTTACCTGCAGGAGCCTTCCTGATCCCCTATTTCCTGACACTCATCTTTGCGGGGGTCCCACTCTTCCTGCTGGAGTGCTCCCTGGGCCAGTACACCTCCATCGGGGGGCTAGGGGTATGGAAGCTGGCTCCTATGTTCAAGGGTAAGTCTGCAGATCAGGGACCTGGGTGGTGGTGCCCCTGCCCACACACACCTCTTGCCCTCTGGAGAGAGCGAGCTGTCTACCCAGACCAGGGCTGACATCACATATCCATCCACCAGGTGCATATCTGAGCAGAGTGAGGGCTGTTGCAAGGGGCCAGGTGGCAGATGACAGTGCTGGTCAGAAGCTAGGGAGGTGGAGGTGGAGAGGCCCAATCCAGAGTCCCCCGCACATCAGCCTGCTCTGTCCTGTTAGCCCATCTATTTCCTCTGCAAGGGCTGGGTGTGACTTTCTTTGCCTCGTGCTCAGTGCCTGACAGGCACCCAGGTAGATACATGGTGAGTCATGCTCACTGACCGAGGGCCTGGGCCTCACCTCGTCCGGCAAGCTGAGACCCCAGCCCTGCCTGCCACCAGTCTGCACTGGGCCCCAGACATGAGTCCTGGCCCCCTGGCTTGTCAGATGTACATGACCTTCAGCAAGTCACTGCCTCTCTCTTAGCCTCAGTGTCCTCAGTAATGCCTGTCTCCGAGATCAATAAGATTGTAGAGGTCATGGAACATGCCACGACAGTTCATGTTAATTCCGTATTAAATGGACGCGTGTCTGTGTTCCGCTCCCAGGCGTGGGCCTTGCGGCTGCTGTGCTATCATTCTGGCTGAACATCTACTACATCGTCATCATCTCCTGGGCCATTTACTACCTGTACAACTCCTTCACCACGGTGAGTGGTCCCTTTGACCACCCCATCCAGCAGAAGCCACACCCAGAGCCCACCCTTGGCCCACCACGGCCACCACTCTGCTGACAAGGCCATTCCTCCAGGAGTGGGGAACTTGGTTTGTCTTTTGTGGGCCTTGGTCTCCCCACAACAGCCATAGCCTCACAAATTTAGCATCTCCTGTGAGACAGGCACTCCTTGCAGGCTCACATCCAATCCTCATGACACCCCTCTAAAGTGCGTATTGTTAGCACATTTTATATGGACACAGACAGCCTGGGTTCAAATCCTGACTCTACTATATACCAGCTGTGCAACTTCAGAAAAGAGACTTAACCTCTCTGAGTCTCAGTGCCCTCATTTATAAAATGGAAATAAAATTAGAACCTGCCCCAGTTCCTCAAAAAATTAAACATAGAATTACCATATGATCCAGCAATTCTGCTTCTGAGTAGATACCTGAAGAATTACAAGCAGCTCTCAAAGAGATATTTGTACACTCCTGTTCACAGCAGCACTATTCACAGTAGGCAAAAGGTGGAAGCAAGCCAAGCGTTCACTGATAAATGAATTGGTAAGCAAAATGTGGTCTATACATACAATGGAATGTAATTCAGCCTTAAAAGGAAGGAAATTCTGACGCATGCATCAACATGGATGGACCTTGAGGATATTATGTCAAGTGAAATAAGCCGGTCACAAAAATACAAATAGTGTTTGATCTTGCTTATATGAGTTCCCTAGAGTAATCAAATTTATAGAGACAGAAAGTAGAATGATGGTTGCCAGGGGTTGTGGGTAGGGGGATGAGGAGTTGTTGTTTAGTGGGTGGAGTTGCAGTTTTGCAAAATGAAAAAAGTTCTGGAGCTGGATGCTGACAATGTTAGGCAATACATTTCTCACAATGTACTCCCATTGTTAAGTGACACATGACTGTATTTGCAGAGGTGTGGCAGGGTTCAGGGAGCTACATTATGGGTATACTTAATGCTTCTAAATTGTACAGGCACCAATAGTTAAGATGGTAAATGTTGTGTGTATTTTATCAAAATTAAAAAATGAAAGAAAACAAAAAGTGAAACCCACCTCATAGGGTTCTTGTGAGGATTAAGGAGCAGATATGTGTAAGGAACTTAGAACTGCGCCTGGCAGAGAACAAGCCCTGTAAGTGTTTGCTGGTGTCGTTGCAGTGAGAGTTAGATGGGCAAGGTCTCTTGCCCAAGGTCACATGGTGGGGAAGTAGCCCCGGCTGCAGCTTGGAAGGCTGTTCTCACAGTGAACAGGTTGAGGTTCAAATCTCAGCTCTGGCACTTAGTAGCTGTGCATTCTCAAGCAAGTCACTGTCCCTCTCTGATCTGTCAAATGGGGATCATAATGCTACTTGCCTCCCAGAGCTGCTGCGAAGGGGAGGTGTGAGGAGGCTTGGGGACCATGAGGGTGGGCAGGGTGCACTGGGACCACTCATGCCAGCCCCTGGGAGCCCAGCAGGATGCGTCCTCATGACTGTGTCCTTGCAGACACTGCCGTGGAAACAGTGCGACAACCCCTGGAACACAGACCGCTGCTTCTCCAACTACAGCATGGTCAACACTACCAACATGACCAGCGCTGTGGTGGAGTTCTGGGAGTGAGTATGGGGCCATCAGGGGATGGCAGGGACGGGGCATGTCAGCCAGAGCCCGGCAGGAGACAGAGGCCCCTCGGAGGGGTAACAGAAGAGGTGGATAAAGGGGCTACAGTCATGTGTCACATCATGACATTTTGGTCATCAGTGGACCACATATGCAACGATGGTCCCATAAGATTATAATACCATATTTTTACTTTACCTTTTCTACGTCTAGACATGTCTAGTACCGAAATGCATTGTGTTACAGTTGCGTACAATATTCAGTACAGTCATGTGCTGTACAGGTTTGTAGTCTAGGAGCAATAGGCCACACCGTATGGCATAGGAGTGTAGCAGGCTAGACCATCTAGGTTTGTGCAAGTACACGCTATGATATGCACACAACAACAAAATTGCTTAAGAACGCATTTCTCAGAACATATCCCTGTTGTTAAGTGACACATGACTATACTTGCAGAGTTGTGGCAGGGCTAAGGCAGCCACAAGGGATGCTGAAGACCTTTTCTCCCCAAAAAGAGTTGGACCACAGATAGAGCCATGAGACACACAAACTCTGACCTTTGATAGCAAAACCCAGCTACTCACAAAGCCAAGGTCCAGCAGGAAGAATACATTCCCCAACATCTCTGCCTCTAATCTCCTGCCAGCTCCTCCCAATGGTCAAACCCAGCTAGAAGCCAGAGGGCAGGGGACCAGATAATGTGGCCATAGTCGTCAGCATCCTGGGGCCTGGCACAGAGTGGTCAAGGGGAAGAGTGGATCAGAGAGGCAAACGGAGGGGAATAACCAGCATAGCCAATTAGAATCACCTGGAGAGGTTGACCACATCCTGATTCATCCTGAAAACCAGCCTGATCTACTTACGAACCTAGAGTCACTC
Organism: Homo sapiens; assembly: GCF_000001405.40. NCBI lineage: Eukaryota > Metazoa > Chordata > Mammalia > Primates > Hominidae > Homo > Homo sapiens. Next base: position 11,021,206 of record NC_000003.12, read on the forward strand.
GGAATAAACATGCACACACACTCTGGCCATAGTGAAGGCCGTGCTGATTGTATCTTCAGGGGAGTACCTTGTAGAGATGTGTGTCGGGGGTCACTGATGTGACACAATGAGGTGCTGGGGCCCAAATCTCTCTGGCATGAAGGAAGCATCCATGCTGGACAGCTCAGAAGGATCCGGGAGCAGTCTAGAAGGTCTCAGAGCACCTTGGATAAGCTCCCAGGAGGAGCTGTTCTCAGGCACTGTCAGAATCAGAGTTGCCTGATCTCTTCATGGCCAATGTCCATGGTTACACTGTTTCTTTACAAATAAAAATCAAATTCTGCTCTGGTGGGTTCTGCTTTCTGGCATCTCCCGCATGCTGCTCTCAGGCACGTTCGGACTTTTCATTCAACCATTTATTCAGTAAACACTTCTTGATCTCCTACTATGTGCCAACTGATGACAGGCACGGACATGCAGACAGGCAATGGCACCACCAGGCGGCCAATGCGGAGAGGAGGGAAGCCCAGGCAGCTGGGCTGCGGGGACCTCAGGGAGTCCCCTGGACCACCCCAGGTCGGGAGTGGCATCTAGAAGAGAAAACTGCAGGGCAGGCAGGTGCTGGAGAGAAACAGTGTGAAGGCTGGGAGGCAGATGAGGTCAGGCCAGGCACCGGCAAACAGCTGCAGTGAGTGCTGAGAGGAGAGAGAGATGCAAGGGCCTTGAAAGGCTGGCCAGGGAGTTTGGGCTTCATTCTGAGAACAAGCGGGTGCTATTCATCGCAGTAAGCAGAGGAGTGACATGATCAGACTTGCAATTTAGAAGGCTCTCTGGGGCTGGAGAGGGGATAGAGCAAAACTGAAGGCAGGGTCCCACTAGGAGGCCACTGGGCCATCCAGATGAGCAGTAGTGGTGGCTGACTAAGGCCCTGGCAGGTCCTGTTCTCTTTGATCTCTTGACCAAACAGCACTTTCTACTGATTAGTATAATGGGCCTCACAGTCCCCAGCTACCTCTTGAATCACGGTGATGACGGTGTCAGCACAGTTCTAGGGCGGGGATATCATCTGTGGCCATGCCCTGGGCACCCCTGGGTCACTCCGGCTCCCACCAGCTCTGTGTAACTTTCTCCTCCCTCCACTGTTTGACCAGGCGCAACATGCATCAGATGACGGACGGGCTGGATAAGCCAGGTCAGATCCGCTGGCCACTGGCCATCACGCTGGCCATCGCCTGGATCCTTGTGTATTTCTGTATCTGGAAGGGTGTTGGCTGGACTGGAAAGGTAAGGGATATATGTGCACAGTGGGGACAGGAGGGCACTGGATAGAGGAACAGGTCTACAAAGGAAGCTCTGCCCACAACTCCCAAGAGTCCCATCCAACCTTGAATTAAGCAGGTCCCTTCAACACTCGGTGTGTCCGTTTCTTTTACTGTGAAATGGGAATAATAACATTACCTTACCTTCTGGGGCAGTTGTGAGGATAAAAGGAAATAGTGCAAGTCAAGTACGCAGCACAGTGCGAAGCTCACAGTGAGTCCCATGGGATTCCACTGGGCCTAACAGAGTCATCTCAAAACAGAGGGCAAATGTTGCTCCTGGACTGTTGAACAAACTTTTCCAGAGCATCTGCTCTGCACCAAACCTTGTTCTAGGTGCAGAAACTCCAGAGATGACAGCTTCACATCCTGACCCTTGAGGAACAACAGAGATGAATAGGTTAATGGTTAGATTCAGGCTCTGTATTAAGCAGTCCATGAGTTAAGATCCCAACCTCACCATTTACTAGCTGTGAGCTCAGGCAAGTCACTTTGCCTCCCTGGAACTCAGTTTCCTTCTCTGTAAAACGGGGCTAATAATTATACTTATCTGTTGGTTTATTATGATAATCAGATGAGATGGTGCTTTTGTCAAGCGCTCAGCACCCAGCAAGGAGAGTTGTTATTACTCTTGTTTTTATTCTCAGCAAGTGCAGAGCAAATGCCAAGCTGGGATGTCTAGCCCAGGGACACCCGGGAGGTGGAAAACTGGCCTTACTCCACCTTTTCTCCCTTTCAAGCCCTACCCCAGGAGCCTGGGGGCAGAAGATGGCAGTCTCTCACTGGCCCTGACCTGAAGGGAACCCGGAGGACAAGTGTGTTGTCTCAGATCTTATGGCAAGTCAAGGGCAGAGAAGGGATTTGTACTGAATAAGATGGGAGGCAGGAAGGTCAGAACTACCCAAGAAGTGAATGCAAGGTTCTAGAAGCAGTAGTAGAAATGAACCAAGCAGAACCTTAACAAATTCCACACTTGGGCAGGGCAGAGCTGATGAAAAGCTACCCTAGTTTCATCTAGTGGGAACTTCTGGACCCACTGGGTTCTCAAATCCAAGGCTGGTGTAAAAGTATCTCTGATCCATTCCTAGGACTAGGGACGCCGGAGGAGGGCACAAGTATCTCCCAGTCTAAATTTCAGGAGCAGAAAAGTATAGGGCTTATGGGCTTTGGAAGGGTTTGAGTCTCAGTCCCTGAGCTTCTAGCTGTGTGCACTTGAGCAAGCCATTTCATCTCTCTGAGCCTCAGTCCCCTCATCTGTTCAATGGTCACAATAACAGTACCTTACAGGGTTGTCCCAAAGACTGAGGGAGATGAGTAGAATGCTTAGCATATGCCTTACACATAGTAAGCACTCAATACATAGTATCAATTATAATCATTTTGGAGTGGTAATTAGAGTTCGTGCTACATTAGGAGACTGGCCACTTCTTGGGGACAGAGAGTAGGGCCCCCTCACTGCATATATTGAGGATGTCAACCAATCCATCCACAAGCATTTATTGAATACCTACTATGTGCCTGGCTTCATGCTGAACACGGAAGGCACAGGGAAGTACGAGACCAAGGTGACATATAATAAGCCTGCGGCATGTCCTGATGTGACTGACCTTTCTGAGCAGTAGGTGTGACTGTGCCTGATTCCAGACAAGAGAAAGTGAAGCTAAGAGAAAATACAACATTGACCCTAAGTTACGCAGCTTGTGGGTGACACAGATGAGTTTGAATTCCCTTTTCCTAGCTCCAAGTACAATGGGTTTTCTCTTGGATTGTGGCTGCCTTCCTTAATCCTGCAGAATCTCGGGGTCAAGTCAGGGAGGTGAAGCTAAGCCAGTGAACTGTCCATGCTGACCGGGAAACAGGCTCACATTAGACTCTGAGATACAAAGGTCATCAAACTTGAACATTGCTCTTCCATACTAGTGAGCAAAGAAATGCAATTTTAGACAATGATCATCAGTTTGGCAAAAAATAATTGTTTAAATGATGATACCTAGTGCTGGCCTTGTGACAGAAAGGCACTCTCTGTAATGCCAGGTGAAGTTCCATTTCTCGAAAGCAACAAGGTAATATGGATCAAAAGCCTGTGATGAATTTATTCCTTTTAATTCAGTAGTTCCACCTCTAAAAATTTTTCCCAAGAGTGGTATAATAATTTTGTAGCTGAAGATTTATATACAGGGGTGTTTAATTTGGTGTTATTTAGAGTCACATAAAATTGGAGGTAACCTGAATGCATAGCAGTGGGGAAGCTTAAAAGAGAATGGTAGGACCTTCTGAGGGACTGTTTTGTGCAATTAAAACGTCAAATTGTTCATGAGGCAATAAAACAACGTTTAGTGAACAAAATGGGAAACAAACCTGTATGTACTGCGTTTTTTTTAACTCTAAACATGTTACATGGAAAGGCAAGTACCTAATTTGAACCTCATTTTGTAAGAAAATGTGATTGCATCTGCAAAGGAGAGTTTCAGAGGAGCATTAAAGTAGGAACATCCCTGCATTTATGTGTTCGTCAGACAATTCTTGAGTGTCTACTATATACGGTGGACTGTTCTAGACATGGGGATGTGAACAACACAAGCCCTGCCCCCCACATAACTTACATTCTAGGTGCTGGTTAAAGGAACTTTCATTTTATGTGTGTGTGTGCATATGTAATTTAAAAGTTTTCCTGTCACCACATGCAATACTTGGATAATTTAGAAGTCAAAAAATAGGAGGGGACAGGGGAAGGGAAAAACCAAATGTGAGCTGGTTGGCTCAGACTCCAAGGAGGAGCTTCAGATAAGTGGCCAAGGAGAGCAAGGATCTGGGAAGGCTTCCTGGAGGCGGAAGAACTGGAATCAAGCCCAGAGCCACAACAGATACGGATGTAGGGGAAATGGGGGAGGAGGAAGCAAGGGTGTACAGGAGGAGGGGTCACCAGTCACCCACTTTCCTCCCAGGTGGTCTACTTTTCAGCCACATACCCCTACATCATGCTGATCATCCTGTTCTTCCGTGGAGTGACGCTGCCCGGGGCCAAGGAGGGCATCCTCTTCTACATCACACCCAACTTCCGCAAGCTGTCTGACTCCGAGGTGAGTGCCCCTCCCAGCCCGGATTCTGAGCCACCACTTAGCAGCTTTGAGATAAGCTTTTGCATCTTTCTGACCCTCACTGTAGACCAGGTTTGTTGCCAGGGAGAGCTGGTGGGCACATGGAAAAGTTCCTGGATAGCTGCGGCTATGGTGATTACTTTTGACAGTCTTTGATAATTCTGCCTATAGGTGTGGCTGGATGCGGCAACCCAGATCTTCTTCTCATACGGGCTGGGCCTGGGGTCCCTGATCGCTCTCGGGAGCTACAACTCTTTCCACAACAATGTCTACAGGTTTGAGAGGACAGCTGCGGGAGCCCCTTCCTTCCTGGCCGAGCCCTTTGAGTCCACATCCCACACTCATGTGTTAGGGCCCTCTTTGGCCACTTTGCACTCTCAGCTTAACCTCTCCCTGAGCCAGTCGTTTGTTTAACTCCTTCTGGAGACACAGACATTCCTGTTGTCCCCCTTTCCTGACCCTGATCTTCTGGCTCTGCCCTCCTCTAGCTTGCTCTTAGGGCCTGTGCATCTGGGACCTACCGTGTAGCCCCATTCCCAGCCCCCTCCTCCGGGCCACCCCTCCATAACCACAGCCAGCAGCTACACCTTCTGCCAGCTGCACCCTCCTCACCCCACCCCTCCCTCTCTTCAGGGACTCCATCATCGTCTGCTGCATCAATTCGTGCACCAGCATGTTCGCAGGATTCGTCATCTTCTCCATCGTGGGCTTCATGGCCCATGTCACCAAGAGGTCCATTGCTGATGTGGCGGCCTCAGGTCAGTGCAACACTGTGTGGGGCCGGGCTCCTGGCATGGGGGCACTAACCATGCTGGCCTTTGCCATCATCACCATTACCACCACCACTGTGGCTCACTGGCCTTGAGCACTCCCTATGTGCCAGGCAATGCACTGAGCATTTTACATGGACTGTACCCATGATTCTTCTCAACACTTTGCAATACACGCTATTGTTAGCCCATTTCATAGATGAGAAAACTGAGACTCACCTCCTAAGGGTATGGAGCTAGAAAGATGGCAGATCTGGAGTTGGAGCCCAGGTCTGGCTGACTCCCAAGCCTGGGCTCTTAGTCTCTTGGCTATACTAGCATGTCCAGCACAATCCTGGACAATTTGGGGAGAAGATCCACTCTTGCCTTGGGAGTATAAACTTTGGTATTGGGGGAAATTCACCCCCGATATTTCACGTAGGTTCTTTTCTATTTTACCTAAGTGTCAGCTGGTCTGAGAAATAAAGGGAAAGAGTACAAAAGAGAGAAATTTTAAAGCTGGATGTCTGGGGGAGACATCACATGATGCCCCCGAAGCTGTAAAACCAGCAAGTTTTTATTCATGATTTTCAAAAGGGGAGGGAGTGTATGAATAGGGTGTGGGTCACAGAGATCACATGCTCACAAGGTAATAAAATATCACAAGGCAAATGGAGGCAGGGCGAGATCACAGGACCAGGGCAGAATTAAAATTGCTAATGAAGTTTCGGGCACACATTGTCATTGAAAACATCTTATCAGGAGACAGGGTTTGAGAGCAGACAACCGGTCTGACTAAAATTTATTAGGCAGGAATTTCCTCATCCTAATAAGCCTGGGAGCGCTACGGGAGACCGGGGCTTATTTCATCCCTTATCTACAACTGTAAAAGACAGACGTCCCCAAAGCGGCCATTTCAGAGGCCTCCCCTTAGGGACGCATTCTCTTTCTCAGGGAAGTTCCTTGCTGAGAAAAAGAATTCAGCGATATTTCTCCTATTTGCTTTTGAAAGAAGAGAAATATGGCTCTGTTCCACCTGGCCCACAGGCAGCCAGACGTTAAGGTTATCTCCCTTGTTCCCTGGACATCACTGTTATCCTGTTTTTTTTCCAAGGTGCCCAGATTTCATATTGTTTAAACAATTTGTGCAGTTAATGCAATCATCACAAGGTCCTGTGGCAACATTCATCCTCAGCTTACAAAGATGATGGGATTAAGATATTAAAGTAAAGACGGGCATAGGAAATCACAAGAGTATTGATTGGGGAAGTGATAAGTGTCCATGAAATCTTCACAATTTATGTTCAGAGATTGCAGTAAAGGCAGGTGTAAGAAATTATAAAAGTATTAATTTGGGGAACTAGTGTCAATGAAATCTTCACAATCTATGTTCTTCTGCCATGGCTTCAGCCGGTCCCTCTGTTTGGGGTCCCTGACCTCCCGCAACACTTTGGCTCAATTCAGACATGTTCATCACCATACTACAAAGACCACTAAATCCATGCTTTTGTCTCAGCTCCAAAAATGTTCTCGCCAAGTGGGCCATGCCCACTCTGCTCACCACACAGTCATCAATGCCACAGAACCCAAGGAAAACCCCAGACAGCCCTTCGCTGCACAGCCAGGCAAGCAGCCAACAGGTGGAACCCACTGTATGCAGGGCAGAGGCCCCTGAGGCTCATGGAGGCCACACGGCTGGTCCCTTGAAGAAGTGGGCTGGTTCCGTGAAAGGAGCATTCTCTGCTCCGGTTCTAATCTCCCCTTCAAGGGCAGCCACCATCTCGTTTCTCTGCAATTCCCCAACCATTCCCCCACCCCCATCCGGAGCCAGACCCAGGGAGGTTACAATCTCTTTCCTTCTCATTCCGAGATTTCCTGATCTCTTAGACACCCCCACCAACTACTCAAACACAATACATGCCAAACAAGGCTCCAAAGCCTTCTCCTCCACCATGCTCCCCATCACAGAAGGGTCCCATGGTCCAGTGCCCAGGGTGGAGACCTCAGCATTGTCCTGGACTCTTCCCTCACCCTCATCCTGCAAACCAGCCAATACCAGCACCTGCCCCTCCATCCCCTACATATCTCTCTATCTGGTTGCCTCTCTGCACCTGCACTATCCTCACTACTGGCCAAGCCATGCCATCCCCCATCGAGATGATGGCCACAGCTCCTCACTGGTCCTCTTGCCTCTGGGCACAATTACTATGGCCCCACATCCCCCACCCTCTTTCTGCACCTGGAAAAAGGGGCTGAAAACACTCACTCAAAAGGTTACTCTGAAGATGAAATGAAATAAGGCTTAGAAAATGGGCAGTGTGCTGGAAAGGCTGTAGGTGATGAGTACCTTTTATTTTTCTTCTTTTTTGCACTTCTCTGTTCAGGCCCCGGGCTGGCGTTCCTGGCATACCCAGAGGCGGTGACCCAGCTGCCTATCTCCCCACTCTGGGCCATCCTCTTCTTCTCCATGCTGTTGATGCTGGGCATTGACAGCCAGGTGAGGGCGCCCCCCCCGCACCCCAGGAGCTCTCCATCCCCAGACTCCTCAGTCCCCGAGTAAACAGGGAGAGGAGGCAACTCTTAGGCTGCCAAGAAGATGACCAAAAATTCCAGGTCCCTAGAATGTTCCACTGCATGAAATTTCAGGAAACAGCTCAGCCACCTTCTCCATTTTCCAGAAGGGGAAACTGATGCCCAGAGGGGAGGGACTCTCCTGAGGTCACAAAGTGAGTCACAGGCAGAATCAGGCTGGACCCTGGGCTCTCCTGGCTCGGTGCTGCTGGGCCTCCCGTCCTTCCTTAGAGGGCCAGGCTTTGGGTGGGTTGGGGCTGGGGCTGCTGCAGGTGGCTGACCTCTGTTCCCACCTGAAGTTCTGCACTGTGGAGGGCTTCATCACAGCCCTGGTGGATGAGTACCCCAGGCTCCTCCGCAACCGCAGAGAGCTCTTCATTGCTGCTGTCTGCATCATCTCCTACCTGATCGGTCTCTCTAACATCACTCAGGTAAGCTCAGTAAGCACCTGGCACTCCCCCAGCACTGCCCAGGGCCATGCCCAGGGCCTCCTCTCCCCTCCTCTGTTGTATCCCACCTTTCCTGCCTTCATTGAGCATCATCTCTGTGCCAAGCTCTGGGCACATAACAGTGAGTCAGATGGGGTCCCTGCCCTCCAGAGGCTCCCAGGCTGGTGGAGACACAAACATTGAGCTAAGACATATAGGACAGAGCTAGAGAATGCAGCACCTAACTGGACTCGGAGCACCAGGGACTGCTTCTTGGAGGAGGGGATGTAGAAATTGAGCTTTGAAAGGCCCACAGAAGGCCTGGCATGGTGGCTCATGTCTATAATCCCAGCACTTTGGGAGGCAGAGGCCGGCGGATCACCTGAAGTCAGGAGTTTGAGACCAGCTTGGCCAATGTGGTGAAAACCCGTCTCTACTTAAAAAAATAAAATAAAGTAAATAAATAATACAAAAATTAGTCAGGCATTGGGGCAGGTGCCTGTAATCCCAGCTACTTGGGAGGCTGAGGTAGGAGAATTGCTTGAACCCGGGAGGCAGAGGTTGCAGTGAGCTGAGATCGCGCCATTGCACTCCAGCCTGGGCAACAAGAGCGAAAAACTCTGTCTCAAAAAAAAAAAAAAAAAAGAAAGAAAGAAAGAAAGACAGAAAAAGAAAAGAAAGGCCCACAGAAATTAGCCAGAAAGTCAAATTGGAGTTGAGCCTTTGAAGTTGACACTGCCCAAAGCTTTCTTTCATTCCCATTTTTCTTTTGTATTGACATGAATGAGAAATGCTCACATAGCTGGTGAATTGTGCAATAAATATAAACGACTCTAGCAACATGAGTTCAGCACTGCGGGTCTGATTTTTATAATCCACAAATCACCCCCACCCCCCCCCCACCAGATCCAAATGTAGTTCTGCTCCAGAGTTAGTATTCATTCATCCCTTCATTCATAGTTGTCAAATACCTACTATGGGCCTGGCATGACCCCAGAAATTTGGCAATTAATGTGGCAGATACTACCATGTCTGCTGTCTTGGAGCTTACATTTTGGTGGACAAGACTGACAGACAAATTAGATGATTTTGGAGAGTGTCAAGTGCCCTGGAGAAAAGAGGACAGCAGCACAGAGAATGGCCAGTAGCACAGGAGGGGCGCTCCCTCAGACAAGGTAGTCAAGGGAGGTCTCTCTCTCCAAGAAAGCGACAGTTGAGCTGAGACTTAAATGATGAGAAAGAGCCAGCCAGAGAAAGATCTGGGGAAAGAGAGCAGAGTAGGTGCAAAAGCCCTGAGGCATTTGAGGGACGAGGGAAGCCAGAGTGGTGGAGGCAGAGGGAGTGAGGCAGTGGGTGGGAGACGAAGAACCAGCCCATGCGGACCTTGCAGGCCAAGACATTTGGGTGGGATGGGATGGGATGGGATGGGATGGGATGGGATTGGATGGCATGGGATTGGATTAGATCTCTCTCTGCTTATTTATGTGTTATATTATTGTCTCATTTAAGTCCTGAAAGGTTTTAAGCAGGGGAGAGACCTGACTGATTTACACTGTAAAAAGATGGCCCTGGTGACCAACTCCGCTTTCTGCCCTCCAACCTTACCAGAAATTGGCATTTTCCTCTACCACCTGGACATTTCCTTCCCAATGCCCGGACTGTCAATGTCCACATCCTCTCGTGGTCACAAAGCCCTCAGTGCTTCATCTAATCTACCCTGAAGCCTAATCCCAGCCCCATCAGCCTCCAGAGTCCATGTGGTCTGTGAACTGGATGCAGTGGGCGCCGGGGACAATGCACCTGTTCTCACCTCTTTTCATCTTGCAGGGGGGTATTTATGTCTTCAAACTCTTTGACTACTACTCTGCCAGTGGCATGAGCCTGCTGTTCCTCGTGTTCTTTGAATGTGTCTCTATTTCCTGGTTTTACGGTGAGTATCAGCCCCTCATCCCTTATTCATTCACTCATTCATCCATTCATTCCTTTCTTGAGTCATCATTCAACAAGTGCAATTTGAACCCCAGGTCTTCTCCTTACATTTATTTATTTATTTATTCTTCACATTACAATTCAATGAGGTTAGTCCAGGAGTCCCCCATGTTTAGAAGATATAAGAGCAGTTAAATGAATTCATTTAAAATAAGTGGAGATTTTATCCAGAAAAGGGAAACCAAAACTACTTTTTAAAGTTTTAAAGTTATATATTTAACACAGTCTAGGCTGTAATTAAAAGTGTGCACTATCTTAAAACAAATAACAAAAGAAACATTGATTTTGTTTATTTTGTGGCCTAAGTTTCTTGAGCCAACTGCATGATAGTAAAAAATGACAACATCCTTTCCTGCACCTTTGATTGTCCCATCAGAGCAAATGTTTTTAAAGAAGCATGATATTTTGTGTCCCCCTTTGCAATATCTGCCACCTCATCCTCCTTGTCATTGTCCCTTCTTTTTTGTTTGTTTTATATGTATAAATTTAAGGGACATGAGTGCAATTTTGTTACCTGGATATCTTGTGTAGTGGTGAAGTCTGGGCTTTTAGTGTACCCATCACCACATAATGTACATTCTTTTTTTATTTTTATTTTTATTTATTTTATTTTATTCATTTTTTTGATGGAGTCTTGCTCTGTCACCAGGCTGGAGTGCAGCGGTGCAAACTCAGCTCACTGCAACCTCTGCCTGCCTGGTTCAAGCAATTCCCCTACCTCAGCCTCCCAAGTAGCTGGGATTACAGGCATGTGCCACCACGCCCAGCTAATTTTTTGTATTTTAGTAGAGGCAGGGTTTCACCATGTTGGCCAAGATGGTCTCGACCTCCTGACCTCATGATCCGCCCACCTCGGCCTCCCAAAGTGCTGGGATTACAGGCATAAGCCACCAAGCCCAGCAGTACATTCTACCCACTAAGTAATTTCTCATCATCCACCCCAGCTCCCATTCCCCCACCCTTCTGAGTCTCCAGTGTCTATTATTCCACCTGTGCCCAGTGTTTAGCTCCTACCTTTAAGTGAGAACATGCAGTATTTGACTTCCTGTTTCTGAGTTGTTTTGCTTAAGATGATGGCCTCCAGTTCCATCCACGTTGCTGCAATAGGCATGACTTCATTCTATTTTATGGCTGAATAGTATTCCATCGTGTATGTATACCATATTTCCTTTATCCAGCCATCCACGGATGGACACTTAGGTTGATTCCCTATCTTTGCTATTGTGAATAAACACGAGTGCAAATATCTTTTTGATATAATAATTTCTTTTCCTTTGGATAGATAGCCAGTAGTGGGATTGCTGGATCAAATGGTGGTTCTATTTCTGATTCTTTGAGAAATCTCTGTACTGGTTTCCATAGAGGTTGCACTAATTTACACTCCCAATAACACCTTCTCTCTCTAACTGTTCCAACACGGTCAGATCCTCACTGGTCAGTGACTCTGCTTATAATTTGAGCAGTGCCCGAAGCCGCTCTGGTGAACTTCAAGACACCAGTTTGGGGTTTGGGGTTTTTCTTTTTCATGAGATTTGCAGTTCTTTGCAATTGATTGTCAATTTCTTTTTCTTTCATTCATTCATTTATTTATTTATTTATTTATTTATTTATTTATTTTTGAGACGAAGTCTCGCTCTTGTTCCCCAGGCTGGAGTACAATGGCACGATCTCGGCTCACTGCAACCTCCACCTCCCAGGTTCAAGCAGTTCTCCTGCCTCAGCCTCCCAAGTAGCTGGGATTACAGGCGCCCGCCACCACACCTGGCTAATGTTTATATTTTTAGTAGAGACGGAGTTTCACCGTGTTGGCCAGGCTGGTCTCGAACTCCTGACCTCAGGTGATCCTCCCACCTCGGCCTCCCAAAGTGCTGGGATTACAGGCATGGGCCACCGTGTCCGGCAGATTGCCAGTTTCTTATAGCATCTGACCATCAGGGAGAAACAGCCCCTGCCCAGGAAAGCCTTTGAAGGAATGGCTGGGATAGATGTCGAGTGGGAGGGACATTGAGAGTGGCAGGGGTGGAGGGGATCATCATGTCAGTCTCCTTTTGTTGGTAGATATCTTCACATTAAAGTGACTTGCTCACCTACACAACCCACTTGCTGTGAGAATTGGGCTATTGAAAAATACTTGGTAACGAGGACCCCCAGAGCATAACCCCCATGGTACAGACAAGGAAACTGAGACTCAGAGAGGTTAGGTGACTTGCCCATGGTCACACTGTGAGAAAGTGGTAGAACCAGGCTTTGACCCTGAAGCACCCACAGCTCATCCATCCCTCCTGCTCCCAATGTCACAGGTGTCAACCGATTCTATGACAATATCCAAGAGATGGTTGGATCCAGGCCCTGCATCTGGTGGAAACTCTGCTGGTCTTTCTTCACACCAATCATTGTGGCGGTAAGAACAAGGCCTGACTAGCCCTGTTAGGATGAGGCTAGACCAAGCCCTGGGGGGACTCAGGTCCAGGGAGAAACTTCTAGAGGCAGAGGCAGGTGGGAGAGGCCCCCAGAAACCCTGTTCCTTAATAATACTTCTCTCTACCATTTGTTGGGCATCTATTCTGCACCCTGCATGGTACAAGACACATTATATCATCCTCCACAAACCTCAGAAAGGAGGCATTATTGTCCCACTTTACCGCTGCAGGATCTGGGGCTCACCTAGCCAGCATCACCCAGCTAGTCAGCACTGGGATTCGAACCAAGCCCAGTCTCTTGGCACTTGGAGACTCTCCTTCTCAGGGTCCCTCATCCCCACAAGCAGGAGCTGAAGCAGGGGCGGGCCTGGGAGGGGCCACCCAAGGTTCTTGAGGTGGGGGCAGAGCCACTGCATATGTTGTGTCCACATAAGGGGACCCTGCCAATGGCACATTGGGAGCTGATATCTCACCCTTGCTCTGCTTTTGAAGCTGGGGAACTTGGAGGAAGGGGTTCCCTTTTCTAATTAGTCTCCCTAGAGGAGTTGCCTTTTCCTACTGATCTTCCCTGAGAGGGTGTCTTTTTCTATTATGCACAAAGGCACCTTATGTGCTAGCAGCGGTGCTGAGTGCAGGACTCCCAAGACCTTGGGCCTCTGTAAGGGTCAGCCTCGGGGTGAGGGTGGAGGGCAGTCAGCCTGCTGGCTTCAGGGTGGTTCATCCTGGGTGACTGACTCCTCCCCCTCCCTCCCCTCCCCTCCACCCTCTCCAGGGCGTGTTCATTTTCAGTGCTGTGCAGATGACGCCACTCACCATGGGAAACTATGTTTTCCCCAAGTGGGGCCAGGGTGTGGGCTGGCTGATGGCTCTGTCTTCCATGGTCCTCATCCCCGGGTACATGGCCTACATGTTCCTCACCTTAAAGGGCTCCCTGAAGCAGGTAAGCCCTTCCCCACCCTTCAAATTGCCAGTGCCCTTCTCCCACTGTGTCAGGCACAGCCCCACCCCTTGTGAAGCTCACAGTCTAGCTGGGGAAACAGACAAGTCAATAGCCAATGACAGTAGAGTATTAGAGACACTGAGATTAGGGAAAGCCAAGGGGGTGGGAGCAAACAGCCTGCCTTAGCCCTACTTGGGTTAAGGAGGATTAAAGAAGCTTCCCAGAAGAGGGGATAACAAAGGAGAGGCCTGGGGATAAACCAAACTTAAAAGTAGAAGCAGAAAGTATGTTTCTAGAAGAGGGAGGGGAGGAGAGGTTGGAAAGCATGTGCAAAGGTCCAGGGGTATAAACTGCATTGGGTCAACTGAACGGAGATCAGTGTGGCTGGAAGGTAAAGTGGAAAGGGGTGCGAGGAGGGGACATGACAAGAGATGAGGTTGGGATGTAAGAAGGTCCAGCCAGATCATGAAGGGCTTTGAAAACCAGGACAAGAACTTTGAACTTTATCCTGGCAGCAATGGGGTGTCATGAAGGGCTTGGAACAGACGGAGGGTGGGATCACATTTGCCCAGGGCTCACTCTAGATCTCATTTGTAGGGTTGATATAGAGAAAATGTGGTCTTACCCACAAAGAAAGACAAAGCACAAAAGACCTGCTGCCTGCAGCAGGGGCCTCACCATCACATAGGGTTCTCTGTCCATGCCCACACTTTGTTAAATTGCACTAAATTCTTGAGGGAAGCAAAGAAGTGCTGGAGGTGCCAGGCAGGTGCCTCATTGATGAGGTGTGTGCAGGCTGAAAAGATGCCACGGGGAGAAGTGGAGAGTCGGAGTGTGAGGGCTGCCCCGGAAGGCCCTGGATGAGTTGCTGTCCACTATAGTGCCCTGGGAAATGCACCTGCCAGACCCAGGGGAAGCGCTCTCAGGTCTGAGATACAGGGAAGCCTGGCTGCAGGTTATGTGCTGCCGTGGAGTTACTGGCCCATCTTCCTCCAACCTCAGATGAAGAAACTGGGGAACCACAGGGGTTGAGTAAGCAGGTTCCCAGCTCAGGAAGCTGTGAGCAGAGCTAGGGCTTGCAGCCCTTTCTTCCCAATGCAAGTCCAAAGCTTTCATTTTCCATGATCCACTGGAGAGCCTCAAACAGCAGCTGGGTCTTAGCGTGGCAAGAGGTTAGGGGGGTGCCCTTGCAGAAAACAGCACAGCTTGTGCAAAGGCCCAGCGGTAGGAAGGGCCAAGACATACCTGAGGCCAGGGTGTGAGCTGACGGGGCAGGATGGCGAAGGCAGTAGGGGGTCCATCCATTCAGCACACATGGACGGAACCCTGATGATGTGCCAGACACTACTGTCAGTGCTGGGGACACAGCCATGAACAAGATAAGCAGAAATTGCACCCTCCTGGAGCTCCCATTCAGGGAGAGGAAGATAAGCAACTAACAAAATAAAAGCACGTGAGGTGGCGAGGAGCACTATAGAGAAAAATCAAGTAGACAGGGTGTTTAGGGAGTGCCGGATGAGGCCTCACTGAGAAGGCGAAACATTTGAGCCAAGACCTGGGGAAGTGGAAAGCGAGCTGTCGCTATCTGAGAGGAAGGCTCTGCCAGACAGAGGGCACAGCCTGTGCAAACGCCCTGGAGCGGAAGCGTGCCTGCTGTGTTTGCGGGGCGTCGAGGAGTCCTATGCAGATGAGGTGGATGTGCGAGGAAGAGGGGAGGACACTGAGGACTGGGAGGTGGCAGGGGCCAGGTCGTGTAGGGCCTTGAAGAACTTTGGCTCTGCCTCTTGGTGAAATGGGAGCCTTCATTGGGTCCTGAAGAGTACAGGGGCATGATCTGAGTCTGGTTTTCATACAACTCTCCTG
Source organism: Homo sapiens (assembly GCF_000001405.40). Classification (NCBI taxonomy): domain Eukaryota; kingdom Metazoa; phylum Chordata; class Mammalia; order Primates; family Hominidae; genus Homo; species Homo sapiens. The sequence goes on from NC_000003.12 coordinate 11,036,562, forward strand.
CTGCTGTGTTGACGACAGAATGAAGGGGTGAGAGGACAGCATGAAAGTGGGAGTGGAAGCTGAGGGCTGATTGGGAGTTGTTGCAATAACCCAAGTGAGAGGGGCTGTGGCGTGGCCCATGTGGGGCAGTGGCAGGGGTGCAGGAGGTGGGGATGTGGCTGGAGTCTGGGTGTAGTTTGGAGGCAGAGCAGACAGGATGCACTTGAATAGAGAGCAGGAGAGGGAAGCGGCCAGTTCCTCACCATCCCAGGCTGGGATTTTCCCCAGAGAGCCTCACACCTTCCTCCCCGGTACCCACAGCGCATCCAAGTCATGGTCCAGCCCAGCGAAGACATCGTTCGCCCAGAGAATGGTCCTGAGCAGCCCCAGGCGGGCAGCTCCACCAGCAAGGAGGCCTACATCTAGGGTGGGGGCCACTCACCGACCCGACACTCTCACCCCCCGACCTGGCTGAGTGCGACCACCACTTGATGTCTGAGGATACCTTCCATCTCAACCTACCTCGAGTGGCGAGTCCAGACACCATCACCACGCAGAGAGGGGAGGTGGGAGGACAGTTAGACCCCTGGGTGGGCCCTGCCGTGGGCAAGGATACCCGGTGGCTTCTGGCACCTGGCGGGCTGGTGACCTTTTTAATCCAGGCCCCATCAGCATCCCACGATCGGCCTTGGTAACCGCCGCGGTAGATCATTTTTATCCCGCCAGGGAGTGTGATGCAGGAAGACCACATGCGCTCCTGGCTTTTAAACCTGTTCCTGACTGTTCTCTTACTGCCGAAACCCTTGACTGTTATCTCGGACTTTGCAGGAGTTCCTTTCCCTCCGAACGCTGCTCCATGCACAGGAAAAGGGCATTTTGTACAATGGGGACTTCCCGGGAACGCTTGCTCTTAAGTACCAGAAGCCGGCGGAGCTCTGGCTTTCGTGTTTTTGGTTTTCTCCTTCCCAAGGCAGCTGGATTGAAAAAACAAAACAAAACAAAAAAACCCAGGGGCGTCAGTCGATATTCCCAGGGCCGCTTCTCCTGCAGTCTGTGGAGCGTCCTTGTCCCCGCCGCCGGAATGAATGAGCATTCTGCAGCCCGATGTCCCTGTCCCCTCCTCGCCGGGCCATTCTGATTGGACCTGGCCCAGTGCAATCTGTCCAGACAAGCCCTGCTTGCTGGAAAACTGCCACAAGCACAATTGATCTCTTTTTATCGCCATTCCAGGGGCCTCAGGTCCTACTGGGGAAACTTCCTATACCGGAGCTCCAGTTTCTCTTAAGCTGCCCAATTTCACAGAGTACAAAATAGTTGTAGGGGAAATCAAGGTGAAGGATCTGTCCGACAGTCAAGACGGATCCACAGTAATCTTTCGGTCTCCTTAAACTACCACCCTCGCTGCCACCCACCCCAAGCTGCTGCCGCCTCACCTTCCTTGAAATTTCTCAGCGGGAGTCTCCTCACTGCCACTAAAATCCACCCAGCCCACTAACTGAGGAGCTAGTGTTAATCCAGAGAACCCCCCGCAATGTGCTTCCGAGATTCAGACTGCTTCATTGGGAAGTATGATTTGTTCCTTTCTGGAATTGGGCTCCGTGGTGGCGGCGGCACTTCAAGCAAAGACAGTTTCTTGCAAGCTCCAGTAGCTCCGCGTGTCTCATTTGCCAGGAAGATGGGTTCCCACGTAGCAAATCGTACATTGTGCCCTGTAGCTCCTTAGCTAGTTAGCTCACAAGCCGTGTTTTATGACTAATCCTTAATAACTATGGTAAATAACTGTGACTGTGGGGTTTTTAATCTCTTGTCATTCTCATCCAAAAGTGACCAGCATACCAGTTCTTGCAATAAGATATTACCCTCAGAATATTAAGCACATTATTGTAGAGAAAAAAAAATATGTGTACACATATGAACGCACAACATGCACATTCATCCTCACATGTGGCACGTAAGGTCTCATTTGATATTGTGTAGGAAATCTGAAGCCTTTTCCTGAGGTCATCTGTAAAATAGTCTCATTGCCAAGGCATCCCCAGTGCCAGCTGGTGAATCCATGATCAAAATGCATACGTATTGTTAAATGATAAGGTTTAGAATGACAGGAACCCATCACTGTGTCTCATGGTCCCACTTCCCCATCTGTGTGTGAATTCCTTTAGACTAAGGGCAGGAAGACTTCCAGCTTTCTCTTTGTTCTTCAATGTGAAACTGAGACCAAGTCTCTCTAAGACAAATGCAGTGTATTTAATGTTTGTAAGCAATTCTAAGTGAGATGTTTGGCAAGAAATCCCCTAACTGATTTCCATCCAAACCTACCTTATAGAGCACAATATTAAGTGTTGTACAATTACTGTGAGAACTGTGAATATGTGTAACTTTTTTTTAGTATTTGCCCGGGGGGAAAAAGATATTGTATTATCATATATGCTTTTTTGCAATAAGGATTTATTCTCAGAACACCAAGTAAATCTATCTCTATATAAAAAATATATGTAATATATACATATTCAAAGTATATACAGAGCCTGTTTTAAAAAATACAGTATTATTTAGTAAAATTATCTGTTCTATGGACCAAATGTAAAATATTTATAAATGAAGATGCATTTTAAATGTCTATAAATGGTGTCATAACTAGAGCACGGGCGTTATGTAAGTTTCTAAGAATTTAGAGGATAAATAATAAAGGTTCTATGATATACAACATCAGACCTTCAATTCTTTGGGGTGGGGGCACAATATCCTCTTTCATCACAACAACAACACATACACACAGAACTATTTTTCCCCAGCAGACAGAGATTGGGGCTCAAAACCCAACAAAACGGAGCTGGACTTCCCCAGAGTCTTAAAGTCATAGAAAATGATTGTGTGCTGCACGAGGGAGGTGCTTTCACTGTGCATGGGGTCAACTAAATAAAGATCTAAAACCACAGGAGACCAGGAGCACATTTAGTGAACAACAGCACTCGTTCATTCACTCACTGATTCTTTCCTCAACATTTTTATCTTTTTAAATCGTATTTAGAAAAATGCGAATTCTACAGAGAAGTTGTAAGAATAGTTCCGTGGACACATCTGCACTTCACCCAGATTTGCCAGTTGTTAACACGTCGCCACTTTTATCTTCACTAACTCTCTGTCAGTCAAGGTTCAGCCTGGCAAGTGGAGCCACTGGATATGATGGAATCAGGGCTTTATTACAGGAACGGACCTTAGACCACTGCAGGGCAGTTGGAAAGTAAGAGTCTGCGGTTTCTCTACCTGGTCTGCTCTTCCCCGGCTGTCCTCACCACTGGTTCCTTCCTTTCATTCAGGTCTCTGCTCCATTGTCACCTCCTTACAGAGGCTTTTCCTGACCACCTTGGCTAAAATAACATGCTCCTTCATCTCTCTCTGCTCCCTCACTCTGTTTTATTTTTCTTATTCTCAGCATTCACAAGCTTACTAATTTAATCTCTATCTCTCCCCACTATAAAGGAAGCTCTGGGGGCGGGCACAGTGGCTCACGCCTGTAATCCCAACACTTTGGGAGGCCGAGGTGGGTAGATCACTTGAGGTCAGGAGTTCGAGACCAGCCTGGCCAACATGGCGAAACCCCATCTCTACAAAATATACAAAAATTAGCTGGGCGTGGTGGTGGGTGACTGTAATCCCAGCTACTCGGGGGCTGAGGTAGGAGAATCGAGTAAACCCAGAAGGTGGAGGTTGCAGTGAGCCGAGATCGTGCCACTGCACTCCAGCCTGGGCGACAGAGAGAGACTCTGTCTCAAAAAAATAAATAAATAAAATAAAAATAAAGGAAGCTCTGGGAATATGGGGACTTTTGCTAATTCACTGCTCTGTCCTAGATGCCCAGAACAGTGCCCGTGCCCGACACACAGTAGAAGCTCAACAAATACATGAATGAGTGAGTGAAGGAAAGAATGAATGAATAGATGGACGGACGGATGGCAGGATGGATGGATGGGCAAGGAATGGCAATGGAACAGCCATCGCAGGCACTGGCTTTGGGGTCAGACAGCTCTCCGTGTGAGTTCCGGCTCTGCCGCTCACTCTCTCAGCAACTCTGAACACGTTGCTTAAATCTCTTTGTGCCCCAGTTTCCTCACAAAATTGTTGTTACAGTGAAATGAGTTAAAACAAGGAAAGCACATAGCACGGTGCCTAGCCCAAACTGAGCACTTAAAAAAAATAGTGGTTTTATTACAGCAATGGTTCCTGAAATGTTCCCTTAGAAGAACCTCTTTAATCGGGGTCCATCCCCCACCCAGAGCCCCATGTTTTGAAGGATTTTGTCTACCAAACTGTCGCTTAATAATTAAGCTGTTTCCCCTCTTTTTATTAATCAGATGTGGCTGCTAATTAGAGCTCCCGATTAGCATGAGGTAACCAGGGTGACAGCACTAATCTGATATCATTCCAGGCAGAAGCAAAGAAATGTAGCATTTGGGGTCCTCAGCTTACCCAGATGGTTTGTAATTATGTGATTACCTCTGGGCTTTATAATATGGAAAAATAAAGTTCTGGATGTCCCATTGACTTTTCCAGGGACCCTCACAGGTTCAGGACCTCAGGTGGGGTCTATGTCTCACAAAATGTTTGGCTGCAGACTTTGTATTTCTCTTTCTTTAAAACCAAAGGTTGCTTTGAGGAGTAAACATTTTCCAGGCTAGGTGACCACGAGCTTTGATCCAGCTAATACATATCATGCAAATGGCTCCCAGTTTTGAAGCTCAGGTTTTGTGCACACCTCTATTTCTTTCTAATAAACTCCCAGCAGTGAAATTGCTGAGTCAAGCGGTCTGTGCATTTTTAAGGCTGTTCATGCCTCGTGCCAAACTGTCCGCAGGGAAAGTGGCGACCATTTTTATTCCCCCCAGAAGTATATGGTAGTGACAATCTCCCCACACTTTTTCCAAAATTAGATCTTATTATTTTTTAGAATCTTTTTCAATTTCACAGATGAAGTTATCTTAATAGTTGAGCTTATATTTCTTTGAATTTTACTGATGCAGGACTTTTTTTCATGTCCTTTCTGGCCTGTTGTATTTATTTTGTGAATTTATAGCTCATGAGCATCTTGCTGTTCTTTAGAGATGGGCTCTCGCTCTGTCGCCCAGGCCGGAGTGCAGTGATACAATCACTACTCACTACAGCCTCGAACTCCTGGGCTCAAGCCATCGTCCTGTCTTGGCCTTCCCAGTAGCTGGGACTACAGGCATGAGACACCACGTTCAGCTAATTTTTTAATTTTTCTTTTGTAGAGACAGAGTCTCGCTGTGTTAACCAGGCTGGTTTCAAACTCCTGGCCTCAAGCAATCCTCCTGCCTTCACCTCCCAAAGTGCTGGGATTATAAGCATGGGCAACTGTGTCCAGCCAGCATCCTGTTTTTGTATTTGTCTTATTTGTTTGGAAGAGTTATTTTTAATATATTGAGGATATTAACACTATCTTATGTATGTTGAAAATAAATCACAGGATGTATATGGATAGGTATATGTGTATGTGTATGTACATGTATATGTATATGCGTATGTACATGTGTATGTATATCTATATGTATAGATATATGCATATGCACATGTATGTGTGTAGATAGATATAGATAGATGATAGATAGATGATAGATAATCTAGATAGATAGATAGATAGATAGATAGATAGATAGATAGATAGATAGATAATCTCTTCTCCCAAGGAAGTCTTTCTGTTTTCTAGTTCCTGGCTTCTTACTTCCAAACCTTTTACAGTTTGAGCCAAAGGCTAGGAAAACATTTTCAGCCATCCCCTTTTCCAACCCTGTGCTAGTGTAGCCCCTCTCTTGGGTGGAAATGTGAGAGCAATTGCATCTTCCACTCAGGGCTGAGGATTCATGGCTTAGTAAGTGTCAAGTGTTTAGAACAGGGCCTGGTACATAGGAAACTCTCATATTGAGCCATTCTGTGACTTTCTGTGACCGCACAATAGCACCAGCTGCTTACTCTTCTCTCTGTCCTCACAAACCAGCCCTTTTATGATCCTCGTGGAATCTTCCCTGGCACACCCTTCAGGCTCACTGAGCCACGGTCAGGGCTGCTCAGAGAAGGCAGGTGTTGAAGTAGTGGCAGTTCATGACAACAGTGATAATGATAACAACTATTCATTCAGGCCCTACTAAGTTTGAGGCTCTGTACCAACCACCCCACAAGATTTTTCTCACTTCTCCCTTGGGACCACCCCATGGGGTATGGCTGACCCTTCATGTCAGTGCTCCAGCCATAACACTGAAGTCCCTTTTCCATCTTCATTTTTGTGCACACTGGCTCCCGCCGTGCCTGCACTCTGACATCCAGCACTTCTGTCTGTGTCAGATACAAGCATTATTTTTATAATAGGAAATACATAATAAACTATATTTTTAAATACACAAAGTCATGGCTAGGCACATTGGCACATGCCTGTAATCGCAGCACTTTGGGAGGCCAAAGCAGGAGGGTTGTTAAGACCAGGAGTTCAAGCAAGACCCACCTAAGCAACATAGCAAGGACCCATCTGCACAGAAAAAATTTAAAAAGTTAGCCAGGCATGATGGTACATGCCTGTAGTACTAGCTATTCAGGAAGCTGAGGCAGGAGGATGGCTTGAACCCAGGAGTTCAAGGTTGCAGTGACCTGTGATTGCACCATTGCGTGCCAGCCTGGGCAACAGAAGGAGACCCTATCTCTAAAAAAAAACAAAACAAAACAAAACAAAAAGGTATACAAAGTCACGTGGGCTTGTCAATGTGGAGAAGGACAATTTACTGACAAGGCATCTCATTATAATGCACATAAAATTAAGGACTTTGTATATTTTGCTTTTGGAGGAAAATCTTCTTTCACCAAAAAATGCTAATGGGACATGGGTGAGGAGACCAACCATGACAGACAACTCTAATAATATCCTAACATGAGCGAAGGAGAAATCAAGGGTTCCAGTGATGTGTTTACTGATGTTTCACCTGATACTGTCAAAGAGAATGTCTTGGTGTTTTACTTGAGGTTGGTGTCAGTTCAGGTCCGCCAAGAAGCAGATGCCAAGACAAATGTAGCAGCAAAATGGACCTGTGGGTAAACACCTTGAAATTTTGTATTGATGTATAATAATTGCACATATTTATAGGGTACATGTGATATTCTGATACATGCATACAATGTATAACGATCAAATCAGGGCATTTAAGATGTCCATAGCCTCAAATGTTTATCATTTCTTTGTGTTGGGAACATTTCAGATTTTTTCTTCTAGCTATTGGGGTAAACACCCTTAAATGACACAGGGGAGAAAGGGCAGGGCCAGGCAGGAAGACACCCAGCCACATTGATGGCTGGACAACAGGAGAAGGAAGGAGTCATGTGTGGGAAGAACCATAGACTGCAGTGCAGCGCTGGGACAGTCTCAGCCAGCCCGCCAGGAATCCCCACTGCAAAGGCTGTGCTTTGAAGAGTTCCACATTGAAGAAATGTCCAGGCCCTATTAACTCCACTATGCACTCAGTGCTGCCAGGGACAGTGTAAACTTGGCTCAACACTGTGGGACATCCCAAAGGCACTGCAACTGGGGGCCACTAGCCTACTGTACTCCCCACAGCAGTTCTCCAAATTACAGGAATGTGGAGGCAAGGAAAAGATATCCTTATTTCCTGAATGCCTTCTGTGTGCCCGGCACTTTCTCGTGGAATACTGTTTACTCCTCACCACAAACCTACAGAACATTGCAGGTAATTACTGGCATTTTGATATGGTGTGCATGTTCATCTCCTCCAAATCTCATGTTGAAATGTGATCCCAAATGTTGGAGGTGGGCCTAGTGGGAGGTGTTTGGGTCATGGGGGCAGATGTCTCATGAATGGCTTGGTGCCCTCCCCATGGTAATGAGTTTGCACAAGAGCTGGTTGTTTAAAAGAACCTGGCATCTCTCTCTCTCCCTCTCTCATATGACACACTGACTCCCCTTCCCTTCCACCATGAGTAAAAGCTTCCTGAGGCCTCATCAGAAACCGAGAAGATGCTGGCACTATGCTTCTTGTACAGCCTGCAGAACTGTGAGCCAAATAAACCTCTTTTCTTTATAAATTACCCAGTCTCAAATATTCCTTGATAGCAGCACAAAAAGGACTAATGCACGTTTATAGATGAATTTCCTCAGGCTCAGAGAGGGAAAACAACTTTCTCACAAAGCCACAGAGCTGAAAGTCACAGGACTGGACCCTGAGCCCAGATCCTTCCACTATAGCACAGTGGCCTCCATGGTCACAAACATGGCACAGGGTATAAGGCAAAGATCTAAGACCAGGCAGAGTTAAGGCAAGAGGGGGATCAGGAAAAGCCCATGGCATCAATATGAGGGGCTTCTGCCCCTTTCCTGCTGGAGTCTTGTTACAGCCCAAAGGGGTTCTTCTTGCCCACTGCAAGATGAAGCCAGAACATTGAGACAGCAGTGTTGCTGTAGAGAAAGGGTTTAATTATCACAAGGTAACTAAACAAAAGGATGGGAGATGTTTTTCAAATCTGCCTCCCCAAGAATTCAGAAGCTAGGGTTTTTAAGTGTACTTGAAAACAGCAGGCAGAGGGCTGGGAAACTGAAACAATTGATTGGCTGGGGACAAAATCACAGGGGTCTCTAAACTGTCTTTGAACAGCTGAGTCAGTTCCTGGGAGGGGATTTCAGGATCATGTGGCATCTCTTGATCTCCTGAAATGCTAAATCTGAAAAACATCTCAAAGACCAGTCTTTTAGGTTTCACAATAGTGAAGTTATCCATAGGAGCAGTTGGGGAAGTTACAAATATCACGACCTCCAGTTATGTGACTCTGGGGCAGTAAGCAACATATAGAAAAGCAAACTAAACAAGCAATGGATGGTTATAGTTCAACCTATTCTTTAGCGAAGTTGTAGGCCTCTAGCATCATTCTAACCTTGTTACCTTTTGTTAGTCTTTACAGATACGATTGCAATTTCCAAACAAAGAAGGGAACAGCTCCAGGAAGGGGCTGCTATGGCCTCCGCACAAGAATGAGCAAAAGCAAACTAGCCTGGTAGAAGCAAGATGAAGTCAGGTATGTTCGATTTCCCTTACTACTACAATTTTTGCAAAGGTGTTTTTAGCTTCAGAAATTAGCCCCACATCTTCTGCCAACCCCTCTGGAGGCAAGGGCCTGCACTGACCTCGTAGGCCTGCAGGGGCTTCAGGGTAAAATGCACAGACTGAATTTACAAGGACCATGCCAGGAAACACCGGCCCAGAAGCCCCATGCACAAATCCTTAGCGGCATCTTCAGAAAAAGAAAGCTTTAACCCAGCAGTGCACATAAGAATCAGAGAGTGTGCTGGGCAGAAAGCTGATCCCTAGACCCCATCCCAGACACTCTGATGCAGGAAGTCTAGGCTGGTGCCCAGAAATTACATTCTAATAAGCACCTCAAGCCCTTCTAGTGGAGAAAGTCATCCACACATCACATCAAGAAATACTGTTAAAAGCAATCCTGGAACCAAAATTGAGGAATAGTATACAAAGCAACTGGCCTATGCTCTTGAAAAATGTCAAGGTCATAAGAGACAAAGACCAAGGAATTGTTCAGATTAAAGACATGACAACAGAATGCAATTTTATCCGGAAATGGAACCTGGCCCAGAAATTTTTTTCTCTTGCCGTAAAGGACATTAGTGAAACAATAGATGAAATTTGAATAAGATATGTAGATGAGATAATAATATTGTATGGATGATAATTACATGATTTTGATCAATACACTGTGGTTATGTAAAAGAATGTCATTTATTTAGGAAATGTATGCTGAAGTATTCAGGCTAAAGGGGAAACTTGTCTACAACTTATTCTTAAATGACTCAGAAAAAAAAATACAATATAGGCTGGGCACAGTGGCTCACACCTGTAATCCCAGCACTTTAGGAGGCCCAGGTGGGTGGATCACCTGAGGTCAGGAGTTCAAGACTAGCCTGGCCAATATGGTGAAACTCCGTCTCTACTAAAAATACAAAAATTAGCCGGGTATGGTGGTGGGTGCCTGTAATCCCAGCTTCTCAGGAGGCTGAGGCAGGAGAATCGCTTAAACCTGGGAGGCAGAGGTTGCAGTGAGCTGAGATTGTGCCACTGCACTCCAGCCTGGGCAACAGAGTGAGACTCTGTCTGAAAAAAAATAATAACAATACAGTATATACATATATAATATGTGTGTGGAGAGAGAGCATAAGAGAGAATGATAAAGCCAGCAAATGTGGAAAATAACATTTGGGGAATCTGGGTGAAGAGTATACAGAAACTCTTTATATGAGTTTTGTAACTTCTATTTATTTATTTATTTATTTATTTAGAGATGGGGTCTTGTTCTTTTGCCCAGGCTGGAGTGCAGTAGCACAATCTGGGCTCATTGCAACCTCCATCTCCCAGGTTCAAGCAATTCTCCTGCCTCAGCCTCCCGAGTAGCTGGAACTACAGATGTGCACCATCCCACTTGGCTAATTTTTGTATTTTTAGTAGAGATGGGGTTTCGCCATGTTGTCCAGGCTGGTCTCAAACTCCTGACCTCAAGTGATCCACCGACTTCAGCCTCCCAAAGTGCTGTGATTACAGGCATGAGCCACTGTGCCCAGCTGAGTTTTACAACTTCTAAGTCTGGAATTATTTTAAACACACAAACAATCTAGGAAGAAGCTGGGTATCACCTTTATTTGATGAGAAAGGTACAGGTTTGGAACAGGTTCCTACGGTGGGGAGGGGGATGGTGGAGCAGGCTCTAGCTTTCACCAGGACCCGTCCCCACTCACACACTCCCATCCCTGTCATTGCCCCTCTTCTCCTGGTAAACTTCTCCTCAGGTCCCAGCTGAGAAGTCACCTCCCGGGAGCCTACCCAGGATGTGCTGGGCACCCTCCTGTGCTCCAAGGCTCCTTGGCACTGTGGTCCTCCCACCCTGGCCTATGAGCTTCTTGGGAGCTGAAGGTTGTTGGGGGAGACTGTCTCAATCTTCTTTGTGTCCCCAGGCCTGGCACAAAATTTGCCACATGCCAATGATTAAAAGAGATCTGCTTTTATTAATAGCTTCCTATTCCTGAAAGCCAGCATTTTGCAATACACACCAGCTAAGTGCTGCCTAACCTCTGTGTCATTAATATCTATGAAAACCCATAGAGCAGGTCTAATTACTCCCACTTAATGGTGCTTAGAGAAATGAAGTGACTCGCTTTAAAAAAACACTGAATGAATGCATGCATGCGTGCATGAAGGAAAAAGATACAGAGTACTCTGTGACCCTAGAGGAGCCAAAGGTGTGTGTATTGGGGGTAAGAGGGGAACCTCAGGAGACAAGCTCCAGTACCTAAGGAACTGGACATTCTCATGGTCAGGACTGTCCAACAATAGAACCAGCTGTCTTTGTAGTGAGTGAGCACCCTGTCCTTGGAGGTGTGCAAGCAGAGGGCCCCACCTTAACAGGGGTAAGAGGATGGTGGCTTGATGCCTGGGAGGGGCTGACTTTATGATTCTCCTGGCAGCAGGTGGTTTCTGAGTTGGTCCAATGGGAGAAGGGACCTGGGACATGGGATAAGACCCACATTGGCTCTCTTTTCACCCCCACCTCATGTATCCAAGTCCTGGCCCATTGAAACATTCACTTTAAATTGGCCCTTGCACTTAAAGAATTTTTAAGCTGAAGCTTTGCAACAAAACAATGGCCTCATTAGACTTTAAAGAGGGAGGTGACCCCCAAACAGACTAATAGTGGTCATGTGGGCCTGCAGTTGGCCCCATCTGGGGCTTGAGAGCCAACTGGGACATTCAGAATCTCACCTCCTCAGCCGCAACCAGACCCCGGCTCCCCAGCCCCAGACCCCCACAGCCTGTGATGTGGGGCCCTGACCTGGGCTTCTCCCCTGCCCCACCCCATATATCTCAAAGCAGGCCTCTTCTTTCCAGCTCCCCATGCCAGATCACTGCTAGGGTTCACCTGGCAGCCACAAGGCCAGCTTCCACTCAGTGCTCCAACCCATGGCCAGAGAGCTCTTTCTAAGGCAGAGCCAGGAGGGTTTTCGCCTGCTGAAAACCCTCCAACTGCCTCCTACCATGCTGATAATCAAGTTCAACTTTCTCTCCATACCCTGCAAGGCCCTGTCTGATCTGGTCTTCCACCTTCAGCCCCATCTAGCTGCCCATGCACACTCATCTGGCTGCTCTCCTCTCTGAAAATTCCATATGAATTTTAAAAAACAGCTTACCAATTTACGCAAAAAAAAGAAAACCGCTGGAATTTTGATAGGGTTGCATGAATCTTTCAATTGATTTGGGGTGTATTGCCATCTTATCAATATTACCTCTTCCAATCCATGAATATAGGATGTAGAGGACTTTGCCCTCTGCCAGATGTGCCCTTTTCAACTCTCTGGTCTCCCTGATGAACTCCTGCTTCTACTCCTGGATCCCTGGAGGAATGAAGGATGCACTAACCCAAAATATGCCAGATTGGTATATTGATTACTTTGAGTTAAAAACACTGGAGTAATTGTAATTTCCAAAAGGGCTAGCTGACCCGTCTCTTCCTGCATGTAGCAAGTGATAAAGATTCCTCTGGGAGGGGGTCCCTTCGCCATACCAGGGTGAGAAAATAGCCGTTGTAACCACAGACTGAGACTTAGGGGCTGTGATGGATAAATATGACTGAATATACATAACATAGTAACCCTCAACATCCACTAGTTCCACGTGCCAGTACCCCACATATCTCCTAGTGGCTCCCCTAGAAAACCTGCTGCTCCTATCAAGATTTTCTTTGTCCTGTCATTTCTTCTCAAATTTACAGTTGTCTAAAAAGTATAAAAGCATCTTGCTTTGGCCACTTCTGACTTCACTTTCTTGTGAAGATCCCTGGGTACATGTAAAACTAATACAATGTGTACACTTTCCTCTTGTTAATCTGCCTGGTGTCAATTTGGTTTCTATCCTGCATAAGAGCTAAAGGAGTTTGGAGGTGATCTCTGCCCTGCTGCAACCCCCTGGAGCATCCTCTCCCCCAGAACCTTTCCCTGCACCAGGCCCTCCTCACTGTGTTCTGGGGGCCTCTGGACTTGCCCATCTGGGCACAAGAGTACCCCATTAATCTCTTCCCATTTTCATTCCCCAGCTAGAGGACAGGGACTGTTTTTCATGACATTGCTTCCCCAGCACTGAGCACATGCCTGTTGCTTTGTGAAGATTCAACGACTATGTGGATTGCAATGGCTGGCTGGAAGAACCAGTGAGAATACCTAAAGGCACATTAAACATGCTTCCCCAAAGAAACAAACAAACAAGTGTACACACAAAAGAATGAATGAACTGATGTATACACAAATGTAGGTAGATAATTAAATGACAGAGCATTCTCCCAAGCTTTGAAAGCAATGGTTCTCAACACTGGCTTCAGGTTGGAACCACCTAGGCCTCCATCTCAGATCAATCAACTCGGAATCTTTAGCGGTGGGGCTGAGCTTCACCTTTTTTTAAGTTCCTGGTGATTCTAGCATACAGTCAGGGTTGAGTGGTTCCCAAAGTGTAGTCCCAGAGCAGCAGTGTGAGCGTCACCTGGGGACCTCAGAGTTTCTCAAGCTTCATAGAAATCACTGGAATTGGGAGGCCTGGGGTGAGGGGGGAGCCTGACTATGTGTGTGTCTAACAAATTCTCAGATGCTGCTGAGGCTGCTGGTTGGGGGGTCGCACTTTGAGACCCACAGGTCCAGAGGTCTTCTTTCTCTCTAGTCCTTTAGTGAAAGAAGGGTTGGAGGAGGTGACAGATACTGCTTCCTGGTCCAGGGATGAGAAGCCCTAAAAGGGTGGGACAGAGATTGCTCTAACAATTGTTCTTTTTCTTTACTTTCCCGTTTTTGTGGATTAGGAACCTGAGACCTTGGGAGGAGCAGAAACTTGCCCAAAGCCCAGGATCAATCTTGGAAACACTGACTTAGCAGGATATTTCCTGAGCACTTGTGACGTGCCAGGGGCATATATGCTACATGCTAAGCGTTCAAGGGCCAGCCTCTTAGCTCCGCCCCGCCTCTTCCAACTTGACACCAGCACCCCAAGGTCAGAACCCTAAGGACAGGTCAGGGCTCAGCTCCAACTCACCTGGCCTGCCAAGGAAAGCAGGGCTGGGTACCAGGCATCCTGCTTCCCTCATGCCCTGATGGGAGAAGCTGATCTTCCCCCTGCTCCCTGAGCTCCCTGAAACTGTCAAAGCCCAAGGGGAACGTCAGGAGGAGCAAATGAGGCAAGGAAGCCAACTGTCGGCTCCCACTCGCAGCCATGCAGGAGACGCCTCCTCTCCCCAGGGGATGCTCAGGTCCCACACAGCCTATTTTCTTGCCTGTCGAGGTGGTCTCTGGAGATGGTGTGAAAAACTCAGTTGAATGGTGAAGCAACAGCCATTTCCCTCCTCCTCCTCAATACCAGACTCTGATCTTGCTCAGGTATCAGGTGGCCTTGCGCTACAGAGGGGTGGGGGGCAGAGCTCTGCCCTTGTTCCGGGGCATGACTGATCCACGTCAATCATGCCACTCCATTTTCCTGGAAGTGATTGGTGGAGTCACGGGCATGGGAGCAATTATGGCCAATGAGGTGTGAGGACGAGACACGGGGAAGTGAAACTGGAAAGGTTTTTGCTCTTACAAGTAGATACTGGACCAAAAAAGAAAGAGAGAGAGATGGATGAATAGATGGATAGATGGATGGACAAACTATGAAGATAAGATAAAGCAATTATAGTAAAATGCAGAGTGCTAATGGTATAATCTAGATGGTTAAGTACATAGGTGCTCACTCTATTTTTCACTCAAATTTTCTGTGTGTTTAAAACTGTTCATAATGATGTGTTTTAAAAGCATGATGCCTGAGTGTCTACTAAAGCTGAATATATGCAATTCCACTCCTAGGTGTATGCCTAACAGAATAACAGAAACACATACTTTTTTTCTTTTTTCTTTTCTTTTTTTTTTTTTTTTTTTTTTTTTTGAGACAGCGTCTTGCTCTGTCACCCAGGCTGGAGTGCAGTGGCACAATCACAGCTCACTGCAGCTTCCATCTCCTGGGCTCAGGTGATCCTCCCACTTTAGCCTTCCGAGTAGCTGGGACTTCAGGCATGCCACCATGCTCAGCTAATTATTTTATTTTTTGTAGAGATAGGGTCTTGCTATGTTGCTCAGGCTGGTCTCAAAGTCCTGGGCTCAAGCAGTCCTCCTGCCTCAGCCTTCCAAAGTGCTAGGATTACAGGCGTGAGCCACCGTGTCCAGCCAGAAATGCATTCTTAACGTTCACCAAAAGATATGTGCAAGAATGTTCATAGCAGCACTATCTATAATAGCAAAAACCTGAAAACAGTCGAGTTTGTCAACAGAAGAATGAATAAATTGTGATATATTCGTGCAATAGAATATTACATAGCATTGAGAATTAACAAATGGCAGCGACACACAACAACAGGGTAAATCACACTAATGTAATGCAGGGCAAAGACACTATAAGTACAGAATGCATGATTACATTTCTATAGAGCCCATAGCAGGCTGACTTGAACTGTGCTGTTAGATTTCAGAGATTGGTGGCCCTTATTGGAAGGTAGCAACTGGAAGGCAGGGCAATGGGAGCTCCTGCAGGGCTGGTGATATTCTGCTGGCTGAGCTGGTGCTAGTTACAGGGAAGCAACTGAGCTGCATGCTTTTTTTTTTTTTTGAACCTTTCTTTGTGTATGTTATACTTCGATTAAGAGTTCAAGATGCATATGCTTGAAGGGAAGCATCCCCCTTCTCTGATTCTCCATATAGCTAGGTGTAGTGAAGATGCTGGAGTTTCTGCTGGCATCTATGATGCCAAGGAAATGAGCCAGCCCCCAGATGGCAAAACAGATAGATGGAGGCTGAGCCTAGGTGACATTGTTGTCAACCTTGACACTGGCACAACTGTAAGAGGTGGGGACTATCATTGTCCCCGTCTAATCCCCCAGGACACCGAGGCTTAGAGAAAAACTTAGAAAGTCCCCACCCCACCTCGGAGTGGCATTCTAGTTGTTCCTGAGTTAGAGGTGAGCATTCAGAATAACAATACAAGGAATGTCCCACCAAAAGAGGAGCTGGACAGTTCAGTGGCGATGGAGACCACTGTGGGCTGCGGTGTCTGGGGAGCTTTCCAGCTAAGATCTTGTTTTCCGGTTCCTGCTGCTTCTCTCATTATTCACCACTCCCTTCTCCCAGCCACCCACGACCCAGTCTCTGCTCAGCCGCATGGAGTTCCCCCAAACTCTACTGCTCTTCCCCTGTTGGCCTTTGCACAGCCTGTTTGCTCTGCCTGGAGCACTCGCCTCCTTCCCTCCAGCAGCCTAACTCCAACTTCTCTCTCAGTCTTGGCGTTGGTGCTCTTCCTCCAGGAAGACATCTTGGACTCTCTCTTAGGAACCTAAAGCCCATGAAGCCAGAAGAGAGACAGTAAACCCCCACACTTGCCCACCTCTGGAGAGGCAAGTCCTTGTTCAGTCCTTCCAACAACCTTCCAAGGCAGGCAACACTGGTGTTCTCGGCCACAACTGGCAGGTTAAGAAACTGAGGACCAGAGAAGACAAGAGGCTTCCATGAAATCACACAGCACTCTTTCCATCAGGAGACAGGCCCTGAATTATGCCTGTAGAATTTGGCAAACACAGCAACAACGATAATGATATCCACTAAGGTTTATTTGGCATTTGCCAGGAAGGGCTCTAAATATTTCATCTGTATTAACTCATTTAATCTTCACAACATCCCCATGAAATAAATATTATTATTGTCCCAAATTTACAAGGAAGAAACCAGAGGTGCAAACAGATGAGAAACTTGCTCTCTCAACTACCAAATATTCAACATCAAATACCAAAATACTTACTAGTCACCAAATACTGAAAGCAACCAGAAAGATCTTCCTCATCCATCAAGTCTATAGATCTTTCAAAAATCATAATTGGCAGCATCAGAATGCAGAGAAATAAACACATCAGAGACATAGTACAGATGCATAGATTGATTTTTTTAAACTTTCTGATCATAATTTGGTAACAGTATTTAGTAAGAATTCCTCTTTTTTTTTCTTTTTTTTTTTTTGAGACAGAGTCTTGCTCTGTCACCCAGGCTGGAGTGCAGTGGCACGATCTCAGCTCACTGCAACCTCCACCTCCCGGGTTCTAAGTGATTCTCCTGCCTTAGCCTCTGGAGTATCTGGGATTATGGTGCCCACCACCATGCCTGGCTAATTTTCTATTTTTAGTAGAGATGGGGTTTCACCATGTTGGCCAGGCTGGTCTCGAACTCCTGACCTCAGGTGATCCACCCGCCTCGGCCTCCCAAAGTGCTGGGATTAGAGGCATGAGGCATCCTGCCTGGCCTGCGTATTCCTTTTGACTCACCAATTCTACGTCTAGGAATCTATTTCTTGGAGAAATACTCAGAGATCTTGTCTCAAGTTTGTACTCGAAAATATGCTTAGTAGTATCACGTTGAACAACAGCAACAAAAGAAAGGAATCCACCCAGAAGTTCAGCAATAGGGTTGGTAGGATAAATGATGACACTCCCATCCCATGAAACATGACTCAGTCATTAAAAGTAATATTGCAAGAGAAAAGTAAATATCATTTTTCTAAAGTGTCTAAAATTCAAGGATGAGTAAAAACAGAATACAAAACTATATGCACACAGTATTATTTGCACTGTATTGCATGATATCATTATACACCCGAAGAATCTGTTGAGCAAGGCTAGGAGGACATGCGATGATGCCTTCCTGCTCATAACAACCCCATGAGACAGCCGCTACAGTATCATTCCCATTCTGCAGATGGGACCACCGAGGCATAGGAAAGTAAGGTCCTCACCAAGGCCAGGATTGTCTGACTCCAGAGTACACATTCAGGCCCACACCAGCCTCTGGGTATGACATTATGGGTGGATGGTTAAAAGTTTTTGTATACTTTTAAGAAGCTATTTTCCAAGCTATTTCCAATGAACATCTATCAATTTTATAATCAAGGACAGGAGGCAATAAAAATCATTTGTTTGTGCAAAGTGTCCAAAAAGTTCCAGAAGGCTATACATGCCCAGGTGTTAGGGACAATTATCTCCAGCTGGCAGGAGGCCTGGAGCACTGTGGGCTCTTCATTTTGCTCTATTTTGTCACTTTTCTGAAGAAACTGAGCACATGAGTTATTTAGAATTCGGGTGTTTGGTGCCTGGGACTTCTGTCAGGGTCTGCGGTGTCTGGAGTGGGGCCGGCTCTGATCCGGTGAAGGTACCTCTAGACCCCTGCCCACCTTCTCCCCACAAGCCTAGGCCATGGCCGCCCCCGTCCCCACCAGAAAAGCATGGCACCAACACCAGCTTGTGCCTCTCCTCGTCCCCTCCCAAGAGGGCCATGTCCTTGTTCATCTGTAACTTTCAATTAACCAGGCACCAGGCTCCGGCTCAGAGGCTGAGCAAATGTTCCAAGGAGGAAAAGAAAATCCAGCCCAACAGCTCCAGGAGGACGCTTCCTTTTAATTAAAGTGAGGATCATGGAGGCTCTAAAACCCTTTTCCGATGAAACGTGAAGGTGGTCAGGGAGGGGTCCTTGAGAGCAGGGCTGGGTAAGGCAGGGCAGCAAAGGTGTGGTGAGGGAGTCAGCCTCCCACCCCTGCATCCCTCATTAGGCTCCTGCAGGGCCAGGGCCTTCTAGCCGCGCCGAGGAAGGGCAGCTGATGTCAGAGGGCCCTGATAATTAGAATCCAAGACCCCCGAGAGGGCTGCCACAGGATGGTTGCTAACACTATCCATTAGGGGTGTTTGGGAGGGGAGAGCGTGTGCAGATCAAATCTGGAAACGAGGCTCTGGGCTTGGCCCCAGCAGAACTCCAGGCTTCTTGCTCCTCCTGCTCCCAGGGTCAGCCTGGCTTCTCTGGTTTTCTGTTTGAACAGAAGGGAGGGAAGGAAGGACCGTGCTCAATTCTCTTGAGCCCATTTCTCAGAGGCCCTCAGAGGAAGGATGTACCCAGCCCCAGCTCAGAGGAAAGAAGGCCCTTGCCTTTGTGTCTCACTCACATCACGCCCTGCTGCAGGGCTGGAGGTTCCCGCAAGATGGTGAATGGTGGTCATGGTGGTGGCTGCAGTCATACAGCCAAGGTCTGTGGAATGTAACTACTGCTCCAGCGGGGCATCAATAAGACGGCGGATTTGGCAGCTTGGCCTTCGTGGGTTTGAATCCCGACTCTGCTACTCCGTAGCTATATCACTGAGGGCAACTTAATTCCCCTCTCTGGGCCTCATCTTCCTCATCTGTAAAACGGAGCTGACAGTGATGCCTGCCTCACAGAGCTGTGTTGTGAGGATTAAATTAGTGAACATGTGTAAAGTGTAAGAACAGTGTCTGGTTCGCCTGCCCTCGATTAATGTCAGCTGTTACTAAGACATTTTACATTTATTCAGATTAACTCATTAATTCTTCCCAATACCCCACGTGGTAGTCACTTTCATTACCCCTCTTAGTACATGCAAAAATAGGCACAGAGAGGCTAAGAAATTTGCCCAAAGTCACACACCTTTTACTAAGGAGAAAAGCCAGTATTCCAACCCAGGCCCTGTGGCTCCATAGCCCACGTGCTTGGCTATCATTTTATTTAATATTCTGCTCCTCGTTGTGGACGTATAGATGTAGGCATGGATGGTATTCTGTAGCAAATTTTTACAAGATGGCGAATATTAAGGGAGTGGTTGGCAGAGTTGAATGGGCAGGGGCTCTGGGATCAGGCCAGCTTGAGCTCAAGCCTTGGTTCTGCTGCTTTCTGGGTGTGTGCCTTGGAGCAAGACACTTTTCCCTCCTTCCTCGTCTGTGAAATGAGACTCATAGTCAAGTCCCTTCTGAGGGAAGTAATGGAGTAAGAGGAGGTGAGCAATGGTCTGCAGGAGGGGTTGTGGGAGGGGAGAGGGAGGAGGAGCACAGGGGAAGGGCCTGTCCCCTGTGGGTTCCAGACCCCTGCCCCTGAACAGGCTGCCTTTCCTCCTCTGCTCCCTTCCCTTGCAGCAGCCCAGAGCCCAGGGCGCAGCCAGAGGCAGAGCCCCAAAGCCCCAACCAGCATGTAACTCAAAGTGATGAACTCTGGCTTCGGATCCCAGCAAGGGCGTCGCTGGCAGCTGGAAGGGGTGCTGCTCAGGGTCGCTGGAATGGGAAGGGTCCAGTGAGGACACCTGTCACTGGACCATCTGGGTCCTGAGGATACTCCCAGTAACACACTTGTACCCAATGCCTCTTCTTCTTCACCTGGCTCCTCCCTATCTTCCACCTTCCGGCCCGCCCCCTCCAGTCCAGCCTCTACACTGCAGCAGAGGGATTAGTCTAAAATGCAGATCTTATCAGGTTGTTTTCTGGCCTAAAACCTTCCCATGGCTCCCCACCACCCAAGCTCTTTGCCTTGACCCGTGAAGCCCCATCCACCTGTTCTGAGGTTGCCTGTGAGTCCCTCTTCCATCCTTTGGCCACTGCACTCTCCCCTCTCAAATGCTAAACTCCTACCACACTGGACATTTCTTTGTGCCATGTTCTTGCACCGCACTGGGGCATTTGATCTTATAGATCCCTCTGCAAGAAGCACCTTTCTCCCCTTCTGGCCACCACCACCCCCAATCAAAACACATCTTCTGGGTTTTCTCCTGTTTATTCTTCAAGGCTGCACTTAACACATTGCTTCCCTGAGGAAGCCCTTTCCATACTCCCCTGACCCAGCTGGGTCAGCTGCCCTGCTTCGTGTTCCCACAATCTCCCAAGCTTCTCTCAGGGAGCATTTACCATAGTCCATTGTAATTATTTAAGAGTGTGTCTCTTCCACTGGACACAGGGAACCCCTTGAGGATAAGGACTGATTTTGAGTTGCTTATTATTGAAATTATGATGCTTGAGACAGAGAAGGGGCTAAAGGGTCTGCTGGGTGGATGGATGGATGGATGAGACCATGGCAGGTAGGTGGGTGGGTTGGTGGATGGATGGATGAATGGATGGGTAGGTGGATGAATGGGTGAGTGGATGGTGAATGGGATGGATGGATGGAGGCATGGTAGGTAGGTGGGTGAGTTGGTGAATCGATGGGTGGGTGGGTAGATGGATGGAAGGATGGAAGCATGGCAAGTAGGTGGGTGAGTGTTTGGTGAAGGGATGGGTGGGTGGGTAGATGGATGGAAGGATGGAAGCATGGCAAGTAGGTGGGTGAGTGTTTGGTGAATGGATGGGTGGGTGGGTGGATGAACGGATGGATGGAAAGATGGAAGCATGGCAGGTAGGTGGGTGGGTTGGTGAATGGATGGGTGGATGGATGAATGGATGGGTGGATGGATAGGTGGATGGATGGATGGGTAGATGGATAAATGGATGGATGAACGGGAGCATGGCAGGTAGGTGAGTGGGTGGGTGGGTGGATGGATGGATGGGTGGTTGGACGAATGGGAGTATAGGCAGGTAGGTGGGTGCGTGCATGGACAGATGGGTAAGCGAGGAAACAGAGGGAATGATACATTGGTGGATGAATAATAAGAAAACAGATAATAAAATAAATGGCGGAAGAATGGATGGGTGAGTAGGTGAATGGATGGATAGATGAATGATGAGAAGGCCGGATGGATGCACAGACAGACAGACAGATGGATGGATACAGTCCTTCCTCAATCGTTAGAGAGAGAAAAGCTCCAGTCTTTGGATTTCAAGGTTTGGAAGGTCCTTATACCTCTCCCAGCCCTTAACTTTAATGGTCACAATAGCAGTAACATATTTTTAAATCACCTTTTTAAAAATTAAGGTCAAATTTACATAACGTAGCCAGGCGCAGTGGTTCACGCCTGTAATCCCAGCACTTTGGGAGGCCAAGGTGGGCAGATCACTTGAAGTCGGGAGTTCAAGACCAGCTTGGCCAACATGGTGAAACCCTGTCTCTACTAAAAATACAAAAATTAGGTGGGTGTGGCAGCATGCACCTGTAATCCTAGGGGAGACTGAGGCAGGAGAATCGCGTGAACCCAGAAGCTGGAGGTTGCAGTGAGCTGAGATCCGGCCACTGCACTCCAGCCTGGGCGACAGAGTGAGAATCTGTCTCCCAAAAAAAAAAAGCTAACATTTTAAAGTGAACAATCCAGTACATTCACAATGTTGTACAATCACCACCTCTATCTAGTTCCAAAACATTTTCATCATTCACAGAAGATAACCCCATTAAGCAGTTTCTTCCCATCGTCCCCTCCCTCAGCCCCTGGAAACCACTAATCTACCGTCTGTCTCTGAATTTGTCTTTTCCGGACATTTCAAAGAACGCAGTCATGCAATTTGTGACCTTTTGTGTCTAGTTTCTTAAATAAGGCTTTTTGTGGGCAATAAAAACTAGTTTCTGAGGGCGGAGAGGAATCTGTAAAGTGGGCATATGACACCCCCTGCCTGGCCACTCCTGCTTAGGAGACCAAAGCGCTCCTGGAAGCAGCAGGGGCTGACAAGCAGGTGGGGGAGGACCCCAGCGACGCAGGCTCTCCTGTGCCACTCACTAGCAGGCTGGACAGGGACTGGAGGCATGCTAAGGTCCCTGGTTGCCTACCACCTGGCTTAGGGTCTGGCACTCAGTGGAAACTTAGTAAGTAGGAGATGGAGTGGCCTTCACTGAGTGGCGTGAGGAGGGATAAAGATTCCCCCACCTCCTGGCTGTGTCGTGGTCCCAGAAGGAGCCTCTCTTTGCCATGCATCAGTCCCCACAGAGCCTTGCCGTGTGCCAGGAGCCTCAGCAAACCTCTTCACTTAATGTCCCAAACAACTCTACAGAGCGGCTATCAGAAGACGCATTAGCAGAAAGGTGGCCAAGCTGGGTTGAGTGTGTTCCCCAAGTATACAGCAACAGCCCCTGTGCTCTTTCCGCTGCAACATCCTGTCCCTTCTCTCCTCTTCCTCCTCTCTGCAGGATCCCTGCTATCGACATATGATTCAAACCCTAGGGGATTTAGGCCCCTGTGTCTCATCCACAGCACCCTTTTTCTTAATCATTTCCTGCTGCCTCCGAGCCCCAGACAGGCTCCCTCTTTCCCGGCATCTCTCTATGCTCCCCTCTGCAGGCAGCAGCCAAAGACATCTCCGTGGTACAAGTCGGCCATCTGGTGTCTACATAGAGTATAGCAGCCACAGAGGGAAATCAAGGGTGAGAATTCCCTGCCAGGGCAAAAGCACGACCTCACCTCACAGCTCAGGGAGGAAGGTGCAGGGGATGGGGCCCTAATTTAATCTGGGCTCTCCATCTGTGACTTGCCCTGTGCTAGGTGCTTTACCTGCATTGATCTCAGTTAATCCTCACCTTGGTGCTACAAGAACTACTCCTTACTGTATGTAGTAGGGGCTCCAAAATACTTGTGATAAAAGGACAAATACTCTATGATTCTACTTACATGAGATCCCTAGAGCAGTCTAATTCATAGAGACAGAAAGTAGAATGCTGGTTTCCAGGGGCTGGGTGAGGGGAACAAGGAGTGAGGGTTTCATGGGTGCAGTTTCAGCTGGGAAAGATGGGAAGAGTTCTGGAGATGGATGGTGGTGACTCTGCACAGCAATGTGAGCGGACTCAGTGCCAGCAAGCTGCGCACCTAAAAATAGTTAAATGGTAAATCCTATGTTACATATCTTTTACCTCCATTTTTTAAATAACTATATGTGAGTGAATCAGCTAAGAAGAAATGAATAAATGCATAAGTGAATTGATGAATGCATAATGAAGATAATAATACCATTTATGGAATACTTAGTATGTGCTAGTCATTGTGCAAAGTGTGTTTCAACTGAGAAGTGTTTTTATGAAGCCCCAACCCTGGCAGGCCCTGCTTGCGGCTTTTGGGATACAGCAGTGAGCTAAGTTGCTACCACGCTACAGCTGACATTTTGTGGGCGAGATAGTAAACAAGGGATATTAAAATATCAGACGGTGGTACGTGCTATAAAAGAAAAAAAAGGCAAAGCGAAAGGATGGAGAATGGCTTGGAGGAAGGTGGGAGAGCTCCTTCTGATGGGCGTCATTTCAGTTTCACAGATGAGGCATGGGAGGCTCGAGTGCTCCCCAAGGGTCACACATCTAGGAAGTGGTCCAGGCAGGAACTGAAGCCAGGTCTGTCAGAGCCCAGCCCTGGAGCTCCTAACCACGCCGTGACCACACCAGGGAACGGTGTTGTCTCTTGGCTCACACCCTGAGGCACGCACTTCAACCCTCTGAGGGCCTCAAAGCTGAGTCCCAGGGTAGGAGCGGGGTCTTCCTTTCCCACAGGCCGCCGGCTTCTGGAGGCGCAGATGGATCGTGTGTCCAGCAGGTGGCGCCGCGGCCCGACTCGGGCGCCCCAGCAGAACCAGCCTGCCAGTTGAGTCTGTGCCAGGCTGGAGAGCGGGGCGCGGGCAGTAGGTACCTGAAGCGAGGCTCGGCCGGAGGCTTCGGGCAGAGATGTGCTGCTGTCAGTCGGGCAGGCCAGCTTTAGCGGCTCAGCCCTGCAGGTCACTTCCAGTTATGGGACTTCCGCCCACTGTGAGCTTCCCCCTCTGAATGCAACCGGGTTGTCCACCCCTTCCTCCAGGCTGCGGGAAAACGGCATGAGCCCACACCTTCATCCCTTTGAGAGGTGACAGCGTGCTGGCAGCCCTTGCTTGCTCTCGGAGCCTCCTCGGCCTCGTTGCCCACTCTGGCTGTGCTTGAGGAGCCCTTCAGCCCGCCGCTGCACTGTGAGAGCCCCTTTCTGGGCTGGCCGAGGCCGGAGCCGGCTCCCTCAGCTTGCAGGGAGGTGTGGAGAGAGCAGCGCGGGCGGGAACCGGGGCTGAGCGCGGCACTTGTGGGCCAGCGTGAGTTCCAGGTGGGCGTGGGCTCCGCGGGCCCCACACTCAGAGCGGCCGGCCGGCCTCGGGCAGTGAGGGGCTTAGCACCCGGGCCAGCAGCTGCGGAGGGTGCGCCGGGTCCCCCAGCAGTGCCCGCCCACTGGCGCTGTACTCGATTTCTCGCTGGGCCTTAGGTGCCTCCCCACGGGGCAGGGCTCGGGACCTGCAGCCCACCATGCCTGAGCCTCCCCCAACGCCATCGGCTTCTGTGCAGCCCGAGCCTCTCTGACGAGCGCCGCCCCCTGCTCCACGGCACCCAGTCCCATCCACCGCCCAAGGGCTGAGGAGTGCGGGCGCAAGGCTCGGGACTGGCAGGCAGCTCCACCTGCAGCCCCTGTGCGGGATCTACTGGATGAAGCCAGCTGGGCTCTTAAGTCTAGTGGGGACTTGGAGAACCTTTATGTCTAGCTAAGGTATTGTAAATACACCAATCAGCACTCTGTATCTAGCTCAGGGGTTGTAAATGCACCAATCAGCACCCTGTGTCTAGCTCAAGGTTTGTAAATGCACCAATCAGTGCTCTGTCTAGCTGATCTGGTGGGGACTTGGAGAACCTTTATGTCTAGCTAAGGGATTGTGAATACACCAATAGGCACTCTGTATCTAGCTAATCTAGTGGGGACTTGGAGAACTTTTGTGTCTAGCTCAGGGATTGTAAACGCACCAATCAGCACCCTGTCAAAACAGACCAATCAGCTCTCTGTAAAACAGACCAATCGGCTCTCTGTAAAATGGACCAATCAGCAGGATGTGGGTGGGGCCAGATAAGAGAATAAAAGCAGGCTGCCCAAGCCACCAGTGGTAACCTGCTCGGGTCCCCTTCCAGTCTGTGGGGTATTTCCTCTTTTGCTGTTTGCAGTAAATCTTGCTGCTGTTCATTGTTTGGGTCCACACTGCCTTTATGAGCTGTAACATTCACTGTGAAGGTCTGCAGCTTAGCTCCTGAAGCCACTGAGACCACGAACCCACCAGAAGGAAGAAACTCTGAACACATCCGAACATCAGAAAGAACAAACTCTGGACACACCGCCTTTAGGAACTGTAACACTGACTGAGAGAGTCCCAGACTTCATTCTTGAAGTAAGTGAGAGCAAGAACCCACCAATTCCGGATGCACCTTCAGCAGTGCTTCCTTGAGAACTTCCTGGGTGCCAGGCCGGGGGACTCAGCAGGAAATAAAGCCTACAAACCCCGCTGCCCTCCCCTCAGGGAGGCTCCGTTCTTGGGGAGGGGAGACAAACAATAACCTAGAGGAACCAAGTGTGCGTTATGCTAGGGAATGGGATGTGGAGCAAATAATGAGATGGAGAAGGCAGAGGGGAAGTGTGTGGTCACAGGTTAGACGTGTAGACGGTCAGGCGCCAAGGAAGACCTGCTGAAGAGCGACCCTGGAGCAAGGGAGGTGAAGGGATGCACGGATGCACAGGGAAAGGCACCCAGGCAGAAGGGAGCCAAGGGGGTCAGTGGGCCTGGAGCGCCCTGAGCCAGATGAGTGTGGAGGGAGGGAGGTCACAGCAGGGGTGGGTGGTGCAGGGCTGTGGAGGTCATGGTGGGAGGAATTGGACTTGGACTCTGAAGGGGATGGGAAGCCAGTGGCATAATAACCCCACATCTCAGTGGTTTAAGCAACACAAGTTGATTTCGTGCTCACATTATCTATCAAGAGGGATTGGCCTGGGTGGGCGGGGCCCTTCACTTAGAGACCCAAATGATTTTATTAGGCTGTTTTCTTAGAAGGCATCAGCGTCCCAGCTAGGGAATGAGAGTGGTGAAAAGTGGAGCAGCAGCAAGTAAATGCTTCTGAATGAAAGTGACATTCGTCACTGCCTCTCATTTTTCATGGGCCAGAGTTTGAGGCAGGCCATGCCCCATGTCAAGGGAGAGGGGACATCAGATTAGTGACGGACAGCACCCTGCTAGTGCTATGATTTCCACGATAAGCCTCCATTCCCGGATCAATTTTACTTTTTTATTTTTTTATTTTTTTTAGCTAGAGTCTCGGTCTGTCACCCAGGCTAGAGTGCAGTGGCGTGACCTCTGCTCACTGCAAACTCCACCTCTTCACACCATTCTCCTGCCTCAGCCTCCTGAGTTGCTGGGACTACAGGCGGCTGCCACCACACCTGGCTAATTTTTTGTATTTTTGTAGTAGAGACAGCATTTCACTGTGTTAGCCAGGATGGTCTCGATCTCCTAACCTGGTGATCCACCCGTCTCGGCCTCCCAAAGTGCTGGGATTACAGGCATGAGCCACCACACCCGGCTAATTTATTTTTTTCTTAGAGAGGAGGTCTCACTTTATCACCCAGGCTGGAGTGCAGTGGTGTAATCATAGCTCATATTGTGTCGGGAGTTGGTTGAAGCTGCAGACCTTCACAGTGAGTGTTACAGCCCTTAAAGATGGCAGAGACCCAAAGAGTGAGCAGTAGCAAGGTTTATTATGAAGAGCAAAAGAACAAAGCTTCCACAGTGTGGAAAAGGACCCCAGCAGGTTGCCACTGCTGGCTGGGTGGCCAGCTTTTACTCCCTCATTTGTCCCCTCCCATGTTCCATTTTTGTCCTATCAGAGTGCCCTTTTTTCAATCCTCCCTGCGATTGGCTACTTTTAGGATCCTGCTGATTGGTGTGTTTTACAGAGTGCTCATTGGTGCATTTTACAATCCTCTTGCTAGCTACAGAGTGCTGATTGGCGCGTTTTTACAGAGCGCTGATTGGTGCATTTTACAATCCCTCTTGTAAGACAAAAAAGTTCTCCAAGTCCCCACTGGACCCAGCAAGTCCAGCTGGCTTCAGCTCTCAATATCTGCCTCAGATTCCTGGGCTCAGGGGATCCTCCCACCTCAGCCTCCCCAGTGGCTGGGACTACAGATGTGTGCCATCATGCCCAGCTAGTTTAAAAAAAAAATATATATATATATATATATATATATATATATAGTCATAAAACCTTCTCCTCCTTATATGGAGAGCTGGGGAACTACCTCTGCTTCCCAAGGAGAGAGGCTGAGCTGAAATCAGGTGAGGACCCTGAGGAAGAACTGAATCTGAAACTGGCCCAATAGTCCCATAGACTGTTCTTTTTGGTAAACTTAGAAATTGACCCTTCTGGGCTTAAAGCTTGAAACTTGTATTTGTTTTATCTGAAATCCTTCTTCAGGAAAGGACCTTCAGGCCTCTCAAAAAGCATCCAAGAACTGAAACTCACCAGATCACTGCACCAGATAGCAGACCCCTCATTTGTCATGATGGCTTATTTGGCCTTCCCTAGTTCTATTTTCTTACACATTGTTACATTTCCTCCCTGCTATGTAAAGCCCCAGTTTTAGTCAGGCGGATGGATTTGAGGCTGAGCTCCCATCTCCTGGGCTGCAGCACCCAACTAAAGCCTTCTTCCTTGGCAGTATTCACCATCTCAGTGATTGGCTTTCTGTGTGGTGAGCTCATGGCTTGGCTGCAGCGGGCTGGGAGTCTCACAACCCCTCCTAAGCAGCTGCCCACACCAATTTTGGCTGGAGGTGAGTTTCAGTCTCTCTCCAGCTTTGCCACAGCCAGTCCCAATCATGTTCCTGATTGCCTTGGAAGAACTGTTTTTCTAATTTGACATCTGCATCTACGTAGGTGAGTGTCATTTGTGGGCCCAGAGAGCAGGATCTGCTCCTCTCAGTTTGGAAATTTTTTTTTTAATTTTTTTTGAGACAGCATCTCACTCTGTCACCCTAGAATGCAGTGGCATGATCTCGGCTCACTGCAACCTCCGCCTCCCTGGTTCAAGCGATTTTCCTGCCTCAGTCTCCTGAGTAGCTGGGAATACGGGCGTGTGCCACCATGCCTGGCTAATTTTTGTATTTTTAGTAGAGACGGGGTTTTACCATATTGGCCAGGCTGGTCTAGAACTCCTAACCTCATGATCTGCCCCCTTTGGCCTCCCAAAGTGCTGGGATTACAAGCATGATCCACTGTGCCTGGCCGGGAAATTTTTTAAAGAATTTCCATTTGCAGTTTGAAGGAGCCCAACTGGGAAAGGGAAACACCCTGACTGTTTTGGTGTGGACACTTTGGGGGCTTGTTTGTTGCTGTAGTAGTTG
This sequence comes from Homo sapiens, assembly GCF_000001405.40. Lineage (NCBI taxonomy): Eukaryota > Metazoa > Chordata > Mammalia > Primates > Hominidae > Homo > Homo sapiens. The sequence goes on from NC_000003.12 coordinate 11,065,550, forward strand.
GATTGTGTTCTGGTGATTGTGTGTGTGTGTGTGTGTGTGTGTGTGTGTCATGGGAAATTAGACTTCAGTAAACTTGATATTCTTTTGAAATACTTTCGGCCCCAATATTGTTTGAAATGTGGAGTTTGCTGTTGAATGGGAGAGTGAGATGGAGTCCATGTATCCAGGCTTTTGTGCTGCTGTTCTAAGTAGGGTTGGTCTTGGTTAGTATGTGATGCTCTCCCTTGGTGCTGTTTGACCCGAGTGTTCTTTGGAGTCTGGGGAGGTTTGGCCTTTGAAAAGCAAACTGCCATGGAAACTGCTTTACCCAAAACTTGGTTCACAGCCTTCACTGGATTACCTACTGGGGCGAAAAAAAGTATAACCATGTAAAACCGGTGAGTTTGTATTGCTATCTCATGGCTAGAGTTCCAAGGTATTATAAAAGCTGTTGAATCATTGTGTGTGTGTATTCATGTCTAGATGTGTTTATGTGTATTTAAGTCACATGTTGTATCTACCAAATTGGCTTATAAATAAAACAGCACTAAAAAATTAAGAAAATAAATCCACTCAAGTTCACATGACTTAAGTAAATGTTTGCTAAACAAGCTGGCTTTAAAATTATTGTTAAAATGAGGCCTGGCGTGATGGCCCATGCCTGTAATCCTAGCACTTTGTGAGGCCAAGGTGGGCGGATCACCTGAGGTCAGGAGTTCCAGACCAGCCTGGCCAACATGGTGAAAACCTGTCTCTACTAAAAATACAAAAATTAGGCGGGAGTGGTGGCGCATGCCTGTAGTCCCATCTACTTGGGAGGTTGAGGCAGGAGAATTGCTTGAACCTGGGAGGCGGAGGTTGCAGTGAGCCAAGATGGTGCCACTGCACTCCAGCCTGGGCAACAGAGCGAGACTCTGTCCAAAAAAAGTTATTGGTAAAGTTGAATTGTTAGCATACATTTTTGTCTGGATTTTATGTTTGTCTCTGATAGATATTTTGAGGTGTCAGGGTTTGGCATAGAAGCTTATAAAACTGTAAACCCAGCCAAAACAAAATGATCTTTGTGCAAATTTTTGATAATTAAAACTAATTATGTTATTGGTTTAATGAAAACAGCTGAATCTTCTGAATTACTGGTGAAAATGCCCATGTAGTTAACTTTAAGATTCTTATTTTGATGAACACCTGATATTCACAGATTATAAAATGGTTAACAAGGAAATAACTAACCTTAAATGATGGTGCCTAATATCTCAGTTTTCAGAAGTAATCTAAATAAACTGTTAAAAACGAAAGAATTGAGTATATGTAAATGGAATAAAGGTTTTAGATAAATTTTTTGTGTAATTAAAAATCTTAAAATTATTTTTGATGCTCATTGGATACCTGGGTCATCTTCAATTAAGAAAGGGTTATGATATGGGGAAATATGTTTCCAAAGATTATGTAATTTTTATCTATAAAATGTTAATATCTGATTGTTCAGGATTTCTTCCTTCCTAGGGTTTCACTACAATTTTAGTGTAAGAATTCTAGTTGACATATAATTCTATATAAAATGTGCCCAAAAAGATATTAGTGAGAAAAAGCATAATTTTGTCCAATTCAGAAGTTATCTAAAATTACTTCAAATTATGGACTTGAAAATGGTTATTTATGAAACAAGGTAGTAAGAAACCAGTAAGTAAGAGAGAGAGATGTGAAGAAAGTTGAATATGAAGATGTACTTTTGGTAAAAATGATTATAAAGAAAAGATAATAATTTTGTATGACAGAGGATCTTATATAGTTAATTTTCCTCCTGGAGTAAAATGACTCTTTTTTAAGAAAGAAGAAAAAGAAAGTCTAGGACTGAACAGAAAGCCCAGTCATGTCATGGATGGTCTGTATAAGTCAGACGTAGTTTTTCCTGTTTCTCTGTGTGTTTATCTTCATGCACATACAGAGAAAATAGAAAGTTGAAAAAGTTTAGATAATAAAATATTCTTTAAAACCTGATAGAAAATTGGAGAAATTCGGCTAATTAACATTTTCATAGTTAAAGCTCTTAGTCTTGATGATAGGGGCAGAAGGCAGGGAAATATTAGGTAAAAAAGGGCAGGGTCCCTGGCAAGGGCTTCACCCTCAAGCCTGGACCCAGGCACAAAGTGAGAACATCCATTCTTGTTTTCCCACCCAAATGTTGCCTTTTCCAAAACCACTGTGGCCCACTTCTCCCCACATCCTATACCCATAAAAACCCCAGTCTCCACTGGCAGAGTGGTGCAGCAGAGGAGAGAAGAGAAGAAGCAGCGTGACATCAATGAGAAGCAGCTTGACTTCAGAGGGATGGCTTGACAGTGGTGCCTCAGAGTCCCTGGCCAAACTCCAGGGGAAGACCACCTTCCCATTCCATCCCCTTTCCAGCTTCCCATCCCACTGAGAGCCACTTTCATCAGCAATAAAATCCTCAGCATTTACCATTTTCAATTCATTCGTGCAACCTGATTCCTCCTGGACGCTGGACAAGGACCCTGGTGCGTGTGCAAGACGTTGTCAAACTGACCCTCCACTGAGCTGTCTAACACTTAAGCTGTCCATGAATGGCAAAACTAAAAGAGTGCACTGTAACACATGGGGCTCTGGGGGTCATGGGCAACCCCTAGATGCTGCTGCAGGCCTGCACAGAGTTCTGCTCCTGCCAGTTGCCCAGAAGCACTCCTCCTTACCTCTGCACCCACTCACCTGTGTGCTCCCCCTCCCATGAGGGGTTGAGAGCTATAGGCTGAGTAAGCAAGCCACCCCTTCATGAATCCCACAAAGGGGTCAAGGGAACTATCTCATTTCATTGATGAAGGTAAAATAAGAAATATTGTAAAGAAATGCATAGGCAATATGACAATTCTTTTGCATTAGAATATTTAATAATTACTAGTCGTGTGTCTAGAGTGAATTTCTGGATTGCACAGGATGTATAGTAATGTTGGTGGACTTAAGGATACTGAATTGTGTATCAGGAATAAAATATTCATTACGTGGGGTTTTGGGGCTCTAGGTAACACTGTAGCCTCTGGGGTAGACCGAGTGGGGGAAAGGTTGGAGGTTTGGAGGTAGGTTTCTTGTTTATTTGTTTTTGCTTTTTTTTTTTTTTTTTTTTTTTTTTTAGGAGTCTTACTCTGTCCCCCAGGTTGGAAGTGCAGTGGTGCAATCTCAGCTCACTGTAACCTCCGCCTCCCAGGTTCAAGCGATTCTCCTGCCTCAGCCTCCCGAGCTGAGATTACAGGCACGTGCCACCACACCCGGCTAATTTTTGTGTTTTTAGTAGAGATGGGGTTTCACTATGTTGGCCAGGCTGGTCTTGAATTCCTGACCTCAAGTGATCCATCCACCTCCGCCTCCCAAAGTGCTGGGATTACAGGCATGAGTCATGGCACCTGGGCTGTTTTTGCCTCTTTTTATTTGTTGTTCATTCTTCTTTGGATTTTGTTTGTGCATGCATATATACTATAGATTTTTTTTAGCATCTAGTGGAAGGCTTTTATTTGGTTCTGTGAATAGTTATTTTGTTTCATATGAATTTCTAACAAGTTATCACTTATTCTATTTATCTGGAATGCCTAGGCTGCCTTTGTTGGGCCCGCAGGAATTGATGGAGCACACCAGCCATTTGGAATTTGGTTTGTTTTGCTTACCTCTGATGATGTTGAAATCTATGAGCCCTTTAAGGATCCTGGCAAAAATAAAAGACTTGTTTTTACAAGTTCTGAGCAGAAATAGTACATTACATATTTCGTTATTTGGAAAAGTAGGTATGTTTAAATGTAATAAAGTAGGCATGTTTTAAAGTAGTAGAAATGTTTAAGTGATGTTTTTTCCAAGGTAATTCAATTAAATCAATGATTTGAGTTGGTTTCAGATCTTTTCCTTTAATGAGGAAAAACTGTGATATGGGTACAATTTTAATGTTCGAGAAAGACTGGCTTTGTCCTTAGGGAAATTATATTGGTTAGGATTTCTCTCAAACTAATTGAGTTGTGTTGATCATTATTAAAATTAAGGAATATTCATTTGGATTAAGTACTAATAAAAAATTCTGAGACTTTCTAGTGATCTCTGATCCCAGGCCATTTATCACTGATGGACCTTCATGTGTATACTTGAAAACAAAATATGTGCAGGCGTTGCACTGGTTTGAAGATTTTGGTGGTGAAAGTTACCTAATCAGCTGTCACTACTGTCTCTAGAAACCAGTCTTGGAAATGTGGGATGATGCTCTTTTAAATAACTGAAAAGAAATTATTGTGTACTTGTCCTTACTTTGTCCTTGTGTTGTTGTGTGATATTTAAGTGAAAGGAGATTATTTATCCTCTTACGGAATTGACAAAACTGACATTTGCATTTATCATTTTTTTAATGATGGAGAGAAAAGCTGGCTGTCTTATTTTGCCATAGGACCTATCACTTTTTGATGCTTTTGGTCACAGTTTTGTCACTAGAATACTAGCAATTAGATATATGCAGTGAGTAACCTAACTACTTAATACAGTGGTTTGAAGTGCTGCAGGCAGTAACTCCTAAAGGCCAAATTTCAGTGTTTTAATTTGTAACATGTTAGTGTGTCTGGAACTGGTGGGTTCTTGGTCTCACTTCAAGAATGAAGCCGCGGACCCTCGCGGTGAGTGTTATAATTCTTAAAGATGGTGTGTCCGGAGTTTGTTCCTTCTGATGTTTGGACGTGTTCGGAGTTTCTTCCTTCTGGTGGGTTTGTGGTCTCGCTGGCTTCAGGAGTGAAGCTGCAGACCTTTGCAGTGAGTGTTACAGTTCTTAAGCCAGCGCGTCTGGAGTTGTTCATTCCTCCCGGTGGGTTTGTGGTCTCGCTGGCCTCAGAAGTGAAGCTGCAGACCTTTGCGGTGAGTGTTACAGCTCATTAAGGCAGTGTGGACCCAAAGAGTGAGCAGCAACAAGATTTATTGCAAAGAGCAAAAGAGCAAAGCTTCCACAGTGTGGAAGGGGACCCGAGCAGGTTGCCACTGCTGGCTCAGGCAGACTGCTTTTATTCCCTTATCTGACCCCACCCACATCCTGCTGATTGGTCCATTTTACAGAGAGCTGATTGGTCCATTTTGACAGGGTGCTGATTGGTGCATTTACAAATCTTGAGCTAGATACAGAGTGCTGATTGGTGCATTTACAATCCTCCAGCTAGACATAAAAGTTCTCCACCAGATTAGCTAGACACAGAGCACTGATTAGTGCATTTACAAACCTTTAGCTAGACACAGAGTGCTGATTGGTGCGTTTACAAACTTGGAGCTAGACACAGAGTGCTGATTGGTGCATTTACAATCCTCCAGCTAGACATAAAAATTCTCCAAGTCCCCACCAGATTAGCTAGACACAGAGCACTGACTGGTGCATTTACAAACCTTTAGCTAGACACAGAGTGCTGATTGGTGCATTTACAATCATCTAGCTAGACATAAAAGTTCTCCAAGTCCCCACCAGATTACCTAGATACAGAGTGTTGATTGGTGCATCCACAAACCCCAAGCTAGACACAGAGTGCTGATTGGTGCATTTACAATCCTCTAGCTAGACATAAAAGTTCTCCAAGTCCCCACCTGACTTAAGGAGCCCAGCTGGCTTTGCCTAGTGGATCCCACGTAAGGGCCGTGGGCGGAGCTGCCCACCAGTCCCGCACCACGCGCCCACACTCCTTAGCCCTTGGGCGGTCGATGGGACCGGGTGCCACAGAGCAGGGGGCAGCACCTGTCAGGGAGGCTCGGGCTGCACAGGAGCCCACAGTGGGGAGGGGGGCAGGCTCGGGCATGGCAGGCTGCAGGTCCTGAGCCCTGCCCCACCAGGAGGCGGCTGAGGTCTGGCAAGAATTTGAGCGTGGTGCAGGCAGGCCGGCAGTGCTGGGGGACCTAGTGCACCCTCCATGGCTGCTGGCCTGGGTGCTAATCCCTTCACTGCCTAGGGCCGGTGGTGCCGGCTGCCTGCTCCGAGTGCGGGGCCTGCCAAGCTCATGCCCACCCGGAACTAGTGCTGGCCTGCAAGCGCCATGCGCAGCCCCAGTTCCTGCCCACGCCTCTCCCTCCACACCTCCCCGCAAGGAGAAGGAGCCGGCTCCAGCCTCAGCCAGCCCAGAGAGGGGCTCCCACAGTGCAGCAGTGGGCTGAAGGGCTCCTCAAGCACGGCCAGAGTGGGTGCTGAGGCTGAGGAGGCGCTGAGAGCAAGCAAGGGCTGCCAGCATGCTGTCACCTCTCATTAGAATGATAGAACTTTCTGTAATATAAACATTGTATTAATGAATGCTTGTGCTGTTAAGTTACAGGGCTTTGACTCTTGGGTCTGAAGAAGGCACCAGCCCCTGCTAAATTCTGAGCATTGACACCAGTGGAAGCCTCATCCTCAGACTTGGAAGAAGGTAACAATACAAATGAACTGTTTTTGTGAGACACAGGCCAGAAATTAAAACTATTCAATCCCTCTAGGCCCAGAGACTATTGCAGAAGTGGTAGGTGTGTGAAGTTATAAGGGCTGATTTTGAGGCATAAGATTAATTCAGAGTTTTTCTATAAATTAAACATTAATATCAAAAGCTCCCTGATGCAAGGCCAGCATCTGGGCCCATGTGTTGGAATAACAGGGTTTTCTTGGAACATTTATCTGTTCTTTAATAGAAAATTGGAAACAATTATTAAAAGTTTATGGAAACCTTACCTTATGGTCAAACTGATTGCAATTAGATTTTTATAAGGTTTTATTAAAATTAGCTTTGACATTAGTAATATACCATACAAAGGTAAAATATCGTTTTCTTTTGAATAAAATGTTTGTGTAATACTGAGAGATAAAAGATGATGTTGACCTTCTGAGTACACTGCAGGGAGATAATGGAGTGGAGAGAGAGATTTAGTTAGCCTCATGCTGTCTTTATTAGGTCTTACTGTTTGGGAAACTAAATCTATCAAAAAGTAAACGTCTTTATTTTATCACCTCCGCTAAATGAATGACTATTTTTACAGTGACTTGTGATATTATTTTGTGCCTAAAACTTCGCTATTTGGCAAACTTTTTTTTTTCTTTTGAGACGGAGTCTTGCTCTTTCACCCAGGCTGAAGTGCAGTGGCGCCATCTCAGCTCACTGCAAGCTCCACCTCCCGGGTTCACACCATTCTTCTGGATATTCGGCAGACTTCTAAGAGCAAACTTTCAAGTTCTAAATTCAGTCTCTTGACCTTAAACTAACTTTCTTGGATATTAGGTTCCCTGAAGTCTGAGAGAGACATATTAGGCTGATTTGTTACGTTAGGATTATGCAAGAAGCATTGCCAAATCTGAGATGATGTTTAACTTCCCTTGGGTTATATTTATATAGATGTATTGTTAGTATGTGTTCCAGGATTGTATGAGAGTCCTAAAATTCTGATACGTCTTAATATATGTTGTCAGTAGTAATTATTATTATATTAAGTTGTTTTATGCCACAGAAATGATTAAGTTTCCTTGTCAACTGTGTCTTTAACTATGGCTGTCTGAAGACTTTTGTCATCCACAATTGATGTTTTGCTGTGATCCTTCTCAAAAGAAAAAAAGTGACTTACAATCAGCTATAGTCCAAAGCTTCCTTCTTTGGAGGAGTTCATGAAAAAGACTCTTGAATGCAGGTTTCTGATAACTTTGGAGATTGTGCCACTAGATTAGAGAGAAAATTTCCAGGGCACTAATTGAAAGGCTGATGTGCTCATAAAGATTCCCAACCCAATACGAAGCAGAGCAGGAGGTGATTGCATGGACTGAACTAATGCAGGACAGAAAGAACTTTTTATGGCTTTTGTTGTTTGAAATATTGCTGATTCTTTTGGTTTTGTTTTTCAGAGTCTGGAGAATCTTTTTCTTTTGAGCTATTTATTTATAGCCTTTAAGTGTATTTATAGTCTTAAAGTATATATACTTCAAGGGTATTGAATGGAGTATGCTTTTATAAACAGAATTTGAGAGATATTTCTCTGCTTAATTTATCCAGAATATGGAAACTCTTTGTGAATATTCTTAATTCATGGTGTTTGTTTGCACACAATTAATAACATGTTTTCTTTTGTAATGGGACACAGTTGGAGTAACTGGTTATCTTCTCAAGGCTTTGACTGAAATGGCCTTGTGAGATTCCAGCAAAGCCAATTTGGGAGTCTATATGGACAATGATTCTTGTTGCACTTTGTGGGTTATCAGGCCAAGTATATGGAACTGAAGCTTATTTTGCAGGTAGAGTGGTCCTGCTGTGATTGTCTTTGGTGGAAGTGGGGAACTGGAGAGAGAAAGATTGAGTGTCAGAAGAAAACTCTATATTAGATTAACCTTTGATTCCTGGGTGGCCACTGCCTAGGACACCCATCCTCAGAATGAAACAGCCAGAAATACTCAGACCAGATTCCTCATGATTGAGGGATTGATAAGTAGAAAGGGGAGACTGAAACCAGCCCAATTGCCCCACAGACCATTATTTTTGATAACTATAGAAATTGATCCTTCTGGGCTTAAAGCTTGAAATTTACATCTGTTTTATGTGAGTTCCTTCCTCAGGAAAGGAACTTCAGGCCTCTCAAAAAAGTATCAAAGAACTAAAACTCACCAGATCACTACACCAGATAGTACCCCTCATTCTCATGATTGCTTCCTTGCCCCCCCCACCCCGAGTTCCTGTTTTCTTACACATAGTTACATTTCTTCCCCGCTATATAAAGCCCCAGTTTTAGTAGGTCAGGGAGATGGATTTGAGGCTGAGCTCCCATCTCCTGGACTGCAGCACCCAGTTAAAGACTTCTTCCTTGGCAGTACTCATCTCAGTCATTGGCTTTCTGTGTGGCAAACAACAGGACCTACACCAAACCCTTGGTGTTTTGGTAACCAATTGAGGGACCTGATATCAGTGAGCAGCTTCCCCTCCAACTCAGCTTCCCACCTTAGGGACCCAGGCACCAGGTTGGATGCTTCCACATCCTCCCACCCTATATCCAGTCATTGGCTCCTGTTTATTTTACCTCTTAAAGTACTTCCCAAGTGTATCCGTATCTCATAACCCCAACCACAAACCACTACCCAACTCCCATGACTGCCATCCCTTGCTGTAAAGCAGCTGAGCCTTCCACTGGCCTCTCCACCCACATTGCTGCTGTGGTCTTGTATCTGGAATTGGTTCCTTTCAGTGGGTTCTTGGTCTCACTGACTTCAAGAATGAAGCCACAGACACTTGCAGTGAGTGTTACAGTTCTTAAAGACGGTGTGTCCAGAGTTTGTTCCTTCAGGTGTTCAGATGTGTCCGGAGTTTCTTCCTTGCAGTGGGTTCTTGGTCTCGCTTGACTTTAGGAGTCAAGACACAGACCTTCGCAGTGAGTGTTACAGCTCTTAAAGCTGGCGCATTGGGAGTTGTTTGTTCCTCCCGGTGGGTTCATGGTCTCGCTGACTTCAAGAGTGAAGCTGCAGACCTTCACAGTGAGTGTTACAGCTCATAAAGGTAGTGCAGACCCAAAGAGTGAGCAGCAGCAAGATTTATTGTGAAGAGCAAAAGAACAAAGCTTCCGCAGAGCGGAAGGGGATCCCAACGGGTTGTCACTGCTGGCTTGGATGGTCAGCTTTTATTCCCTTATTTGGCCCTGCCCACATCCTGCTGATTGGTCCATTTTACAGAGCACTGATTGGTCCATTTTACCTAGTGCTGATTGGTCTGTTTTTACAGAGTACTGATTGGTGCATTTACAAACCTTTAGCTAGACACAGAGTGCTGATTCGTGCATTTTTACAGAGTGCTGACTGGTGCGTTTACAAATCTTTAGCTAGACACAGTGCTGATTGGTGCATTTTTACAGAGTGCTGATTGGTGCATTTACAAACCTTTAGCTAGACACAGAGCACTTATTGGAGCATTTTTACAGAGTGCTGATTGGTGCATTTACAAACCTTTAGCTAAGCACAGAGCACTAATTGGTGTGTTTTTACAGAGTGCTGATTGGTGCATTTACAAACGTTTAGCTAGACACAGAGCGCTGATTGGTGTGTTTACAATCCTTTAGCTAGACAGAAAAGTTCTCCAGGTTCCCACCCGACCCGGAAGCGCAGTCAGCTTCACCTCTCAGTCCTTTTAAAATGCCACTCTGGCCATGTCATGCCACTACTTTCTCTGGCACCCAAGGCCCTTTAGGATGCAGCCTCTCACCCTCCAGCCTCCCCGCCCATGCTCCAGACCCACCAGTCACCTAGCTCCTCTCTGTTTTCCCACCTCTGTGCCTTTGCACATGCTCTTCCTTCTGCCTGTGGTCCCTTTCCACTGTCTTTAGTGGGAAAATTCCTGCACATTTTCAAGCCCCCAGTTCAAATGCACTTTCTCTGTGAACCTCCCCATTGGTGTCGCCTGGCAGAGGGACTGAGCTCCACCAACACCCCCAGCACATCTTCACTGTAGCACCCGGCATGCAGTATCAGCATCTGCTTCTGTGCCCGCTGCCTCCAGCGCTCTGCCCAGAGATACATTGCACGTTGAGATCCTTTTCCCACACTCACATGCACAGTGGATACAAAGGTTTCCCAAACATCATTTTCCCCTGCTGCTTGCTATGACCACTAATATCTTCTATTATAGTCTATTCTGTTTCTTTTTTAAAAAACATGTTAGTCCATCCATTAAATTCATTTTGCTACAGTTTGAAAAACATTGCCCTGGAACCTCCTGTAGGGCGGCAGGGACTGTATCTGTAATTATCTCTCCATCTCCCAGAGCTTAGGACAGTAATAAATATTTGTTCTAATAAATGAGTAAATAAATGAGAGAGTGATTATTTAAATGTGAATGTATTATTTAAACAATTATTTAAATGTGGTTTGATGTAAGGGAATACAATGACAAGTGAGTAGGTGAATGAATGAGTGAGTGAATGAATAAATGAAGAGACTGGTTATGTTGTGGGGACTGGCAGCATAAGTCAGTGGGTTGCCTCAGGCCCTGTACCCCTAGTGCACGGTTTCTCCAAGTGTGGTTCCTGGACTTCCCCCATCAGAATGTCCTGGAGAGTATAGTGAAAACACTGGTTGCCTGCTACCCACCTCAGGCCTACTGAATCAGACTTTCTGAGTGGGGCACAGAAGTCTTCATTTTTTGAAGCTGCTCAGGTGATTTGGGGGTGTGTTAATGTCTGAATGGCTGCCCCAGGACCTCCCTAAGCTGCTGTTGGTGGGGGAATGGTAAGAGGAGCAGAGCAGCAACAACAAAGACAGGTAACAGCCCCCCACATCCTCCCTTCCTCCCTGATCTGCTTCAGAAGGAAATGGACTTCGGGTGAGCCTGCTCCTCCTCCACCTCGCCCTGCGCCCAGCAGTGAGAGGACACCAGAGCCCCGTCCAGCACTGCTGACAGAAGAGCAGAAGGCAGTGATTGCCATGGCAACGCATTAAGAGATGCGGAGCCACCTCCAGTTTTAGCATCTGGAAAGGGGTCAAGTCTTTGGGGCATAGAGTGGGAAGGGAAATTCACTCCCCCAGAGTCTTCATAGCTAACAAAGCCATGGCACAGTGCATGTTACAAAGCCCTTTCACACAAGAAAACTAGGAAGTGGTATCCCCATTTTACAGATCAGAAAACTAGGGTGGGAATCTCCTGCCAAGCCAGTCAGTGGCAGAGCTAGTGTTTGAATCCAGCCTTCCTGATTTCAAAGTCGATACTCTTGCTTCTCTAATAGTTGCCTGTCTTGGGTAAATGACAGACAAGGACCCAGAGACCCCAGAGTCCTGCTGGTGTGAGGGTTTGGGAGCACATGTGTTGGCCCACTCTACTTGACACAATCCATGGCCCACTACACTTGGCACCTATCTGGCAAGGCTCACACCTGCACAGATACACAAGCAGAAAAGCTTCCAAAATTGTTCATGCATGCATGCATGTTGGACATGTAGACACATCCAAAGGAAGTGTACACACAAACAGCCTCACATGCACACACGGATGCCTGAACACACATATTCACCAATATAGACACATATGTCTGCAAACACATACGCAGGCACACACTGGTATATACATGGAAGCAGATGTAAAATTAATTGTCTTCCTGGTCCTGAGTCATCACCCCTCCACATACCCACTTCTTTTGACATATGACTTTGCAATTCCTCTCTTCTGAGAGGGAAGATCTATTTCCCCATCCACTGAATCCAGGCTTGGCAGTGTAACTTGCTCTAACCAATGCAGTATTAGCAAATATGATGCAAGCAGAACCTTGAAAAAGTGCTTGTGTGGTTCTGCTTCTGTCTCTTGGTCCTTGCCATCACTGTGAGAACATACTTGGGATGTAAAGGAGGAGACACCTGGTGCAGAGGCAAGGCACCTCATTTGCCCCAGCTGAGGCCATCCTAGATCAGACAGCCCATGGCCAACCACCAGAAGTGGGAAATGAGGCTGGGCGCAGTGGCTCATGCCTGTAATCCCAGCATTTTGGGAGCCCGAGGTGGGCGGATCACAAGGTCAAGAGATCAAGACCATCCTGGCCAACATGGTGAAACCCCGTCTCTACTAAAAATACAAAAATTAGCTGGGTGTGGTGGCGTGTGCCTGTAGTCCCAGCTACTCAGGAGGCTGAGGCAGGAGAATCGCTTGAACCCGGGAAGTGGAGGTTGTAGTGAGCCAAGATCGTGCCACTGCACTCCAGCCTGGGTGACAGAGCGAGACTCTGTCTCAAAAAAAAAAAAAAAAAGCGGGAGACTAGCTAGCTAAAACCAGAAGAACAGCCCAGCAGAGCCTAGCTGATTTGTGAGCCAAATAAATATTTATTGTAGTGTGCCACTGAGGTTTTGTGCCACTAAAGTTCTGTGGTTGGTTGTTACACAGTATCTGCTCTACTGATAGATAACTGATACACATCCCCAAACTGATACATTCCCAAAGGGTAATTTATCATGGGAGAAGGCCCTAGCTATGTGTTTACCTGGTCACATGGTTTTGTAAAACTCACAAAAGTAAAAATCTTTAAAATAATAGCTTGATTGAAATATAATTCACTTACTATAAGATTCACCCTTTCGACGTGTACAATGCAGTGATTTTTAGTATATTCACAAAGTTGTACAACCATCACCATTATCTAAGTCTAGAACACTTTATTCATTCCTAAAAATCAACCATTAGCAGTAACTCCCCATTTCCTTCCTCCCTGGCAAACACTAGTCTTACTTTCTGACTCAATACATTTGCCGGTTCTGGGCATTTCGTATGAATGGAATCATACAGTTTGTGGCCTTTTGTGTCTGTCTCCTTTCATTTCACATATGTTTTCAAGATTCATATGTGTAGTAGCAGGTATCAGTGCTTCATTCCTTTTTTGTAGCCAAAGAATAATCCATAGTTTGGATATGCCACATTTTGTTTGTCCATGCATCAAATGATGAACATTTAGGACAAGCAACACATTCTATCCGCAACTGGTTAAGACTCCTAGCTCATTCTACTCACACTTCCCCTCATGACAGGTGGCATTTGGGGAGAGTTGACTTGGTGATACATTTAGTTTGAGATCAGAGCATATATGGATGTGGTTCACCACCTCTTCCATATATAGGTTATTATTATTCTGGCTCCTATGGTTTGAATATTTGTCCCCTCCAAAACTTGTAGTAAAACTTAATCCCTAATGTGGCAATATTAAAAAGTAGAACCTGTAAGAGGTGATTGGGTCATGAGGGCTCTGCGATGGGTTATTATGGGGGTGGGACCGGTGGTTTTCTAAGAAGAGGAAGCAAGACTTGAACTGGCACACTCAGCCCTTTTGTCATGTAATTAAAAAGCGGAACCTGTAAGAGGTGATTGGGTCATGAGGGCTCTGCCCTCATGAATGGATTAATCCATTCAGGGATTAGTGGATTAATGGGTTATCCTGGGAGTGGGGCCGGTGGTTTTCTAAGAAGAGGAAGAAAAACTTGAACTGGCACACTCAGCCCTTTTGCCATGTAATGCCCTGAGCCACTTTGGGACTCTGCAGAGAGTCCCCAGCAGCAAGAAGCCCCTCACCAAAGGCAGGCCCTCAACCTTGAACTTCTCAGCCTCCATAAATGTAAGAAATAAATGATTTTTCTTTCAGGTATTGTGTGATAAACAACACAAAATAGACTAAGACACTGACATAGCAATGACCTCCAGAATAGCCCTATTGCCCCCATGCCAACTTGCCCTGCATCATGACATGAAGGAGTGAGGCCTATGGCTGTACCAAAATATCTCAGTGTGTGGTCTGGTGCCCAGTACCAGAAAGGTGTGGGCCAAAGAAGAGAAACAGTGTTGGAAATGGACAGAGCCAGAAATGGAAATGGAAAATTATTCAGATCATCACAGACAGTATTATAACTGGATTCAGTTCTCACTGACACCTAATCGAAAAAATTTTTTTTTCCATTTGGGCATATGCTTGATAATGCAGCATATCCCTAATAAGGTAACATATAGCATTATAAATATACCATACATTTTTCTTTTTGTGATGGAAAACATACAAAATTGAATTTATCAGAATTCTTGAGTCTGTAGGAGCCAAACCCAAGGCTGTGCTGCAAGAAGCAAGTATGTATATGAAGTTACATCTTGTGCATCCTAACTCGTGGTGAAAAAACGAATTTCAGTCGACCGTGTCAGAGGAAAGGCTGACTTATCATTCTTTTCTCTATTAGAAAAGATTATTAAAAATCATAAACATATGAAAAGTATATAGCAAAACTACCATGAAATGCATTTCAGAGGGTATCAGGAAGTTAATTAACACATATGTCATTTTTCTAGATTTTGCAGTGTTTCTGACCCTTGTCAATTTTTTAAAATTTTGTAACATTATGATTTCTTTTTAAATTCTAAATATGCATATGCATACCTAAATTAGGATTGATAATTTTGAAATCTTTTCCTTAAAGAGGGTCCCCCAAATTATATCAACTGAACCCCCTTCACTGCAAAATGTGGCTCCCTCCTGATACACACACCAGTGCATGCACACACATACCTATGCACCCCCAAGAGCCGACGCTGCCCAATGTCAGGGATGGAAGAGGAATCACAACTCTGCCCTTAGGCGGTGAGTGACTTCTTTGGTCATAAATAGAATCCCACCCTTGAGAAACTGCAGAGCAGCTCAGAGACACACCCTACCACTGGCTCATCTTGGACAAACAACACAATTGTTTTTGCAGGCTGTGGTGCTCTGCCCTACCCAGACACCTCCCATCCATAAGGCCCAGCCCTTCCCTCTCCCTCCGTCCTGGCTTTTGGAAATCTTCAGCAGCCCTGTCTGCCTCCAGAATGATCTCTTCAGCTACTCCATACTCAGGGTATAAATCGAGGAAGAAGAACTCTTTTCAGGGGAATATTTGTGAAAGCAATGCTTATCCCTAAGGAATAAGCCACTGATGGTGGAGTTTTGTCATGGTGAAGGATGACAAATGGAAATATTTGTGGGAACTGCAGCCTTCCCACCTCACATATTTTGGGGGGCTCCTTCTCTCTCTCTCATTTTCTGTGTGCGTTTTGACTTCACTCTTCTTTCTGCTTCTGGCTGCTTGTATCTGCTTGGCCTCTACACCACAGGTCAGCACACTTTTTCTAGAAAGGGCCAGACTGTAAGTATTTTAGGTTTTATAGGTGACACAGTCCCTGTTGCAACTACTCATCTCTGCCACAGAGTGAAATCAACCCTAGACAACACTCAAACAAATGAGTTAAATCAACCCTGGACAACACTCAGACAAATGAGTGAAATCAACCCTAGACAACACTCAGACAAATGAGTGAAATCAACCCTAGACAACACTCAAATGAGTGAAATCAACCCTAGACAACACTCAGACAAATGAGTGAAATCAACCCTAGACAACACTCAGACAAATGAGTGAAATCAACCCTAGACAACACTCAGACAAATGAGTGAAATCAACGCTAGACAACACTCAAATGAGTGAAATCAACCCTAGACAACACTCAAATGAGTGAAATCAACCCTAGACAACATTCAGACAAATGAGTGAAATCAACCCTAGACAACACTCAGACAAATGAGTGAAATCAACCCTAGACAACACTCAAACAAATGAGCACAGCTGTGTTCCAAGCAGGCCAGAATCAGCCCACAGGCTGGACTTTGCCAACCCCTGTTCTAGACTTTAAGCTCCCTGAGGGCAGGGCCTGAGTCTGTCTGTTACACCACTGAATTCCTAGGGCCTAACAGCATGCCTGGCATGGATTGAGTGCTCAGCACATATCAGCTGGCTGTGGCTCTCTGTGTCTGTCAGTCTGTCTTGTTTCCTTCTCTGTCCCCTCCATCCATGAAAACTCACTAAGCCTCAGCTTTTCAGAAATGAACCACCTGCTCCCAAGCGAGTCAGACAATGAAAACAGCCTCACACTCTAGCAATCTGCTGCTTGGCGCAGCTCTCACAGGGCATTTAGGCAGTGAAGGGAGCCTAGCACTTAATTCAGCCTCTCTCAAAGGGCTCAACACCAACCTGGGAGAAGCATGAAGATGGAGAGGCTGAGGGAACCTTTGGAGGGCAGGGCTGGTGTCTCTGCAAGATGGACAGCCGCCTTGCAGGCACACCATGCTGCTGCTTCCCTTGCACACAGCCCCCAGTCCCTTTCTCCCTTCCTGTCATCCTTCATGCACTCATTCAATATTTACTGAGCTCCAACACTGTGCTAGAAAATTAGCCCTAGCACAGACATGGAAATCCCTCCCCAAAATAACTTGTTAACAAATAAATTAATGATCAGTTGGACAAAAGAGTGTTTAGAGGTAAGAACTGGTTCTGCTGGCAGCAAACAGGCATGTTTTTCTTTCTTTTTTTTTTTTCCAAGATAGAGTCTTGCTCTGTCACCCAGACTGCAGTGCAGTGGTGCGATCTCGGCTCACTGCAACCTCCGCCTCCTGGGTTCAAGCAATTCTCCTGCCTCAGCCTCCTGAGTAGCTGGGATTACAGGCACACACCACCACGCCCGGCTAACTTTTGTATTTTTAGTAGAGACAGGGTTTCCCCATGTTGGCCAGGCTGGCCTCAAGCTCCTGACCTCATGATCCTCCTGCCTCAGGCTCCCAAAGTGCTGGGATTATAGGCGTGAGCCACCGCAACCGAACAGGCACATTTTTTCTGAGGATAATCACCCTGAGATCTCTCAACAAAGGGAGGCATTAGAAAATGACCAGAGTCATCCCCAGTGTCATCCATAGGGAGCCCAGAACAACCTCACCCCAGATTCTGCCCCAGAGCAGGAGGCTGTTCCAAGGGCATGGGGTAGTAGGCACATTAGAGATGGGGACATGAGGGCCAGTGGCAGAGTTGACTGTCAGAATCTCACCACCACGATGTCCAAAGTGAAGCTGAGAATGCTTCAGAGAAGATGATGTGATATAGACATGTGTTCTTGATTTTTTGCTATGACTCCAGCGTAGTCAGTTGCCTCTCCTAGAATTCACAGTCCAGGTGCGGCCAGCTGCCATTTTCACTGCAGTATCAGCTTCACTGGCTCCAGAAGCCACGAGGACAAGGGTTTCATTTGTCTTTAGTGCTGATCAACACCAGTGGCTCGGTTGATTAGCATAATGACTGTTAAAAATAAATGAGTTTTCAGAGGTGAAATCAGTGGCTTGTTAGCCAGCTTAATGGATGCTGGAAACAGGCACTTGTTGATAAAATTAGTGGGATTCAGAATACACAGCTCGGTTAAAATATTTTAGAGGCACTTCCTCCCCTGGCACAAATTAGGTGTAAGAATCCAGCAAGCCCCAGGGATGGCACTTCAGGCTGCTCCCTGGTAGGTCCTGGGTCCAGCCACTGGTTAAGGGTGATTCTGGCGGGCACAGTGGCTCACGCCTGTAATCCCAACACTTTGGAAGGCCGAGGCAGTCAAATCACTTGAGGTCAGGAGTTTGAGACCAGCCTAACCAACATGGTGAAACTCCATCTCTACTAAAAAATACAAAAAATTAGCTGGGCGTGGTGGCAGCCGCCTGTAGTCCCAGCTACTTGGGAGGCTGAGGCAGGAGAATGGCGTGAACCCAGGAGGCGGAGCTTGCAGTGAGCCGAGATCGTGCCACTGCACTCCAGCCTGGGCAACAGAGCGAGACTCCGTCTGAAAAAAAAAAAAAAACTTAGCAGGGCATGGTAGCATGCACCTGTAATCCCAGCTACTCAGGAGGCTGAAGCAGGAGAATCTCTTGAACCCGAGAGGTGGAGGTTGCAATGAACCAAGATTATGCCACTGCACTCCAGCCTGGGCAACGGAGCAAGACTCCATCTCAAAAAAGTGATTCTGGTTGCCTGATGTGGCCTGTAACAGTCACAGAATGTGACTCTGGAATATTCTTACGTCTGCCTTGAATCTGCTGAGTTTAATAAATACATGTTGCATGAACTGTCTGGGACCTGCTTGCTCATAACAGTTGCCTACTAAATGTCTTTGTGGGGGCAGAATTCTGTCCACAACTTGCTTTCATGTGAACCTGGTAGCAAGACTAGGGGAAGCGGCAGGTCCTCATTCACTGCTAATTGTTGGCTAACACCGCTGGCCACCAAGGAGAGCCTGGAGTTGTGCATTTCAGATTGGCTTAGGTCTTTTTGCAATAATGGCTCAAGGAGTCACTGGGCCTTTAACCAGATCTCCTCACTCCCGGCCACTGCTCTGTCTATGTCATTTGGGAGGGAACAAAATGCAGCTTACCACCTCCCTGCAGGCATCTTCCCTCCAGCCCCTGGACTTGGCCCCTGGCCAGAAGCTGTCAGCCTGGTGCACAGGATAGTTCAGGGAGAGTAGACAAGGGTGGGGAATGCCTCGGGCTTCCTAAATTTCATTAGAGTTATGCCATGCATTCCTTTTTTGGGGGTTTCTGTGGGCACCAAAAGGCTTTCTAGAGCTGGCTCACATGACCCAAACCCCAGGCCCAGGCAGCCTTCTGTCTTCCATAGGTGGTCTAGAGATTTCCTGCCTTCTGAAGCTTGTCTGGGAGGCAGGAAGACCACGGCGGAGGAGAAAGGAGCACTTCTACACACCTCCTCACTGACACCCCTGCCTGCCTTTGTCAGACCTTCGGAGGAGGCACTCCATGGAGAAAGGGCTCCAGCTGACACTCTGAGTTGTGCAGCGTGGGGTGGGGTCCGGAAGATGTACTATTCCAGGAAACGATTCTACTCCAAGATGGGGGGGCCAGCAGAATCGCCCAGGCCAGGCTGTGGCAGATGAGCCGTCCCTCTTACAGGCAGGTGAATCGGGAGCTGTCCCTCTGCCTGGAATACTCCCCTAAGGCCCTCCACAGTTGCATTGAAAATGTCACTTGATGCAGCTGACTCATCTGGGCCTGAACTCTGGATGGGCTGGACGACTGCCATTAGGTTCCTTTGACTGGAAGCACACTGGGAGAGGTGCATGGGCCTCCCTTGGTGATGTCCCTTGTCCCTTTGCATGGACACTACCAGAAGGCCGTCTGTCCCTTCGTCAGGTGGTCGCAGGCATAGCCAGTCCAGCTGCCCACAGGAACGACCGTGATTGCAACCTTTATGCTGGCTTTCCTCATGCCTGGTGTCACCTCCCCACTCCTCCCCTGCTGCTCCCCGCGTTCGCTCCCAAATAAACTCCCGCACCTAGGTCTCTGCTCCAGGCTCTGCTCTCAGGGGAGCTCAAGATGAGCCTCCACAGGGAGGTCTTCCCTGACCACTTAGAGGAGGCTGGGTCACCCTGTTGGACACTCTAGCCACTCCCTGCACTTCCCGTTCTCAGCACTTAATGGCCTTGTGATTAAGAAACTTTTGGTATAGTTATTTATTCCTATCTCACTCCTGACTAGGCTATAAACTCCCCAGGCAGAGAAGAGTCTGTCCTCTGAACCACTTTTGCTCAGAGTGCATAGTAGGTGCTGAGAACTAAAAATCAAATCCTAAGCCCCACAACGGACTGAACAGACCCACTCTTGGCCAAGGGGACCCAGGAGAAACCTTAAAAACCAAGTTCCTGGCCATGATGGGACAGGAGGCCAAACACATCTCAGTATGCCCCTTACTTACTGACTTTTAACCAGAATTCCTTCGTAAGGAGTAAGCAGATTTGGAAAACAAGAAACAGACGACTCATTCCTTTATTACCTTCAGCCAATCGTGACCATGCCAATGAGGCCATGACCAGACTCCCTCTTCCCCTTTGCAGTTTTGACATGAAAGCTCACCAGCTTCATAATGGTATCCCTTCCTAAAAACTGACCACCCTCCAGCTTTAAAAAAAAAAAAAAGAAAGAAAAAAAAAAAGAAAAGAAACGGCCAGTGACCATCTCTGGGCCAGTTTTGGCCACCCTCTGGAGGATGTGCGTGAGGGTTTTCACGTCCTTTGCTTCACCTTTTGATGTCTGAGGACCAAAAATTCCACCCTTGAGGATCATACTAACCCTGGTATTGTTTGGACATGCAACCCAAGAAGAGGCATGAAGCTGGACCACGCATGTGCATGTTTCTCCTTTCATCAGTATTCATGGCTCCTCCGGTCGCTGGTTACGTGTGTATATTCAGCCGTCTCACTCAGCATAAGTTCCTGTTCCCTTTACCCTTCCCTCAAACTGCTTGCTCTCTGCAGAGCCAGAGGCCATGCTGCCCAGCCTATGGGATGGCTGGCCTGCAGGCTGCCTCTGTTTATGATAAATAAAGATCTCCTTTCCACATGTGTGAACCTCATCATTCTTCAGTTGACAGTGCTTAAGAATATTCCTTGGATGAATGAATGATGGATGGGAAACAGAGTGGACACAGTTGTTATCGCTTTCCACCTCTGCCACATTGGCGAAGCCGCTGAAAGTCTCCCTGGTAAGTTTCCTTCCGTCCCAGGCCACAATGAAGTTTGAAGGAGACCATGAGCCCTTAAATTTCCTAAAGGACTGAGCAGAAGAAAATGATGACTGCCATGCCCAAAGAAGTTCTGAGGTCTTCTCAGACCTGCCTGTGTGAGGTTGGGGGAGCAAGAATTAGCATTTATTGAGCACCTACTACTTGCTAAGCACTTGATTGATATCATGAGATGTCAATGTGTTAACTCACGTCCTACTCCACTCCTTAAAGCCTGGTGAAGAACTATGAGAGGGAAGTCTTGGCTCTGCTCACTCTGCTGGGGCATTCATTATTCGGTCAATAAACCATGTCAGGCCCATCTTTATCTCTAACAGCAATAATAGAAGACAACACTTACTGGGCACAAACACAGTGCCCTAGTAATGCTTAGAGGTAAACACTGTTGTTACTTTGTTATTGAGGATCAAAGGGATTGCCCAATGGCACGCATATTTAAAAGAACAAGACTGAGATCAAGCCCAGGTCTGTCTGACACCAAAGCCCAGACGCCTTGCCTTTCCCTGGAGCAGGCCTCCTTTGCCAGGTTTCCTGATGGCTGGAGGAGCCAGGAATCCTGATGGTTTCCTGAAACCCAGCCCCGCTCCCAGTCCTCATCCTTAGGTCCACGTGCAGACAGCCTGCAGAATAAGCACACACCAACTTTGCATTAATGGCAGTGAGTTGTCAAAATGCCCTGGAGCCAGAATTTTCCTGCCATGGCAACTATAGAGCACAATGGCAAGCCAGGAAACCATAGGGTGTGGGAAGCAGATCCTGGGCCAGAGGGTGGGCTGGGAATTGGGCCCCCAGGGTCCCATATCACCGTCAGAGAAACCCCGCAAGGTTGGCATAATTATCCTCATCTTACAGAGGAGGAAAGTGAGGTCCACAGAGAGGAAGTGACTTGCTCAGGTTCACATGGCCGGTCTATGACTGCATTGGACGCAACAGATTAAATCTTTTCAGTGGCCGGGCGCAGTGGCTCACGCCTGTAATCCCAGCACTTTGGGAGGCCGAGGTGGGTGGATCATGAGGTCAGGAGATCAAGACCATCCTGGCCAACATGGTGAAACCCTGTCTCTACTAAAAATACAAAAATTAGCCGGTTGTGGTGGCACACGCCTGTAGTCCCAGCTACTTGGGAGGCTGAGGCAGGAGAATTGCTTGAACTCGGGAGGAGGAGGCTGCAGTGAGCCGAGATCATTCCACTGCACTCCAGCCTGGCGACAGAGCGAGACTCTGTCTCCAAAAAAAAAGAAAAAACACTTTTTCATGTTCCAGAAACAGAATAATTTTAAAAAGAAAAAAAAGGCTGCTAGAGTATTACTGAAATTCAGTTCTATTGCTGTAACTGATTAAAGCTCAATGATATTGCTGTGATTGGTAGACAGCAAAATTGAAGAATAGAGAATTCTTAACCATTGTCACCCACCCAGATGATGTCTGCATCCTACTACTTAAGAATTTTTGTTAGCCTCCAGTCATTTTATTTTTTCACATCTGTTATCTCAGTGCTATCCAACCACTCCATAAAATGGATTCCAGTCATATCTGTAGTTTACAGATAAGGAAATGGAGGCCCAAAACTTAAGCAGTTTCCCAAGTTAACACAGCCAGGAAATGGTAGAGGTGGGATTTGAACCCAGCCTGAATCCTGGGCCCATTCTCTTAACTACTGCACTTAACCAGGCTCTGTTCAGTGCTTTGCAATCATTACTCCATTTAATCCTCACAATAATCTTCTAATACTTGTGCTTTGATTATCCCATTTAAAGTTAAAGCGACAGAAACTCAGAGAGGGGAAGGCATGGTTCAGGGCTCTCAGCAAACAATATCTGGCCACGAGGAAAGTCCCAGAGACAAAGGCCACCAGGAAATTCCAAAGTCATTTCGCATGGGAGAACAACAGCCATGTTCTTCCATCACATGTGCTGAGCTTGTCACCTTGCTCTGGGGCTGGACAGGAGGTGAATTATGGGGATGCCTATGGAAACTGCCCGGCTTGCCCAGGATCTGGGATTGGGGGAGCTTCAGTAACTTAGCAGGTCAATGAGTTGTGGCTGGTGACTTCTCAGCCATCAGCCAGACCAGGGAAATGACTTTTCGCCATCCTCCCATTGTTGTCCCGTTGGATCCTTGAAATCTCCCAATAGAAATGACTCTGCATTTTGCAGAGGAAGAAACTGAGGCTCAGTGGGTGAAAACGACTCACTCAAGGCCACACAGGTAGTTGATGAGGAAGCAGGGATCTCAACCCATGCTTGCCCAGTGAGCCCACTCCATCCTCTGCTCCAGACACCCCAAATCTTGAGGCCCCATTCTAGCGGGTCTCCCGAGGTCTTGAAAAGTCCATGAAAACATGGCAGTTACCTACTTAGGGCCTTTCTCTTGTTCTTGTCGCTCAGCCTTCCGCAGGCTCAGCACCAGGCTGGGGCTCCACTCCAAGGCCGTGTGACCACCAAGGCCCAGCTCCATGACCTCTGCACCACATAAGCCTTGCCCTTTTCCTGGCCTCTGTTTCTGAGATAGGAGCCCAGGGAAATCTATGCAGACAGACAAGGCCAGATGCCAGAGACCTGAAAGGCATGAGGCTCTTGCCAAGGAAAATTTCAAACTTCATAGGAAGAAAATGGCCTCCCACACACCCCAACCCCGACTCTCACTTCCCTACCTTTGCTTCTGCCAGAGCTGCCCCCGTCTTCAAGCCACTCTAGGCTGTAAATCCAAATTTATAACCAAGAATGATGTATTAAGTATCCACTGCATGCCAGGAAATGTGTTCCCCAACACCATTGTAAGACAGACGCTATTATCATCTTCAGTTTACAGAGGGGGAAACTGAGGCTCAGAGACGTGGTCACTTGTCCAAGGTGACACAGCTACAAAAGGTCTGAGCCAAGATTTGAACCCAGATCCGTTTGAATTTCTGCAGCTTTTCTATTGCAGTAAAAAGATAGAAATAAAGGAAATCACTCCTGGAATGATATCTTGGGGCTGGTAGACTTCTAGCATCTTTGCAAGGCTACCTGAGAAATACTTAACCCTATATTGTGTTTTCTGGCATGTCAGACCTTGGTACAAACAGATTGTTTCTTGTGAATTATGTTTTTCTCTTTTATGAACATTCGTAAATCCATCTCACTTCATAATAGACAAGTCTTTGACACCTTGGAAGTAAATTGTATTATATACTCTTGGGGGATTGTATACATAGAAAAACTGTAAGTTTGGGCAACATGGCAAAACCCCATCTCTACTAAAAGTACAGAAAATTAGCCGGGCTTGGTGGTGCTTGCCTGTGGTCCCAGCTACTCAGTAGGCTAAGAGTGGGAGGATCACGTGAGCCCAGGAAGTCAAGGCTGCAGTGAGCCGTGATTGCACCACTGCACTCCAGCCTGGGTAACAGGAGTGAGACCCCATCTGAAAAAAAGAAAAGAAAAGAAAAACTGTAGAAATCCTTTTAGGAAGTAAAGGATTAACTTGTTCACATCTGATTAAGAGATACGGTGAGATATGGAGAGGGGGAGATAAACAGCCCCAACTGGCCAGAGAAGTAGAAGACTTGATTTGGCCTTAGTTCTGACCTGACAAACCTGTGTGACTTTGGACTAGTCAGTTTCCTTCTCTGGGCCTCATGTGCAAAATAAGAAAGTTTAGACAGATGATCTCTAAGTTTCCCTCCATTCATCCCTGACATCGTGTTTACTGAAATTCAATATTCCCTACATCTTATGCTTAAACTAAATTGGCTCTTGTCCATCAGTGGGAAACTGTATAAACAAATTGTGGTATAGTCATATAATCCAATACTATTCAGCAATTAAAAAAAATGGTTACTGAAAAATGCAACACCGTGGATGAATTTCAAGTAACGTTATCGATGAGTGAAAGAAACTAGACACAGGCTGCGCATGGTGGCTCACGCCTGTAGTCCCAGCACTTTGGGAGGCTGAGGCAGGCAAATCACTTGAGCCCAGGAGTTTGAAACCGGCTTGGACAATGTGGTGAAACCTTGCCTCTACAAAAAAACAAAAAGCAAAAATTAGCCAGGTGTGGTGGCACATGCCTATGGTCCTAGCTACTCGGGAGGCTGAGGTAGGAGGATCGCCTGAGCCTGGGAGGTCAAGGCTGCAGTGAACTATGATCAGGGCACTGCATCCAGCCTGGGCAACAG
This sequence comes from Homo sapiens, assembly GCF_000001405.40. Lineage (NCBI taxonomy): Eukaryota > Metazoa > Chordata > Mammalia > Primates > Hominidae > Homo > Homo sapiens. Next base: position 11,090,566 of record NC_000003.12, read on the forward strand.
AGTGAGACCCTGTCTCTAAATAAGTACATACATACATACATACATACATACATACATACATACATACATACATACATAAACAAATTAGACACAAAAGACTTTAGACTATGATCCCATTACACAAAGTTCAAAAACAGGCAAAACTGAATTGGAGTGATAAAAGCCAGATGGCAGTTGCTTTGTAGTAGGTGGTGGGTAATGGCTATTTACTACGAAGTTGCACAGGGAACTTTCTGGGGAGATGGAAATGTTCTACTCCTTGATCTTGGCAGGGGTTACAGCAGTATAAACAGAGGTAAAAATTCATCAAGCCATACACCTAAGATTTACTCATTTCATTGTACTGTAATCATAATTCAACAGGATACTATGAATATACAATTATATATAAATCCTTATAGATATGTAAATGTTTATATGTTTGTACGTGTATGTGTGTGTGTTGCTTCCAGAACTACGCACAAAAAAAACCATTAGGAAGTATCCAAATGCCAAGTTTTCACAAAACAATTAACGAAGTCTATCCCCTGGGTGTGATCATGCTCTAAAAGGAAGAAAAATGATCTGATCCCTCCTGATAAGAACTGGTTTTGATGTGACCAAGCTTTGGAAAATGCCACCTTGTCCAAGAGACAGGAGAAAAGCACGCTTCCGGTGGGAGGACGTCTGTTTACAGCTCGGGGAAGCTATGACAGCACAATGTGGTGTGGACACATGCGGGAACGTGGCTGGCTGCCCCCACGGGCTGCCAGAGCTATTTTCCAGATATGGCAGCATCCCCACCAAGCCCTGCCCATCTCAGCACAGCCAAAAGCCCAGACGGGGAGCCTGCATGTCTGGCCTCGAGCCCTGACCAGCCTCCGGCCTCCAAGCGCCTCCTGAGGCATCTGCCCTTCACCCCCAGGCCACGCCCCACCCTGTGTCCACTACATTCTTGTCCCACCAGCCCCTTTGAAGTCTGCATCTCTGACAGCAGGTTCCAAGTAAAGCTCCTCACCAACCCTTCAGGATTCCAAAGAAAGGACAGAGCTTACTGGCAAAGGCCCACCCCCAATGGCCAGGTCATCTTTCTAAGAAAGGAGCAGCTGAATGGGGCACAAAGAGGGCGCTCATCTAATAGTGATGACCGTGGCGGGCCGTACGGAGCAGCCACTGCTATCACGCTGGCTGCAGGAGCAGCTGCTAGAGCAGCGGTGGTGTGCCCTGTGTCCCCAAAGCAGCCGACTGTGCCACCTGCACCCTCACACAGCTGGACAGGACCTGCTCCCAGGCCTGGAGCCTCCACCACGGCCTCAACCTCACTCTCTGCCGCGTCTCGGGAGCCTGTGAGCACCCAGTGGAAGGCGCAGCCGGGACTCGTGAAGCCGGCCCCAAATGCATTGGGTTCATTTGTGCAGGGTTGGCCAGGGCCACCGTACCACCTGCACCTCGCCCACCACCACCCATGGGAAAATGCGGAGAGGAGGCAGGCAGTCCCCAGAGCCTGCCTCCAGGAGCCTCCCGGAGCCCGCCACCCTGGGAGCTGCCACAATGGAGCTAGTCTGAGTGACCTACTGGCAGGGAAGCAGTGTGGTTGGGCACTGAGGGGTGGACAGAGAGGGCAGAGCTGGGCCTGGGGCAGTGCTGCTACTCCACGGAGCCATAGGGAGCCGAGAGCAGGCAGGAGCACTGCCCTCCTGGGCGCAGCTGCACACTCCCAGCAACGCCTGCAAGCCCAGGCATCTCTGCACTCTCTGTCACCCCTGTCCCTGCAGGCTCAGAGATGTCTGCTCCCACTGTCTACTCCCAGTGCCCCACTCTGATCTCAGAATAAGTATGGGGCTGAGCTAGGGCACTGTTGCAGCCCATCCGGGCTTGTTCACCTTGGAACAAACAGCCTGGGCACTATGAATGGCAGCAGGAGGCGGACAGGCTCCAGTGTCAAGGGGGTGGGTCCCTGGTGAAGCCCCACCCTCAAGCTGGTAGGGCCTGATGCCTGGAGGCCAGACTTCCAGTCCTGTGGACTGGAGTGGGAACTTGTGGTGCCTTTTCTGGACCCACCTGTGGCCTCCCATGTACCAACCTGCACGCACATCCTCCCCTCTGAGGCCCATAGAAAGCCTTGGACTCAGCCAGACCCAGGAGACAACAGTACAGCCAGCTGCAGAGAGGAGCTACTCACCCCAGGATCCCCTCTGCTGACAGTTGAACACTTGTTGGGATGAGCTGCCTGCAAAGAACAGCTACCCTCTCTGCTGAGAGCTGAACACTCGTCTGGACAACCTACCTGCAGAGAGCAGCTACTCTCTCTGCTAGGAGCTGAACACTCTTCAGGACACCCTGGCTATAGGGAGGAGCTACCCACTGCAGGTCTCCTCTGAGTGGGTCTCCTCTGAGCTGTTCCATCACTCAATAAAACTCCTTTTCATCTTGCTCCTCCACTTGTCTGCGTACCTCATTCTTCTTGGACACAAGACAAGAACTTGGGACCTGCCAAATGGCAGGGCAAGAAGAGCTGTAACACAAACAGGGCTGAAACATGCCTCTTGCTCATCACATTGTGGGTGACCAGAAGGAGAGAAGAGCTGTGACCCTTTGGGGAGCCTAGACCTAGGAGCTCCCTGAGCCAGGGCTGTGACCCCCTTTTTAGGGCTCTGAGGTTCCTGGTGTCTCCAAGCTTCCAGCCACCACCACTGCATTCCCCAGTGTCAGCCATGGAAGCTGCTTATGGTATGCCTGGTCCAGCTGCAGCCTCACAGGGACCCTGCACCTATGCCAGCATCTGGAGTTGCCTGCCCCACCACAGTGGCTATGCCTGGCTGTGCACAGTGGCCAGACCCCACACTCGCTCACACACCCCTCACCGTTCCACACCTGGCTCACCCTTGAGATGCAGGCCAGTAGTGCGAGCCAAGTGCAGCCCTCCAGGCTCAGGGGGCAAAGCAAGCCAAATGGGCCAGAGCAAAATGCAGGCAAAGGCGCCACACTGGCCACAGAGGTTTCCAGCCGGCGAAGCGACACCCTAAGAATCCCGTAACAATAGCTATGTCTATTTCTTAGGAAGCAATTAAGCCTCTGTGGTACAGTTCCTGGAACTGGGGCCTGAAACTGACAGGATAAGGGATTCCTCCCCAGAGACTAAAAGGGTCCATTAGGATCTAGAAGCAGGAGAAGCCTGCCCCTCTAGTGTGAATGGTGAACCTATGAAAGTGGAATCACTTCAGAAAAGAAAAAGGGGGGGAAGCTAACATTTATCAAGGGCCCACTATCTGCTGCTAAACACAATATATGACAGGCTTTCAGTCCTCCTGAGAGGTGACAGCGTGCTTGCAGCCCTCGTAGCCCTCGCTCGCTCTTGGTGCCTCCTCAGCCTCGGCACCCATTCTGGCAGCGCTTGAGGAGCCCTTCAGCCTGCCGCTGCACTGTGGGAGCCCCTTCCTGGCATGGCTGAGGCCGGAGCCGACTCCCTCAACCTGCGGGGAGGTGCAGCGGGACAGGAGAGAGAGGCACGGGCGGGAACCGGGGCTGCGCGCTGCGCTTGTGGGTCAGCTAGAGTTCCGGGTGGGCGTGGGCTTGGCGGGCCCTGCACTCGGACAGGCCCGCCGGCCCCAGGCAGTGAGGGGCTTAGCACCCGGGCCAGCAGCTGCGGAGGGTGCGCTGGGTCCCCCAGCAGTGCAGACCCACCGCTGCTGCGCTCGATTTCTCACCGACCCTTAGCTGCCTCCCCGCGGGGCAGGGCTCGGGACCTGCAGCCTTTCATGCCTGAACCTCCCCTACGAGCGCCGCCCCCTGCTCCAGGGCACCAGGTCCCATCACCACCCAAGGGCTGAGGAGTGCAGACGCCCCAGGGCAGGACTGGCAGGCAGCTCCACCTGCGGCCCCTGTGTGGGATCCACTGGATGAAGCCAGCTGGGCTCCTGAGTCTGGTGGGGGCTTGGAGAACCTTTGTGTCAAGCTAGGGTATTGTAAATACACAAATCACCACCCTGTACCTAGCTCAAGGTTTGTAAACACACCAATCAGCACCCTGTGTCTAGCTCAGGGTTTGTGGATGCACCAATCGGCACTCTGTATCTAGCTAATCTGGTGGGGACTTGGAGAATCTTTGTGTCTAGCTCAGGGTTTGTAAATACACCAATTCACATTGTGTATCTGGCTAATCTAGTAGGGAAGTGGAGAACTTTTGTGTCTAGCTGAGGGATTGTAAATGCACCAATCAGCACCCTGTCAAAACGGACCAATCAGCTCTCTGTAAAACAGACCAATCGGCTCTCTGTAAAATGGACCAATCAGCAGGATGTGGGTGGGGCCAGATAAGAGAAAAAAGCAGGCAGCCTGAGCCGGCAGTCGCAACCTGCTTGGGTCTTCTTTCACGCTGTAGAAGCTTTGTTGTTATACTCTCTACAGTAAATCTTGCAAGTGCTAAGTCTTTGGGTCCGCACTGCGTTTATGAGCTGTAACATTCACTGTGAAAGTCTGCAGCTTCACTCCTGCAGCCAGGGAGACCACGAACCTGCAAGGAAGAAGGAACAACTCCAGATGCGCCGCCTTAAAAGCTGTAATACTCGCTGTGAAGGTCTGCAGCTTCATTCCTGAGCCAGCGAAACCACTGAACCCACCAGAAGGAAGAAACTCCAAACACATCTGAATATCTGAAGGAACAAACTCCGGACACGCTGCCTTTAAGAACTGTAACAGTCACCGTGAGCGTCCGTGATTTCATTCTGGAAGTCAGTGAGACCAAGAACCCACCAATTCTGGACACACTTCTAGTAACCATTCTGAGCAGGCATCATAGTTTATCCATGTTCTCAGCAGGAAGCTGAGGCTCAGAAAGGAAGAGCAACTGGAGCGAGATCACACAGCCCACAAATGGCAGAGCTGGATTCAAACACAGGTCTGTCTGACTCCAAAGTCAGCATTCTTTCCTTCCATGAAGTACAGTCGGCTTTTAGCAGGAGATAGTGACATCCCAGGGACATTTCTAACTCAGTTTCTGGAAAGCCCCATCCAAAACCGACTAATGTGTTGGATAGACCAGGTAATGCCCAGTGGCCAATTCTCAAGTTGCACGTAGTAGACAGGGAAAGGGTGTAGGCCGGTGACCAAATCTCCCTTGAGATACATGGTCTGGCTCAGGATAGGTGTGCACAAACATTTCCAGGTGCATGGAAGTAAGGCAGAATGATAGGCAAGCTGGTGACACCAGATGGTAGGCAGCCATTGTCCCAAGTCCCTGAGGGCCTCCCACCACTACCCCAACCACCTTCCTTGGTCACCCCAAACTTCCTTATGATCCAGGAACTAAAGGGAGCTTCCAGGCCTCAGCTGCTCTGCCAGCCTCTGGCTCTTAAGTATGTTTGCTATTGCTCCTGCTGAGACACATAGACTAGATTCTCAGCCTGCTCTGGGTCCAACCCTGTTCGATCTACAGTAGGCAGGACACATGCATTTATGTTCCTAAGTCGTCTTTCTCATGCAGCTGAAATAGAGTTACTATTTCTTCACTGCGTATTTTGTGAACTCAACGTAAGTTCTGGGCAGTGGGTATTTTACCTCCTGTAGGAGTCGCCGTTGGGGCTGCAGAACTAAGCCAGTGTGCCTAGCCTCCAGCTGTGTAATAGCTCGCAGCTGTCCCCATTCTCCTGTCTCTGTTAACAGGAGCATACACGGTTGGGAGCCTCCAAGAGCATCCCATATTAATGACTGACATGGGGGTGCAAAAGGTTGCCCGTATCTCAGCTGGGGCAGGAACAATTTAATGGGGTATGACCAATTCTATAGCCCCCAGTGGGTCAGACCAAAGCCAAACTTACTTGAGGCTGCTTCAGTGCTCAGCCAACTACCCTTCCATATCCTGCTTTCCCACCCACACGTTCCCGTAAAGAGCAGCCTTCCAATAACTGACGTGTACCCAAAGCCTTAAGGTGCCTCCGCTCCATTTTACAGATGTGGAATCTGAGGCTTGCATAGGATGTCCTCCAGCTTGGTCTGTCCCTAAAATTCAAGCCCTTTCTGTTCCTTCATCCTGCCTGGATGGAATAGAAAGCAGACAGTTTGGGAGCGGAAACCCCACATCGCCGCAGGGATGGGCAGCTTTTCTTCCCACAGCTGCAGCCGACCTCCCTGGGCAGAGCAGGCGCCTCTCGCCTCCTCCCCCGCAGTGAGTCATCACCCACGCTGAGCGAGGAGAAAGTCTGAGCGGGCGCTGGGCTGGCGGTAACACTCCAAATGAGATTTAACAGAAGCCTCCGTCGCGCTCTGCTTAGGAAAGCAGGGGCTGTGGCTGTGGGGGAGGCTCTTCACTCCTGGTCCCCCGGGGGCTGGGGACGGTTGGGGGAAGAGGGGTGCCAAGGGTGCCCTGCCTCCAGCTGAGCCTCTCCTCAGAGACAAGCTTTCCAAGGTGTTGCAGGAAGGAGGAGGCAGATGAGAAAGCCCAGACACTGGGGGCTAAGCTGACTCAGCCACCAAAGCAGCAGAGCTGAGCTGAGGGAGCCACAGTGTGCCCGGAACACATGGCAATACTGAGCCAGGTCCTCCTGCAACCTGTTTCAACACCTCCCATGGCTCCCCAGGGCCCTAAAACACTAGAGTCAAACGCTTTAGCCCTGAAATCCTGGCTCTTCTCATTGGGCTCCAGACACTGTCCCTTAAGTCATCACATCTGCCCCTCACTTTTTACATTTTTTTTAATTGAAGTGAAATTTACATATATTGAGATGCATGGATTTTGGGTCACAGATAAATGTATTTTGGTAAGTGTATACACCTGTGTACTCAACACAGTTCTCAGGATATAGGACATTGCTGCCACTCCAGAGGGTTTTCTCATGTTTCTTTCCAGTTAACCCTCTTAGGCAATTGCTGTCCTGATTTCTATCACCATGAATTGGATGTACCTGTTGTGGAACATCAAATAAATGGAACTACACAATAAGTACTTTCAGGGGCTAGCTGCTTTCACTCAACATCATGTGTATGAAACTCATCCATGTAGGGCTTGTCGCAGTAGCTTCTTCCTTTTTTATATTTATTTATTTATTTAGAGACGGAGTCTTGCTCTTTCGCCAGGCTGGAGTGCAGTGGCGCGATCTCGGCTCACTGCAACCTCCGCCCCTGTGTTCAAGCGATTCTCATGCCTCAGCCTCCCAAGTAGCTGGGATTACAGGCATGTGCCACCACACCCAGCTAATTTTTGTATTTTTAGTAGAGATGGGGTTTCACTATGTTGGCCAGGCTGGTCTTGATCTGCTGACCTCGTGATCCGCCGGCCTCGGCCTCCCAAAGTGTTGGGATTACAGGCATGAGCCACTGTGCCCAGCCAGCTGCTTCCTTTTTATTACTGAGCGATATTCCATAGTATGAATATGTCACAATTTGTTTATCCATCCTCCTGAGGTAGACGTTGGGTTGTTTCTACTTTTGGCTGTTATGAATAAGGCTGCTATGAACATTCTTGAGCAAGTCTTTCTGTGGGCATATTTTCATTTCTCACAGATTAATAGCTAGGAGGGGAATGGTGGATCATAAGGCAGGTGTTGTTTAACTTCATAAGAGACTAACAAACTGTCCTCCAAAATGAATCTATCATTTTCTACTCCTACCAGCAATATTTGATTATTTGAGCTGCTTTATATCCTCAAAACATTAGGCTTTTCAATGCTTTTGCTTTCGGGAATGCTATTTCCCTGATGACTTACGAAGTTGAGCACTTCACATGCTCAGGGGCCATTGGTGCATATTATTCGATGAAGCATCTGTTCAAGTCTTTTGCCCATTTAAAAACAGTCTTATGGTTTATTTGTACTTTCTGTTAACTTTTTTTTAAAACTAATGAATAGGAGTAAAATATTCTATAAGTCAACTTTTCTTAACTCATTTGTGCTGCTGAGCTACACATAATGCAATTCCAAGATGGGATTCTCCTCGTTCTGAGCTAACATGTTTGCTAGATGTCCAGTGACTGGAGAAGGGAACTTCCCTGGAGAATCTCTGGCAGGCAGGATGGCGGTCATGGTGCATCTTTGGTTGGTACTATTTCATCTTAAATCTCCCTGGAGAACACTGGATTTAACATTGTCCATGTACTTCCTTCTAGCTCATTGAATACGTTGATATGAGGTCAAATATATAAAAATTGAATTTATCATATGCTATTGAGATAACTTAATAAAGGTATTGCCTTCCTATCCAGCATCTATTTCTCCCCATCCTTCCTACTTCTTACTTTGTTCAGTTTCCATCTCCTTCTTCACCCAGCCAGTCATTGCAGTAACAGTGGACATCACCCCAAGATCTAGGCTAGGCCTCAACGGTCTGAAATTAATCCCATTCCTGTTTGCAGTGATTATCTTAGGATGGGCACATGAACCAGTTCTGGCCATGAGATGTAAGTCCCAATCTGTTGAGGGCTTTGGGGAAATTTTTCCTCCTTCTAAAGAGAACAGCTTAGGAAAATAACTCTTTTCTTCCTAAGGACTTTGTTTTGTCCAGATGTGATGTCTGGAATCATTCGATGTATCTCACTATCAGTCCAAAGATGAAACTGACCCTGATGACTACACAGCAGAGAGATTTTTTTAAATCAGGGTTTTGACACCAACATTCAGCTACTAAATCAACTAATCCTGAAGGTTCCTTCTACCTCTGGACTCCAAGTTTCAGTAAGTCAATAAATTTTCTTATTGATTAAACTAGTGAAGGTTGTATTTCTAATATCTGCAGCTAATAACCTAATACAAATGCTGTGCATGCATGTTATTCTTTTAATCCTTTTATTGAACTATTTTAACATTTTTAATGAAGTATATTGCATATTATAGCATTCACCCTTTTAAAGTGTACAGTTCAATTTTTCAGTATTAATATATTCACAAGGTTGTGCAACCTCCACCACTACCTAATTCCAGAACATTTTCTTCACCCAAAAGGAAACCTCATAATCAGTAGCAGTCACTTCTAAATCTCCTCTCCCACAGCTCCTGGCAATCCACTTTCTGACTCTACAGATTTGCCTACTCTGGACATTCCATATAAATGGAATTATACAACATGCATCATTTTGCACCTGGCTTCCTTCACTTAGAATAATGTTTTCAAGGTTAATTCATGTTGAGCATGTATCAGTATTTCATTCCTTTTTATTGCTGCTTTTTTTTTTTTTTTTGAGACGGAGTCACACTCTGTTGCCCAGGCTGGAGTGCAGTGTTGCAATATCGGCTAACTGCAACCTCTGCCTCCTGGGTTCAAACGATTCTCCTGCCTCAGCCTCCCAAGCAGCTGAGATTACAGGTGCCTGCCACCACGCCTGGCTAATTTTTGTATTTTTAGTAGAGATGGGGTTTCACCTTGTTGGCCAGGCTGGTCTGGAATTCCTGACCTTAGGTGATCCACCCGCCTAAGCCTCCCAAAGTGCTGGGATCACAGGTGTGAGCCACCACACCCAGCCTATTGCTACATTTTGTGTATCCATTCATCAGTTGGTGGACATCTGAGTTATTTCTGCTCTTTAGCTCTTATAAATAATGCCATTATGAACATTCGTGTACAAGTGTTTTTGTGAACATATGCTTTCAATTCTCTTGGGTATATACCTAGGAGCAGAATTGTTGGGTCATACGATAATTCTATGTGTAACTTTTGGAGAACTCTTCTACAGCAGCTGCACCATCTTACATTCCCAGGAGCAATGTATAACAGTTCCACATTCTCCACATCCTTGCCAGCATGCATTGTTGATGTTTTGTTTCTTTGATTGTAGCCATCATAGTATATCATAGTATTGTAGTACATCATAGTAGGTGTGACATGGTATCTCATGTTTTTGATTTGTATTTCCCCAATGATTAATAATGTTAAGCATATTTTCATGTGTTTATTGGCTGTTTGTTTATCTTCTTTGGAGAAATGGCTATTCAAAGCCTTGTCTATTTTTAAAATGGGTTACGTGTTTTTATGATTGAGTTGTAAAAGTTCTTTATGTTCTAGATACTAGAATATATGATTTGCAAATATTTCTCCCATTCTGCATGTTTTATTTTCACGTCTTTGATAGTGTCCTTTGAAGCACAAAAGTTTTTAATTTTTTTTTTAATTGAGATAGAGTCTTGCTCTATCACTTAGGCTGGAGCGCAGTGGCATGATCTCAGCTCACTACAACCTCCGCCTCCTGGGTTCAAGCGATTCTCCTGCCTCAGCCTCCTGAGTAGCTGAGGCTACAGGTGCGTGCCACCACTCCGGGCTAATTTTTTGTATTTTTAGTAGAGACGGGGTTTCACCATGTTAGCCAGGATGGTCTCCATCCGACCTCGTGATCCGCCCGCCTCAGCCTCCCAAAGTGCTGGGATTACAGGAGTGAGCCACCGTGCCCAGCCTTAGTTTTTAATTTTTAAATAATTCCAGCTTATTTATGTTTTATTTTGTTGCTTGTGCTTTTGGTGTCATATAGGAAACCGATGTCTAGTCCAATGTCATGAAGATTAATACCTGCTTCTTTTAAGAGTTTTATGGTTTTAGCTCTTACACTTAGGTTTATGATCTATTTTGATCTAATTCATATATGGTATGAGGTAGGATCATTCTTTTGCCTACAGCTGTTCAGTTCTCCCAGTAGCTTATATTGAAAAGACTTCTTTTCCCATTGAATTTTCTTGGCTCCCTGTTGAAGATCAATTAATCTAAATGTGGGGCAGTATTCTGGATTCTCGGTTCTATCTCATTGATTTACATGTCTATGCCTATGCCAGTAACATGTAATCTTGGCTATTGTCATTTTGAAGTAAGTTTTGAAATTAGGAAGTGCAATTTATCCAACTTTGTTCTTCTTCAAGACTTTTTTTGGCGAATCTTCATCTCTTGCATTTTCATATGAATTTTAGGATCAGCTTGTCAGTTTTTTGCAAAAAAAAAAAAAACAGGCAGCTATAATTTTGATAGGGAATGCATTGAATCTGTGAATAAATTTGGGCAATATTACCGTCTTTACAATACTAAGCCCTCCAAACCATAAACACACATGTCTTTCCACTTATTTAGGTATTCCTTAATTGCTTTCAAAAACGCTTTGTAATTTTCTGTGTACAAGGCTTTTGCCTCTTTTGTTAAATATATTAAGTATTTTAATCTTTTTATTATAAATGGAATTGTTTTTTATTTTCATTTTTGGGTTTTTGTTACTAGCATATAGAAGCACAGTTGATTTTTGATATATTTTATATTGATCTCATATCCTGAAACCTCCCTGAATTCATTTATTAGCCCTAGTTTCTTTCTTTCTTTCTTCCTTCCTTTCTTCCTTCGTTCCTCTCTTTCTTCCTTCCTTCTTTTCTTTCTCTTTCTTTATTTCTTCCTTCCTTCCCTCCTTCCTTTCTTTCTTTCTTTTCTTCCTTGATGACAGAATTTTCTATATACAAGGTCATGTCTTCTGCAAATAGGGATAGTGTCCTTCCTTCCATTCTTCCTTCCTTCCTTTTTCTTTCTTTCTTTCTTTTCCATCCATCTTTCTGGGTGCCTTTTATTTATTTTTCTTGCCTAATTTTCCTGGTTAGAACCTGTAGCACACTGTAGAATAGAAGTCGTGAGGGCAAACACCCTTGTCTTGTTCATGAACTTGGGAGAAAGCTTTCAGTCTTTACCAATAAGTATACGGTTAGCTGTGATTTTTTTTAATCAATGCCCTTTATCAAGGTATGTTCATTTCTATTCCTAATATATTTTTCTTTTTAGAATGCAGGGGTATTTGATTTTGTCAAATATTTTTTCTGCATCTATTGAGATGATCCTGTGATTTTTTTATTCTATTAATATTTATTCTATTCTACTTTTATTGTTTTTATTATGTTGGTAATCTATTGGTTGATTGTCAGATGTTGAACTAACCTTGCATTCCTGGAATAAATACCACTTTGCTATAATGTATAATCCTTTTTATAGGTTGCTGGATTCTGCTTACTTGTATTTTGTTGAAGATTTTGCATTAATATTCACAAGAGTTGTTGGTCTGTAGCTTTCTTTTCTTTTTTTACCCTTTGACTAGCATTTTCCCAACCCCCAACCCCTGGTAACCACCATTCATTCTCTACTTTTATGAGTTCAACTTTTTTATTTTTATTTATTGATTTTATTTTATTTTGAGATAGAGTCTCACTCTGTCACCCAGGTTGGAGTGCAGTGGCATGGTCTCAGCTCACTGCAACCTCCGCCTCCTGGGTTCAAGCAACTCTCCTGCCTCAGCCTCCCGAGTAGCTGGGACTACAGGACCACCACACCCAGCTAATTTTTTGTATTTTTAATAGAGATGGGGTTTCACCATGTTGGCCAGGCTGGCCTCGAACTCCTGACCTCGGAATCTGCCTGCCTTGGCCTTCCAAAGTGCTGGGATTTCAGGCATGAGCCATCACACCCAGCCTGAGTTCAACTTTTTTAGATTCCACATATAAGTGAGAACATGCAGTATTTGTCTTCTGGTGCCTGGTCTATTTTATTTAACATAATATCCTCCAGGTTCATCTATGTTACCACAAATAATAGGATTTCCTTCTTTTGTAAGACTGAATAATATTCCACTATGTGTATAGACCACATTTTCTTTACCCATTCATCTGTTGATAGACACTTAGTTTGATTCCCTATTTTGGCTACAGTGAATAACGTTACAATTAACATGGGAGTGCAAATATATTTTGGACATATTGATTTCATTTCCTTTAGGTATATACCCAGTAGTGGAATTGGTGGATGATATGATAGTTCAATTTTTATTTTATTTTATTTACTTATTTATTTATTTTGAGACAGAGTCTCGCTCTGTCGCCCAAGCTGGAGTGCAGTGGTGCAATCTCAGCTCCCTGCAAGCTCCACCTCCAGGATTCACCCCATTCTCCTGCCTCAGCCTCCCAAGTAGCTGGGACTACAGGTTCCCATCACCACGCCCAGCTAATTTTTTTGTATTTTTAGTAGAGATGGAGTTTCACCATGTTAGCCAGGATGTTCTTGATCTTCTGACCTCATGATCTGCCTCCCTTGGCCTCCCAAAATGCTGGGATTACAGGTGTGAGCCACTACGCCCAGCCCCTCAATTTTTAATTTCTTGAGGAATCTCCATTTTATTTTCCCTAATGGTTGTACTAATTCACATTCCTACCAACAGTGTGCAAGAGTTATCTTTTCTCTACAACCTTGCCAACACTTGTTGTCTTTGGTCTTTTTGATAACAACCATTCTTACAGGTGTGAGGTGATATCTCATTGCAGTTTAAATTTGCATTTCTCTGATAATTAGTGATTTTGAGCATTTTTTTAAATATAACTGCTCATCGTTTATATGTCTTTTTTGAAGATATATCTATTCAGATCCTTTGCCTTTTTTTTTTTTTTTTTTTTTTTTTGAGGCAGAGTCTTGCTGTCTCGTCCAGGCTGGAGTACAGTGGTGTGATCTTGGCTCACTGCAAGCTCCCCTTCCCGAGTTCACGCCATTCTCGTGCCTCAGTCTCCCAAGTAGCTGGGAGGGACTACAGGTGCCTGCCACCATGCCCAGCTAATTTTTTGTGTTTTTAGTAGAGACGGGGTTTCACCGTGTTAGCCAGGATGGTCTTGATCTCTTGACCTCGTGATCCACCTGCCTCAGCCTCCCAAAGTGCTAGGATTACAGGCATGAGCCACCACACCCAGCCCTTTTGCCCATTTTTTAATCAAACTTTTTTTGTTACTGTTGAGTTGTTTGAGTTCCTTGTGTATTTGGATATCAACCCCTTATCAGATATGTGGTTTGCAAATATTTTCTCCCATTCTGTAGATTGTCTCTTTATTCTGTTGACTGTTTCCTTGGCTATGCTGAAGATTTCTACTTTGACGTAACTTTATTTCTCTATCTTTATTTTGTTGTCTAGGCTTTTGGGTTCATATCTGTGATGGTTAATATTGAGTGTCAACTAGATTGAATTGAAGGATGCGAAGTATTTTTCCTGGGTGTGTCTGTGAGGGTGTTGCCTTCATCTTTCTCCCGTGCTGGATGCCTCCTGCCCTCGAACATCAGACTCCAAGTTCTTCAGTTTTTGGATTCTTGGACTGGGGCTCTCGGGCCTTTGACCACAGACTGAAGGCTGAACTGTGGCCTTCCCTACTTTTGAGGTTTTGGGACTCAAACTGATCTACTACTGGCGTTCTTGCTCCTCAACTTGCAGATGTCCTATCGTGGGACTTTACCACTTTACCTGATTGTGTGAGCCAATTCTCCTTAATAAACTCCCTTTGATATATACATATATCCTTAGTTCTGTCCCTGTAAAGAACCGTGACTAATACAATATCCAGAAGATCATTACCCAGATCTAAATTTTCCTCTGTGATTGATTGTTGTATATGGTATAAGGGTCTAATTTCATTCTTCTGCATGTGGATATCCAGTTGTCCGAACATCATTTATTGAAGAGACTAGCCTTTTCCTATGGTGTGATCTTGGCACCTTTGTTGCAAATTGATTTACCATAAATGTGTGGATTTATTTCTATGTTCTCTATTATGTTCCACTGAGCTATATGTTTGTTATTATGCAAGTACCATGCTATTTTGATTATTATAGCTTTGTAGTATATTTTGAAGTTAGGTAGTGTGATGCTTTCAGCTTTGTTCTTTTTGCTCAAGATTACTTTGGCTCTTTGGGGGTTTTTATGTTTCCATATAAATTTTAGGATTATTTTTCTATATTTGTAAAAAACATCATTGGAATTTTAATAGAGATTGCATTGAATCTGTAGATCACTTTAGGTAGTAATCCATAAACCTGGGATATGTTTTCATTTTTTGCATCATCTTTAATTTCTTTCATTGATTTTGTTTTGTTTTGTAAGAGACAGGGTCTCACTATGTTGCCCAGGCTGGAATGCAGTGGCTATTCACAGGCACGATCATAGCACACCACATGGCCTTGAACTCCTAGGCCCAAGTGATTCTCCTGCATCAAGTCCTTAGTAGCTGGGACTACAGATGCGTGCCACCACATCCAGCTATATCAATGTTTTATAGTTTTCAAGTAAAGATCTTTCGTCTCCTTGGTTAAATTTGTTTATATTTTTTGTAGCTGTGCAAATTAATTTTTTTATTTCTTCTTTAGATAGTTCATTGTTGGTATATAGAAAGACTACTGATTTTTGTATGTTTATTTTATATCTTACAACCTTACTGAATTTGTTTATTGGTTCTAACAGTTTTTGTGTGGAATCTTTAGGTCTTTCTACATATAAAGGACATTTTAACTTCTTCCTTTCCAATTTGGATGCCTCATTGCTCCTTTCCAATTTCTCTTGCCTAATTGTTCTGGCTAGGACTCCCAGTATTATGTTTAATACAAGTGGCTAAAGTGGGCATCCTTGTTTTGTGCCTGAGCTTAGAGGAAAAGCTTTCAACTTTTCACCATTGAGCATGATGTTAGCTATGGGTTTGTCATATATGGCCTTTATTGTGTTGAAGTACATTCCTTCTATACCTAATTAGTGAGAGTTTTTATCATAAGATGTGGTTTTCTTTTCTTATTATGCATTTTTCTGGGTTTTGGTGTCAAAGTAATACCAGCCCTTTTTAGTAATTTTTATTTCTGTAAAGTTGGTAGTAATGGTTCATCTTTCATTCCTGATTTTAGTCACTTGAACATTCTCTCTTCTTTTTCTGGTCATCTAACCAAAGGTTTGTCAATTTTGTTGATCTTTTCAAAGAAACAACTTTGATTTTCGTTAATTTTCTCTATTGTTTTTCTATACTTTATTTCATTTATTTTTACTGTAATCTTTATTATTTCTTTGCTTCTGCTTGCTTTCACTTCAACTTGCTTTTCTTTTTGTAGTTTCTTAAGGTATAGAGTTAGGGTTTGGATTTACAATCTTTCTCCTCTTTCATGGGCATTTATAGCTCTAAATTTCCCTCTGAGCACTGCTTTGCTGCAGTTGTCGCATAAGTTTGGTGTGATGTGCGTGCATTTCCGTTTATTTCAAAATGTCTTCTAATTTCCCTTGTGATTCTGCTTTGACCATTTGTCCATTTCGGGGGGAGTGTATTGTTTAATTTCCACATTTGTTAATTCTCTAAATTTTCTTCTGTTAGTGGTTTCTGATTTTATTCCATTCTGTTCAGAAAGCATGTTTTATGTGATTTTAATCCTTTAAAGTTTATCAAGATTTGTTTTAAGCCTTAATATGTTCTATTCAAGAGAATGTTCTATGCACACTTGAGAACATGTGCAGCCTGCTGTTGTTAAGTGTTCTATAAATGTGTGTTAGATCTAGTTGGTTCATAATATGGTCCAAGTCTTCCATTTCCTTTCTAGTTGTTCTATCCATTATTGGCAGTGTGGTATTGAAGTCTCTAACTTATTGTTGAATTGTCTATTCCCTCCTTCAATTCTGTCAGGTTTTGTTTCATCTATTTTGGGTCTTTGTTGTTAGGTGTATATATGTTTATAATTGTTATGTCTTCTTGATGCATTGACTCTTTTACCTTTATAAAATGTCCTTCTTTGTCTCTAGATTTTTAAAGTCTACTTTCTCTCTAGTAGCTTTGTGATTTTAGCTTTACATATAGCTTGGTAAGTCATCTCAAATTACTTTTTCTGTATGGTGTGAGAGATTGAGGTTCACTTTTTCTGTAGGATTATCCAGTTGTTCCAACACTATTTTTAAGGTATCTTCTCCATTGACATTCCTTATCATCTGGTGTCAAAAATCAATTATCTTTATATGTGTGAGCCTATGTCTAGACTGTCTAGTCTATTTTATTAATTTGTTAGTCTGTCACTGTGCCAATACTACACTGTCTTGATGACAGACTTTATAGAAAGTCTTGAAATCAGGCAGTAAGAATCCTCTAATTACACTCTTTCAAGATTGTCTTGCTTATTCAAGACCTTTTGTATGTTCATATACATTTTGGAATCACTTTGTCAATTTATATACTTTTTAAAAGCCTGCTGAAATTTTTGATTGGTATTGCGTAAAATGCAGGAATCAATTTTGGGAGAATTGACATTTTAACACTACTGTTTCCTAGTTCATGAGCATGGTATTAGGTTCGTGCAAATGTAATTGCGGTTTTGCGGCAGTTAACCATTAACCATTAACCCATTAACCATTATTTTAATGGCAAAAACCACAATTACTTTTGCACCAATCTATTGTATCTGTTTTTTATATTTTATGGTTTTCAAGGTAGAGGTTTTACAAATCCTTTATTACATTTGTTCCTAAGGCCAGGTATGGTGACTCATGTCTGCAGTCTCAGAGATTTTGGAGGCTGAGGCAGGAGGATCACTTGAAGCCAGGAGTTTGAGACAGCCTGGGCAACAAAGCAAAACCCCATCTCTACAAAAAATAACATTTTTTAAAAATAGGCAGGAGTGGTGGTGTATGCCTTCAGTCCCAGCTACTCGGTAGGCTGAGGCAGGAGGATTGCTTGAGCCCAGGAGTTCAAGGCTACAGTGAGGTATGCACATCACTGCACTCCAACTTGAGTGACAGTGTGAAGCCCTGTCTCTAAAAATAAAACAAATTGTTCCTAAATATTTTAATCTTTTTGATGGTATTATAAATGATACTGCTTTTAATTTTTATTTTTCTATTTTTGCTAATATATTGAAGTATGATTGATTTGTATATATGAATGTTGTACTCTGCAAACTTGTTACATTCACTTAATATTTCTGATAGATTTTCAGTAATGTCCTTAGGATTTCTTCACAAACTATTACTTTTTCTGCAAACAGAAGTGGTCTTTTTTCTATCTAATATTTATGCTTTTGATTGCCTCTTCTTGCCTTATTACACTGACCAGAAAACCTCCAATACAATGTTAAATAAAAAAGGTAAGAGTGGACATCCTTGCCTTGTGCTTAATCTCCAGGGATAGTGTTCAGTATTTCACCATTAACTGTGATGTTAACTGTAGGTTTCTCATAGCTGTACCTATCAAATTGAGGAAACACTCATCTATTTCTAGTTTGCTGAGAGTTTTTAAAACAATGTGTAATGAATTTTGTCAGTGCTTTTTCTGCATCTGTTGAAATGATCATATTGTTTGTCTTTTTTATTTTGTTAATGTATAAATACACATTGATTTTTAAAGGCTAAATAAATCTTGCATCCCCTGGGACAAATCCCAGCACACCAAATAAATATATTATCCTTTTTCTATATTGCTGGATTCAATTTGTTAATATTTTGTTGAAGATTTCAAATCTTCAAACAAATATATTGTCCTTTTTCTATACTGCTAAATTCAGTTTGTTAATATTTTGTCAAAGATTTCTGTGTCTTGTTTGTATTGGATATTGGCCTCATAAAACAAGATAGAAAATATTCCTTCGTCTTCTAATCTCTGAGATCATTTGTATAAGGTTGATATTATTTCTTCTTTTAGATGATTAATGAAATTTACCTCTGAAAATATTTGGACCTGAGTTTGTTGTGGGAAGGTTTTTGAGGATCGATGCAATTTCTTTTATAGATATGGATTTTCTGTTGCTTCTTGAGAAAGTTTTATAAGTTGTATTTTTCTCAGTTTGTCAACTTTTTCTAAGTTCTCAAATGAATTGGAATAAAATTGTTCATAATGTTTCTACCTTATCTTTTTGATATCAGTAGGATCTCTAGTACTATCCCTTTCTTCATCCCTGACGTTAACAACTTTTGTTTTCTCTTTTTTCTTGATCAATCTTTCTAGAAGTTTATCAATTTTGTTAATATTTACAACAAACCAACTTTTGGCTCTGTTAATTTTCTCTTTGGTTTATCTGTTTTTTAAATCATTAAATTTATGTTGCACTTATGTTGTTATTTTCTCTTTCCTACTTGTTTCTGCTTATTTTTTCCTTTCTTCTACCTTCTTTGGGTTTAATTTTCTCTTTTTTGATAGCTTCTTAAAATGAAAACATTTTAATTTTTGTTTGCATAGTAAAATTTACTCTTTTTGAAGTTGTGAAACCACAATCACGATTAAGATATGCACAAAAAATTCCCTTTTGCTACCCTTTTGTAGTTAACACTTCTCCCCTTTCTCTAACTCCTAGCAACCATTGATCTATTCTCTGTCCCTTTAGTTTTGCCTTTTCCAAAATGTCATGTAAATGGAATCATACAGTATGTAAACTTTTAATTCTGACTTATTCAACTTACCATAATGCCTTTGCAATTCATTCATGTTGTATTAATATTTTGTTTCTTTTTTCTTGCTAAGTAATAATGCCCTGCATATGTGCCACAGATTGTTTATCTCTTTCCCATTTGAGGAACATTTAATTGCTTCTAGATTTTGGCAATAATGAATAAAGCCAATGTAAATATCCACAGGTAGATTTTTGTGTGAACATCAGTTTCCACTTCACTTAAGTAAATACCTAAGAGTAGGATGGCTGGGTCATATAGAAAGTGTATGTTTAGGCCGGGCGCGGTGGCTCACGCTTGTAATCCCAGCACTTTGGGAGGCCGAGGCGGGTGGATCACGAGGTCAGGAGATCGAGACCACGGTGAAACCCCGTCTCTACTAAAAATAAAAAAAAAATTAGCCGGGCGTGGTGGCGGGCGCCTGTAGTCCCAGCTACTTGGGAGGCTGAGGCAGGAGAATGGCGTGAACCCGGGAGGCGGAGCTTGCAGTGAGCCGAGATCCCGCCACTGCACTCCAGCCTGGGCGACAGAGCGAGACTCCGTCTCAAAAAAAAAAAAAAAAAAAAAGAAAGTGTATGTTTAATTGTATAAGACATTGCTGAACTATTTCCCGAAGTGGCTGTACCATTTTTTTATTCCCATGAGCAATGTATGACCATTTCAGTTGCTCTGCATCCTTGGCAGCACTTGTCAATTATTTTTATCTTAGCCATTCCTGTAAGTATGTAGTGGTATCTCATTGTGGTTTTAACTTACATTTCCCTAAAAACAGCTGATGTTGAGCATCTTTTCATATGCTTATTTATCACCTACATGTCTTCCTTGGTGAAGAGCTGTTCAAATTTTTTTCCATTTTTGAATTCAGTTGTTTCTTTTTTTATTGTTGAGTTTTGAGAGTTCTTTGTACATTCTGCTCACAAGTCCTCTGTGAGATTTGTGATTTGCAAATATTTTCTATCAGTCTATGGCATTACCTTTCATTATCTTACTAATGGTTTTCATGGAGCAAAAGTTTTTAATTTTAATGCAGTCTAGACAATCTTTTATTTTCATTTCTCATGTTTTTGGTGCCATAGCTGAGAACTCCTTGCCTAAACCAAAGACACAGCAGTTTTTTCTCCTGTGCTTTCTTCTCCAAATTCATGGGTTTTTTTCCCTGCTATGTTTTCTACAAAATTTAGGGTTTTATGTTTTCCATTTAGGTCTCTTTTCCATTTTGAGTTAATTTTTATATAAGCTATGATGTATAGACTGAAATTCACCATTTTGCGTATGGATATCCAATTGTTCCTACATCATCTGTTAAAAAAAAAAAAAGACTATCCTTTTCCATTGAATTGTATTTGCACCTCTGCCAAAAATCAGTTGCCCATGACTGTGGGTCTCTTTCTGGACTCTTTATTCTCTTTCATTCATCTATATATCTATCGTTTTGCAAATGTCTCATGGTGTTGATTTCTGTAGCTGTATAATCATTAAATCAGGTAATGTTAGTGTTCCAATTTAGTTCTTTTTCAAAATTGCCTATTCTGGTTCCTTTACCTTTCCATATAAATTCCAGAATCAACTTGTCAACATCTACCAAAAAAAAATCTTGCCGGCATTCTAATGAGAATTGCATGCAATCTATACAAAAAGTTACAGAAAATTGAAATCTTAACAATCGAGTCTTTTAATCCATGAACACAGCGTGTCTCTCCATTTTAGATTATTTATTCTAACCCTTTTTGTTTCCTAATATAAATACTTAAAGCTATAAATTTAAATATTTATAGTTGCAGCATATAAATTTTGATAATTTTGTGTATAAAAATTGCCATTTAGTTCAATAAATTTCCTGAGTTTCCTTGTGATTTCTCCTTTGACCATGGCTTATTTAGAATTCTTGTTTAATTCTGAGATTTATAAATTTTTCTAGTTTTACTTATTGTTAATCTTTTGAAATTTATCAAGACATTTTAAGGCTCATTTTATGGTCTATCTTGGTAAATGTTCTATGCACCTGGAAAGAATAGGTATTCTGCAGTTATTTTGTGTAGGTTCTATAAATGTCAATTAGATCAAGGTGATTGATAGTGTTCAAAGTTTCTATGTCTTTGCTGATTTTTGTCTGCTTTTTCATCAGTTACCGAGAGAGTTGTTAAATTGCCAAACATGATGGTAGATTTATCCATTTTTCCCTTAAGCACGGGGCTTTGCTTCATTTATCAAGAAATTATGTTATTAGGTGCATAATACATTGGGGATTGAACTGACTCTTTTATTCTTATGAAAAGTCTCTATCTCTGATAGTACTCTTTGTCTTAATGTCTGCTTTGTCTGATGTTTACAGAGTAACACCAGCTTTCTTTTGTTTTGTTTTTTGTTGTTGTTTTTGTTTTGTTTTGTTTTGTTTTTTGAGATGAAGTCTCACTCCGTCGCCCAAGCTGGAGCGCAGTGGCGCGATCTCAGCTCACTGCAACCTCCGCCTCCCAGGTTCAAGCAATTCTCCTGCCTCAGCCTCCCGAGTAGCTGGGATTACAGGCGCATGCCACCACGCCAGGCTAATTTTTGTACTTTTAGTAGAGATGGGGTTTCACCATGTTGGTCACGCTGGTCTCAAATTCCTGACCTCGTGATCCACCCCTCTCAGCCTCTCAGAGTGCTGGGATTACAGGTGCGAGCCACCGTGCCCGGCCAAGTAACATCAGCTTTCTTTGGCTTACAGTTTATGTAGTATATATTCTTTCATCCTTTGATTTCCAGCCTATCTGGAATACTACTTGTAACAGGATATAATTTGGTCTTACCTTTCTTTAATGTAGTTTGACCATCTCATCTTTTAACTGGAATGTTTAGTCCATTTACACACAATGTAATTATTGATACAGCCGAGTTTTAGTCTACCAATTTGCTATTATTTTACACTTTTCTGCTTTTTGTTCTTCTGTTCCTCCTTTCATACCTTCTTTTGGGTTAATCATATATTTTTCTATATCCCATTGTAGTTTATCCACTGTCTGCTGTACCTTTTTGTATTAGATTTTAATGGAACTATAATATGGGTCTTTAATTTATCACAGTCTACTTAGAATGTTGTATTATTTCATGTAAAATATAAGATCCTTTCAACAGTGTGTGTCGTCTTACAACAGTATGTGTATATGTATACAAATATGTATATGTATATAAATACACTATTCCATCCCTTGAAGGATTAGTGTTTTATATTTTACTTCTACATATATTATAATCCCATAATATAATCTTAATATTTTTGCATTTATCAGTTGCCTTCTAAAGAAACTAAGAGAATTTTTAAAAATTGTCTTTTATATTTACCCCCGCCCCTTTGTTAAAGTCCTAGGGCAGGGTTTTGAGTGATAGAGTGTGCTGGGCAGTAGTGGTGAGGAGGGGCTGGAAAGGGAGAAAGACATAGGCATGGGCAAGGACTTCATGTCTAAAACACCAAAAGCAATGGCAACAAAAGCCAAAATTGACAAATGGGATCTAATTAAACTAAAGAGCTTCTGCACAGCAAAAGAAACTACCATCAGAGTGAAAAGGCAACTTACAGAATGGGAGAAAATTTTTGCAATCTACTCATCTGACAAAGGGCTAATATCCAGAATCTACAAAGAACTCAAACAAATTTACAAGAAAAAGACAACCCCATCAACAAGTGGGTGAAGGATGTGAACAGAACTTCTCAAAAGAAGACATTTATGCAGCCAACAGACACATGAAAAAATGCTCATCATCACTGGCCATCAGAGAAATGCAAATCAAAACCACAGTGAGATACCATCTCACACCAGTTAGAATGGCAATCATTAAAAAGTCAGGTAACAACAGGTGCTGGAGAGGATGTGGAGAAATAGGAACGCTTTTACACTGTTGGTGGGACTGTAAACTAGTTCAACCATTGTGGAAGACAGTGTGGCAATTCCTCAAGGATCTAGAACTAGAAATACCATTTGACCCAACCATCCCATTACTGGGTATATACCCAAAGGATTATAAATCATGCTGCTATAAAGACACATGCACGCGTATGTTTACTGCAGCACTATTCACAATAGCAAAGACTTGGAACCAACCCAAATGTCCATCAATGATAGACTGGATTAAGAAAATGTGGCACATATACACCATGGAATACTATGCAGCCATAAAAAAGGATGAGTTCATGTCCTTTGCAGGGACATGGATGAAGCTGGAAACCATCATTCTCAGCAAACTACCGCAAGGACAGAAAACCAAACATTGCATGTTCTCACTCATAAGTGGGAATTGAACAATGAGAACACTTGGACACAGGATAGGGAACATCACACACCGGGGCCTGTCATGGGGTGGGAGGAAGCGGGAGGGATAACATTAGGAGATATACCTAATGTAAAGACAAGTTAATGGGTGCAGCACACCAACATGGTGCATGTATACATATGTAACAAACCTGCACGTTGTGCACATGTACCCTAGAACTTAAAATATAATTTTAAAAAAAAGAAAGAGCTGACTGGTCAGGACACTGTGGGCCTGTGCCTGGTACGGGAGATGAAGACGTGATATAGTGGATATTGAGAGGGAGGAAATAGGCTTTCCCAAGGAAGGATTGATGGGACAGGTTAGCCACCACCTCTGAGTGTCACATCCAGTTTTAGGTAGCACATTTTAAGATGTCTGTAAACGAGAGGTTGCATACTGCTGCCCAAAGGTTTTTGTTTGCCTGGATAGTGTTAACGCATATAGTTCTGTCTTCTTATTAATTAGCAATCAACTTAAATTATACGGGCATTTTAAATACAAATCTGAATTCCTTGTTTCTACTGGAAAGTGAGATCTGACAATGGTGAGTCCTCACTTCTGCATGGCAACAATTGGTTGAAACTCCTTTTGGCCACAGTCCCCACCCTCCCTGTTGTTATACTACACACACCAGTGATCTTGGTTCACTGCAACCTCCGCCTCCCAAGTTCAACTGATTCTCCCACCTCAACCTCCCGAGTAGCTGGGACTACAGGTACGCACCACCACATCTGGTTAATTTTTGCGTTTTTACTAGGGACAGGGTTTCATCATGTTGGCCAGGCTGGTCTCAAACTCCTGGCCTACAAGCGATCCTCCCATCTCCGCCTCCCAAAGTGCTGGATTACAGGCCTGAGCCACTATGCCCAGGTTTTTCCTGACACGTTCTGTCTTTTCCTACTAAAGTTTCAATTACATGCATATTGGACTGGTCACTGTGCCTCTGTTCATTTTCTTTTGCTATCTTGTTTTTATTCACTTTTTTTTTACTTATTTGTAATTGACAAATAATAATTGTGTATATTTATGGGGTACACTGTGATGTTTCGATCTATGTATACCCCGTAGGAAGATTCAATCAAGCTAACTAATATATTCTTTTTCTCCTGTTCTTCAGATTGGAAAATGTCTATTGATTTGTCTTCAAGCTCATTGACCCTTTCTCCTGCAGTCTCCAATATATTGTTAGATTCACCCAGTGAATTTCTTATTTCTTATATTGTATTTTCCAGTTCTAGAATTTCCATTTAATTCTCTTAGCTATTTTCCATTTCTTTACTGGATTTCTAATATGCCCTCTCTGAAGTTCATGTTTTCTTTTAGGTTTATGGACATATTGATAATAGCTATTTTAAGGTCTTTATCTGCTAATTCCAACATCCTGATCATTTGGGGATGTCTGTATCTCTTAACTGCTTTTTACTTTGATGTGGATCAGAATTTCCTGCTTTCTCACATGTCTAGTGATTTTATTTTATTCTTCACATTATTGATAATATTGTAGGAATTTTAGACGAGGTTTTCTTCCTTTAGAGAGTATTGAGTTTTGTTCTGACAGGAAGTTAAATTGCCAGCACATCCTCTTGGCCCTGTCAGGTTTGGTTTTGTTCTTGATTATGGCTAGAGTTTTTTGGTTTTGTCCTCTGTACTAGAAGGTGGACCTAATGCTTAATCCTTCTGCCTAACGTGTGGACTTTCTGAAGTCTCAACTCAATGTCCCAGCTATTCAGTGAGGCCTCTTCACTCTGGCTGCGATGAAGTTGCATCATGTGACCACCAGGATCTGCACTCAGCTCTCGGTGACAGCATTCACTGTCTGCAGGGCTTCATGGAGTCTCACCCTGTACATGTGCACACCAGCCCTTGACCAAGATCCTACTAGAAACCCCCCTGCAGACTTCTTCTCCTCCTGCCACCCTCCCCTGCATAACTCCCTCCTCCCTGGTATTCTGCCCTGCAGATGTCACCTGCTCCAGCAGCTTCAAACTCCAATCTCTCCCACCACCCCACACTGTCGTCTGGACAGTGTCTCCAGGCTAGACATCCGGGGACCTGGGGCTTCCCTCATGCCCTCAGGTGCCTCTCTTCTTTCAAAGGTCACTCCTCCATGAATGAAAGTAAAATTCCCAACATTATTTTTTAATTTCATAAATTAAAACACACAGTAAAAAAAATAAAAGTATACAGAAAGTTATACAGTGAAGAGTGTCTCAACCATCTTGACCCTAAATATTCTACTTCCTCTCCCCAGAGGCAACACCAGAATGTTATTTGTCCCTTCAGAGTTATTCTCTATATCCATATAAAGATCAATTCCTTGGTGAAGATGGAAATGGCAGTGCACCATAAGCACTGCATAACAGACACCAGCAAGGTCCCCCTCCCAGTCACCATTTCCATGAACACCAACCCTGCTTCAAACCCCAGTGCCTGAGATTCATTGCACCAAGGCAGTCTGAAGTGCCAGGAAGTTGGTGCTCCCCTTTAAGAGCCAATCTCAACCAGCGATTCGTGGGAGTTGGTATAATTGCACCGTTCTCCTGCCTTTCCTATTGGGACAACTTGGAGACACATCCTACACCACCTCCCAGCGCTCCCCGCAGGGATTGAGCCCAAGTTTTAAAAAGCAGTAACCTGCTCAATAACACACCTTTGCTGGCCTCCTTCTCTCCCTGTCTTCTGTCCCTCTCTCTTCCCAGTGCTTCCTGGGATAAACTGTTTTCATTCCTTTCCTCTCAAGGTCTGCTTCTGGGAAAATGTGGCCTAACACATTGTCCTTTACATCTTGATTTGTCGGTTTAACAGTATGACTCAGATCCTTCCACATCAGTTCATATTGATCTGCCTCATTCCTGTATCCAGTAGCCACCCACTTCTCACCACTACCATCTGGCGCAAGCCACCACCACCTCCATCTCCCACCAGGATGACTGCAGTGGCATCCTAACAGGCTTCCTGTCCCCCGCCTATCCCTGCCAGAGCAGGAGGGATCCTGATACCTCATTCAATGTCACTCCTCTGCTCAGAGATCCCCCAGTGGCTCCCCTCTTTCAATCTCAGAATGAAGGTGGAAGTTCTTCCTGGCTATCAGGGCCCCACCCTCTCATCCTTACTCACTTCATTCTGGCCACACCGGCCTCCTCACTGTTTCTGGAACAAGCCAAACACTCTTCATTCTTGGGCCTTTCAATTCACTGTTGCGTTTGCTTGGGGAGCTCTTTCCCAGGTATCCTCATAGCTCCTCCATCATTTCCTTCAAGACTATTGATATGGACTTTCCCGGCGAGGCCTCCCCTAGAAACAAGCTAAATTTCAACACCCCTCCCTCACCATTCCTGCCTTCCTTCCCTGCCTTACCATTTTTTTCTCTTTATCACATCTGACTAGGACACATGCCCTGGGATACTATGATCTCCTCACTAGCCAAATAGGAAACAATCCCAGTATGGTCTGTTTGTTAGTATCACCGTCACCGGCATCACCATCCCTGTTCAGATGTGGTTCATAACCTGGGCACGCCACACTGCAGTTATTCTCATGTCTGTCTTCTTCACAACACCAGGTCCTCCTCCCGGGGCTGGCGAAGAGCTGTTCCAGCTCCGTGTCCCCCTGCCCAGGACAGAGATTAACAAAACAAAGGCCCTCAGAGTGTTTGCTTAATGAAGCCAGGAGGCCCTTTTCTGGCGCCATAATGAGACAGGACTCAGATAACCAGACCAAAGATGAAACCGGAAGGAGAAAGCTTTCTTGGGACATCTGGGATTGACCTGGCTGCCCTCAGGCAGCAGGAGGAAGGCTCCGATTCCCCAGGCTTAGCTGGTGAAGTCCTGAGCACATACGTCAGGACTGCTGGGTGCCAAGGCAGACACAGGGCCAGGGACTCGAGGAGCTGGGTTTAAACCCAGATCTGAGCCCGGTGGTGCGACTGTGAACAAGTTTCCGTAGCATCGTTGCCTCATCTGTAAAGTGGGCATCATAATACTCACCTCAGAGTGGCTGTGTGCATGCGGGAGCCAGTGTGGCACCTGACACAAAACAGATGCTGAGCAAATGACGGTAAGGATGGGCAAAATTGAGCCCCTGCCATGCGCCAGGCACCACAAAACAGCACTGTACAAACATGGTCTCCTTTAATCCTCACAGTATCCTCGTCAGGGAGATGCAGTGTTATCCCTGATAAGGTTCTATTGTCATCCCCATTTCACAAATGAGGAAACCAAGGATCAAGGAGTAATGTGATTTTGCTGAGAGTGATGCAGCTGATTCATCACAGAGACTTGGAGCCCAAATCTGCCCAATGTTCTTAGCCAGCGCCACACTGATTAGTCAGCAAGCGCACCCTGTGACTCTCCTTACCCTCAGCCGCTCCACCACCACTCTCAGGATCCTCCTCCCCTCCTGCCCCTCGAGGAACA
Organism: Homo sapiens; assembly: GCF_000001405.40. Lineage (NCBI taxonomy): Eukaryota > Metazoa > Chordata > Mammalia > Primates > Hominidae > Homo > Homo sapiens. The sequence continues at coordinate 11,118,391 of NC_000003.12, forward strand.
GAGGGCAGCACTGCCTCCTCTGCACCCCAGCTCTGTCACTTAACAGGTGTGTGGCCCTGGGCAAGCGACATGCCCATTCTGACCTTCAGTTTCTGTACGAGTCTCCCAGGGCTGCTGTGATTAATTACCACAGACTGGGTGGTTAAAACAACACAGGCTTGCTGTCGCCCAGTTCTGCTGGTCAGAGGCCCAGGGCATTCAGCCACGTACTGGACTGTAGGGCTGAGGTCCATTTTGCTGCCAGCTGTCAGCTGGGACCAGTCTTTGATTCCATGGCTGCCCACATTCCTCTTCTGCTTTCCATGTGCCCCATCCAACCACAATGGGTCAAATCTCTCTCAGGCTTTCAAAGTCTCCAACTTTTCCTTCTGCTTCATCTTTCTGACTCCAGTTGGAGAAACTTCTCTGCGTTTAGCAGCTCATGTAATTAGACTGGGGCCACCAGGATAACTTTTGTTAATCCCCTTATTTTAAGACACGTAAGTTTATATCTGCAAAGTCCCTTTGCCTTGTAACACAACATACTCACAAGTCATTGGGATTAGGGCATTGATATATTGGGGAGGCCATTCTGCCTATCACAGTATCTTTTCCTTTGCTCATTCTTTATTTCTTTTATTTTGTATTTATTTATTTATTTATTTATTTATTTATTTATTTATTTATTTTTTGAGATGGAGTCTCACTCTGTCGTCCAGGCTGGAGTGCAGTGGCGCAATCTCAGCTCACTGCAAGCTCCGCCTCCCAGGTTCACGCCATTCTCCTGCCTCAGCCTCCTGAGTAGCTGGGACTACAGGCACCCGCCACATGCCCGGCTAATTTTTTGTATTTTTAGTAGAGACGGGGTTTCACTGTGTTAGCCAGGATGGTCTCGATCTCCTGACCTCGTGATCCGCCCGCCTCGGCCTCCCAAAGTGCTGGGATTACAGGCGTGAGCCATCGCGCCCGGCCTCCTTTGCTCCATTCTTTCAACAAGTATCCATTAGCTTTGTAGCAGACACCATGGGTGCCCCACTACATGTCTCCCTCTGTGTCCTTCAGTGCTCACCCAGTTCCCCACTGCTGCACCCACATCACCTCGCCCAAGACTTTCTGACTTTGCAAAACCCATAGAGTCAGACAGAAGTGCTGGGGAACTCAGCCCCTTCTAAGAGCAAACCTCAACCTAAGACTGATGGGATTTGGTAGGTAAATACCCCAGCTCCATCACCCTTTCGGGGGGATAACTAGAGGTGTGTGCCTATACTGGCTCCTAGCAAACTTCCTCTCCAGGTGTTCATAGTAGCAACTCAATTCCTAAAGCACCCCTATTGGTGACCTTCCCTTCCTTACTTCAAATCACCCCAAACAAAATACTTACACTAGCATCCTTGCCTCAGGGACTGCTTCTGGGGTAACCAAGACAAGCACTTGCTCTATGACAGATACTACTCTGTGCTCTGTTATTATCTCCATTTTACAGATGAGGAAACTGAGGCACGGAAAAATTAAGTAACTTGCCTGTGTGGTTAGCATCTGGTAGAGCTAGGATTCAAACACATGCAGTCTGGATCCTGGGTTCCTGCTCTAAAATAAAATTATACCAGTTTTTTCCTTAGCTGCAATTTGAGAGTAATATTCCCTATTTCATAGTGTCACTGTGAGGATTAAATGAGATAGTGCTTGCAAAGGGTTATTTGGGATATGGTACACAGTGAGCATTCAATAAATAACAGCTTAAAACAACACTACAGCTACTATTACCCTAGTGCCAATGAGAGCTGAAACCAAACTCTGAGGCCAGAGGTTGGGCTAGTGGCCTGCCAGCTTAAGGGGACCGGTCACTTGGAAGGCAGATCCATTATCTAAGAGGGAACACACAGCTAAGTGCGGAAGAAGGTGGTGGGTGTTGTTATAGCAACTGGCGAGTCTTTTTGTGTCCTCATAGCCAAGAATGTGGTGGAGCAGGAAAGGAAGAAGCTCCTGCCAGCACCCAAAGGAAGTCAGCAGGAAGTTAAGCAGGGCTAAGACCCATGGGAGACCCCCTCCCAGCCAGACAAGCCCCGTCTCTCTGCCCTATCCTGGCCAGGGAGCCCCGACTTCCATACCCTGGGCTGGGAACAGCAGGGGGCCAGGCAGGTGCCTCCCCGCTGAGGCTGGGGGAGAGAGATGCTCAGAGGCCAGGCAAGGAGAGAGAACAGGGCAGGCCACAGCCCACAGATCTCAGCTGTGGGCAACCACAGGCAGTAAGCTTTGTGGGCCAAGGAAAGCACATTCCTTGCCCTGGGTGTAATGAGGGCTCCACAAGCACCGTCCAAGCCCAAGGTCTGGCAGCTCCACGAAGGAACAGCCTGGCCCTCGTGGACTCCGGGAGAAGAGCCTGCCAATGGCTAACAGCATAACCATCCAAGCTGAGAAACCAAGTCACCTCCCTTCTCTCTCTCCCTCTCTCTATCTTGTATGGTACTGATTTATATCTATGCATTGTCTTCCTCCGTGACTGTGATTTCCTCATCCAGCCAGCCAGCCAGCCAGCCATTGATTCATCCACCTTCCTATCCAACCTTCCATGCATCCTTTAATCCATCCATCTGTCCACCCATCCATCCATCCACCCATCCATCCATCTATCTATTGATTTGCCCATCTATCCATATATTGAGCTCTAATATATGCCAGGACCTAAGCTAGGCATGCAAGATTTGGCTGTAAGCAAGAGAATCATGATCTTGGCCCTCTCAAAGCTCATAGTCTTATGGGAAAAGCAAATAGGCAGACAGGCATTGACCACACTGAGAAGGAAGCACACGATGTCAATGGTAGGCTGAGAGTTTCAAACTGATGGCCTATGGGATAGATTCACCACAGACGTATTCTAATTTGGCCTTGATACTGATTGAAAATAAAGAAAACTTTACATAAATTTAAATCATGTACAAAAATTTACATAAAATTAAATTAAAATCATTTACATAAATTTAAATTTTCAGGTTTTCATGAAAACCCAGGATATCTGGCCACACTGAGCTTTCATTCTTAAATAGCAACAATCACTAGATCCTAACAGCAGAAACTCTCAAGTTCTTCCCATTCACCACCAGTCCCTATTGCCCTACACATGGCCCGATCCCTCCAGACATTTTAGCCAGCCTGTCTAGGAATAGGTTCAAGAGGACTTACTATGGCAAAAAAAGGACCTGAACCTCAAAGGTTTTTATTCAGAATGGCAAACAAGGCTGAGTCATGGTGGAAATCACAAGCCCTCAACTCTGGGGATGTCATGGATAGTGGTATGTAAGCTGGGATGGGAAATTGGACTGGAGTGTTCAGGTAGCATCAGCATACACACAGGCTCTGGGGCCCTCAGGATGAAACTACCAGGTATGGAGCCTCAGGAACATAAACCACCCCAGTTAAGCCTCCAACACAGGTGTCCTGGCTGCCTCTCCAAGGCCACATCCACCTCTCCAGCTTGCCTGACTCAGAGCATTCTCAGAGCTCACTTCTCCCCTAAGATGTTCTTGGCTCTCCTAGAACTCTGGGCTTGTCTTCTCAGACTTGGCATTAAATAATTAACTATTCAGTTTGTGGCTAAAGGTCTATGCTTCAGTTAAGGGTCTTAGGGTGCAAGCAACAGAAGTGGACTCAGGCTAATATTAATAGATGCCAAAGGGAACTTACTGGAGTCATACTAGGGGCTCATAACCAAGTGAAGACTAAAGAACCTGGCTGGAACCAAGGCAGGAAGCAAAGAAATGTCTGAGGGCTGGCTGACGGGCCATGGGTCAGCCCCTTCAGGGAAGAAGGAGGGTCCTAGGCTTTACTCCCATCAGCTGTAGCCAAAGAGTGGAGGTAAGCCCTCAAAGGGAAATTGTCAGGGAATTAATCTGGATGTGCCCTGGTATAGATTTCAGCTGGGAAGTATCCATCCAAGTATTTTATACAAATGTAAGACAAAACCAAAGTTTAAAAAAATACACTAAAAGTAAAAAGTAAAATGAAACAAACCTACAAAAACCAACCACACAAATCATTTTTTAAAAAAAAGAGTAATTTGATTATACATCCTTGGTAGGATATACCCTGAAATCCTTAAGAAGAAAAAAACTGCAAAAAAGGAGAAAGGTACTAAGTACCCACCATGCATCATGTCGCTGTAGATGCTATGAAATGGTGATAAATAAGCTAGGCATCTCTACCCTCCTCTCTACCCTCCACCATCCATATCCCTTTCCAATAGCATCCCAATTTCCTTAAAAACGTTATTATGGAAAACCTCAAACACATACAAAAGTAGACAGAATCGCATAACAAACACTCATGTATTCACCACTCAGCATCCCCCATTATCCATCTTACTTCATTTTACCCCACCCACTTTTCCCCTCCCATATAATTCCGAAGCAAATTCCAGATGATATAATTTCAGTATACCTTCATAAATATTTCAGTATGTCTCTCTAAATGATGACTTTAAAAAAAAAAACCAATACCATTACCACACCTAAAACAAATAAATCCTTAATATCATCAAATATTCAGTCAGCATTCAGATTTCCAATTATTTCATAAACATTATAAAATGTCTCACAGATGGTTTGTTTCAACCAGAAAACAAACAAGGTTCACACAGTGTGACTGCTTGATATGTGTCTGAAGACTCTATTAATTCATAGGTTCTCTCTCCAGTGCTTTCTCCACCTTATAAGGGATGCGTCAAAAAAAAAACAAAAAACAAAAGGCCAGGTGCAGTGGTTCTTGCCTGTAATTTCAGTACTTTGGGAGGCTGAAGTAGGAGGATTGCTGGAAGCCAGGAGTTCAAGACCAGCCTGAGCAACACAGTGAGATCCCACTCTACAAAAACTTAATTAGTTGGGCATGGTGGCACACACCTGTAGTCCTACCTACTTTGGAGGCTGAGGCAAGAGGATCGCTAGAGCCCAGGAGTTTGAGGCTGTGGTGAGATATCATGGCACTCCAGCATGGGCAACAGAGCAAGACCCTGTCTGGGAAAAAAAAAAAAAAAGCTGGCTTGATTTTCCTCTAGAGTTTCCCACAATCTAGATTTTGCTGATTGCATCCCTGTGGTGCTGTTTAACATGTTCCTCTGTCCTCTGAATTTCCCGGAAGCTGGTAGCTGATCTAGAGCTGTGCTGTGCAGTGCCATGGCCACCAGCCATATGAGGCTACTGAGCACTTGAAATGCAGTTGATCCAAATTGCAATGTGCTGGAATTGTAAAATACAGCCCAGGTTTAAAGACTTCATATGAGAAAAGAACAGAAGCTATTTCATTGATCACTTTTTCTACTGATTATATCCTGGAATGCTAATATTTTTGATATATTGAGTTAAATAAAATATATTATTAAAATCGACTTCACGTCTTTCTTTGTACTTTTACAAATGTGATTTCTAGAGAATTCCAAATTGCAGGCATGAAATGTGACTCCCACTGATGTGTTTCATTGGATAGTGCTGGGCTAGAGGCTTGATCAGATTTAAGTTCCATTTTCTGGCAAGACTCCCTTCAAGGTGATGCTGTGTTCTTCCACCAGGAGCCACAGAGTGTCTCCTGGCCTCTCCTTCTGTGAGGTTTGCAGTCACTGGTACCCAAAGCCTGGATCCATTAATCCAATGAGGATTGCAAAATTATGATATTCTCCTTCTACTATTTTATCTTTATTAGCACTTTTCTGTAAAGAACAACTTCTTGTGACCTTAAGGAAATTAAGTCGCTTCCTCAGAAATGTCTTCCCTGATGTCCCTGTTGAAGGGAATCCACAGTAGTTCCTTTCAGTGCACTATCTGTCTCCTTCATGGCCCTCTCTCCTATTGGCCATTATCAATGTATGTGCTTGCTTGCCTATTGACTGATGGCATCCTCCACTGTAGTGGAAGCCCCATAAGAGGAGGGTCTTCCTCTGGCTTGGTCATGCTTGAAGGCTTAGCCTCCCAGCCCGAGATGCCAGGGGTCTATGTGTGGAAGGGATAGAGGGATTCTGAAGCAGACAGAACCCCAGACCCTAACACGGGAAACCTGAGTTCTAATCTTGACTCTGCCATTTACTGAGGGACCCTGGGTCAGGCCCAACTTCTGTGGGCCTCGATTTCCTCAAATGGAGCAGGCAGGTGGGCAGTCTGGTTGCTGAAGCATGGTTGCAGCTCTGAGGGGCTCTCCCTCTGCAAGACTGGCCTTCTACTAGCTCATGCTTCTAGAGGCCTCTCTCCCACCAGGGCTGCACAGGGACCAGGTGGCAGATGATTAAAGAGACACCCTGCAGCTAAGAAATTCAAAAGCTAATTAACCCCAGCTCGGCCGACTCAAGAGAAGCCAGTCTGGTACTGAACTGATGGCGGGTGGCATTAATACCTAATGGTTCATAAATCGCCCTCCTTCCCGAAATTCCTCCTGCTTCCAAAAGCACTTTCAATCAAGCAAAAAGCATCCACAAAGTGCCTCTGAGCCCTGTCCCCTGGGAGAAAGAGGCCATGAAACAGAAAGCCACCCCATCAGGAGCTAATGAGGGAACTGAACAGGCAGGATTTAACATTCACACACGTGTCAAGCAGAGCAGGGTGAGGAGTTTGCTTGCCCCCATCTTGCAAAGTTGTTGGAAAAATTCAGGGAAATAAGGAATGTGAAAGCTTTAACACTCTGTCTGGAGCATTCTTACTGCTCACAATCAGTATTGGTCTCTCACAGTCCTGCAGGGTCATCTCAGTAGACAGGAATATCCCCACCTGGCCTTTTGGGAAACTGAGGCTCAAGATAAAAACTGACTTGACCAAGGTTATACAGCTACTGGGTGGCAGAGCCCAACTCATGCTGACTTATTCATTCACTAAGAAATACTTCCTGGGCATCTGCTGTGTGCTGGACCCTATGCCAGGCATTGAGGACACACAGGTGTGAGTCAGGGACTGAATTGGTCCCACTGAGAGGAAAAGAGGCAGGATTGGTATCCCATGTCAGTCACTGGCCACAGTTTGTCCTGGGTATGAAAGGTAGGAGCTCCCAAACAAGGGGTGTATTAGTCCATTTTCACACTGCTTTGATAAAGACATTACCTGAGACTGGGTAATTTATAAGGAAAAAGAGGTTTAATGGACTCACAGTTCCATGTGACTAGGGAAGCCTCACAATCATGGCGGGAGGTGCAAAGCACATCTTACATGGTGGCAGACAAGAGAAGAGCGCTTGTGCAGGGAAATTCCCCTTTATAAAATCATCAGATCTCTTGAGACTTATTCACTATCATGAGAACAGCACGGGAAAGACTCGCCCCCATGATTCAGTTACCTCCCACCAGGTCCCACCCACAGCACGTGGGAATTGTGAGAGCTACAATTCAAGATGAGATTTGGGTGGTGACACAGCCAAACCATATCTAGGGGGTTCCCATTTGGCTGAGGACAATTCTCAAAACAGGAGGGTCACCAATAGCACCCATCACAGATGATAAACAAGACAAGATGCAGCTTCTACCTCCAGGGGCCGCACAGTATCAAAAGAAACCCTCAGAAAACTCACTAAGGCTTCCTAATACCAATTTATCAAGGTTGTCCCTTTTTATGGGACGCAAGAGGGATTACCAGTCATTAAAAACAACTTTGTGAGAACGTACTGTGTGCCAAACACTGTTGTAAGCCCTTGAGAGACAGAAGTGACAACAGGGAAAAAGCAGAGCTTATATTCCAGTGGAGGGCAGGGCCACCCTGTTGTCCAACTCCAGGAGTTGCCATTGCTGCATTACGTTGAAGTCAATGTGAATGGTGACCTCTATGGCTGTACAGTGCACAGCCTGTGCAGCAGGACATGACTGTCCCAGTTGGGAGAGGCAAGTAACAAACAACATAGATAAGCATAAGATACCATGTTAGGTGGTGATAAATGTTGAAGAACACAAAGCAGGGACTCCAGAGAGGATATGGGCATGGGTAAGGGCGCTATTTTAGATAGGGTGACCAGGGACAGCTCGCTGTGAAGATCACCGCATCAGTCAGGGCGCAACAGAAAGTGGGTCGTTGGAGGAGAGTTAGCAAAGGGCCTATTTACAGCGATGTGGGCAGGATGGAGGGAAACTATAGGGAGAGTGGGGCTATTATCCCCTTGTGGCAGAAAGGGGAGGACACGTGACAGACCACAAAGAGAGAGGGCGGTATGGAGAGCCCACTTGACAGTTGCCTGGAGAGCAAGCCTGGGAATAAATGTCCTGGCTTAACCCCTCTCTTCCCTCAGTCAATCTTTACACAGTGCCCCCATGGGCCAAATCCAATGGAAGCCAGAGGGCCAAGAAGCATGTTGATTTCATCCTAGTCAACACCTGGGGACACAGCAGAGTGGACACCGGTATTGAGTGGATCCGGATGAATGGACCAAACACACTCCTACAGGACACTGAGCAAAGCCCCAAAGGAGGCAGGGAGCAGGCCAGTGACGCCTGCAGGAGAGAACTCCAGGCAGAGGGGCAGCATGGGTGGGTCAGTGGATGCCTGCAAGAGCGCACCCCGGGCAGAGGGGACACCCTGGGCGGGTCAGTGGACACCTGCAGGAGAGCGCCCCGGGTGGAGGGGACACCCTGGGCGGGTCAGTGATGCCTGCAGGAGAGCACCCCTGGCAGAGGGGATGGGCTTCGCCCTGAGGTGGAAGTGTGCCTGCTGCATCTACACAATAGCAATAGCGTACAGGCCTCTGTGGCCGTGGTAGAGTGAGAGGGGGTGGAGGAAATCAGAAGAGAGCAGGGTGCTGGGCGGGGCAGATTGTCTCGGCTTTTGAATGAGATGAAAAGCCCTGGAAGGATGCTGAGATGGGGAGGGGCATGGTCTAACAGGTTTTAGGGGCTCCCTCTGGCTGCGGTGCAGAGAACAGAGGGTACCAGGGCAGATGTGGAGGCAGGGAAGTCAGGCAGGAGGCTGTTGCAGAGGTCCAGGAGTGAGATGGTGGGGAGGTGCTGGAACAGGAGTGAGAGGAGTGAGGTGGTCACACATGGTTGGATAGTGATTCTACTTGAAAGTAGAGCAACGGGATTGGGCTGTAGGGTGTTGCTATGGTTTGAATGTTTGTCCCCCACAAAACTCACGGTGAAATTTCATCCCCATTGTGGCAGTATTGACAGGTGGGGCCTTTAAGAGGTGACTGGATCATGAGGGCTCTGACCTCATGAATGGATTAATTCATTCATGCATTAGTGAATTAATAGGTTAATGAATTAACGAGTTATCATGGGAGTGGGACTAGTGGCTTTATAAGAAAAAGAAGATAGACCAGAGCGGGCATGCTCAGCCCCCTCACCATGTGATGCCTTGAGCTGCCTCTGGACTCTGCAGAGAGTCCCCACCAGCAAGAAGGCCCTCACCAGATGCAACCCCGCAACCTTGGACTTCTCAGCCTCCATAACTGTGAGAAATAAATTCCTATTCTTTATAAATTACCCCATTTCAGCTATTCTTCTATAAGCAACAGAAAACAGACTAAGACAGGTGTGAAAGAAAAAGAAGTTGTGACTCCTGGCTGGCATCCTTAAGCAACTTATCCACAGCCTGTATATGCCCCTTTTCAGACATGGCTTGCTTGTCATTGGTGGAGAAGGAGAACCTATAATGTCTGCAAATTCCCTGTAAAGTCTCTGGAGATGACTGCTGGCTGCAGGTAGGGAAGGAGCATAATATTAGTGTTATGGTTCTGCTTAAAAGACGATGTCCTTGTCTTTTAGAGTTACATTCTGAAATACTTGCAGCTGAAATGATGAAAAGATATACTGCAAAACTATCTTTGCAATATATACTGCAAAATAGTTTGAGGGTAGGTGAGGCTATAGAGGAAACAAAATTGGACATGGAGAGTTTTGAAGTTGGGTGATGGTACATGGTTGCTTATTATACTATACTCTTTACTTTTGTGTAGTTTAAATTTTTCCAAATAAAAGTTTGGGCCAGGCGAGGTGGCTGGCCAGGCGCAGTGGCTCATGCCTGTAATCCTAGCACTTTGAGAGGCCAAGGCAGGTGGATCACCTGAGGTCAGGAGTTCGAGACCAGCCTGGCCAACATGGTGAAACCTCATCTCTACTAAAAATACAAAAATTAGCCAGGCGTGGTAATGGGCACCTGTAATCCCACCTGCTCTGGAGGCTGAGGCATGAGAATTGCTTGAACCCAGGAGGCAGAGGTTGCAGTGAGCTGAGATCGTGCCACTGCACTCCAGCCTGGGTGACAGAGCAAAACTCCGTCTCAAAAAAAAAAAAAAAAAAAGGTGGTTTTTTTAACCCTTTTTAGAGACCCATGTGATGGAATTGTTCTGTATTTTGACTGTGGTGGTGGTCACATGAATCTACATATGTGATGAAATTACAAACATTAATTATACACATGCATACACACACAAATGAGTGCATGTGAAACTGGCGAAATCTGAATAAGGTCAGTGGATTCCATCAATGCCAATATCCTTGGTGTGATATTGTACTATAGTGACATCAGATGTTAGCACTGGGGAAAAATGGTGGGAAAGGATATGGAACCTCTCTGTAGTCATTCTGACAAGTAGCTACATGTAAATCTATCATTATCTTAAAATTTTGTTTAAAAATTCCCAAAAGAATAGGGGAGAAAATAAAAAGTACTGGCAAGGTTGTGGAGAAATTGGAACTTTTGTAAATTGTCGGTGGGAATGTAAATGGTGCAGTGGCTGTGGAAAACAGGATGACATATCCTCAGAAACTTAAACATAGTATTACCATATGATCTGGCAATCCCATTTTGGGTTTATACACAAAAGAGTTGAAAGCAGGGACTCAAACAAATACTTGTACACCCATGTTCATAGCAGCATTACTCACAATAGCCAAAAGGCAGAAACCACCAAGGCTCTATCGAAGGATAAACTGATAAGCAAAATGTGGTCTCTCCATACAATGCAATATTACTCAGCCTTAAAAAGGAAGGAAATTCTGACCCATGCTACAACATGAATGAACCTTGAAGACATCGTGCTAAGTGAAATAACCCAGTCACAAAAAGACAAGTGCTATGATTCCATTTATAGGAGGTACCCAGTGTAGTCAGATTCATAGAGACAGAAAGCAGAATGGGGGGTGCCTGGGGTTGGAGGAGGAGAGGTGTGGGAGTGTAATGGGTGCAGAGTTTCGATTGAAGATGAACACGTTCTGGAGATGGATTGTGGTGATGCTTGCATAACGGTGTGAATGTACTTAATGCCACAGAACTTTACACCTAAGAATGGTTAAGATGGGCCGGGTATGGTGGCTCACCCCTGTAATGCCAGCACTTTGGGAGGCCAAGGCGGGCAGATCATCTGAGGTCAGGAGTTTGAGTCCAACCTGGCCAACATGGTGAAACTCCATCTCTACTAAAAATACAAAAATTAGCCAGGCATGGTGGTGATGGGCGCCTGTAATCCCAGCTACTCGGTAGGCTGAGGCATGAGAATCTATTGAACCTGGGAGGCAGAGGTTGCAGTGGGCCAAGGTTGCACCACTGCACTCCGGCCTGGGCAACAGAGCGAGACACTATCTCAAAGAAAAAAAAAGAATGGGTAAGACGGTAAATTTTATGTCACGTATATTTACCATTAAAAAATGATTAGGGGAAAACAGGTCCATCAGTTTCTCAAAAAAAGTAAAAGTGGGTTATAATTGGATGCCACCAGGGCCCCTTGTTTTCTGCCCTGAATGACATAATAAAAGGCAGAGGGAAAGCCTTTGACAGACTCTCTGGGTGCCCTGCATTTCCATTTCAGTGCCATATAAAGAATCCCAGACAGCGCTCTCTCAGACAAGGGCAACATCCCTGATGTGGGAGTCCCTACAACAGTGAGGAATCAATTGTCAGTCAGCCCACACCGTGGTGACAGCCCTCCAAGACAGGTCCCTCCGCTTTGAGAACACGTAGAGGGAGCCTGGGCAACCAGCTAACTGCTACACAGCCTCCAGATCCTAGCTCCAGTGGCCCTTTCTCAAGAACACCTGTGATTTTCAGAACCAGGTCATGTTTCTATATCTCAGGATCCCTATATATCCCAATTCTCCAGGAAAGTCTCAGTTTATGCCAGTGTCCAGGCATAATTATTAATGGCACCCACTTCCACTCTCAAAGCGTCCAGGCTTAGTAAGTAAATTATGTCGTCACCCCAGCTATTACCGACTTACAGAGCTGCTCATAATTGACTAAGTAAGAAGACGTAATGTCCGTCTCCCTGGGTCCTAGAGGGCAGGGACATGCCTGTCTTCTTCACTGTCATATGTGCAACGCCTAGCACAGAGCTTTGTGTACAGCACTACATGTACTATAGCATACAAGAGTTCTCCCCATAAATCCCCTGCACATCTGCTGTCTCAGTGTCTGTGTCTTAAAGGATCTGAACTGGCGCCCCAGCCATTGCAATAGCACTGTGAGCTGGGAACCCGAGTCTGTTTCTACCGTGCCATCCAAGGCGCCCTGCTTCCCACGGTAAGGAGGTGAGACCTTGCCCAGCCCCCTCCTCCAGTGCTCACAGCCAGCAGTGGAGAAATGCAGTCTCTGGCTAGTGCCCTTGTACCTTCACAGATTTTTCTTTTCCATTTCTCCACCTTGACCAGTTAACTCAAGAAAATATCATTCTCTCTCTCTCTCTCTCTCTCTCTCCCTCTCTCTCCCCCACCATCCCTCTGGGTCTCAACCTTTGAGAGTTTCTCGCCAACTCTTACGTCCTCCCCCTCACCCACATTTAACTCTCCCATCCAAAATCAGCCTTATAAACATGAGTTTCATCCATGGCATAAGCTAAATCGAGAAGAGATATAACAAGAATTACACGACATGTGAAGCTCTTGAATGTATCCAGACATTGTCATCTGCATCTTCACAAATGTCTGGCCTCCACTAATTAAATTTGCCTTTCTCCAGCTGCAATATTCAAGATCAATGAAATAGAAAAGGGCATTGATTAAACTGCTGTAGTTCTAGTGGTGCATAAGCCTGGCTGCACTTTAGAATCCCCAGGAAACTTCTAAAAAACAGCAATGCCCAGGCCCCACCCCAAGAGATTTAGATTTAATTGCTCAGAGGTGGGGCCTAGACATCAACTTCCCTGGGGTATGAGAGTGTGCGGCCAAGAACAACGGTTGCAAGAAGCTTTCTACATGCTTTAGCTAATTCTGTCAGGTGAGTGCTAGGATCTCATTTTGCAACATGAGAGAACTGGTGCCTAGCGACCTGGAAGGAAATAGAACTCAGATGTCCCAAGTCTGTGCCCAGTGCTAGCCAGAGGCAGCCTGGGAGCTAGGAAGAAAGCACCAAGGAAAGCATTTCCCCTCTCCCTCCCCAGTCCCCTCCACCCAGCGAATTATCCAGCTGTTGCTTAGGGCGCTATTCTTCACCTTAAGATGCCAGTCCCTGGGTTGGGTTGGGTTTTCTTATGCGAACATCCTGGAACAGCTATTTATCCAATTATACTGAGGGGAGAGAGAGACCCTCTCATATGGTTTTATATTGTTTTATACTCAGTACCTGTTTTAAGAAAAAACAACAAGGAAGTAAAACCAAAGACAGGCAGTCCGGCACCAGGCCCAAAACCAGGCCTAGGCCTGCCTGGCCTAAACCCAGTAGTTAAAAATCAACTCATAACTTAGAAACTGATGTTATTCATAGATTCCAGACATTGTAGAGAAGAACATTGTGAAACTCCCTGCCCTGTTCTTTTTCTCTCTGACCACCGGTGCATGCAGCCCCTGTCACATACCACCTGCTTATCAAATCAATCACGACTCTTTCATGTGAAATCTTTAGTGTTGTGAGCCCTTAAAAGGGACAGAAATTGTGCATTCGGGGAGCTCGGATTTTAAGGCAGTAGCTTGCCGATGCTCCCAGCTGAATAAAGCCCTTCCTTCTACAACTCGGTGTCTGAGAGGTTTTGTCTGCGGCTCGTCCTGCTATAATACTTTGTAAGATAGTGCTTAGTTGTCATGTCTGTCTTCCTCGTCCCAGAGATCTGGGTCTTACTGTCACGGATTTGACTGTAGAACCCAGCACAATGCTTGGCTCACAGTAGATGCTCCAAGAAGGTTTGTTAAAGATTGTTTGGGCACATGTGAAATGGGACAGAGCGTTAGATGGGCAGTCAGACAGGCAGGAACACATGGTTGGGTGGATGATAAACAGATGAATAGATGAATAGATATAAAGGAAGGCATGGCAATCAATTGGAAGAGTGGATGGGTGGATGAAAGAATGAATTTGTCTATGCCCTGGTTTGTGTCACAAAGGATTTGAGGTGCTTATAGTACAATTTAAAAATAAAATTTTAGCACTCTGTCTGTACCTGGCTCTGTTCTAGGCCCTTGGAATACATCAGTGAGCAAAAGATAAAGATTATTCCCCTTGCAAAGCTTATATTTTAGCTGCATGAGGTAGACAATGAACAATAACCATAATAAATAAGTAGATCATGAAATATGTTAGAAGGTTAAGGGCTAAGAAACAAGAGAAAAGTGCAAGGAAGTGAGAGTGGGAAAGGCAAGGAGGTGGAGGTGGGATGCAAGTCTAAATGGGGAGGTCAGGGAAGGCCTCGTTGAGAAGCTGAGCAAAGAATTGAAGGAGGTGAGGGAGGTGCCTGCAGAGAGCAGGGCTTGAACTGCCCAGGTGGAGGAAAGGCTCGGAGTAGACACGTGCTGCTGTGTCTGAGGGGCCATAGCAAAGGAGCCAGAGTGGCTGGAGGAGCAGAGAGTGAAGCGGGGAGTAGGAGGGGGCCAGAGGTCAGGGGGTGGCCAGGTCCCATAAGGCCTTGTAGGTGATGGTGAGGACTCTATGCCAAGTGATATGGGAGCCATAGAAGGGTGTTGAGCAGAGGAGGGCTATGATCTGGGGTATATTTTTAAAGGATCCCTCTGGCCACTCTGTTGCAAATCAGTAAATCATAGGAGGTCAGGGCAGAATTAGAAAGAGGCACACAAAATTTGTCCAGCTGAGAAGGGATGGTGGCTCTGACCAGGAGAGAAGGTGGTCAGAGTCTGGATATATTCTGAAGGTAGATCCAATCTTCATGGTGGCTTGGGTATGGGGTGTGAGAGAAAGAAGACAGTCAAGTTTAATGCCAGGGTTTTTGTTCTGTGCAACTGCAAGAAAGGAATTGTCATCAACTGAAACGAGAAAATCTGGGGTCAGGTCAAGGGGTAGAGAGGAATTGGGAGTTTAGTTTTGGACAGAAGGGGTTTAGGTGGGCATTGGCTACCCATTGGAGATGTCAAAAAACAGTCAGAAGCCAGGCGCAGTGGCTCACGCCTATAATCCCAGCACTTTGGGAGGCCAAGGTGGGCAGATCACTTGAGGTCAGGAGTTTGAGACCAGCCTGGCCAACATGGTGAAACCCCATCTATACTAAAACTACAGAAATTAGCTGGGCATGGTGGTGGGCACCTGTAATCCCACTTACTCGAGAGGCTGAGGCAGAAGAATCATAGTGAGCCACGATTGTGCCATTGCACTCCAGCCTGGGCGACAGAATGAGACTCCGTCTCAAAAAAACAATAAAAATAAAAACAATTGTATTATTAGTCAGAATTCAAGTGAGAGGACGAGGCTAGAGACGTAAATGTGAGAGCCACATGTAAATGATATTGCAAGCAATGAGACTGGGTGAAATTACCAAGAGAGTGAGCACAGATGGATAAGAGAAGAGGATGGAGAACTGAGCCTCGGGTCATCCCAACATTAAGAGGTTGGGGAGAGGAGAGAAAAGACAGACGGTGAGACCAGTGAGGTAGTAGGAAAACCAAGAGAGCATGAGGCCTGAAATCAAACAAAGCAAGGGCAGTCAACTGTGCCAAGCCCAGTAGGACAAGGACTGAGACTTGACCATGGATCTTGCCATGTGGAGGCCATTGGTGACCTGGATGAAGGGCACCAGTAGAGCAGTGGGAGCGAATGCCTGATTGGAATGTGTTTAAGAAAAATGGGAGGGAGGAACTGGAGAAACTGAGGACGGACAGCTCTTTGGAAGAGTTTTGCTGCAAAAGGGAGAGTGGTGGTTTGTGGCTTGGTGGCCCACAAAGAATCTCATCTCTTGGTATTCAAGTCCTTGTGCAGTTTCCTCCCCTTGAATCTGGGCTCTCCCTGTGATTTGCTTTAACCAATAGAATCTGGCAGAAGCAACACTGTGTCAGTTCTGACCTAAAACTTAACAAGGGTTTTTGTTGGTGGTATTGTTGTTGTTATTTCAAAGATGGGAGAAATAGTAGCATTGTGTACGCTTGATGAGAATGATCCAGAGGAGGTAAAAAATGATGCTGTGGCAAGAGGGACAATCGCTGGAGAGATGTCCTTGAGCAAATGAAAGGGGCAGGGTCTAGGGCACAAGTACAGATACATAAGTGCACCATCAATTCATCTCTAGTGAAGCGTGTGGGTGGAGATGCTGGTGGGCGGGGAGGTGTGTGGTGGGGTCTCAGGACATTCTGATTGCTTCCATTATCTCAGTGAATAGGAAGCAGACAGGACAGGAGAGGAGGCATTAAGGGTTTAGGGGAGGAGAGGAGTCAAACGGTCCCTAGCAGAGCTGGAGAGAGAATGACTAGGGAGGCAGAGTATAATTGCTAGGCAGCATTGAGAGTGCTCTCAACATTCAAGGTCATGACTCAAGTGAACACAGTCAAAATGGTTGTGAAACACCATGTGAAAAACATGGCTTTTCTCTAGGCATGTTCTGCTGCATGGGGGTAAGGCAGGGTTGGCAGAAAGTGGGATACATTATGACCAGAGTGGTGGCTTAGCCAAGCAAGTTGGAAAACATCGATAATAAATGAGGAAATAAAGAACCTGGGAACATGTAATTCAGATTAAAAGCTCAAGACCAGGGGCAAAATTAGAAAGCAGAGGGAGGGAGAAAGAAGGAGAGGGGGAGAGAGTAGAAGAAAAAAAAGAAGGAAATGTGGTCATGTTTTACATTGGTTTTTGTTTTGTTTTGTTTTGTTTTTGAGAGAGACAGAGATAGAGTTTCGCTCTTGTTGCCCAGGCTGGAGTGCAATGGTGCGATCTTTGCTCACCGCAGCCTCCGCCTCCTGGGTTCAAACAATCCTCCTGCCTCTGCCTTTGCCTCCTGAGTGGCTGGGATTACAGGCACCTGCCACCACGCCAGCTAATTTTTTGTATTTTTAGTAGAGGCGGGGTTTCACCATGTTGGCCAGGCTGGTCTAGAACTTCTGACCTCAGGTGAACGAGGCCTCCCAAAGTGCTGGGATTACAGGCCTCGTGAGCCACCATGCTCAGCCCTACATTGGTATGATTAGATAACTGTGCCTCAGTGTGCATGAGTTCCAGATCTTGTACAGAGAAAATGTTTTCATAGGAAGGGTAAGGAGGGGCCTGAAGCAGACATGGAGGTGACAACTGAAGCACCTCCCCCTGTCTCCACCCCACCCACAACAAAACCAGCTTTTTTTTTTTTTTTTTTTTTTTTTTTTTGAGACAGCGTCTGCTCTGTCACCAGGCTGGAGTGCAGTGGCATGATCTCGGCTCACTGCAACCTCCACCTCCTGGGTTCAAGCGATTCTCCTGCCTCAGCCTCCTGAGTAGCTGGGATTACAGGTGCCCACCACCACACCCGGCTAATTTTTTGTATTTTTAGTAGAGACGGGGTTTTGCCATGTTGGCCAGGCTGGTTGCAAACTCCTGACCTCAAGTGATCTGCCTGCCTTGGCCTCCCAAAGTGCTGGGATTATAGACGTGAGCCACTGTGCCCGGCCCTAAACCCAGCTCATTTTAAACATTGGTTTCAATTCCATTCACCCTATGATGGAGCATCCTGCCCCTCCCCGACAACTCCCATACACCACTGAGCCTCCCCTACCCCAGGTGCCTGCAAGCCCCTCAGAGACCAAGGCTGTGTGCCAGGGCTTTTCTCTCCCAGAACATCCTTGATAGCCACATTTAGAAAACAGTCGCCAGAATGGCCTCTGTATTGCCAGCAGTTTGGCAGTGGGAAAGCCAGCTTTTGGCTTCCAGACAGGAAAAGCAAGGCGTGCTGACCACACACAGCCTGCACCTCAGTGACCCTCTGGCCAGAGGCTGCCTTAGGATTCTGGGAGGAGAGCTAGACCTGGTTCCCTGCAGCAACACCTTGGGAGGTTAAAAAATACAGATGACTGGGTCTCTACCCCAACCCAGCAGTAGGATCCAGGGATCCTTATTTCTAACAAACTCCCCCGATGATTCCAACACACGTCAAGGCTGGAAGCAACCGATTCGTTTCTTTGGGCCTCAGTTTCCCCATCCAACTTAAAACTCACACAGGAGTCTAGATAATCTTCTTTGAGCCTCACGGCCATCTAAAAAAATGTCATTGTTCCCATTTTTGAGATGGGAAGAATGGAGGTTTATAGAGGCAAAGGGATGAAGGGGTGGGCCACATGGTCATTAGTCTTTTTCGGCGCTGGGGTTTGAAGATCCTAAGACGACCTAAGGAAGGCAGCTGAATCCGCCTTCCAAACCCCTGGGGTAGACTCAGGCTCTCACACACCCAGGAGAGTCATTTCTAGGCACATCTTCTCGGGTGACTCATGAGCACCAAGGCAGGCCTGTGTGTCCAAGCGCCTGCACAGGCAGAAGCGAGGCTCTTTCCCATAACCGGAACCCTTACCGTGCCCCTAGCAAACTCCCAGCTCCTGCCTGACAAGTTACTGCCTAACCCGTGACTTATTTCGGGAATCCCTGACGCATTTCTTTACCGTCCCTCATTTCAAAGCACACCATGCCGGCAGCACTTGGAGGTGGTATGTGCTGGGAAACTGACCAACAGTTTAGTCAGACTGAGTCACTTCAAGGAGGGGAGTGGAGACAGCAGTGGGTGCCAGATGACACGGAGCTGTCGGCTTCCGTGTGCATTTTCTTTTGATAGTAGCCGTAGAGAAGTTGTCCGCCAGGCAGCCCTCAATGGGATTTTTCATTTAAGAAAAATCACTCTGCTCGTGCACTGATGGAGAAATGAACTACAAGAAGCAAGCCCTGAGGTCTGGAGACAGGAAGCTACTGAAACCAGCCAGGTGAGAGGCAATTACCGCCTAGACTCCGCTGGGGCGTGGGGAAGAGAATGGAGGGGTGACGGGCTCTGGGGGCTGATTAGATGCTGGAATGATGGGGGACGAGTCACCAGGGACTGAGGTGGCTGATTGGATGCTGGAGTGATAGGGAGGAGTTACTGTGGGCTGTGGTGACTGATTGGATGGTGGCACAAGGTGGGAGGAGTCATCATGGGCTGTGATGGCTGATTGGATGGTGGAGTGATGGGGGAGGAGTCCAGTCAGCCCCCAGTGTTCTGGCTTGAGCGTCTGAGTTATTGATTGAGTCCTTCTTGAGGATGGGGAACAGCGACCGGAACGGACCCTGTTATCTTCAGATTCACATCCTCCACGCCTGGCACATAGCAGGCCATCTGTAAAGGTACTGAGGTACTAAGTTGTCCTCTTGAGTGAGGCCACTGATACACTTTCTTTTGTTATGGCGGGAGAGTATCTGGTGCTCTGGCTGAGGAACTAAGGTCCCTACCAGCCCAAAAGGAGCCCCAGTGTAAATTAGAAAAAGGCAGTACCCAGAGAATGGGAGAAAATATTTGCAACTCATATAGTACACCTGATACAGGTGTACTATCCAGAATACACAAGGAACTCTTTTTTTTTTGAGACGGAGTCTCCCTCTGTTGTCCAGGCTGGAGTGGAGTGTCGTGATCTCTGCTCACTGCAAGCTCCGTCTCCCAGGTTCACACCATTCTCCTGCCTCAGTCTCCCAAGTAGCTGGGACTACAGGCGCCCGCACCACGTTTGGCTATTTTTTTTTTTTTTTGTATTTTTAGTAGAGACGGGGTTTCACCGTGTTAGCCAGGATGGTCTCGATCTCCTGACCTTGTGATCTGCCCGCCTCGGCCTCCCAAAGTGCTAGGATTACAGGCGTGAGCCACCGCGCCCAGCCTAAACAAGGAACTCTTACAACTCAACACACACACACAAAAAACAACCCAGCCAAAAAATGGGTAAAGGACTTGAACAGACATTTCTCCAAAGATATACAGATGGCCAGCCACAATGAGGTACCACTTCACACTCACTAGGAGGGCTATAAGAAAATGGACAATAACAAATGTTGGCAAGGATGTGAAGACATTGGAGCCCTCAAACATTTCTAGATGGAATGTACCACGGTGCAGTTACTTTGGAAAACAGTTTGGCAAGTTCCTCAAAAAGTTAATCGTGGGATTACCATATGATCCAACAAGACCATCCCCTGGTATATACCCAGAAAAATGGAAAACATCTGTTCACACAAAAACTTGTACAAGAATGTTCATAGCTGAATTTTTTTTTTTTTTTTTTTGAGTGCAGTGGCATGATCACAGCTCACTGCAGCCTCCATCTCCCAGGCTCAAGCAATCCTCCCACCTCGGCCTCCCAAGTAGCTGGGACTACAAGTGTACACCACCATGTCCGCCCAAATTTTTCATTTTTTATAGAGACAGGGTTTTGCCATGTTGCCCAAGCTGGTGTCAAACTCCTGGGCTCAAACAATCCTCCCACCTCAGCCTCCCAAAGTGCTGGGATTACAGATGTGAGCCACTGTGCCTGGCCATAGCTGCATTGTTCTTTTTTTTTTTTTTTTAGAAAGAATTTTGCTCTTGTTGCCCAGGCTAGAGTGCAATGGTGCGATCTCGGCTCACTGCAGCCTCTGCCTCCCAGGTTCAAGTGATTCTCCTGCCTCAGCCTCCCAAGTAGCTGGGATTACAGGCATGCGCCACCATGCCCGGCTAATTTTGTATTTTTAGTAGAGATGAGGTTTCACCATGTTGGCCAGGCTGGTTTCGAACCCCTGACTTCAGGTGATCCACCTGCCTCAGCTTCCCAGAATACTGGGATTACAGGAACGAGCCGCCCGCCTTTTTTTTTTTTATTTTGAGGTGGAATCTTGCTCTGTTACCCAGGCTGGAGTGCAGTGGTGCAATCTCGGCTCACTGCGACCTCCGCCTCCCGGGTTCAAGCAATTCTCCTGCCTCAGCTTCCCGAGTAGCTGGGATTACAGGCGCCTGCCACCACGCCCAGCTAATTTTTATATATTTGGTAGAGACAAGGTTTCACCGTGTTGGCAAAGCTGATCTAGAACTCCTGACCTCAGGTGATCCGCCCACCTCAGCCTCCCAAAGTGCTGGGATTTCAGGCGTGAGCCACCGTGACCCGCCTGTTCTTAACAGCCAGTGGATATAACCCATATGTCCATCAACTCATGAAGGGATACACAAATTGTGGAATATTCACACAATGCGATATTATCGAGCCATAAAAAGGAATGAAGTACAGACACATACCACAACATGGGTAAAACTTGAAAAGTTTTAATGCCAAATGAAAGAAGACAGTCACAGAAGACAGCAAATTATAGAACTCCATTCATATGAAAGTTCAGATTCATGGTCGCCAAGAGATGGGGAAAGGGGGGGAATTAGGAGTTATGGAGTTGTTTTTTGGGATGATGGAAATGTTCCGAAAACTGCTAGTGGTGATGGTTGCACAACATTGTGACTATACTAAAAGCACTGAACTTTATACTTTAAAGTGGTTTAAATGGTAGATTCTATGTTATGTGAATTTTAGCTCATAAAAAAAATTTTTTTTTAAAGAAAAGAAATAGGAAGCATTCCTTCTGGGCAGGTGCAGCCTTGCAGGCACATGGCTTAGTAAACAAAGGGCCGTCCGGATTTCAGTCCCTTTTGGCCTAGTGCCCATGTACAGTGAACGACCCGCGCAGCTGTTCTTAGCTGCCCTGCGATGGGACATAAAAGCTTCTGCCCACATTTGGACCTCTATCCACCCCATCTGACAGAGAGAAGTAGTGAAGATTGAATGCATTTGCTAAGGCTGGATGAAACCCCGCCCCTCCCCCAAGGAGAACTAAATCACAGGAATGATTTTCACCCAAGAAGCAAAATAAGCGCCTTCCTCCCTCCTTAGGCGTGGCAGTTGACTTTGGCCCCAATACCAAGACCTCTCATTCTGCACACACCCTCCAGCTGCAATTCCACCTAACACACCAAGGCTCTTCCACACACCCAGGCTTTCTCATTCTTTCCACTCCAGCTATGTTCACCTCTTTGCCCTCGTACACCCTGGGAGCCCCTAGGGACTCACTCTGTTTCCTCTCAAACCCTCCCAGGCACCATCCTCTCCCCGAAGCCACTTCCCCATTCTCAGAACCCTGCTCGCGGGTGACCTCTTCCTGAAACCTCCCTCAGAGGAGCCCTGCCTACCTCCTGTCATACCCTTAGCACTTGTAAAACACCCAGTTACTGGGTTTTACCTGAACTCTGCCACTTCTAGGCTGCTTGGCTCTGCAAGAATCACACAACTTCCCTGACCTCAGTGTCCCCATCTGTAAAGTGTACAGGGCCACGCTTACCTGCCAGGTGTGATTCCATGGAATTAGGGATGTATAAGGCTTTGTAAGTGCAAAGTGCCAAGCCCTTAAGATGGGTTGTTGCTTTTCATTATTACTGTACAGGCCCGTGTGTGTTTCTGTGCAGAGAAATACCACACATTATGCATAAGCATCTGAACTTTCTCCCCTTGATTAAGCAGGTGCTCAAGGGCAGGGAAGGTGTTTGTTGCCTTTGGAGTGTACCCTCTGTCATCCCAAGCTATGAGGCCCAAGTAGAAGCCAGAATCCAAAATTCCTCTCCCCATCCTGGGATCCCAGGGCCATATTTTGCCTAGAGTCATAGGTTTTTGAGCTTCTGTCTCTCAGATCTGACCATAAAATCCTTAAGGTCAGGGACTCTGCAGGGAAGAGACTTCACTCATTCTGAACCTCAGTTTCTTTGTCTGTAAAATGGGGATAATAAACTTACCTATCTCACAGCATTACTGGAAGGGTTAAATGAAAAATCACACACTATGCTCCCAATAAACGTCAGTAATGAATACAAGGGTGATGTATTTATTATCTGTTGCTGCATAATGAATCACCCCAACATGTAGTGGCTTAAAACAACAATAATAATTTATTGTCTTTTATAATTTGGGGGGTCAGGATTTCAGGAGCAGCTTAGCTGGGCAGTTTTAGCCTGCTATCTCTCATGAGGCTGGGGCTTCAGTCATCTGAAGGCTTGACTTGGCTGGAGGATCCACTTCCAATTGGTTCACTCACATGTCCCAAGTTGATGCTGGCTGTTGGTGGGAGGCATTGGTTCTCCTTCAAAAGAGCCTCTCCACAGAGCTTCTTGAGTGTCCTCACAACATGGCAGCTGGCTTCCCCCAGTAGGTGATATAAGAGACCAAAGTGGAAGCCACACTATCTTTCATGATCTAGATAGAGAAGTCACATACTGTCACTTCTGCAGTATTCTATTGGTCATGGAAATCAGCCCTAATTCAGTGTGGGTTACCCAAGAACATGAATACCAGAAAGTGTCAGGGCCATCCTGGACACAAGCTATCCTAGATGATGCTATGTACATTCTTCATGTGTGATCACGTGTAGGGCAACTAGAAAGTGACATAGCCAAGATTTGAATTCATGTCTGCCTAGCTCCTGTTCCCAGCTCTTAACACTGCCCTGTGTTGGCACCCACTATCTTCATGCAAACAAAATCTTACTCTTTCAACAAGCCTTGTCTGAGCACCAACTGTACTAGATATGGGTAATGCCCTCTGCCCTCAAGGACCCCTTGGTCTACAAGGTATGTGGGTAGCAGAGCTAGACCAGGTCCCAAGTTCCCTGGCTTCTAGTTCACTGCTCTTTCTACCCTGGCATATGCAACAGAGGGAAAATCACCAAAGACTGGCAGCCCCTTTGGCAGAAACGGGTGGAAGAGAATTACAGAAAATGAACTGACCTTAGAGGCAGGAGTCCTGGAGCCTAGGTCTGTCTCTGACATTGATTTGTAGGACACCTTTGACAAGTCCCTTCTCTTCTCTGGGCCCAGCTGCCTTATTTGCAGAATTGCCTAAGGACCTTGCCTATGCAGATAGTTCATTCAATTACCATTCATTGAGGACCTACTCTGGGCCAGTTACTGCTCTAAGTGCTGGGGGTACAGTGAGGAAAAAGACAGAAACCCTGTGTTTGAGTCACTCACATTCAAATGGAGGCTTAGACACAATAAATAAGTAAACAAAGAAAAAAGACAATCAGAGATAGCAATGAGGACTAAGAAGGCCAAGTGATAAGCAGGAGCACTACCCTTACCCAGGAAAGTCTTCTCCAACGAGCCACAAGTGAGCAAAGACTGAATGATGAAGCCAGGCACAGTGGCTCACGCCTGTAATTCCAGCATTTTGGGAGGCCAAGACAGGCAGATCACGAGGTCAGGAGTTCAAGACCAGCTTGGCCAACACAGTGAAACCCTGTCTCTACCAAAAATACAAAAAATTAGCTGAGCATGGTGGCAGGTGCCTGTAATCCCACCTACCTGGGAGGCTGAGGCAGGAGAATTGCTTGTACCAGGTAGGTGGAGGTTGCAGTGTGCCAAGATCACGCCACTGCACTCCAGCCTGGGCAACAGAGCAAGACTCTGTTTTGGAAAAAAAAAAAAGATTGAATGATGATGAGGTGTCCGTGGCAAGATCTAAGGGATGAGTGTCCCAGGCATAGAGAACAGCGAGTGCAAAGGCCCCAAGACAGGACAAAAGCTTGCTGTGTTTGCAGGGCTGCAAAGAGCTGGAGGACAGTGGGCCCAGGGAACAGTGAAAGGAGGTGAGGACAGAGGGGACGCAGGGGTCAGATGATGTGAAGCCTTGTAGGCCAAAGGGAGGTGTGTGGAGTTGCTTCTAAGTGGGGTGTTTCTAAGTGGGGTGCTTCTAAGTTGCTTCTAAGTGGGGTGAGAAGCCTCTGGAGGGTTTTTAGTAAGAGTGATCTGATGTGTGTCCACAGGGCCCTCAACCTGCTGTGTGGAGAGTGGGCTGCAGAAGGCAAGGGTCTTGGTTCTTTTTGGTCAAGACCTCCAGATGTCCCAGCCTGAGAAGGCTTGTATGACTTGGGGCAGGAGAAGGGAGGGACATTACCACGCTGTATTACTGGGACAGTTCACCAGTCCCTGAGCTCACCATCTATCCAACTCCTGAGCAAGCTGATGGGAAAAACAACATGGAGCTCTGACCCTGGAAGCGATTCCTTAAATTCCCCACGAAGTTTTCCCAAACATCCCTGGAACTTCCAGATGCCTATTCTAGTCCGCAGGTTCATTGGTTGGGTTAATCCAAACTCACCCTGGCATTCCAGGCCTGCCTGGTCTAACCCCTCCAGTCTCCCTTGTAGAGTAGTAGATGAATGGTGACCCCTGGTCTGACCCCTGCAGATGAGTCTGCCTGGTAGACTCATCTCCCCCACATTCTCCAGTGTGGTCAGGCCAACCTGACTACCCACCATCCCCTGAGTGTTTCCTTTTCTTTCCTGCCTCCAAGGGTTTGCTCGTGCTGTTCTCTCCTCCTGAAACACATCCTCCCCCTTCAAGCCGGATCTTTTTTAGGTATCTTCAAGCTCCATCCCAAAATGCATGTCCTCCATGAAAAGACATTTTTCAAAAGATATACAAGTGGCCAAAAAAATATAAAAAAATGCTTAACATCACTAATCATCAGAGAAATGCAAATTGAAACTATAATGAGATGTCATCTTACACCAGTCAGAACGGCTATTGCTAAAAAGTCAAAAACCAACAGATGATGGTAGGGATGCAGAAAAAGGGGACCACTTACACAGTGTTGGTGGGAATGTAAATCAGTACAACCTCTATGGAAACCAGTATGGAGATTTCTCAAAGAACTAAAAATAGAACTACCCTTTGATCCAGCAATCTCACTACTGAGTATCTACTCAGAGGAAAATAAATTGTTGTATCAAAAAGACACCTGCACGCGTATGTTTATTGCAGCACTATTCACAACAACAAAATCATAGAATCAAACTAAGTGTCCATCAATGGAAAATTGGTCTAAAAATGTGATATGTATATGTGTGTGTGTGTGTGTGTGTGTGTATATATATGTCTATATGTGTATATATACATATAGACATACATCTATAGGTATATATACATATAGACATATAGACATACGTCTATAGGTATATATACATATAGACATATATATACACACACACACACGCCACACACATACATACACATCATGGAATACTACTCAGCCATGGCAAAGAATAAAATCGTGTCTTTTGCAGCAACTTCAAGCTGGAACCAGAAGCCATTATCATATGTCCTACAGCCCAGAGATGGGGTCATCACCACTTTAGCTACATAGCCTGAGAACAGGGAGGAGCAGGTCTTCCTGGGACAAACACAGTTCTGACTAAAGCAAAAGCAGAAGCAGGAGCCAAAGAGAGAAAAACAACATCTGGCCAACCACGACAACACTTATAAATGTAGCTCTTCCTGAATTGCTTGAACCCAGGAGGCAGAGGTTGCAGTGAGCCGAGATCACGCCACTGCACTCCAGCCTGGGTGACAGAGTGAGACTCCATCTCAAAAAATATATAATAAATAAATAAATAAATGTAGCTCTTCCTATCTTTTTCTCAGTAAATAGCTCCACCTTGCCATGAAAGGCAAGAACCCATGAGTTTCCTTAACGATTTCCTCTCCTGTCCCGCTATACTGCTGGTTACCAAAGTCTTCCTCCTAAGTATCTCTGGAAGCTCTTCTCCCAGCCCCAATCCCCATGGCCGCTGCGCTAGTTCAGGCCCCATACCCCATCTGTGGATTACTGCAACCACCTCTAAACCACCTTCCTCCCTTCCTCCAGAGTGGCCTCCTTAAAGTCCAACTCCAATCACAACTCTGCGGGGCCTCCCTTGGGCCTCCCTTTGGCTTGTGAGCTGTCAGATCTGACTCCCATTGACATCTGTGGCTTCGTCGTTTTGTCCCTTCCCCACACCCTCCTTCTCTCAGTCAACTTCTCTTGGGATGCTGTGAGTGCCCTTGCATGCTGTTTCCTTGAGCCTGGAATGCCCTTAGCCTTCTCTTTGTTTGACTTTCAGTACAGGTCCTTCAATGTTTAGCTGTCACCTCCCACAAGAAACCCTCCTTGAGTGTCTCTCTGTCCCTACTGCACCCCACACACAGTGTGTCTAATGCCTTTTCCAGGCTCTCATAGTGGGGCTGCCTGCTTGCCTCTATATCTCATCTAAGGTGAGATATTGTTTTTGAAATGTTTGCCTCTGTGTTTTTTTAAGGAAAATGAGATTTTTTAAATTGAGGGACAATTTGCATATGGTAAAATGTACAAATAATAAATGTAAAGTTCAATGAATTTTTGCCTGTCTATACATCTGTGTAACCATCCCAAAGATCAAAGTATAGAATTTTTCCAGAACTCCCTTCTCAGTCAGTAACAGTACCCCTCCTTCTCCTCCAGAGGTACCACTTCTAAAATCATAGATCAATTTTACTAATTATTTAGATAACTCTTCATATGAATAGAATGATATGTTTACTTTTTTGTGTTTATAATTATCAAAGTAGTGACTTTTACTTTCTTTCATGTTGTTGTAGGCAGTAATAGTTCATCTACCTCATTGCTGTAGAGTATCCCACAGTATGAATTTATTCAGGCTTCTATTGGTGAATATTTAGGTTGTTTCCAGTTTGGGCTATTATCAACAATGCTGTTCTGATTTATGTGCAGTCTTTTGTGGGTATATATTTTCATTGCTCTTGGAGACGTGACTCAGAGTGGAATTTCTGGATCATAGGGTAGATTTATGTTTATTAAAGTTGCCAAGGAGTTTTCCAAGGGATCGGTATCATTTTGCATTCCCATCAGTCACGTATGAGTTCCAGTGGTTCCACATCCTGTCCTACTTGACAACTTGATGTTGTCAGTCTTTCATATTTCATCCATTCTGGAGGAGACATGGAAGGAGGTCATTGGGGTTAATTTTCATTCTTGATGATTTCTGTTACCCAGGAGACTTACCTCCCCCTGTTTTAGGCTATTGTCTTGAGGCTACTGTCCTTTTCTGGCTTTGTAGAAAAAGAAAAACCAGAGTCTTTTCCAGGCTTTTGAGTTTCAAAAGTCTAGCATCTCAGGGGCAACAAGAAAAGGATCTTGTGCATTGATGAGATGGTCCCTATGGGGAAATGCAAGGGATTTAGGAGCAAGGCTGTGCCCCACTGAAACTAAAGAAGTGTTTCCAGACAAGAATGAGGGAGAGAGCTGGAGCATCCACAAGGGATGGGGGTAGGGTACAGGTCCCTGAGGTAGGAGGCACTTGAACCTGCTCCTTCTCTAGGCATGGTCCTGAGCTTGGAGACAGACACCAGAATTCCCAAAGGAGTCTGAAAAAATTAAATGTAGAAAGCACCTCAGCACTTCCTAGGCGGACACTCTAGAGGAGAAACGAATGGGTGTTTGGGGGTGGGCAGAAGAACCTCATATGTCTACCAGAATTCTCTGTGTCCTGGCAGCCATGGCAGCTAAGCAAAAGTTTCTGTGCACTTGAAAGGGGCTCTGGAAGAAGCTAAGAGAGGAAATGAGACTTAAGAACAAGGGACAACTCAGCAGTGACCTGTGTGGATGGGTGGCCCCTCCTCAGATAGGAATGAAGATGTGTCAACAAATGTCAGTGTGGATAAGTAATGATAAACCCCAAAGAAGTAGGAAAAACTTGACTTGCCAAAGGTTAAGATTTCCTCGCGTGTGATGGAAGATCTTAGCAGAGACTGAGTTCACTTACCAGGAAAGTTACCGTTCTCACTCACCTGAGTTTGCAGACTGAAATTTGACCACAGTCCCACTTTTCACACTGTACTATGCTTATTTGTTTTCCTTTCCTCTTCTTGAGACTCAAGGGCAGGGATAAGGTCTGATTCTTCCTGGAATCGGCAACCTCCTGACCCAGGGCCTGCCACAGAGTAGGGACTTGATGAAGATTTGTTAAATATTGTTTGTAAGCCCCTTAAAGAAAGGGAGAGAAAGAACCACATGGTTGAGCACCCACTACATCTAGAGTCCTGTACCTTTTAATACACATTGGCTGCTCTATGAGATAGGACTATGAACATCCCACTTTATAGATAAGCACATGACAGTCAGTATTTACTCATTTACTAAGCACCCACAATATGCCATGAAGAGGGCAAGGATCTGCCCTCAAGATATTCCAGTTGAGGAGAAAGATATCCAAATAAGCTACCTCAGCTATGATATGAGGTCAATACTAAAACAACGATGTGACAAGACTGTGATCCCATTCCAGTAGGTGTAGAAAAAAAAAAGACTGGTTTGCCTCTTAATAACCGTTCCCTCAATATCATTGTTCTAGGCACTTTACATGTATTAACTCGTAAGATCCTCACTACACCCAGATGAAGCTGATACTATTATTATCCCCATTTTACAGATGGAGAAATTGATGTGTAGAGTGGTGAAGTGACTTTCTAAATATCATGATGGACTTTAGGCCCAGGCTGTTTGATTCTAATGCCCATGTTCCTCATTCCAGCCCTGTTTCCACGCTCCCTGCCTGGTCCACTCTGTTTGAAACTCTCTTCTGGCTGGGTGTGGTGGCTCACGCCTGTAATCCCAGCACTTTGAGAGGCCAAGGTGGGTGGATCACAAAGTCAAGTGATCAAGACCATCCTGGCCAACATGGTGAAACTCTGTCTCTACTAAAAATACAAAAATTAGCTGGGCATGGTGGTGCACACCTGTAGTCCCAGCTACTCAAGAGGCTGAGGCAGGAGAAACGCTTGAACCCAGGAGGCGGAGGTTGCAGTGAGCTGAGATTGTGCCACTGCACTCCGGCCTAGCAACAGAGTGAGACTCTGTCAAACAAAAAAAAAAAAAAAAAAGAAAAGAAACTCTTCCTTCTCAATCCTGCCCATCTCACTGATTAACTCTTCACAACCTTCACATCACCTCTGACTTCCTCAATGCCCAAGAGTGGGAGATATTCACTCCTCCCTACCTTCACCACTGTTCCCATAGCATTTTATTTTTAGGATTCATATAAGTTAGGATCAGGTTTATCTGCATGTAAGAGAATATCCAAAACACCAGTAACATATGCAAGATAGAAGTGTCTTTATCATGTAAAAAAAAAGTATGGAAATAGACAACCCAGGGCTAATATAGCAGCTCCATGGTGTCAGCGACTGAGGTTATTTCATATTGCTGCTCCATCATCCCAGTACATGGTTCCTTTCCAAGGTGACACGAATGTGACTCAAAATGGCTACCGAAGCTCCAGGCATTACATCTACGTTCCAAGCAGCAGAAAAAAAGAAAGAAGAGTTTCCTTGTTCCGTTTACAGAGATTTCCCAGAAATCATCACAACACTTCCCCTCAGATCTCCTTGGCCAGAATTTGGTCACGTGGCTGCACCTTGCTACAAGGGAGGCTGGGAAATATAATATTTTAGTTGGATATTGAGAGAATAGTTATTAAGAGACAAACCACAGTCTTTTTTTTTTTTTTTTTTTTTTTTTGCTACACCAGCTGGAATGGGATCACAGTCTTGTCACATCATTATTTTAGCACTGATCTCATATCATAGCTGAGGTAGCTTATTTGAATCTCTTTCTCCTCAACTGGAATATCTTGAGGGCAGATGCTTGTCCTCTTCATCCTCATATCCCAAAGGCTAGCACAAGTTGTAGACACTTGAGATAGAGTGACTAGGTGTTATGTTGCTTTGCATGCTCTGTGGTCAATAGCACGGTTCTCTGCCCACAGCAGGCCTCCGCAAATTGTTCAACTGAAATAAATTTAAATGTTCTTGACCTCAGTTTCCCCATTTGTAACACAGGTATAAATGGCCACAAAGGTCAACCCCGTTTGGGTATTCTTAGTATCTATTATATAAAAGGTGCAATCTATAGATATATATTTTTAAAAACCAGCCAGAGATAGCCACTGTGTATAGCTTTTGCTCTTTCTCTATTTCTTCTGCATAAACATATATACATGCTTTGCATATAAATAGAAGCCCACTGTACATACCTTTTTATAATCAGCCATTTTCACTTAATAACACAGGAAGAGACTTTTGCTTTTGCCTATGAAAAAACTAGCTTGTGAAGATCAATCTTCTCCATAAACAATTAGAAAACCTGGGTAGAATTGTTCAAAGAAAATAAAAATCTGTTAGAAGGCACGAAAGAGCTATCCAGGAAGCCAGAACTTGAGGGATCAAGATCTCAGGGTGAAGAGAAATGAATGGAGCAGGGGCCTGACATTCTATGTGCTCTTTTCCATGAATTTGCCAATTCATAAAGAGCTAAACGGAGAGACTGAGAAGCTGAGAAGAAACCAAATGCTAAGAAGCAGAGAAGCTGAGCAGAACTTTCAGCAGTCTCACAGGACCGCAAAGACAAACAGAATTTATGCTGAACACATTTCTGAGCCATTACATGTTCTCCTACAGCGTATATGAACGTTCACTAAAGCTCAAAGACTGTATCCATACAGAGAATTCCTGGAAAGAACTCCAGAAATAATGAAACCAAACATCTAGCAATAGAAACCCAGAGACACTGAGTGACTTGCCTAGGACCACAGAGCCAATTGGTCCAGCCTCCTGGTCCAGTCTCCTGATCTAGCCTTCACTCACTGCAGTGCTCTGCAGCTGTGGCTTCTGCTCCCAGCATTCACCTCCCCATTCCTCCCCACACATCCTTGCCAGAGAGAAAGATCAACTTAATTTCACTTCTCATTGTGATCTTTTAATAAATGAAAGTGCCTTTCTGAAAGGAAATCAAACACAAATCCTTTTATAAAAATTACTGGTCATTTTTTCTAATTGCCAAAGTAATACAAATTTGCTAAAGAAATGTTAGAAAATACAGATAAGTAAAAGCAAGTGGAAACCACAGCTCTGGAGCTGAAATAGGGCCAAGTTGAAAATGGTCCATTTTGATCACTCTAAATAACATGCTGGCCCCTTGGCCACTTTGGTCCTGAAGGATGCACTTTGACTCTCACAAAGTAAGCAGGAAACAAATCAAGAGAAGGGCCATCCTGCCCACTTGGGGCGGCTGCATGAGAAAGAGCCATTTGGATTTCTCAGCACCCAGAGGGTGCAGTCCCCAGAGGAGACGGCTGACTCCATGATGCGATGGGTGGGGAGCTGGACCGGGCTCCCTGCCCGGACATCTCCGTCCACAGCTTGTTGCACAGCCTGGGAGCCCAACGTAGTGACACTCATTTCTTCTGGACCTTAAGGGCTTTGTGATTTTCCCATCTCCTCTGTGCAAATGCAAAGATGACTCCCTTGGTTAGTGGAGGATTTAAAGTTATCAGTGAAGACTTTAACTGGAACTTGTTTCAGAGTTGGGGGACATGGGTTCTGTGGCTAATTAACTGGGCAACTTGGGCAAGTAACTTCCTCTCCCCAGGCCTTCCTCTCCCCGGGCCTTCCTCGATTTCCCCATGTGAACAAGGAAGCAGTTGGGCTGGATTTGGTTAGCCACGATTCCTGTTTCCTAGAGGAGGGAAGAAGGAAGGGGATTTGGTTACCGAGCATCTACCAGAGCCAAGCACTGTGCTGAGCACTTTGCCTGCATGAGCTTATCTAATCCTGACAACAGCACTGTGAGGGAGAGGACATCTGTGTTCTTGCCTCTCCAGGACCCCTGTTATCCTGCTAATAGCACCTCGATTGTCTTTTAAGGAACCATCTCTCACCCACTCCTAGTTCCAGTGGCCTACAGCGGGCTGACTCTACTCCTTGACTTCAGATACAGGCATGTGACTCAGGCTTAGCCAACCAAAACAACTGTAACGGTTTCAGGACTGGGTATGTGATCCAGGCCAAGCCAATTGGAGTCAACCCTGGGATTTTTGCTGGAAATATTTGGAAAGACGTGATCTCTTTGCCTTGAGGTTGTTTAGCCATTTCCACCTCCCTATGGAAAGAGCCAGCCTGCTAATAAAAGTGGCACATATGTATAAAATAAAGCTGACAGAAAAGAAAACAGAGTCAAGACAGAGGGAGACAGATTTATGACAATTACCTTTGAGCCTCTGAAGCATCTGAATCCAGGCCTACTTCCTAAACGTTTTCATTCAAGAACACTTTATAGCCAAAGCCATTTATAATTGGGTTTAAGTTACCTGCAATCAAAAGAAACATCATGAAAATTCCTTTTTTGGGGGGGCGGTGGTGGTGGGTACAGGGTCTTGGTCTGTGGTCCAGGCTGAAATGAAGTGTTCAATCATAGCTCACTGCAGCCTTGATCCCCTGGGTTCAAGCAATCCTCCCTCCTGAGCCTCCTGAGTAGCTGGGACTACAGGCGCACACTGCCATGCCCAGCTAATTTATTTATTTTTTGTAGAGACAAGGTCTCCTCCCCGTGTTTCCCAGGCTAGTCTCAAACTCCTGAGCTCAAGTGATCCTCCCACCTTGGCCTCCCCAATCCTACCTGGGGATTACAGGGGCGAGCCACCATGCCCGGCCCATCACTAAAATTCTGGGTGTGACATAGGCATTACTATTCTTATTTTACATACAGATGAGGAAACTGAGGCTCAGAGAAGCAAAGTAAACACAGAGCTAGTAAGTGGCAGAGCAGGTATTTTTAATCTACTTATTTCTTCTCATTGCCTTCAGTCTCTACTCAGGCATTGAGGTTGTCCCTTTTTTCTGCTTCTTCCACAAAGCACAGAAGTAGGAGTGGGGCTGTGGGTCCAGACTGCTCCAGGCTCCAGATCTGGCTCAGCTGCTTCCCACCTGTCTGATCTTGGGAAGACTTACTAGCTGTATACTCTGAACAAACTCCTTCATCTCTTTGTTTTCTCATTTGCAAAACGGGATGACAACAGTACCTACCTCATGGGATTGTGAGGAATCGGTGCATTATTTATGTAAAGCTCTTAAATCAAGCCTGACACACAGTATGCAGTAAGCATGGGGCTGTTACTTTTCTGCTGCAGCCTGTATGTTGTTAGTAAGTTGATTGTGCCCTTCTGCTCCCCAACCCCTCATACAGCCTGGGGTACCTCCTGATCTGTCAGTTCCAAATGCCACAGCAAAACAACCCACACCCTGCTTACCAGGGGCTTGAAATCATGTCTAACATGTTGTTTCTAAGATGCTGATTTTTCTAAAAGTGCTGATCACCATGGGTTTAGCAGGCCTAAAACTAGCCCAGGAAGTGAAACTTTGGGGAGGAATTCCAAATAACCAAGCCTTTGCTGAAATGCAGAATGGAGAGAGGAGGGATGAAAGTGTGGACGCAGCCATTTCCCAGGCTTCCCCCACCCGCCCTGCCCCCATCCCCCCTCCCACCTCCATCCCCCCCTTACCTCCCTTAAGCCCCACAGCTATAGAGAGAGGAAATGTATTTCCTTTAGAATTTATAACAGTTGCTATCCTGAGTGCTAACTCGGTTCCAAAGGGTGCATTAGTCTGGTAAAGTGTAAAATATGGAGGCCCTGGAGAATCACCAGGGAGTGGGAGAGGGCTTTCGTGGATCCAGGGTGAGTCTTGGCTGTGGGGTTGTGCTAATGTGCAGAGGGCTGGCCAGAAAAACAAATGGGACATCCCTGACTTCTCGAATCCATAATGCCCAGGACAGTGACATGGCCTGCCATTATCTCAAGGCCAAAGTCTCATATCACTGGGCATCACAAAGTCCTTTAATCCCCACCTTGCAGATGGGATCAGTGATCTCTGAGCTACCATTTATGGAGCACTAAGCCCTTTATAGAAATGGCATCATGAAACTTTCCAACAGCCCCACGGAGATGAAGTTATAACAGCACCTTGGACCTTGGGGCCAGGCTGAGTAGGGTGGATGCTCAGTTCTCCTACATGTGACCTTGTGCAAGTTACTCAATCTCTCTGTGCCTTCATTTTCTCACCTGTAAAATAGGGATAATAATAGTTCCTACCTACTAGGACCTATTATTGTTGTGAGGATTAAATGAGTAAGCATCTGTAGCACTTAGAAAAGCATCTGACACAATGGCCCCTGTCTTTATGAACCCTTGTGTTACCGACATGGGCCCTGAGGCCAAGAAAAAGGACCATGGACCTACCATACACAGCTTGTGAAGCTGAGCCTCAGACCCAGCTCTGTGTGGTCCACAACCAGGGCTGGTGGGACTGCTGCTACTGGGAGGAGGCTAAAATACCCCTCTGACCCCCACCCCCACACCCCAACCCACCATGTCCCACCTCCTCAAACACCCTCCTCTCCCTGTGAGCTTAGGTGGTCCCTTCGAAACTGCTGGGGTAAAATCTGAAACCATAACTGTTCAAAGGTTCAAATGGAGTTTTCCCGGCGCTGAGAAGGCAGAAAAACCTCGACCTCTCTCTCCCAGCTCTGGAAATGAAGGCAGCCAGGAAGAATCCTCAAGCTCCCATTGCCAGGGACAGAGGTTCCCGGGGACCTGCAGAGGGGCCTCACCCCCACCCCACTCCTCCCCTTGCTGCTCGGGGTGGCACAGGTTGCTAATTAAAACACATCCTATTTTGAAATGTGGGCTCATTCATCAGGACGGGCTAGGGAGAAACAGAAGAGAGGTGTGAGGTTGTAGACCCTGGGGTCTCTTTAGTTCCCCGAAACCTCTAGGGGTAGGGTTCCTACTGTCAATCTTGTTCCACCTCTGTCTGACTTTGCCTTTTTCGATTTTGGCGCCCCTAGCAGGAATGAGGGGCGCAGGTATCACTATTTGTCTTTTTCAATCTATCTGTGATTGACTCTGCCAAACATCGTTTCATCTCTATTTCCATCTGTGCCTCTTTGTCTTGATTTATCTCTGTCTGTCGTTTTGTGTGCCCGCAGGTGCGTGGGTGGGGGTGGAGTTGTCTCACCAAGGTTCTGACCCTTCTGCCACCCCTCCTTCCAAACCCAAGGAGCAGTCCGCCTCGCAGAGCCCGAGCCCGGGTACCCAGCGGGAGCAGCTCCAAACCTGGGGCGCGAGCTGGGAGAGGGTGTCCGAGCGAGAGGCGCGCCCCTCGCGCCCCCTCTCTCCGCGGGGGCGGCCCTGGGCGCGTGGAACCGGGTGCGGGGGCGCTGCAGGCCCGCGGGGCCCGGGTCCCCGCCTTCCCCGCTGCTCGCGGGTGGGCCCCTCGGAGCGGCTCCTCCTCCGGCGCCCCGCTCCCCGAGAGCTCCCCGGCGCCCCCGCCGCCGCCCCCGCGACACCCAGCAGCCTGGCCGCCGCGGCCAACGCGCCACCAAACTTTCCCCGGAGCCGGCGCCGGTGAGTCGCAGCGGGGCGCGGGCTTGGGCGGGAGCGGGGCCGCCGCGGCTGGGCGAGGCTGCGCGCTGGCCAGGCTGGGTTCCGGGCATCCCGGCAGGGCGGCCGGGAACCCCGGAGCCGCCCGCTTGAGAAGAGCGCGCTTGGGTACCCTCGCGACGCGGGTGGCCTGGGGAGGGTGGCGGAGGGCGGCTCGCTCGGTGGCACCGCTCCCCTCTCCACACTGTGGCCTCAGCACTCGACGCGCAGACACCTTTAGCTTCCCCGGGCTTGGGCAGGGTGCGCGCCCTGAGCGTCCGTCTTTGAGCTCGGGCGAGCAGAGGGGGAGCCTCGTTTTCTTTGAGCCTCCCCAGGGTCTGAGTTCGCTGCTAACCGTAGTGCCAGCCCATTGGTTGAGTGCGTTCACTGTGCCAGGCTTTGGGCATCCATTATCTGTTGCAATATTGTTATACTCATTTTACAGAGGAGGAAACTGAGGCTCGGGGAGGGAAGTTGTGCCCAGGAGCATCAGCTGGTTAAGGGGAGAGAGTCAGGGTTTTGCTCGGAGTCATCCTGATCCAAATCACTTGAATACACTGAGGTAAGCCCCAGGCTCAGCGTCACCTGGAGTCGGGGGTGGGAACTGTCCGGACCACCACCCGCCCTTCCCCTGCAGTTCGGCTGCAGCTGGGGGTGTGGAGCAAGAGGCGGATCACCTCCTCCTCGTTGTACCGAGAGAGGAGGATGCTTTGGGAAAATGAGTGGATATTATGGCCAGGGAGTGGATTCTGGTGACAGAAAAGCATCGGGGCTGCTCTTTCAGAGATCAGATTCTAGAAGTTGCTCTCAGTTTTTCTCGAAGGAGCCCAGGAAGCCAGGAGCAGGAGCTGGAGTACAGCAGCTCCTCAAGGAAGTCACGTCTCCTGCTCTGTTACCCCACCCCCAGCCCCCAGTCCTCCATGAAGATCCCACCTCTTCCCTCCTGATTCCCTGATCCCTCTGAGGTGTCCGCTTGCCTGGCAGCTGATAGTGCAGAGATGTTCCAGGCAGAGTGGCTGTCCTCCGGCAGAGGGCTCCCGCCTCAGCCTGGAGCAGACAAGACGAGGCAGGCTGGGAGTCCTGGTGAACAAGGTTTTCAGGCTGGAAGGTGCCTGAATAACTCATTTCATGATTGCGGGGCCAGAAACCTGTGACAGGAGCACAGACGGAGTGTGTCCCTGGAGCATGAAGGAGAGGGGAATTGAGGGTCTTATAGGAAGAGTCTTGGAGGCAGCCAGAAACCAGCAGAGACTGGGAGAGAGGGAGGGTGTACACATGAGAGCATCATTATGCATTATCCCATCACAGCATTCTTGGAAGGTAAGTACTATTATTGAACAGATAGTCTACTGAGGCTCAGAGAGGTTAAGTAATTTGCTTGAGATTGCCCAGCTGGTCCATGACAGAATTGGGGTTTGAACACCCATGTTGCCTGACTCCCTCTAGATTATGAATGAAACTGAGGTGGCAGATGGGACCTTAGCTCCTTCTTTGCTTGTGTCTGGCAGCAGCAAAGGATGAATAGAGGAAAGCCAGGCAGCAGGTCCACTGCTCACAGGAATCCTGGACAACCCCATGTAAATCCTCGAGTGTGATTCAGGCATTTCTCCTGGTGTGGGGAGAATCTACGGAGAAGGGCAGGGGATGCCTGGCATTGTTTTCATTTTCAAATGTGACAGAGAATCCCGTGGAGGCAGGAGATGGACAGGTGCTGCCTGTCCATGATTTCAGGGCTGGGTGGAGGCCGGAGCAGCCTGCCAAGAGACCCTGCACCCCAGAGTGGTTTGGCCAATGCTGGGCTGGGAGTGGTCCTTCCTGACCCTCAGCTGAGTGTCCAAGGGAGGAGGGACTTATACATGAGCCTCCTCCTCTTCGACTCTCTCAGAATTCTGTGTTGGCACTTTCCTCTTCACAATGAAGGAGTGCCTGGCTTTTCCTTAGCAGAGAAAACACATAGCAAAGACATCAAAAGTGTGGGATTCTGGAGCTCACCTGTTGGGGTTCACATCTCAGCACTGTTGCTTATGAGTTTTGTGGCCTTGGTCAAGTTGCTACACGTCTCCGTTCCTTGGTTTCCCCATTTTTAGAATGGGGGTATTCCTGACACCTTCTTCACTGCGTTGGTAAGAGAATTAGGTGTGTTCATGTGCATAAAGCACTTCAGTGGTGCCATGTAATAGCTAAAAGTGTTAAGAGTCCATTGTTGTTGTTGCTATTAAGGCCAAACAATCCCAGCTCTGTATCCTTTCTCTGCCACCTGCAAATTGCCCAGCCTCTGCAGGCTTCTTGTTTTCTCATCTGTAAAGTGAGAGTAGGTCTGGTTAGATGTAATGTGTGCCCCAAAGTCTTACTGCAGTCTCAAGCTTTAAATAGTCTGAGACTTGAAGTCTCAGTGTGGACCTGTATAAACTTCTGATACTCTGCTAGACACTCAGCAAACGCTGGCCATTGCAACGAGTGTCACTAGTGTGGATGATATTGCTGCTACGCAGTGCAGCTTGAACTTTGTGCTCTGGCTTTGTTCTGACGAGCATGGATTTGGGACAGTTTTCAATCAGCTGTTTTCTAGAGGGACAGAAAGCTTAGGGTTGGAACCCCAGCTCTTGCCCTTAGAACCGAGAGACCCTGGGCATCGGCTTCCTTATCTGCAAAATGGCCATTCGTTCGATTTGCCAGTATCTGTTTCTCAGGATGAATGTCAGGATGGAAATGTGGAGAAAAGAAGGAAAAAAGCAGATGGTATAAATTGCAAAGAATTACATACAATTGTAAGTAATTCTCATTAGCATTCAGGCCGGGAATTAGCTATAATTGCTCCTGATCCAAGATGTTTTATCTGAAAGATGTACCTGGCAGAGGATCATTCAAGCCCCAGTCACCTGCTGCCCTCCCTTTCACAGTGACGCTGAGCATTTCTGAATCTCGGGATGTAATTATAATAAAGCTCCCATATCTCATTTATAAGTGACTCACTTCTGCCATTAATGGTTGTAGAGGACTAAGACGCATACTCTTCGGGAGCAATGCTGCTGATGCTGTCGGAGGGGGGGCCAGGATGCCTTGCCTCTTTTATGCATTCGTCCTCACTGCTGTAATTCTCCAGTGATAATGCAGGGGGATCACATGGGCCAGGATCGAAGCTGACAGCTCTCAATTTGTGCAACAGCTTGGATGGCAAGGGCCATTGAAACTTGTTGTTGCCAGCAGAATGCATGTTAGAAACTATCACATCCCAACAGAGGAATGAGCAGAAGAGGTTGAGGAAGCTGCCCCCAGGGAGTACTTAAAAGCACAGACTCCAATGTCCAACAGACATGAGTTTGAATCTTAGTTCTGCCAGTGTATTTGTTGAGGTGTGATTTCTGGCTGTCTTTCCAACCATAATATCAGCTCTAATAGAGCAGGCAGCACATTTGTTTTATTCACCAGGACATTCACAGCTCCTAGCACGTAGAAGGTATTCATGAATGTCTACGGAATGGATGAATATGTGAATGACAAATTGCTTAATTGGGCCTCAGCTTTCTTATCTGTAAAATGAGGCTAATATAGCACCCACCTTACAGGTTGCTGTGAGGTCTGAATGAAGAAATGTTATGAACAGAATAAACATTCAGCAATGCCCTTGATGATAAATAGATGGGCATAAGCAAGCAAGTTGGCTTAGTCTGGGACATTTAACTTTTCTCCCACCCTTGGACCAACAAGGGACAAAAATACTAGTTGTAAGAATCTCCTGTATTTATACAGCACTCTGCAAAGTGCTTTCTTATCCATTGACTTCTAACAAGTAGGCAGAAATTATTATCCATGTTTTATAAGAGAAGAAACAGGTTCAGAGGGGTTGGTGAAATAAGTTACAGAGTTTAGAAGCAGCAGAAATTGGAATATAAATCCAGGTTGCTCTGATTTCTAAATAGCAGCTGTTACACTGAGCTTTCCATTGCCTTCTAGAGAGTGGAAGGTGTAGTATTTAGTCTTCCATGAACATGGTATCTCTCTACTTATTTAGGATATTTTTAACATCTTTAATATCTCGTGACATGGCTTCCTAATGTTCATTTTGTGTTTTTTATATCTTTTGTTATATATATTTCTATTATTTGATAATTTGTATGCTATTATACATTTTTGATAGAAAAATTCATGTTCTGTTGGTTACTTGTTGGAGAAATATGCTTGGCTTTTGCATATTGATTTTGTATCCAGAAATCTTGTTAAACTCTCTTACTAATTCAAAAAAATGTATTTGTAGATTCTTTTGAAAACACCATATACAATTGTAAGAGGTACAAATAACAGTTTTGTTTCTTCCTCTCTAATCCTTGTATTCTTTCCTTTTTATTCTTGCCTTACTACCCTTCTAAGACCTTAGTACAATAATGAATTGAAGAATGGCCGGGCACAGTGACTCACACCTGTAATCCCAGCACTTTGGGAGGCCGAGGTGGGTGGATCACCTGAGGTCGGGAGTTTGAGACCAGCCTGGCCAACATGGCAAAACCTCATCTCCACTAAAACTACAAAAATTAGCCAGGCATGGTGGTGCATGCCTGTAGTCCCAGCTACTTGGGGGAATGAGGCAGGAGAATTGCTTGAACCTGGGAGGCAGAGGTTGCAGTGAGCTGAGATTGCACCACTGCACTCCAGCCTGGGTGACAGAGTGAGACTCTGTCTCAAAAAAACAAAACAAAAAGACAGTGGACATCTTGCCTTTTACAGCTCTTATGGAAGAGCTGTCCACATTTGATAATGAGGTATCATGTTTACTCTAGGTTTTTGGTAGATACTCTCTATCAGATTAAAGAAGTTCCTTTCTATTCCCAGTTTGCTGAGTGTTTCTTTTCTTTTTAGTTATAAATGGAAATAGAGTTTTAACAGATGCTTGTTCTGCATCTGCCCAGATGGTCACATGATTTTTCTTTTTCAACCCGTTAACATGATGCATGACATCGACTTCTGCATTTCTGGAATAAACCCAATTTGAGTCATCCTGTAGCATCTTTATTTCCAGCTTATATTTACAAACCCTTTTGTTTAGGATTTTAAAATCATGAGTTCATGAGTGCTGTTCACCAGTGATTTCGTTTCTCATGCTTACTTTTCAGGCTTTGGTATCAAGGTTATGCTGGCCTCACAAAATGATGTGGGCAAGAGTCCCACTTTTCTGTTCTCTGGAAGAGATTGCACAAGATGGGCGTTGTTCTTCCTTGAGTGTTCAATGCAACTCACCAGTGAGGCCCCCAGTGGATGGATGCT
This sequence comes from Homo sapiens, assembly GCF_000001405.40. NCBI lineage: Eukaryota > Metazoa > Chordata > Mammalia > Primates > Hominidae > Homo > Homo sapiens. The sequence continues at coordinate 11,159,829 of NC_000003.12, forward strand.
AACGTGGAGGGTAGGGAGGAAAGCCAGTTTTGAAGGAGGAACTTGCTACCAATCAGAGGCTCAGCCTGCCTCTGGTGGAAGTAAACAGAGACTGCGAACCTGTCTGTCCTGAGTACCATGGGGAGAGCCCAGCCTTGGACTCTGGATGAGAGTTCTTCTAACCAGACATCCAGATGAAGGGGACTCAGCCTAGGGTGAAACCTTAATATCTGCTGAAGTCTCCATCTGCTTCTACAATTGCAGCTGCTTCAGACAGTATACCTGTATATTGTTACTTCCTGGTGGCCACAGATTGAGGGACAGTCAGATTCCATTGACCATTCCTGTGCCAGTTTTTAGGCCAGGCTCTCCTTCTCTGTCATGTTATCAGTTTTTGTGGAATCTCCATATTATGACCTAAGGGCCATGCCCCTTTCTGCCAATTCACCTTTTCCCTACCCCCAGGATAACTAGGTTTGAGCAATTTTCTCGGCTGGAATCTTGCCTCAGTCCTCTTTTTAATAAAGTGCCAGGCACTGTCCTAACTTGAATTATCTCTCTTAACTCCCTTAACAATGCTATGAGGTAGTTACTGTTATTCCAATTATTCAGATAGGAAAACAAGGTTTCTCACTGTCGTTAGTTTAATGGTTTCATATTTTAGACTAAATTATCGCTCTCTAACCTATTTGGGTTTTGAAGAAAGATAAAAGTCTAAATTAATTTTCCTTCTCACATACTTAACCAAGGTCCTCATCCTGTTCCCCTTCCTGTTTATTAAATCTTTCTTCCTTTCTTCCCCACCTTTCTTTCCTACGTCACCTGCAGCAGCACTAAATTACAATATATCTTTGGAGGCAGAGCCACCAAATCACACTCAACTCCAGGGAACACCATTTGCACAGTTCTGTATCTTGGGCCTCAGGGCACGTAACCTGGAAACCCAGTCATTGACAGTAGATCTCTTTCTGAACTGTCTGTTCTGATCTGTTGAACCATCTGCCAATTCTAATAACTGACTATCAGACAGGGCCATGGCAAAAAACAGAGGGCACATCCCAACTGGGTGATTGAGAAAGGTTTTGATAAAGAGCCTGTTACCTTGTATAGACCTTTTGGTCTGGTGAGCTAACATGGGATAGTGCAGTACCCTAGAGTATCAATGGGAAGAGGAGAGTTGTTTCTGCCTCCAAGTTTGGAGGAGCAAGAGAAGGGAATAAACACTCAATGTCATTCTCCTCCTGCCCTGCCTGTGGCCAAACCCAAGAGAAGGGAATAAACACTAAATGTCATTCTCCTCCTGCCCTGCCTGTGGCCAAACCCAATCAGAAGTGGGTGGACAGCAAGAGAGCCTTTGATGTGGTTCAGGGGCACAGAGCACAGGAGGAGGACCGGAGATCTGTGCCATGCTGGTTTGATGATTGTTTGTATAGGTTGTATTTTAATAGCTAACAGAGGCATCTGCTTTCTCTTCTTTTTTCATTTCTTTCAAACTTTTCCAGGCAATTTTCACTTGGTTTGCTCTTTCAAGAGTGTTCCTTTTATTTACTTGCTAGCTTTTCTTTGTTCCTGGAGAGAATCACTAATCATCATTAAATAAGTACATCCTGCTGCCCCTTGCCCTCGGCCCAGGTGAGGCACAATTCCACCACCAGCCCACACCTGTGGTCTGGAGAGTCTGTGGACGTGATTGTTGATCCCAGGCTCATATGGGAAGCCTGGTTTTCTTTCCTCTGTCCTTGGTGTCTGACTACTTGAGTGGCGGGGCCACCCTGATGAGCCTAACATGGGCCTCTGGTAGGGTCTGCATTCATAACAGAGCGCCTGGCACTTCATGGTGCTCACAAACCTTTGAATGGAACGGCTTTCCAGGCATCTTGAAAGTGGTAAGAAACACTGGGCAAGGATAAGTTATTTTCCCTGTTGTATCAGGAGCTCAATAAATATTTTTCAGTTGTTTATTGATTGATTCTCACAGCAGCGGGTTTCACCAAGCCTTGAAAACCTCCATTAACAAGCCAGGAACTCAAGATGGAGTTTTCTCCCACTGGTCTCTCCTGTAGGGGGCGGTGGGAAGGGCCGATAAATAGCACTCCTCTGCCCAGCCTGAGCTCTGTACCAATCGAGAATGAAGACAAAAGGCAAGACAAGGCAGCTGGAGAACAAAATGTCATGGTTATTACTAATCAGAGTGACAGTGGAGCGTGTGGGCTCGCAAATGCTGAAGGCCAGGATGGGCTGAGTTGCCCACTCAGGTACAGGCAGTGCTGGGCTCTGCAGGAGGTGGCCCCTCCCTGTCCTTCCTGGGAGAGAGTGGAAAGGACGCATGCTCCCTGCAGGCACGCTGGCTCCCAAAAGAAGGGACTGAGTTATACTTACTTACCTATTTCATCTCTCAGATTCACTCATAGATACAGTCACCATGCAAGGAACCAGGGGAGGAGCCATTGAGGAGCTGGGGAGAGCCCTGGGTTATAAGGTGATGATGCTCCCATCGAGTGGCAGGATATATGATGAATGGGCAAGAAGCATTTTCCTCTCCTTGGTGGGGGAGTGCGGGCAAGGGGGTTGGGGCGATCCAGAGGTCCCTAGCACCTGCTATTATCTGGACCAGCAGGGTATGGGAGAAATAGCCCCTGACCTTTCTGACCCTCCTGTCCTGATGACTGATGAAAAGAAGTACTGTCTGTTGAGAAAGCACTCCAGGGCTTTCCATTTGTGATGTCACCCAGTCCTCAACAGCTCTACGAGATGCATATTCATGTGCCCATTTTATAGATGAGACAACTGAGGCTAGAGACATGGAGTAACTTATGCTAGAGTGTAACTGGGGAGACCAGTAACAAGGCTATTGCTGTCATCCAGATGGGAGAGGACAGCCCCTTGGACTGGCAGTGGCCAAGGAGAGAAACAGACAGATTGAGACTGGTGTGGAGTCCATGCTTAGGACTGGACAGGTGGCTATGTGTGGTGAGGCTGAATGAGCTGTTACTAGGAGGCAGGGTTAAAGCAGTGTCTTGGGTAATTTGTGGTTATTCTTGGGTTTTGTTTTGTTTTGTTTTGTTTTTTGTAAAATAGACATGACCCTCCTAGGCAAAGATTATTCAAAGAATTAAGAATTCCACAGGCACCACCACATCTGCACATCTTAGTGGAGCTGAAGCTGCTGCTCACTTGCTCTGAATTGGAAGTGCTAGCTGGAGCATGCTTAGGGGGAATTAAAATGTGCAGACCTGGAAGAGGTCTAGTTGGGAAGGAGATCCTGAGACAGCCTCCCCCACTGCCTTCTTGCCCTTCTGATCACCTTAGAGGTGGTCACTGCTGCATCCTGCTGCACCGCGTGTTTCCCGAGCTCCTCCCCACTGTGCATCACCCCATCCCAGCCTCAACGTAGGCCTCCTCCTCCTTCTGCACACCCAACACAGGCTTCTCTACCTCCAGGCAGCCCCCTTCTATCCCCAGAGGTCCCTTTCCGAGGGACATATCTGACCATTTCACTTTCCTGCTTAAAATCCAGTGACATCCTCTGCAGCCATTAAATAGAAGGAAACCTGAATTTTACCATCTGGAAAGATGTCCCTGATAAATGCATTGGACAAGAGCAAGTGGCAGAATGACCTGGCCAGCCTCAGAAGGCAGGGAACAGTGGTCAAAACATGGGCTTGGAGGCTGCAATGAGTTTGAACCCGAGCTCTACCACTTAGTCACTGTATGACCAGGAGCAAGTTCTGAATTTCTCTGTGCCTCAGCTTCCTCATCTGTGAAATGGGAATGATAATAGTCCTCTCCCCTATAAGGTTGTGAGGCCTCACCCCTATAAGGCTAATATGTCAAATGTGCTAGTCCAGTGCTGCTCCTAGTAGCATCCAATAAACACTAGTTATTACATTAGCATATAAGTACATGTGAACACATATAATCATAGGTCACATCGATGCCTAAGATTATATGTGTTCTCATGTATTTATATACACCTCTCTCTCTCTTTTCACCTCATTCTTCAGGACTCAGAGGTATTCTCTTCCAGGAAGTCTTCCCTGAATACCCCCCACCCCTAAGGCTGGATTAGGATCCTTCTCTGGCCTTACAACACCCCCAGACTCACATCTTCCATACATGTCCTTATTGTCACCATCGGTCCCCCCATGGCTGTGAGCAGCTTGAGGACATAGGCTGTAACTGATTTCCCTCCATATCCCTGGTACCCATCGACGTGCAAGGAACATAGTGCACTCTCTGGAGATACTTGTTGAATGAATGAATGAATGAATGAATGAGTGAGCAGGACTTTGAAACATAAGGGATCAATGGGTAAAGACATGGAGGGAGAACAGCCAGGTATAGGGGATGGCCTGAGCCAAGGCATAGAGGTAGAAAGGGATGCTCCAGAAAGAGCACACGGCCTGGGCTGGCCATGCCTTAGAGAGCGACAGGGAGGTTAACAGGAAGTAATTAAGATGCTCAAGGTGGGTAGGGGCCAAAGGAGTGTTCTGTGTAAAGAAGGGAAAGGAGATGTGATGGGGTGGGCGTGAAGAACGAAGGGAGGGATTGAGGGACAGTGTTGCTTCTTTCATTTAAATCCTTATCCCCCAGGCTGGTTTAGATGCTTCCATGACACTGTGCACTCATCAGGATGTAAAATAAATACCTGGTTTACCTGTTTCTACCGCCAGCCTGGAAACTCCTTGAGAGATGGAAATTGATGGTGTTTTGTTTTGTTTTGTTTTGTTTTGTTTTTCTAAAAATCTTGCACACAAAGATATTTCCTCCTCCATGCTTACTTTTTCTCTGCCACGTAGGGCTACAGATGTAGATGGTGTTGTGCATTCTGATAACTGGATATTAATAGAAGTTACTCCAGTTCTTGTGGGAATAGAAAATTTATAGCTTCTCCAATTCAATGGAACCCATTCTGTCAACCCTGCTTCCTTTATTGAGTCCTTGAATCAAGCTGGAAACAGAAACAGCAGTGCAGTTCACTCCTCGGTCAGATGCAGACGCAGGAATTTTGAGCAGTGACCCGCCAAAGAAAAAGTTCTCGCTGAATTTCTTGGTGCTGAACTGAATGAACTTGAACTGCTTGCCACACCCAACAGGGAAGAGTCCCAGCAGCAAGGTGCAGGAAGGTAAAACAGGAGTTGGAGTCTGTTCATGGTGATCATGTGCCTGCTGTACAGTGGGGATGCTGGGACAGACACGGCTGCTGCCCTTACAGGTGACAGAGTAAAGAAGACAGCTGCTAGGCCAGTAACAACAAAGCAGAATGTGACATTCTCATACGAGAAAGCACAGTGCTAAGACAGTCTCAGAGAGGCTAAGTGACTCGCATAAGCTCACACAGCTCATAAGTAACAAGGTTGAAATGGAGATCCTTGACTCCTTCACTGTGCTGCAAAGCCCCTCAAGGTATGATGCTTGCTGCCTGAAACATTTGGGGCAATAGCCCAGCACTTTGTAATCCTTCTCATTCTCCGCTTGGTATCTCACATTGCAATCATCCGTTAATTCCCTCCACCTATAAATATCAAAAGTGCCTATTTCTAGGTACTGGGCATATATCCTTTTTCCTGAGTTCCAGGCTGGATAACAGGAATAAGTCCCAAAACTAATCCTTGAGTTTCTGATATTAAGTGCTCCCCAATACCCAGAGATTTAGGGGGTTTTTTTCCTCTGTTACAGGGAAAACACACACACACGCAAGAAGAGAAGAAAAAGCAAATGAGCAATTAGCTCTGTAGATCGAAGCACAAACTTTGAGGAAGTTTCAGGGATTTGAACATTCAAGGTTTGGAACTGACATTGGGCCGGGTTGCTCCATCAGTGCCAAGAATCGTTACGGTGATCTCACTGTGCCAGTTCTGAATACAGAGGGCTTTCTCTGCATTGGTCACTAGGAGAAACGTCTCTCCGGAATCAAGCATTTTTCTGATGAATGCATTTTACTTCCTTTCATCCCAGACACAGAGCTGTGTGTCTATCTGTGCACTAAATGTTACTTTGAAAACACTGCAATTTGGAGCTGATCTCAGCTTCTGTGCTTATTAGTTTGTAATATTGCCCTCCCGAGTTTTCTTGGCATCACCTAACACGGAGTAAGGGAATAATGGTGTGTACTGAGCGTCTCCTGTGTATGGGGCTTTGTGCTGAGAACTTTATATTTGTCGTTTCGTTTGCTCCCCTAAACAACCTTGTGAGGTCAGGACTATGGTGATCTGCATCTTGGCCCTAAGCAGGACCCATAGGCTCTCTGCATCCTGGCCCCTCCACAGTGGGCAACCAGCCCTTCCCCAGACACATCTTGTGTATCCTCATCACTGCCCACATATGCTCCCACCTTCTCAGCCCACACAAACCCCATGGCCCCATTGAGTTGTAGACTTAAAACAAGTGAATTTTGGGGTATTTTTTAATTGTGATAAAATATACATAACAACATGAGTGAGTGCTAAAATATGTGAATTATTACCCCATGAAGCGTTGAAAAAGAAAGACAAGAAGGGGAGAAACGCTCTTCCCAAGTTCCCCGGTCCATGCACATACCAAATAACTCTCCTCTATTCTCCACTCCACCATTCATTCAACAACATCTATTGAGCACTTCCGGTGTATGAGGTGCTCCTCTAGGCACACGGGATTCCTGCAGAACAGAGCAGACAAGCATTCCTGCCCTGGTGAGGCCTACATTGTACTTTCCGGCTTCTCCAGGCCCGTGACATCTGCTGTCTCCTGCATTCTCCAGGCCCTGACATCTGCTGTCCCCTAGATTCTCCAGGCCCATGACATCTGCTGTCCCCTGGCTTCTCCAGGCCCATGACATCTGCTGTCCCCTGGCTTCTCCAGGCTGTGACATCTCCTGTCCCCTGGCTTCTCCAGGCCCGTGACATCTGCTGTCCCCTAGATTCTCCAGGCCCGTGACATCTGCTGTCCCCTGGCTTCTCCAGGCCCATGACATCTGCTGTCCCCTGGCTTCTCCAGGCCCATGACATCTCCTGTCCCCTGGCTTCTCCAGGCCCATGACATCTGCTGTCCCCTGGCTCCTCCAGACCCACGACATTTGCTGTCCCCTGGATTCTCCAGGCTGTGACATCTGCTGTCCCCTGGCTTCTCCAGGCCCGCAACATCTCCTTCCCCTGGCTTCTCCAGGCTAGTGACATCTGCTGCCCCCTGGCTTCTCCAGGCGCATGACATCTACTGTCCCTTGGCTTCTCCAGGCCCATGACATCTGCTGACCCCTGCATTCTCCAGACCAGTGACATCTGCTGGTCCCCTGCATTCTCCAGGCCTGTGACATCTGCTGTTCCCTGGATTCCCCAGGCCCGTGACATCTGCTGTCCCCTGTATTCTCCAGGCCCGTGACATCTGCTGTCCCCTGGCCTCTCCAGGCCCGTGACATCTGCTGTCCCCTGGCTTCTCCAGGCCCGTGACATCTGCTGTCCCCTGCATTCTCCAGGCCCGTGACATCTGCTGTCCCCTGCATTCTCCAGGCCCGTGACATCTGCTGTCCCCTGGCCTCTCCAGGCCCGTGACATCTGCTGTCCCCTGGCCTCTCCAGGCCCGTGACATCTGCTGTCCCCTGGCCTCTCCAGGCCCGTGACATCTGCTGTCCCCTGGCCTCTCCAGGCCCGTGACATCTGCTGTCCCCTGGCCTCTCCAGGCCCGTGACATCTGCTGTCCCCTGGCCTCTCCAGGCCCGTGACATCTGCTGTCCCCTGCATTCTCCAGGCCCGTGACATCTGCTGTCCCCTGGCTTCTCCAGGCCTGTGATATCTGTAGTTCATGGTTTGTGCAGCCTCATGGTTTTTGATTTCTGCCCCTGAGCGCAATCAATTGGTACCTCCCTGTATGTTTCACATTCAGCCTCCTAAGAGGAAATTTGTTTAGTTCAGTCAGCAGGTATCCACTTGGCTGGAAATGTTGCTGTAGGCTGCCCTGTAAATAGCCTGTGAATGATTGTGTTTGGGCAAGTGCTCATGGGTAGTCATGACATCACGTGCTCAGCTCTCCTGAGAGGGAGGCTTGGGGCCTGCCAGGCCTTGCCCATTCACTTGACAAATATTTTTCAACAGTTAATATTTTCTCTGCCCAATAGGTGTCAGGGATTGTTCTGGGTGCTGAGATACAAGGATGAACAAGGCGGGAGAACCTGCCTTCCTAGGGCTTCCATTCCAGCAGAGGGACATGCAGGAGAGGAACCAAGGTGTAAGGTGAAATGCAGTGGTGAAGATGAGTGAAGAGCATGTGGAAGAATGGAAGGGGTTCTTCTACGTAGGGTGGGATGGGCAATGTTCGAGTCAAGAGAGGATTGAAGCATGCATGCCCGTATCTCAGTGGAAAGCATTCTGGGCAAAGGGGACAGCAAGGCCTGGCTAGAAGGGGTTTGGAATGTTCCAGAAAGAGTGAGGAGGCTAGAGTGGCAGGGCACAGTGAGTGAGGGTGAGTGTAGGAGATGGAGTCAGAGGTCACAGGGCCAGACATGGAGGGCACTGCCGGCCACTAGGAGGACTCGGCTCTTGTTCAGAAGACACTGAGAGCCTGCAGGGTTCTCAGCCTGCAAGGATACAATGGGATGTGTGGATGACGCACAGAGGAAGCGGGGGACCCCACCGGAGGCCAGTGCTGTCCAAGCCAGGGTGGCAGGGGCCTAGGCCAGGGTACAATGTGGAGGCAGTGAGAAGCGAACAGCTTCCAGGTCTGTTTCGAAGGCAGGACTGAGCATAAGGGACATCTCTCTGATGCGCTCGCCCCAGTCACCCCGGTGGACTCAGGCACTGCCGCCGCACAATGCCACAGTTGGTTGCCTCATCTATAACATGAGCGTAATCGTTGTGCCTGCGTCCTGGGGCAACAGCGAGCATGCAGGGCCCTAGCAGGACTCCTGGCACAAAGCAGACACACAATGATGAGAGGTACTCCTGCTGTGAGGAACCCCAGGGCTGGGGGTGCGGGCTGTATGTAAAGAACTCCTCTAATATGGGGTTTACCCCATGGATTTGGGGCACCGCCTAGCAATGCCCCATCCAGGAACCCGGGAGTGATGTCTCTCTGGTTGGAGATGAAGGGAAAGACCCCTTTGCTGAGCTCCAACCAGGAGCCTGGGGTTTTCTCCAACTTATTTAAATCCCCATAGCCCCACAGAGCAGTGGGACTTCCAGTTCCTTTGCAGAGCCTGGGGGAATGAAGGGATTCACACACAGGCCTGCAGCAAGGAGCTGAGCTCTCGCCTGAACAGCTGACCCCTAGCCACAGGGCAGGGTGGTATAGTGATTAAAGGCCTGGGCTTGAGGTCTGCAGGAATCTGAGTTTGAATCACGGCTCTGCCACTGACTGGCTATGTGACTCGGAGCATGTCCCTTCTCTCTGTGCCTCAGTCTCCTCCTCTGTGGAATAGGACCATACTGGGCTCCTTGCCTGGTGGGGGTGAGGAGTAAGGGAGGTGACGGATGTAGCGTCAGACAGAACCCATATGTGGGTGTTTAACAGATAGGAGCTCCCTTCCCTCACCCCCAGGCCTGTGTCTCGGGCTCCTGCATGGCATCCCTGCCAGCAGTTTGAAGTAGACGCCTCATTGCCAGCTGCTGTCATGGAAACGAAGAGATGGGGGAAGTAGGAGAGGTCTGGAGGAGTGAGGAAGGACCATCATTCCATTGCTCACACCCCAGCCCACCTTATCCAGCTCACTATAACAGGGAGGGCTCAGAGCACAGAGTGGGGGCTGGAAGACAAAGTAATGGAGGGGACAAAGGCTGGCTGGGGCCTTTGTTCCTACAGGGAGTGTGGGGTAGGGAGCACCCCCTATGAGGTTTGGGCAGGCTGGGGCCCGGATGTGACTCATTCTAGAAATCCTCGTCCGTTGACCCTTCTCTCTGCACTCTTCAAGAGGCAATACATCCTATTTCCCTTTGATAAAGCTCCCCATCCCATCTCCATCAAGACGAAGCTGATGAGCCTTCTGGCTACTTTTGTGATTCAATATCCACGTGAGTTGCTAACTGTCTTGCAGACAAGAACTGCTCTGTTTGGGGTTTGGACCCAGTCTCCCTCATCCAGGTGTCCTTCAATAACTAGATCCCTTTTTGACACCTCATCCTTAGAAAAGGGTCCCATGCCCCTTCTCCATGCCCCAGCCCTCTGGGACACTGTCCCGCAACTCTCACTGTCTCCTCCTCCCCACAGTGTGCGACCCTTGTTAGGCCCACCTCCCTCGCTAGGAATGCAGATTCCAGCTTTGCAGTCCCCAGAACTCAACAGACGGTGCCTTGGAGCCACCCAGAGCTGAGTTGGAATCCCTGCTCTGCCACCACGAACGAGCTGTGTGACAGGTGAACGACCCCTCTGAGTCTCAGTGTTATGATCCGTTCAAGGGTTTGAAAGCTGGAGCTGCTTTCCATGAGTTAGCCCAGGCCAAGCTCCTGCAAACTGCATTATCATGATTGTCATTTCATGCCTTTTTAAAACTCAGGAACAAAGAAGGAAGCAGAAAAGCAAACCACAAACATGCTTTGTTTATAAAATTAAGTCGTTTCTCTTAGAGATGGAAAGAAGCTGCTGAACTCTTCCCTTGGAGGAGATGTCGCCAGCTTTGGATAAGCTCGCCACATGTTTATTTGTGCACCTACTGTGTGCCACACCCCACACTGGGCAGTGGGAAGATAAATGGGGACGAGGCATGCTCCATGATTTTGAACCGGCGGCCTGGTGGGGAAGGCAGACCCGGAACGGGCAGTATCCCATGGGCGAGGAGCCCACTATGATCCTATTCCACAGATAAGGAGACCGAGGCACGGAGAGGGGAAGGGACATGCTCGGAGTCACACAGCCGGTCAGTGGCAGAGCCAGGATTCAAGATCGGTATCATAGTCAGATGAACACAAGGGTTACGAGCACACAGAAGTCGGCAGGGAGCACTTATCTCAGCCTGAAGACCCTGGGAAAGCCCCCTGGAGGATGAGGTATGCCAGGAAAATTTCAAAGAGGAATAGGATTTAATTCAGCTAAGTAAGGTGAGAAGGGCTTTCAGGCAGGAGGTATAGCTGAGACGAGTACAGTGGTCTGAAATAGCATGGTGTGTGCAGGAGGCTGTGAGGAGATAGGTTAAAGTCAAGCATGAAGTCAAGGTTAAGGGCAGGGTTGTGGGAGACGAACAAACTAGAGAGATAAGCAGTGTCATATTGTTGGGAGACCTTTCATAATTAGGGATCGCCTCCCTCCCTGTCTTTTTCTAACCTAGAATCTCTTCATCAAAATGTGTCTGTTTAAGGGACACCAGGAGACCAAGAGGAGTTGCAGTTGCAGGGTTTTGGGGTTTTTTTTCTTTTCTTTTTTTTTTTTTGAGACAGTCTCACTCTGTTGCCCAGGCTGCAGTGCAGTGGCACAATCTCAGCTCAGTGTAACCTTCTATACCTGGGTTCGAGCAATTCTCATGTCTCAGCCTCCCAAGTAGCTGGGATTACAGGCATGCACCACCACACCCGGCTAATGTTGTATTTTTAGTAGAGACAAGGTTTCACCGCATTGGCCAGGCTGGTCTCAAACTCCTGACCTCAAGTGATCCACCTACCTTGGCCTCCCAAAGTGCTGGGATTACAGGCGTAAGCTACTGTGCCTGGCCAGGGTTGCAGGGTTTTGACTGCCCATTCATTCTCTGGGATCTTGCTCATCATGCAGTGGCCGCTGCTGCACCAATGTGACTCAGGAGCTTTTTTTAAGAAATGCAGAGTCCCAGGCTCCACCCCAGACCTGCAGAATCAGAATCTGCATTTTAACAAGCTCCCCGCATTACAGATTGAAATGCACTGGGCTAGCCCATGCAGTGCCAAGAAGCATTCAGACATCTGCCTCTGGCATCCTGGCAAAGATGAACTTCTCACTCTTCAAACAGTCCAGGACCCCTGAATAACCATGTGTCATTGGTCTTAGAGGACTAGAAGGGGACTCCCCCAACTCTGGGACCGCTCTCAAAAGATGTCTGAACCCCTTTTATTACTTCCCTGTGTTCCTTGGTGACATGTGTTCCTACCTCTGTTGTCTCATCTGAAGCAGGATGAAGTAGGATATCTAAACTCAACTTGCTTGCTTACTCAGTAAGGGGAAAACTTCTTTCTGTGTTCTGTGTTATGGTCTCCAGAGAAAATATATTTGTGCAGGAGATTTTGTAGGTGCTACTTGGTTTCTTCCATGAGCTGATTTATCTTCAAGGACAGGGCACCTAGACCTTGTGTTGTATCACTTGTATCACAGCCTATGTTTGTTCATTTGTGTTCTCTTGAGAAAGGGAAAATGATGACACAGTCTCCCCAATCTCCAAAGACCTTGAAAACCAGGCCAAGTGTTTTGGATTTTTTGCTGGGGCACTACAGAGCCATTGAAGAATTCTGAGGAAGGGAGTGTCAGGTTCAATGTTGTTTATTGAGACACCACTCTGCCAGCGGTGAGGGAGTGGCAATGAAAGTCTGGAGATCTCAGGGTGGAGGTGCAGGGGCCCAAGTGGGAAAGATGAGGCCTGGGTCCGGGCAGTAGCCCTGTTGGGTCACACTGCCCCAGCCCTCAGAGGGCCCCTGCTTTCTCCTACTAAGCAGGCAGTGGCTGCAGGAATTCTGAATTCATTTTCTATTTTGTCTGCTGAACACTCAAACAGCAGATAAGCTTAAAGCAACAATTTAGAACTGAGAATAGAAATTGGAACCCTCTATGGGTCATATATGACCGATGAAGTCATCTATTTAGATCTGAACAATTTAGGAGCTGCTTGCTAGAATCTCGACCTCTCCTGGGAACCCCTCCTCATGCTTACACCAGCCCCTGGGACCTGCTAAGGGACTCAGGACCCCCAGACCCAGCTGAGAAGGGAAAGAAAGAGAAGCAAAGCCTTGAAAATACTTTTGTGGCTTTTGGCGAATCTTTTTTTTTTTTTTTTGAGATGGAGTCTCGCTCTGTCCCCCAGGCTGAAGTGCAGTAGGCGATCTCGGCTCACTGCAAGCTCCGCCTCCCAGGTTCACGCCATTCTCCTGCCTCAGCCTCCTGAGTAGCTGGGACTACAGGTGCCCGCCTCCACGCCCAGCTAATTTTTTTGTATTTTTAGTAGAGACGGGGTTTCACCATGTTAGCCAGGATGGTCTTCCTGATCTTGTGATCCACCCGTCTCGGCCTCCCAAAGTGCTGGGATTACAGGCGTGAGCCACCGCGCCCGGCCAGCTTTTGGCGAACCTTCTAGGAGCAAACTAGAGCAGTGTTTCCCAAAGTCCCTCTGTGGGGCCCTGGATGAAGAGGTTCCCTGGCTGAATAAGCTTGGAAATGCTGAGTATCATATGCCCTTCTTAGGGGCTTGCCATACTTAGTAAAGGGTGGGGACTTTGGGTCAGAGACTACCTGGCTTTGAATCTCAGCTGCACCATTTACTTTATGATCTTGGAAAGTGACTTTTTCTTGGGTTGATTCATTTTTCTTGTCTGTAAAATGGAAATAATGATCATGCTGATGAAATAAAGTTATTATGATTACTGACATAATACATAGCACAGGTCTGGCACATTAGGAAATAGTCAAGAAAGGGTAGCTGTCAAATAATAATTATATATATATATGGGGTTTTTTTGTTTTGCTTTGTTTTGTTTTTTGAGATGGAGTCTCGCTCTGTCGCCCAGGCTGGAGTGCAGTGGCATGATCTCGGCTCACTGCAAGTTCCTCCTCCCGGGTTCATGCCATTCTCTTGCCTCAGCCTCCGAGTAGCTGGGACTACAGGCACCCGCCACCACACCCAGCTAATAATTATATTTTTGATATTTATTATTAGATTATCCTTTATAAAAATATATTTTAAATATATATAAATTAGTTTTTGTTTTACTCTTAAAGGCTCTGAGAAGTCCTGCAGTAAAATCTGCTTGACTTAACTCAATGTTTGTGAATTTATTTGATCTTGGAGTCTCTTTTTTCATATAACATAGAGGAATTTCCTGAGGAATTCATCTTCTGTGGGACTCACTTACAGAAATACTGATTTTGTGTTTTGGAAACAGTTTGGGGAGGCCAGTGTGTCTGAGCCAGGATTCAGTCCAAAGACAGACTCTGCCAGGTGTAAAGAGTTGTGTTTCAGCCTCAGTTCTTTCTTTATTTCCTCTTCCCGCAAGACTGCCACTCAGACATGGGATAACCATGCCAGAATTGTAGGGCTAGGGGTGAGGAGTAGGGCTTGAAGATCTAGCTCAGCCCTGGGAAAACTCCTACTCATCCTTCAATACCACATTCCAATTTTAACTTCTCAGAAGCCTTCACATCTTGCCCAGGCAAAATTAGTGGGCCATTCCTACAACCTCCAAGGCCCAAAATCTCCAGTAGAAACCTCACAATCAATATGTACCACATTGAACTGTAGTTGTCTGTTAGTGACTGTCTCCCCAGCTAGACTGTGAAGTTCTTTAGGGAAGCATCGTGTGTGTCATCTCAGTAATACCTGCTAGCACTTGATCAAGACCAGATTCCATGGCTCACCTTCTAGGGATTTCTAATAACTCAGCTGGGGCAGGAGGTATGAGGAGATAGCCCTGGGTCTTCTGAAGGTGGGAGAGGCCATCTCAGCGCTGACTCCCAGAGCCTTGAGGGAAGAATCAGAACTGATTCCCTCTGATGGCCAAAGGCGTGGCTCAAAGTCTTTCTGGGGTCTCTGAATGCAGGGACCCAGGGGGCAGGAGATGATGCCTATTGGGACTTCTTTTGACATGGACTTGTTTAGAGAAGAGAAAAACACAGCTTCTGTGGTGAAAAGGCAGAGAGAACCGCAAAGGAATGATGATTAGAAAAAAACAAATTCCCAATCTCCACTCCAAAGTTCATATGCCAGTGACAGTAAAACTGGTGGCGTGTTTAGAGTTAGGTCCATGGATGTTTAATCTTGGAGGAAGATAATTGTCTCCAGTGCTTTGAAGGCTGGGGGTGCCCCTCGTGTACAGGGGCTGGAACCTGGGAGGCTGCTCCCAGCTGGCCCCCACAGCCTCGGGATTCAGCTCCAGGCATGCCAGGGCCCCAGCAGTGCTGGTGAGAAGAAGCTGGAAGCCATTGTGGGGTCTGGGTAGCTGTTGGGCAATAGACTGCCCCTCCACCACTCCTGCCCCGGGCAACATTCAGTAAAGAAAGAATGGGTCCCGGATTCAGGCCTGGATCCAACAGGGTCCCACTTGGTGTGGCTTGGTTTCATGGTTCATGTGGACTAGGACCCCTCTCCCCATCAGTGTTTGGTGATACAGGATGCTGAGCTAGGATACAGTAGACAGGAAGTGGGAGGGCAAGGCTGGAGTTGGGATACTAAGGCTTGGTCAGGTCTCAGGGTCCCAGCTGGGGAGGATTCCTCAGAGAAATAACAACAAAAATAATCATGATAATAGCAGCTTCTGCTATTGAGCACTTAACTTGTGCCATTAAACCTTTGAAGTAGGTATTTATCCCCATTTTGCAGATGAGGAAGTTAAGGATCAGCAAGATTATTCAGACACCCCCAGGTCATTTAGCTGGTAAGCAATAGAGCTGGGTTTCAAATTTAGGTCTTTCTGACTCCCAAACTCCATCTCCTGACCATTAGGCCATCCTGCCTATATCCCAGGGGAAATGGGATGGGTTCCCAGTTGTATAGATTATGCTAGTGGGTCTGAATCCTTCAAACCCAGTGTCCCTTTTATAACAAATAGTTTGCAAAGCCCTCTTCAGCACCCTGAAATGCAGTTAATAGATTATATAATCCACCTACAAATACCAAAAGCAGTAGTAATAATACTAATATAGTAACCACACAGTAAAGGAGAAATAAAAGGAAAACCATTTGTAATAAAATAAAATAATAATACATATTTCACTACGTAAGTATTTGGGCTGCCTACACTGGAAGATTTTCTGAAGCAGTCAGATGCCTGTAACCACATCTAGAATCAGGTTAACAAAAATACAGATGGATACACACATATGTCGAATTGACAATTCAAACACCAACAAGGGACTCAACCCATGGTGAGGCCCTGAACAAAACCATGTATCATATTCCTTCAAGTTACATGATCAGAGCAATCTTAGAAAATTCAGAATAGGCGGGGCACATGGGCTCACGCCTGTAATCCTAGCACTTTGGGAGGCCAAGGCGGGCAGATTGTCTGAGCCCAGGAGTTCTAGACTAGCCTGGGCAACATGGCAAAACCCTGTCTCTCCAAAAAAAAATAAATAAATAAATACAAAATTAGCCAGGCATGGTGGTACACACCTGTAGTCCCAGCTACTCGGGAGGCTGAAGTAGAAGGATCACTTGGGCCCCGGGAGGTTGAGACTGCAGTGAGATCACACCACTGCACTCCAGCCTGGATAACAGAGTGAGAACCTGTCTCAAAAAAAAAAAAAAGAGAGAAATTCAGAGTAGATTAAAACTGTGTAATGAGTTTTTGCATTTACAGGTAAATAGAATGACGAACTCTGGTCTCAGATAATTATAAAAAGAGTTTCCCACCCACCTATAGTCCAGGGAACATTTGAAAAGTGGACAGGACAAAGGACAATTCTTCACCAGATGCCAGTTGTGCCCCCCATATCATTGTGATAATCCAAAACTCCCCCTCCCACTATTTCCAGATGCCTCATGGAAGGTGGTACACCCCGCCCCATTGTGCACTGTTCTCCTAGGCTAACGTGGGGTGGGGTGGGGTCTGAGGATTTGTGAAGCAGCTGGGTACCAATGGTACCCACCCCTCCAACACACACTGTGAACTCCAGGGCTCTGCCTACTGCTCCAGGTATGGCCTACTAGCGGACCTGAAGGTGCCCAGTGTTTCTGGTTGGCTCAGGAAATCGGCTAGCTAAGCTTAAAGCCAATCAGGATTAGGGAAGGGAGAGGAAAACTTAATGATTACTGCACATCTCCTCTCTGCCAGGCCCAAAGTCATGCTGCTAATAATAAAATAATAGAATTCGAACAGGACTATCTAACTCCAAATGAGATGCTTCATACTTTACTTTTAAAAATTAAGATAGTAGGCTGAGCATAGTGGCTCACGCCGGTAATCCCAGCACTTTGGGAGGCCAAGGCAGGTGGATCACTTGAGCTCAGGAGTTTGAGACCGGCCTGGCCAACATGATGAAACTCCGTCTCTATGAAAAATACAAAAATTAGTTGGGCGTGGTGGCACACGCCTGTAATCCCAACTACTGGGGAGGCTGTGGCATGAGAATCGCTTAAACCTGGGAAGCAGAGATTGTAGTGAGACAAGATTGCGCCACTGCACTCCAGCCTGAATGACGGAGTGAAACTCTTGTCTCAAAAAAAAAAAAAAATTAAGGTTGTAGCCAGGTGCAGTGGCTCACTCCTATAATCCCAGCATTCAGGGAGGCCAAGTAAGGTGGGAGGATTGCTTGAGGCCCAGGAGTTCAAGACCAGCCTGGACGACAGAGTGAGACCCTATCTCTAAAATAAATAAATTAAATAAATAAATAAATAAATAAATAAATAAAGTTAAGCTTGTAATTTTAGGGACTAATGGCATGGGAGTCTAGAGATAGCATCATGCAGTGTCCAGCGCATAACCAGGACTCAAGTACAACCCCAGACCTACTGCCCATCAACCAAGTAACCTTTGAAATGCACTTCCCTCATTCTTTTGCTGATGAACTCTTGTGCATCCCTTAAGACCCAACTCAAACATCACCTCATTCGTGAATTATCCCCATTTCCTCCAGGGGGAAGGAGTGTCCTCCACTCTGGGCTTCTGCGCTCACATTCATAACTCTCACCACAGCACTCGTCCCCCTGAGCTGTGATTCCTGCTGTGTCTATCTTCCCTGCTAGATGCTGAGCTCCTTGAGAGCAGAGACTTTGTCCAATTTATCTTAAGGCCCCCAGCCCCTTTCCCTCCAGTGCCCAACACAGTGCTGGCCTAGTACATCCCAGGCATTAATCAATGCAGAATGAATGAATGTTTGATGGAATGAATTCACTTTGCTTGCTAAGTTGCTCACGGAGCAGACCCTTTGTGCTGAGTGACTAAGTGGAGCAGGTCAGTCACCTGGGATTCACCAATTGTTGATGGCCTCTCTCCAAACAGCAGATTCTCACTTGGCACAAAGGCAGGAGTCAGAGTGTTCCTGCTGCCACCCCACCTCCCTCTGAAGAGATTTGTCCAAGAGTTCCATCGGTGGGGTTTCTTCTCAACATGCATGCAGCCTGCCATCATCTCTGTTATCTGGGTCCATCCACTCCCAAACCAGAGCTTCCAGCAGCAGAGAAGAGGTGGTGTGATGACATTTAGATCCAGGCCATGGAGGGAGAGTGCTGCTTGCCTGACCCTGTCATCGTCCTTCAGCTCCCATCACTCTTATCTCATGCATACTTTGTTCCTCTCTTGTCCCCTCTGGGGCCCAGGTTCAAGTCCCTCGCCAGCTTCTGACTGCTGGGCTCAGCCCTCCTTTCCTTCTGGTTCTAGCTCATCATCCTCTCCTCTGTGACACACACATTGGGAATTTCTGCCAAGATTAGCCTATGGATGATCCTTCTTGAAGAGGCTGGGGACTTGATGGGCTTTGGGGACAAATGTGGTTTCAAATCCCAGGCCCCTTATTTCCCCGTTGGGTGCCTGGAGGTGACAGTGTTAGTGTTCTGCCTAAATCCCCTTGGATCTCTTTACAGTTTCTGCGCAACCCTCTTCCAACCTGGCTGTACCTTTGCCTCCAAAGGCATGCGCCTGTGATCTTTCTGCAGCGGGGTGCTGTGAGGCTGGGAGCCATTTTGTCTACAAGTGCAGAGTCCAGAAATGCCCAAGAACTTCCACCTTCCACCCCACCCCCTGCGGCCTTTGACAGACGACTGTTGAGTCCAGGGGCATGAAATCCCACCTCCCTTGCCTTGGTTGGGCCAACTCCAAGGTGTGAGTTACACTTCAGGGTCCTCCTGTGGGATGACACAGGATTTTACCCACCACCCAGACCCTTTCTGCTTTCTCCGAGAGCCCTTCCTTCATACGTCCCTTGTCTCTGGGGTGGCGTCTGGGAAACCTGAGCTAAGACGGTGACTTGGGTAAATCACTTCACCTCTCGGAGTCTCAGCTTTCTCCCTTGTAACTGTGAGTTAGGAACTCATACTTTTTAGAGATGTTGGCAGGATTAAGTAAAATAGTGCCTGGCGTGGAGTAGGTCCACAGTTCCTTTAATGATCCCTCTTTTCAGAAGAAAGTCAGCCGGGGGGACACAGTGACTCATGCCTGTAATCCCAGCACTTTGGGAGGCCAAGGCAGACAGATCACCTGAGGTCAGAAGTTCAAGACCAGCCTGGCCAACATGGCAAAACCCCGTCTCTACTAAAAATACAAAAATTAGCTGGGCGTGGTGGCGCACGCCTATAATCCCAGCTACTTGGGAGGCCGAGGCAGGAGAATCGCTGGAACCCAGGAGGCAGAGATTGCAGTGAGCCAAGATCGCGCCACTGCACTCCAGCCTGGGCTACAGAGCGAAACTTCATCTTAAAAAAATAAATAAATAAAATTTAAAAAATTTAAAAAAGAAAGTCAGCCAGGGCCGGGCGCGGTGGCTCACGCCTGTAATGCTAGCACTTTGGGAGGCCGAGGTGGGTGGATCACGAGGTCAGGAGATCTAGAGCATCCCGGCTAACATGGTGAAACCCCGTCTCTACTAAAAATACAAAAAATTAGCTGGGCGTGGTGGCGGGCGCCTGTAGTCCCAGCTACTCGGGAGGCTGAGGCAGGAGAATGGCGTGAACTCGGGAGGCGGAGCTTGCAGTGAGCTGAGATTACGCCACTGCACTCCAGCCTGGGTGACAGAGCAAGACTCTGTCTCAAAAAAAAAAAAAGAAAGAAAGAAAGTCAGCCAGAAGGATATCGCCCTGGAAGTTAGGGGGCCTGACTTCAGTTCTGAACTCACTTATTTGAGTAAGTCTCTTTGCCTCCCTAGGCCTCAGTTTGTTGCTATTGTGCGTGTGTGTGTGGCTTTTTTTTTTTTTTTTATAGAGACAAGGTGTCACTCTGCCACCCAGGCTGGAGTGCAGTGGCAGGATCATGGTTCACTGCAGCCTCCATCCCCTGGGCTCAAGCAGTCCTCCCACTTCAGCCTCCTCAGTAGTTGGGACCACAGGCATGCGCCACCATGTCTGGCTAATTTTTTGTAGAGATGGGATCTCACTGTGTTGCCCAGGCTGGTCTCAAACTCCTGGGCTCAAGCAATCCTCCTGCCTTGGCCTCCCAAAGCGCTGGAATTACAGGCATGCACCACCACACCCGGCCCTCTTTTGTGTTTTAAATGGCCTTATTAAGATGTAATTCACATACCATATTATTCACCTGTCTAAACTGAATTTGGTGGTTTTTAGTATGTTCATGGAGATGTGCAACCATCACCACTATCTAATTTTAGGACTTTTTCATCACCTCAAAAAGAAAGCCTCCAGCCATTACACTCACTCTCCACTTCCTCCTACACCAGCAGTCCCCAACCTTTTTGGCACCAGGGACCAGTTTCATGGAAGACAATTTTTCCACGGACGGGGGTTGAAGGGGATGGTTTGAGGATGAAACTGTGCCACCTCAGATCAACAGGTATTAGTTAGATTCTCGTAAGGAGCGTGCAACCTAGATCCCTCACAATGCACAATTATCAATAAGGTTCGAGCTCCTATGGGAATCTAATGCCACTGCTGATCCGACAGGAGGCAGAGCTCAGGTGGTAATGCTTGCTTGCCTACCACCCATCTTCTGCTGTGTGGCCCGGTTCCTACAAGGCCACTGACCAGTACCGGTCCGCAGCCCAGGGGTTGGGTACCCCTGTCCTATACCACTCTCACCTCCAGCCCCTGGCAACCTCTATTCTACTTTCTGCCTCAATGGATTTGCCTGTTGTGGACATTTCATACAAATGGAATCCTACAATATGTAATGTCTGTGAGTGGTTTTTGTCACTTAGCATAATGTTTTTAAGGTTGATCTACACCGTAGCATGTGTTGGTACTTTACTTGTATTTATTGCTGAATAATATTTCATTGTATAGATAAACCACATTTTGGTTATTTATTCATCAGTTGACAGATATTTGGATTGTTTCTACTTTTTGGCTATTATAAATAATGCTGCTATGAACAAGTTTCTGTGTGGACATACACTTCTCTCAGGCATACACACACACACACACACACACACACACACACACACACACACACACACACACGGCCAGGCGCAGAGGTTCATGCCTGTAATCTCAGCACTTTGGGAGGCTGAGGCAGGAGGATAGCTTGAGCCCAGGAGTTCAAGACCAGCCTGGGCAATATGGCAAAATCCCATCTGTACAAAAAGTACAAAAATTAGCTAGGCCTAGTGGCATGTGCCTGTAGTCCCAGCCACTCAGGAGGCTGAGAGGCAGGAGGATCTCCTGATCCCGGGAGGTTGAGGCTGCTGTAAGCTGCTGTGAGCCACTGCACTCCAGCCTGGGTGACAGAGCGAGACCCTGTCTCCAAAAAATAGTAATAATAAAATATATATACACATACAATATATCATTCATGTATATATAATGTAGGAGTGGAATTTCTGAGTCATATTGAGGAATTTCCTGTTTTCCAGAGTGGCTGGACCATTTTACAATCCCACCAGCAAGGTGTGAAGATTCTGATTTCTCCACATCTTTGCCAACATTTGTTATTGTCTTTTTTATTTTAACGACCCTAGTGTGTAGGAAGTACTATCTCATTGTGGTTTTGATTTGCATTGATGGCTAATGATGTTGAGTGCCTTTTCATGGGCTTATTGACCATTTATATATCTTCTTTGAAGAAATATCTATTCAGATCCCTTGCTCTTTTTTTTTTTTTTTTTTTTTTGAGACGGAGTCTCGCTCCGTCGCCCAGGCTGGAGCGCAGTGGCGCGATCTTAGCTCACTGCAAGCTCTGCCTCCCGGGTTTACAACATTCTCCTGCCTCAGCCTCCCGAGTAGCCGGGACTACAGGCGCCCGCCACTGCGCCCAGCTAATTTTTTGTATTTTTAGTAGAGACAGGGTTTCACCATGTTAGCCAGGATGGTCTCGATCTCCTGACCTCGTGATCCTCCCGCCTTGGCTTCCCAAAGTGCTGGGATTACAGGCATGAGCCACCACGCCTGGCCCCCTTGCTCATTTTTAAATTAATTTGTCTTTCCATTGTTCATGCATAAAAATTCTTTCTTTTATGTTTCTGAGGCGGAGTCTTGCTCTGTCACCCAGGCTAGAGTGCAGTGACACAATCTCGGCTCACTGCAACCTCCGCCTCCCTGGTTCAAGCAATTCTCCTGCCTTAGCCTCCCTAGTAGCTGGGATTACAGGTGCCTGCCACCGCACCTGGCTAATTTTTGTATTTTTAGTAGAGACAGGGTTTCACCATCTTGGCCAGGCTGATCTCCAACTCCTGACCTTGTGATCCACCCCGCCTTGGCCTCCCAAAGTGCTGGGATTACAAGTGTGAGCCACCGCGCCCGGCCCGTAAAAATTCTTATATTTTCTGGATATTGCCCCTTATCAGATATATAGGGTCTCAGTTCCCTCATCTGTAACTTGCTGTGTTCCTAGATTAAATACAAAGTACGTAATGGGCCTGACATACATCAGGTGGCTGTTAGCTGTTACCATTAATAGAACATTCTTTTAATTCATGGAACTTCAGGGCCATATAAGCCTCCAGATATCATCCAGTCTGACCCTCCCCTATCTATCCATTTCATGGATGAAGGAACTCAGCCCAGGGAGGGAAAATTACTTCCTGCTCAGGCCTTCAGCAGTGGTTCTCAGCACATCTGGAATGAGCGCAGCTGCGTGCCTGTGGGCAGGTCATCTCAGTGTATGCATCTGTGAAATGGAGGGGAGGGAGGGTGCTGCAGCAAGCCTGTATGAAGCTTCTCCAGTGTGGTAAGCACTGCCCCAAAGCATCCTGCCCGTATCCTGTTCAGTCCTCCCAACTGCCCTGAGATGCTCCTATTTCACAGAGGTATAGAAACTGATACTCAGAGAGGTGAAGTTTCTTACCTAAGGGCTCATGTTTAGGAAGTGACAGAATCAGTATCAAACCCAGGATTTTCCAGGCCCAGTGCCTGTCCTCTCTTTTGCTGCCACACCTTGCCTCCTAGGATACTCCATCTCCTGGGACCCCTATAAAGCACTTTTCCCTTTTTTTCCTTTTCTGATATTTATTGTTATTATATCAGAAATGTTCTAATAACCACAGAGCAACCTCAGGAAAATGGAAGATGCACTCCTCCCGCCCCCTGGCCATCTCTGATGCTTTCATCATCTCTTAGACCCACTGGAGCTGAAACTTTCTAATGCAATCCAGGCTTAGCCCAGTCCCACCTTTTTAAAGTGGTGGCCTGAGGAGGCTTGGAATGTAACCATGTCCAAGGCCAACCTCAGCCTAGACAGTGCTGAGTTTGGGGGACAAGGATTCCTTGGGGCTGTCCTGTACGTCAGGCTGATCTGCTTCCTCACGGCGGCAGGGTCAGGTGGAGGTGTCCTTTGGCAGGAAACCTCAGATTCTAAAGCAGTTTTTGTTAGCCAGAGGTGGTCTTGACCCTAGGGACACTTGGCAATGTCTAGAGGCATTTTTGGCTGTCAGAACTCACAAAGGAGGGTGCTACTGGCAACGAGTAGGTAGGGGTCGGGGATGCTCCTAAACCTCCTACAGTGCACAGGGCAGCCCCCAACACAGAATTTTCCTGCCCCAAAGCGCCTGTAGTACAGAGGTTGAGAAATCCTGCTCTAGGCAAACACAGCTACAGAACTGGTCCTGCTCTCCCCGTGGGCCCTGCCGGGGCGGCGGCATGCATGTACATGAGGGTGAATCCCACAGCTAAGGAAGACCTTCTTTCCTTGATTTCCAGGGCATCTTTTTGTGCCGTTTGCCTTTCCATGTTCTAGGCTGGAAATTTCTTTTTTTTTTTTTAAGAAGGAGTCTCGCTCTGTCGCCCAGGCTGGAGTGCAGTGGTGCGATCTCGGCTCACTGCAAGCTTAGGCTGGAAATTTCAAATAAGCTTGTGATGAAACCCACAGTAGGAAAGCTTGCTTTTTTTTTTTTTTTTTTTTTTTTAAAGCACTGGCCATCTTATTCCCATGGCAGGTCCTTGCTGCTCAGAGAGGCAGGCCGTGTGACTGGTCCTTGGTGCTCAGAGAGGCAGGCGGTGTGATGGTTTTTGCCATTTCTCCATGCCTGGGACCTCCTAAGGTCAGGCATTGTGTCTCATTCACTGCTGCATCTCCAGTGCCCGGCACAGTAAATGAACAGAGCCAGTGCTCAGGCAGAGGGTGCCAAGTGAAAACAGGATTAAAAGTCCCCCAGTCTTGGCCATAGCTGGCCCCCACCTTCCACCTCCAACTCAAATCTTAACATAATGAGAGCAAATCATTACGTAAAACTTACTATATCTGACAGGCACGATTCTAAGTCCTTTACATATATTAACGCAGTTAATCTTCACACAACCTATGAGGCAGATGCTATTATTATCCCCGTTTTACAGATGAAGAAATAGAGACACGGAGAGGTTAAGTAACTTGCCTAAAATCGCACCACTCAGGAGTAGCAGCAGAAGCGGAATCTGAACGCAGGCGGTCCATCTCCAAGCTCTTCACCACTGAATGTCTTGCTTCCTCTCTTAGAATGGCCAGTGGAGCACAGCCTACCCTCTTTTGTGTCTGAGGTCGGCTTCCTCCCAGACAGGCATAAATTCTCAGAGCTTAAATTCTTCCCTGTCATGTCAGGCATTATCAGGAGTGGCAGAAGTGCTTTCCTAACACGCCGAGATAATGATTTCCAAGCACAAGGAAAAGAATCAGGCTAATCTTGGCCGGGCCCGATGACTCGCACCTGTAATCCAATAGTTTGGGAGGCCGAGGCGGGCGGATCACCTGAGGTCAGGAGTTCAAGACCAGCCTGGCCAACTTGGTGAAACCCCGTCTCTACTAAAAATACTAAAACTTAGCTGGGTGTGGTGGTGGGCACCTGTAGTCCCAGCTATTTGGGAGGCTGAGGCAGGAGAAATCACTTGAACCTGGGAGGCAGAGGTTGCAGTGAGCGGAGATCAGGCCACTGCACTCCAGCCTGGGCAACAGAGCCAGACTCCATTTCAAAAAAAAAAAAAAAAAAGAATCAGGCTAATTTTGATAGGCTCAGTGGACATGGGGTTTAGCCATCGGCTTTGTTTTTCCATTGCATTTAAAGTTTTTATTAAAATGAACAGTACTAATTTAAAAAAAAAAAAAACCCTGCCAGTAGCTTCCCATTGTATCATGGGCCCCAAATATACATCCTCAGGTAAAAACCTGGGGACTGTGAAAAAACATTTGAAGTGCCTGGGTCCTAGTGCTATAAATTCAGATTCAGAAAGTCTGGGGTAAGGCATCCCTGGAAATTCTAAAGGATAGCCAGAGAGGGCAGGAGCCTGGAGCATAGCGCTGAGGCTCAGGAACCTGCACTTTCACTCATTGAGGACTAAACTGCTTCTCACTGATGAAAACATCCTTCGAGTTCTGGCTCATAAGTCACCTCCTCTGGGAAGCCTTCCCTGAATTTTCAAAGTAGTAAGTCACTCCCCTGACCTCCCACAGCACTTTGTCTACCCATTAAATGTGGCACTGCAGGGTAATTATTTATTTGGTCCTTTTGAGCAAGAACTGTGTCTCACCTGCCTCTGTATACCCAGCACTCTCAGTGTTGAGGATGAAGTTGGCGCTCCATGAATGCTTATTGAGCAACTAGAGGACTAAACAGACACTCCACTTTGGCCCCTGTCAAGATTGCCTTGTGGTCTGGCCTTTAGACCAAGAAGACCTGAGTTGTAACTTTGCCACTTTCTCGGGTGAGCTGTGTCTGAGTCTTCATTTGCCTATCTGGAAAATGGGGATAATGACAGTCCCTCCCTCCTGGGGGAGCTCCGATGACACAGGCCAATAGTGGTGATGGTGTTTGTAAACCCTGCGGTGTCGTGTTGGTGCACATGTGTGGAGGAGGTGGGGTGGGGCCTGTTATTCCTGTCCTGGAATGTTGGCACTCAGACGTTGTTTACGGTAACTTCTGGGCTCTGTGCCTGACTTCCCAGGGCTCCGGCACTTGCTGGGGTAGATGGCAGTTCCACGTATGAGTATGTGATGCCTCCCAGCAATGGCATCACCAGATTTGTTAGGTGTTCTGTGGAAGCCCCGACCTCCAGCCCCCTCCAACCCCCTTCCAGATTTCCTGCTCTGCCGAGAATTCCCTTGCTCCTCCTGCCCACCTTGCAGAGCCTCCAGTGGGTTCCTGGGCCCCTCCCAAGCAAGATCGAGCCCTGTTTTAAGCCCTTTCAATGCTGGGCTCTGAGTCAGGTTTGGCATCCGGACAACTCCACCTTTTCCTGTTTCTAGGGACCTACCTGTAGGAGTTCTATACCTCTGGGATGTGGGCAGCCTGACCTCTAGATGTATTGAGCAGCTGTCATAAAGCTATGCCGCTTGCTCCCTGCTAAATTGCAGCCAAAGTGATGGGCATTATCTGCTTCAGAACAGGAGAGAGCTGTTCTGCCATCATGCCAGTGCCCTTATTCATCATCACCACAGCTTTTACCATTGCACCTTTGCCCAGTATCAGATGAGTGGATCCTTGCAGCATGGCATAGATATCATTATTATTATAACCATTTTGCAGAAGTGAAAACTGAGGCCCCAAGAGGTGAGCTAACTAACCCAAGAGTAATCTCCCCTTGAGCCACTCACTGTTGCATTTACTCACTGAATAAATGAAGAGGAAGGAAGAGCTGACTTTAATGCCTGGAGCTTCTCCCTGCCTTGGAGGTCGGGATCTGAGACCACTCTGATTCCTCTCACAGGGCTAAGGGACCATCATCACATAGTTATGGGTGTTCATGTAGCACAGGCTGGGGGACCTAATTTCTAGTCTGTTTTGTGCCACAGGTTGTTTTGGGCTAACACTTTTAGGTCTGAGAGTGCCTGGATCTGCTCTAGGTAATCAGGCAGACAGGCAGCACAGAAGACAGTTCAGAAACAGACCCAAATGCAGATAGGAATTTAGTATGTATGAAAGGTGGCATTACAAATCACTGGAGAAAAGATAGATTATTCAATAAATGGGCTTGGAGCAATTGAAGAACCACCTGGAAAATATTAAGTTGGATTGCAGCACACTCCTTTCTCCAGAATTAATTCCAGATGGATCCAAAATTTAAATTAAAAAAGATAAAAGTATGCAAGTACTGGAAGGTATGACGTTCTTAAAATAATCTCAGGGTTATACAATTCCAGACCTTCCCTTTCCCAAGCCTCAGAGGAGGCTGGGGCCAGAGGGGGTCCTCTGGCCTGGAATAACCCAACTTCAGGATCGTAAGTGTGAGCCCTACTTTCCACTACTGACAAAGATATCTTTTTCTCTGCTGAACAGAATTACTAATACTTAAGCAAAGAGTTTCAGTCTCCTGTGACACAAACACAGATATTTGTTAAAAGGGTATAGGAGGCTCCTAAGAAACTGGGATGGGCCATTTGGAAAGTCAGCTGAAAATCTGTCCGTAATTTTTTTTTCTTTTAACTACAAAGGTTATATAATAGAATTACAAAACATTTTGAAGAAGAGAAAAATAATATCTAAAAATATAATAATATATAAAAATAATAAAACACATGACCTTGCACAGACCACTCAACGTTACTGAGCCCATTCTGTAAAATGGGGGCAAAACCTACCCTGCTCACCCAGAGGGTTTCTGGGAAGGTCAGAAGAGATAACTGATGCAAATATACTTAGTTTCTAAGTCCTGCACATGCTGTAGCAAAGTCAGGTATGCATTATTTCATATTTGGCAAACTTATGCATGCAGGAACAGGAATGAGGACATTAAGTCTAATGATACTCCTGTCTTCAGGAAGCATCAATCCTCAATCCCAACCCTCAATCCCAACTCCTACGATGATTTGTATTTTTGTGTTGTTGTAAACATGTAAACGTGGTGTACATTCTGTTTTCTGTCCTGCTCTTCTTTCTTAAGGTGTTTTTCCACGTTGCTGAAGTCTCTGTAGCCTCCAGTTGTAATGGTTGCATAAGGTTACATCAACTGCTTTTGCCTCATTGACTTAACATTTCCCAATTGCTAAACATTTCAATTTCATCTCATTTTTCCTGTTATTAAAATGTGTGATGCAAAGCTTTCCTGTGTATAACATAGAAAATAATTCTTTAAGGGGATGTTGTTCAAGCCAAGTCAGCAAAGAGATACAAATGGACAGAAAATGTTTGGGGGAAAAATAGCCACCTTCATTAATAAGTAAATTAAAATTAGGATACACGTGAACTATCGTTGTTTAACTTTATCAAATTGGCATTCAATTTTTTTTAATTGACAATATCTAGCATTGGTAAGAATGCAATCAAAGCATAAAGCAGCATGGCTTTTAAGGAGAGCAGATTGATTATATGTAAAGACCTTTAAGAATATCCATGCCTTTTGATTCTGTAATTCCACTTGTAGGAAGTTATAAAGAATCAGGCCAGGTGAGGTGGCTGACACTTGTAATCTCAACACCTTGGGAAGCCGAGGCGGGTGGATCTCTTGAAGCCTGGAGTTCGAGACCAGCCTGGCCAACATGGCACAACCCCAGGCATGGTGGCACCTTAGAAGGCTGAAGCACGAGAATTACTTGAACCCAGGAAGTGGAGGCAGCAGTGAGCTGAGATTGCGCCACTGCACTGCAGCCTGGGTGACAGAGCAAAACCCTGTCTCAGAAAAGAAAAGAATGAATCAGATACACACCCAAAGATTTATATATAAGGACGTGCATTACAATTCTATTTATATTAAAAAATGAGAAACACTCTTGAATGTTCAACAATAAGTTAATGGTTAAGTAAATTATGGCAAATCTGTATGATAGAAATTTTAGGTAGCTATTAAAAGTCACGTTCTTGAAAAATATATGATGACACAGAAAAAAGCTCACAATGTCGTGTTTAGTGAAAAGTAGAGGATATAAAACCAAGACAGCCAAAACGGCATCATCCTAATTTTAGAAGAGACGTATGTTAACAGATCAGGTCCACAGAAAAAAGTAGGTGTCTGTTTTGCCCTTCTTCTTTAAGATCTGAAGTGCTTCCTGAAGACAGGAGTATCATTAGACTTAATTTCCTCATTCCTGTTCCTTCATGCATAAGTTTGCCAAATATGAAATAATGCATACCTAACTTTGCTACAGCGTGTGCAGGACTTAGAAACTAAGTATATTTGCATCAGTTATCTCTTCTGACCTTCCCAGAAACCCTCTGAGTGAGCAGGGAAGGTTTTGCCCCCATTTTACAGAATGGGCTCAGTAAGGTTGAGTGGTCTGTGCAAGGTCACGTGTCTCCTGTGTAGATGCAACCCCAGATTTCTGCATCCTCAGACTAATGTATTACCCTTCCGAGTCCAGGAGACACGCTCAGACTTATGTCATAGACCAGCTGAGTGGGTAGGGGAACGGCTCTGGATTCATAATCACCTTAGATTGAATCCAAGTATTCAATCCTTCTCTGACTCAGTTTCTTTGTCTGTAAAATTGGGAAGATAATAGACTTACCTCAAGAATTAAATAACCTAATACATAGAAAGCTCTTAGAATAGTGCAGGGGACATCATTAGTCCTCAGTCAGTAGTGGTCAGTATTATAACGAGATCCTTGGCATCTGTGGATGTAACAAGTTTCGCAATTCTCTAGGGACCCCTCTGGTCCATGACAGGTAATGGTTTGTTGTTTTGCTGAGACAAAAGTTAACTGCTCTCATGGAATGATATTATGACAATTTGAAAACACACACATACACTTCTTTGTGAAAAGTGGCCACTGGCTGGGCGTGGTGGCTCACACCTGTAATCCCAACACTTTGAGAGGCCAAAGGGGGTGGATCACTGGAGTTCGAGACCAGCCTGGCCAACATAGCGAAACCCCATCTCTACTAAAAAAATAAATAAATAAAATAAAAATAAAAATAAATAAATAGCCAGGCATCATGGCACACACCTGTAATCCCAGCTACTCGGGAGGCTGAGGCACAAGAATCGCTTCAACCCAGGAAACGAAAGTTGCAGCAAGCTGAGATCATGCCGCTGCACTCCAGCCTGGGTGACAGAGTGAGACTCTGTTTCAAAAAAAGAAAAATGGTCACTAAAAGAGCGAGTGTGGTAAAAATGCAGGAAATGTGGAGGAGAGGAATGCTATGCCTCTGAAAGACTGTGATCAGGAGAAGCCTAGCCTTTCTGGTGTGTTCTAGGGTGGCTTTGGGACACCCTGATGGATGTTTATACAAAGGTGTCATCAGGATGATGTTTAGCCAAGGACCCAGGAATGCCTAGTCCTGCCCTCGATCAGCTGTCCCAGCCCAGAATGTCCAAAGAGGGAATGTAAGTACCTAAAGAACACTGACTAGTCCGGGTGTGGTGGCTCACACCTGTAATCCCAGAACTTTGAGAGGCCAAGGCGGGAGGATTGTTTGAACCCAGGAGTTTAAGACCAGCCTGAGCAACATAGTGAGACTCTGTCTCTAGTAATATATATATATATATTTTTTAATTAATTAATTTATTTATTTATTTTGTAGAGATGGAGTATCACTCTGTCACCCAGGCTGGAGTGCTGGAGTGCAGTGGCGCGATCTTGGCTCACTGCAACCTCTGCCTCCCGAGTTCAAGCAATTCTCTTGCCTCAGCCTCCTGAGTAGCTGGGACTACAGGCGCATGCTGCCATGGCCAGCTAATTTCTTTTGTATTTTAGTAGAGACGGGGTTTCACCATGTTGCCCAGGCCAGTCTCAAACTCCTGAGCTCAGACAATCTGCCCACCTCAGTCTCCCAAAGTGCTGGGATTACAGGCGTGAGCCAGCGCAACCGGCTAAAAAAAAAAAATTTTAATTAGCTGGGTGTGGCCTATGGTCCCAGCTACTCGGGAGGCTGAGGTGGGAGGATCGCTTGAGCCGTGAGGTTGAGACTGCAGTGAACCCTGCTCACGTTGAGCAGCCAGTCGCTCTGAAATTGTGGCTCCAGAAACTCTCCTGGCCTCTAAGTGAGACAGGAAGATCCTCCTTCCTGGTCCGCATTTGGGCCTCAGTGCTTGCCACACATGCTGCCTCCGAGGCCACACTGACCTGAGCTTCTTGTTCAGGTCTCCCGAGGACAAGGTAGCAGGCCAACCATCACGTGGAAGGAAGAGTTCACAGTGCGCCCCCTTTCATCCCTTTTTCAGCACTGTGCAGCCTCCACCCTTGGCTCAGTGGCCAGCAACCTCCTTGGCCTTGGAATCTGGCATCCTTAGTAATACTTCCTCCCTCCTCAGTTGCTTTGTCTTGCTTAGGGAATCAAAGTTCAGGAATACTTAAGGAATTAGAATGTTGACATGTCGGACTGTGCTGACCAGGACCTAATTATCTGTAACGGGGTATACACTTGCAGTCAACATATCCTGCTACTAAAACCTGCAGTGAACAGAAGTGGGTGGGGAGCCATGAACAACCCTTTGATTGTCCATGTCAAGCATGTTAGTTTCTCAACACACCTGAAAGGGTCTTAGCGAAGGAAATGTCTGGTGGAAAAGGAGAGGTCAAAGACCCACCTCCCCCTCTTCCCATAGCACCAAAGAACCATATTCTAGGAGCTTCAGGTGTTAGTGGAAGGCTGAAGATGGGATTGGTTTGGCAAACCATATCTCTTAACTTGCCTGAGTGTCTATAGAAGCCAAGTAGAGAATCTGTAATTCCGAGCAACTGTCTGACCTTCATATGCACCCCCCACCTGACTGGGCTCTTTCTACGGGAAAGATAGTCAGTGCCAAAGTCCCCAGAACCTGGGGGCCAGCATGGAGACAGCCCCAGACTCAGTTACTACATCATTGCTAATAAACTAGAGGAATTAAGTATGTAAATCCAGCCAACCCTTGTGGTTTAACTCAGGGTTTCCTCACAAGAGCACAGTTGGCGTGTAGGGAGATAATTCTTCACCTAAGAAATGTGGGAGCCCCTGCACATTCCTGGCCCAGCCCATTAAATGCTATAGCAACCCTAGTCCCTAGGACCACAAAAATGACCCCATGTATTTCCAAACATCCCTATGGGGCTGGCATGGCCCCTGGCCTTGTTGAATTGAATGCAGTGCTAGACTCTTCTTATGGGGAAAAGAGGCCCATGGGTTTAAAAGATTGGGGTGGACAAAGATGGACATGGTTTGAGCCCCCTGTCCCCTTGGGTTTCATCCTGACTCCCACTGGCCAGACATTGTCCACTGGGCATGATGAGTCACCTATCCATGGACCTTTATTAGTAGCAGTGGTAGTAGCAGTACTTTTTATTGAACTATAATATACATGAAAGTATACACACGTTGTATGCACAGCTGGGTGAATTTTCACCAACTGAACACACCTGCGTAACCAGCGTCCCAGTGAAGAAAGAGAACATGACAAGCACCTTGAAGCCTCCTCATGCCCCCTTCCAGGGCAGCCACTATCCTGATTTTTAACAACATAGATGGCTTTTGCCCACTTTTATGCTGGTTTTTTTCGCTTTTAGCTCTACCTTATGTTTGTGATAGCCATCCATGTTGTTGTGTATAGCTGTAGTTCATTCATTGTCATTGCTGTGTCATATTCCACAGTGTAAATACACAGAAATGTATGCATCTACTGTTGAGGTAGGTGCAGGGTGCCCCATTTGGGGTGATGATAAATAGGGCTGTTGTGGACATTCTAGATCTTTTGGTGAACATATGCATGCATCTCTATTAGGTCACAGGCACTTGTTTTTGTTTGTTTGTTCAATAAGAGTAATCACTTGCAGTTCCAGCTACTCAGGAGGCTGAGGCAGGAGGATCACTTGAGCCCAGGTGTTTGAGACCAGCCTGGGCAACATAGCAAGACCCTGTCTCTAAAATAAAATTTTACAAAGACCATTCACAACAATTGAGTCAGGTCTCCAAGTATCATCATCTAAGCAGATAAGATGGGCACTCAACAGGCCACCCATCCTAGATGGAACCCAGTCTTCTTATAGTTCTCTGTCCCTTCATCCATCAGAGCTGGGCCTTGCCGTCTTGGGTTCATCTCTCCCAGGGCTATTAGAGGTATGGGCTAATCTCTTATTAACGTCATTCCCTCTTAGAGTCAGTCAGAGAAGCTATGGCTCAGTCATTATAGACTCAACTGCTTTATCATGTTTTAGGAGACCAAGTTTAGTAATAAATACAAGTTAAAGCATGTTTATTTTCTGGTTGGGCTGATCAGTACAAAATTATTTCTAACTCATCATATATTATAAGCCAGAACATCAACAACATCTAAATATAAGCATGGTTGTATAACTCACATTTTACTCTCCCTGAGGGCAAGCTAATCATAGCAAAATCCTTTCAGAAATATCCCATATGCAGGCTGATGCCTGCTCTTTTTCTCCTCTCCTAAGTTAAAATAATTGCAAACAGAACTTTTAAAAAATATCTGACTCAGTTGGCAAAATGAAGCTAGCAGTAAATTAAAAACTATTAATATCAGGCTAGCAGTTATCCTGCCTTATGGTTTTGAGGTACTGTCTTTTTAAGGTGGGTGTCTCAGTCCATTCAGGCTGCTATAACAAAGTATCATAAACTAGGTGGCTTATAAACGACAGAAATTTATTTCTCACAGTTCTGGAGGCTGGGAAGTCCAAGATCAAGGCACCAGCAGATTCAATGACTGGTGAGGGTCAGTTTTTGGTTCATAGACCGAACCTTCTCACTCTGTCTTCACATGGTGGGAAGGGTGTCTTAGTCCATTCAGGCTGCTATAACGAAATGTCATAAACTGGTTGTCTTATAAGCAACAGAAATTTATTTCTCACAGTTCTGGAGGCTGGGAAGTCCAAGCTCAAGGCGACAGCAGATTGAGTAAATGGTGACAGTCAACATTTTGGTTCATAGACTGAGCCTTCTCACTGTGTCTTCGCATGGTGGGAAGGGTGAGGAGTCTCTGTCAGGCCTCTCGTGTAAGAGCACTAATCCCATTCAGGAGAGGTTAGAATTTCAACACATGAATTGATGAGGAACAAATATTCAGACCTTAAGCAGCTGGATAGGGAGAAAAGGAAAAAAGATTTAGGGCAACTTCACAAGGTATCAGCTTACATATTTACTACAGTGATGAGTTGTTTTCTGCTTTGCAGAGGAGTGTTCTTTATCAGTTTTGTGGGGAAATAAAAATGATGTTGCTGGTCTTGAAGTTTGTTGGTTTGGTCATTGGTTTCCAAGCATAAATGCAAATGTATGTGTAGTATAAGCATGTGCGTAGGGATAAAATGGGCTGTGCCCCAGACCTGGGGCCTTTATGAGATGCTTGTATGAAGGACACCTGTTTTTTCTAGAAGAGAGAGAGGATACTTTCTTATTAAGGGTAGTACAGTGTAGTTGAAGAGTCAGAGAACTCAAAGCAAACAGACCTAGGGCACCTTCTGACTGTATGCATTTGAGCAAGTTTTTTCATTCCTGCAAGCCTAGCTTTTTCAACAGTGAAATAGGAATAACAATTCCCACCCTGTCTGTTGTGAGGATTAGAGATAATAAAGGCACTCATTAAACAGTGGTGTCACCTCAGGCTCCCACCCCGTCTCAGACTCTGCGCCAGACACTTACCCACGCTTCATCTCAATGTTACATAAATTTCACCTTTTGCCTCCTTCATATACCAACTGTACTATTATTTACTTAATAACTTTTAAAGTCAGCTCACAGCAGGGCATGTTGGCTCACGCCTGTAATCCCAGCACTTTGGGAGGCTGAGGTGGGTCAGGAGTTCGAGACCACCCTGGCCAACATGGCGAAACCCCGTCTGTACTAAAAATACAAACAATTAGCTGGACATGGTGGCGTGCACCTGTAATCCCAGCTACTTGGGAGGCCAAGGAAGGAGAATTGCTTGAACCCAGAAGGCAGAGGTTGCAGTGAGCTGAGATTGTGTCATTGCACTCCAGCTGGGGCGACAGAGCGCGACTCTGTCTCAAAAAATAAATAAATGAATAAAGTCAGCTCAGTTTTTAATTTAAGCCTCATCCTGAGCATTAAAAGCTGTGAAATTGCCAGTTTGATATTTTTTTTCTAATACGCCTTAAAATTGATGCATAATCCTTAAAACAACAGCTTCTTTGTGAGATACCGAAAACATCATCACTGTGCTTACCAATGTTTCTATGCATACCACACTTTGGGGTGCTCTAGATTCCCCAGAGACATCCTGGAAAGAGGAGCACTACCCCCTTCTTAGAGACACTGAAATGGGTTTCCCCATCAATATCACACATCCAGCCGAAACCTTTGAGAGTGCAGTTTGGCATCCCTCCAGGACATTTTCCTTTTAAGCAGTATCTCTCAGATTCTGAATCCTCTTGTTACCTGTAACCAAGAGGAGCAAAACATCGTCAAAAGTGGTTCCTTGGAAAACAGGCAGCTTCTGCAAAGTTGTTTTCCTTTTGAAAAGATTCAGTTTCCTCTTAGACCCTTGTAAATCAAACTCAAACTGCCAACGTGAGGAGAAACCATAAACAGCTGTGCCTGGGGCTAGGTGGACAGTCCCAGCTGCTGGCCTTGAAAGCCAACTGTGCTTCCAGCTGGCACCACATTGAGGCATATCTGCCATGTGGTTCCTCAATCCCCCACCACTGGAAGTTCCCTCCACTTCAGCGTACAGAGTGGGAATGACCTGGTGTGGCTGTGCTGAAGCTCGAGGGTCTACGTGTATTCAGCAGAACCAAGTGACTCTCATGACAGTATTGGATGAAATGAGCTATCTGGATAATCTCTTCCTGGTGTCCTGCTTCTTGCCCTTTTGAAAGCCTCAATTCAGGTGCGTTATCCAGGACTCTCTGGGTTGCCAGGGACATAAACCACCTCAAGGAGCTCCTCATAGGGATACAAAGCCGTCCCAAAGAAATCAAGGCAGAGCTGCAGATGAGCTTCAGGAAGGGCTGGAACCAGGGGCTGAAATGTGCAGACCACCCCCCATCCCATGCTTGTCCCCACCCCAAACACGCTGTCTCTCTTCCAGTTACTTCCTGTGTGTCTGATTCATTCTGTTCTTAGCAGACTGTCTGTCACTGTTTCCAGCATCCTGTGGCAGAAAGCAGCCAGCAACAGCTTTCGAGTTTTATGCCCCCCAGGAAGAGACTAAAATGCTTTCTGTCTCAAGCCTAGCTCCACCCTCCCAGGGAAGGGACTCCGCACTCTGGCCCCGCCAAGTCCATTCTCTTTCCTGCAGCCAGAGTGATCTCTTCAAAATGTAAATCTGGCTGTATTCCCTCCTCCCTCTTAAAGCTCCTCGGTGCCCCTGGTGTTCTTAGGCTGGAGGCAGAACTCTCCACACGATCTTGCATGATCCAGCCTCTGCCTAAGTCTCCAGCCTCATCCCTCCCTGGCCCTGCGCAGCAGCCTCACTGCAGTTGCCCGGCTCCTCAGCCGGGGCTTTGCTTGTGCCATTCCTTCATCCTGGAGCACCCTTTCCTCCCTCTTCAGCCTCCCTAAGCAGGTCACATCCCCATCTTACAGACATTCCTCACATTTGCCACAAACACACTGTTACATTTGTCCGTGTGATTCCTTGATTTTTTTTTTCTTTTGAGACAGCTTTGCTCTTGTAGCCCAGGCTGGAGTGCAGTGGCGTGATCTTGGCTCACTGCAACCTCTGCCTCCCAGGTTCAAGCAATTCTCCTTGATTTTTACTCATCTACTCCTCTTCAACTGCTCACTCCATTATGATAGGGACATGCCTGTTTACTCACCTAGCACATGGGAGTTGCCCTATACTGATGGTGAAACTTAATGCTTGCGCCCTTTGTTGAGTCATCTCTCAGAGCCCTTCAGCCCATATAAAATATTTGAGAAGCTGCCCTTTTGGAAACTGTGTATGATGCTGTCACAGGGTATTATATCCCCAGTCATATGTAGCTGTTCAGCTAAAGTGTGATCCATGGACTAGCAGCATCAGGATCACCTGGCAGCTTGTTAAAAATGCAGAATCTCGTCCGGGCACGGTAGCTCACGCCTGTAATCCCAGCACTTTGGGAGGCCGAGGTGGTCAGATCACGAGGTCGGGAGATCGAGACCATCCTGGCTAACATGGTGAAACCCCGTCTCTACTAAAAATACAAAAAAAAAAAAAAAAAAAAAATTAGCTGGGCATGGTGGTGGGCGCCTGTAGTCCCAGCTACTCAGGAGGCTGAGGCAGGAGAGTGGCGTGAACTCAGGAGGCGGAGCTTGTAGTGAGCTGAGATCGCGCCACTGCACTCTAGCCTGGGCTACAGAGCGAGACTCCATCTCAAAAAAAAAAAAAAAAGCAGAATCTCAGGCTGGCCCAGCCATATTCAACTGGAATCTGAAATATAACAAGATCCCCCGGTGATTCATGAGCATGTTAAATCTGAGCAGCATTGGGTTAGGAGACCCTTTTTTATGTTCCTATAACTTCCCTTGATTTCTTTCGATTTATAATTGCTTCTTTGTGTTTGACTTCTCTCCTGGGCTGTGAGCTTCCTGAGGGCTGGCACCCTGGATGTTTTGCCCAACTTTATAACTTCAGTGCCTGGTACAGGGCCTGGCATCTATAGGCAAAGATATTTCTTCCCCTAAAATTATCCCCCAGAAAAGGGGCCATACGGAGCCTTTTATATTGTAGGATGCTCTATAAATTACTTTGTTTTGAACAAAAGGTACTGTCTGGGAAAGGCACATTAATCTGAAAATGACCTCAGTGCCAATTTGGATGTTTATAGTGGCCACTCAATGAATTCAATAAAAAGTAGATAAAGTAATGCAATCCAATTTAGTAATCATTTCTGGAAAGTATGACTTCACAATTGTAATCACTGGTCATCGCTGTAAACATGCCTTTTAAAGACCATCTTTTAAAAGTATTACAGTAAATGATTACATTCTGGGGTCAGGACATACATCCATAAAACTAATTGAAGGAAAAAAACAGCTCATTGCAGGCTCCTCTGCTGTCTACACTGTTTGTAACCCTCCAGCATTAACTCTTGGGAACTGAGGAAAGACCACATTTGGCAGGTCTGTGATTGGGAATTCCTGCTCTGCCTTTTATTAGCTGGTAATTGGAGGTGTGTCTCTCAACTCCAATCTCATTCCCTGCCTGGGAAATGCGGAGGCTGCGCTCGACTCTGCTTGTTGTTCGGCATCATTTATTCTACTGTTTAGCTGAAGCCTCAGTTGCCTGGTTCTCCCTGGGCCCTCATTACTCGCCAGTACCCTCAGTCATCTACCTCCTTTCACTAGCTTTAGCATGGGGGTAGTGGAAGCTTCAGGCTCCGCATCTGCAAGGCTGTGAGGTTCTAACAGCTGCAGTTTGCTGTTTGCATCCTCATGTGTCCTGTCCTGGGACATCCCCTACCTTGCCCGCCGAGGAGTTCAGGCCCACGGTGCCTGCTCATTCCCCTGAGTGTCTGCCCTTCCCCACAAAGTCACATCCAAACCAGCTTCCATCCCCCATCCCCCCACATTCCAATTCCCGACGCTCTTAACATTCTCTCCCTCTGATCTGTATCATTTCCATTTTTCCTGCTGCCAGGATTTTATTTAACGAAGGGACAAGATGACAGTAGCAAATGAATGACTGAGAGACCCAGCTCTTATTATTATAATAATCGCTGCTGTTCATTGAATGTCTGTTTTTGCCTGGTTTCTGGATTAGAGGTGCAGGTAAATGGTAGTGCCATTCTCTGAGATGGAAAAAGGAGAGTGAGGACTTCCTGTCAAAATGCCTGACAGAGACTGGGCACGGTAGTTCACTCCCATAATCCCAGTGCTTTGGGAGACCAAGGCAGGAGGATCGCTTGAGCCCAGGAGTTCGAGGTTACAGTGAGCTATGATTGCATCACTGCACTCCAGCCTGAGTGACAGAGTGAGACCCTATCTGAAAAAAAAAAAAAAAATGGGCGGACTGTTTGAGCTGATAATCTTCATAATAACCATAAGAAGATAATTACAATAGTTAAGAATGTACACTGTGGTGAAAACTTCATAGATGTGAACTTTTTTGAACCCCACACCACCCTGTGTATTGTAAACTCTCTCTCTCTTTATACACACACACACACACACACACACATTTTTTTTTTTTTGAGACAGAGTCTCACTCCATCAGTCAGGCTGGAGTGCAGTGACACTATCTCAGTTCATTGCAGCCTCTGCCCCCCAGGTTCAAGCAACTCTCATACCTCATCCTCCCAAGTTGCTAGAATTACAGGTGCATTCCACCACATGTGGCTAATTTTTATATTTTTAGCAGAGGGTTTCACCGTGTTGGCCAGGCTGGTCTTGAACTCCTGGAGGCTGGTCTTGAACTCCTGGACTCAGCCTCCCAAAGTGCTGGGATTACAAGCTTGTAATCTCTATATTATAGGTGAAATAGTTCAGGGATAGAGAGGTTAAGCAGCTTGCCTGTGGTTGTATTTTCCATTAGTGGTGACCCCAGGATTTGAGCAACTCTCCTTAGAGTCTAGTGCTTACTTATGAAGCACACTGCCAGTCCCGGGAGCTGCCTTATTTGCCCTCACCTCAGGGCCTTTTCGCATGCTGTTCCCTCTGCCTGCAGTGTCCCACTATCTCCTTGCCTGGCTAATGCCCATTCTCCCCTCAGGCCCTGATTTTGACAATGCCTCCTCCAGGAAGCCTTTCCTGCACACATCCTTCCTGTCCTGGGCAGTGAGCTGCCTCCCCAGTGCTCTCACAGTCCCCACTTCCCTGCTGCAACACCTGTCCTGCATGTTGTAATTGCCTGCCTGCCTATCTGTTCCCCTCCTAGGCAGAGGACTGTGCCTCTCTGGCCCCTCCTAGTCCTCCCAGCACCTGGCCCAGAGCCCAGCACACATTAGGGACCCAGGCATATTTGTCGCCTGCTGTTGATGGATCTAAGAGCATGCTTGGCTGAAGAGATGTACAGTTGACCACGTTGCTGGCTCCATTTCAGGTGCTCCCCAGATGAGGAACCTGAGAAATGGTCATTTGGGTTGGTTCATATGATAGTCACAGTTGGCAGCCATTCCCCTGCCTCCTGGTTAATAGAAGCTTCATCTTGTTCA
Organism: Homo sapiens; assembly: GCF_000001405.40. Taxonomy (NCBI): domain Eukaryota; kingdom Metazoa; phylum Chordata; class Mammalia; order Primates; family Hominidae; genus Homo; species Homo sapiens. The sequence goes on from NC_000003.12 coordinate 11,199,902, forward strand.
GGTAACTACCCTTCAGAGAAGGTGACCCCATTCTCAGCTCAGCCCATCATGGGAAACCTAATCCTGTTGCTGGTGATTTGTTCAGTAGTGGACATGACACATGTGGGAGGTTGGTGAGGCTGGGGTCCAGGTGCCTCTAGAAAAATTCTCCTTGATCTTAAGAAAGAGATGCAGAGAGAAAGATCCTTGGATATTGTTGTGTCTGGGTGTGACCTCCGGGGCTGTGGCAGCCATCTTGCAACCAGGAGGCAATCTGGTTTGAGGACACGACTGACAGATGCAGAGAATGGCAGAACCAAAGATGGAAAGGATAGGAGTCCCTGATGATGTCTTTAAGGTGTGAAACTAACCAGCCCTGGAGCTGCCCTAACTTGGGACTTCTCATTAGAGGGAGTATACATTTCCTTATTACATAAGCCAAGTGAGTTGGGGTTTTCTGTTACTCACAGCCTAGATCATCCTAATGACTACTCTATGCCATAGAGAGACCATATGGTCTGTGACTGTTTGGAGAATACAGCAGGGACATGGGCTCAGCTCTGCCGTTGAAGAGCCTGGGACATCCTTTGTGCACAGCTTGGATGCCACTTCTCCACAAAGCTTCCTAGAGGCCAGGCCAGGAAATCATTCCTCCCTCCTCTGTCTAGCTTCTCCATGATCCAGGCATTCATCTCTTCCTGCAGCTTGTGAGCTCTCCAAGAGCAGGAACTATGTGCTGTTCATTTCTGCATCCCCACACTTATACCTCGCACAGAGTAGAAACTTGAAAACTGATTAGGGAATACATGGAAGGGTGAGGAAATTAATATTAATATATGACCATTACCTAACCCTTACGCAGAAAGTCATTTCCCCTGATCATTCCATTTGGCTTACAAATGAGTAAGGCATTTCCCTGCTCTGGGGCTCAGCTCCTTCATCTGGGAAATGGGAAGGCTGGACTAGATCACCAGCTCAAAAAAACTCCATGACTTAATATCATTTTATAGTAATGGCCTACTATGTGCAGAGCTGTGAAATAGAGGAAAAGATTAGACATATCCCCTTCCATTAAGATGCTGAGGGTCTAGAGTAGAATTCTTTGTTTTTTAAGGGGGAATAGATCCCTTTGAGGGCCTCTCCTCAGAAAGATGCCCCTGCCCTCAAAATGCTGTGTGCAGTTTTCGGGGATCTATCAGTGGATTCGCTAGAGAAAGGTATCCAGAGGCCCGCTGCTGCTTACTGGCCCTGTCCAAACTGGAGCTCAAACAGAGGAAACATGCCATCTTTCTCAGAGGATCCCCTCAGTCTAGAAGGGGAAGCAGAGTGCACATAAACCAATTGCCCTACGGCCAGAGAGGGGCTGACAGAGGCAAGCCTCTGATGTGCAGGAGAAGGATTTGACTTGCCCTGCTTGTATGGAAGTTTGCCAGGTGCTCAGATGGAGGAAGCCCTTTCATAGGCAAAGGGGACAGCATGTGCACAAGCTCCAAAGTCTGAAAGGGCACGGGGTATTATGGGATGGTGAGTAATGGTGCAACCAGAGCAAAGCAGAGAGACTAGACTTGGGGGACGGTAGAGGGCAGTGGGAGGGGCAGAGAAAGACATGAGGGAGAGGAGCTAAGAGGAAGTCACTGTGTCCTGGATGCTTTGGGGTGTGTGCCTAACAGTGGGGATCAGAGTGAGGGAAACCTCTGCAGAGGTTCATAAGGACCTGAGGTTAAACATGGGGTTCCAAGAAACAGGCTGAAAAAACAGCATATCCTTAGACTAGTCGGAGAAGGGCTGTCTGAAAATTCCAGGTGTCACCAGGGCTGTTGCCACACCCTCAAGGGGGACATGCCCAGGAAGAAAGCTAGCCTGTCTGGGCCTTGCCAAGTGCCTGCTGAGTTGCTCACAGGAAGCATGTCCAGCTGGGAAAAATAAAAGCGGGGACCTTGCCCCTCTCTGTGAAGTCCAGGCTATTGTTAACTTTTCCGAGAAGTTAAAGGAAATCATTTGTCTGCCGCCCAGGCCTGTGGCAGTGTTGGGCAGTCTCTTGTTTTGCCAAATTGCCTGGGCTGGCTGTCTCCACATACTCCCCCCTCACCGGGGCAGGCACCAGGACTGAAGAGCTGGAGGTCTTGGGGTAATTCAGAGGTGGGGAAAATGGATTCTTCCTTAATACATACGGTTGAGTTTTGCGGTAGATAAAATTATTTCTAATTTCTAATAAAAGGAAAGATTAAAAGGAAACTTTGAGGCTGGCCGCTGTAGCTCACGCCTGTAATCCCAACACTTTGGGAGGCCAAGGGGGGCAGATCATGTGAGGTCAGGAGTTCATGACCAGCCTGGCCAACATGGCGAAACCCTGTCTCTACTAAAAATACAAAAATTGGCCCGGTGTGGTGGTGAGCGCCTTGTAATCCCAGCTACTCGGGAGGCTGAGGCAGGAGAATCACTTGAACCCAAGAGGCAGAGGTTGCAGTGAGCCAAGATCACACCACTGCACTCCAGCCTGGGTGACAGAGCAAGACTCCATCTCAATAAATAAATAAATAAATAAATAAATAAATAATTAATTAAAAATAAAGGGAACCTTTGTTTGGGAGCCACTTTAACTAGATGATTTCTAAGACTTCTTCCAGCTTTTAGCATCCTGACCCTATGTGGTATTGACCTCCTGGCCCCCACCCTCCTCCATCCCCTAGCCAAGATGTTTTGTTTTGTTTTAACGAAGACTTTATTTTTCTTCAAGCAGTCTTAGGGTCACAGCAAAATTCTGCTGAAGATATAGAGATTTACATGTACCCTCTGTCCTCACATATGCACAGTCCCCTGCACTGTCAACATCCCCACAGAGTGGTGCATTTGTTACCACGGATGAGCCTACATGACACATCATTGTCACCCAGAGCCACAGTTTCCATGAGGGCTCCCTCTTGATGTTGCACTTTCTGTGGGTTTGGACAAATGGATAATATGTATCCATCATTCTAATACCGTGCATTTTTTACTCTCCTAAAAATCATCTGTGATCTGCCTATTCATCCCTTCCCCTGCCCAAATCCTGCTAACCATTGATCTTTTTACTGTTTCCAAAGTTTTGCCTTTTCCAGGACGTCATACAGTTGGAACCATATAGTACGTAGCGTTTTCAGATGGGCTTCTTTCACTTAATAGTATGCATGTCAGTTTCCTCCATCTCTCCCCATGGCTTGATAGCTTATTTATTTTTAACATTGAATAGTATCTCATTATCTGGATGAACCATAGTTTACCCATTCACTTACCAAAGGACATCTTACTTGCCTCCAAGCTTTGGCAATTATAAATAAAAATAAAGCTGCTTTAAACACTCGTGCAGATTTTTGTGTAGACACAAGTTTTCAAGTCTTGGGTAAACACCAAGGAGTATAATTGCTGCATGGTATGGTAAGAGTATATTTAGTTTTGTGAGAAACGGCCAAACTGTCTTCCAAAATGGCTGTACCATTTTGCCTTCTGGCTTCTCAATTAATTATTTCTTTCAAGGAGCATGCCTTTGGTATTGTATCTAAAAAGTCATTGCCAACCCAAGGTCATCCAGGTTTTCTCCTGTGTTATCTTCTAGGAGTTTTATAATTTTGGTTTTATGCTTAGGCTTATGGTCCATTTTGAGTTACTTTGTCTGAAGGGTGTAAGGTCTGTATCTAGATGTACTTTTTTGCATGTGGATGTCCAGTTGTTCCAGCACCATTTGCTGAAAAGAATTTTTCTCCATTGTATTGACTTTGCCCTTTTGTCAAAAACAACTTGACTGTATTTATGTCGATTTATCTCTGGATTCTGGATTCTGTTCCATTACTCTGTTTATTGTTTCACCAATACCATATTAATTACTGTAGCTTTATAGTAAGTCTTAAAGTTGGGTAGTGTCAGTCTGCCAACTTTGCTCTTCTCCCTCAATATTGTGTTGGTTATTCTGGGTCTTTTGCTCTCCATATAAACTTCATAATCAGTTTGCTTATATCCACAAAATAACTTGCTGGAATTTTGATTGGGGTTGCATTAAATCTATAAATCAAGTTGGTAAAAACTGACATCTAGACAATATTGGGGGTTCCTATCCATGAACATGCTGTCCTTTAAGCTACCTATATGCCTGCTTCTAACTTTTCCTTAATTGAAAGGAATGGGAGAATAGGTATCTCATTCGTCAAACACCTACTGTGTGCCAAAAATCATTTAATGATTTCACAGCACCATAAGGATGAGATTATGGCTCCCACTTGACATTCGCTGAGGCTCAGTGGGATGTTCATATCCATCCATTAAACAGACATGAATGGGACCTACTATGTGATAAGCCCTGAACCAGGAGCTGGAGATGCAACAGAGAACACAATAGAAGTGTTCTCTGCACTCATGGAGCTTACTGTCTGTGGGAGAGAGAGGGACACATATTAAATAATCCCATAGATAAATGATGTTAGGAGAGTTTATTCTGGGGCTAGGGAAGGCTTCCTGGAGACAGTGCTGTTTGAGCTGAGATTGGAAGGATGAGTAGGTACTAACCAGGGGTCAGGTGTTCCAAGCAGAGGGAATAGCACTTGAAAAGCTCACAAGACAGGAAGGAGCTTAGAGCCTTCCCAGGACTCAGAAGTGTGTATGGCCAGAGCATGGAAGGGAGGATGAAATAAGCTGACGCTCACTGAATCACCGAAGGGGAAGGCCGGGATCAGCTCTGCACAACCTTGTAGGCCTCAAAAAGGGAGGGCATGGAGAAAGAGAACAAACTACGTGTTAGGTGCTTTACCAGGTGCTAACACACACGCGATCACCTTTGATCCCTGCAGCTACCCCATAGTAAATGTTATCACCATCTCCAATTTACAAATGAGAAAACAGAGGCTCAGAAAGGGTCAGTCCTCCACTGGTCAGAGGCAGAGGCAGGCTTCCCAAAGCTTGATTCCAAATCCCATGGTCTCCTCAGTTCAGGAGCCTGGATGTACCAGGTGCAGTCCCCGCTGGGTAGCGCCTGGCCCCTCCTTTCCCAGATGCGAGGTTTCCTGCAGGGAGAGCCCAACCAGGCTCCCTCCAGCCCCACGTTTTTGGCTTCTGGCCTGTCTCTGTGGCATCCTTGCTTGAAATCAGAGAGAGAAACGTGGGGTCTGGTAATTGTATTCCATTAAGCCTAATTAAGATGCAAATTTGCACAGTTAATGAAGAAGGCAATTTGGAAGCAATTTCGCCAGTGACACAGGACTCTCATCAGCGCGGCTGTTCTTGGTAGGTAGGTCTGAGGAGATGGGAATGTATGCACTGCCACCCACCAGGCTGCATCTGGCCAGTCTCCAGGGAGAAATTCTTCCTTCTGGAGAAGGACAACCCACCCTAAATAGAACGCATTGTACGGAAACTGCTTGCATCATGTGATCCCCTGTGTGTAGATCATCCAGCTCTGGACCCCTGGAGTCCCACCTGTAGGCTCTGCCCTGCCCTGGCCTCTTGATAGGGGCAGGAGGGCCTGAAGCAGTTCTCTGGAAACAGACTGCCTGGGTTCAAATCCCAGCTCCACCACTCACTAGCTGTATGTCCTTGGGCAAGTTTTTTAACTTCTCTGGGCCTCAGTTTACTCCTCTCTGAACTGGGATAACAACATCAACTGAGAAAGGCTGCCATGAGGCTGAAATTGAATTATGCATGGGAAGTACTCAGCAAGCGCATGGCACATGAATGATGTACATTTTCATGAGCTCTCCCAGCACCCCATGTTTCGCATGGGCAAGAGCTCTGTTCCCCAGCCCCCAGGTTCACAGGTTTTCTTTTTTTTTTTTTTTGAGACAGTCTCGTTCTGTTGCCCAGGCTGGAGTGCAGCGGCACTATCTCGGCTCACTGTAACCTCCGCCTCCCAGATTCAAGTGATTCTTCTGCCTCAGCCTCTTGAGTAGCTGGGACTACAGGCATGCGCCACCACACCCAGTTAATTTTTGTATTTTTAGTAGAGATGGGGTTTCACCATATTGGCCAAGCTGGTCTTGAACTCCTGACCTCGTGATCCGCCCGCCGCGGCCTCCCAAAGTGCTGAGATTACAGGCGTGAGCCACCGCGCCTGGCCCACAGGTTTTCTTTTGCTGCTATCAGATGGCTGCCATTTGGGGCTGGACCTTCCCCAGGCCCTGGATGTCTGAGGTCTGTCTGGCTTGAAGCTGGGGCACACCCGGCAGCTGGGCTCTTGCATGGATTGCCACCTGGTGGTTGGCTGTTTTCACATCTTTGTTTTTTTGTTTTGAGACAGGGTCTTGCTCTGTCACCCAGGCTGGAGTGCAATGGTGCAATCTCGGCCCACTGCAACTTCTGCCTCCCAGGTTCAAGTGATTCTCCTGCCTCAGCCTCCCGAGGAGTAGCCGGGACTACAGGCACACGCCAACACGCCTGGCTAATTTTTATATTTTTAGTAGAGACAGAGTTTCGCCATCTTGGCCAGGCTGGTCTGGAACTCCTGACCTCAGGTGATCTGCCTGCTTCGGCCTTCCGAAGTGCTGGGATTACAGGCGTGAGCCACCACGCCAAGCGTGTTTTCACATCTTTGTATACCAAAGTTGGCCTGCTGGCCTGGACTTCCTCCCAGCACTTGACTCCACTTCACTGGCCCTCCACTTCAGTGGCCAGTGTTGTTTCTAAGTGAGTTACTTAACTGACGTCATTGTTATTATAGCTAAGATTTGTGGACTGTTCACTGTGCCAGGTGCTTTACCTATAATTATGTAATTTCATCCTTACAGCAATTTATAGATGCAGGGACCAAGGCGCAGAAAGGAAGAGTGACTTGCCAGGGTCATACAGCTGGCAAGGGGTGCCCCCGGAAGTCAAACCCTCTGTGCCTGACTTCCAAACTCATTGTTAAGCCTTCTATTCAACCTCTTCTGTAGTTCCCAGGCACCTGTGCCTGGCACGTGGAGCAAAGGAGATGCAGAGACCACCGTCTGCACCCTCGAAGGGCACAAGGACCTGTGGAAAGGGACAGACAAGGGAAAGTCAATGACGGAATAGGGTGGGAGAGCTGAGGAGGGGGAAGCTGGAGGAGGAGTGTGGGGAGGTCTGAGGAGGGCTTTTGTCTTATCGGGGTGGAGTCAAGGAAGGAGGGATTACAGAGAAGGGCACACTCGGTCTGAGAGTTGAAGGACGGATGGAAGTCTCTGGAGGTTTGCAGTGGAATGGGCTTCAGGGAGGGCACAGCAGGTGCAGTGGCATGGAGGTGTGAGATACTGGGGTATATTGAAGTTTGGGGTCTGAGGGTTGATGGTGGGCAGGGGGCAGCAGTGGGAGGGGAAGGCGGGAAAGGTAGACAGAAGCCAGGTCATGCTCAGCCCTGAAGGCCAGGCTCAGGCAGAACTTACTAGAGGTTCAGAGTGATGGGTCCTAGAAACAGGCTGACCTGGGCTGGGCACGGTGTCCCACGCCTGTAATCCTAGCACTTTGGGAGGCCAAGGCGGGTGGATCACGAGGTCAGGAGATCCAGACGATCCTGGCTAACACGGTGAAACCCCGTCTCTACTTAAAAAAAAAATACAAAAAATTAGCCGGGTGTGGTGGCGGCGCCTGTAGTCCTAGCTGCTCAGGAGGCTGAGGCAGGAGAATGGCGTGAACCTGGGAGGCGGAGCTTGCAGTGAGCCGAGATCATGCCACTGCACTCCAGCCTGGGCGACAGAGCGAGACTCTGTCTCAAAAAAACAAAAGAAAGAGGCCGACCTGAACTGGAGCGTGAGGTCCTTCGCTTACTTGCTGTGTGATCTTGGACAAGACCCTTGACCTCTGTGAGCCTTAGTTTCTTTTTCAATAAAATGGGGTCATTCAAAAAGCTTCCCTCCTAGGGTGATTCTGAGAAGGTGTGCAAGAAATTTCAGCTCAGTCTTTGTACATAGTGACCCCTCCATCAACAGAACTACTCCCCCTACTTGGAGGCCCTAGGGAGCCACTGCAGGATCAAGGGAGAAGAGCGGGCATCCTTGTGTACCCAGCGGGCCTGTCTGGCCCATGCCCCAACATCTGTCAGGAAGGGCGGGCGTCATTGACCACCAAAACTGGGTCAATGGGTAAATAAAAGGAAGAGGTTTTCCCACTAAGATGTTTATCACTTAGAAGCAAGAGCAGACAGTCTTTCCACGCAAGAGCAGGATGAAGAATTTAAAACTGTGTTTGCCAAACTTTCACACTCCCCTTTGCCATTTTCTCACATCTCTTTCCTGCCTGTTCTATTATTTCCTCAACACTTTTCTTTAAAGCAATTTTAGATTGACTCCAGTTTTTTCTTTTTTTTTTTTTTTTTGAGACAGGCTCTCACTCTGTCACCCAGGCTGGAGTGCAGTGGTGCAATCTTGGCTCACTGTGACCTCTGCCTCCCAGGTTCAAGTGATTCTCATGACTCAGCCTCCCAAGTAGCTGAAATTCCAGACATGTACCACTGCGCCCAGCTAATTTTTGTATTTTTTTGTAGAGACAGTTTCGCCATGTTGGCCAGGCTGGTCTCCAACTTCTGAGCTCAAGCGATCTACCCGCCTTGGCCTCCCAAAGTGCTGGAATTACAGGCATGAGCCACCACTCCTGGCCACTCTAGTTTTTTGTTTTTTGAGGGTTTTTTTGCTTAGCTTCCTAACACAATACTATCTGTTAAATCAAAAGTTTGAAAAAATATCACTTGAAATCCTTCTACCAAGATAAAGCCACTGTGAACAATCCAGGGAATATTTTTGTAGACTTTTCTGCAAGCATACACACCCATACATACGATGTTACAGAAATATGATTATGTACCGTTTTGTCATCTTCTTAATTTGACAAACTATTATGGACACTTTCCCATGTCAGCAGAGAAAGCCACATGATTATTAATCGCTGTATACCATCCCGGTGTTCTTGTGTGCTAACATGGGACCAGTCCCGTAATGACTGCTGTTTATATTGTGTCCCACTTTCCAGTAATAAAAATAACACTATGGTGAACATCTTTTTGTACCCTGTGGGATGAAAGATTCTCAGAAGTAGAACTGCAGAGCCAAAGAATATGTACATTTTAAAGATTTTGAGTAAAAGCTACAAAACTGCCCACAGAGAGTAATAATTTGCATCACCCCAGCCATGAGATGCCAGTTTCCTTCACCCTCAACTGCCTTGTATTGCCCACGTAGATGCTAAAATCTAAACAGCCCAATCAAGAAATACTTATTAACAGAGAGATTTGAACATAATTGATTTGTGATGGTAATTTTTTTAAGAGTCTTGCTCTGCTGTCCAGGCTGGAGTGCAGTAGTATGATTATAGCTCACTGCAGTCTCAAATAACTGGGCTCAAGCAATCCTCCCACCTTAGCCTCCCAAGTAGTGGGGACTACAGGCTTATGCCACGATGCCTGACTAGTTTTTATATTTTTTGTAGAGGTAGGTTCTTGCTCTATTGCCCAGGCTGATCTTGAACTCCTGGCCTCAAGTGATCCTCCCGCCTCAGCCTCCCCAGTACTGGGAATCCTAAATACTGGGATTATGGGCATGAGCCACCGCACCTAGATTGTGATGCTAATTTTTAATTGCCTAGAGATTCTTGACTCTTTTCTTTGTACCTTTAGTTTGATAATAAAACTACTTTGGATCTGTGTAATGGAATTAAATGTATCGGTGGTTCACAGTGTTTGGCTAGTAGACCTGACTTCCAGAATCACTACTGTTTTAGTTCAGGCTGCTATATATAACAAAATGTCATGGACTAGGCAGCCTTAACAGCAAACATTGATTTCTCACAGGTCTGGTGGCTGGAAGTCTGAGATCAGGGTGCCACCATGGCCAGGCTCTGGTGTAGGGCCTCTTCTCGCTTGCAGGTGGCTGCCTTCTTGCTGTGTCCTCACATAGCAGAGGACTGATGACTTATGGCTCCATTATTTTGGTGAATTAGTACTCTATTTTACAGAGGAGGGAGCTGAGGCTCAGCTAGTACAGGATGAGGCTCGGATGTGGAGGTGAATTCTAATTGCTTGCTCATCCTTATTCTGCTGTGCTGCCGAGATAGACCCTGAACTTCTGGCATTAGGGACCTTGTCTTGCTTGTCTCTGGATCCTATCCCAGTGTCAACACAAGTTAGATCGCATCAAATGCAGTTGTCGTGAGACACAGTGAAGACCTTGGCATTAAATGACTTAAGTTTGAATTCCGCCTCTTCCCTTACTGGCTGGGTGACTTTGTCATTGGTTTTTATATCTCTTATGTGGAGTTAATAGGGCCACATGCAGTGGCTCATGCCTGTAATCCCAGCACTTTGGCAGGCTGAGGCAGGCAGATCACTTGAGCCCAGGAGTTCAGAGCAACCTGGGCAACATGGTGAAACCCTGTCTCTACCAAAAAAGATACAAAAATTAGCTGGGCATGGTGGTGAGTACCTGTGGTCTCAGCTACTCGGGATGCTGAGATGGGAGAGTTGCTTGAGCCCGGGAGGTCGAGGCTGCCGTGAACTATTGAACGTGCCAGTGTATCCAGCCTGGGTGACAAAACGAGACCCTGTCTCAAAAAAATAAATAAATAAATGGGGTTAATAATCCCGACCTTGCAAAACTACTCTGAGGATAAAATGAGATGGTGTGTACACCCAGTACATAGTAAGCACTAAATAAAACAGCTATTGGCTGGGTGCGGAGGCTCACACCCGTAATCCCAGCACTCTGGGAGCCCAAGGCAGGCGGATCATTTGAGCCCAGGTGTTTGAGGCCAGCCTGGGCAATGCGGTGAAACCCCATCTCTACCAAAAAATACAAAAATTAGTCAGGTGTGGTGGTGCGCATTCACAGTCCCAGCTACCGGGGAGGCCAAGGTGGGAGGATTGCTTGAGCTCGGGAGGCAGAGGTTGCAGTGAACCAAGATTGTGCCACTGCACTCCAGCCTATGCAACAGAGCAAGATCCTGTCTCAAAAGAAAAAAAAAAAAAAAGCAGCTGTTGTTATTTTTTGTGTATCTGCTTAGTCCGCAAAGACCACTGGATCCAATAAGTAGAGCATCATGCAGTTAGACATGACTCCAGGGCCCTCAGAACATTGTAACATTCATTCATTTATCATTGATTGATTCATTCAGCAACTATCAGTTGAGTGCCTGTTATGTGCAAGGCATCAAAATACAGTGTTGAACATGACAACGTCATAGCTCTTAAAGAACTTACCTTCTAGATGGATTAAGGCAGATGATAAAGTAGCAAGCAAATAAATCAATTTGTAATTCAAGTAGTGGTGGATGCTCTGAAGGAAAATAAAGTAGGCTAAGAGGTTAGAAATAACAAGAGAAGGGCACTGGGGAAGAGAGTCATTTAGACCAGTGGGTAAGGAAGATGGCATCTGAGCAGAGATCTCAACAAAGTGGAGTGCACCACAGGAAGATTTTAATTAGCAATGTTGGTGCCCAAAGCCAGCAACTGACAGGGCCCTCAGACCAGCTTTGTAATTCATGAGGAAGGGGTGTGAGCCAGGGCTGCATCTGGTGGCTCCTTATTCCAGTAAATTACAGTAATAATAGATGTAGGACCCTTTTGTTTCCACCTGCTAAGGCAGTACCTACTGTCAACATGTAACTTCAACAAATTAAGACGTGAAACAGTGTTTCATAATCACAATTAGGCATTTCTGTTATACTTCATGATCAGAGGCTTAGGCAAGGTCTGACCCCCTCTCCAGCTGTGGCTTGTATCCAAGACCCAGGGCAGCTCCATGCCTCAGCACCGGGGCCTTCCTGGCTATGACCCAGAGAGCAAATGCTCGGCAGAGTCCAGAAGCTCAAGTCAGGAAGATAAATGAAGAGAGTTGGAATGGACAGGGGCAAGGACTGGGATTTCAAGATTCTCCACCACTCTGATTTGGCCAGGAGCATTCTGACCTCTGCCAGGAGCTAAAATGTGCCTCCCTGTGGTCTGAGAAAGGATTGGAGTCACTTCATCCTTTAAGCATAGATGCAGAAGGCTAGGGCTACTGGGACTATTCCTGTGGTTTGGAGAAGCGTTTCTTAGACAGGCTGTATCAGAATCATTGGAGGTTCTCTATTTGAAGTGCAGTGTCCGGGCTTCCTCCCAGACCTCCTGAATCAGAGTTCCCAGAATCTGCATTTTAACGTACGCACTCCCAAGTCAGAATAGCTGGTTAGTTGGCAGTGGGGCTGGGGGAGGGGGGCAGCCAATCAGAAGAATATTTGCTATTGGGATTGTCCTGGGAATGCCAGGGCACACGCTTGCTGTCCTGCCGTGAAATGGCCACCTCCCCAGATATGATATCCTTTTGCCTCATAGAATTGCGACAGGAATAAGGACAGGAATTTCAGAAGTTTGCAGAGTAGATTTTCCTGCTGTGAGGCAGTGTATGTGAGAAGGCTCTGCCTTCCTTCAAATGAGAAGGAAAAAGAAAAGAAAAAGCTTTATATATATGTATATATATTTTGGAGGCAAATGTGTCACTTTCAGATGGGTTCTTTTCCAGTCTGGGCACAATTTTCATTTCTCTCTGGTGAGTCATTGCAGACGTTGGCTTTTTCTCACTGCCTCTTGTTAGCAAAGGACATATTTCATGGAAGGGCTGAGACCCATCTGGGGCAGGCCTGGAAAATCTACTCTGCAAATCCAGGTAGAGGACCCACTGGGGCTATCACGGGGCCCTACACAGTCCTGTGCTGTGGGAGCCTCAGAGACTCCCGGCAACCAAGGCAATGGGCACTTTTCCCCCTTCCTAATTAGCCCTCCTTGTTAACTCACATCTTGCCCTTCCATGCGTTGTTTCTAGACTCTCTGGGCCACCATCCTGCTGGTTTTAATGAGAAAAAGTCCACAAGTACCTTTCGGCATTCATTCACGTAATCCATCAGTAGTATAGCATAGCAATTAAGGACATGGGTTCTGGGAGTTGTCCTTTAGTGGCTCCCTGTTTCATCAAAGTCAAAACCGAAGTTCCTGCCATGACCACGAGGCCCTCCGTGATCTAACCCCTGTCACCTAAGTTTATCTCCCCTCACTCACTCAGCTCCAGCCACACTAAACTCCTCGCTGCCTCTCCAACATACCATAGATGTGCCCACCCCAGGGCCTTTGCATAGGCTGTTCCCACCTCCTGTGATGTTTTTTCCTGCAGATCTCTGCATGACTCATTTCCTTTAGATCTCCGCTCAAATGTTGCCAGATCACCTTGACCACCCTATATAAACAGCAGACCCACTTCAGCCATCACTAACCCTCTTTCTTCCCCATAGCATTTATCACCACCTGACACAGTATTTATTGACTTGTATTTTTCTTTAGGATATGTTTCTTCCGCTAGAATGGTAGCTCCTTGTGGACGAGCACTTTGACTTGATTACTGTTATTTTCCCAACATCTAGACTTTGACTAGCACATTATAGGCCTTTAATAAATAAGTAAAGATTGGTTGATTGAACGAATTAATGAATTCATTAATGAATGAATGCCTGGACCTGTTCCTTACTAGCTGTGTGACCTTGGGCTCCTTAGCATCTCTGAGCCTCAATAAAATGGACATGGCTATAGAGGTTTGCAAGATAAAGGAGATAATACAAGTCTGTTTGTAAGCTTTAATAAAATACCCGAGACTGGATAATTTATAAAGTACAGAAACTCATTTCCTCTGAAGCCTAGAAAGTCCAAGATCAAGGTGCCAGCAGGTTAAGTGTGTAGGGAGGGTTCCTTCCTCATAAATGGTGCCATCTAGGTGTCCTCCTGTGATGGAAGAGGTGGAAGGGACAATGTGTTCTCACATGACAGAAAAGACAGAAGAGCCAGGCAGCTCTCTGGAGCCTCCCTTATGAGGGCATTAATCCCATTCACGAGGGTGGAGCCCTCATAGCCTAATCACCTCCCAAAGCTCCAACATGAATTTTGGAGAGACACAAACATTCAAACCATAATGGCATGTAAGTCCTTTGCATGGTGACTGGCACACTCAAAGCTCTCGATAAACGGTGGCTGCCCTGGACTCTTACTGCTTTAGACCAGCAAAATAAGGTAGAATGTGCTAAATAAAATCGAAGGTGCTTCCAAAGGACTATCACGTAAAGAGATGGCAGGTTTTCTACCCAGGTGGTTGGAATGAGGGAAGGCTCCTTGGCGGGTGGCATCTGAGGTGGGCCTGGGGCCGGGCAAGGGTCTCAGGGGGTCAGCGTGGGGTTTGTGGAAGGGTGGTATGGGAAGATGGAACAGCGCGAACAAAGAGGCAGAAGGGAGAATGTTCAGGGACAGGTCAGATATGTTCCCTGAACTCCAGAGGCTGCAAACAGGAGGGGGAGGGGAAAGCAGAATAAGGAGATGGAAGCATTTTTTTCCTTTCTGGAAGAAGAGAGGCTGGTCGGTGCTTTCCAAAAGCTGTACAGCAGTGAAATAAAACAAGAAGTCTGATTTACAGCCCCCTTCCTGGGGCAGAGTGCTTCACAGTTAGTAACGCAGTCTTCTGGGAATCATTTTGTTGGCAAGTCACAGCCTTCCTGAAGAGAGGCAGAAGTTATTAGTTGTTTATGATTCTGGTATTGAGGTCACCTGCAAATAACTCTGAATGGGATATCACATCCAAAAGAAACCAGTCGGTAATGGTGGGATTTCTGGGCACTGTGGCCTTCTGCTGTCCTATAGACTGGGAGGAAATTCAGAGCACAGGTGTCAGGGGAAACTAAGAAGGATGATGCGAGGGAGAAAGACTGAATGGTGAGCTTTGGAAAGCAGGAGACCATGCATTGTCATTCATTCATTCATTCATTCATTCAATGAACACTGAATGCTTACCATGTATAAAACAGTATATTCAGTCCAGGGGCCCAGGGGCCAGGACTTTAGACACTTTGTATATGTTTAATTTTCTACCTGATTTTTTTAAAGCCTTCTGTAACCTGAGGAGGTTGGGGAGGCAGCATAGGTTTCATGTCACATGACATGTCATCCCCAGTTGATTTGTTGTGGCTAACCAGAGAGTTCTGATACTACAGTGTGGATTTAGCAGGATAAAATCTGGTGATGGGTTCATGATATCAGCCATGGGTTTAGGATGGGAGAATGGTAGGACAAATGCCACATATTTGCCACTGCAGGAATGAATTCTATAGATACCTATAATAGGCTGACCTGAAGGTTTGCAACAGAATAAAAATAGTCTCTTGACTCTACATAGTTGGTGACTATGACATGGCTGATCGCTTACCATGGAGAGCTGTGAAAATTCAGGACAATAAAGGTGAAAAGAATTGGCACTCTAGGTGATAACTCAGAAAGATAGTTCCCCTCCAAGAGGTGGTGTCCCAGGCTTTTACCCTTGTCTGATCCACCTGTAATTTAACACTTGTTTAAGGCATCTTCTCCAAATATTTGACTTTGCTCCCATGGAGACTTTTTGCACTCATATTTCACCTTATTGTGTCATGTGTAATTCATTCTTACCATATATAATACAACTAGAATAAACAAGTTTGGAAACAACTAACTTGGGACTAAGGTGACTCTTACTCATTGTACAACTGAATAGTTGGGAGCAGAAGGTGTAAAAACGAAAGCTATTGGGGCACTGTGTTTTTGGGTTTTTTTTGTTTTGTTTTTGATTTTTTTTGAGATAGAGTCTCGCTCTATCGCCCAGGCTGGAGTGCAGTGGCACGATCTCAGCTCACTGCAAGCTCTGCCTCCCAGGCTGACGCCATTCTCCTGCCTCAGCCTCCCAAGTAGCTGGGACCACAGGCGCCTGCCACTACACCTGGCTAATTTTTTGTATTTTTTAGTAGAGACAGGGTTTCACTGTGTTAGCCAGGATGGTCTTGATCTCCTGACCTCGTGATCCGCCCGCCTCGGCCTCTCAGAGTGCTGGGATTACAGGCGTGAGCCACCGCGCCCAGCCGGGTCACTGTGTTTTACAAGTGGCAGGGGTGAGGGACTTTGACTAATTCAGTGAATCAGTTAAGTGAAGGTCAGTTAAGACAGCTCTTCCTACTAATACACAGTTGTCTTTTTACTAAAACTATGGATTTACCCTACACATACACATTCTGTTTTGTAGCCTCCTTTTTTTTTTAACTTAAACAAGTATTAGAGACATCTTTTCATGTCATCAAATACTCTTCCCAACAATATTTTAAATGGCTACGTGGGATTCCATGTTAGGGATCTATGATTTAATGGATCCCCTGTTACTGGACTTGCATGTAGTTCCCAGTTTGGGACTATTAGAGGGAACATTACCTTTTGGATCCCAATATGGTTAGTCGAGGGCCCTGAACACTCCCTGAATGGTGAGTGGTGGAAATGAACATTAAAAGAGCATAAAGGATGAGAATCTAAAATGGTGCAGCCACTATGGAAAACAGTATGGCAGCTCCTCAAAAAATTAAACATAGAATTACCATGCCACCCAACAATTCCGTTTCTCAGTATATACCCGAAAGAATTGAAAGCAGGGTCTTGAAGAGACGTCTATATACACCCATGTTCATAGCAGCATTATTCACAGCAGCCGAAGAGTGGAAGCAGCCAGTGTCCATCAGAGGATGAATGGATACACAAAATGTGGCGTATTCATACAATAAAATATTATTCAGCATCCAAAAGAAAGGAAATCCTGTGATATGCTACAGCGTGGATGAAACCTGAGGACGTTATGCTAAGATAAATCAGCCAGTCACAAAAGGGCACGTAGTATATGAATCTGCCTATATGAGGTCCCTGGCGTACTCAAACTCATGGAGACAGAAAGTGGAGACCAGGTGCAGTGGCTCATGCCTGTAATCCAAGCACTTTGGGAGACCGAGGCAGGTGGATCTCTTGAGGTCAAGAGTTCAAGACCAGTCTGGGTAACATACTGAAATCCCGTCTGTACTAAAAATACAAAAACTTAGCTGGACATGCTGGCATGTGCCTGTGATCCCAGCTACTTGGGAGGCTGAGGCAGGAGAATCACTTGAAGCCAGGAGGTGGAGGTTGCAGGGAGCCGAGGTTGTACCACTGCACACCAGCCTGGGTGACAAAGCTAGATTCTGTCTCAAAAAAAAAAGACCAAAAAACAGGCCGGGTGTGGTGGCTCATGCCTGTAATCCCAGCACTTTGGGAGGCCGAGGCGGGCAGATTGCCTGAGCTCAGGAGTTCAAAAGCAGCCTGGGCAACACGGTGAAACTCCATCTCTACTAAAAATACAAAAAAATTAGCCAGGCTTGGTGAGGTACGCCTGTAGTCCCAGCTACTCAGGAGGCTGAGGCAGCAGAATTGCTTGAACCCAGGAGGCGGAGGTTACAGTGAGCCAAGATTGCGCCACTGCACCCCAGCCTGGGCAACAGAGGGAGAGTCCGTCTCCAAAAACAAACACACAAACAAACAAAACCAAAAAAAAAAAAACAGAAAGAAAAACAAAGTGGGGCCAGGCGCAGTGGCTCACACCTGTAATCCCAGCCCTTTGGAGGGCTGAGGCAGGCGGATCACCTGAGGTCAGGAGTTCAAGACCAGCCTGGCCAACATAGTGAAACCCTGTCTCTACAAAAATACAAAAATTATCCCGGCATGATGGCAGGTGCCTGTAATCTCAGCTACTCAGGAGGCTGAGGCAGGAGAATCACTTGAACCCGGCAGGCGGAGGTTGCAGTGAGCCGAGATGGCGCCATTGCACTCCAGCTTGGGTGACAGAGCGAGACTTGGTCTCAAAAAAAAAGAAAAAGGAAGTGGAATGGTGAGTGCCAGGGGTTGAGGGAGGGAGAAATGGAGAGTTGTTCAGTAAATATAGAGTTTCAGTTTTACAAGATAAAGAGAGTTCTGGAGATTGGTTGCACAACAATATGAATGTACTTAACATTGCTGATCTGTACACTTTAAAATGGTTAAAATGGTAAATTCTGTATTATATATATTTTACACAATTAGAATTTTTAAGAGAACAGAGGAATAGATATAGGTATTAAGTATAACAGCTGCTAAGATTATTAGAAAATGAGACAAACAGACATTATATACCACCTAGAGAAGCCAAGCCCCACCTGCAGTCTGACCAAAGGGATCAATCCTGAGCCTGAGCCAGTCTCTGGATTCAGCTGGCAATTCACAGGACGATCACAGGACAGAGCAGTGTGTTGAACAGAACCTCGAGTGTGCAGTCAGCAATGTCAGGCCAAGGGAGATGCAACAGTCAAACTTCCAGATTCTTTCAAGGAAAAAGTATAAGGAAATAAAAGGATGAATGAGGAACTCACAAATTTAAAAAGAATTAAAAGGCAGCAAATTTTTCAAATGATCAAGAATGTAGTATCTAGGTATGTACATTTGAGTAAGAAAACAATTTTAAGGCCAGGCGCGGTGGCTCACGCCTGTAATCCCAGCACTTTGGGAGGCCAAGGCGGGTGGATCACAAGGTCAGGAGTTCGAGACCAGCCTGGCCAATATGGTGAAACCCCGTCTCTGTTAAAAATACAAAAAAAATTAGCCAGGCGTGGTGGCAGGTGCCTGTAGTCCCAGCTACTCAGGAGGCTGAGGCAGGAGAATAGCTTGAACCCGGGAGGCGGAGCTTGCAGTGAGCTGAGATTGTGCTACCGCACTCCAACCTAGGCAACAGAGTGAGACTCCATCTCAAAAAAAAAAAAAAAAAAAATTAAAAGACACAAGAGTGATTCCTTAAAAGTCAGGACAGTGGTTTCTTGTGGGGGCCATGGGTGGGATGGGACACATATGAGGAGCACACAGCAAAGTTCTCTTTCTCATTTATTTATTTATTCTTGAGATGGAGGCTTGCTCTGTCGCCCAGACTGGAGTGCAGTGGCATGATCTCGGCTCACTGCAGCCTCCACCTCCCAAGTTCAAGTGATTCTCCTGCCTCAGTCTCCTGAGTAGCTGGGATTATAGCGTGGGCCACCACGCCCAGCTAATTTTTTGTATTTTTCATAGAGATGGGGTTTCACCATGTTGCCCAGGCTGGTCTCAAACTCCTGACCTCAGGTGATCTGCCCGCCTCGGCCTCCCAAAGTGCTGGGATTACAGGCGTGAGCCACTGTGCCCAGCCTTGTTTATTTACTTATTTATTTATTTATTTTTGGAGACAGAGTCTTGCTCTGTTGCCCAGGCTGGAGTGCCGTGGCGTGATCTCGGCTCACTGCAACCTCCACCTCCTAGGTTCAAGCAATTTTCCTGCCTCAGCCTCTGAGTAGCTGGGATTACAGGCATAAGCTACCATGCCCAGCTAATTTTTTGTATTTTTAGTAGAGACAGGGTTTCACTATGTTGGCCAGGCTGGTCTTGAACTCCTGACCTCGTGATCCACCCACCTCAGCCTCTTAAAGTGCTGGGATTACAGGAGTGAGCGACCGCGCCTGGCCTAAATTTTCTTATAAATTCATATTGCCATGTCTAAATACCTCAGGGAGCAGTGACTCCAGAAAACCATACAAACCTAGCACATGAATTAATGGATTATTATAAGAATTCTGGAGATGGATGGTGGCGATGAGTTCATGGTTGCGTGGTTGTGAATGTAGTTAGTATCATTGAACTGTGCATGTAAAATGGTTAAAGTGGTAAGTGTTTTAGTGTAGGTATTTTGCCACAGTTAAAAATAAATAGGCTGGGCACGGTGGCTCATGCCTGTAATCCCAGCACTTTGGGAGGCCGAGGCGGGCGGAGCACGAGGTCAGGAGTTCAAAACCAGCCTGGCCAACATAGTGAAACCCCCGTCTCTACTAAAAATACAAAAATTAGCTGGGAATGGTGGTGTGTGCCTGCAGTCCTAGCTACTTGGGAGGCTGAAGCAGGAGAATCGCTTGGACCCGGGAGGTGGAGCTTGCAGTGAACTGAGTTTATGCCACTGCACTCCAGCTCGGGCAATAAGAGTTGAGACTTCATCTCAAAAAAAAAAAAAAAAAAAAGGAAAGAAAATTTAATTTAATGTGTAACAATTCAATCAATGCACTGGTATCTGCTGCAAGACACGTCCATTCAGTCTACCCTGAATTCCCAGGAAGATTTCTTCCTAAGATGACCTTAAATTGACAAATCCTTTAATGTTAGACCTTGTCAAAATGCTTTAAGGAGCTGTTTAGTTTCTTTCTTATTTATTTTAATTGTGGTAACTTAATGTGTTGTTTTTTTTTTTTTTTTTTTTACAATAAATTTTTCTGAAAAAGGAAGGAAGTATTGGCTACAAACAGAGTAGTCACGCAGACCAAGGTTAAAATCCAGATTCTGCCTTTTGTTAGCTCCGTGACTTTTGGCAAATTACTTAAGCTCTCTAAGACTCAATTAGTAATCTGGAAAAGTAATTGTAATAGTAATTACCTCCTAGCATTGTGGTGGGACTTTAATAAAACAATACCTATCAATCCCCTAACACCACGCCTGGCCTGGGGTAACTGCTATATATGTTAGTTGTTTCGTTCCAAAAAGAATTGGACCTGGGTCTAAGAAACCCCAAGTGCCACTGTCAGCTCCAACCCTGACTTGCTGTATAGTCTTGGTAAAGCCGCCTGTCTCTGAGGCCGGTTACCTCATCACTGTCCTGAGAATCCCTGTCCTCTGTGAGAACAGTACTGCTGAGGTGCAGTGTCCTGTTTGTTGGTATGCAAGGGGCTTAGGAATGAGGCTGCCGGTGCTTGGGTTTCCTACAACCCAGTGCAGAGCCTGCAGCCACTCCAGCAGGCAACTAGCAAGAGGCGGTGTGGAGCTGCAGGGCTGCCCATGCACACCGGCAGGTGAAAATGCACCTTAGACACACAGCTGAGACGGTAAATTGGTTTCCGTCATCCTGTGCAGGGAAGATCATGCTGGTTTTACCCTTCTTGTTGGGCTGCCTCTTGTAAACCTTGTTTGCCCTCCTTTATCGGGCTGCGCTGAACTTAAAGAACAGACAAGTTGAGGTTCATTATAGCAACCCCAGGGAAGGGTGGCCTACCTCTCAAAGATTCACTTTTTCCCCCTGCATTTCTCTGTTTTATATAAGTAAAATAATAATGTACACATTATTTTGCTGCATTTCATGATTTTATGATTGTTCTATGTCAATAACAAAAAAAGAAAACCAATCACAGAGACAGTCAGTTTTATTCAGAATCCTGCTTCCCCAGGGGCATAAAAGAGACGAATCCCCAATTCTTTAACTGAGATGAGAAGGAGAAATCAAGTTCAATGTTAAATAGACTCTCTGGAGTCACTACCCCCAAAGTATCTGGGCGTGGGAATATGAGTTTATAAGAAAATTTGGTTTAAAGTGTAACAACTCAATCAATGCTGTCTACCACAAGACACCTCCATTCAGTCTACCATGAATTCCCAGGAGGATTTCTTCTTAAGATGCCCTTAAGTTGACAAATCCTTTAATGTTAGACCTTGTCAAAGTGCTTTAAGGAGCTGTTTAGTTTCTCATTTATTTATTTATTTTTAATTGTGGTAAAATATCTGTAACACGGGGCCAGGTGCAGTGGCTCATGCCTATAATCCTAGCACTTTGGGAGGCCGAGGTGGGTGGATTGCCTGGGCTCAGGAGTTTAAGACCAGCCTGGGCAACACGGTGAAACCCTGTCTCTACTAAAATACAAAAAAAATTAGCCGGCCATGGCAGCATGCACCTGTAATCCCAGCTACTTGGGAGGCTGAGGCAGGAGAATCGCTTGAACCCAGGAGGCAGAGGTTGCAGTGAGCCGAGATCACGCCATTGCACTCCAGCCTGGGCAACGGAGCGAGACTCCATCTCAAAAAAAAAAAAATGTATATATATATATCCATAATACTTACGAGTTTAACCATTTTATATGCACGGTTCAGTGACACTAACTACATTCACAACCATGCAATCATGTGCCCATCACCACCCATCACCACCATCCACCTCCAGAACTCTTCACTTTGCAAAACTGAAATTCTGTACCCATTAAACACTAACTCCCCTTTCCTCCTTCCCGCAGCCCCCGGCAGCCACCATTCCACTTTTTATCTCTATGAATTTGATGGCTCTAGGGACTTTATATAAGTGGAATCATGCAGTATTTCTCTTTCTCTGATTGGCATATTTTACTTAGCAGAATGTCCTCAAGGTTCATCCAGGTGATACCACGTGCCAGATGCCCTTCCTTTTTTAAGGCTTAAAAATATTCCATGGTATGTGAGGACCACATTCTGTTTCCCCATTCATCTGCTGATGGACATGTGGGTTGCTTCCACCTTCTGGTTATTGTGAATAATGCTGCTATGAACATGAGTATATCAGTTTCTCTTTAAAAGTGTCCAGTAATCCTTTATTCCAGTGATGGTGTAGTTGTTCAGATTGTACAGGGGAGCATCTCGGCTAGATACCAGTAGTCACTTAATAGCTCTCTTGAACACCCACAGTCAGGAACTGGGTAAATAGCAAGGTGGCAGGAGGCACAGGACGGGGTGGGAGTGAGGGTGGGTGCAGCCACAGCTGGAAGTGTGCACAGCTGGAACTTCCCAGCATTGAGCAGGTCCTCATGGGAACAATTTATGAAAACTATGATTATTTTTCCATTTCCTAGACTCTGTGATTGTTTTCACAAGAAGCTAAGTGGTTTCTGTGTGATTATATATCCCAGGTGTTGTGTGGAATTTTAACTCAAATACCAAAATCTAGGGCGATTTGCCTATCACGCATCCATTTATTCCACTTCCTCCAGCAAGTTCACAGCACTATGTAAAATGCTTAGAACCAGTGGAGGTTTTTGTGAGTTCTGGAAAACAAGAGGAGGGAAAAATCAATGGAGAAAAGCAGGAGTGAAGCAGATAGCCACTGAGAAGAAGAAGATGGCAGGCTGACGGGAAAGTACAGCGGCCGAGTGTCTGCTGGCGAGCTGTGCGTCAGGGCCCACTTGCACAAATAGTAAGGCAGAACTAGTGGCCCCCTAGACCCAGGGGGCGTTTAGAGGTCCTGGGAAACATAAACTCTCCATCCTAAGACAACACTACACCCTCCCACTCCTAATCAAGGCCCTTACATTCCACCATTCAAGCGCATTAAATAATAGTTGTCCAAATGTGTGGTAAAGGATTTTCTCTTTTCAGAGCCACTCTTTTAAAATGCAGACGCTCCAGCCGGGCGCGGTGGCTCACGCCTGTAATCCTAGCACTTTGGGAGGCCAAGGCAGGCGGATCATGAGGTCAAGAGATCAAGACTATCCTGGCCAACATGGTGAAACCCCACCTCTACTAAAAATACAAAAATTAGCTGGGCATGGTGGCGCGTGCCTGTAGTCCCAGCTACTCAGGAAGCTGCGGCAGGAGAATCGCTTGAATCCAGGAGGCAGAGGTTGCAGTGAGTCGAGATCGCACCATCACACTCCAGCCTGGCGACAAAGCGAGACTTCGTCTCAAAAAAAAAAAAAAAAAAAAAAAAAAAAGTCCAGGCACAGTGGCTCATGCCTGTAATCCCAGCACTTTGGGAGACTGAGGCAGGTGGACCACAAGGTTAGGAGATCGAGACCATCCTGGCTAACATGGTGAAACCCCATCTCTACTAAAAATACAAAAAAAAAAAATCAGCCGGGGGTGGTGGCGGGCGCCTGTAGTCCCAGCCACTCGAGAGGCTGAGGCAGGAGCATGGTGTGAACCCAGGAGGCGGAGCTTGCAGTGAGCAGAGATGGCGCCACTGCGCTCCAGCCTGGGCGACAGAGCGAGACTCCATCTCAAAAAAAAAAAATGTGGACGCTCCTTACAGAGCTCTCCGAATTTCAACACCCTTTAGAGTTCCTCCAGCTTGACTGTTCTCTAGCTGCTCTGAGGGGCCTCTGGGGAGTGTGGGGCAAAGAGGGGGAGTCAAGTAGACAGGGCTCTGGGTTCCCCCACTCCACTCCAGCTACAGCAGCAAGCTGCTTCTGTCTTATATAAATTGTTACATAAACCAGTAGTTGCGCTACCAAGAAAAGGGGGAAAGGGAAATGTTTGAAAAATCCCTAATCTTGAGCAACCCCCTTGTTTAACAGAGGAGGCCTGGAGAAGTTGAGAGAAGGGTTCAGCGTCACACAGCAAATTCATTCAACAAATATTTTCTACTGTGCCAAACACACAGTAAACAAAGATGAGCACACAAATCCTTGCCCTGAAGACTGGGCCCTTCTCTCCAGGATGACTCTTCCGCAGCCTTGAGGGGACACAGAGGGCACTGTCAGCAAGGAGGAGGATGGCCTTTCCCCATGACATGTTCCAGCCACATCATCCTGACACCCCAAATATGATTGAGGCCATCTCTCCTGTGCATGCAAAAGAGAACACACATTTGTTCTCTTTAGTGTATTGTGCCTCAACCATCTCATTTCACTCTTTCTGAAGCCGTGCAATGTGCATGCCTACCATGTGCCAAGCAGTTCTAGCATGTGAGGCTGAATAAGACGTGGCCTCTGCTCCCATGGATCTTCCAGCCAAACAGGGGAGAGAAAAGCTCTGCATAAATGATCACAGTACAGAGTCAGCTCTACACACTGATAGCTTATCAGCCTTGGAGTCTGGGTCAGGGAAAGAAGAGATACATCTAGCTAGGGGAGGAAGCATTAGAATAGGGCCTCACTTCTCTTTCCAAATTTCGGGTTAAGAAATTGGATGTTGGAGGGCCGGGCGCGGTGGCTCACGCCTGTAATCCCAGCACTTTGGGAGGCCGCGGCAGGCGGATCATGAGTTCAGGATATCGAGACCATCCTGGCTAACACGGTGAAACCCGGTCTCTACTAAAAAATACAAAAAAAATTAGCCGAGCATGGTGGTGGGCACCTGTAGTCCCAGCTACTCGGGAGGCTGAGGCAGGAGAATGGCGTGAACCCAGGAGGCGGAGCTTGCAGCGAGCCGAGTATGCGCCACTGCACTCCAGCCTGGGCGACTGAGCGAGACTCCATCTCAAAAAAAAAAAAAAAAAGAAATTGGATGTTGGAGTCAGGCAGCCCTTGCTTTCAAGCCCAGTGGGCCTCATAACTGTGAGGTTGGACCAGGGGCATAGGTTCCCAGAGCCTCATCTGAAAAATGGGGGTGATAATTACAGTTCCCACTTCCAAAGGTTGCTGTGGGGATTGAATGAGATAACACAGGTCCAATTCTTATCCTCGATAAATATGCCCCTTATTTAAGGACTTTAGGGATGAGGTGAAGATGAGACAGAAGCTCTTCAAAGGCTCTACCCAGGCAGGGAGAAGAGAGGGGAAAGTAGGCAACGTCAAAGTGGATGCTCCACTGCGGCTGCTAAGAGCCACTCACAGGAGGAGTGCTGGGAAGTGCCACAGGAAAGGGGGAGCAGGGCCAGGAGACCAAGGGACCCCTTCAAAGCCAAACTGAGGACTTGGGCCCCTGGAACTCATTTGTGAGTTCTAAAAATTTTCTTGTAGATTCCCCAGGATTTTCTACAAACAAGACCATGTTATCTTCAAATAGTTTCACTTCTTTCCTTCAAGTCTGGATGCCTTCATTTCCTTTTCTTGCCTAATCGCTTGGCTTCTTTTAACTCCTTTTATTTTTGACAATGTGAGAACCAGGCCTGGCCGGCTGGAGTCGGAGAGAGGGACAGACTGCTCTCTGGAAGGCTGGCCAGACACGGGAAGATATGTAGGCCTAGTCAGGCGACTGCCAGGGCAGATCTCTCAAACTCTGATCTGGCAGGCACTCCAGGTAGCCCCGAGGGATGATCAGGGAAGAGGAGACAGGTGAATGCCTCTTTGGAGCACTCAGTGACGGGAACATATTTCTGGAGCATTCAGTAACTTCATTAAGCACCTCCCCACTTCTTGGCTCTGAGGACACAGAGATGACTCAGACCCACATGTGACACCCACAGTCTAGTGAAAAAAGTCTGATCAGTAATTAAGGAATTACAACCTAGCTTTATTATTTATTTATTTACTTACTTACTTTTGAGACGGAGTCTCGCTCTGTCGCCCAGGCTGGAGTGCAGTGGCACGATCTCGGCTCACTTCAACCTCTGCCTCCCGGGTTCAGGCGACTCACATGCCTCAGTCTCCCAAGTGCTGGGATTACAGGCATGAGCCACCGCACCCGACCACAACCCAGCTTTATAAGGGTTGTAATTGAGGTCTGTGCAGAGTTCAGCGAAGCCCTGGAGAAGGAAGTGAATTAACCCAGCCCAGAGGGACGGATGAATGACTAAAAGGAAGTGACATCAGAACTGGGTTGTAAAGAACTAACTGAATGTCTTGCCAGGGTAAGAGGATGAGAACAGGCATTCCCGGCAGGAGAGCAGCATTTGTAAAGGTATGGGGTGTACACGAGCAGGGCCTATTTGGGGAGAGTGGAGAATCAGAGATGAGGCTGCACAGTAAGGTGAGACCAGGTGGAAAAAGCTCTGTGTGATGGGTCGAAGGTATTGACATATACTAGCCACTGCCCGGCACCCTCCCTCCGTTTCCGGAGTAGACCTGTTTGCTTATCTCGTGGGCATTTGCCAGGCTGATTAGAGTAATGAGTAAAGAAAAGAGGGCACTGGGAAAGCTAAGTTCATTTATATTAGAAATTACATGATACTCTTCCATAAATCAGAAAGATTGAAGAGTGGGTGAAAGAAGGGAAAAGGGAATTAAAGGGGAACCAAGGCAACCTGAAGTTTTTGAGAGAGAGAGCAGGAAGATTTGAGGATGAGCAGGTGATGCTGTAGCTGGCGCTATGTAGCGACAGATGGGAGAAGTTCTTTGTGATGGTTTTGCCTCTTTGAGAGTCTTCAGTAAAGGTTGAAGTTACTTTTCCATATCGTTTTATTTTCTGGATGTTGGACTTGAATTTCTTTTTAATGTGATCATGGGGCCAGGCGTGGTGACTTATGCCTGTAATCCCAGCACTTTGGGAGGCTGACGCGGGTGGATCACTTGAGGTCAGGAGTTGGAGACCAGCCTGGCCAACATGGTGAAACCCCGTCTCTACTAAAAATACAAAAAAATAGCCAGGTGTCATGGTGGGTGCCTGTAATCCCAGCTACTCAGGAGGCTGAGGCACGAGAATCACTTGAACCTGGGAGGCAGAGGTCGTAGTGAGCCGAGATGGCACCATTGCACTACAACCTGGGTGACAGAGCAAGACTCAGTCTAAAAAAAAAAAAAAAAAAGAAGATACCATGTGTAGACTTTATTTGGGTTGTTACCCTTGTATCACACATGTGGGGCCAGGGTGCTTCTGTATATCCTGACAACAGTGGCCAGCCATTAAAGAGTTTTGAGTAGGGGAACTGGATTTGTGGTTTTAGAAAGATCATTTGGCTTCTGTGTGAAAGAGGCCAAAACCAGGAGCAGAAAGACCAGTTAGGAAGCTGTGACAGCAGTTGAGAGACGATGTTGTCAAAGTCTGCAGCAGAACAGAACAGGGGTGACCCCACATGGACATCATCTCTGCTCTTCAGTCACCTGTAGTGCAGAGTTTTGAAGTAGGTCTGAGCATGGAACCGTAGTGGTTGGGAAGGAAATGCCATTTGCCTATGGGGTGATTAAGATCTTTTTTTTTTTTTTTCCTCAGGCGGAGTCTCGCTCTGTCCCCCAGGCTGGAGTGCCGTGACGTGATATCAGCTCACTGCAGCCTCCGCCTCCCTGGTTCAAGCAATTCTCCTGCCTCAGCCTCCCAAGTAACTGAGATTACAGGCGCCCGCCACCACGCCTGGCTAATTTTTGTATTTTTAGTGGAGACGAGGTTTCCCCATGTTGTCCAGGCTGGTCTCAAACTCCTGACCTAGGTGATCTGCCCACCTCAGCCTCCCAAAGTGCTGGGATTACAGACGTGAGCCACCACGCCCGGCCTTACCTTTTCATTATGTAAATACACACCCAGAAGGAGGCCTGTCTGAGCTGCACAGGACTCTGGTCTGCACCTGAGCATCTTCCTTTCACTTCTGGAGTGCTTGAAGAGATCTAGACAAGACCACTTTCTTTGTGGTTTCTTGACTTGCCCACACCCCCTAGGAACTTCCTCTCTCTGAGAGTGAATAGAGTCTGTCCTTAGATAGCACTTGCCTGAGGAAGCAGCCAGAAGTAAGATTTGCTATCAGTTACTAGGGAAATGATTGCTGTTGGAGCTGGCCAATTAATCAGCAGGACAGAAAGTTCTTGGATGAACTAGGACAGGCCCCAGCCATCCCTAAGGCATATCAAAAACGAGGGGAGAATTGGGAGTCTTATTCACATTTCCATCTCTAGTGGCTTGGCCTAGCATAATACCTGGTACCACATTATTGTTTAATTAATAGTTCCTGAATATATTAATGAATTAGCATAACATGAAACTCTGAATGTGGTCATGTTGGGTCAGAACTGTGGTGCGTTAAAGGCAGGATTCATCTACTTATTCATTCATCACTTACTGAACTCCTCCTACCATAATTCAGCTTTAGTTAGGAAAGTGATTCACAATATTGGTTGCATTGGAACCATCTGGAGAGTTTTAAAAATCCAGGCCAGGCACAGTGGCTCGTGCCTGTAATCCTAGTGCTTTAGGAGGCCAAGGCAGAATTGCTTGAGGGCAGGAGTTGAAGGTCACAGTGAGCTGTGCTCATGCCGCTGCACTCCAGCCTGGGCAACAGAACGAGAACCTGTCTCTAACAAAATTTTTTTTTTTAATCCTGAAACCCAGAGATACCCCAGACCAATTACACCAGAATCAAATCCAGGAGTGGTGAGTCCTCAGCATCAGTATTTTTTTTAAAGCTCTGTTCATGATTCCAATGTGCAGCCAAGTTTGAAAGCCACTGGGCTAGGTGCTGGAAATATAAGTGAATATCACAGTGCTCCTGCCCTTGTAGGGATCAAAGTCTACGTGAAGGACACCTGAATTCATTCTGTAGAATATAGTGGGCCGAGCACAGTGGCTCATGCCTGTAATTCCAATACTTTGGGAGGCCGAGATGGGTGGATCACCTGAGGAGTTTGAGACCAGCCCGGCCAACATGGCAAAACCCCATCTCTATTAAAAAAATACAAAAATTAGCCAGGCGTGGTGGTGCGTGCCTGTTGTCCCAGCTACTCGGGAGGCTGCGACAGGAGAATCGCTTGAACCCAGGAGGTGAAGTTTGCAGTGAGACGAGATCTTGTCATTGCACTCCATCCTGGGTGACAGAATGAGAGTATGTCAAAAAAAAAAAAAAAAAGAATATAGTGGTAAATGCCTTAATAGAGATATGGAAACAATACTGTGGGAACCCAGAAGAAGAAATGCTTAGATATGGCTAAGGGATACAGGAAAGCTTCAAAAAAGAAGGAACAGTTAAGATGGACGTCGTAGAATAAATAGAAGTTCATTGACATTTTCCTTCCCTCTGCCTCCCTCCCTTCCTTTTTCTTCCCATCTTCTTTATCAACCTTTCCACCTTTCCTTTGTCCTTTTCATTCTTCTCACCTACTTTGTTTCAGATGGGCTCTGAAATAGGCCCATAAGGAGACAATAGTAAACATAAATGAAATGCTAATCTGCAAGACACATCCTCTTCCTGGAGAAGAGAATACTGTGTGTAGAGCCCCCAAAAACTGAAAGAACCTGGGGTGTTTGGGGACAGCAAGTTCATTTTTGCTGGAGTGCTGTGGGTCAAAATATGGAGGAAATGTCATACCAACAGCCTAAGGAGTTTGAACTTTTCCTTCAAGGCATTTAGGAGCAAAACAATATATGACGAGATTTAAGACAGTGGTGTTTACCACATCTTGGGTGTTACCTGAAGTGACTGTAAATGGTACAGAGATGTACCATTAATTAAAATTGACTCTCACAGATTTTCAAGTCTTAACTTGTATATTTCAGTCCTGATTACCTCCAAGAGAGTCTCAATTTGGTGCTGGGAGGTTTTCAACCTCCCATATAAGATGGGTTTTTAACCCATCTTACTCTTGCTAAGGTTTCTCTTTAACAAAGCAAAGCCTTCCTCACAATATCTGGCTAGAATTAAATCACATTGTTTTATTGTCATCTTGTTTATGCCTATGGAAAGTTCTGTAGATAACAAAAAAAATGATAACTTGTTTTTCATACGTGGTAGTGAAATAAACTTAGGCAAAAAAGTGGATCCATTTAAATACATATATAAAGTAAATGGTGGTATAGGAAAGACATAGATCAGCAAGAATTATAATGGGAATAAGTTAGTAACTGAAGGAGAAAAATGTGGATTTAGAAAGATTGCTTGCAGTTGACATGGGTGGGGACTAGAGGGGGTGAGATTGGAAGCAGGCTGGCCAGATAGGGGGCTGTTGCAGTATCCCAGGTGAGAGCAAACTTGAGCTTAGACCAAGTCAGCCTCCAAAGGATGAACAAAAGGAGTAGGTGGCTGGCCTCTAGAAGGCCAGTGACGGACAGGAGACACCAGAGCATGTTCTAGGGAGGTGACACTGACTGAAGTCCACTGGGTAGGTTCAGGGGAAGATGAGAGAGACCAAGTCCCAGGGCCTGACTCCAGGTCTAAGGTAGTGAAAGTACTGGGCGTGAAGACAAGAACTTTAAATTCCATTACTGGCCTTGGGTGCCAAGATGAGCTCATACACAGAAGAATCAAGGAGCAAGAGGCAGCTTGCTGCTGGATCCCAAACCTGGCTGGGCACCACATTCACCAGGGGAGCTATTAAAAAACAGAGTCATCGGCACCAGTCCAGACCTACTGGATCCTACTGAATCGACTAAGCTGGATCCCAGTGTACGATATATTTCACAGTTCCTCTGATAATTCTTATGAACCCAACCTGGATGTAACCACAGTGTAAAAGCCCTTGCTACACAGTGAGGTTCGTGGGCCAACAGCATGAGCATCACCTGGGAGCTTGTTAGAGATGCAGAATCTCTGGCCCTACCTCAGACCTCCTGAGCCATTTTAATGAGACTCTCAGAAAACTTATTTGCATATGAAGGTTTAGGAAGCACTGGCCTAGACCACTGATTTGTTTAATCCTGGCTGCACACTGGATCACCTGGGGACCTTTAAACCATAGTGGCTGGGAATCTGGGAGTGCGGCCAAGGTATCAATATGAGTTTTTTTTTACATTAAGCCTTTTAGGAACACTCAGTTGTAGGAAATAATATAGAGGAATCCTGCATACACTTTACTCAATTTCCTCCAGTGGTAGCATATTACAAAACTGTAGTAAAATATCACAACCAACATATGGACATAAAGACAGTCGAGTACAGAAGAGTTCCGTCACCAATGTTGCCTTTCTATAGCCACATCCCCTTTCCTTCTCACCTCCCCCATCCCTAAACCCGGCAACCACTAATCTGTTCTCCATTTCTGTAATGGTGTCATTTCAGGAATGTTACATAAATGTCACACAGTTAGTAACCTTTTGGGACTGACTTCTTTCACTTCACATAATTCTCTGGAGACTCATCCAAGTTGATGGGAATAGGACTGGTGCATTTCTTTTTACTACTGTGTAGTATTCCACAGTTGGTTGGTTGCTCATTCACCCATCAAAGGGTAGCTGGTTGTTTCCAGCATTGAGCTATTATGAATAAAACTGCTATAAGCATTCATGTTCAGTTTTTTTTTCTGGGCAAATAAGTTTTAGTTTCTTTGAGATAAATGTCCACGAGTGCAATTACTCAAGTTTATGGTAGTTACATGTTTAGTATTTTAAGAAACTGCCATACTCTTCCAGAATGGTTGTATCATTTTACATTCCCATCAGAAATGTATGAGTGACACAGTTTCTCTGCAGTCTTCATCAGCATTTGGTGTTGCCACTGTCTTTTATTTTAGCCATTCTGATGGCTGTGCAGTGATATCTCGTTGTGGTTTTGACTTGCACTTCTCTGATGGCTAGTAATATTGAACATCTTTTCACATGCGGATGTGCCATCTGTATCATCTGTTTGATGAAATGTTTCCTCATATCATTTGCCCATTTTCTCATTGGATTGTCTGCTTTTTACTGTTGAGTTTTGAGAGTTCTTTATATATTCTGAATAGTAGTCCTTTCTTAGATATGTGGCTGGCAAATATTTTCTCCTTGTCTTTTTATCCTCTTAACAGGGTCTTTCACAGAACGAAAATTTTCCTTTTGATGGGGTCCAATTCATTGTTTTTTCTTTTTATGGATCATGTTTTAGTCACAAGTCTAATAACGTTTTGCTTAGCTGTGGATCCTGAAGATTTCCTCTAATGTGTTTTTCTACAAGTTTTGTAGTTTACATTTTACACTTAATGGTCTGTGGAGCATTTTGAGTTAATTTTTTTTTTTTTTTTTAGACTGAGTCTCGCTCTGTCACCAGGCTGGAGTGCAATGGTGCAATCTTGGCTCACTGCAACACCGCCTCCCGGGTTCAAGCGATTCTGCCTCAGCCTTCCAAGTAGCTGGGAATACAGGTGCGTGCCACCGTGCCCAGCTAATTTTTGTATTTTTAGTAGAGACAGGGTTTCACCATGTTGGCCAGGATGGTCTCAATCTCTTGACCTCATGATCCACTTGCCTCGGCCTCCCAAAGTGCTGGGATTACAGGCATGAGCCACGGTGCCCAGCCTGAGTTAATTTTTTTAAAAGACATATGGTTTAGGTTGTTCATTTTTTGCCTATGACGTCCAATTGTGCCAGCACCATTTGTTGAAAATGCTTTCTCTCCTCCATTAAATTAATTTTGCACCTTTGTCAAAAATCACCTGAGAATATTTGTGTGGTTCTATTTCTATTTCTTGCCTCTCTGTTCTATTCTATTGATTTATGTGTCTATTCCTTTGCCAATACCACAAAGTCTTGATTACTGTAGCTATTAATATATAGTAGTTTTGAAATTGGGTAGGTCGATTTCTCCCATTTTATTCTCTTTTTCTCAAAATTATTTGAGTTATTCTAGTTTCTCCACCTTTCCCTATACATTTTAGAAGAGTCTTGTCTATATCCGTAAGACATCTTGCTGATATTTTGATAAGAATTGTATTAAATCTGTACGTTAATTTGGGAAGAATTGACATATTTACTCTGTTGAGACTTCCGATCCATAAACACTCTCCATTTATTTACATCTTTGATTTATTTCATCAGCATGTTTTAGTTTTCAGCACACAGTCCTGTACAAGTTCGTCTGAGAATGTGTTGATTTCCCTTTATTCCTTATAGATATTTTCACTGAGTATAAGAGTCTGGGCTGACAGCTCTTTTCTTTCAGCATCTGAAAAATATAATGCCATTTTCTTCTTGTCTCTATGTTTTCTGTGGGAAATCTGCTATCATTCTCATTATGGTAAGGTGTTTTTCTCTGATACTTTCAAGTTTTTTTGTCTTTCATTTTCAAGAGTTTAATTATTATGTGCTTTGATGTATATTTGGGGGGCTTATCCTGTTTGGTTAACAGCTTCTTGATTCTATAGATTTAGGTCTCTTGCCAAATTTGGGACATTTTCAGCCATTATTTCTCAAAGCACATTATCATTGCCACCCTCTTTCTCATCTCCTTCTGGGACTATGATTATATGAATGTTAGATCTTTTGTTATAGTCCCACAGGACCCTGGAGTTCTGTTTGTTTGTTTGTTTATTATCTCTTTTCTCTCTGATGTTCAGATTTGGGAATTTCTATTGTTTTATCTTCCAGTTCACTGATTCTTTCCTCTGTTCCTACCCTCTTGCTTTTGAGTCCATCAATTGGGTTCTTTTTTGTTGTTGTTGTTGTTTTTCAGGTAGAAATCATGTTTCCTTTTAATTGAATACTTAGTTCACGTTTCCTCTCTTGCTGCTACTCTGGTAATAATTAGGTCCCCACCTCTCAAGAACATTGCACCTGACCAGACTGAGAGCCTGTGTGAACATGGGCCCCAAACCAGGGCTTTCAGAATAACAAGGAACAGCCAAGCCAGCCTCTCCCTTCACTTAGAAAGGAACTGTGAATGGGAGGGTCCAAATCTTCATCGTCCAAACACAGAAAACCAGGAGCTCAATGCCAACATGGAAACCAAAATGTATCGGGAATGAAGTACAGTACCCCTTCACATACTCGAGGTCAGGATGGGTTTGCAGAAATCGTATCTGACCATCTGGCCTCTGCTAGTAGAGGCCCCACCCCAGCATTTTTAGGAGAAGATGTTTTTGTTTCTATTACTTGTATTATTTCCCCAAGGGGCATAATATCTACTAAAAGGAATATAATGAATCAGAATAAATCAGCTCACTCACAAGAAACCTTCCTGGGTAATGGTTTTTAGTTGCTGAGCTTATTCAGCACATGATTTAAAAGTGGCAAAATTCAGGGCAATCTGAGAAGAGAATTCAAAAGTGGCGGCCACAGGTTTGGGTAGGACACACATACATACAACTCCCATTTTTTTTCAGTGTATGTGTCAAGAGGTCAAGACCCCTGATCATCAAAATAAGTTATTTTGTATATTACAGTGCACAGGACAACAGAGGGAAAGACACTTTCTTGGAAGGTGACAACAAGGTCTTTTGCAAAAGGTCCACTCCAAAAGGACTGGAGCCCAGTGCCTTGTGGCCTTCATTAACTTGACCCCACCTCTTCTTTGGTTGCAGTGGCCTCAGTGGGAGCTGTTTCTTCTGCTTGTTCTGCTGGCTTCTTCTCTCTTTCCTCTTCCTCATCCTCATCCTCTTGGGGATAGAGGTCTGGGTATTTCTGCAGGCATTCCTGCATGGCCCGGAACCGGTCTACACAGTCTGACCCCTTGATCTCCTCCGTGCTATAGTGGAAGCAGGAAAAGGCTGACTTGAACTGTTCCCCACAGGGGCCGCTGGCCATTCCCCCAAGGCATGGACGGTTCCAGTTAATGTCTTCATTGGTAGTATCAATCCATGCTCCTCGTATGGATCGTTGGGGTCATCAGCCACCAATTCTGCATTGCTTGGAGTTTCATGGTCTTCTTTGGTTATAAATATGATTCGATCCTTCCCTTCCTGCCGGCAGTAGGACATGGCTGCAGCCCTGCCCTGAGACCTTGCAGAAGTGGCGGTGGCAGCAGCTGTAGCTTCACGCCATGACCTCCCTCTCCTCAGGCAGGGCGGGCACCTCTGGGTTCTTATTTCAATTATTATTTCCATTCTAAATTTCCATTGCTGCTTCTTTATATTTTCTGTTTCTTTGCTGAGACTTATTTTTTTCATGTGTCTCAATTGTGTTCACATTTGCATGTTGAAGCATTTTTATGATGATTACTTTAAATGTTTTGGCCGGGTACGGTGGCTCACGCCTGTAATCCCAGCACTTTGGGAGGCTGAGGTGGGCGGATCACGAGGTCAGGAGATCGAGACCATCCTGGCTAACACAGTGAAACCCCATCTCTACTAAAAATGCAAAAAATTAGCTGGGCGTGGTGGCATGTGTCTGTAGTCCCAGCTACATGGGAGGCTGAGGCAGGAGAATAGCTTGAACCCAGGAGGCAGAGATTGCAGTGAGCCGAGATCACACCACTGCACTCCAGCCTGGGTGACAGAGTGAGACTCCATCTCAAAAAAAAAAAAATGCTATTAGAAATCCCTTCTCATTTTTTGATGTGAAAAATGATTTTCAATTGAAATATGGAAATTTTAGGTATTATAAGACCTAGGATCATATTTAAATCTCCTGATTTATCTGCTTTTGACTGACACTGCTGTAGCAGAGGAAGCCGGAGGACACACGGGGAGAGTATGCTGCCTCATTACTTCCAGGTGGAGGTAGACGTCCTGGCTCCCCACTTCGCTTCTCTTGACACTTGAAGGGCGTGGCTTCCTCACTGTTGCTGAGCAGATGTGGGAGCTCCATCTCCCCACTAGGCCTCTGCAGATAAGTCCCCAGCTGGGAGGGATGAGAGTGCCTCCTCACTGCTCCCCATGCACCCCTACTGACACCATGGGGGTGGGTGCAGGGCTTGTCACCACCTGACAGGATGCAAGTCCCGGCTCCCTGCTAGGAATGGCGGGGACGCCACCCCAGCAAGGGGAGTTGAGTCACTTCATTACAGCTTGACAAGGGTGGAAGTCTTGGCTGCCCTCCCCACTTCACCTCATCTGGCTAGGACAGGAGCGGGGCACAGTGTTTTTCTATGGTGTTTGGCTGAAATAGAGCAGGTGTTGTCTAAAAGTTTTCTACTTTGCTAGGCAGCCTCTTTCCCAGTCCTTTGGCTGGACACAGCAGGCTTTTGTTTTGCCTGTGCCGATTGCCATTTCTGAGCTGCCAGCTACTTCAGGTCAAAATCTCTGATGTATGTGGCCAAAAAAAAGCCCAGGGAATTCATCACTGTGTCGCTCATTGGGCCCCAATGTTCCTCACTGCTTTGCCTTTGCCTCTCCACCTGTCAGAGTCTTCTTGTGTTTGCTTTAAATATAACATCCAGAGTTTTAGTTGTACTAAGCAGAATAGAGAAAGTACCTCTACTCAATCTTCCTGAAAGAAGACATCTCAATATGTTTTAAAAGCTTTTGACACAGTGGCTCACGCCTGTAATCTCAGCACTTTGGGAGACTGAGGCAAGTGGATCGTTTGAGACCAGCCTGGCCAACATGGTGAAACACTGTCTACTAAATACGTAAAAATTAGCCAGATGTGGTGGCAGGTGCCTGTAATCCCAGCAACCTGGGAGGCTGAGGCAGGAGAATCACTTGAACCAAGGAGGCGGAGGTTGCGGTGAGCTGAGATCGTGCCATTGCACTCCAGTCTGGGAGACAGAGCGAGACTCCGTCTCAAAACAAAACAAAACAAAACAAAGCTCTCAGGCAGGCAGAGTTGAGAATTACTGGTATAGGCTGGCACCTCCATGAGAATAGGAACTGTGTTCATCCGGTGGCTATCATAATATCTGTACCTGGCAAGAATATTCATCAGTGAAGATTTTGTGGATGGTTTGATGGAAGGAAGGGAGAATGAATGGATAGATAGATGAATGAATAAATGAATCATCTGTGATTATCAGAATAGAACTAGGAACCAGATCGAGTCACACTCATCTATGCCCCTATATATAAATAACTTCTATATATAAATATATAAATAACCCCTGTATATAAATACCCTGGCCCCAGAACCAGCAAGAGGGCTTGACCAGCAGGTGGTGCTAAAGAGCCCCAGGTGTGGGATGAGGTGGCAGCTGCAGGCAGGTGTCCATCAGGTCACTTGACTGAAAGAGACAAAAGTTACAGGAACTGGTAATCACCTGGGAGCTCTCTCTTATAAATGCCGCATCTGCCTCTCTTTTTCTCCTGCCAGCTCTTTTATTTAGTTCAATATCATCAATCACTTTTTTTTTCCTCAAGAAGAGAACAGCCTGAATGACTTTGGTCTTTGAAAGTGTATTTCTCAGAGTTTAATCTCCAAGGATTCGGAACAAAATGAACACATTATTCATCCTATCCTGAAATGATACTTGTGTGTGTGCTGGGTGTGGTGGTGTAATCACTGTGTCCTTGTCTCATGTTAGCACGGATATCCATATTTTCGAATTCCTTGGAATCTTTATTTAAAGCGTTTGTTTATTTTCCTCTTTTCACAGTGAAAAAGAGGATGATGTATTCACTGTATCCTTTTCTCACGTTAGCACGGATGTCCATGTTTTCAATTCCCTGGAATCTTTATTTAAAGTGTTTATTTATTTCCCTCTCTTCACAATGGAAAAGAGGATGGAGTGGGGGGAGTATGTGAAGTTCACTGGAAGGTCTTAGCAGATGGGTGCCACCTGGGCCTTTAAGTGAAACTTGCTCTTCAGTCACTCTGGGATCTCTTAGTGCAGGCACCAAGCCCTAAAAACTCCAGAAGCCTCTCTTTCCACATCATTAAAATGGGAGGCTGGGGGCAGAATTATTTTGGTGAGGTTACCAGCACGGTAAACGATTAAGGATTAAACGATTGAGGATTAAACGATGCAATATGGAAACTCTCCCAGCCTGATGCAATCCTGAAAATATTTCTTTTCTTTTTCTTTTCCTTTTTTTTTTTTTTTTTTTTTTTTTTTTTGAGATGGAGTCTTGCTCTGTCAACCAGGCTGGAGTGCAGTGGCGTGATCTCAGCTCACTGCAACCTCTACCTCCCAGGTTCAAGCAATTCTCCTGCCTCAGCCTCCCGAGTAGCTGGGATTACAAGCATGCGCCACCACGCCCTGCTAATTTTTTTGTATTTTTAGTAGAGACGGAGTTTCACCATATTGGCCAGGGTGGTCTCGAACTCCTGACCTTGTGATCTGCCCACCTCAGCCTCCCAAAGTGCTGGGATTGTAGGCGTGAGCCACTGCGCCCAGCCTCTCCCTTGCTTTTTGAGGTCAGAAAGTAAGAGATAACTGAGCTGGGCTTTTAATGCTGCCTTTGTTTGTTTGTTTGTTTGTTTGTTTGTTTTGCCATTTAGTGATAATATCCTTCAGTTTCCCTTTCCTGCACTTAGCTTTAAAAATCCCAGCCTGTCACACCAGGGCTGGGGGTTGTGGGGAGCAGACAAACAATCAAACAAGTTCAATCTCTTAAACCAAATTATAAAATGAGAAAGATCACAGATGTGCGGGAGGAAAGGGTTTGATGTAGCTCAGTCATTCCTCTCCTTCCACTTCTGATGACTAATTTAGAAGTTACGCATAACATCTCACTGCCCCTTTCACAAGAAATCATGATATCTATTTTATCTAAATCTTGGTTCTGGCTAAAGCAGTTCTTCCGCTAAGCAACTAGTTTGTTTTCATTTAAATGAAACTGAAGAATCTTATAGCTGATCCTGTTTCCCAGCACTGGTGTAGTGAAATAGATTTTAAAAACAGACAGATCTGGAACCCAGAGCAGCCTCTTTCTTCATCCACTGAAAAATTTTAAAAACAACTTGATTGAGGTGTAATTTACCTATCATAAAATTCACCCATTCTAAGTGAATCATACAATTCAGTTATCGTTAGTAAATGTACAGAGTTGTATAAACATCATCAGAATCCAAGTTTAGAACATTTCTGTTTTTTCCAAAAGATCCCTTCCTGTCCCCCCCTCCACTACCAGGCAACCACTAATCTATTCTCTGTCTCTATAAATTTGCCAATTCTGGACGTTTCATATAAATGGAATCATTCAATGTGTTGCCTTTTGTGTCTGGCTTCATTCACCTAGCATGATGTTTTTCCAGTTCACCCATGGTGTAGCTTGGAACAGTACTGTGTTTCTTTTTATTGACAAATGGACCACATTTTAATCAAAATCCATTCACCAGTTGATGAACATTTGGTTTTTTTCCACTTTTTGGTGGTTATGAATAATGCTATGAGTATCTGCATACAAGTTTTTCTGTGGTCACACGATTAGTTCTCTTGGGTATATATCTAGGTGTGGAATCACTGAGTCATATGGTAACTATGTTTAACCATTTGAAGAACTATCAGATTGCTTTTCACAGTAGCTGCACCATTTGACATTTCCACCAGCAGTGTTTCAGAGTTCTTCTTTCTCCACATCTTCACCAACACTTGTTATTGTCCTTCTTTTTAAATTATAGTCATCCTAGTCCATGTGAAGTGGTATCTCACTGTGGTTTTGATTTTCATTTCCCTAATGACTAATGATGTTGAACATCCTTTCATGTGCTTTTGAGCCATTCCTCTATCTTATTTGGTGAAATGTCTATATAAATCCTTTGCCTATTTATAAATTGGGTTATTTATCTTCTTATGATTGAGTTGGAAGTGTTCTTTGTGTATTTTGGATACATCAGATATATGATATATCAGATATATGACCTATAAATATTTTCTTCCATTCCATAGCTTTTCATTTTCTTAGTGGTACCTCTTGAAACCCAAAAGTTTCTCATCTTGATGAAGTCCAATTTAGCAGTTTTTAAAAATTCCTTATGCCTTTGGTGCTGTGTCTCAGAAATCTTTGCCTAACTCAAGGTCACAAAAATTTAGCTCATACATTTAGGACTATCATCAATTATGAGTAATTTTTGTGTATGATATAAGGGAAAGGTCTAAATTCATCCTTCTGCTGGTAGATCTCGGTTGTTCCAGCATATGAATTATTGCATTTTGTCTGCTGCCTTCTTCTATCCCCTCCTCTATTTTAGCATTCCCAGAGGTGAGCAACACTCCTCCTCTTGCCCCCAGTGGCAGCCCCCCACCCCCACTTAACCCCACTTATAAAATCTGGAGATTTTGCATGAAATCTTTTAGTTTTTAAATGATGTCAATTATTCAATTGTTTCATTTGTCTTCTTGATACATCAGATATATGATATATCAGATATGTGAGACCAACAGACTGTCTTGATGGCACAACTCCAATTCCAGTGTTCCAGAAGAGAGAACTGGGCTGACTGGTTTGTTCTGGGTCAGAGATAACTTCTGGTTCAATCACGTGTGCCCAGGGGTCAGGGTTACATAGTATAACTGTGGCTGCCAGAGCCCACCCTAGGTGAAATGATGGTTCTCAGAGAGGAGGCTTGACTTGAGCTGGGAAAATACCCCAAAAGGTGTCCACTCCTGGGTCATTATCTCATATTCAGCATTCTGCATCCCCTATGAACCAGCTTGAGGTTTCTACCTGGGGGCTTACAAAATTTATTTTGTTTACCCTGTGTAGTGTTCAAGAAGACAAATGAAACAATTGAATAATTGACAGCATTTAAAAACTAAAATATTTCATGTAAAAACTCCAGATTTTGTGTTTCCTTTTAAAAACAGGCAGATCTGAGTCTGCAGCAGTTGGTAGAATGTGAGTGGCAGCTGCCCTCTTCAAGCAGAGGACAGGCTCTCCAGGTTGCCCCGATCCCTACCACTCCCTCTTGCTCCACACACAGTCCTCTGTTCTTAGTAGCTTTTCTTCTCTGACTCTGTAGCCTCTTTGCACATGTACCTCCACCCCTGGAAAACCCACTGGGGCCACTACCTGCCCGCAAGGTCATCTGCCTCTTGCATCTTACCCAGAGGCTGACTCTTAAGCCAGAACTCCTCCAGATTCTAAGTCAGTTAGGTTCCTGTAATACTAGGCCCATAATGGCATTTTGCTATTTGCAGTCTGCTCTGTTCATCACAACCAGTGGCACTGATAAGCCTGGGTGTTTCATGGAAATTATGACCTGGCCAGACTTAATGAGATTATGCAGTACTGGAGCACCCTCATGCATGACACCTCTTTCTCAGAATTAGATCAAAGAAATTAATGTTCTGACTTACTTGACTAGAATAACCAGCCTACAAATGATGAAGAGGATAGAGAAGTTTGGACTGGGGAGTAGCAGGTGAGGCAGTTTAGAATGAATCAAGAAAGGAATCCCAAACTCTCACTTTGTACTAGAGAAAATAAAAGATGTGCTAAGCATGTGGAAAACATTTCTTTATTTTTATTTTTTTATTGAAGGAATCTATATTTTGTTTTTTTCAAAATGAATGCAGTTAGCTCTTATTTTCCCTATTATAAAATAAAGACAATCTCATTGTTGAAATCCTGAGAAATACCAAATATAATAAGTATCATCCAGTACCCAGAGAAAACCATGGTTGATGTAACATAACAAAGATTCACCCTGGATAGAAGCCTGTTAGTTAACAGAATTGACATTGTCCTGTACAAACAAACCACGTACGTCTTCTATAAATTTCATCATAAGCATTTTACCACCTAATTGCTGGTGCTCTGTAATGATTATCAAGGACCCCATGATATTCTATTCTGTAGCCACTGAGAGTTGAAGCCAGCTGGACTCCCTGGGTGGAGTGGGAACTTGGAGAACTTTTCTGTCTTACAAGAGGATTGTAAAACGCACCAATCAGCACTCGGTAGCTAGGAGTGTAAAACGCACCAATCAGCACTC
Organism: Homo sapiens; assembly: GCF_000001405.40. Lineage (NCBI taxonomy): Eukaryota > Metazoa > Chordata > Mammalia > Primates > Hominidae > Homo > Homo sapiens. Next base: position 11,241,516 of record NC_000003.12, read on the forward strand.
TGTAGCTAGCAATGGGATTATAAAATGCACCACTCAGGCTGGGCACGGTGGCTCACGCCTGTAATCCCAGCACTTTGGCAGGCCGAGGCGGGTGGATCACGAGGTCAGGAGATCGAAACCATCCTGGCTAACACAGTGAAACCTTGTCTCTACTGAAAATACAAAAAAAAATTAGCTGGGTGTGGTAGCGGGCGCCTGTGGTCCCAGCTACTCCGGAGGCTGAGCCAGGAGAATGGCGCAAACCTGGGAGGTGGAGCTTGCAGTGAGCCGAGATGGCGCCACTGCATTCCAGCCTGGGGGACAGAGCGAGACTCCGTTTCAAAAAAAAAAAAAAATGCACCAATCAGTGCTCTCTAAAACATAAAACACACCAATCAGCGCTCTGTAAAACGCACCAATCAGCACTCTGCAAAATGTACCAGTGGGCGCTCTCTAAAATGCACCAGTCAGCAGGAGTCTAAAAGTAGCCAATAGTGGGGACGACTGAAAAAAGGGCACTCTGATAGGACAAAAACGGAACATGGGAGGGGACAAATACGGGAATAAAAGCTAGTCACCCCAGCCAGCAGAGGCAATCCGCTTGGGTCACCTTCTAGGCTGTAGAAGGTTTCTTCTTTTGCTCTTCACAGTAAATGTTGCTGCTCACTCTTTGGGTCCTTGCCATCTTTAAGAGCTCTAACACTTGGCCGGGTGCGGTGGCTCATGCCTGTAATCCCAGCACTTTGGGAGGCCAAGGCAGGCGGATCAGGAGGTCAGGAGATCAAGACCATCCTGGCTAACATGGTGAAACCCCGTCTCTACTAAAAATTCAAAAAATTAGCCGGCCATGGTGGCGGGTGCCTGTACTCCCAGATATTCGGGGAGGCTGTGTCAGGAGAATGGTGTGAACCTGGAAGGCAGAGCTTGCAGTAGCCAAGATCATGCCACTGCACTCCAGCCTGGGCAACAGAGCCAGACTCCGTCTCAAAAAAAAAAAAAAAAAAAAAAAAAAAAAGCTGTAACACTCACTGCAAAGGTCTGCGTCGCCATTCTTGAAGTCAGCGACACCAGGAACCTGCCGGAAGGAACCAACTCCGGACACACTACCTCAAGATACATTTAGTTCCCAAATGCCAGCTCATTTCTCTTTATTTTCTATCATAAATAATGTTGCAGTGAGCGTCTTTGTGCATAAATCTTTATTTACATTTTAGATTACCATGAGATAAATTTTTAACTATAAAGTGTTCAGGGAAAAGTAGAAAAGTGGACCAAAAGGTATGGTACAATATTCGTCAATGGGATAAATCCTACCTCAAACTTCTTTAAGTCTGAACTTCTTTTGAAAATTATGCTTACACTTTCTGCACTTAGTACATCTCCCCTGGCTTCTGCTGTTCTGTATTGGTTTGGGTCTCTCTTTTTTTTTTCCTTTTTTTAGATGGAGTCTTGCTCTGTCACCAGGCTGGAGTGCAGTGGCATGATCTTGGCTCACTGCAACCTCTGCCTCCTGGGTTCAAGTGATTCTCCTGCCTCACCCTCCCCAGTAGCTGGGACTACAGGTGCCTGCCACCACGCCTGGCTAATTTTTGTATTTTTAGTGGAGACGGGGTTTCGCAATGCTGGCCAGGCTGGTCTCAAACTGCTGACCTCAGGCAATCCACCTGCTTTGGCCTCCCAAAGTGCTGGGATTACAGGTGTGAGCCCCTGCGCCCGACCCTGGGTCTTGTTTTTTCAGGGCTCATCCAGTAAACCTCTGTTGAGCACCTATCATGTGCCAGCCTGGTGCCAGGCTCAGGAGAAATGATGGCAAGCGAAAATGCAGGGTCCCTGCTGTCAGCGAATGGGATGTCCCCATGGTGTTGCACTTCAGAGACAGAAATAGTGGACATCCTCCATGCCCTGGAGTTGCTCCCCATTTAGTTGGAGGAGAATCAGCTAAAGAATGATAATCCCACAAGAAAGTTGATAAAAGAGGAGCATGTTAGAAGTTGAGGATACCAAGAGAAAGGAACAAGTAAGAGTTTCAAGGCAAAAGAATGTTCCAGGCAGGGAAATGGCATCAACGTGTAAAGAAGCTTACTTACACCTTGGCCCCAGCGTGTGCTTCCAGACTCATCGTTCTGTGCTCTAGGCACTTCCAATGACTCCTCCCAATTCCTCAAACTCAGCTGTGTACTTTGAGTCTTTCTTCTACTGAGCCTTAAATACCTCTTTCTTCCTGCTGGAGAAATTCCACCCATCCTTCAAAGCCTGGCTTGCATATCACTTCTTCTCTGATGTCCTTTCTGACGTCCGCATTTTGCCTTGAGAGAGGCAGTTCTTCCCTCTGCTGTCCAGCTACCTGCCTTGATCTTATACCAGTCACCACGTTTGTCCCAGCTGAATTCTAGGGTTTTTAATTTAATTGTTTTGATGCTGTTTATCTTGTGTATTTCTTCGCATGCTAATTTATCAACTCTTTGAAGTCAGGGACAGTGTATCAATTAGGATTCGAGTTGGCTGTATGTGATAGAAAACACTAGCTAACAATGGCTTCCATGAAATAGACGTGAGGTCCAGAGGTGGGCAGTCCTCGCTGATATGGCAGCCCCATGATCATCAGGGACCTCAAGTCTGTCCCGATGGCTGCTTCACTTTCCTAATTGTGTGGCTTTTCCTTATGGTCCCAAGATGGCTGCTTAAGCACTACTCATCATATCCACAATCCAGCCAGCTAGAAGAATGAAAGGCCAAAGAAAAGTACACACCTTTATTTTAAGGCTGTTTTCTGGAAGTTGCAAACAACACTTGCATTTACATTCCATTGGAATTTAGTCACATGGTCACACCCAGCTACAAAGGAGTCTGGGAAATGTAGTTTCTATTCCAGGCAGCTGTATACTCAGCTGAGAAGCAGAGTTCTAGTCTTAGACATGAGAGGAGACTATTAGCAGCTTCCACCACAGTGAAAAACAAGGAAAGGTCAAGGATGAGTCCTCTGATCCTGAATGGGCCAGGTACAGGATGGTGGTGCTCACCAAGAAATGGAAGAAAACACAACCACTGCTATTAATTGAGCACCTCATGTATGCCAGACACTGTACTAGGTGCTTTATCTAAAACCAACGTTGCTGAGCTTTATTTAGGTAAATAATTGCATTGCCCTTGAGGAAGTTTGGAGTATTTCTAATTTGGAATCAGATCCAGGTTGCCTCTTCTTTCATGCTTCCCATGTTGGGGAGCTTACTGTCTTTCTCAAGGTAACTTGTTGCATTGTTGGATAACATCTTTTTTAGAAAGTTCTGCCTTACTTCGAGCTGAAAGCTGCACTCTTGGGTGGGAATGGAGTGTAGTAGTTCAGGGTGCATGTTCTTCAGTTGGATCAGTGGTTCTATCCCCCAGGGGATACCTGGCAGTGTCTGGTAACATTTTGGGTTGTCATGACTGGGGGCTTGCAGCTACTGGCATCAAGTGAGTGGAGGCTAGGGATAATGGTAAATGTCATCACCCAGTACACACGACAGCTCCCCACAATGAAGAGTCATGCAGCCCAAATGTCAATGGTAGGACCAAGGTTAAGAAACCCTGAGTTAGGGCCAGGTGTGGTGGCTAATGCCTGTAATCCCAGCACTTTGGGAGACCGAGGCAGGCAGATCACTTGAGGCCTGGAGTTTCAGACCACCCTGGCCAACATAGCAAAACCCCGTCTCTACTAAAAATACAAAAATTAGCCGGGTATGGTGCTGCACACCTGTAGTCCCAGGCACTCAGGAGGCCGAGGCAGGGGAATCACTTGAACCCGGGAGGCAGAGGTTGCAGGGAGCTGAGATCATGCCACTGCACTCCAGCCTAGGTGACTGAACGAGACTTCATCTAAAAAAAAAAAATAGAGAAACCCTGAGTTAGATAGACCTACGTTCAAATCTTAACTTAGCAACCACTTCCCAGCTGCGTGACCTTGAGTAAGATGCTTCACCTCCTGAGCTTGAGCTGACCATTTCCTCCTCTCCGCCCAGATATGCCTCTTGGGCTTGCGGGCATTTAGTAACTGATGTGTGAGAAGCTTGGCTCCTTACTGTTTCAGCTGCCCCCATTGGTGTCGCAGGATGTGCAAGGAGCGCTGACTGGGTTGTTTGCTGGCACATGGGCCTGATGGGATTAGACTGTAATCACTCTAGTAAAAGCCCCTCCCCACCTAATGGTTTCAGAATGGAGTCATTGCCTTAATTCAAAAATGATGGTTTGCTTGTGCACTCTTAGAGAAGATGGGTCCATTTCTGCTTTTTACCAAGTAATCGCAGAGCTTTCCCACTTCCCTGTCTCAATTGATCCTCCCAATGGCCCAGGCAGGAGGGCTTACTAGTCTCCCTACTTTAAAGGTGAGTAAACTGGCACCCCGAACTGTTTACTCAAGGTGCACATGCTCTCACACACACACTCTTAGACACTCACACATACACACTCACACTCACTCATACATACTCATACACACACACTCATGTACTCAAAAACCACACACACACTTACACATACACACATACACTCACACTCATACACACACTCACACATTCACACACATACACACAGACTCTCACACACAATCACACACATTCACACTCACACACACAAACACACATGCACATACACATTCACTCACACATTCACACACACTCATACAGCCCAGCAAGCAGCGGAGCAAGGGTGAGGACTCAGCTCCTGCCTCTAGAGCTCTCCCTAGGCTGCTACTCTGAGGACACAGAGCTAGGGAGAACCTACAGGTGACTGCCTTCCTTGCAGACAAGCCCTCATCTCACATGGCTCCTTTAGCTTTTATTCTCTCTGCCCAGAGCACACCCTCTGTCCAGCACTGTTTCCATAGGCATGGCTTTATCCTCAGAGAGGGCACCTCAGACCCAGCGGGATCTCCTGAGTGGCGTGTAGTGACATGGGATCCATGTCCCCAAATATCTCCCACACTCTTGGCCATAGTATCTGACTTTTCTTTGGAATTTATGCAAGGAAAACCTCAGGGACCAGATTTTTCAAAATACAGGTCCCGAAGGGAGGGAAAAGCACCTTACATTAGTCATCTCACTGACGAGAACTATCCATTCAAGCTATTTTTTTATTCATTTCACAGTACATTGCAGACATTGTTAGATTTCACCCCTAAATGTTTAAAATGCTACAGTAATTTTTAGTTCAGTGATGACAATTCAATCATAACTTTTCTTTCTTTAAACAAAAAGGAAAAATACAGATTTTTTTAAATAAAAACAAATCATGGCTGGGCACGGTGACTCACCCACCTGTAATCCCAGCACTTTGGGAGGCTTAGGAGGGCAGATGGCTTGAGCCCAGGAGTTTGAGACCAGTCTGGGCAATACAGTGAGACCCTCTCTCTACAGAAAATACAAAAAATTACCCAGGCATGGTGGTGCGTGCCTGTGGTCCCTCCCAGCTACTCAGGAGGCTGAGGTGGGAGGATTGCTTGAATCATTTTCTGTCAAATATAATTGTTAGATGATAAATAGTATATACATAATTTTTAAAAAATGTTTTCTCTGATGGGCACAGTGGCTCATGCCTATAATCCTAGTACTTTGGGAGGCTGAGGCAGGTGGATCACTGAGGTCAGGAGTTCGAGACCAGCCTAACCAATATGGTGAAACACCATCTCTACTAAAAATACAAAATTGGCCAGGTGTGGTGGTGCATGCCTGTAATCCCAGCTACTTGGGAGGCCGAGGCAGGAGAATTGCTTGAACCCAGGAGACAGAGTGTTAGAAACAAGTGCCTGGTGCCGCAAAGAAAAACAGCACGTAGGCAGAAAATTCCTCAGCAAGGCAAATTTCCTTCTGCAGGAGGATGCAGCTTGCACCAGTCACGATCGCAAGAGCACACTGAGCAGGGTAGGGCAGGGGTTTTTATCCCTAATGCAGTTCCTAGCACTTCTGTGTCCTTTCCTCATTGGCTAAGGTTGGCCCTCCCAATCTAAGCTAATTCGATTGGCTAAGGTTTAAAATTGAATAGGGTCTATTAGGCGGGAAGGAAGAGGGACTGTCCCTTACTAGGTGGGAAGGCATATCTGGATTTGTCTGGACGTGGCAAAGGCGGGAAGGTTGTTTACCGAACAGGTAGCTAGGAGACAAGGAAGTATAAGGAAGTTGGTCTAAGAAACAAAGAACAGGGAACTAAAGCTTTTCGAAGAAGAATTTATCATCTCTGACAATTTCCCCCTCTTGATTTTATAGTTTTTCCTCTTCAAAATGCCTTAGCATATCTAGGCTCTGTTGTTGTTCTTGGGTGTCAAGAAGGAAGAGTTTATCTGAATAAGGTGGGGGGGAACTAAGGGAGGTTTTGGTGAGCGCTGTTTCTATAAGTCTTTGCACTAAACCGCAAATACAGGGTATGATACAGCATCCTACAAGAATGAGCACACCTATAACGATTATAAGGGAGGTGAATATTGAGGTCATAATTCCTTTCCATTTCCCGAACCATTTCTCCATGAGGGTTGTAAAGGGGTCATCTATTCTAGAATTTTTAGCTAACTCATTTATTTGATAAGGAGGTAAGGCCTTGTAAGGCTTTTGTTATTGTTCCATCGGGGGCGGTGTTATTAGGAATAAAAGTACAACATTGGACTCCAATCGTGACACAAACTCCGCCTTTTTCAGCTAATATCACGTCAAGGGCTATTCTGTTTTTCCCAGGCTATTTGGCTGGTAAGGCCTAATTGTTCAACTGTTCCTTTAATTGCATCTCTAGTAAAATTAACAAAGTGTTGTTGATTATAATAGATATAATTTATTCAAGCTACATTCTTGTTTACAGTTGACCACCAGAACAATATAAATTTGAAGCCTGCAGCTGTTTGATTTTGGGCTTTGAATTCATCTGGTACCCCTCATGGTACTCCGATAGCATCTATATAAACATGAGGATCAAAGGATCCAGGAGGGACGTGTCTCTTTTTACAATATTCTGTCTTCAGCTTTCTTGGTCGATGAAATGCCAAGGTGAGAGGGATAGCCAACTGAATTACAGCACAAGTGCTGCTCCAGGTACTTGGCAGAGTACCCAGCGATAGTCCCCCACAATATCACCACACATCTGCTCCGGAATGAACAAGGGCATACTGATTGGTAAGCTCTTGAAAAGGCTTGGTTTCACTGCACCCTGTTAGGTCTCCAAGGAATGCTAACTTCTCCCCCTGCCATGAAAGGCAAGAGGTGAAGTTAACATCAGGGGCTGCAGGCTGGATGGCCCTCAAGGGCTGACCCGCAGGGCTTTTGACTTCAGGGAACAGCAGTGGAAGAATCTTGCATGACTCATTACACCAGGCTGTGGGGTTCTGGAAGAGAGCTATCACACAGCTCATGCCTCGTTGGTCAGATGACCATCCAAGTGGGAAGGGGACAATTTGGGTTTCTGGCCTACCTGTCGCACAAGCCTAACAGTCGCTTTTATTTAGCTTGCGGATGGAATATTTAATCCCTTCCAACCAGGCATTTGGATCTTGATATCCTGTTTCAATAGCTAGAGTTTGCTTTAAATCTTTAACTTCTATAATGGTAACTTTAGTTTTATCATTGGGTATGAAGTGAGAAAAGGTTTGGTTAGAAGAGGGTTTAGGGCTGGGCGCGGTGGCTCATGCCTGTAATCCCAGCACTTTGGGAGGCCAAGGCAGGTGGATCACGAGGTCAGGAGATCCAGACCATCCTGGATAACACAGTGAAACCCCGTCTCTACTAAAAATAAAAAATAAAAAAAATTAGCTGGGCATGGTGGCAGGTGCCTGTAGTCCCAGCTACTCGGGAGGCTGAAGCAGGAGAATGGCGTGAACTCGGGAGGCAGAGCTTGCAGTGAGCCGAGATCGCGCCACTGCACTCCAGCCTGGGTGACAAAGTGAGACTCTGTCTCAAAAAAAAAAAAAAAAAAAAAAGAGGATTTAGGAGGAGAGGGAGAAGGGGGTGAAGGAGGTGGAGGAGCAATGAAGCACATTGTGAAATATCCTATAGGGTCTGTCCCTGAGACTTCTGCTCCTACCATAAAAATGGCTCAAGGAAGGGTAAGAACCTTGGGAAGCTGGGATAGTAATGGAAATTTGTACAGGATTACACTGGTTATATTGGCAATTGGGAGGAGTACTCCCTTTAGTGAAACAAATGTATGGTTTCAGGAATATACAACTATTCGTTGTGGCAGTCCATCCCTGGTTTTTGGTTGTCAATAGAACATTGGACCAACTGTGGCAGAGATGCTGAGGCTCTGCTTTAGGAGGACAAGTTTCCCAATTAACGGAATCTCCGTTAAAATCTTCCCAGACTAATTGATCCCGGTTAACAGATTTCCAGTCTGAGGAGAGCCAGGAAGGACAAAGATACTTTTCTGAAGTAGAGTTGTCTTTGACCCTGCAGATCTCCACAGGGTATAACAAGACAAGCATAGAAAGTGATAGTTTGAGGTGAGTTAGACTTAGTAACATTAATAATAAGATGTGGGGTAGCTGGGGTAAAGAGGAAAAGGAGGAAGAGGCAGATTAAGCTTTTCTCTTTTTTTTTTTTTTTTTTTTTTTTTTGAGACGGAGTCTCGCTCTGCCGCCCAGGCTGGAGTGCAGTGGCGCGATCTCCGCTCACTGCAGGCTCCGACTCCCGCGTTCACGCCATTCTCCTGCCTCAGCCTCCCGAGTAGCTGGGACTATAGGCGCCGCCACCACACCCGGCTAATTTTTTTTTTTTTTTTTTTTTTTTGTATTTTTAGTGGAGACGGGGTTTCACCATATTAGCCAGGATGGTCACGATCTCCTGACCTCGTGATCCGTCCGTCTCGGCCTCCCAAAGTGCTGGGATTACAGGCGTGAGCCACCGCGCCCGGCCGCTTTTCTCTTTAACGTTACATTTTCGGGGGTAGGTACTTTGGAGAGGGGTACCCGGGTATGATGCGTCCATCCTCTCTCAACGGTCCGGACTGCTGTCTCAGTTGTGAGGAGCACTAGGTATGGTCCTTCCCAAGTGGGTTCGAGCTTTCCCTCTTTCCAACTTCTGATAAGGATGTGATCTCCAGGCTGGTGTTGATGAACTGGTAATTCAATGGGTGGAGTTTGTGCTAGGAGGCCTTGAGTCCTGAGGGAGGAAAGGGTAGAAGATAGACCTAACACATAGTTTCTAAGAAACTGATCTTTTGTTTCGAATGTGGGAAGATCAGTAGTAGAATGTAGATAAGGCAATCTAAAAAGCATCTCATAAGGGGGTAGACCTATGTTTTTTCAGGGAGCAGTTCGGACTCTCAACAGGGCAATAGGCCTTTCGACTCTCCCTGATGAGGGTGGATGCACGGCATGTGGTACTCCCATTTTCTTTAGGTTGTTTGTTGGTTTTTCTGCGCACTCTGAAACGATCTGCAACTTGTCTAGCAAGGGTATAAATTCCTACGCATCCATAAACTCTGAGGACTGCATCACACATAGCTTGGGGGCCCCAGTGAGTTCCTTGATGTAGCTGTGACAATACCTCTCGCATGAAGGGCTTAGACAGCATTTCCTTCTTGTCTGGTTGTACCCATCTTCCCTCGTGACTTTCTTTGGCTCCTATTTCTTTTAACTTTTCTTTTTCTCTGGGGGAGAAAACAGGGACTGTAGCTGGAGGGGGAAGATAAGGGGTTAGGTGGAAAATGGGTGCTGCTTGAGAAGAGGCAACATGTTTAGCCACTTGGTCAGCTAGATTATTCCCTCAGCTCTCAAAGGAAAGATTCTTCTAGTGACCTGGAACATGAACAACTGCTGTCTCTTCTGGCGGCTGTAAGTTCTCTAGTACTTGGATTATCAAGTCTCTATGGACTAAGTTTTGGCCTTTACTGTTAATAAGGCCTCGCTCTGCCCAAATTTTCCCAAAGGTGTGGACTACTCCAAAGGCATACGTGGAGTCAGTATAAATAGTTCCTTCCTGGTTTTGCAGAAATTTTAAGGCTTGATTTAGTGTAAACAACTCACATGTTTGCTCAGACCAGTCATTAGGTAGGGTGTCTCCGTCTACTGCTGAGTACCTGTTATGCCTTTTCCCTTTTATTACTTGAGAAGAACCATCTACAAAAAGGTGTCTTCCGGTTTGAAAGGGAGTTTATCTAAACATCTATGCCCAAGTTCTTCTGGTCTGGGGCATGGGTTTTTTTCTGCGTTTGAATTTCCTGTTAAGAAGGCAGCAGGGTTAAGTGAATCATCTGTAGTTCGGATTAAATCATCTTTTTCTAACAAGATAGCCTTGTATTTTAAAATTCTTGAGTCAGTAAGCAACCTTTCTGCCTTCTGATTTAGGATAGTTCTGTTCTGGTGAGGTGTGCTCACAATGGGGTTTCCTCCAAAAGTTATTTTTCTACTTTCTTCTGTTAGCAAAGTAGTTGCCGCTACAGATTGAATGCATTTGGACCATCCATGGGTTACTGGGTTAAGAATTTTTGACAGGAAGCCTACGGGTTGGGAGTGGCCTCCGTGCTTTTGGGTAAGTACTCCCAAGGCTACGCCCTTGTTTACATTGACGAAAAGATGGAATGGCTGCTTAGGGAGGGTAAAGCTAGGACAGGGGCAGTTACTAATAGATGTTTTAACCTTTCTACCTTTTGGATTTCTGGTAATTGCCAAATGATGGGGTCTGGCTCGTCTTGTGTGAGCTTTTTGTATGAGAGTTCTGTTTCTAGGGCATAAGAGTCTATCCATAGACGGCAGTATCTGACTAATCCTCCTTCAATCCATTCAAGCCCAATTTTCCATTTGCCTTTGTAATTAAATGCCCTAAATATTTTACTTCAGGTTCTACAAATTGGAGTTTGTTTTTCGAGGCCGTTAACCCTTCATCCCACAGAAAATTTAAGACATGGGTTGAGAAAGCTGCTACTTCTTTTCTATCATCTCCTGAAATTAGAAGATCATCCATGTACTGGAGGGGACATATGCACGAGGGCAGGGAAAATTTCTCTAGGACTTGTTCTAATATTTGACTAAGTAAATATGGAGACTCCGTAAACCCCCGGGGTAAGACTGTCCATCAGTATTGCTGTTTTCAACCGGAGTGAGGGTCTTTCCACTCAAAGGCAAGTAGGTCCTGGCTGCCCTCTGCTAATGGACAAGCCCAGAAGGCATCATTTAAATCTATTACTGTACTATCTGATTAATAGCTCTAAGGTCTTGCACTAACCAGTATGACCTGTCTGGCTTCTTTAAAGGCAGTATTGGAGTGTTACAGGGAGACATACAGGATTTAAGAAGCCCATCATGGAGAAGACCTTCAATTACAGGTTTTAAATTTACCCTGGCTTCTAAAGGAATAGGGTATTGCTTTCTCTTTACTACTTCCCCAGGGGTTTTAAATTTAACATGAATCAGAGAAATCTGTAACTTTCCTTGATCCCATCTTTTGACCATACCTCGGGATAAATGTGTTCTTCGTCTGCGGTGGTGAGCAAGATTAGGGAGGGGAGGGGAGGAATTTTCCGTGATTGATTTGGAGGCCTAAGCCTAATTTTAGTATTAAATCACTTCCTAATAGATTTGTCCCTGCTTCTGGAATTAACAGAAATTTGCTGCTAGCTGATCAGTTTTCATATTTCACTTTTGTCTCCTCTAAGATTTTTGCTCTAAATCCTTCTCCTTTTACTCCAGAGATAAAAAGTTTTTCTTGTGAACAAGTTACACTAGATGGAAGATAACAGACTGAGGAGTGAGCTGCTTCTGACTCGATTAAAAAGGTAATAAGCTTAGGTTTAGGTCCCACTTCTAAATTTACCAAGGGCTGTTGGTGGGACTCAAGAGACAAAGATGGAGCCCCTGACCTCCCTAGTCTTCTTCAAAAGCTGTAAGTGGGATGACTTTTTCTTCTTTTTCCCATTTGGGACATTGTCTTTCAAAATGACCTATTTTTCCACATTTGAAACATTTGTTCTGTGATTTCTTAGTAATATCTCGCCAGCTATTGGTGACAAAGTGGAGCTTTAACATTCCTTGTCCGAGGGGGTCTTCTGATTCTAGGCCAGCGTATTTTTCTCATTTGCTCTTTAAGCCTTTCTAAAAATTCTGTCGGTCCCTCATCTTTTCCCTGTTTTATATTAAAGGCCTTGGTAAGATTTTGGGTGCGGGGCACTAATTCTCAAATTCCTTTTATTACCATCTCCCTAAGGTCTCTCATATTTCCTTGATGGGCTATATTGTTGTTATCTCATTGAGGATCCTGGGCTGGGAATTATGTTCAGCCGCTGGAACGTTCTGACCGGGAGGATGTTCACGTTCCCGAATGGTCATAGCAGCCCTTTGTATCATGCTCCTTTCTTCTCCTGAGAATAAGATGTCTAAGATAGACATTAACTCGTCTAAAGTATATATCTGGGGTCCTAAAACTGATCGATCTGATCTGCCACTCCATAAGGGTCATCTAAGAGTGGTTTAAGCTCCTTTTTTAGGTTTAGGGGAAGGGTCTGTGGTGGCAGCTGCTTGGGGGAGAGGAAGGTTCTTCAGTCCAAACAAAACAGCAGTTTTTTATCATTTGCTGCTTTTTCTTGTGTTTGGTCCTTCCATTATCCTTCCAATATTCTAACGTTAGGCCTAGGGGACTATCAGAGGGTATATTATCATGATCATGATATTTCCTATCTTTTGTCTTACTTGCTGTATTTCCCATCCTGGAGAAAGAGTTTTTCCCTGAGTCCATGGGGCTCAATCTCTCTTACTAGAGATTTCTTGCACCCTAGTGAGTCTGTGGGGCTCAACCTCTCCTACTAGAGATTTTTCACACTCTTCAGCTTTTGCTTTATCCTTCTCCATATGCTTCTCTTGCGGAAATTTTCAAGTCCCTCTTAGCATAGGCAGGTTGGTATAAACCCCACAACAGGCAAGCTGCCTTTAAGCCATATGAGGTGACTACAGAACCAGATCCGGACTCTGCACTTGCTCTGCACTCAATTGTGTGTCTTACTCACACACTTTCAACCTCCAGGATGTCCTGACCACCAAGGAAATACTTCACTGCCCCCAAGGTTTTTCTTACCTTGGTCTATGCACAGAGTTACCTGGTCGCCACAGTATCTGTCTGCCTTTTCTTCCCTCATTGCTAGAGTCCAGGTTTATTCATCACACCAGGTGGGTCTCGATCCCTTACCCTTGAGGCCACCGCAACAAAGCAGCGGGCTGCGTCTCCTCACGAGAAATGATCTGAGACCCTCCCCGGAGGAGAATGGGAATCCCAGATGAACCCCCAAGTTTGTTAGAAACAAGTGCCTGGTGCCACAAAGAAAAACAGCACATAGGCAGAAAATTCCTCAGCAAGGCAAATTTACTTCTGCAGAAGGGTGCAGCTTGTGCTAGTCACAATCGCAAGAGCACACCAAGCAGGGTAGGGCAGGGGTTTTTAATCCCTAATGCAGTTCCTAGCACTTCTGTGTCCTTTCCGCATTGGCTGGGGTTGGACTTCACAATCTAAGCTAATTCGATTGGCTAAGATTTAAAATTGAATAGGGTCTATTAGGTGGGAAGGAAGAGGAACTATCCGTTACTAGGTGGGAAGGCATATCTGGACTTGTCTGGGCCTGGCGAAGGCAGGAAGGCTGTTTACAGAACAGGTAGCTAGGAGACAAGGATGTACAAGGAAGTTGGTCTTAAGAAACAAAGAACAGAGAACTAAACCTTTTTGAAGAGGAATTTATCATCTCTGACAGGAGGCTGCAGTGAGCTGAGATCACGCCATTGCACTCCAGCTTGGGCAATGAGAGTGAAACTCCGTCTCAAATTAAAATTAAAATTAAAAAATAAAAAATAACGTAAAATAAAAAATGGTTTCTCTCCCCTCTATGTGCCAGACAATGAGGAAAAGAGAAAAAGGAGACACCTCTGGAGGCCAGGGAGCTGAGAGCCACCTTGAGAATGCCAAGCTGGGGAAGTGTTTAGGGGAACTACTTCCTGCTTCCTTCCGAGCAAAACAGTAAAAAATAAAAATCCCTGAGACAATACTTCCTTAGCCTTATGAACCCCGAAAATCTGAGATAGGTCTCAGTTAATTTGGAAAGTTTATTTTGCCAAGGTTGAGGACGCACACCCATGACACAGCAACAGGAGGTCCTGACGATGTGCCCAAAGTGGTCAGAGCACAGTTTGGTTTTATACATTCTAGGGAGACATGAGACATCAATCAATATATGCAAGATGAACATTCCTTAGGTCTGGGAAAGGCAGGACAACTGGAAGCCGGGAGGAGGCTTCCAGGTCTTAGGAAGATAAGAGACAGATGGTTGCATTCTTTTGAGTTTCTGATTAGCCTCTCCAAAAGAGGCAATCAGATATGCATTTATCTCAGTGAGCAGAGGTCTGACTTCGAACAGAATGGGAGGCGGGTTTGCCCTAAGCAGTTCCCAACTTGACTTTTCCCTTTACCTTAAGTGATTTTGGGGCCCCAAGTTATTTTCCTTTCACAGCCTACTTTCTTCCTTCCAGAAGTGACTGTGGACAATTCCACAGGGTTTGGACTTGATCAGGGCAGAAGGTGAAGCTGCAAGGTATTAGATGTGGGAATGGAGAAAAATACAGGCTGGAGCTGTGGGTTTGAGTGTTGTCCTCATAGGAGGTGATGGCTGAGGGGTAGGTAAGTGAGAGGATGAGATCCCCGAGGCCGACAGCACAGAGTGACAGGAGCATAGGGCAGGACTTTGGGTCACCCAAGGAGACAGTGATGCTTTTGAAGAAGTCAGAGGAGGCCCCATCAGCAATCAGAGGATTGCTCTGATTGGCACCTCAGAGCTGGAGGACATCAAAAAATACCGCTGTAAGAAAGAGACCTGGAAAAGTCTTTAGAGATTGTCTATCCCACCCTACCCATTTGACACATGAGAAGATGGAGGCCAAGAGATCACTGAGAAAATAAATGGTAGAGCTTGGGCAAAATCAGTGCTGCCCAAAATGGTGTTTTTCCAACAAAGACATTTAAAAGGTTCCTTCCACAAGGATCAAACACCTTGGGGTTTTGATTTTTATCTTAAAAAGTTATATAAATTTAGCCTTCTACAGGCCAGGCACGGTGGCTCACACCTATAATCCCAGCACTTTGGGAGGCTGAGGTGGGTGGATCATGAGGTCAGGAGATCAAAAGGATCCTGGCTGATATGGTGAAACCCCATCTCTACTAAAAATACAAAAATTAGCTGGGCGTGGTGGTGGGCGCATGTAATCCCAGCTACTCAGGAGGCTGAGGCAGGAGAATTACTTGAACCTGGGAGGCAGAGGTTGCAGTGAACCGAGATCGCGCCATTGCACTCCAGTCTGGCGACAGAGCGAGACTCCGTCTCTAAATAAATAAATAAATAAATTTAGCCTTCTACTCAAGAACTTATCTGGCTTTGTCTTAATGTAAAAATAATTTCTTTTTGCTAAATTATTGAGAGAAATTTACTATTTATTAGTGTTTATCAGTTTTCTTTAAACTCACCACTTTTTGATGAATATGAAAATCTAAAAACTTGGCCGGGCGCAGTGGCTCACACCTGTAATCTCAGCACTTTGGGAGGCCAAGGTGGGCGGATCATCTGAGGTCAGGAGTTCAAGATCAGCCTGACCAACATGGTGAAACCCCTTCTCTACTAAAAATACAAAAATTAGCTGGGCGTGGTGGTGGGTGCCTGTAATTGTAGCTACTCGGGAGGCTAAGGCATGAGAATCACTTGAACCCAGAAAGCAGAGGTTGCAGTGAGCTGAGATGGTGCCACTGCACTCCAGCCTGGGCGACAGAGTGAGACTCTGTCCTAAAAAAAAAAAAAAAAAAAATGGCTGGGCGTGGTGCCTCATGCCTGTAATCCCAGCACTTTGGGAGTCCAGCGTGGGTGGATCACCTGAGGTCAGGAGTTCAAGTCCAGCCTGACCAACATGGTGAAACCCCGTCTCTACTAAAAAAATACAAAAAAAATAGCCGGGTGTGGTGGCACACTCCTGTAATCCCAGCTACTCAGGAGGCTGAGGCAGGAGAATCACTTGAATTTGGGAGCTGGAGATTGTAGTGAGCCAAGATGGTGCCATTGCACTCCAGTCTGGGTGACAGAGTGAGACTCCATCTCAAAAAAAAAAAAAAAATCTTAAAAACTCCTTCCAGAAGATTTAATACTTACTTTCACCCAACCACCCGACTTGAGTATCACCAATAACAGAGGATACAGTCCGTTTTCAGTAGAGCCTTAGTAGCAAAGGGTTTTCATTTTTATTTTTCAGATACAGGATCTTGCCCTGTCACCCAAGCTGGAGTGCAGTGATGTGATCATAGCTGACTGCAGCCTCCTGAGTAGCTAGGACTATAGGTGTATTATAGGACAATTTTTAAAAAATTTCATTGTAAAGACAGGATTCCACTGTGTTGCCCAGGCTGCAAGTCTTGGCCTCAAGTGATCATTCCACCTTTAACTCTTGCCCTCAAGCAATCCTCCCACCTCAGACTCCCAAAATGCTGGGATTATGGGTGTGAGCCACCATTTCCAGCCTACTAGCAAGGGTCTTGTTACATATTACTTGGCATGATTTATGTAATTTAAAAAAATTGTTTGTTTTTCAAATAGAAAAGTAAAATAACGAATATGCTTTTCCAATAACATAATCCCCTTCTCACTTGAGAATTTTCCTCTAAAAAGATATGCTAGATTTATTTCATGCTTTATGTGCCTCTGGTGTGTCCCCTTATAACCTCCTCCATATCATTTAGGGATGGTCTCAGCTGCAAGTAAGAACTGCCACAACAGTGATGTAAGCCAAAAAAAAAAAAAAAAAAAAAAGCAAAGCCAAGCAAAACAAAGCCCATTTAATTATTTCCCATAATAATAAGTCTGGGAGAAGAAGATTCCAGAGTTGGCTCAGCAGCTTAGTGACAGCAAGGCCCTAGGCTGGCATTTTCTTGGCCTTCCCGATGGTCCCAAGATGACTCTCATGGCCTCAAACATCACTTCCTCACATCCTGTCAGGGAGAAAGAGGCAAGTGAGCAACAACAATTTTTGTTGTTTTGATCATTTGTCAGAGAGGAAGAACGTTCCTAAAAACTCCGCCTCTGCTGTTTGACATCCTCATCCTATTCCTTGGCCATGGTGGTATCTCATGGTCACTCCTCTATCTGCCACTGTAAAGAGGAACTGGATTGCTATATTCTGCTTAGACACATGAGGATGCAGCCCACCTTCCCAGAACATGTGCGGAATTAGATTTCTACAAACACATTTGTCTTGCTTCTGCCCAACTCTCTCACTAGAATGCACATTCCATAGGGGCAAACATTTTTGTCTATTTTGTTCACAGCTATATTCTCAACACCTAGAAGAGTGACAGAAATTCAATAAATAGTTGTTAAGTGAGCAAATGAATGCATGAATAAGGAAAAGGGTACATGGCTATTGAGTAGGTAACCAGCAGTGTTGATCACCCCCAACAGCATACAACTCCAGTCTGATGAACATCATGCTACTAAGTGGCCACTCATCACCCAAGTCTCTGACCTTACTTTTTCTCTCTTTTCTCCCAGGGAGTGAGCCATAACTGGTGGCTGCTCTTGCGCCAATGAGCCTCCCCAATTCCTCCTGCCTCTTAGAAGACAAGATGTGTGAGGGCAACAAGACCACTATGGCCAGCCCCCAGCTGATGCCCCTGGTGGTGGTCCTGAGCACTATCTGCTTGGTCACAGTAGGGCTCAACCTGCTGGTGCTGTATGCCGTACGGAGTGAGCGGAAGCTCCACACTGTGGGGAACCTGTACATCGTCAGCCTCTCGGTGGCGGACTTGATCGTGGGTGCCGTCGTCATGCCTATGAACATCCTCTACCTGCTCATGTCCAAGTGGTCACTGGGCCGTCCTCTCTGCCTCTTTTGGCTTTCCATGGACTATGTGGCCAGCACAGCGTCCATTTTCAGTGTCTTCATCCTGTGCATTGATCGCTACCGCTCTGTCCAGCAGCCCCTCAGGTACCTTAAGTATCGTACCAAGACCCGAGCCTCGGCCACCATTCTGGGGGCCTGGTTTCTCTCTTTTCTGTGGGTTATTCCCATTCTAGGCTGGAATCACTTCATGCAGCAGACCTCGGTGCGCCGAGAGGACAAGTGTGAGACAGACTTCTATGATGTCACCTGGTTCAAGGTCATGACTGCCATCATCAACTTCTACCTGCCCACCTTGCTCATGCTCTGGTTCTATGCCAAGATCTACAAGGCCGTACGACAACACTGCCAGCACCGGGAGCTCATCAATAGGTCCCTCCCTTCCTTCTCAGAAATTAAGCTGAGGCCAGAGAACCCCAAGGGGGATGCCAAGAAACCAGGGAAGGAGTCTCCCTGGGAGGTTCTGAAAAGGAAGCCAAAAGATGCTGGTGGTGGATCTGTCTTGAAGTCACCATCCCAAACCCCCAAGGAGATGAAATCCCCAGTTGTCTTCAGCCAAGAGGATGATAGAGAAGTAGACAAACTCTACTGCTTTCCACTTGATATTGTGCACATGCAGGCTGCGGCAGAGGGGAGTAGCAGGGACTAT